>NC_000010.11:74120368-75370368 GCF_000001405.40 Homo sapiens
CACTTGAAGGAATGGAAGTGGCAAAGGTTAACAGGCAGAAAGCAGCTGGATGAAACAGTTTATTTTCATCTTAGAAGATTCTAGCTATCTGTGGAGACCACCACTGTTCCCCGAAAAGCTAAAGTTGTTAAGTTTGTAGGAGTACCACAGGTCCTTCCCCCTGCTGCAAGACAGAGACTTGCTCTGTTGCCCAGGCTGCAGTGCAGTGGTGCAATCTCAGCTCACTGCAACCTCTGCCTCCCGGGTTCAAGCAATTCTCCTGCCTCAGCCTCCCATGTAGCTGGGATTACAGGTGTGCGCCACCATGCCTGGCTAATTTTTGTATTTTTAGTAGAGATGGAGTTTCACCATGTTGGCCAGGCTGGTCTCGAACTCCTGACCTCAAGTGATCCGCCCACCTTGACCTCCCAAAGTGCTGGGATTACAGGTGTGATCCACCACGCCCGGCCACACAGGTCCATTTTTCATATTCCAAAGCCCAGTATAGAATAAATAGGGTTTTCAGGGATCCACCAGGGCTATAAAACAGAGTTAGCTTTTGGGGACATAGTCCTCTTCTTCCTTAAAGAAACACTGACTAAAATAGTAGGAGCAGGTTTTTAGAGTAGAGTTGGGACATCACTTTTTCCCTGATTTTCTAGATCTGAAAGGGGTAACATGTCATTAAAGGGTGATGATATTGATATTTAGTGTTGCCAACTGCTATTATCACTGCTTTATCTTGGAAAGTTGCCGACTATAAAGACAGATTCCAGCCTGCTTGAGTTAAGGGAAAGGCCAAGGCTGCTACTGAATTAGCAGTTTCTAAAACTGTCTTGTTTTTGCCATTTACCATATGTTCACTGGTGCTGCCTTCCTGCTGTAGTATAATCATTTTCTCAAATCAGTTGCCTCTCAGGACAAGATCAGCATTTTCCTAGGGTCCTTCTGTAGCACCACTTAAGGAATGAACCTATCACAGGAACTCCCTTTGAATAAAATGATGGTGACTCCCACACGCAGGAAAGAATCATTTACTTCATTTGCTCTTGATATACTCCCTTATGAATTTAGAACAAGTGATCCAGGATTAGCTGTAACTCTGTGCTTGAAAAATATTTTACTACTACTAAGTATTCAGAAATCTTTGTTATCAGTAGGTGGTGGTAGTGATAGGGAAGGGAGCTTTGATCACTAATCTCTCAGACTGTGGCCAGAATGGTGATGCTTAAGCCAAGTATGAATGGCTATTAACATACTGAGGTTAGGGAAGGAGTACTGAGAAGTGCTTTGCAGCAACACTCGCAGCTTGTGTGATGATGCAGAAGAAAATCTGATCATGTTCACCCTGCTTTGACAATGAGCCTTGCCCATTGGAGAATGTTCAATCAATAGTAGACCTAAAAAAAATCAACTTGTTGCTTTCATCTTTTTATTGATAGCACAGCCAGAGCTACCAAAATGATTTACTGGATTCTAGCAAATTAATAAATACAGTAATTTGATTGTAAAAGGAAACATTCTACTTGGACATTTTAGTAGAAATTGCTAGAGGGAAGGAGCTCCTGGCGTACATTCTACTTGGATAGAAGAGAAGATAGCACAGGAGGAGAACTGGACAGTCCAGGTATAGATTGTTGAGATTAGGGATTCAGCAGAAAGCAAAGCAAATGTTCTCATTGTTCTTTTGAGGTACGAACTCTGAAGAGTCAAGACATTAAAAATAAAAAGCAATTGAACCGGGTAGCCAAACTTAGGCAAAAGGAATAAATATTTGGCAACATTTTGACTTTAACTGCCAATCTGAGATTAGTTTCTTCAGAAATTTGGAAGCTGCAAAACGTTGCCTTTCTTATTCCATGAAAGGCAGGGCAGGCAAAGGTAAGAAAACTGCTGAGTGGGCTCCTTGTACCAGCACCAACCAGCAGCCCTTGACAGCATAGATGGGATGAGTGTAAGGGCTATCCTTAGCATAAGGGAAAGACGGTTATAAGCTGAGAAGATTGAAAGAAGAATGGAGCCACAAAGAGAATAGCATAAATAACAAGAAGGAAACATGAAGAACAAGCACTTAAGATATTAACTTTCAGTCTTTCTCCATTTCTTGATGTCTAATGAGGCAAAATAACTGGGCAAGGACCACCAAGATGAAGAAGTTAAATAAAATGTCACAATGAAATTGAGTGCAATAATACAACTGTTGACTGACTTTCCAAAACCACGGTGATCGGTAGAGTATCATCAATGTTACCGAGGATTTTGTTTCTGCCTCATTATAACTCACTTCCATGTATTTTGTCAGTATAGTACGTATATTTAAGCACTCCAGTGACAATTATGACAATAGTTTCTGGAAGAAATCTATGACTATAGCTTTGGGAAGCACACAATATGAAAAGGGAATTTCCCCTAAAGACAAGGAATGCAGACAAATTCAAACCCTTAAGAACAACAACAAAAAAGATTTAAAAAGACTGATGACTGTGAGGCAGGCACATTTTCCTCCTTTTGCTGAACTGGGGCATGAGGCATTTAGGTTAACCATGGCTTAACTGGTGTTGGGTAAGCTTTATATTATAAAACATGAAGATGGCAAAGGTTTCACTTAAGTTTTTCTTTTACTACTTTAATTTGCTTAAAAGCACAAATGCTTGTGCTTGCAGTAACTTCCTAAAAGCAGAAGTAATGTTCCCTTTTACTACCTTAATAAAGCATTTGCCCCTTTGATACAAATGATTTTTTTACTGTGCTAACAGCTGAACCAGTGGCACAAAATTGAGATGGTATTTACTGCAGCAAGGTCCCTGTAAATCAAATTCTAAGCTTTACATAAAAATCTTATTTATAAAAAATACAATACCAAGTACAGTGAGAATGGAGCATGGAGCAGCAGTGCTCCCTGCCAGGGCCATGTGGAAGTGGCTTTTGCTACAGTGCTTGCTTAATGGCACAAGTGAAAAGCTGAATAAGGCAAACACTTGAAGAGGCAGTTTTCTGTAAACTTCTGGGGGTGGGGGGAATTTCCTCTCGGGACAGATACTGGTTTGGGATGGCTAAGATCAGAAGGTGTGATATTTGGCTGCACCTGACACATCACAGATTTAAGATAGCTTCTGCTGGATGAGACCAGTTAACTCTTTTAGGAGAGAGGTTATCACTACAGCTTTCTGCCTTTACTGTTACAATGTGCAGCCGCCAGATGGTATCCTCCTATGGAAAAAAATCACCTCCAAAATCTTCCTAAGTGAAAAGATACAAAATAAGCTAAGTCACTAAAAGGTTTCCTTAGCTTAAAGCTCCTTAAGAATCCTACATTGATAACTAAGTAACTTTGTTAGCGGTGTGTAGCTAGACACAAATGCTTTAACTAGAATATGTATTCCCACTCACTTGGTACCTAATAGTGATACATCGTAATGACACTTGGAAAACAAACTGGTCCTGAGGAATTTTGGCCTCTTCTCATGTCCTCACTTGGAACTTTCCAGCTTTCGTGACGTATTTGACTCCTTTAAATGGCTTATATTTCTCCCCATACATGTCCAAACGGTTTACTTTTAAGCCTGTATCAAAAAGAATGAAAAAGAATAAATTATCATCATCCCAACCAATATAATGTTAGCAATGAGCGCTATATGGTAAATCTGACATTAACCAGTGTCCCTTCCACCATTTGGAAGAAATGTCTCTTCTATCATTTACAAATTATTGCACTTTGATGGTATGGTTTTGGTTAAGATTCCCACACAGGCAGGGAATGTCTGTGAAGTATAATTCTACTTTCTGTGAATATGAATAACTCTCTTTTTGGTGCTTAAATGAGGGCGGAGGTGAGGGGAAGCTGTTTGAAATAAGGTGCTCTGAAAAATCATTTGGTCGGTGCCTGTGAGACTGCCCCACCAAGCACAGTATAAAAGGCAAATGGGCTACTGCTCTTTCTAGAGAAGGAAACTTTTGTTACTCTTCTAAATGCCTAATAAATGAGCTTGCAAAACTCAATTACCCTTAACTACAAGTCAACCTTATCCTTACCTGAAATAGCAAGCTGCTGGATCTTAAACTGTATGTTGAGGCTCGGATTCTCTTCTGGTTTGGGGGCTCCAGACTGTAAATTTACCAGTCCTTTAAGACTTGGGAGCTTTTGTGGAGTAATTTTTCCCACATCCCATGTTAGTACCTTAAAAAGACAAAAAATGAAAAACAAATAGAACCATTTATTAAAGACAAACCCTCAAAAACAAAGTTCAAAGATATCATAAACTTCTGTACAAACTGAAGTGCAGTCTCTTGAAAACAAGAGATCTGGCATCTACAGTGAGTTTACCTCTGATTAATTCTGTGACTTTGAATGGGGAGTGAGAGCAGAGAATCTACATTTGTTGAGCATTTTCTTTTGTATTAGCACCGTGCTTAGCATTATTCATATGTTGTCTCATTGAGGGCTGTGAAGTAGCTTTTGTCTTCTATTTACAAATGAGGAAATTAAAGCTCAGAGGACATTAAGGCTCAGAGATCAAATGACTCGCTCAAGGTCACATAGTTAGTCAGAGGTAAGGCTGGGATTTGAACCTAAGGCCCTCTGATTTCAAATGTTCTCCATCATAACCATCTTCACTTTTCTCTGGGCCTGTTTCTTTTTCTTTTTTTTTTGAGACAGAGTTTCACTCTTGTTGCCTAGGATGGAGTGCAATGGTGCAATCTTGGCTCACCACAAACTCTGCCTCCCAGGTTCAAGCGATGCTCCTGCCTCAGCCTCCCAAGCAGCTGGGATACAGGCATGCGCCACCATGCCCAGCTAATTTTGTAGTTTTAGTAGAGATGGGGTTTCTCCATGTTGGTCAGGCTGGTCTCGAACTCCTGACCTCAGGTGATCCACCCACCTCGGCCTCCCAAAGTGCTGGGATTACAGGCGTAAGCCACTGCGCCCAGCCTCTGTTTATTTTTCTGTAAAATAATTAGATTGACTTAAGATGGTGTTTTTAAAACTTTTAGCTGTGAAACCCATTGTTCAAATGAAATCTTCGGTGTGAAGGCTCAACAGCAGATGAGAAAGAAAGCAAAGCTGTCATAGTTGAAGCTGTGGTAAAGGGCCAGGAATCTGAAGCTCCCTTTCTCAGCCCTGTGTGGTCTCCAGGAGGAGGTTCTTTGAATCCTTACAACTGTATTAAATAATCTTTAACATTCTATGATGTTATTCAAAAAACATGTCTTTTCATTTATCAGGTAGCTCAATGACTCTGCTATTGAAAACAATCATATTTACCAGCTAATCAGGAAGCTGAGAGAAAATCATCTGCTACAGTTTCTCTGAAAACCCTCTGTTACACAAAAATTTAAGTAGAGTGAGGAAGCAACTTTCCTAGCCCTGTGAAAGAGTATGAAATAATGCTTTTAAATTATAAAGGAAGAAAAAGGTCTTAGTGATCAATTTATATAGAAAACTTAGTAATTCATAGACCATCATAATATCTTCTTCAATCTACATAATGTTTTCTCTTTTTAAAAAAGCTTTTACTTCTTTCTTATTAGATAGCAGAGTCAGGCTCTGGATTAATAATGGATGAGTGAAGGCACACTCTGAAAAAGGACAGAATGACACATTTTTCTGTTCATCTACTCAGTAGCAGCTGCAGGATTCCTTCTGCAGCCAGTGGCAGAAGCACAGCACAGTATGCTCTCTAGGTTTTGATACGAACTTTAGTTTTAAACAAGGTGCCAAACCTTTCCCTCCATTCCTCCCCACAAATCACAAAATAGATTGCAGAAACACTTGCTCACTCTTGATTTGAAGTGGCTGTACCTTGGTGACTGGATCAAATGTATAGCTGCCTTGTGTGGGTGTCAGGTTCATGTTCAGCACAACTTTTGGCATGTGAACTGTCACTGTAATTCCTTCAATAGTTTTCCCCATATTCTGCTTTGGTCCAATTGTTATATCAAATCTGCCGCAAGAACTGTTCTCCTTAAAGCTGATACTATGTTTCACATACACTGGTATTGCCACTAGACTAAAAAGAGAAACAGAGAAAGATACAAAAGCACAAACACAATTAATGGTGTGGGGAGAGCTCCAGAGGTATCCTGAAAACCTCTGTCCAGAGTATCCTACCCTGCCTTTAACTCCACAATAAGGTACTACAGAGTTGGCTCTCTGTAGCCACAGTTCTGCATCCTTGAATTTGACCAGCTGAGGATTGAAAATATTATTTCACAAAATTGGCCAGGCGTGGTGGCTCATGCCTGTAATCCCAGCACTTTGGGAGGCCGAGACCAGGGTTGGGAGGGGATCACCTGAGGTCAGGAGTTTGAGACCAGCCTGGCCAACATGATGAAACCTCGTCTCTACAAAAATTAGCTAGGGCTGGGCGCGGTGGCTCACACCTGTAATCTCAGTACTTTGGGAGGCTGAGGTGAGGAGTTCAAGACCAGCCTGGCCAACATGGTGAAACCTCGTCTCTACTAAAAATACAAAAATTAGCTGGGTGTGGTGGCTCATGCCTGTAGTCCCAGCTATTTGGAAGCCTGAGGCAGGAGAATCGCTTGAACCTGGGAAGCGGAGATTGCAGTGAGCTGAGATCGTGCCACTGCACTCCAGCCTGGGCAAAGGAGCGAGACGCCATCTCAAAAAAAAAAAAAAAAAAAAAAAAAAAAAAAGTAAAAAATAACAATATAACTACAATAAAAATAAAAAGTCAACATGGTATAACAATTATTTACACAGTGTTTACAGTGTACTATCACAAGTAACTTGGAGATGATTTAAAGTATACAGGAGGATGTGCATAGGTTATATGCAAATACTACACCATTTTATGTAAGGGACTCGAGCATCTGCTGATTTTTGCAACCAGTCCTCCAAGGATACCAAGATGGCAGTACCTCTAGAACTGCAGATTCAGTATCTACACAAGGGGGAGCTGAGTACAGCATAATGTTCTTGTACCACTGTGCTGGGAACTGTATACAAATCAAGACAGAAATCTGAAGTTTAATAACAGTATAAACAATTGGGGTGGCTGGGTGCAGTGGCTCACACCTGTAATCCCAGCACTTTGGGAGGCCAAGGCAGGCAGATCACTGGAGGTCAGGAGTTTGAGACCAGCCTGGCCAACATGGTGAAATCCCCTCTCTAATAAAAAAAAAAAATAACAAAAAACAAAAATTAGCTGGGCGCGGTGGCAGGTGCCTGTAATCCCAGCTACTTGGGAGGCTGAGGCAGGAGAATCGCTTGAACCCAGGAGGTAGAGGTTGCAGTGAGCCAAGATCACACCATTGCACTCCAGCCTGGGTGACAATAGTGAAACTCCGTCTCAAAACAAACAAACAAAACAAAATAACATAAAACAAACAAACAAAAACAATTGGGGCAAATGGCCCTAGTTTAAAATGAATTATGATCCCACTGAAAAATAATGTAAAATATGTTTTATATAAATGAAAACAGTTCCTATGTGATAAGAGCCAAGAAACAGGCCAGGCACGGTGGCTCACGCCTGTAATCCCAGCACTTTGGGAGGCTGAGGTGGGCAGATCACCTGAGGTCTGGAGTTCGAGACCAGTCTGACCAACATGGAATAACCCCGCCTCTACTAAAAACACAAAATTAGCCGGGTGTGGTGGTGCATGCCTGTAATCCCAGCTACTTGGGAGGCCGAGGCAGGAGAATCACTTGAACCCTGGAGGTGGAGGTTGCAGTAAGCCGAGATTTCACCATTGCACTCCAGCCTGAGCAACAAGAGCCAAACTCCGGCTTAAAAAAAAAAAAAAAAAAAAAAAAGGAAAAGAAAAGAGCCGAGAAATAATTTCTCTGTTTTTGAGTTCTGTCATGATGTTACTCAAATAACTTTTGGTATTTTCAAGAAACAAACTACCTATAACTCCGATCCCCAATGCTAAATTTTTTTTTTTTTTGAGATGGAGTTTTACCCTGTTGGCCAGGCTGTAGTGCAGTGGTGTGATCTGTCACTGCAACCTCTGCCTTCCAGGTTCAAGTGATTCTCATGCCTCAGCCTCCTAAGTAGTTGAGATTATATAGGCACACGCTACCACGCCTGGCTAATTTTGTGTTTTTAGTAGAGACAGGGTTTCACCATGTTGACCAGACTGGTCTAGAACTCTTGACCCCAAGTGATCTGCCCACATTGGCCTCCCAAAGTGTTGGGATTACAGGAGTGAACCACTGCACCCGGCCCCTCAATGCTAAACAGTTCCTTAAAAACTCAACGCAGAGAAGACGTACTTGAAGCAGGTAAATTGGGGAATGTCCTCACGAACTACAGGTAGGTCTGTCTCCTTGTTGGCCACAAACTCTACAGACTATGGTAAGATTATGGCAATGGTTCATGGTTTTGCCCAGGTTATGCATGGTCCGTTTTGCTCTGCTTGCAAAGTACTCAGCTTTCAGAAGCAGAGCAAAATGGACCATGCATAACCTGAGCAAAGAACCAGTGCCATAATTTGACCATGCATAACCTTGCAAAGGACCGGTACCACAATTTTTGCCCAGGTTATGTATGGTTTGCTTGTTCTTGGCTATAGATTTTACTCTAGTCTCACTTAGTACCACTCTACACTCATACATTCAAAGTATACGGATTATTTTAGGTGCGTATTTTCACCCGTTCTCACTGGGTCTCCTGGTGAGCTATGGTTAAAGTGAGCAGTGATGACCTCAAGTACTCAACTTTCAGAAAGAAACAGGGAAAGGTGAGTTGTACTTGATATGTATGATGGCAGATTCTGGCTGATGCATCAACATACTTTTGTGAGCTGACACGGTATGATATGAGTCGGAAATTTCCATCTGGAGGAATAAATGACAAAACTCTTTCAGATTCCCAACGCTTGAACCGGATGCAGGGGTGAAAGCTGACATCATCCAGAAGCCTAGGGTTCTGCCAGAAAAACAGAAGACAGTCGTTCATAGACTATAATGAATATGGGAACTGTACTCAGATACCTTGACAAATATGTTCCCTGAAGATAAAGCAGTCATGGAAGAGTTTATGACCACATCTACACAACCTTATAGTTTCATAATGCTTTAAAGTTTGTAAATATTTTATGTACATTATTTTATTTGAATTTCAATAACTATAAAGGAGAAAAGGCAAGTAGTATTATTTCCCTTTAACAGATTAAAAAACTGAGGTTCAGAGGACTTAAGGTCAGAGCAAACTGGTGACAACACCAGAAGTCAGTTCTCTTAATTGTTCCTAGCAGTATATCATGCTGACTCTAAAATGATACAAAAGACCAGTGTCCTTTCATATCAGCAAAGCAAATAATTATTCAGTAAAAATGATACTGGATATTTGCAGAAGCCAGCCAGCCAATTTTAAGCCCCTTCTAGCACACTCAGGCAAAGACCTCCCTTAGTCTTTCCACAAAGACCACGCTCATCATGTAAGCGACTGTCTTAGGAAACTCTGCTAGGAATATTTCTGAGATAATCCTTTGCAATCTAAGATGCAAACTTATCTCAATATTTATCATTTCATTTAGTACTTCACATGTATTAGGCATTCAAGGGGCTATAAAACAGGAGAATAAAACTTACCATGAAAGAAAGGGAGAGATCAGGCATTCCAGATAGTTTAATGCAAGCATCAATGACCCCCTGAATTTCTGCAAAGACTGTAGATCCTGAAGAAAGAAAAAAAAAAGGAAGATAACATCAATGGAATATGAGTCTTCACTAGACCTATCACTGTATCTTTTTATTTTTATTTATTGTTTTTAGAGACAGAGTCTTGCTCTGTTGCCAAGGTTGGAGTGCAGTTGTATGATCATAGCTCACTGCAGCCTCACTCCTGGGCTCAAGTAATCCTCCTGCCCTAGCCTCCCAAATAGCTGGGAATATAGGTGCGTGCCATGACACCTAGCCCAACAATCACTACATCTAGAACAATAGAGATACCCTCTGGGTGTCAGATTAACTGAAGCTTTACATCTCTATTAACAGGTCAGGGGACAAGGTCCATACTTAACTCTGGCTGGAATATAATAATAATTCTTTTATTTTTAAGAGATAAAGTCTGACTAGCTAGTCCCAGCTGGTCCCCAGAGTAACTGAGACTACAGGTATGCCACTGTAGAATATAATTTTTTTTTTTTTGAGACAGGGTCTTGCTCTGTCACCCAGGCTGGAGCGTAGTGGTGCTATGATAGCCAGCCTCAACCTCCTGGGCTCAAGCAATCCTCCCACCTCAGCCTCCCAAGCAGCTGGTACTACAGGCATGCACCTCCACGCCTGGCTAATTTTTGTATTTTTTTTGTAGAGACAGGGTCTTGTTATGTTGCCCAGGCTGGTCTCAAACTTCTGGGCTCAAGCAATCCGCCTACCTTAGCTTCCCAAAGTGCTGGGATTACAGGTGTGAGCTACCATACCCAGCCAGAATATGCTAATTCTAAGGAAAATTAAACTGTTTCCTTTATGGAGCCAACCCTGTAAGATGACTGGATATGAGTTTAAAACATTTGGCAGGACGCAGTGGCTCATGCCTGTAATCCTAGCACTTAGGGAGGCTGACGTGGGTAGATTATCTGAGCTCAGGAGTTTGGGACCAGCCTGGGCAACATGGCAAAACCCCGTTTCTACTAAAAATACAAAAAATTAGCCAGGCGTGGTGGTGTGTGCGTGTAGTCCCAGCTACTTGGGAGGCTGAGGCAGGAGAATCGCTTGAACGTAGAAGGCGGAGGTTGCAGTGAGCTGAAACCACAACACTGCACTACAGCCTGGGCGACAATGTGAGACTCTGTCTCAAAAACAAAATAAAACAAACCAACCAAAACCATTTTCAATAGAATTTTATTTTTTTTTAATTTTTTTTTTGAGACGGAGTCTTGCTCTGTCACCCAGGCTGGATGGAGTGCAGTGGCGCTATCTGGGCTCACTGCAAGCTCTGTCTCCCGGGTTCACGCCATTCTCCTGCCTCAGTCTCTCGAGTAGCTGGGACTACAGGCGCCTGCCACCACACCCAGCTAATTTTTTGTATTTTTAGTAGAGATGGGGTTTCACTGTGTTAGCCAGGATGGTCTGGATCTCCTAACCTCGTGATCCACCCGCCTCAGCCTCCTAAAGTGCTGGGATTACAGGTGTGAGCCACCGCGCCCGGCTTCAATAGAATTTTAAAATGTGGCAAGTGTATTATGAAATGGACTAAGTTAACTTTTAAGAAATAGGATCCATAATAGAAAGATATCTCTTTTTTTTTAAGAGACAGGGTCTCCCTCTGCCATCCAGGCTGGAGTACAGTGGTGTGAACATAGTTCACCACAGCATTGAACTCCTGGGCTCAAGCAATCCTCCTGCCTCAGCCTTCTGAATAGGTAGGATTAAGGAAGCCATGCCTAGCTAATCTTTTAAATTTTTGATAGATATGGGGTCTTGCTATGTTGCCTAGGCTGGTCTTGAACTCCTGGGCTCAAGTGATCTTCCTGCCTAAGCCTCCCAAAGTGCTGGGATTACAGGTGTGAGCCACCGTGCCTGGCAAAAATCTATTATTCTATAAGATGGAATGTTATAATGAAAAGGGGACTCATGGAAGAGAAGATATTGACTATAATTCACAATAAGCCATCATTACATATTAACAAGTTGTGTGACCTGGAACAGTTCACTTAACCCTTCTGGGCTTTCCTTATGTGTAAAATAAATGTAAAGGAAGGACTAGATTTTTTTTCTTTTTTCTTTTTTTGTTTTTTTAGAGATGGAGTCTCACTCTGTCACCCAGGCTGGAGTGCAGTGGTGCAATCTTGGCTCACTGCAACCTCTGCCTCCCAGGGTCAAGCAATTCTCCTGCCTCAGCCTCCCAAGTAGCTGGGTTTACAGGCGCCTGCCACCACGCCCAGCTAATTTTTGTATTTATAGTAGAGACGGGGTTTTACCATGTTGGCCAGGCTGGTCTCAAACTCCTGACCTCAAGTGATCTGCCTGCCTCGGCCTCCCAAAGTGCTGGAATTACAGGCGTGATCCACCATGCCCGGCTGCTATTTTTAATAATAAAATTTTACGATTCTTATAGAGTACTATTGTTTTGTCTGGTTAAAAAGATAATCAGATTGGGTGTGGTGGCTGATGCCTGTAATCCCAGCACTTTGGGAGGCTGAGGTAGGTAAACTGATTGAGCCCAGGAGTTCAAGACCAGCCTGGGCAACATGGTGAGACCCTGTCTGTACAAAAAAAACAAATAAAAGTTAGCCAGGCATGGTGGCGTGTGGCGTGTACCTCCTGATTGGCTGGGACTATAGGCTACTCAGGAGTTTGAGGTAGGAGGATCACATGAGCTGGAGGTCAAGGCTACAGTAAGCAGGGACTGCGCCAATGCACTCCAGCCTAGGCAAAAGAGCAAGACCCTGTACTTAAAAAAAAAAAAGAAAGTGAAAAATAATCAGATAGGGGCTTTTACCAGAAGTACTGCACATAATGTAGTAGCAAAAGCATGGTATATAGCAGATTTTCAATAAATGTTAGAAGGAATAAATAGCAAGAGGTAGAGGTACATAGGGTAATAATTGGCTTAAAGTAAGGCATTATGAGTTCTGATTTACATGTTTGGCAGACCTCAACTAGTGGTTATGAAAATTATATGTAACCTATGGGCAAAATAAACAGATTTATGGGCCAGGTGCAGTGGCTCACGCCTGTAATCCCAGCCCTTTGGGAGGCCAAGGCAGGTGGATCACTTGAGGTTAGGAGCTTGAGACCAGCCTGGCCAACATTGTGAAACCCCGTCTCTACTAAAAATACAAAAAATTAGCCAGGGCCGGGAGCGGTGGCTCACGCCTGTAATCCTAACACTTTGGGAGGCCGAAACGGGCAGATCACCTAAGTTCAGGAGTTCGAGACCAGCCTGACCAACGTGGAGAAATCCCATCTCCACCAAAAACACAAAATTAGCTGGGCATGCTGGTGCATGCCTGTAATCCCAGGTACTCGGGAGGCTGAGGCAGAAGAACTGCTTGAACCCGGGAGGCGGAGGTTGCGGTGAGCTGAGATTGCACCATTGCACTCCACCCTGGGCAATAAGAGTGAAACTGCGTCTCAAAAAAAAAAAAAAAATTTAGCCAGGTGTGGTGGCTCATGCCTGTAATCCCAGCTACTTGGGAAGCTGAAGCAGCAGGATCGCTTGAATCCAGGAGGTGAAGGTTCCAGTGAGCCAAGATCATGTGATTGCACTCCAGCCTGGACAACAGTGTGAGACCCCGTCTCAAATAAATAAATAAATAAACAAACAGATTTAAAAATCATCAGATAATGAATGCCTTTCCACCGAAACCATACTGCCAAAGGACTTCAATTTTCTTTTCCTTTCTTCTTCTTTTTTTTTTTTTTGTTGAGACAGAGCCAGGCTGGAGTGCAATGGCATGATCTTGTCTCATTGCAACCTCTGCCTCCTGGGTTCAAGCAATTTTCCTGCCTCAGCCTCCCGAGTAGCTGGGATTACAGGTGCGCGCCACCATGCCCGGCTAATTTTTTGTATCTTTAGTAGAGACAGAGTTTCACCATGTTGGCCAGGCTGGTCTCGAACTCTGACCTCATGTTCCGCCTGCCTTGGCCTCCCAAAGGGCTGGGATTACAGGCGTGAGCCACCGCGCCCGGCCAGGACTTCAGTTTTCTATTCATCTGTGTCAGATGAATTGTTTTTCCCCAAATAAGATGACATGCACACAATTACCTGATTTATCTATAATTGCGTCTATTTCTTCAACAACATCAAAATAGGCTTCATTGTTTGTGTACTTTACCCCTGCCCGACGCCATGGTATGTTGGACAGCTGCCCGGTGGGGAGTGTGTCCCCAACATTACTACTGCCTAGAAACCAAAAAAGGAGAAGGCAAAGCTGATGTATAAAACAGTCATGAGAAAATTTATTACTAGGAAAAAAAAAGCTGCTTCTTCAATGTTTGGATTTTTCTTAATGAAGTTGTGGATGGTCACTAGAATTGTCAGACATATCCATACCAACATGATCAAATTTCTAGAAAAGAAATATAGGCCATGTGGCCCTCTGTCTACCTGCCAAACCAGGTTAAATTTATTTACTTATCTTTTGCCTCCTGTGTGTTAACAGTAATCTAATCTAATTCCAGTGGCTCAACAACAGAATCTCTGCCACTGATGAAAAAAGAGGTTGGTTGTTTCAAAACCTTCTGCCAATAAAATGTCTCCAGTGAGAATACAGAGTTATAACTAGGCCCTTCAGTATTCAACTTTATTTTACATGAGATGCTGCCAAGCACGCCTCAGTGGAGTAAATGGAATCTGGCCTTTTCCTATTTTAAGGTCAGCATACCCATACGGCTGCAATATAGCTAGTATTCAGTATCCAGCTCATTTCCTGGTAAACTGACACATGCCTAAAAATAAGTCTGGTTGTCCAAAACACATATCTTTGAGCTGTGACTTACTTAATATTTTGGTTAATTTATATTTCCCATTCGAAAGTACTACATACTTAACAACAACAAAAAGGTAGAGTTCAGAGAAGTGGTTTAAAGAAAAACACCTGTCTTCTTACTAACAAAATATATCTACCATTAACATTTTTGTTAATATTATGGTATTAACATTTTAATATAATATTAACATTTTGGTATATTTCTTTGAATATTTCCACCACCAGAAGGTTGCATTTTTTTCTATTTTGATAATTTTGGTTTTTAATTGCACTTTAAAATATAGTCGCAATCATACTGTATCTACAATTTTGCAGTCTACTTATGATTGGTGTTCCTACCTGCAACCTATAATCATGTTATCTTCCTGCTCAAAAACGTTCAATGTTTGCTCACTGGCTTTATGATAAAAGCTAAATATTTATCCTAGCTTTGAAGGACTTTCTCTACTTTTTAATTTGATCTCTAACTTCTCAAGTGAAAAACAGTTCTGCTTCTGCTAAAGGGATTAATAAAACTTTAGGTTTTTCTCTTTCATGTGTGTTTTTTTCTCATACAGTTCCACCATGGAGAATGCTCTTATTCCTTCCTCACTTCCTGAATTCTACTGATTTTCCAAGGTGGCCACCCACCACAGTTCAGGAGGGATTACTTCATTAATGGAACCATTCTCTTGAACTTTGTAATACACTATCTAATGAATCTGTTATGTTTTGCATTATATATTTTAGTAACTTTTCTCTGACTATAAAATACATGTTTATTTTGGAAAATTAGAAAGTATAAAGCAAAAATAAATATAATCTGTATTTAGCTGGGTATAATCATTGTAAATACTTTTTTGTCGGAGTGAATATTTATATATAAGAATAATTTTTTTCAGTTTTGTGCTGACTTTTCAATTTAACGTTACATCATGTGTATTTATTTTCCAATGCTATTACTTTATCTGTGAAGTATGGAATTGCTTTTTAAAGTCTTATACAGTTATTTACTTAATTTTTTTTCCAATGTCCCATTCAGAGTATAAGTTTTAGGAGTACAGACACACCATCTTATCTTTCTTTGAATTTCTCCTAACATTCGTCCTTACACAAAGGATGAATAAAGAGCTGCTGAATGATCTTTTTCTTATAGGCCTCTCTCACCTCATTTTTAGGTCAAGGCACTGGACAGGGGTTTACAATGGTTGACAGTGGAGTTGGAGTGGCATATAACATTTCATAGGAATCTTTGTCTAAAAGACTTTAATGCTTTCGAAAGAATATTGGTATCTGGATGTGCCTAATTTCTAGCTACACTCAAGAATTAAACCCAGCTGGAAGCTTACAACACAAGTACAGGCCCACAATGCATGAGATCTCATAAGTAAACTATTTCCTATTTTTTCTTAATACATCTTCTGAATGCATAAAAACAAAGACTTGGAGGAGATTGTAGTACTGTGTGGTTAAGCGTCTTAAATTTTCTATTCTCTAGTAATTGTGGAGTAGCAGCATACCAGTTATGTAATGCTATTTTAAATATTAAAATGCCAGTCTATAAATGGACTAAATTCTCTTCTAAGTGGGCTCATATACTGGCTTCTTTAGGAATAACTGGAACAATTTATTCAGTCTTAGTATTTAGTGTTAAATAATGGTAATAATATTGTTGTGGTGTTTTAGAAAAAAAAAAAGAGTAATAACCAAAAGTTCTTTATCACTTAAGGTCTAGCCTCTTTCCATGAAAATAAATATATAGTACATCCATTTTAACTTTACCAGTAACTTTAATTATGGCCAAATTGTACTACCTTAATAATATGTCAGATCATGAGCAATAATGAGTTGTTTACAAAGTTTTAATTGCTCAGTTACTAGCACAGTATGTTTTCATCTTACCTGTAATAGAGTTGACAACAGAGCGTAGAATTGTTGGTGGTTTAATCAATTCTTTCAAAATGTTAGATTCGGTAGCCAGTGGAAATCCATTGTCTAACATTTCTTCTAAGAGTTCATATACTATGACCACATTATCCTTAATTGCAGCCTCTGAACACTCACCAAAGTAGTCCTGACAAAATACACACAAAATATCACACAATGGAAGGCAAAAAGAAAGGCCTGCTAAATACTTTTTGTTCTGAAGAATAAACTTAGAGTAGCATAATTCATTGCTTAAGCTGCTGAACATATATAAAACAGAGCGGGGGAAAAAACCCTCTATAGTCCGGGCATGGTGGCCCATGCCTGTAATCCCAGCAATTTGGGAGGCTGAGGCGGATGCATCACTTGAGGTCAGGAATTCAAGACCAGCCTGGCCAACATGGTGAAACCCTGTCTCTACTAAAAATACAAAAATTAGCTGAGTGTGATGGTGCACACCTGTGGTCCCAGCTACTTGGGAGGCTGAGGCGGGAGGATTGCTTGAACCCGGGAGGCGGAGGTTGCGGTGAGCCAAGATCATGCTACTGCACTCCAGCCTAGGGAACAGAGTGAGACTCCGTCTCAAACAAAACAAAACAAAACAAAACAAAACAAGCAAACAAAAAAAACCCCTCTATAGTCCTAATATTATTCCTCAATATTTTCTTGATATTTCTAGGTTGAATTTAATTCCTATTACATATTATACCAGAAAGTATTGAAACATTAAATTGGAATTTGAGCTATAAACTTCATTCACCCTGATTATCCCAAAATACATATAGATAAGCTTAAATTATTTGGTATATTCCGCAAGACAAAATAATAAAATGTAAATATAGAAGAGTTCATAACCAATGAAAATCTTGAGACCATTGAGAGAACTGTATGCGGAGGGCATTATTGTTTCCTGATGATATACAGTCATCCCTTGGTATTTGTGGGAATTAGTTCCAGGATCCCCTGTAGATACCAAAGTTCACAATTCTCAAGTCGCTGACATAAAATGGCATAGTATTTGCACATAACTTATACACATCCTCCTATATACTTTAAATCACCTCTAGATTACTTGTAATATCTAACACAGTGTAAATGCTATGTAACTATTTGTTATACTGTATTGTTCAAGTAATAATGAGAAGAAGTTTGTACATGTTCAGTTCGATTTTTTTGTTCAAATATTTGCCATGTAAGGTTGGGTGACTTTATGGATGCAGAACCCATGTATATGGAGAGCCAACTGTAATCTGTAATACATATAAAAAATAGTGAATAGAGCAGCCATGTGTGTAACTGTATACCACACAGAAAAGGGCTTATGAATTTACGCTTAAACAGAGAGAGACAGACAGTAAACATCAAAACCTGGGTAATTAAATAATATAATCATGTCTCACCTTCAGCTAACTTGGGTCATTTAACTTAGAAAGGTATGATAGATAACCAACCTGAAAAGTGTCAGCAACTCGATGTAGGAACTCAATTACAAAGAGAGGTGGCACTTCGGTCTGTATGACAGATACAAAGAAGAGCTTATCCCGGTAGATACTGATGAGGTAGTGGTGAGGTGTTGAAATGACAGGTGGTACATTTTCAACATCAGCAGCTTTCTCTTGAGCTTCAAAGAAATAATCACAGACAGACTGGCTCACAACGCTCTTCCAGTGCTTCTCTAGAAATATGTCACCGGAACAGTTTATGAGAAATAGACTGTGGATCATTTTCTGTTGGGGCAAAGAAAGGTTTAAATTTATTATACATTAAATATCATTTAACATACACAAAAAGATTATACACCTTGACCAAGTGGGATTTATTCTAAGAATGCAAGGCTGGTTCAACATACAAAAATCAATCAACATGATATACAATAAGAACTAAAACAATCATTTCAAAAGGTGCAGAAATTGCATTTGACAAAATCCAACATCCTTTTACGAAAAAAAAAA
Organism: Homo sapiens; assembly: GCF_000001405.40. NCBI lineage: Eukaryota > Metazoa > Chordata > Mammalia > Primates > Hominidae > Homo > Homo sapiens. Next base: position 74,138,608 of record NC_000010.11, read on the forward strand.
AAAAAAAAGAAAGCCATTTAAGAACAAAAAGAAACTTCCTCAGCCAGGCTCAGTGGCACATGCCTGTAATCTCAGCACTTTGGGAGGCTGAGGTGGGCGGATTGCTTGAGCTCAGGAGTTTGAGACCAGCCTGGGCAACAGGGCAAAACATCATCTTTACAAAAAATACAAAAATTAGCCAAGCATGGTGGCACTTGCCTGTAGTCCTAGGTACTCAGGAGGATGAAGCAGGAGAATTGCTTGAGCCCAGGAGGAAGATCGACGCTGTAGAGAGCTAAGATTGCGCCACTGCACTCCAGCCTGGGTGACCAAGTGAGACACTATCTAAAAAAAAAAAAAAAAAAAAAAAAAATTTCCTTAACCTGATGAAAACCCCACAGCTAATATTATATTTAAAGGTGAAAGACCGAACACTTTCTCCTTAATAACAAAACCTAACAAGGATGCCCAGTCCCATCATTTCTATTCAACATGGTACTAGAGGTTTGAACCAGGGCAATTAAGCAAGAAAATAAAACAAAAGGCTTCCAAATTGGAAAGGAAGAAGTAAAACTGTATCTGTAGAAGATACAATCTTATATATAGAAAATCCTAAGGAATCCACACACACACAAAAAAAAACCTATTAGAGCTAATAAATTTAGTTCAGCAAGCTTGCAGGACACAAGTCAATATAAAAATCAATTATATTTCTATCCACTATAGCTATAAAATACTAAAAATGGGCTAGGCATTGTAACTCATGCCTATAAACCCAGCACTGTGGGAGGCTGAGGAAGGAGGATTGCTTGAGCTCAGGAGTTTAAGACCAGCCTATGCAACATAGTGAGACCTCATCTCTATTAAAAAAAAAAAAACAAAACAAAACTGAAAATGAAATAAAACAATTTCAGGCCGGGCGTGGTGGCTCATGCCTATAATCCCAGCACTTGGGGAGGCCGAGGCAGGTGGATCACCTGAGGTCGGGAGTTCAAGACCAGCCTGGCCAACGTGCAGAAACTCTGTCTCTACTAAAAAAAAAAAAAAAAGGCCAGGCGCGGTGGCTCACGCCTGTAATCCCAACACTTTGGGAGGCCGAGGTGGGTGGATCACGAGGTCAGGAGATCGAGACCATCCTGGCTAAGACGGTGAAACCCCGTCCCTACTAAAATTAGCCAGGCGTGGTGGCACGCACCTGTAGTCCCAGCTACTCAGGAGGCTGAGGCAGAAGAATCGCTTGAACCCGGGAGGCGGAGGTTGCAGTGAGCCGAGACTCAAGATTGCACCACTGTACTCCAGCCTGGGTGACAGATTGAGACTCCATCTCAAAAAAAAAAAAAAAAAAATCCCAGCTGCCTTTTCGTGGAATTTGACAGGCTAATCCTAAATTCATAAGGAATTGAAAAAGATCAACAGCCAAAACAATCTTGAAAAGGAACAACAGGGGCGAACGGGGTGGGGTGCGCCATTCCTCCCTGGCCAGGGTGCTTGGGAGCAGGGACCCCCACCTGCAGCTGAGCATCCTTCCTGGGAGCCACTCTGCTGTTCCAAGGACCTGGGAGGAGCCCTCGGTCCCCCGGGTGCCAGGGCCCTGGGGCGCACACATCCACCCCAGCCCGAGCCTGCGTTTCCTGAGCCAGGATCTGGGGCGAGATGGCTGCAGGCGGCCGTGCGCCCAAGCCCCACGTCCTCGTCTGCCTTGGGGCGCTCCTGGCCAGCTGGTCGCCGTAGGTTAAACTCACCTTACACCTGTAACCGGTGGACTTCCCTACATACCTTTGCAAGCCCTTCTGTGCCGACCAGCGCCTTCAAAGCGGGGTCTTCTGCCTTTACTTTTGGAAAAGCTTTTCATTTTGAAATACTTGGCTGACTTACAAAAGACTTCCCCTCACACTTGACATGATTGACAAAAGGTCTGAAATGCTTCATCTACAGTCTGATTTACTATGAAACAAGAATTGGGGGGATGCTTACAAAAATATGTAGAATTAAAAAGATTGAAAAAATATATATATTTGAATTAAAAAAAAAAAGGAACAACGAAGATGGATAACTCGTGCTTCCTGATTTCAAAACTTACTACAAAACTACTATGTGGTATTGGCACAAGGACAGACCTACAGATCAATAGAACATTAACCCTTACATTTATGGTCAACTGATTTTCAACAAGGGTGCCAAGACCTGGGTGACCAGTTGGAGAGAGAACAACCTTTTCAACAAATGGTACTGGAACAACTGGATTTCCACATACAAAAGAATGAAATTGGATACAAAAAGCAACACAAAATGTATCAAAGACCTAATTGGAAAAGCCAAAATGATAAAACTCTTAGAAAAAATATGCATAGATTTTGACTCTGGATTAGACAATGTTTTTTAAGATACGATACCAAAAGTACAGACAAGAAAAATAAAAAATAGATAACCCAGAGTCCATCAAATTTAAAACTTAGTGCTTCAAAGGACATTATCAAGAAAGCAAAAATTCACAAAATGATAGTAAATATTTGAAACCATATATCTTAAAGGGACCCCTATCCGGAAAATATAAAGAACTTTTACTCAATAATAAGAAGGGCCAGGTGTGGTGACTCACAACTGTAATCCTAGCACTCTGGGAGGCTGAGGAGGGAGGATTGCTTGAGCCCAGGAGTTTGAGACCCCGTCTCTATAAAAAAATTTAAAAACTAGCCAGGCATAGTGGCTCATACCTGTAGTCCCTGCTACTTGGGAGGCTGAGGTGGGAGGATTGCCTGAGTCCAGGAGTTTGAGGCTGCAGTCAACTATGATCCCACCACTGCACCCTAGCCTGGGTGACAGAGGGAGACCTTGCCTCTAAAACATAAAAAATAAATAAATAAACAAGCCAATTAAAAAATGGGCAAAGGATTTGAAAAGACATTTACTCAAAGAATATATACATACAAACGAATCTTACAAATACGATGTTGAATAAATGAAGCCAGATGCAAAAGAATATACACAGTATGATTCCATTTATATGAAGTTGTAGAACAGGCAAAACTAATCTACGTTAAATCAAATGGTTTCCTTTATGGAGAGTGGAGGGCCATGGGGATGATCTCCTAGAGTGCTGGTAATGTTTTATTTCTTTTTTATTTTCCTTTTTTTTTTTTTTTTGAGATGGAGTCTTACACTGTCGCCCAGGCTGGAGTGCAATGGTGTTATCTCGGCTCACTGAAACCTCTGCCTCCCAAGTTCACGAGATTCTCCTGCCTCAGCCTCCCTAGTAGCTGGGATTACAGGCACACACCGCCACACCTGGCTAGTTTTTTTTTTTTTTTGTATTTTTAATAGAGACGAGGTTTCACTATGTTGGCCAGGCTGGTCTTGAACTCCTGACCTCGTGATCCGCCTGCCTCAGCCTCCCAAAGTGCTAGGATTACAGGAGTGAGACACCGCACCTGGCCAATGTTTTATTTCTTGACCTGCATGATGTTTACAAGCTGTGTTCCTTCTATGATAACTCATTAGGCTTTACATTGTGATTTGCATACTTTCTGAGTGTTAGTTATGCTTCCTATAAGAAGTTTATTGTCCCTGCAATATGGGGGACAATGGAAAAATGTCTAATTATCTTACCTTGTTCCTATCTTTTACGTGTATAAGCACCAGTATCAGGTGTTTAGTCTAGTGGCTCAATCATTCCAAGTAATAGTACTATAGTCTAAGAAGAAAGAATTTAAGACCTATGAATACAGTTTCTATGAATGAAGATAAATTCCAAAGAGGAAAGGAAGACTTTCCAGAATTGATTCATTTGATTCTGTTGACAGAAAACAACATCAACCCTTTCTTTTATGAAAGCGGCTGACATTTAAAGAATATGTGGTGATGATCTCCTCTTCCCATTCGACACATGTTCAGTAGTTATCAATAATACTAGTTACTAAGATATGTTTTAGTAATTATTGTATTAATAAAGTATGAATACTGTTAACAGTTTAGGGTTCCTGTTTAATTAGAACCAAAAAATTTCTTTGTTTAAAGCCCTCTGTTTAGCCAAGAAATCAACTTGAGTTATTAGCAATAAACTCTGACACCTCAGGGTTGGAACCTGCCAAATTTTTCTACTTTATCTAGTCAGATGCTTTGCTTAGTAGGCTTGCTTTGTGTCTTATATTTCTGTCTGGGTATTAATATAAGTGCCATTAGAATACTTAGACTTGCTATATAGAACCTGCTGATTTTAACTATAATCTTTAGCTGATAAACTTTTCATTTTCATTTTTTAAATGAAACAGGAATATCCAACCATAAGATCTGCAACTAAATTTTTATTATTACACCTTTTTCTTGGAAGAAAATCAGCATCTGAAATATATAATGTATGACTTCAAGTGGAGCACTGTAATCCACAAGCAGACTCAGATTTGGGCACTTCAGGTGAGTCACATATGGAACACAGCATTCTTTGCAAAAATTAATCTTTTGGCCCCATTCAATGTGGTTATTTTTGGCCAGGCACAGTGGCTCACGCCTGTAATCCCAGCACTTTGGGAGGCCAAGACTGGTGGATTACCTGAGGTCAGGAGTTCAAGGCCATCCTGGCCAGCATGGCAAAACCCTGTCTCTACTAAAAATACAAAAATTAGCCGGGCATGGTGGCGTGCGCCTGTAATCCCAGCTACTTGGGAACAAAGCTTGTTTGTTTGTTTGAGCAGAGTCTCCCACTGTCACCCAGGCTGGAGTGCAGTGGTGTGATCTCTGCTGACTGCAACCTCCGTCTCCCATGGGCAAGCAATTCTCGTGCCTCAGCCTCCTCAGTAGCTGGGATTACAGGTGTGCACCACCATGCCCAGCTAGTTTTTCTGTTTTTAGTAGAAATGGGGTTTCACCATGTTGGCCTCAAGTGATCCGCCTGCCTTCGCCTCCCAAAGTGAAGCTACTGTACTCAGTCCCCATTCAAAGTGTTTTATTCATTAAAGATAATGAATAATAAATGAATTAATACTATCTAAAATGTATTGAGTACTTATTATGGGCCAGACACTATGCTAGACACTTTATCTCATCTTATTTTCACAATGCTACACCATAAATACTACTATTATCCCCATTTTACAGATAAGACAATGTCATCTCAGAAAAGTTAGGTCAATTACCTAAGATCACGCAGTAAGCTAGGATTCAAACCTAAATCCAGCTGAATTCTGAGCTCCTGCTCTTATCTGCCTTGTAGAGACTAATTATTAGGAACACGTTCTAATACAGCACTGTCCAACAGGGCTTTCTGCAATGATGGAAATGTCCTTTATCTGTGCTAATATGGTAGCCACTACACCCATGGCTATTGAGCACTTGAAATGTGGCTAATGTACCCAATACTGAAGTTTTAATTTTTTTGAAATTTTAATTAATTTTTTTTTGAGACGGAGTCTTGCTCTGTCTCCCAGACAGGAGCGCAATGGCGTGATCTCTGCTCACTGCAAGCTCCGCCTCCCAGGTTCACACCATTCTCCTGCCTCAGCCTCCCGAGTAGCTGGGACTACAGGAGCCCGCCACCACGCCTGGCTAATTTTTTGTATTTTTAGTAGAGATGGGGTTTCACCATGTTAGCCAGGATGGTCTCGATCTCCGGACCTCATGATCCACCCGCCTCGGCCTCCCAAAGTGCTGGGATTACAGGCGTGAGCCACCATGCCCGGCTTTTTTATTTTTATTTTTTTTTTGAGATAGGGTCTCGCTCTGTTGCCCAGGCTGGAGTGCAGCTGCGTCATCTTGGCTCACTCCAACGCCCACCTCCAGAGCCCAAGCGATCCTCCCACTTCAGTCTCCTGAGTAGCTGGGCTTACAGGCGTGCATCACCACACACAGCTGAGTTTCAAATTTTTGTTTTGTAGAGACAAAGTCTGCCTATATTGCCCAGGCTGATCCTGGACTCCTGGGCTCAAGTGATCTTCCCACCTTGATCTCCCAAAGTTCTGGGATTACAGGTGTGAGCCACCAAGCCTAGCCTGAAGTTTTAATTTTAATTAATTTAAATTTAAATAACCATATATGGTTAGTAGTTAATATATTGAACAGTGCATGAATGTGCTGCTTTAGCTTATGATTTTTTTTTTTTTTTGAGACGGAGTCTTGCTCTATTGCCCAGGCTGGAGTGCAATGGCACGATTTCCTCTTACCACAACCTCCGCCTGCTGGGTTCAAGCGATTCTCCTGCCTCAGCCTCCCGAGTAGCTAGGATTACAGGCATGCGCCACCATGCCCAGCTAATTTTTTGTATTTTTAGTAGAGATGGGGTTTCACCATGTTGGCCAGGCTGGTCTCGAACTCCTGACCTCGTGATCCGCCCGCCTCAGCCTCCCAAAGTGCTGAGATTACAGGCATGAGCCACTGCACCCAGCCTAGCTTATGATTTAAGAGGAGGAGGTAAAAGACATTTCTTGTTTAGTTAGGAGGCAAAAGACATTCTAGTTGTTATGCTGAGGAAGTTTAATAAATTATTTAGAGTGGAAGTTATATTTAAAAGCACCGACACAGGTTATCTAAAATCATTCATCCTATCGAAAATATAGTTCACAAGGATTTATAGTGCTCCTTTGCCACAATACACTCTGAAAGAGTTGCTTGTTTTGAAAGTAAGTGATTTTGTAGTTACTTTATTTTAGGGCCAGATCTCTACTCATCCTCTTAAGCTGGTGAAAAATTCTTTCCAGGAAAGTTTCCACCGAAGTTGTTTTTATTGGCAGTAGTTCAGGTCTCAGAATACAGAAAGTTAAACCAGCCTCCTAGATTTATTGTTGTTATCCTTAGTGCTGAGATGAAAGCATAACACTTGTAAGTTCTCGACTGTGCTTAGCTTTAAAACCCATCTTAACCTTCTATAATAGGAAAAGAGAGCTTACTTCTTCTATCCATATTATGACCAAGGTCTAATGCATATAACAATTAAATAATACCATGTTGCAGTGTAAATTAGCCTGTTTCTTTATTTATCGTCCTTTTGGTAGCTGCAGTTATTTTTTTAATTATTATTTTCATAAACTTTCTGAGAAAACTACACACTCATTATTACCACAACCATCTTTTTGTTCCTAGTGGCTTTTGAGTCATAAAACAGAATTCTCCCAGCTTATTTAAAAGCCACTAGAAGAAACTGTGTTCAGAGGCAGACCCACCAGAGCTTTGACTGCAGCTTAAATACATCATAAATCCTTTTTACTAAACATTTTATAATCATCCTGGGTAATTCACAAGCAATGCATTTACAATAGTCAAAATATTCTTGGAAGACAGTGTCTAAAAACAAAAATGTATTCCTTCTATATATAATATGATGGAGGCACAGAAGGGCCTATACTGAACTTGAGAGAATGAGACCAGAAAAGCATCTACTCTTCTGATTCTCAGCCAATATCTTGACCACATATTCATTCAACACAGAGTTTTGAGGCACTGGGTATATAAGAACAAACAAAATTAGAGTTCCTATACTCACAGCATTTAGAGATGAGCAGAGAAGACAACTTAATACAGTTAAGATGTAATTCCTACGATGATACAGGAAATATAGTGTGCTGTGGGAATCTACAAGGCTTAGAGGTGAGAGAGAACACAAGACAAATAAATCCAGTATAAATTTAGCAAATATGGAAGGTGGAGGGAAGAGGGGAGATGAAACTGGACAAGGAGGTAAGCAGAGACTGATTGGTTCATGGAGCATGCTAAACTTGTTAAGGAGTTTGGACTTTATTCTTAGTGCAATGTAAAGTCATTTTATAATTTTTTTAATTAATCATGCAATCCGATTTACATTTTTAGAAAGATCATACTAATTACACTGCGGAAACTGGATAATCGGTAACTGAACACTGTGACACCAGTTGGGAGATGAGTGGTGATGGCCTGGTCTAGAGTCTTGACTATGAGGATGGGGTACAGTGAAAAGATAAGAGAAACATTTAGGTTTTGTGCTAAAAAACATTTAGGCTTGGAGGAGGGGGTGTGTGGAGATGAGAGAGATGTGTCACTTGGCCTGGTCCTGTGTAATTTGACCAATTCTGGATACATCTGACCCAAATAAATATATTCAAAAAACTATTATATATACCCTTCTGGTGCTTTAGAGAAGCCAGATTGGAATCAGAATTGTAAGTAATCAGGATTTTTTGTTAATGGGAATTAATCAAAAGGAGAATTGAAACAAAAGAAAGAATGTGCATAGTATGAAGAGAGCTTATGGCAGGAACTCCAACATTTGAGTAGGAGGTGGGTCAAGGAAGTGGACCTAAAGAATGACCAAGATGTGACTGAAGAGTCCTAAGAAAAAAAAAAAAACAGGGTGGTTTTTAGTAACTATAGCTTATTAGTGTATTTCCAGAAGAATGGAGTGGTAAATACTGTTACATGGCACAAAGAGGTTAAGCTACGAGAATTGAAAATGTCAGCTGGGCGTGGTGCTCACACCTATAATCCCAGCACTTTGGGAGGCCAAAGTGGGAGTATCACCTGAGCTCGGGAGTTCGAGACCAGCCTGGCCAACATGGTGAAATCCCATCTCCACTAAAAATACCAACAAATTAGCTGGGTGTGGTGGTGGGTGCCTGTAATCCCGGCTGCTCTGGAGGCTGAGGCAGGAGAATCGCTTGAACCCGGGAGGTGGAGGCTGCAGTGAGCCGAGATGGCGCCACTGCACTCTAGCCTGGATGACAGAGCGAGACTCCATCTCAACAACAACAAAAAAGAATTGAAAATGTCTGTTGATTTAAGAGTGTTTTTTAAACTTTCTTTTCCTTAATGCCTGCTAAGGAGCCCTTTTAGACTCCATCTTCTCACCACCCTGCCAATCAAATTCCTCACCCATAAAACTTTTTATTATTCTTTCTTTTTCAACTGTAAATTGACAAATTATAGTTGTATATATTTAGGGGTACCAGATGTTATGATTTATGAAATGTGGAATAATTAAATGAAGCTAATTAATATCACCATAAAATTTTAATACCACAGAATATTCTCTGTTTATGTATTGTATTTGTGCTTTACACATAAAAAGAGTATTATATTTTTTTCACCTCACAAGAAGCAGTTTTTATCTGCTTTGAGAATGCATGATTTAACACACAGAGGACACTGGTGATCTTGGTAAAGGTAGTTTTGGTGGGCTGGGTGCGGTGGCTCACACCTGTAATCCCAGCACTTTGGGAGGCTGAGGCGGGCAGATCACGAGGTCAGGAGTTCGAGACCAGCCTGGCCAACATGGCGAAACCCTGTCTCTACTAAAAATACAAAAGTTAGCTGGGCATGGTGGTAGGCGCCTGTAATCCCAGCTACTCGGGAGGCTGAGGCGGAAGAATCACTTGAACTCTGGAGGCGGAGGTTGCAGTGAGCCGAGATTGCCATTGCACTCCAGCCTGGGCGACAAGAGCAAGACTCCATCTCAGAAAAAAAAAATAGTTTTGGTGGTAGTTCAGTGGAATGCTAGAAATAAGACATTGCAGTGGGCTGGGAAATAAATAGCAAGAAGTGTAAAAAAATAGAGATATGTAGAGTAGATTCAAGAAGTCTAGCTGTGAAGAGGATGAAAAGACAGGAAAATAAATGCAGCAGTTCATAAAGTGAAGGAAGAATACATTCAAATGCTGAAGGAAAGGTGTGAATAGAGGGGGAAAAGCTGACATAGGAGAGAGGGAAAAACGGAAAGAGGACCCTGACATAGCAGGAGAGGATGCTACTGAGAGACTAGGTCAAAGGGTTTGCCTTCTCTAAGGAGAAGGAACACTTTCTACTCTTCAGATTGAAGGGAAGGTTTGTATACTTGACTGCAGGCAGATGATGGCTCTCCTTCTCTGTGTAATGGGAGAGAGGTCATTTCCAAAGGGAGAGAGAAGTCCTCTTCTCTGTAAATACCATGTGCTACTCATGAATTGACACAGTACTGAGCTACTTAAAAATATTTAAATCTGCAAAGAACTCCCATAGCGTATGTGTATATGTATTTTTTTTTAAGAGATAGGGTCTTGTTTTGTTGCCCAGGCTGAAGTGCAGTGGACCAATCATAGCTCACTGTAACTTTGAACTCCTGGGCTCAAGTGATCCTTCTGCCTCATTCTGCCTCTACCTCCTGAGTAGCTAGGACTACAACCACATGCCACAAAGCCTGGCTAATGTTTAAATTTTTTGTAGAGATGGAGTCTCGCTATGTTGCCCAGGCTGATTTCCAGCTCCTGGCCTCAAGTGATTTTCCCGCCTCACCCACCCAAAGTGCTAGGATTACAGGCGTGAGCCACCGCACTCCATCTGCCCATAGTATATTGGTTTGTTTTTTTTTTTTTTGAGACGGAGTCTTACTCTATTGCCAGGCTGGAGTGCAGTGGCGCAATCTCAGCTTACCACAACCTCCGCTTCCTGGGTTCAAGCGATTCTCCTGCCTCAACCTCCCGAGTAGCTGGGACTACAGGCACGTGCCACCACGCCCAGATAATTTTTATATTTTTAGTAGTGACGGGGTTTCTCCATATTTGCCAGGATGGTCTCGATCTCTTGACCTCGTGATCCACCCACCTCAGCCTCTCAAAGTGCTGGGATTACAGGCATGAGCCCTACCGTGCCTGGCCGTATATTATATTAAATGGTTAGAAATAAAAATCATAAGATTAAGTAAGAAAATATAATCTTGTTGCAAAGAGAGCTTTCCTAAAGATACGTAAGGTTTTTTTTTTTTTTTTTTTTTTTTTTTTTTTTTTTTTTTCGAGGCAGAGTCTCGCTCTGTCGCTCAGGGTGGAGTGCAGTGGTGAGGTCTCAGCTTACTGCAACTTCCGCCTCCCGGGTTCAAGGGATTCTCCTGCCTCAGCCTACCAAGTAGCTGGGACTACAGGCGTGTGCCACCACACCTGGCTAATTTTTGTATTTTTAGTAGAGACAGGGTTTCACTATGTTGGCCAGGTTGGTCTCGAACTCCTGACTTTGTGATCCGCCCGCTTCAGCCTGCCAAAGTGCTGAGATTACAGGCGTGAGCCACCGCGCCTGGCCAAGATTCGTAAATTAAGATAATTCTTCATTAACCTCATTCACTTCACTTCTCCTATAGTGTCAATTGAAAGTGTCCCTCTGTCTTTCCCAAATTAATCCTTTCACTTGTAACTTGATCCCATTCCTTTCCTTCTCTTCTGGGAGACAAGACTTTTTCTTGAATCTTCAAATAGTTGCTTGCTTCCTGCCCCCAAATAGATATCTTGTATTCTTTAAAACAAACCCCAAACTTTCCCCCACCTTGCCACTCTCAATAATCTTGCTTCATGCCCCAAATGATGAAGGATTGGTCTACACTTGCAGTCTTTCCTCAGTTACTATTAAAGCATCTCTCTCAAACAGCTCAATGACTTTCTAATTATAAAATCCAACGACCTATTCTGATTTCAGCTTCCTCCTCTGACCATTGCAGCATTTTATGTCATTGATAACTTTCTCCTAAACAAAAATACTTCTTACCCTTTTATATGAAACTTCATCTGTTTTGGGTCTCACCTTGAAAGTCTTTCGGGCTTAATTCTCATAATTTTTTTTAAAGTCTTTCTACAATCTCCATGTAAACCACTGTTTCAAATTCGATAAAACTCAAACTCCATAAAATACCTCCTCCTGTCACTGGCACCATCTTCTTAATCACACATAAGGCTGTAAGTTTCAGGTTCAAACAAATCTACCAAATACAAACAGCCACATCGCCCGTCACTCTTCCACACTCACTGCCACCTGCTCAGCTTAGAACCCCGTTACCTCTCTCCTGAAGAACTGCAACACCCTTCTCACTGCATTCCTCACCCCAGGCTCTTCCAGGCACCACCCGCTAACAGGACGTCTGCTCAGGTCCGTTTGGGGTTTTGTCCTCCAAAGCAGAAACCTGGGACTGAGATTCCTGCCGTCTGTACTCCAGCTCACTATAGAGGGGGAACCCAGTAAGCTTGACCTCCGGGGCTCAGGCGCCTGAGAACACTGGGCTGCAGGTGGACCGCTCCCTTCTGGCCTTGCTGGCGAGAAAGCCCGGAAGGCCGGGAGTGGGGGGGAAGCGAGGCCCGGGCCAACAGCACCAAAGACGCTCCTAGAGCCCAGATCGGAGTCGGGGGCCCCAGCTATTCAGCCTACTCCCGGGTTTTGGAGCTGTCCCCAGTCCACAGATTTCCCGCCCCTCACACTCACCCCAACACCTGTGCCAGTCAGTGATTCGGCGCCGGATCCTCTCCTACCGAAGCTGGAGAAGCCGAGAAGGCCGCGAGGACCCGCAGCTGGAGTGCCCAGGAAATTGCCTGATTAACAGCTTCAAAGACACCGACTCTGTCTACCGTATTAGAAATTTTAAATATGCAGGAAGACCGTAAATGAGAGGAAAGACGTCTCTTGAGGCTTAGTATCTAAATCTTCTACATAATCCAGGGCCTAGAAAAATGGTGGGTTTCTCTCCATCTAGATTCAGGCGGTCATCTGCTGCCTAACGCAGTCTGGGGTCCCTCATGGTAGGGGAGGCGGGGTCAGGAATGGGCGGGGCATTCGCTGTTGGTGCCGACGGATAGAGCCAATGATTGTGGATGACAGCGGCACAGAATGGGCGGAGTCTGGAGGGGCGGGATTTGGAGAAGAGAAAGCGGTGATGCGAAGAGGGGGCGGGACCAGAGAGTGGATGGCAGAGGTGGGCTGTAGAGCCAAAGTGGGGTGGGAGCGCGAAGATGGCAGCTGCTGAGGAGGAGCCGAAGCCCAAAAAGCTGAAGGTGGAGGCGCCGCAAGCGCTGAGGTGAGCGCTGCCGGACTTGGGGAGGAGGGTGACGGCGCTGCAAGCAAGCCAGGGCCCACGTGGGGTTGCACGGCCCCGACGCTGGGTGGTGTCTCTCACTGCCAGCTTGGGGCCAACACGCAGGACCTCCCCCAGCTGCCCGCTTGGCCGCGACCCCTTGCCAGACGTTCTCTCCGTTTGGCTGAGTCCCCGCCTGTCTGGTGCAGCTCCGGCTCCAGCAGCCCTTCGCCAGTCGTGGCCCGCAGGGGGACCGAGCTGGCTGACCGCGCCACCTGCGAGCAAGCCCAGGCTGGGCTGGTGCGACCCCGGAGGGTCGGACCGGAGCAGCGTCTGTAGGCGGCCGCCTTCTCTTCCCGGGGGATGGCGGGAAAGAGGCTCGGCAACTGCTGTACACTGGGGCAAAGTCAGAATTCTTGGGGATTTTTCAGAGTGTTGCGGAAGGGCACGTTGACCTTCCTTTTCGTGCACATTCTGAAAGCCCGTACCTTTGAGGACCCTCTACCAGGGACCCAGACCCCTCCGATGCTTTGCAGGGGCAGCATTTGGATGAATGGATAGGAAAGGTTGATTTCTCTTTTTTATTTACACTTTTTGGCAGCAACGGGGACAGTGCTGCCCCTAACACCTGCCTCACATGTGATTGATGTTGCAACTTTTACTTATGAAGAGTCATTTGTTAAAATATCCCTTCCTAATAAGTATAAAGTGAAGCAGGCAGTCTTTGATGATTTGGAAATGTTCGCTGAAAGGCAGCGATTTTTTTTTCCATCTTAAAATAGACATATCAAACTGATTTAAAACTATTAGGACACTCCTGATTAAACAGGACATATCCCATTTCTTCCAGTATCACTCTTCTTCACCTCCAAAGGAAGGAATCACTCACAATTGAAAAGAAAAGGACACTTAGGGGCCTGGTGGTGTGTTCATGCTGCTTTGAATGGAGGGTGAACAAATCCTTGCCAGTTCCTTTAATGTATTCCTACTACCCTCAAAGGGTTAGTGTGCCTACCTTATACCAAGAACATAAACTTTAAAATAAAAACCCTCAGGATATTCTATTTTTATTTTAAATATTCCAACTATATGCAGAATAAAAAGCAACGGCTTTTGAATCAGACCTACCTGAGTTCAAGGCATGTGCTTTCCCTACTCTGCCCTTTATTAGAGTATTTCCTTATAAGGCACCTCCTTCGCCAAACTGGAAGACAGATGCAACTTTTCCCTACCATCCTACTGAACATATAACCCTTAGATTTCCTTAGATTTTTCCTTAATAAAAATTATTATATATAATGCTGATCCATTTTCACTGTGTTTTCCTATTTATTATCTTGTTGGACAGTTCTGTGATCAAAGGAAGGCAAGAATTATGCCTATTTTACAATTGAAGATATTGAAGCCCAAATAAAACAATTAGTACAGGAACAGAAATAGGAACTAGCTGAGCATGTTTTCTTATACCTGCAGTCCTGGTGCTTTGTGAGGCTGTGGTGAGAGCATTCCTTAGGCAACTAAAATTCACTTTATACAATATGAATTTAGTGCCACCTGTAGACATGAAGTTAAAAGATTAGACACTTGAGTACTGGGACAAATCTCTAATTTTGTGGGGAGACATTTTAGGATCGGCTATTATTACTTTTATTATATTAATTTGCTTTCAGACTCAAAGTGTGATAATGCATTGAGTATTTACACTGAATTTATGATGACTTGCTTGACAGGGGATTGCTACTGGTTTTGGTTAAGGAGAATGGATTATAAAGACTTTGCATAATTTAATGTGCAGCATCAGTGGGAACAAATAATGAGATATATTTGTAGATGTCAGGAAAAATATTTAGATTTAGGGATTTGTGAGAATTTGGTCAGCTCTGGGATAATAATTCTCCACCAGGGGAAATTTTGCCCTCCAGGGGACATTTGGCGTGGTCTAGAAAGATATTTTTGGTAGGGAGAGCTATTGGCACCTAGTGGATGGAATTCAGGGGTGCTGCTAAACATGCTACATAGGACAACCCCCACAACAAAGAATTATCTGGCCAAATACGTCAACGGTGTTGAGGTTGAGAAATCTGTTCTAGAGGGAGCATCTGACAAGACTAGTCTGCCTTTCTCAAATATCTATTATTTTTCTAGGCTCGGTTGCTTTTCAGCATATAACAGTTGCTTATAAAGAAAGAATCAGGCTCTGACATGTTTTCACGTGGGATTAGGGGAAAGAAGGGAACGTTAATTGAGTGCTAGACATTATACTATGTGCTCTATATATGTTATCTCTTTTAACCCTCCCAGTGACCTATGAGGTAGGAGCAATGATTCCTGTGTTACAGACGAGCTATTTTGTGATGAAAGAAGTGGAGAAACATTTTTGGGAACTGCTCCCTAGATGAAGGTGTTCCATGATGATCACTTATATTTAAGACAACTTAGTTTTCTTTTCTCTCCTTTGGAAATCTCATCCAAGTTCATTTCTTTAGCGATCGCCTCTTAAGAGGCTACAGTGCCTTCCAAGGCTTGTTGAGCACGTGCCAAGTCTTTTCCTTCAGTTTGTCTTTCAAGTACATGCTATTTTAGACATGGTGTTAAAAACTGGATATATATAGAGAGAGAAAGAGGTAAGGCACAGGTACCATCCTCTTGGTGGGAAATAAGTGGGGTTTGGGAAAATGACACCTGAGTATTCTTAAAGATGACTAGGAGTTAACCAGTCATCTGTGACTGTAGGGTATCTGTGAAGTAGGGTATCTGCCTTATAGGAAAGTTTGTTTGGTGGCAGAACTGGGAGAGAGCTGCCTCTTGGGGAAGTGCAGATAGTCTGACTGAAGCAGAGATGTATGGGGTCCAGGCTTTGTATTAGACACTCTCACATGTGTCCTTTCTATCTCTGTGCCTCTCAGTTCTCAGATCTTAATTTAATTTAATTTTGTATATATTTTTGAGTTGGAGTCTCACTCTGGCGCACAGGTTGGAGTGCAGTGGCACCATCTCGGCTCACTGCAACCTCTGCCTCCTGGGTTCAAGCAATTCTGCTGCCTCCGCCTCCCAAGTAGCTGGGATTACAGGCGTACACCACTATGCCTGGCTAATTTTTGTATTTTTAGTAGAGACGGGATTTTGCCATGTTGGCTAGGCTGGTCTTGAACTTCTGACCTCAAGCGATCCACCTGCCTCAGCCTCCCAAAGTGTTGGGATTACAGGTGTGAGCCACCGTGCCCTGCCTTCCCAGACCTTAATTTTTACTGTCTGCTGAGTATGTGCTTCTGAGTGACTTTCTGACATTTCGAAGTCATATATACCAAACTAAATTATCTGTTATCCTGAATCTGTGCATTTTTCCATATTTCCTGCATCTGTTAATGGCACCAGTAACCTCCTTTACTCCAAAGTTTGAGACCTAGATATTTGATTCATTTTACATCCACATTATAATGTCTTTCCTTTTCCATTCCTGCTGCCACACCTTACGTTTAGACTTTATCTTTTGCTTAGATTTTGTTTTGACTTCCTAAGCAGTCTCTTTACCTTCAGCCTCAAGTTCTGCCTACTTTTCTTTAGGCACAGCTCTACTTATTCATCACGGCAAATATTTGTAAACTCTGAAGTTGATGTTAGGAAACGTTGAATCCTGAAAGCCCATATCATTACTCCATCTGACATTAGCAATTAAGGATTATTAAGGATCATGACTTTTAATAGTACTAAAAAGGAAACAAACTACAGTTCTCTAATCAGCAAATGCTGAGCTTTTCTCAAATATTGCTTCCTAACTGTTTCACTTCCATGGACCCCTTTTATTATTTTCCTCTATCTCCTACCTCACTATGGACCCTGTGTTCTAAAATTAAACCTAGGAGCTGGGCATGGTGGCTCACACCTACATTCCAGCACTTTGGGAGGCCAAGGTGGGAGGTTTGCTTGAACCCAGAAGTTCGAGACCAGTCTGGGCAACAAAATGAGACCCTCGAATCTTTAAAAAAAACGAAACAAAAACTAGCTGGACATGGTGGCATAAGCCTGTGGTCCCAGCTACACAGGAGGCTGAGGCAGGAGGATTCCTTGGCTTCCCAAAGTGCTGGGATTACACGTGTGAGCCACCAAGCCTGGCCTTAATTAATGTTTGTTGCATAGAGTGGCACTGATAACTTTCATTTTTCTAGACCCTATATATATATTTTTTTGTTTGTTTGTTTTTGTTTTTGAGACAGAGTCTCGCTCTGTCGCCCAGGCTGGAGTGCAGTGGCACAGTCTCGGCTCACTGCAAGCTCCGCTTCCCGGGTTCATGCCATTCTCCTGCCTCAGCCTCTGAGTAGCTGGGACTACAGGCGCCTGCCATCACGCCCGGCCAATTTTTTGTATTTTTAATAGAGACGGGGTTTAGTAGAGACGTGTTAGCCGGGATGGTCTTGATCGCCTGACCTCGTGATCCACCCGCCTCAGCCTCCCAAAGTGCTGGATTACAGGGGTGAGCCACCGTGCCCGGCGACCCTATACTTTTAATAATGCAGCCTAAAATTGAGCTTTGCTACTATTTTCTTTTTTCATCATGATAATCTACTATTGAAAGAGTTTGGTTATTTTTGGATGATATTGCATGCCTTTTACTTATATTCGCAAATTTAATCCTTTAAGATTAAGGCTTTGGGCTATGAAGGAATGGAAAACAAAAGTCCCCTAATGCACTTAGTATGAATGCCTTAATAAGATCCTTTCCTGGGCAATATATACTAGTGCAGCGTGAGGGTGGTAGAGAGAGCCAGAGGAAAGCTTGCATGGATGGTTCTGGGTATCCAGGGACAAGCATGGAAGTGCTTGAAACTCAGGGAAAGTGGGAAGGGCCTTAGGAAAACAAGGGGCATTGAAGACTATGTTTCTTATTTTGGGTACAGGCCTAGACTGAATATTCAGCCTCAAATAAAACATGAGGCTGATGTGCTGCTTTTTTTTACCTGGAATATGTCTTTGCTTTACTTCCATCAATTAAAATCCTGGCCACATGGTGTGGCTCATGCCTGTAATCCCAGCACTTTGGGAGGCCAAGGTGGGAGGATTGCTTGAGGCCAGGAGTTCTAGACTGGCCTGGGCAACATAGTGAGACCCTAGCTCTACAAAAATAAACTTAGCCAGGCATGGCAGCAGGTTCCTGTTGTCCCAACCACTCTGGAAGCTGAGGCACTGGCACTACTACATTCCAGCCTGGGTAACAGCAAGACTCTGTCTCAAAAAAAGAAAACAAAATATCTTTCCTGTGTCCAAAGTGTTTACAGTTAGGTGGGGGAAAAAAAGTATCAAAATTTTAAAGAGCATTCTGGTCAGAATGGATCCCAGTAGAGCAGTGGTTAAGAGCATGGTCTCTGGCATCAGCTATCTGGTTTGACCCTTGATCCTTATTAGCTAGTGATCTCGGGAAGATTGGCTACTTGCCCCATACCTCTTTTCTCACCTGTAAAATGGGTATAGTAATAGTACGAACCTCATAAGGATGTTGAGAGGGAAACGCAGCAATTAAAAATTTAAAAAGGAAAGGAAAAGATATAGATATACTCAAGAACAAGATAAACATCTCCAGGGACCAAGAACAGAAAAGAAACATGCAGTTAGACTCTGGGTTCAGGAGCTAGTAGAAATAACATGTAGGGGACCTAGGGTCAGATGCTCTGTATGAAACTGAAGCTGGGCTGAGACTGGATGAAAGAGGGCTGAAAACATCTGCTCTTGGCTGTTGCTTTAAAAAGCTGTGGACCTGGAGTGAAGATGCAGAAGTGGCTGAGCTGCCAGATGGCTCAGAGTCAGGAACTGTGGTTTCCCCACTATCAGCTAGTACAAGAGCACCAAGCTTGGAGGTCGTGGACTCTGGAAGAGGGGTGGCCTATCACAGAACCCCTGGGAAAAGAGGGAATGTCTGAGCCTATAAACACACGAGGAAGACCATTACTTAGAAAATTAACACAGTTACCAAGAGATAAATTCACAAAAAATCTGATGGAAATATGGGTAATTTCAAAACAATTGTAAGTATTTTAAAGATCCTTAAAAAAGATAAAAGAAATAATGGTCATAAAAAAACATGAATCAAAAATAGGTAGATATGAAATAGATGGCTATATTAAAGAAAAAATGGAATTATTGAAATTAAAAAAAAAATAGGTCAGTTGAACTCTAGACCAGACAAATTTGAAGGGAAAATTAATGAATTGGAAGAAAGTACCCAGATGTATCACAGAGAAATAAATAGGAATTAACAAATATGAGCTGGGCGTGATGGCTCATGCCGGTAATTCCAGTACTTTGGGAGGCCAAGGCGGGCAGATCACCTGAGGTTGGGAATTTGAGACCAGCCTGACCAACATGGAGAAACTCCATCTTTACTAAAAAAAAAAAAAAAAAAATACAAAATTAGCTGGATGTGGTGGTCCATGCCTATAATCCCAGCTACTCAGGAGGCTGAGGCAGGAGAATCTCTTGAACCCGGGAAGTGGAGGTTGGGGTGAGCCGAGATCGTGCCATTGCACTCCAGCCTGGGCAACAGCGCAACTCCATAAATTGAGAGGCACCAACTTACATCTAACTGGGAGTTCCAAAAAGAGGAAATAATGTGAATGGTGGAGAAGCCAGGTTGGAAGAGCTGATGGCTGAGAATTTACCAAAATTTAAGAAAGACCAGTTCTCAGCTTGAAAGGGCATTATATGTATCTAGTAAGATGGAAACAAAAATATAAACTAAAACTTCAGAGATTTTCTTGCTAATTATATTAATGTATCTATTATAGAAAGACTGAAAATTTAGACACTCCAAATTTAATAGTGGGCATCTTTAGGTGGAAGAATTATGAGGTTTAAAAAAAAACTTGTATTTTCCAATGTTTCTACACTGAACATATTAGGAATCTTGCTTTTAAGTTGGAGAGACTTGAAGTACACTGAATATATAAGTGGCCAAGTGCTGTGTGGCTAAATATTATCTTTACAGAATGGACCTCTGGGATACCAAATACCTCTGAAACTTGGTAACATAATTATTATGACTTTATTGTAGGCTATAATCTTTTAAGCTATATTTCTGAAATCCCAAAGCTCTGGAAGCTGGAAGTTTTTTAAAAAGTTTGAGATGAATTAATTTGGCAGCAAAATTTGAACTGATGTAAAGGTGTCAGTAGTATTTATTTGTCTGACACAAATGTATATGCTTTGCTATGGAAATATTAGGCTGTTAATGACATGCCACATGAATTCCTCCTGGGTGTTCTACAAAATATATAGTGCAGTGTTACCTTCCTAAAATCCATAAAATTCTGAATTCCAAAACATACCCTGCCCCAAGGATTTAAGAAAGGGTTTGTGGACTTTTATTACTTATTTATAGTTTACTTTTAAAAGT
The DNA here is from genome assembly GCF_000001405.40 of Homo sapiens. Classification (NCBI taxonomy): domain Eukaryota; kingdom Metazoa; phylum Chordata; class Mammalia; order Primates; family Hominidae; genus Homo; species Homo sapiens. The sequence continues at coordinate 74,158,725 of NC_000010.11, forward strand.
TGGCTACTGTGCAGGAACAATAATTTCTCATCAGAGTTAGTTCCTAGATTTTTTTCTCTAGTCACTGTTCTGCACTTCTATGATACTAAGTAGATGCTCATTTCAAAGATACTTTTTGGCTAGCTCTACTGTAATACCAGTACAGTTGATGTCACTGAGTTATTAGGCTTTTCTTCCTCTCCAGTAGTAACTGAAAAGACAGACTTCTCTTCAACTTTTGGACTTGAAGATTTGGAAGGCTGTTTTACAAAATGGTCTCCCAAACTGAAGTTTCACATACTGCTTGAAGAAGATACATTCTGATGATTTATCAAAGCAGATTTAGAGTTTTTGCTCTCATTTATGTGTATTATTTCTGATGTTGTTTGTACTTTTGGCTTCGTACCATTTCTTTAAAAATTTGGTTCATACACTTCAGATCTAGAAGCAATGTGATTAGCCTTTGATATAAGAACATCTGAGTTTCTATTTGCATTTTTACTTTCATTGCATGCATGCTGACTTTAGTATTTTCTTTACAATTTAGAAGATATATATGTATAGCAATTATGTAAGAAATTCTTGCCTTCTGTAGGCACAACAGTTTGGTTACTGTATTAACATGGTCTTAACCATTTTGTCAGCAAGCCACATTTGGTTAGTAGTGAGTCCTGCTATTTTACTATGTTACCTGCAAACAGGATTGCAGATGTGAAGGTAGCCTGTGTGATCATTGGTCACTCACTGAATTAGGGATTATCAGAAATTATATTGAAGTGGTCACTTGGCTACTTGCCTTCTACATGCTTAGGCTAGACTTTGGTTCATACTTAGAACCATTTTGAAATCTCTGAAAGACTCAGTTGACTCAACCTAACTGGAAAGTCCATCTAATTTTTTTTTTTTTGAGATGGAGTCTTGATCTGTCACCCAGGCTGGAGTGCGGTGGCACGATCTCAGCTCACTGCAACCTCCGCCTCCTGGGTTCAAGCAACTCTCCTGCCTCAGCCTCCCGAGCAGCTGGGATTACAGGCATGCACCACCATGCCCAGCTACTTTTTGTATTTTTAGTAGAGACAGGGTTTCACAATGTTGGCCAGGCTGGTCTCAAATGCCTGACCTCAGGTGATCCACCTGCCTTGGCCTCCCAACGTGCTGGGATTACAGGTGTGAGCCACAGCACCTGGCCTAAAGTCCATCTAAATATGACTCAATCTAGGAGTTCACCGCTTGTCTCTGTTGTCCTTTAGATTCAATTTATCTCTCACGTAGGCCATTTCAGTGTAACAAGATGGCAGTTCTCAACTCCAAGCCAAAATCTCATGAGTCCAAAGGAAGAGAGTTTTTCTATATGCTTGTATCAGTTTTGAGAGAAATTTGGTTCTGCCTGTGTTACACACTACCTTGAACCAGTTGAGGTAGGAGGTGGGGCTCAGACACTGGACCAAATTGAGGACTAGCTAAAACAGGGACAGAGTGGAATCAGCTTTCCGTAAGTCACACCTACTAATGTGCCATGTCAGTTTCCCATTGCCACGGCAACACCCAGAAGTTAGCGTCCCTTTTCATGACAGTGTCCTGGAAGTTACCACCCTTTTCCTAGAAATTTCTGCATAATCTGCCTCTTAATTTGTATATAATTAAAATTGGGTATAAATATGACCACAGAACTGCTTCTGAGCTGCTACTCTGGGCATACTGCCTATGGGGTAGCCCTGCTCTGCAAGGGGCAGTACCTCTGCCGATGCTTTACACTGCTGCTTCAATAAAAGTTGCTGACACACCACTGGCTGACCCTTGAATTTTTTCCTGGATGAAGCCAAGCACCGTCCTGGGCTAAGCCCCAGTTCTGGGGCTTACCTGCCCTGCATTACAATCACTGTATCAGAGGTGGAGATTTGGGCTGGCCTTGGATACATTCTCACTGTCTGCCCGTCTGTTGTGTGCGTGCATGCAGGTAGGGGTGTGTGCGTGCATGCAGGTAGGGGTGTGTGTGTGTGTGTGTGTGTGTGTGTATGTGTGTGTGTAGGTAGTACTAGGTATATGGGGAGCCAGTGAGTGTAGGCATTGTTCGTATATGGGGGGAAATGGATGGGTGTTGATGGGTACACTGTAATCAACAACTCCGACAGGACCTTGTAGAGTAAGGGAGGTAGTGTCATTCCCTCAGCAAGAGAAAAATCCATTTTAGCATGTACAATATTTATTAAAACAACCTTCCTCTTCTCCCCTTCCAAAAAACCCGACAACCTCAGTCTTCAAGGTCTAGCCAAATTCTCTCTTCTCTATAAAACTTTTCTACTCACCAAACCTAGAAATGGTTTCTCCTTTGACTGTTTGTACTTTATACTTTGCGTTATTGCAATGTACAGTATGTGCATGTTTTATCTCACCTATTGCTACTTGAAGTTGGGAAACTAGTTGAATAACTCTTAGTGCCTCATAACTGATCACTTCATTGCAATATAACAGGCTCTGAATTTCTGTTGAATCAAGGAATTCCTATTTATTTTTTTGAGATGAAGTCTCGCTCTGCTGCCCAGACTGGAGTTCAGTGGCATGATCTCGGCTCACTGCAACATTCACCTCTCAGGTTCAAGCAATTCTCCTGCCTCAGCCTCCCGAGTAGCTGGGACTACAAGTGCACACCACCACACCTGGCTAAATTTGTGTATGTGTGTGTTTTTAGTACAGACGGGGTTTCACTGTGTTAGCCAGTATGGTCTCGATCTCCTGATCTCGTGATCTACCTGCCTCAACCTCCCAAAGTGCTGGGATTACAGGCATGAGTCACCGCGCCTGGCCTATTTATTTTAAAATTTTAATTAATTTTTTTTTTGTTTTTAGAGACAGGGTTTCACTATGTTGCCCATGCTGGTCTTGCCTATGCCTGTCTTGAACTCCTGGCCTCAAGTGATCTTCCCTCTCAGCCTCCCAAAGTGCTGGGATTACAGGTGTGAGCAACCATTCCTGGCAGAATCAGGGAATTCTTAACACTTTTTTTTTTTGTTTTTTTTGAGATGAGGGGGTCTTGCTGTGTTGCCTAGGCTGGAGTGCAGTGGTACAATCATGGCTCACTGCAGCTTTGACCTCCCAGGCTCAAGCGATCCTCCTATCTCAGCCTCCAGAGTAGCTGGAACTACAGGGATGCACCACTGTGCCCAGCTAATTAAAGAAAAAATTTTCTTTTGTAGAAACAGGGTCTCACTCTATTGCCCAGGCTGGTCTTGAACTCAAGCAGTCCTCCTGCCTCGGCCTCCTAAAGTGCTAGGATTACAAGCCTGAGCTGCATGCCTGGCCTCTTAACCCTTTAAAGATTTTTTTGTTTGTTTTTTAGACAGAGTTTCACTCTTGTTGACCAGGCTGGAGTGTAGTGGCACGATCTTGGCTCACTGCAACCCCCGCCTTCTGGTTTCAAGCGATTCTCCTGCCTCAGCCTCCCAAGTACCTGGGGTTACAGGTGCCCGCCACCACACCTGGCTAAATTTTGTATTTTTAGTAGAGACAGGGTTTCACCATGTTGGCCAGGCTGGTCTCGAACTCCAGACCTTGTGATCCGCCCACCTTGGCCTCCCAAAGTGCTGGGATTACAGGCGTGAGCCACTGGGCTCGGCTGCTTGTAGCATTTAATGGTGCAAAATGGATTCATGTGTTGTCTATAAATTCTTACCAATAATGGGAGTTGATGGAGAGAACTATTACCTGAAAATACTTCACGATTCTTTGGCCTTTCATTTTTTTGTTAAATGGAGTGAGCTTGTGTGCAAAATCAACCTGATACTAAAGGATAAGAAAGGTACTCCCGATTGCATTTCTTTTGTGTGTGTGTGTGTGTGTGTGTGTGTGTGTGTGTGTGTGTGAGACAGAGTCTCACTGTGTCGCCCAGGCTAGAGTGCAGTGGCATGATCTCACCTCACTGCAACCTCCACCTCCCAGGTTCAAGCAATTCTCCTGCCTCAGCCTCCTGAGTAGCTGGGATTACAGTCATGCACCACTGTGCCCAGCTCATTTTTGTATTTTTGTGTTTTTAGGTTTCACCATGTTGGCCAGGCTGGTCTTGAACTCCTAACCTCAAGTGATCTGCCTGGCTTGGCCTCCCAAAGTTCTGGGATTACAGGTGTGAGCTACCACGCCTGTCCCCAGTTTGCGTTTCTGTTCTTTCTGGTGACCATAGTGAGCTCGATTATAATAGCCATTTATTATATTTGTCTATGGGGAAAAATTCCCTCAGAATAAATACACTTCTCCTACGTGAACAGTAACATTTTCTTTCTTTTTTTTTTGAGATGAGTCTTGCTCTGTCACCCAGGCTGGAGTGCAGTGGCATGATCTCGGCTCACTGCAGCCTCCACCTTCCGGGTTCAAGCGATTCTCCTGCCTCAGCCTCTGAGTAGCTGGGACTACAGGTGCCCGCTACCACACCTGGCTAATTTTTTGTATTTTTAGTAGAGACGGGGTTTCACCATGTTAGCCAGGATGTTCTCGATCTCCTGACCTTGTGATCCATCCGCCTCGGCCTCCCAAAGTGTTGGGATTACAGGCGCGAGCCACTGTGCCCGGCCAACAGTAACCTTTTCTTAAGGTCCCGTGGTTGATGTCTTCACTCATTCTTTCTTCTTTTAATATAGTAGAATTGCGTATTTGGGGGAGGAATAGAGTTTCTGAAAGAGTGAATGTACAAAGAAGATCCCAGTGACCTGTTAGAATGATGAATCTCTTTTCTCTGTGTTAGCAAGCCTTTAATTAGTAAGGCTGTTTGCAGTGTAATTAGAACTGCACAAGCATGGAAGGTCAGTAATACTGTTCAGAATTTCATAATGTACTGTGTAACATAACATACTGTGAAATGAATCCATAGTACCACAAAATTTGTTTTTAAAGAAGTTTGTCTCTATTGACTCATCTAGGAGGGGTCACTTAAAAACAAAATAGGGCAAAAAAGTCAAATTCAGATGTCTTAGGTTTTCTCAAATTCCTTTAATCTCGATATAGCAAAAGAAACTGTTTCCTTCTTAGCCCTAGAATGGCAGTCTGAAAAATTATCTAAGTTTTTGAGGAAACAAATTGAAATACAAGAAAATTATTTCCTTTACAAATAAACAGTTCTCTTGTTTGTCTTTGAACTTAACCACATAGAGATTTAAATAGTTTGTTGTTTTATAGGCTTGACTGAGGAAGTCTTCTCCTAAAATAGAATTTTTTAAAATAGTTTTTTCTCAGCCCAGCTGAGACCTTAGTTATCATTTTTAGTTCTTAGTTTTGTTGAAGATTGAAGCCATTAAGCCGTAGAAGTGATGCAGATTTATGCTGTTGTCTATATCTGTTCTCACCTACTCAGGATGAATTGATTATAAAACATTTTATCATAGGATAGCATGTTGATGCATATAAAACATAGTGATGAAATTCTACTTTGTCTTGTTTTACTTATTGCTTGTTCATCCAAATGTATTAAATTTGATTGTTTAGGTTTGAGATATTATAATAAAACTTGGTTACATTATTAAATTCAGTACATAGTATAAAATGTTTATTAAAAATAGTATTTTAGGCTGGGTATGTTGGCTCATGCCTGTAATCCCAGCACTTTGGGAGGCTGAGGCAGGCAGATCACTTGAGGTCAGGAGTTCGAGACCAGCCTGGCCAACATGTTGAAACCCTGTCTCTACTAAAAATACAAAAATTAGCTGGGCATGGTGGTGGGCGCCTGTAATCCCAGCTACTTGGGAGGCTGAGGCAGGATAATTGCTTGAACCTGGGAGGCAGAGGTTGCAGTGAGCCCAGATTGCTCCACTGCACCACAGCCTGGGCGACAGAGTGAGACTCCATCTTAAAAAAGGAAAAATTTGTCCTTTTTTTTTGGGAGGGGAGTGTAGGTTCTTCTCTACATAATACATTGACTTCCTTAGGGGTATTCATCTCTGTGTTTGCATATCCTAAGGGTGTTCTTTAGAGAAATATATACATTTCTAGACTTATACTCGTAGATTCTTATCTTTGCCTAGTTTCCTCTGGAGGACAAGAATCTCTTCTTTAGCACTATTTCCCCCATATTTGTGTAGCATTCCTACATTTTTCAAATGTAAAAAAACACCACATCAGAGACCTTTGACCTCAGTTCTCTGTGAAGTTTCAATAAACTCGATTCCTGAGAAGACGTGTTAGTTTCTTGTAGATATCAAGTCAAACTCAAAGATCTTTAAGTGTTTTCTTTGTTTCCCAAGATGTTGATTCTTTACTCTCATAAAACAGGTTAAAGCAGGCTCTCTCAGCCTTTCTCTTTGAGAAACTACTTTCATATTTCCGAAGACTGCTTGGGAATGCTGGTGGGAGTTGGGATAGGAGCAGCGGAGGGAGGAGATGCCTAAGAGTGCCTGTTCTCAGGTAGAGTTGGAAATGTTCCCTCCTAGAGCTGAGATTTCCTGCAAGACATCGAGTTGGGGTGTGAAAGCAGCAGATTTCAGTATCAGCCAGATGTGGCTTTGAAATGGTGGTTCACAGTTTCTTGTGATTTTTGAAAACTCTGAACATATTTTAGACTTTTTAGATTATTAGTGCTTGATGAGGTACTTAAAATCAGAGTCTAATATTTGGGTTGTACAGTTGAGGGTATTAAAGCCCAGAGAGGCTAGGTGGTATCAGTAAGGTAACACAGTAAGTTACAGCTACTAAGTATCCAAGGTGAGATTTGATCCTGAGTCTTATAACTTACCGTTGCTCTAGGCTCTGGAATAAGAAATGAAGCATCAATTTCCTGGGGAGCTTTTTTTTTTAATTAAATTTAATTTTTTTTAAGATAAGAATAACATATTTGAAGAAAATGTCAAGTACTTTCACTTACATTTTCTTATTGATCTCCACAAGAAGACAACCAGGCAATCTGTCTTTAGCTGAGGAAACAGACCCCCGAGAGGTTAAGAGTCCCTAAGTAGTAAACATTCATCTCACGTTCAGGACCTCTGACTCATGTGTCTTGCTGTTTATATTATGTATGAAGATAGAAATTGAGAAGCTGTCAGTAAATTCTGTATGTGCTAGATAAGCACCCTGTTTAAAGAAATTCTGTGGCAATTGTCAATTGTGTTTTATAATCTTGTCTAGACTTGTGTCTCTCAAGTTTTCTTATTCACACATATGTAGTTTTATCCCCCCCAAAATAATTATTCTCTTGTGGGATCTACTTAGTGGTATGGTTTGCAAATGGATTAACTCATTGAACTGGAATTTTTAGTAGATTATATTTTCTTTTTTCTCATGTTTCTTTGAGACAGAGTTGCTCTGTTGCCCAGGCTGGAGTGCAGTGGCCTCCTGGGTACACTTCCACTTCCTGGGTTCAAGTGATTCTCCTGACTCAGCCTCCCAAGTAGCTAGGATTAAGGGCATGCGCCACCACACCCAGTGAATTTTTGTATTTTTAGTAGAGACGGGGTTTCACTGTGTTGGCCTGGCTGGTCTTGAAGTTCCAACCTTAGGTGATCTGCCCGCCTCGGCCTCCCAAATTGCTGGGATTACAGGCGTGAGCCACCATGCCCGGCCAGTAGATTGTATTTTCTAATCAAAACTTTAGACAAACCAATTTTGCTTGTGTTTAATTAAAATGTTCTAGTTAAGAACAATTTATTAGTACTATTTTTTGAGATGGGGTCTTACTTGGTTGCAGAGGCTGTAGTGCAGTTGAACAATCTTAGCTCACTGTAACATTCACCTCCGGGCTCAAGCCATCCTCCCACCGCAGCCTCCCAAGTAGCTGGGACCACAGGCTTGTGCCACCACGCCCAACTAATTTTGGTATTTTTTGTAGAGATGAGGTTTTGCCATGTCACCCAGGCTGGTCTGAAACTCCTGGCCTCAAGTGTTCTGCCCACGTTGGCTACTCAGGAGGCTGAGGTAGGAGAATCGCTTGAACTTGGAAGGTGGAAGTTGCAATAAGCCAAGATTGCGCCACTGCACTCCAGCCTGGGTGACAAAGTGAGACTCCGTCTCAAAAAAAAAAAAAAAGAAAAAAAAAAAAGAAATGGTTAAAATAGGAAAAGTCTCAGTTCCTCTTAGCTATTTCTGATTGCTACATGACTTCCATGAAGCTTTTTAAGCTTTCACTCAGTTCTGAGGTGTTTATATGAGCTTGTGAGGAACTTCTGGTTACAAACTGTAATACCTATTGGCTTTTAGCATGGTGCAAGGAAAAGAGCTTTGGATTAGGGATAAGGACACCTGAGTCCTATTAAGGTCTCTGTCTGGATTTGTGAATGCACCTGTTAAGTGAGTTGTATAGACTAAAATGTTTTCCAGACTACATGAGCCTTTTTGAGTATTGCACAAGTGGTATTTTATAAACGAGAAATAGAATAAAAAATATTGTGCATTGAGTACCTAAGAGGTAAGTATTGCTCTGTGAATCATTGTTTCAGTTATATGTATAGGGTACTGGGTTACAATGTAAAAAATGTATTTTTAATTAAAAAAATATAAATGTAGAAAAATATAATAGAGATGAGGTCTCACTATGTTGCCCAGGCTGGTCTTGAACTCCTAAGCTCAAGTGATCCTCCCGCCTCAGCCTCCCAAAATGTTAGGATTACAGGCGTGAGCCACTGTGTCTGGCCAAAAAATGTATTTTTCACACAGTTTGGTTTTCTATTCCAAAATTTGGTGGCTTAAAATAACTACTTTATTAGATGTCATGATTTTTGGATTAGGAATTCAGACACAGCTTGGCCTGTTGATTCTGTTCTATATGGTGAATAAGATCACTTGGAGGTGTTTAGCTGACAACAGGTCTGGTCTGGAGGGTCCATCTTATCTTTATTCACTCACCTTATGCCTTAGGGTAACTGGAGGCTTGGCTCAACTGGGCTTCTCTTAGTGTAGTTTGAGATCCTCTCTGTGGTTTCTTCAGCTGGGTAGTTGGACTTCTCACGTGGCAGCTCCAAGAGACCAAAGCAGGAGCTGGCAGCCCTCTCAAAGGCTAGCTTAGAATCTGGCATAGCATCACCTTCACTATACACTATTGGTCAGAGGAGTTCCAGGCTAGCCCAGATTTAAGAGAAGGGAACATAGACTTCTTGTCTCTAAGATATTGTTCCCATTTTAAGTCTGCCACAATTATGTAAAATAATTTAGAAAAACATGACTGAATTATATATCCAAGCTTTTAATTCTGTTATTGCCCTTTGAAGGATGATCACTTTTAAAGTGTTTTTTCCTCCATTGGGAAATTTGTCTGCTTTTGGTAAATTTTCATAGTTCAATTTGAGTATGTATATTATTTTTCCATGGAATACTGAGGGTTTTATGCTTTTGAAGAAATGATTTAAAGTTTAAAATTTCTTTCTCTACATTGATCTGCTGGTTTTAATTCTTTGAATAGCACTTATGATCATTTGATGCTGTTCTTTTTTGTTACTTGATTATTCATCTTTCTCTCCTTAGAATGTAAGTTCTAAAAGGGCAGCACATGTTCTTGATCTTTGCCAAATCTGTAGTGTCTCCTGTAGTAGAACAGATGCTCGATAAATATTTGTTGAGTTAATGAATGAACAATTTAAAAGATTGTGAGCTGGGCGCGGTGGCTTACGCCTGTAATCCCAGCACTTTGGGAGGCCGAGGCGGGCAGATCATGAGGTCAGGAGATCGAGACCATCCTGTCTAACACAGTGAAACCCCATCTCTACTAAAAATACTAAAAAATTAGCGGGGCATGGTGGCATGCGCTGTAGTTCCAGCTACTTGGGAGCCTGAGGCAGGAGAATGGCATGAACCCGGGAGGCGGAGCTTGCAGTGAGCCGAGATCGCGCCACTGCACTCCAGCCTGGGCGACAGAGCGAGACTGTCTCAAAAAAAAAAAAAAAGAAAGAAAGAAAAAAAAGATTGTGAAGTATCATAGATCAGATCTACGTTGAAATGATAAAAATAAGGAAAATCTTTTTTTAGACGGAGTCTCTCTGTGTCGCCCAGGCTGTAGTGCAGTGGCATGACCTCGGCCCACTGCAACCTCCACCTCCCGGGTTCAAGCGATTCTCCTGCCTCAGCCTCCTGAATAGCTGGAATTACAGGCATGTGCCACCACACCCGGCTAATTTGTGTATTTTTAGTAGTGATGGGGTTTCTCCACGTTGGTCAGGCTGGTCTCAAACTCCTGACCTCGTGATCCTCCCGCCTTGTCCTTCCAAACTGCTGTGATTACAGACGTGAGCCACCGTGCCTTGCCAAAATAAGGAAAATCTTTTAGATAGAAAATATAGGACCGGTGTGGTGGCTCATGCCTGTAATCCCAGCACTTTGGGAGGCTGAGGCAGGTGGATCCCTTGAGCTCAGGAGTTTGATACCAGCCTGGGCAACATCGTGAGACCACATCTCTACCAAAAAATTAGCTGGGCATGGTGGCGTGCATATGTGGTCCCAGCCGCTCAGGAAGCTGGGGTGGGAGGATTGCTCGAGCCTGGGAGGCGGAAGTTGCAGTGAACCAAGATTGTGCCAGTACACTTCAGCCTGCGTGACAGTGGGACCCTGTCTTAAAAAAAAAGGAAAAAGAAAATATATTTCATAAGGTTAGCAACAAGCTTTTGAGAAGGGCTATTCTTTATTTCTGTGATGTACTTTCTATATTTTTGTATTAAAATCCCTTTTCTGTTGTGAAATGATAGTGATATTCACTTCTATAGTTTAAAAATATGTTCTGTGCAGCATAAATAATTGATAAGCAGTGTTATCTTGTACTTTCAGATTGGAGTTGCCTTTGAGAGTCAAAGATTTGTAGCTCACAGAAAATAAAGAAGTACTGTGTGGGTGTGCCTGGGAGGGAGTTTTGCTAAGAATTCTTACTAAATAAAGTTCAATCAGTCAAATGTTATTGTACTCTTCAAATTCTCCAGGGAAATAAATTGCCAGCTTCCATTTAAAGATTGTATTTTGTTTGAATATGTGATGTTAAAGTGAAATGTGACATATAAGAATCTAAAGATGATTATTAAAAGCAAACAACATAATAGCATTCTTACAATGTCTTTTGCAGGAGAGAATTAATAGATTTAGCAGTGTTTCTTTGAATAAACTTGTCCATAATGAAAGCTAACTAAAATTGCATTAAAATTTATCAACTCCTTTAAAAAAATTCAATATGTTTTGAGATACAAGTATGCACAAGTATTTTCTTTCATTGTCTAATAAGAACTTAAAGGAACCTGAGATGTCACCTATAACAAACTCCTTTGTGTTTCAGAAAAGGAAACTGATGGTCAAAGAGGTAATGATTTGTCAAAAGTAATAAAGTTATTGGTAAGTCCAGGATTCGAATCCCTTCTCATTCCCAGGCCCCTGACCTTTACATGGCTGCACACTATTTTAGGGAGACAAGTTTTAAGAAGTTTCTCTTTTTGGATATGATATAGATTCTTTAAATAATATTATTTTACTGATTTTTGAATTCATATTAAATGAGGGTTTGTATTTTTAAGTAACATGCAGGGAAAACATTCCACATTCATGTTATGACAGCTGGGCTCGTCAAGGCTTTGCAAAGCTCTAAAAGTAGGATACACACTTTTAACTTTTGTCAAGTTGTGATTTAAAATTAATCAAAAAAATCATGAGGACACCTTATTTTTGTTATTCCTGTCTTAAAGAATCTTTATACATGAAAAAATGAAACATTTATAAAATTAGCCCAATTTGTCTAAAAATAAGGGTAGTTTTGACGGTTGTGAATTTCTTTTTTTAAAAAAACTCAGGAACAAGGTTATGATTTTAAAAATGCAAGTTTTCAAAAAGGGCAGGAGTAAGTTTTGTATTTTTAAGCCATTTAAAAAAGATAGTAAGGCCGGGCACGGTGGCTCACGCCTGTAATCCTAGCACTTTGGGAGGCCGAGGCAGGCGGATCACGAGGTCAGGAGATCGAGACCATCCTGGCTAACACGGTGAAACCCTGTCTCTACTAAAAATACAAAAAAAATTTGCCGGGCGTGGTGGCGGGCACCTGTAGTCCCAGCTACTCGGGAGGCTGAGGCAGGAGAATGGCGTGAATCTGGGAGGCTGAGCCTGCAGTGAGCCGAGATCGCGCCACTGCACTCCAGCCTGGGCGACAGAGCAAGACTCCATCTCAAAAAAAAAAAAAAAAGAAAAAAGATAGTTGATATTTAATAATAATTATAAAAATTATAACTATAAAACCAGTATTAGAAAATTAATGATGGATGAATGTAAATAAAGTAAAATTATGCATAATCCTACTTTCCAGAGATAACTAATAACATTTAGGTGTATTTCTTTCCAATCATTTTTTTCTATGCATATATGGTGTGTATTTTTTTAAACACAGTCAAGTTCATACTCTACTTCCTTTTGTTTTGCTTTTTTCATTTAACATTATATCATGAGCATTTTCTTATGTCCCTAAAAAGTCTGTGGAAACATTTTATAATAGTTCCATAACATTCTGTAATTATTTAACTATTACCCTATTTCTGGTTATTTGGGATATAATAAATTTTTGCTATTGTTAATAAGGCTGAAATGAATAACTGGGTATACAAATCTTTATACACATTTGTCTCTCTTTTAATGATAGTTGCCTAAAAGTTGGAATTACTGACACATATTGCCAAAATTCTTTATAGTAGAAATGTACTAATTTATACTCCCATTAATTTTATATGAGAGTGCTTGTTTTATCGCACCCTTAACAAACTGGTTGTGTTTGAAGAGAACTTTGCTATTATTTTGGGGCTTGAAGCATTTGTTGAAGAGATTAGTGGATGGGTCCACATTTTTGGTATGCTATTTGGAGGCACTTAGCTATTTTGGGTTATGTATCTGATTGCTTTTATAGGGCCAGACCACAAGATTAGATAAAGTATATGGAATATTTACATATCAGTCTTACGAAGAGCAAACTATTCAGACCCACTTATCTTGATTCAGCTATTCTAATTGTAAAAAGACTACTGAAGGTTAAAAATTTCAGTTGACTATTTTCTCCTAAAGTAGGATAAGCTAGGCTTTTAGGAAAAAAATAGGGTTGAAATAAATTGTTTAGAAAATTGATCAAAAGTAGTAGTTACTCAGTACTCTCTCTCTCAGCGCTCACTCTCTTTCTGTCTCTCTCTGTCTCTCTGTGTGTGTGTGTGTGTGTGTGTGTGTGTGTGTATTTAGAAAAAGAGTAGAATGGAAAGATTAGAAATAGAGCATGAAAGGCTGGGGAAGGGAAGTTGCTGTGAATAACAGAACTTCTGCCTTTACCTGGGAAAATATATCTTTACTTTTGTCGCTACATTATTGACTCTGAAAGATCACATGAGTCCTCTTTCTTGAAATAATATTTTTGTGTTTGTAACTGCTGACACGACTGGTACTTAAATTTTGAGAGAATAAACTTTTTGAAAATTTTTTTGACCATTAATAAAAAACTTTTTTTTCATTTCCTACAGTACATGGATTTTCTTTTTTTTTTTTTTTTTTTAAGACAGGGTCTTGTTCTATCTCTCAGGCTAGATTGCAGCGGCGCAAACACAGCTTGCTGTAGCCTTGAACTCTTGGGCTCAAGCCATCCTTCCATCTGAGCCTCCCAGGTAGCTCGGACTACAGGTGTGTGGTCTCCCTATGTTGCCCAAGCTGGTTTTGAACCCCTAGGCTCAAGTGGTCTTCCTGCCTTGGTCTCCCTCAGTGCTGGGATTACAGGTGTGAGCCATTGCACCTGGCTAGACAGCTGATTGGCTGGGCGCGGTGGCTCACCTGTAATCCCAGCATTTTGGGAGGCCGAGGTGGGCGGATCACCTGAGGTTGGGAGTTTGAGACCAGCCTGACCAACATGGAGAAACCCCATCTCTTATTAAAAATACAAAATCAGCCGGGTATGGTGGCACATGCCTATAATCCCAGCTGCTAGGGAGGTTGAGGCAGGAGAATTACTTGAACCTGGGAGGCAGAGGTTGCAGTGAGCCGAGATCGCGCCATTGCACCCCAGCCTGGGCAACAAGAGTGAAACTCCATCTCAAAAAAAAAAAAAAAAAAAAAGCGGATCACGAGGTCAGGATATCAAGACCATCCTGGCCAACATGGTGAAACCCCATCTCTACTAAAATACAAAAAATTTGCCAGGCCTGGTGGCGCACGCCTAGGGGATTGCTTGAACCCGGGAGGCAGAGGTTGCAGTGAGCCAAGAGTGCACCACTGCCCTCCAGCTTGGTGACAGAGTGGGACTCCATGTCAAAAAAAAAAAAAAAACGGTTAGATGCAAATATCAAAAATGAGTTAAAAAATATCTTTGGTGTGGCTTCAATTTTATTAACTATTTTAATATTGCAGACCCATATCTTCCCTTAATTATACTGAATTTAGTATATTTGTTAAAAAATAAAGTTTTAAGACTACCTGTTTTGGTATCAAAATTAGTTTTTTTTTTTTCTTTTTTTTTGAGATGGAGTCTTGCTCTGTCACCTAGGCTGGAGTGCAGTGGCATGATCTCTGCTCACTGCAAGCTCCACCTTGGGTTCACACCATTCTCCTGCCTCAGCCTCCCAAGTGGCTGGGACTACAGGCACCCGCCACCACGCCCGGCTAATTTTTTTTTTAATTTTTAGTAGAGATGGGGTTTCACTGTGTTAGCCAGGATGGTCTCGATCTCCTGACCTCGTGATCCACCCGCCTTGGCCTCCCAAAGTGCTGGGATTACAGGTGTGAGCCACTGCGCCCGGCTAGGTTTTTTCAAATTGAAAATTTTTTTTCTTTTTCTTTCTTTTTTTTTTTCTTTTGAGATGGAGTCTTGCTCTTGTTGCCCAGGCTGGAGTGCAGTGGAGCAATCTCAGCTCACTGCAACCTCTGCCTCCCAGGTTCAAGTGATTCTCCTGCCTCAGCCTCCCAAGTAGCTGGGACTATAGGTGTGTGCCACCGCGCCCAACTAATTCTTGTATTTTTAGTAAAGATGGGGTTTCACCATATTGGCCAGGCTGGTCTCGAACTCCTGACCTTGTGGTCCTCCTGCCTCAGCCTCCCAAAGTGCTGGGATTACAGGCGTGAGCCACTGTGCCTGGCTTTAATTTGAAAATTTTAATGTTACAAATCAAAGGTAGGTGTTACCAAAGTATGTTAAGCATGAGCAAAAGTGCATTTGATTGTTCAGAGGGCCAAGTTCATGTTAGCTTTGGGATCATGCCTCCAGAGATGTAAGTTTAACTATTATGATAATAACAAAGTAATAATTATGCCATGTGCCAAGGATTCTATTAGACTCTTTACTATAGTTAATTAAATTTTAATCTTCACAGTGCCCTGAACAGCATATAATGGGTAAACCGAGGGACAGACAGTTTAAGAACCAGTTTAAAGGCTGGGTGTGGTGGCTCATGCCTGTATTCCCAGCATTTTGGGAGGCTGAGGTGGGCGGATCACTTGAGGTCAGGAGTTCAAGCCCAGCCTGGCCAACACGGTGAAACCTTGTCTCTACTAAAAACACGAAAAAAAAATTAGCTAGGCATGGTGGTGCGTGCCTTTAGTCCCAGCTACTCGGGAGGCTGAGGTGGGAGAATTGCTTGAACCCCGGGGATGGGGGCGGAGGTTGCAGTGAACCGAGATCATGCTACTGCACTCCAGCCTGGGTGATAGACTGAGACTCCATCTCAAAAAAAAAAAAAAAAAAAAAAAAAGAACCAGCTTAAAGTCATACAGGTAATAGGAAGTCAAGCAGAAGTTGCAAACCAGATACCTTTTGCTACCTTTACAGGCTTGCTACTCAGCCTGGCCCACAGACCAGAAGCAATTAGTGAGACCTGGGAACATAAAGAAATGCAAAATTTTGGTCACTGATACCTGCAGTGCCAAACCTGCATTTTAACAAGATCCACGAGATTTGTATGCATGTTAAAGTTTGAAAAGCACTGATGGTGTGAAATGTGGATTATCTATCAACATTTTCCACAAGAGAAGGTGGGTAACTCTAGCCAGTGTCTCCACCACTGTGAATTGCTAATCCAGCTGCTGCTTTGCTTCAGATCCTGTTTAATCCAGAGGAACAATTGACTAATTCTGCTTGTGGACCTTCGGTCAAAGTCTTAACCACGCCAAGTATAGCTCAGTGTTTTAACAGCTTTTACTCATGGACTGAACACATCAGTTTTATAGACCATGGCTTCATTCTGGATAGGCATTTCCCAGGTTAAAGAGAACAGTGCTAAAAATAGCATTTTCTAAAGAAACTTGAAATCTTCTGGAATATTTGATGTGTTTTATGGCTAGCAAGAAAACAGATTTGTATAAACTGGCTTCCTTACTAATTTCATTTTGTGAACTTAATTATTCTATCACAGGGACAGTGATAGGTAAAGCTAACTTAGACTAGAGCAGCACTGTTCTGTAGAAATATAATGCAAGATTCCTGTAATTTTAAATTTTCTAGTAGCCACATTAAAAAAGGTAAAAAAGAGGCCAGGAGTGTTGGCTCACGCCTGGAAGGCTGAGGCGGGCAGATCGCTTGAGGCCAGGAGTTTGAGACCAGCCTGGCCAACATGGTGAAACTCCGTTTCTACCAAAAATACAAAAAAATTTAGCCAGGTACGGTGGCGCATGCCTGTAGTCCCAGCTACTCGGGAGCCTGAGGCACAAGAATCGCTTGAACCCAGGAGGCAGAGGTTGGAGATCGCACCACTGCACTCCAACCTGGGCGACAGAACAAGACTCCAGCTCAAAAAAAAAAAAAAAGTGAAATGTAGTCCAACTAAAACAATACAATTGTGTTTAGTGGAAAAATATATTGCTTCAGTTATAAAATTTAAATGAATTAAAATTAAATAAATTAAAAATTAAGTTCTTCAGTCCCATCAGCCACATTTCAATATCGGATGGTATTGGTTGCTTCTGATATAACTGATTTCAGACATATGAAATTGATCACCATCCTAGATGGTCAGTAAGTTAATGCCACAGGATATTGTAGTCTATTAATAACATTGTAGAACAGGGCCCAGTCGTTCACACCTATATTCCCAGTGCTTTGGGAGGCCAAGGTGGGAGGGTTGCTTGAGGCTAGGAGTTCAAGACCAGCCTGGGCAACATAGTGAGACCCTGTCTCTACAAAAATAAAAAAATGAAAATTAAAAAAATTATTGCACAGAGAATAAAGGAATAAAAGCAATTTGGATCATAAAGCATTTACTGATTCCCCCCTTTTCATAGTTGGAGTTAATTTTCCTTTTATTGGTTCACAATTTCTTAACTCTTCAACTGCATTAAACTGTAAGATTAGAGCCAGGAGTTAGGGTGCCATCCACTTTTCCCCTCTATGGTCTTAGATTCTTTTTTTTTTATAGCCCGCATGCTTCTTTGGAAAGTGAGGTAATTGTGTCAAATAGGATAGCCTTGAGTGGGGCCCAGAGGTTGTAAAATTTTATGTCTGTACCTGATTCACCTGGTAACTTGCTAAAAATACCGATGTCCAGGCCTACCTTTCTAGATTCGGATACATAAAGTGACACTTTCCATATTAAATAAGCTGCTCTAAGTGTTTCTGAAGTTCAGGAACGTTTGGGACCATCAGATCCAGCAATTGACTCTCAAAGGCTGCGGACTGGAATTAGTACGTCGTGCTGCCGTTGCCAGGCATTTTATATTTTCCTAGGCTGAGGCTTCCCAGGCTGTTGCTTTTTTTCCCCCCACCTTTGCAGATGGATTTTGCAGGCTGTTAAATCCCACTCCCGAAGACCTGCCCTGACAGCGCCTCTTTCCTAAGTGCTGTTACAGGGAGCTGAGCTTGCCGAGGTAGACAGTGGCCACGTGACTGCTAAACCGGTTGCCAGAGGCGCGGCCATTTTTGGGGCGGGCACCCAATCTCTCGCCCTGTAAACTGCGGGGTGACGGGACGCTGTTACTAGGACTCAAGATGGCCACCGCGCCCGCTAGTCATCTCGCTAGCCCGCGCGCCAGTGAGCTGGCACGAGACACGCGGTGGCCCACGGCGTCTGGGGACGATCTCCAGCCCTTCGCACGGGGCGGAGCGCCCGCCTTCCCTCCAATCAGCACGCCGGGCCGGCTAGCCAGGGGCCGCCCGCGCGCGGGGTGTGTGAGGACGCGCTCCCAGTCGCTGAGTGCCTGAGCCGGGAAGCAGTTGCTGTGGTACCTGCTGCTGCCCGAGCGGACGTAGAGCATCGGACGCGGGCGCCGTGGCGCTGGGCAGGAGGGCGAAGCCATGACGTCAGTCAGGTAACGAGCGGGCGGCTGCCTTGACTGCTCCGAGCTGGGCGTTAGCCTCCCGAGCGCGTGAGCACTGTCGCTCCTTCTCGCGGGTGGTCTGGAGCCTGCCTCCGCCTCTGGTCCCCCTCGTGTTGGGGGTTCCCTCCGCACTTTTCATTTGGGCATTTCTGCTTTCCTCAGAAGTTTTCGGGTCTGTGGCACATTGCGGAGTTCTGTGTGTCGCTGCTTGGTCGAGGTGACCCTCGCCCAAATTCCAGGGTTGCAAGCGTTCTTGGGTGTGTAGTGGATTTCCCATGAAAAATGTGCCCCACCCGCGCCCCCGGGGGCGGCCCAGGGCCGGAGGGAGCGTGGCGTGCACAGTGTGTGTCATGCCTGCGTGTCATGCCCTCTGACAGAACTTCATTGTTGGCCGGGAGCAGACCTGCAAAGTTGGCCCTTCTCTGATGCAGGTATATTGCCCTCAAGTTGTGAAATTGTGTGTCTCTAAAATGTTTGCTCATGACTGGAATTAGGACCCTGGTTCCCGAAGGTACCATCTTGTTTCTTTACTCCTTTTATCTCAGAGTCACAAGTGAAATGAGTTGAGAGATACTGGGCATGTAGCGAAATCCATGAAACTGGAGACTTTCCCCCAATTGCTCTTCCAGTTTGGAAGGTTCTTTTTTTGTTAATGAGGACAGGATAATGGGCTTGTCCACTTTCTCCCAGTAGCCTTGACTGAATGTTTAATTTACGCTAGTTCAACTATTTATAAAAAGAGATAAATTGCCTTATATACCCAGTGTTCTGACTGGCCTTTTTAAAAGCAGAACTTGGGCTTTGTTGTCCCAGAGAAAGGGAGGCCCCAGCACAAAAATGTGAAGAGAAATAAAATAAGCTCATTTTTGGTCTATGAGCTTTCCAGGCTCCACCCGTCCTGGTGATTTGAGGGCTTCTCAATGCCAATTTTTACTACATTGTGTTTAAGAGACAGCTTGGGAACCTAACCCTCAGTAAGATCTAACTGTGCTGAACTCGGACATAGTCTGTCTCTTAAATTGCATAATTATATATATATATATATATATATTTTTTTTTTTTTGAGACAGAGTTTCGCTCTTGTTGCCCAGGCTGGAGTGCAATGGCGCGCTCTCTGCTCACTGCAATCTCCGCCTCCCGGGTTCAAACGATTCTCCTGCCTCAGCCATCCAAGTAGCTGGAATTATAGGCGCCAGCCACCACACCCAGCTAATTTTGTAGTTTTAGTAGAGATGGGGGTTTCACCATATTGGCCAGGCTGGTCTCGAACTCCTGACCTCAAGTGATCCACCTGCCTTAGCCTCCCAAAGTGTTGGGATTACAGGAGTGAGCCACCGCTACTGGTCTAAATTGCTTCATTCTGTACTAACATAGACAAAGTACTTATCTCATTATGCAGAAGGAGATTCAGGTGCTGAAACATGGAGACCCACATGGAAGGATTTCACAGTAAATTATATTGGGGCATATAAATCTAGCTTTTAAAGCTAACAGTATTTTAGGATGAATTAGAATTAGGCTATTATACCCAGAGTTAATTCCCCTTCTTCCCATTCCCACTCTTATTATCACAGAATGCTACTAATTAGGTGTAGGGGTCAAATACTTTCTGTGTTAAGAATCAGTTGTTATGTGGATTCAGTTTTAATTGACTATCATCTTCCTGACCGTGCCTCATTGGAGAAACATCCAAATCTAAAGCTTCTGCTGTTTAATAAGTGACAGCAGGATGTATCTTTTACTGTAGGGGTTGATAGTTTTTTTTAAAAGACTGATGTAAAGGTTGACACCAGCCTTACTTGACATGTTTTGAAAGGATGGATAACTGATAATAAAATTTATTTATGCTTGTTTCTTCAGATGTCAGTCTGTATTTTACATAATCTTGAACTATGGTAACATGGCTCGAGAAAGCTCTTTTAGATGTTATTTAAACCAGCTATTACATTTTACACCTGAGGAAACTGAGACAAAAGTTGAGTGCCTTGTGCAAAATCAGCGGCAAAATTAGGAATTGAATCCAGATTTCCATGATTTAGTGCTCTGCATGGTGCCTTTGTAGAAACAATATACTATTTAAACTTCCTGAAAAAGCTGTTTCTGTGGACAGAAATTGTAAAGTATCATGAGAGACAACTATAGTAACTCTTTTGCTTTCTTCTTATCCTGCAACGAACTTGATAACTGGGGTTTAGAAGTAGGCAGGGTTAGCCAAGAGAACACAACTACTGGGTGTTGGGAAGTGCAGGGAGGCCATTGAAAGTGAAGTGACTCTGTATGGTGATAGTTTTGAATGAGTTGGTCATCCTACAGATACCAGCCATTTCCTGGTGAACACTACATTTAATACAATTATGTCATATCTTTAGTTTTTGCAATAATGATGTCAGACATGTTCCTATCAGAGGCATTTGAGCCAGAGCGACTCCATCTTGAATAGGGTCTGGGTAAAATAAGGCTGAGACCTACCAGGGTGCATTCCTAGGAGGTTAGGCATTCTTAGTCACAGGATGAGATAGGAGATAGTCAGAAGATACAGGTCACAAAGACCCTACAACAGGATGCAGTAAAGAAGCCAGCAAAAACTCACCAAAACCAAGATGGTGATGAGAGTGACTTCTGGTCATCCTCACTGCTTATTATACACTAATTATAATGTATTAGCATGCTAAAATACACTCCCACCAGTGCCATTGACAGTTTACAAATGCCATGGCAACGTTCAGACCTTACCCTATATAGTCTAAAAAGGTGAGAGACCTTCAGTTCTGAGATATCAGAACTGATTTCTTCCTTTCCTGGAAAACTCATGATTAATCCACCCCTTGTTTAGCATACAATCAAGAAATAACAAGATACTTAGTTGAGCAGCCCATACCCGTGCTCTGTCTTTGGAATCGTCATCCTTTTGTTTCTTTATTTCTCTAATAAACTTGCTTTCACTTTATGGACTTGCCTTGAATTCTTTCTTGCATGATGTCTAAGAACCCTCTTGGGGTCTAGATCGGGACCCCTTTCTGTTAACATTCCCATTTTGTGCTCAGTCTAACAGTAGCCTAAAAGGTAGGTATTATTGACCCCCTTTTACTGATAAGCTGAATGATTACAAGATATCCAACTCTGACTTTGTGTCCAATGTTCTTGTTTTATACCACCCTTAATTGTTGCTAAATATAGTAGTATGTGACTCTTTTCATAGCAATGGCTATGAAAGAATACAGGATTGGAAATCAATGAGGACCAATGGTCAGAATATCTTGGGCCCCACTGAGGGCCTTTTCTGAGTTACTGAGCTTCCATTTCTCTTTTCTTTTTATTATTATTATTATTATTATTATTGTTATTATTAATTATTATTTTGAGACAGTGTCTTGCTCTGTCGCCCAGGCTGGAGTGCAGTGGCGCGATCTCGGCTCATTGCAACCTCCACCTCCTGGGTTGAAGCCATTCTCCTGCCTCAGCCTCCCGAGTAGCTGGGTTTACAGACGCCTGCCTCACGCCCAGCTAATTTTTTTCTATTTTTGGTAGAGACGGAGTTTCATCATGTTGGCCAGGCTAGTCTTTTTTTTTTTTTTTTTTTTTGAGACGGAGTCTCGCTCTGTCACCCAGGCTGGAGTGCAGTGGTGCGATCCGGCTCACTTGAAGCTCCGCCTCCTGGGTTCATGCCATTCTCCTGCCTCAGCCTCTCTAGTAGCTGGGACTACAGGCGCCCGCCACCACGCCCAGCTAATTTTTTGTATTTTTAGTAGAGACGGGGTTTCACCGTGTTAGCCAGGATGGTCTCGATCTCCTGACCTCATGATCTGCCCGCCTCAGCCTCCCAAAGTACTGGGATTACAGGCGTGAGCAACCGTGCCCGGCTGGCCATGCTAGTCTTGAATTCCTGACGTCGTGATCCCCCCACTTCGGCCTCCCAAAGTGCTGGGATTACAGGCGTGAGCCACCGCCCCCAGCCCCATTTCTCTTTTCTATTCTGGACATTTGTTTAATGAAATAACTCAGTAGCAGAGATACTAATATGCATCCTACCAGTGTTGTTGGATAAGTGTAAAAGTGCTTTTAAATTTTAAAGCATTTTAAAAATAGAATAAAAGCACTTTGAGCCCTCTAGAGAATGGTGTCATCTGAGGAAAAAAATGTTTAAATCTTAAATTTTTAGACAGGAAACAAATTTACCTATCTAATTTTCTCATTTTACAGTTGAATTAAAGCCCAGAGATAGTGTGACATGTTCAAGTTCACACAGTTACATATCTTGAACTAGATATGAGATCTCTAGATACCTTGTTCAGTTCCCTTTCTAGTATAGCATTCAACTCTGAGGAATTCCTAAATAATGATTTTTTTTTGGGGGGGGTCTCTTTAGGAATTCCTAAATAATAATTTTAAATGAAAACTTTTCTTTTTTTTTAACTTAAGATCTTTGAATTTGGCTGGAGTTAGTATTTCATCATTTGTATTCTATTCTACTTAATTACTGATTAAGAGTCTAAATTTACAGCCTCTGAAACCAGATATCCTTGGGGAACAACTTATATCCTTTGTTATGTATATCAGATTCCTACTGGTCTTCATTTGGGAAATGATAGAACATATTTGATAAATTGATGCTTTTGTCATTTTAAATTGGCCCAATAGTTAAGTTGGCGCCTGAGTTAAGTTCAGGAGACAGAGGAAGATGCAGAATGTCAGGATTCAAAGAGGATCTTAGCATTTTACTTTTTTTCCTTTTCTATACTGGATCTTGTGTCCAAAGTAAAGTGAAATGTCCTACTTAGACCTAGTGGTAGAGCCTAAGATAGAATTTAGACCTTCTGACTCCTAATTTATGTATTTTTCACTGAGCAACACTATTTCAAAATTCCCCTCTGAATATTGCCTTGTTTTCCTAACATCAGTGTCTAGTCTGGTTTTGGGCATCGCTTACAGCTTGGGTTTGCGCCAGGGAAGACTAGGAAATGGAGTTGGGGAATATTTGTTGTAGAGCTAATGAGCCCTATTCTTTGGTCTGCCCAGATAGGTCAGGTTTGGTCTAAAACTATTCTGGGACTCTGGACATCACTGTGCCCTACATGATGATTCTGGAACCCACTTTTGTGGGTTAAGCCTACATTGGAAAATTTATGTGGGCAGTGGGTGGGGTCGTGGGGTATTTTCCTTCTAACACTCGAAACTTTTTGAGGTATGTCCAATAGAATCTGCCAAGCCACTCAGAACATTCATATGGAGACTAAAATCTGGCTAAGATTGAAACTGTCTTTGTTGAGTTGGTTTCTTTAGAGCCTTAAAGTTTTCAAACTCATTTTTACCTGTGTTTTTAAAATACGAATTGTAAATTCACATTACTGCACAATTTTTTTTATGCTGTGGGATGTTTTTAGAGAGGTAAGTGAGCTTTTAAACTAAAATTGTTTCATTTATGGAATATTTTGAAGAAGTAAAACAGAAATCTTTTTATTTATTTATTTATTTATTTATTTATTTATTTTTGAGACACAGTTATACTCTTATTGCCCAGGCTGGAGTGCAATGGCACAATATCTGCTCACTGCAACCTCCGCCTCCCGGGTTCAAGCAATTATCCTCTCTCAGCCTCCTGAGTAGCTGGAATTACAGGCACATGCCACCATGCCCGGCTAATTTTTGTATTTTTAGTAGAGATGGGGTTTCATCGTATTGGTCAGGCTGGCCTCGAACTTCTGACCTCAGGTGATTCTCCTGCCTTGGCCTCCCAAAGTGCTCACAGGCATGAGCTACCGTGCCGGCCAGGAATCTTTTATGTGCAACGTTGTCAGCTGTTAATGCTCCTATTTATGAATAGGTCACCTTTGTTTGAAAAAAGCGTACAAGGTTTTCTAACTCCAAATCTTTCCAGCCACAATATTGCTACGTTAAGCAGAACTGTCAAAGATAAAACTTGAACCAAAGTGATTTTCTAGACTGTTTGAATGTTAACCCTTTCCTGCAATATTGGTTAACAGTCACGTCTCCCTACCTCTTCATACCTCCTTGGTTTTATTTTATTATTTTTATTTTTTGAGGCACGGTCTTGCCCTGTTGCCCTTGCTGGAGTGTGGTGGCATGAACACAGTTCACTGCAACGTCAACCTCTGGGCTTAAGTGATCCTACCACCTCAGCCTCCTGAGCAGCTGGGAGTAGTCCCACTTGTAGTCCCTACAGTCCCACCTGTAGTCCTGTAGTCCCACCTTTGTATTTTTTGTAGAGATGGGGTTTAACCATATTGTCCAGGCTGGCTTTGAACTCCTGAGCTCAAGTGATCCACCTGCTTTGACCTCACAAAGTGCTGGGCCTCCCAAAATGCTGGGATTACAGGCATGAGCCGCTGTGCCCAGCCACATCCTTGGTTTTAAATTGTTATTTAAAAAATACTGTTGCTGGGCACGGTGGCACATGCCTATAATCTCAGCACTCCGGGAGGCCGAGGTGGGAGGATCACTTTGAGGCCAGGAGTTCAAGGCCAGCCTGGGCAATATGATAAAACCCCGTCTCTACAAAAAATACGAAAATTTGCAGGGTATGATGGTATTGTGCCTGTAGTCCCAGCTACTTCAGAAGCTGAGTCAGGAGGATCCCTTGATCCTGTAATGAAATATACTATTTTTTTTTTTTTGAGATGGAGTTTTGCTCTTGCTGCCCAGGCTGGAGTGCAGTGGCGCCATCTTGGCTCACCGCAACCTCCACTTCCCAGGTTCAAGCAATTCACCTGACACAGCCTCCCTAGTAGCTGGGATTACAAGCGTGTGCCACCACACCTGGCTGATTTTGCATTTTTAGTAGAGATGGGGTTTCTCCATGTTGGTCAGGCTGGTCTCGAACCCAGCCTCAGCTTACCCACCCACCTCGGCCTCCCAAAGTGCTGGGATTATAGGCACAAGCCACCACGCCTGGCCATGAAATATACTACTAATAAAATAAAATACTGTGATAAAACATAAATAAACATTTTTATTTTTTACTTTTTACTTTTTTAGCTGGCATTCTGGTCTGAGATTATTTTATTTTATTTTTATTTTATTCGAGACAGAGTCTCGCTCTGTCACCCAGGCTGGAGTGCAGTGGCACAATCTCAGCTCACCGCAACCTCCGCCTCCCGGATTCAAGCAATTCTCCCTGCCTCAGCCTCCCGAGTAGCTGGGATTACAGGTGCCCACCACCACGCCCTGCCAATTTTTGTATTTTTAGTAGAGACGGGGTTTCACAATGTTGGCAAGGCTGGTCTTGAACTCCTGACCTCAGGTGATCCACCCACCTTGGCCTCCCAAAATGCTGGGACTACAGGTGTGAGCCACTGTGCCCGGCAGAGATTTTTATTTTTTAAATGGCAAAGCTAGGTTATGAACAGGATGACCATATGTTCCAGTTTGCCCAGGACAATTCTGGATCATGCCTGTTATCCTGACATTATTATTTATTATTATTTTTTCTTTTGTAGACACAGGGTCTTGCTCTGCTGCCCAGCTGGAGTGCAGTAGTGCAATCATGGCTCACTGTAACCTTGAAATCCTGGGCTCAAGTGATCCTCCCACCTCAGCCCTCCAGAGAGGCTGGGACTATAAACACACACCACCATGCCTGGCTATATTTTGTGTGTGTGTGTGTGTGTGTGTGTGTGTGTGTGTGTGTGTGTCAGGGGGGTGGGTAAAGATGGGGTCTTGCCATGTTGCCCAGGCTGGTCTTGAACCTCCTGGCCTCAAACTCTTGGTCAAGTGATCCTCCCGCCTCAGCCACCTAAAGTGCTGGGATTATAGGCATGAGCCATTGTCCCCGGCTATCCTGACACAATTATTAATAGACACATAAATGTGTCTCATTTACTCTCAAAAGTGTCCCATTTGGATAATAAATTATCTGGTCACCTACATATGCATTACAATCATTTTGTTGTACTAGGTTTTGTTTGTTGAAATGTTATTTGAACTAGGACCATAAGATAATGGAATTTTGGCCTATTTTGGGTACATTTGGATGTTTTTCATTGGTCAGACATTTTTATTGTATGGAGAGTTCTGAGTGTACAAATGTATATTAAATAGTAATGCACATGATTTGAAATTAGGGATTATTTGTTATCTTACTTTTGGGAGGTTACATAACCTTGAGGAACCTCTTGTTTCCTCATCCGTTAAAAAGAGATAATAGCGATACCTATCCTACATGGGTGTTTTGAAGATATTAAAGAGGTGACATACCAAAAAATGCATTTTAAGTTGAAAATTGTTATATAAGTGTTAGTCATGTCACACATGTGCCTTTCTGCAATTGAATTTAAAATGAATAATTTTACCTAGTTTGGGGAACTTACTATTTGATAGAGCACTGGTAGTGTTTTGCTGTAAAGGAGAGCAGGGAAATAATGGTAGTTGGAAGTACATGCTGGGCTAAGGTTTTCTGCGGGGAGGTTTTGAAATTTTCACATTTGTGTGCTGAAAAGAGTGGTCCAATAGAAAGCAGAAAAAATAGATGATGCTTGACAGAAGGAAGAAATCAATGTTGAGTAGGAAAGAAGGATAGAATCTAGAATACATATGGAAGGATTGGCTTTACGTAACCAAGAAACACATTTCCCTAGTCTGTTCACTTTAAAAAAAAATGCCAACAATATAATTTTTTTTTTTTTTTGAAGCAGAGTCGTCGGCCGGGCGCGGTGGCTCACGCCTGTAATCCCAGCACTTTGGGAGGCCGAGGCGGGTAGATCACGAGGTCAGGAGATCGAGACTATCCTGGCTAACACAGTGAAACCCCGTCTCTACTAAAAATACAAAAAAAAAATTAGCCAGGCGTGGTAGCGGGCGCCTGTAGTCCCAGCTACTCGGGAGGCTGAGGCAGGAGAATGCCGTGAACCCGGGAGGCGGAGCTTGCAAGTGAGCCGAGATCGTGCCAGTGCAGTGCAGCCTGGGCGACAAAGCGAGACTCCGTCTCAAAAAGAAAAAAAAAAAAAAAAAAAAAAAGAAACAGATCCTCCCTCTGTTGCCCAGGCTGGAGTGCAGCTGCCCGATCTCGGCTCACTGCAACCTACCTCTCCTGGGGTCAAGGGATTCTTCTGCCTCAGCCCCCTGAGTAGCTGGGATTACAGGTGCGCCCCACCGTGCCAGGCTAATTTTTGTATATTTTTGTAGAGATGGAGTTTCACCATGTCGGCCAGGCTGCTCTGGAACTCCTGACCTCAAGTGATCTGCCTACCTCGGCCTCCCAAAGTGCTGGGATTACAGGCGTTAGCCACTGTGCCTGGCTCTCTCAGTATAATTTACCTAAAGTCAAATCAGCCTTCCCTTTCCTTCCCTTCCCTTCCCTTCCCTTCCTTTCCCTTCCCCTCCTTTCCCTTCCCCTTCCGCCTTTCCCCTTTCCCTTCTCCCTTCTCCCCTTTCCCTTCTCCTTTCCTTTCCACAGGGTCTTACTTTGTCGCCCGGGCTTGAGTGCAATGGGGCAAACACGTCTCACTGCAACCTTGACCTCCCCAGCCCAAGCCATCTACTTGCCTCAGTCCCCCAAGTAGCTGGGGCTACAGGTGTGCACCACCACGCCTGGCTATTTTTTTTGTATTTTTTGTAACAATGCCGGGGGAGTGGGGTGGGGGTGGGGTCTTGCTATGTTGCCCAGGGTGGTCTTGAACTCCTGAGCCCAAGTGATCCACCCACCTCGGCCTTCCAAAGTGCTGGGATTACAGGTGTGAGCCACTGTGCCTGATCCAGCCTCTTTTTAATTAATTCTGTCCCCCTTCTCACCCAGGCAACCACTTTTGGACTTCTTTTACTATAGATGTTAGTTCTGCCTGTTCTAGAACTTCACATAAATGGAATCATACAGCAAGGAGTATTTTGTGTCTGATTACTTTTGTTCAATATAATATTTTTTAGATTCACCCATTTTGGTGTGTGTATCAGTAGTTTTTCCCTTTTATTGTGAAGTAATATTCCATTATATGTATGTAGCAACAAGTCTTCTATTGATGGGCTTTGGGTTATTTCCAGTTTTTGGTTACTATGAGTAAAGTTGCTATGAACATTTTTGTATATATCTTTATGTGGACTTGGGTAAATATCTAGGAGTGAAATTGCTGTGTACTAGGGTAGATTTATGTTTAACTTTAGAAACCACTAAACTTTTCCAAAATGGAAAATTTAACACTTTTTACATTCCCACCAGTTTTTTTTTTATGAGAGTTCAGTTTTCCACATTCTTCACAATGTTTGGCATTTTAAAATTTAGGCATTCTCCTGAGTGTGTACTTGTATTTCATCATGGTTTTTGTTTATATTTCCTTGATGGCTAATATGTGATTATTGGCCATTTGCTTATCTTTTATTTTGAAGTGTCAATTCATTTCTGAAATATTATCACTGAATAATATTTCATTGTATAGATATGCCACAATTTATCCATTTATCACTTGATAGATATTTGGATTATTTTCACTTTTGGGCTATTATGAACAATGGTGCTATAAACATTTATGTACAAGTTTTTATTAAACTTTTATGTGCAACCCTATTTTATTGGGTTGTCTTTTTGTTGCTGATTTGTAGGAGTTCTCTTTATATCTGAATGCAGGTTATTTGCCAGGTTTCTCAGATTTTACACGCACATACACACACACACACACTCTTTCTCTCTCTCTCTCTAAATATTTTCTCCTGGTCTGAGCTATGTTGTTGCATTTTCTTAATGCCTTTTGAGAGCAGAACTTTTAAGTTTTGAGCAAGTTGAATTTGTTGATTTATTTTATTTTATGGTATTACCTTTTCTGTTCTAAGAAGTCTTTCCTTACTCTCTGCTAGGCTTGTGAAACTATTCTCTCATGGTTTTTTTCTAGAAGCTTTATGTTTTTGTCTTTTGTATTTAGGCCTATGATCTATCTTAAACTACTCTTTTGCTATCATGTAAGGGTTTCTCAAAAGGATTTTCAATTAATTGATTAGATAGCTGTGGGTCTTTTCTTGGATTTGTTCTATTCTGTTGATTTATTTGTATCTTCTTATGTCAATGCCACACTGTCTTAATTATTGTAGCTTTATAAGATTGGTATTGTTACTTTAAATTTTGATAGAATTAATCAGTGCAGCCGTGTGGGCCTGGAGTGTTTTTGTGGGAAAAAGCAGAAGGTTTTAAATTAGTGTAATTACTTTTACAGGTTTAATTACTTTAGCTGATATATAAGCATTCAGGTTCTTCACTTTTTCCTGTGGCAGTTTTAAGAAGTTGAATTTTTAAATGAATTTATTCTCAATTGTTGAGTTGTTATAAAGTTCATAAAATTTCCTAATATTCTGTTATTGCCTGTATGAACTGCTGTATGTCTCCATTTGCATTCTTGATGTTGGTACTTCTTTTGAATTTTTGGATCAGTTTTGCTAGGGGTTTAGCAATTAATCTTTTCAAAAACCCAGATTTTGTTTTGTTGAATTTCTATTTTGGACATGTATTTTTAATTTTTTTTTTTTTTTTTTTTTTTGAGACGGGGTCTTGCTTTGTCACCCAGGCTGGAGTGCAGTGGCGCGATCTTGGCTCACTGCAAGCTCCGCCTCCCGGGTTCACACCATTCTCCTGCCTCAGCCTCCCGAGTAGCAGGGACTACCGGCACCCGCCACCACACCCGGCTAATTTTTTTTGTGTGTTTTTAGCAGAGACGGGGTTTCACCGTGTTAGCCAGGATGGTCTCCATCTCCTGACCTCGTGACCTGCCTGCCTCGGCCTCTCAAAGTGCTGGTATTAGGGGCATGAGCCACTGCGCCCGGCCACCTTGCTCTCCTCTTGTGGATTTGATTTGCTCTCTTTTTTCTACCTTTTTTGAGTTAGAAGTTTAGATTATTGTTTTTAAACCTTTCTTGTTTTCTAATGTGCATTTCATTTCATTCATTCATTCATACATTCATTCAGAGACGGAGTCTTGCTCTGTTGCCCAGGCTGGAGTGCAGTGGTACGATCTTCGTTTACTGCAACCTTCGCCTCCCAGGTTCAAGCGATTCTTCTGCCTCAGGCTCCCGAGTAGCTGGGACTATAGGCGTGCACCACCACGCCAGGCTGATTTTTGTATTTTTAGTAGAGACGGGGTTTTACCATGTTGGCCAGGCTGGTCTCTAACTCCTGACCTCGTGATCCGCCCACCTTGGCCCCCCAAAGTGCCACCGCTCCCAGCCACATTTCTTTCATTATTATTATTTTTTCTTTGCTAACCCCTAGTAGTCATTCTAATGTACATTTCTTATATAATTAACATTTTCTTCTAAGTACTCCTTTAGCTGCAGCATACAATTTCGATGTGTTCAATTCAAATTTCTATTTCCATTGTGATTTTTCTGGTCCACAGGTCATTTAGAAGTTTATTGTTTCTTAATATTTGGGGATTTTTTAGCTATTTTCAATTTTACATGGTGTTCAGGGAATGCGTTGTTGACATATTGTGTACATATCTGTACCATATATCTGTAAATGATAAGTTGTTTATCATTTTAATCCTTTGATAGCTACTGAGATTAGTTTTAAGGCCTACCCTGTGGTGGTCTGTTTTGGTGAATGTTACCTGTGTCTCTAATTCCGCTCTGCAATATTTTGAGGTTTTCAGTGTAGATATTTTATGTATCTTTTATTAAATACGGTGTATACTGCAGTTATTGAATTTAGTGTTCTATAATTTATCAATTAGGTCAGATAGTTTTATGTGTTTGTTACTATATAACTGAGATATAATTCAGCTACTGTAAAATGCACCACTTAAAAATTGCACAGCTCAGTAGTTTTCAGTATATTCACAAGGTTGTACAGCCATCGGCACTATTTAATTCCAGAACGTTTTTGTCCCCCAAAATGAAAACCCATACCCGTTAGCAGTTACTCTTCATGTCTCCCTAACCTCTAACCCCTGGCAACCACTAATCTACCTTGTCCCTACAAATTTGCCTATTCTGAACATTTCCTAAGTGGAATCATATAATATTTGGCCTTTTGTAGCTGGCTTTTTTTTTTAACTAAGTATGTTTTCAAAGTTCATACATGTTGTAGCGTGTATCAGTATTTCATTCTTTCTTATGACTGAAATAATATTTCATTGTATAGATATGCCCCAATTTATCCATTTATCACTTGAGAGATATATGGGTTATTTTCACTTTTGGGCTGCTATGAATAATGGTGCTATAAACATTCATCTACAAGTTTTTGTGGTGTTCTATTTTTCTATTTCCCCTAAGGGTAGAATTGCTGGGGCATGTGGTAATTTTATGTTTACTTTTTGAGCAACTGCCAAACTATTTTCCAAAGCGGCTGAATCACTTTATAATTTGCAACAGCAATGTATGAAGATTCCAGTTTCTCCACATTCTTGTCAATACTTGTTACTGTTCTAGTCTTCGCTGAGAGGCTCTGTGTGCTTGTTGGAGCACACTTTCAGCACTCAACCAGGCTTTCAGTTCATCCATAGCCTTGACTTCCTGTTTTGCCGAGCTTCATGCTCAGTCAGTGGTGATTGCTTAGGGCCTTCTCAGGTCTTTCTTGAGTATGCCCATAGGCCTGGGCACACTGTTTTCATCTTCCAGGGTCTTAGGAATTTCAGAACTTTTCA
Source organism: Homo sapiens (assembly GCF_000001405.40). Classification (NCBI taxonomy): domain Eukaryota; kingdom Metazoa; phylum Chordata; class Mammalia; order Primates; family Hominidae; genus Homo; species Homo sapiens. Next base: position 74,190,473 of record NC_000010.11, read on the forward strand.
AAACTCCCTATGGACATCTCATTCTCCTACTTTTCCTTTTGTGTTTTTTGGTTAGCTTGTTTGCCCCAGCTGCTTCAGGGAGCTGAAATGTTAAGCAATTGTAGCTGATTGTTTTTGACAAATAAATACCTTGGGGGAAAAGCCTGTTAGCAATGGGCAAGCTCTGAATCAGGTTAAATATTAGGAAGTCTTGGGAGTGGGGTTTTTCAGGGAATTGCTAGTCAGCTCAAATAATAACTGTACTCTGAAAATGGGACTTTGAAGGAACTCTAGCCCTGTTCTGTCACCTCCACTGGCTGCTAGGCTCCAGGATTCCACAGATTGTGGTTTGCTGCTTTTCAGGGCTAGCCTGGAGCTGGGAAGAGGGGCATGGGAATAAGGCATGTTAAAATGCCACAAAGCTTGCTATTCTTACTGAGATGCAGCCATCTTTTTTTGAATAAATGCTCCTTGGATTGTTGCAAACTTTTTGGTTAATATTCAGAGTTCTGAAAAAGGCTATTTTTGACTTTTTTTTTTTTTTTTTGAGATGCAGTCTTGCATTGTCGCCCAGGCTGAAGTGCAATGGTGTAATTTTGGCTCACTGCAACCTCTGCCTCCCAGGTTCAAACGATTCCCCTGCTTCAGCCTCTGGAGTATCTGGGATTATAGGCACCTGCCACCATGCCCAGCTAATTTTTGTATTTTTAGTAGCGACGGGGTTTCACCAGGTTGGCCAGGCTGGTCTCGAACTCCTGACCTTGTGATCTGCCCGCCTTGGCCTTCCAAAGTGCTGGGATTACAGGTGTGAGCCACTATGCCCGGCCCAAGTCTTGACATTTTTTTGCCAGTGTTCTTGTTGGTTTTATGGAAGAGAGGATTTTTGGAGGTCCTTACTCTGCCATTCCCAATGATGTCACCCAATTTGTTTTTTAAGCATTAAAAAAAATTATTTTAAAATATAAAGACAGGGTCTCACTATGTCAATTAAAAAGACAGGGTCTCGCCCAGGCTGGTCTCGAACTCTTGGGCTCAAGTGATTGTCCTGCCTTGGCCTCCCAAAGTGCTGAGACTACAGGTGTGAGCCACCACACCTGGCCTAAACATTTTTAATATATCTGTTTTTATATCCTGTTCCTCCCTTTTCTTTTGAAATACAACTCACAGAAATTGCAAAAATAGTACAGAAAGTTCCTGTGCACCATTCACTCAACTTCCCCCAATGATATATCTTTTATAACTATAGTGTGTTACCAAAACCAGGAAGCTGATTTCGGTGTTATACAATAGTATTAAATTAACTATAGACGTTATTAGAATTTCACGGGTTTTTGTATATACTGTTTTTAATTGAGGAGGTGGTGGTGTATAGTTCTATAAAGTTTTATCATGTCCAGATTCATGTAGCTATTACCACATTCAGGGTATTAAACTATTCTGTTACCACAAAGAAATTTCTTCATATTATTTCTTTATGGTTATGCTTTTCTCTGAACCCTAACCCCTGGCAACTACTGATCTGATTTCCATCACTGTAATTTTGTAACTTCGAGAGTGTTATATAAATGGAATCATATAGTAGGTAACCCGTAGATACGGCTTTTTTCTCACTTAGCACAATGCCTTTGAGATCCGTTTAAGTTGTTGTGTGTGTCATAGTTCATTCCTTTTTATTGTTTCTCTTTTATGGGTGTACCATAGTTTGTTTACCTATTTACTTGTTGAAGGACATTTATTATGTTTCCAGATTTTTACCATTTTTTTTTCTTTTTCTTTCTTTTATTTGTTTTTTTTGAGACAGAGTCTTGCTCTGTCACCCAGGCTGGAGTGCAGTGCCGCGATCTTGGCTCACCACAACCTCCGCCTCCCGGGTTCAAGTGATTTTTCTGCCTCAGCCTCCTGAGTAGCTGGGATTACAGGCGCACACTACCACACCCAGCTAATTTTTCTGTTTTTAGTAGAAGCAAGTTTTCACTATGTTGGTCAGGCTAGTCTCGAACTCCTGACCTTGTGATCCGCCCGCCTCGGCCTCCCAAAGTGCTGGGATTACAGGCGTGAGCCACTGCACCTGGCCCATTTTTTTTTTTTTTCAAACAGATATGGTTTTGCTCTCTCTGTCACTCAGGCCAGAGTGTATTGGCATGATCATTGCACACTACAGTCCTCCTGGGCTTAAAGAATTCTCCCACCTCAGCTTCCTGAGGAACTAGGAGTAGAGACATGCACAACTGCACCCAGCTAGTAATTTTAATTTTTGTAGAGATGAGGTCTTACTATGTTGCCCAGGCTGGTCTTGAGCTCTGGCCTCAAGTGATCCTCCTACCTCAGCCTCCCAAAGTGCTGGGATTACAGGTGTGAGCCACCATGGCTGGCCTAGTGTTTTACAAATAAATCTGTTAGGAACATTTGTGTACAGATTTCTCTGTGTACTTAAGTTTTTCTTCCTCTGGGATAAATGCTGTGTAGTGTGATTCTTTAATTTTTGGTGTGTCTGCCTGTTTTACTAATTACTGAAAGAAGGGTGCTAAACTAAGATTATGTATTTGCCTATTTCTTTTGTTTCTAAGTTTTTAAAAAAGTATTTTGAAGCCATTTTATTTGGTGTGTACATATTTTGTATTGTTACCTTTAGCATTTCTTTTCTTGATGATTTGACCTATTTTCATGAAATCCCTTTGTATCTGGTGATACTCTGTATTTTAAAGCTTACCTTGTCTGTGTCTTAATATAGCCACTGTATAGTGTCTATATAGTGTCTTAATATAGCCACTGTAATTTATGATTAGTGTTTTCTTTTTTTTTCTTTTTTTTATTATACTTTAAGTTTTAAGGTACATGTGCACAACATGCAGGTTTGTTACATATGTATACATGTGCCATGTTGGTGTGCTGCACCCATTAACTCGTCATTTAACATTAGGTATATCTCCTAATGCTATCCCTCCCTCCTCCCGCCTCCCCCCACCCCAGTGTGATTAGTGTTTTCATGGTGTGTCTTTTTGCTAACTTTTTATTTTCAAAACTTCTTTGTCTTTATAAAAGTGTATCTTGTGCTAGGCATGCTGGCTCATGCCTGTAATCCTAGAACCTAGGGAGGCTGAGGCAGAAGTATAGCTTGAGCCCAAGAGTTTGAGATGAGCCTGGGCAACAGAGGGAGACCCAGTCTCTATTAAAAAGAAAAAAATTAACTGGGTATGGTGGCTATAGTCCCAACTTATTGGGAGGCTGAGGTGGGAGAGCTTGGGAGGTTGAGCCTGCAGTGAGCTGTGATTGCACCACTGCCCTCCAGCCTGGGCAACAGAACAGGAGCCTGTCTCAAAAAAAGAAAGAAACAAAAGATCAGAACCTATAATCACAGAATCACTGAAAACCCATGGAATTATCATATGCTAGCCATTGGGAATACAAATGTAAATGAGATTTCAAAAAAATCTTTACCCTTTGTTGTCTAGGTGGTTAAGATCAGTTGATTGAGATAAAGTTCAAAGCAACCCCTAAAATCAACTAAAAAGTTCATCAAAGGACTTTTAGAACTGAGCAGGAGGGAATGAATAAATCTTTGGGAGGGAGGGATGCAGTGCCTTGATATACAGTACCAGGAGCCATTTTCTACATTGTTAACAGCACTCTTGAGTGATGTTGGTGGCAGCTTGTATATCTTATGTGGAAGCCCTTGGGTAGGAGTCGATCAGGAAAAACTTCCCAAGACAGGTAGCATACAGGGAATTTTAAAAAGATGAATGGGAGTTTGCCAGGCAAAGGAAGCAGGAGAAGAACTTTACAAGCAGAGTCTTATTCAAAGAACAGTAAGGCATTATGATTAAAATAGTTTGTATATATTAGAATGGTGAGAGGTAAGGTTAAAGAATTACTGAATTTTGATTATCTTAGTGTGCACATTTCTTCCCATTTTAACAACTCTGAAATTGGCATACATCTTACAACTGATTGTGTTTTGCATCACCATTGGAAATTGGGATTATTTTATGAATAATGGCATCTTAGATATGATGAAATATGGTAAGTTTGAGTAGATTCAATGTCCTTTAAGTTATGCTTTTGGATTTTATCCTATTAATAATCAGAAGCTAGGTAGATTTTAAGTAGAAAAATATTATGTCTAGAATTGTTTAAAATAATATGATTTTGGTGATATTGTGCAGGATTTATTGTGGCTAAAACAATTGCTAACAATGTAGAAATTCAGGCAATGTCTGCAGAGGGCCTAGTGCTAGTGGGTGTATTGTGGGAAATCCAGGTACAGGAAGCGTTTGATAAAACCAAGATGATGTCGTTACTAGTAAGATGGGGCTAGTTGACGTAGAGAGAAGAGTCATATAAAGCTGAGGTTTCTGGATTTAAAGAGAAGATGACTGGTGTAACAGTTAAAGGCAGTCATTGTTAGTGTTTATTCTGGCATCATAATTAAATGTTTCTATTACTGAGAGGGCTAATCAACATTCAAACATTAATATATCAATAGCCAAGAAAAGATTTTCTCAGGAACTCTTACTGTAAAATATATGTCAGTATAAAATTTGTTGACTGTCCAATAAAATAATAATTATAGTGTAGGTTTATGTTGGCTGCAAGCCTAAATTATGAGACATTTATAAAATTACTGACCGCTCCCCCCCCCAAAAAAAAAAGATTGTTCAGAATCTCTCATCCTAGCATCCATTCCAAGAAAAAGATATTGCTAACATTTGGAATAAAAAGTAATCCCAGTACGGGTTAGTCATAGTTTTTGGCTATAGACTAAACCTCATCTTGTTCACATTCTAGTAGAACAAGATAAAAACAAATGCTTATTCATATAGTATGTTCATCATTTAAGAAGGTCATAGTATTTACTGGCCTGGACACTAGTTTATATGTGTTTGTATTTAAGAAACTAGCCATTATAATCTCAATTATGTGCAGTGAAGGAGAGAGAAACGTGACATGAGCAAAGTTTTATTTGCTTTTGAAAATAATTGTATCTTTTTTACTTAACTTACTATTTCAAGATATCTTTTATATGCTACTTTATTTAATTAATTTGTTTTTAAGACAGGGTCTTATTCTGTCACCCAGGGCTGGAGTGCAATGGTGCAATTACAGCTTACTGCAACCTCGACCTTCCAGGCTTAAGCGATCCTCCCACCTCAGCCTCCCTGGTAGCTGGGATTATGGGTGTGCACCACCATGCCTGGCTCAATTTTTTATATTTTTCTTTTTCTTTCTTTCTTTCTTTCTTTCTTTTTCTTTTCTTTCTTTTTTTTTTTTTTTTTTTTGAGGTAGTAGCATACTCATGGCTCACTGTAGCCTCAACCTCCTGGGCTCAAGGATTCTTCCACCTCAGCTTCCCTAGTAACTGGGGCTATAGGCACATGCCACCACACGCGGCTAATTTTTGTATTTTTTGTAGAGATGGAGTCTCGCCATGTTGCCCAGGCTGGTCTTGAACTCCTGTGCAGAGGCAATGCGCCCGCCTCAGCCTCCCAAAGTGCTGAGATTACAGGTGTGAGCCACTGTGCCCAGCCAATTTTTTGTAGAGATGGAGTTTTGGCATGTTGCCCTGGCTGGCCTTGAACTCCTGGACTCAAACCATCTACATGCCTCAGCCTCCCAAAGTGCTGGGATTACAGGTGTGAGCCACCACGTCCAGCCTGTGCTAATTTAAATTATTTTCTCCTCACTGCTGTACTAGCCACAACTTCTGCAACCAGTTTCATGTGGGCTTTGGACAATTGCAGCCTAACAGCATCACTCATCAGGGTCTATGTTGCATACGTTCTCCCTTGGGGAACTGTAATGTTAAGATTAGGCTGGGTGCGGTGGCTCACACCTGTAATCCCAGCACTTTGGGAGGCCAAGGAGGGCAGATCACGAGGTCAAGAGATGGAGACCATCCTGGCCAACATGGTAAAACCCCATCTCTACTAAAAATACAGAAATTAGCTGGGCATAGTGGTGCGTGCCTGTAATCCCAGCTACTTGGGAGGCTGAGGCAGGAGAATCGCTTGAACCTGGGAGGCGGAGTTTGCAGTGAACCGAGATTGCGCTACTGCATTCCAGCCTGGTGACAGAGCGAGATTCTGTCTCAAAAAAAAGAAAATGAGCACTAATAATCTTTTCTATATTACAGTTTTATAATAAAAATGCATTACATATTAAACAGATTCACAAAGTGAACTAATGACAATTTACGTCTGTCCCTATACTTTCAGTTGTAAGTAACTAAAAACCAGCCTCAAATGGAAATAAACAAAACTACCGACATATGTAATTGAAAAGTCCAGATACCTGGGTGATGAAATAACCTGTACAACAAACCCCCATGACACAAGTTTACCTATGTAACAGACCTGCACTTGTACCCCTTTACTTAAAAAAGCAAAACAAAACAACAGAAAAGTTCAGATGGAGTATAGGTTTCAGGTAAAGCTTTATTAGGTGGTCCAACAACTTCATTAATGACCTGGTTTCTTTCAGTTTTCGCACTCTGCTTTCTGTGGTGTTAAATTTATCCCAAGGCAGCCACATTGAAGCCATTAGGTTTTTAAGGCTTCTAGCACCTTCTTCATTTATATCTATTAGGGAAAAATATGTTCTGTATCTGAGCATCATAGAAAAAAATCTTGGGTTCATTCTGATTTTCCTGGCTTAGGTTACATGCCAGTCTCTGAACTGATTACTAAGGCTAGAGAAATATATTGTGCTGATTGGCTTAGGTTTGCCCCAGGGATCAATTCCACCCAAATTCCATTCTTGAGTGAGGAAATTTGGGGTAAAAGAGGGAGGATAGCAAGGAAAAGATGACAGACACACAATTCCAGTTTATTATAAGAATGACTTCAAATGACCTTAACTGAATTGTAATATTATTTGGGAACAAGTCAAACATTATTAACATTTAGGCCCAGAGATGGTAGATGGCTTGCTTAAGTCTCCCAGCAAGCTACCTCAAGAACTGAGACTTGGGCTGGGCGTGGTAGCTCACACCTGTAATCCCAGCACTTTGGGAGGCCCAAGGCGGGTGGATCATTTGAAGCCAGGGGTTCGAAACCAGCCTGGCCAACATGGTGAAACCCCATTTCTACTACAAATATAAAAATTAGCCAGGCGTGGTGGTGGGCACCTGTAATCCCAGCTACTCAGCAGGCTGAGGAAGGAATTGCTTGAGCCCATGAGGCAGAGGTTGCAGTGAGCAGAGATCATGCCATTGCACTCCAGCCTGGGTGACAGAGAGAGACTCCGTCTAAAAAAAAAAAAAAGAAAAAAAAAAAGAACTGAGACTCAGAAGTGAATTATTTGACTCTTGAATTGTACTTCATTCTTAGAATCAATTATTGGCCTCTCTGTAAGACTGTCTTTACTGAGTTTTTAAACGGAGTATAATAAACTCTTTTGGGAATGCGGTAGATGTTCAAAGGTTTGACTTCTTAAAAAGAGGTGTAACAATTATATTCCTTAAAACTGAGAGGGGACCAATTGAGGGTAGAGGGATTGATGTGGGGGCAGGAGGATACTTTTTTGTTGTTATTGTGATGAAAATGTTCCATAGTTTTGTGGTTATATGACTGTATACATTGAACTGGATGCTTACAAACGGTGATAAAAAGGGTGAAGGAAAATAAAAAACCAAGTAGCCCAATAACACTGCTCATCCTTGTTTTTTTGTTTTGTTTTGTTTTTTAAATAACAAGTTCTAGGAGTTTTTGTTTGAATAAGAATATATAAATCAGGCAGAGTAGTCCCAGTGAAATCATGGTTAGATTTTACTGTATTTGTCTGTTGATCCTTCACCTTCTAAGCACTTAAAATACTTTTTTATTAGACTTGCTTTGATCACATATGCAATTTAAGTGTGAATAAGTAAGTGTATTATCTTTCCCTCCTCCACTCAGCTTTCTTTAAATAGAAAAGGGACAAATATCTCTTTATTGCATATTCAGCCATAGTTGCTCAATCTATGGTGTTAATAAGAGACTGTAATTTTATCTTCTAAAAATCATTACAGATTATAATTATAGGCTGTACCTCATTCTCTTAAAGAAATATTGGCATGTTAGTCCATTGATATTACTGATAGTTGCCAAATGGTGAGAATGGTAACTGGTTTGGAGGCAACTGAAAGGGAGGGGGAATCATCAGTAAACTGGAGACCAATAAAAAATTACACAGAAACAAATCTTTTTGGATAAACTAGATGAATGTCTCTTATTGAGACTGATCCAACAGTATTCACTGGCCCATTTCTTGCTGCTAGATGAGCTTCTGTTTAAGGCATCACTTGTGGTGGAGTTCTTTCTTTTATTTGGATTGGAACCATACTGTGATCTCTTATGGAAAACAGACTTCCTCCAAGTCTGTTAAATATAATTTAAAATTATATCGTTTCTTGTTGATTTGTTTGTTTTTGTTTTGCTTTATTTCATGTTATAGGCATCTGAAATGAATCCTTATATATATAACATACAAGTATATGTATGAGAAGACATGAATATAAGAAGTATAGGAAACATAAGACATGAATAAAAGTTTTAGCTAGACATTTTTAGATGAAAAGATGTGCATTTAAATTTGTAAAAGTTACAAATCGTTCTATAAAAAGTTAGCATATATTTAAATTTTTTGGATACATAATAAGAGAATTATATCACTTCTGATATCCATTGTGAAGACCCTACCACAGTCATTTTTTTGTGAAGGGTAGATAGGGCTCTTGCTTGTACTCTTCCAGGATGTGCCACGGGCTCCCTAATAACATTCAGGGGAGTGCATGTGCAGGTTTGTTACATGGGTATATCATATGATACTGAAGTTTGGTTTTGTAATGATCCCCATCGTCTAAGTAGTGAACATAGTAACCAATAGGTAGTTTTTGAGCCCTTGCTTTCCTGTCTCCCTCCCTGATTTTGGAATCTCCAGTGTCTTTTGTCCCGACATCTTTGTGTCTCTGCGTACCCAGTGTTTAGCTTCCACTTATAAGTGAAAACATGTGATATTTGGCTTTCTGTTTCTATGTTAATTCACTTAGGATAATTCAGCTGCATCCATATTGCTGTAAAGGACATGATTTCGTTCTTTTTTTATGGCTGCATAGTATTCCATGGTGTATATGTATTGAATTTTCTTTATCCATTCTACCATTGATGGGCACCTAAGTTGATTCCATGTCTTTGCTATTGTGAAGAGTGCTGTAATAAACATATCCCTTTTTGGTAGAATGATTCATTTTTTTTCATTTTTTTTATTTTTTAGGCAGAGTCTCGCTCTGTCGCCCAGGCTGGAGCGCAGTGGCACGATCTCGACTCACTGCAACCTCCACCTCCTGGGTTCAAGTGATTCTCCTGCATCAGCCTCCTGAGTAGCTGGGACTACAGGTGCTCGCCACTACACCTGGCTAATTTTTGTATTTTTTATACAGATGGGGTTTCACCTTGTTGGTCAGGATGGTCTTGATCTGCTGACCTCATGATCCACCCACCTCGGCCTCCCAAAGTGCTGGGATTACAGGTGTGAACCACCGTGCCCAGCCTAGAATGATTCATTTTTCTTTGGGTATATACCCATAATGAGATTGCTGGGTCGGATGGTAATTATATTTTAAGTTTTTTGAGAGATCTTTAAACTTCTTTTCACAGGGGCTAACCTAATTTGCATTCCCATCAGCAGTTTATAAGTATTACCTTTTCTCTGCAACCTTGACACCATCTGTTTTTTTTTTTTTTTTTTTTTGACTCTTTAGTAATAGTTATTCTGGGCTGGGCACAGTGGCTCACACCTGTAATCCCAGCATTTTGGGAGGCTAAGGCAGGTGGATGTGCTGAGGTCAGGAGTTCGAGACCAGCCTGGCCAACATGGTGAAACCCCATCTCTACTAAAAATACAAAAATTAGCCAGGCATGGTGGCAGGCACCTTTAATCCCAGCTACTCAGGAGGCTGAGGCAGGAGAATCACTTGAACCTGGGAGGTGGAGGTTGCAGTGAGCTGAGATTGCACCATTGCACTCCGGCCTGGGCGACAAGAGCGAAACTCCGTGTCCAAAAAAAAAAAAAAAAAATAGGTATTCTCATTGGTGTGAGATGGTGTCTCATTGTAGTTTTGATTTGCATCTTTCTCTGATAATCATCTTTTTTTCTAAATGTCTTTATGCTACCTCTAAAATGTTCTACGTATAATAGGCAAATCAAATGTTTAATAAACTGGTGTGTTAGGTTTATTTTCAGGTTGAAATGAAGATAGTTATTTTTATTTTGTGTACCTTTTACATATCAACTTACTTTTAGAAGTATTTCTAACTTGTGTTTTGTGTTTTTTTAGAGAAAATATTCTCTTTGGAATGGGAAATCCTCTGCTTGACATCTCTGCTGTAGTGGACAAAGATTTCCTTGATAAGTAAGTATTAAACTCTTCATATGCACTATGTGGAACTTACATTTGAAGAAGAATGGATGAAAACTTTAGAAGTGAATTTACCACCGAATGTCTTCAATTAAAGGAAAACTCAGGAAATTTAAGTTTGGTGATAGCAAGTGTGCTATCATTAACTATTGAATAACTGAGTACAGTTTTCCTTGGGAAAACTTATATACATTGCTATTTTTACTTAAAACTTTTTTGCTTATTATTTGGAAGGAGAAAAGTTTATATAATTTACCTAATTATTTAATTCCCCAACTTTTAAACTACTGTCAGTGAGCTACGTCTATAATGGTATCATAATCTACAGACATTCTACCCCGAATGTGCCCAGTCTGGTTTCCTCTCAGAAGCTATAATGGGAGAAGAAAGATGATTAGAGAAGACAAGAGAACGTGCAGGATATAATTCAGAGGATATGAAGCTCTGCTGTTTCCGCTTTATTAGTAACTTCCAATGTTTCAACTTAGCTGAGAAATCAGTTTGTTTATTTACCTAAGTATTTGAGGCCATTTCGTACAATAGTCCCCACTTGTGTCCTTGTTTTCAGTTTCTGAGGTCTCAGTTACCCATAGGACAGTGTAATAAGACATTTTGAGAGAGAGACATGCACCACGTCCACATAACTTTTATTACAGTATATTTTAATAGTTGTTCTATTTTTAGTTAGTTGTTGTTAATCTCTTATTGTGCCTAATTTATAAATGAAACTTTATCATAGTATGATGTGTAGGTATGTATGTGTAGGAAAAACAGTGTGTGTGTGTTTGTGTGTGTGTGTATATGTATGTATGTATGTATGTATGTATGTATGTATCTATCTATCTATCTATCTATCTATCTATCTATCTATCTATCTATCTATCTATATATGGTTCAGTACTATCCATGGTTTCAGATACCCACTGGTCATCTTACAATGCATCTACCTCGGATAACGGGGGCACTACTATATGGCAAATTTAAGTAGTAAAAAAGATTAATGATGAGAAAGCAAGATCCCCCCTCTCCTCACACACCCTGATTTCTGTACCCAAGAGTAATTACTTTTTAAAAAATTGAGGCAAAATTTATATCGCATAAAATTGATCGTTTTAACCATTATAAAGTATACAATTCAGTGACTGCCAGTATATTCACAAAGTTGTACAACCATCACCACTATCTAATTCAGGACATTTTCATCACCCCAAAATGAAATCCCATACCCAGTAAGTAGTCATTCGCTATTCCCTCCTCTAACCCAGTCTCCTGGGAACTACTAGTATACTTAGTTTTTCTATGAATTTGTCTATTCTGAGCATTTTATAGAAATGGAATCATATAATAATATATGATCTTTTGTGTTTATATATATGACCTTTTGTGTTTGGGCTTATTTTACTTATGTAATGCTTTCAAGGTTCATCCATGTTGTAGCATGTATCAGTCCTTCATTCCTTTTAATAGTGGACTATTCCATTGTGTGGATAGACCACATTTTGTTTATCCATTCATTGGTTGATGGACACTTATGTTGTTTTTATTTTTTGTCTATTAGGAACAATGCTTCTTATGAATATTCATGTATAAGCTTTTGTGTAGGAATGTGTTTTCATTTCTCTTGGGTATACACATAGGAGTGGAACTGCTGGGTCACATGGTAATTCTGTGTTTAACTTCTAGAGAAACCACCAAACTGTTTTCCAAAGCAGCTGCACTGTTTTGCATTCCTACCGGCAGTGCATAAGTGTTCCAGTTTCTCTACGTCTTTGCCAAAGCTTATTTTTTATTTTTTAAATTATAGCCATATGAGTGGGTGTGAAATGATGTCTCATTGTGATTTTGATTTGCATTTTTCTATTGAAAACTTTTGATGTTAGCATCTTTTCATATGCTTATTGGATATTTGTATATCTTTGGGAAAATGTTGAAGCTCTTTGCCCATTTTTTAATTGGGTCGTTGTCTTTTTGTTAAGTTGTAAAAGTTCTTTTTATATTCTGGATACTAGACCCTATCAGCTAGCATATGATTTGCAAACATTTTCTCCCATTCTGGGGATTTACTTTAATTTTTTGATAGTATCCTTTGATGCACAAAAGTTTTAAATTTTGATGATGTCCATTTTATTTTTCTTTTGTTGCTTATGCTTTTGCTGTCATATGTAAGAATCTATTGTTAAATCCAGGATCACAAAGATTTGTGCCTGTGTTTTCTTCTAAGAGTTTTGTAGTTTAAGGTCTTAGATTTAGGCATTTGATCAATTTTGAGTTAATTTTTGTATAAGGTATGAAATAAGGGTTCAACTTTATTCTTTTGTGTGTGGAAATCCAATTGTCTCAACATCATTTGTTGAAGAGACTATTCTTTTCCCCACTGAATGATCTTGATACTCTTGACAAAATCAGGTGACCATAGATATATGGGTAAATTTCTGGACTCCATTCTATTCCATTGATACATATGTCTGTCCTTATGCCAGTATGACATTGGTGTTTTTGTGTATGTGTGTTTTGTTTTTTGTTTTTTTTTTGGAGACAGGGTCTTGCTCTGTCACCCAGGATGGGGTGCAGTGATGCAATCATAGCTCACTGAAACCTTGAACTCCTGGGTTCAAGTGATCCTTCTATTTCAGCCTCCCAAGTAACTGAGACTATATGCAGGTACCACCATCCCTAGCTATTTTAAATTTTTTTTTGTATAAACAGGGTCTCCTTATGATGCCCAGGCTGGTCTCAAACTCAAGTCTGGCTTGATCCTAGGCCCAAGTTGTCTTCCCACCTTGGCCTCCCAAAGTGCTGGGATTATAGGCATTAGCCACCATACCTGGCCTGTACGACACTGTTTTGATTACTGTAGCTTTGTAGTAAATTTTGAAGTCAGGAAGTGTCAGTCCTCCAACTTTGTTTTTCAAGATTATTATTATTATTATTATTAATTTTTAATTTGAGATCCCTCACAATTCCATATGAATTTTTGGGGATAGCTTTTTCATTTCTGTAAAAAAGGCAGTTGGAATTTTGATTGGAATTACATTGAATGTATAGATAAATACATGATTAAGTCTTCCGAGTTATGAAGACAGAATGTCTTTCCATTTATTTAGGTCTTTTTTTTTTTTTTTTTTTTTTGGAGACAGAATCTTGCTCTGTTGTCCAGGCTGGAGTGCAGTGGCATGATCTCAGCTCACTGCAATCTCCATTTCCCGGGTTGAAGCGATTCTACTGCCTCAGCCTCCTGAGTAGCTGGGATTACAGGTGTGTGCCATCATGCCTGGCTAATTTTTGTATTTTTAGTAGAGACAGGGTTTCACCATGTTGGTCAGGCTTGTCTCAAACTCCTGACCTTGTGATCCACCCGTCTTGGCCTCCCAAAGTTATGGGATTATAGGTGTAAGCCACTGTGCCTAGCCTTAGGTCTTTTTAAAATAATTTTAGCAGTGTTTAGTAGGTTTTCAGTGCATAAGTCTTATACTTCTTTGGTTAAATTTAATTTTATTATTTTTGATGCCATTGTAAATTGGGATTGTTTTATTTTCTTATTGTTCATTGATAGTATGTAGAAATATAAGTAATTATGGGGGACAATAATTTTTTTGAAACTTTTTTTTATATCCTGGGGATTACCCCTGTAAGTATATTTGGCTAAACTCAAATGTCAAAGGGTAAGGCAAGAATTTATAAATGTGTAAATTTGACTTACGGTAATATAATAGGAAATGTGCTGGGGGTCTAGGATAAACTGGGAGATGTGTTTTATCCTAAGACATTCAGATAGAAACTTTAAAACACACTTTCCCAGTCAGAAAATACTACTATATACAGTTACTTTAATGATTTTAGTTCTTTTGGTTACCTTGTACTTTTAAATAATATACTATACTTACATTTCTTAAAATTTCTTTTTCTGTCAAATTTCAGGCTGGGCGTGGTGGCTCACGCCTGTAATTCCAGCACTTTTGGAGGCTGAGGCAGGTGAATCACTTGAGGTCAGGAGTTCAAGTCATGCCAACATGGCAAAACCCTGTGTCTACTAAAAATACCAAAAATTAGCCAGGTGTGATGGCACGCACCTGTAGTCCCAGTTACTCGGGTGGCTGAGGCAGGAGAATTGCTTGAACCCGGGAGGCAGAGGTTGCAGTGAGCTGAAATTGCACCATTGCACTCCAACCTGGGTGACAGAGTTGACACTCTGTCTCAAAAAAAAAAAAAAAAAAAAAAAAAAAAATTAAACCAAGCCAAACCACACCAAAACAAAAAAACCCAAATTTCAATGGAATCCATTGACTTCTCATTATGGAGAACGAGATTACTGGTGCCCCTATTCTTTCCTATGCTACTTCTTCTATCTTTCTATTCTATTAACTGTGTTTTTAAGGTTGATGTTTTCATTCTGTTATCTATCTATAATTGTTTTCCCAACTTTGAATACAAATTCATAATGAAAGTTGAAAATGACTTACCCACATTATCACTCTGTGTATCATTTATTGCAGAATTAAGTAGTGTACCAGGAATGTAGAGCAGGTTAACATTTGAAATGTAATTAGAAGACTGGGCGTGGTGGCTCACGCCTGTAATCCCAGCACTTTGGGAGGCTGAGGTGGATGGATCACTTGAGGTCAGGAGTTTGAGACCAGCCTGGCCAATAGGGCAAAATTCCGTCTCTATTAAAAATACAAAAATTAACTGGGCATGGTGGTGTGTGCCTGTAATCCCAGATACTCGGGAGGCTGAGGCAGGAGAATCGGGTGAACCTGGGAGGCGGAGGTTGCAGTAAGCTGAGATTGCACCACTGCACTCCAGCCAGTGTGACAGCCTGAGAATCTGTCTCAAAAAAAAAAAAAAAAAAAAGAAATGTAATTAGAGTAATTCACTATAGTAAGAAACTAACATAACAGTCTAAGAAAACTCCATATAATTATCTCAATAGACAAAGAAAAACCTTTTGACAAAATCTAATATCTATTCCTGATGAAAAAAAATAACTTAAAGCAACCTAGGTAACTATGTCGATAACTTTCTTAACCCTATAAAGGTTACGTTAGGGGAAAACTGGTAGTGTGATGCTTATATGGGTATATAACGTATCAAATTGTATACTTTAAATGTCTACAGTTTATTGTATGTCAGTTATATATCAAAGGCTGTAATAAACAGAAAATAAAATCAGTTGGACATGAATTCATGGGTTTAAAATTAGATCTCTTTTGTTTGTGTAGTGTGAGATATTTTGTTCAGGAAGTCAACTAATTCATGGTCACTATTTTAAAAAAATCATGATGTATAAAAGTAAAGAGCAACTTAAAAATTTGAAATTTTATCGTGTATTTCAAAAGTAAAATAAAGTATAGAGACAAACCCATAAATGTAGAACATTTTATATGGGAAGCAAGAATTGAAATTTGGGATATACACACAGACCAGGTGGTCTTTGCTATGTCTGAAGAAGAAAGATAAGATTGGAAGTTTTATAAAAAGGTGAAATGTTTTGTATTGTTTTGAAAGAAAGCTCATTGGCACTAGTTTTGGGGAGGTGGCAAGCTTTGATTGGTGAGTGACTGCAGTGAGTAGAACTAGTCTTTTAGAGTCACAGCTCATTGTTTCAGTAGCTACTGGATAAAACTGTTTTCAGATGACAACAGGCAGTTTCAGCAGCCAGGCTTGCAGAGAATTACCTTCTTGGAGCAATGTTATGTGTGCTGAGTGCTCTTCCCCCCAGCCTGTCACCTGTTTTAGTCAGATATGACAAGAATGACCCAATTTATATGATTAGCTTTCACACATATATAATCAGTGTTGTTATTTTGGTGAACATGCCTCCAGATGTTTGTTAGGCATATATAACCTGAAGATGAATGTTTATGGGCTAATACTATGTGTAGTCTTTGTTAGTATGCTGTTTTTCACTCAACATTATGTTTTTGGATCACTGTTTTTAAAATTTCAGGCAAATGTGATCAGAGTGATTATGACTTGGCAGCTGTGTGATGATGTCACAGGATCCTTAGGGTGTCGCTTTTCCAGCCAGAAGCCACTGTGGTTGGTGGAGCCTTTGCCTGAGGTTTGCTTGTGCCTGCCAGGCTTGTTCTGCTTGTTTGGCCTGGCAGGCTGCGTTCGGCTCATGCTACCAGCCTGGATCCCACACCTGCCAAGGGCGAGCCAGGTGCAGAGTGGCGTGGCAAAGAGTGTGTGAGCAAGCGAATATGGGATCTGGCCACTGTGTACAGCCACTCATGCTGGCTGCTGTGGTGGGGTGGGCATCTCCAGGCACTGGCACAGGTGCTGGCTTCATGCAAGCTTGCGGCTGGATCTGATGCATCTCAAGTGGCTTCCACTGTAGGAACCCACGTCTGGACGAGGATAATATGGTGGTGCCCAGAAGCTTGGAGACACCAGAAACCACAGAGCCCCAAAGAGAGTGTCACAGCCCTGGATTGGGAACCCCCTAGGTCTGGGCTCTCAGAAGGGCTGCAGCTCTTCTTTCCTTCTTGTTGCCTGCAAGGTGCTGAGTGGGGTGAGGCATATTTTAGCTCTGTTTGTGTTACAGCTGTTTCAGTCCTGCCACTTGGTGGGTCTTCTTATCCTGCATCCATGAACAGTGAGGTATGGGGACAACTGGAGGGTGAGCAAGGTGGAGAGGAGCTTCATTGAGCAACAGAACAGCTCTCAGGAGACCCGAAGTGGGTAGCTCCTTTCTGCAGGCAGGTCGTCCTGACAAGTGTTCACCTCTCAGTGAGATGAGACCCCGAGGGGGTAACTCCTTTCCACAGTTGGTAGTCCCAGGTCTCTTCTGTAAGTCTGGCTGAGTCCAGGGTTTTTAATGGGCTTCACAAGGGAGAAGTGTGTGCTGATTGGTCCATGGGCGGCTATGGGTGGGTCTGGAAAAAGCACCATGAGTCTCACTCCCCTCAGTGGACCCCACCTGGAACTGATAGCCTGGCCCCCATGCTTCAGGCTGTCCCTGGCTTGAAGGCAGGGCTTCACCTGAACCCACCCCTTTTTTCCCAGGAGAGTGTCTGCCTCCTGCTGCCATCAATCATGTTGTCCACAGTGTGCAGGCTGTTGGTGATGAGGGTACTTGCTGGCCCCATTGAGCTGCCCTCAGTCCCACCTTGGCCTCCTTCCCATGCTTCTCTGCACCTAAAGTCCAGAGGGGGCTGAGGGGGCAGGGGGCTGGTATGTCAGTGCTGCCCCGAGCACATGCACACCTGCTGGGTTGTGACAGTGCCTGGGCTTGGCCACGACTTTGCTCCACCCTGGAGCAGGTGCTGGGATCGAGGAGAGGCCAGGCATGGGAACAGGCACTTCTGAGTCTGCAGGGGAAAGGGGGACTTCCCGGGCCCCAGAGAGTGCAGGGATACCTGGGTCCACAGCCATGGCTGGGTGGCTGCAGCTGCACTCAGGAGGGTGGGGCTCCAGCCCTGCCAACTTGGAAGTGGGTGTGGCTCCCACCTGTTCCCAGCTCCCATGGGCTCTGTGGAGCATGCAGCCCTGGCTGCATCTCCCCAATTGTAGCCAGTGTCTTTGCAGCAGCTGCTCTAGACAGCCTGCTGCTGCCATCAATGACGCTGCTGGGAGCTCGAGTAACTTCTTTGTTTTACATGTTTTACTAGCAGCTGGTCCTAAGTGGCTAGCTGAAGTTCTATTTTATATTTGGAAGGTTTTAATCTTTAACTTTGATTTTCAAATAAGTACTTGAAGATAAAAAACAAGTCTTTGGACCCTAACAATAAAAGAGTCTTCTCTATTGTTACTCCTGGCTATTTCTTCCAAATATATTTAAAAACTTACCTTATGATATAAACGAATCGTGTTTAGCCTACATTTTGAGCCACCATTAGATAAGTATTTAGATAAGTACTATGTATATATATATTTTTTATTTTTTTATTTTTTTATTTTTTATTTTTGAGTTGGAGTCTTGCTCTGTCACCCAAGCTGCAGTGCAGTGGCGCAATCTCAGCTCACTGCAACCTCTGCCTCCCAGGTTCAAGCGATCCTCTTGCCTCAGCTTCCCGAGTAGCTGGAACTACAGGCATGTGCCACCATGCCCGGCTAATTTTTGCAGTTTTAGTAGAGACAGGGTTTCACCATGTTGGCCAGGGTGGTCTCGAACTCCTGACCTCTGGTGATCTGCCCACCTCGGTCTCCCAAAGTGCTGGGATTACAGGCATGAGCCACCGCACCCAGCATAGATAAGTGGTATATTGCTATGGTTTGAATGATGGTATCCTCTCCAAAAATTCATGTTGAAACTTATCCCCAGTGTAGCAGTATAAGAAGTGTGACTCTTGGGGGTTGACCAAGTTATGAAGGCTCTGCTCTTATGAATGGGGTTAGCACACTTGTGAAAGGACTCAAGGTTGAAGGGAGAGCTCTCCTGCCTTTACATTCCTTCTGTCATGTGAGGACACAGTGTTCCTCCCCTCTGGAGGATGCAGCAACAAGGTTCCATGTTAGAAGCAGAGAAAAGCCTCGCCAGACACCAATCTTGCTGGTGCCTTAACCGTGGATTTCCCAGCCTCCAGGAATGTGAGAAATATATTTCTATTGTTTACAAATTACCCCAAACAAAATAAGAAAAATAAAACAACAACAAAACATAAGTAAGTAAATAAATAAATAGCCTGGTCTGTGGTATTTTTGTTATAGCAGCACAAGGGGACCAAGACATATACCAAATGAATGAGATATATACTGATTAGTATCTTACACTGTGAAAGTGAGTTCTAATTGTCAAAATTCATTTGATAAAATATTTTTCTGATTCTGATTTTTTTTTTTTTAGAGACAAGTTTTTCTGTTTCCCAGACTGGAGTGCAGTAGCACAATCATAGCCTAGTCACTCACTGCAGCCTCAAACTCCTGTCCCTCCCACCAAAAAAAGAATTGAAAGTTATTAGGAACACCTGTGGCAGAAAGTACATTATTGAAAAGAATCTTTTCTAGTAAACTGTAGGGACACAGTGGGCATGAGGGGATAGGAAATGTGGAACATATGAATACCTCCAGTTGAGCCCTGGTCTGTAATTATGGAGGTATGTATTAATAGGGATGAAAAAGGCAGGGAAGGAATGTGTAAGGTAGGTTTGCCTTGGTTTTTCCTGACACTAGATAAATATGAAAGTAAGAGGAATGAGAGAATGAATGAAATGGTAATTGAGAAAGGAAAACCATCAGTAGAAATGAAAATACTCAGTTTTGGCTGGGCGCGGTGGCTCACACCTGTAATCCCAGCACTTTGGGAGGCCGAGGTGAACGGATCACCTGAGGTCAGGAGTTAGAGACCAGCCTGGCTAACAAGGTGAAACCCCATCTCTATTGAAAATAAAAAATTAGCTGGGTGTGGTGGCACACGCCTGCAGTCCCAGCTACTCAGGAGGCTGAGGCAGGAGAATCGCTTGAACCCAGGAGCGGAGGTTGCAGTGAACCGAGATTGCGCCACTGCACTCCAGCCTGGGCGACAGAGTGAGACTCCATCTCAGGAAAAAAAAAAAAAAAAAAAAATAGAAAATACTCAGTTTTATGACAGGAGTAGTTGAGGAGACGTGTTTTTCTTACAGATCTAAACCTTTAATAAACATACAAACCTTACATGAGTTTTTATTAATCTGAGTATGCATGAAAGATGTTACTTAATGTTCAAACCTAAAATGCCCGAAGTAGCTGGCTGTGGTGGTGCTTGCCTGTAGTGCCAGCTACTTGGGAGGCTTTAGCTGTAGTGCATCATGATTATGCCTGTGAATAGCCACTGCACTCCATCCTAGGCAATATAGTGAGACCCTGTCTCTAAAAATTAAAAAAAGGAAAATGCTCAAAGTAATTGGCCATAAATTTTAGTGCTGATTATTCAGTGCCAATAATTTACAACTGAATTATTTCTATAAATAAAAATTTATTTCTTCTACAAATGGGTGTATGTTAGCTTTGAAAGTGAAAAAAATATTTAGTGTCAAGTGAGACTGCATGTGTTAGGTTAAAAGCTAGACATTTAATTGTTTTGCTTTAAAATGAATTGTAAACTGCTCTGACACTTTTGTAGTTAATTTTTTTTTTCTTTGAGATGAAGTTTCACTGTCGCTCAGGCTGGAGTGCAGTGGCATGATCTCAGCTCACTGCAACCTCTGCCTCCCGGGTTCAAGCTATTCTTATGCCTCAGTCTCCTGAGTAGCTGAGATTACAGGCATGTGCCACCATGCCTGGCTAATTTTTGTATTTTTAATACAGACGGGGTTTCACCATGTTGACCAGGCTGGTCTTTAACTCCTGACCTCAAGTGATCCACCCACCTCAGCCTCCCAAAGTGCTGGGATTACAGGTGTGAGCTACCGTGCCCGGTCTTTTAATTAATTCTTTATAAAGCTATTGCCATATTTTTTTCTACAGCTTTCAACATTATGTTTTGTATATTTAGGTCTTTAATTGACCTGAATATTCTGTCTGGGATTTTGTTTAGTATTTATGGATTAATTTGGAAAAAAGAGATCTTTACCAACAAATTTTCTTATCCTTACAAATATTTCTTTCTGTATTTTAGGTATTCTTCTATTATCTTTTAATAACATGTAAAATTTAAATACATTTAATATGGGTTACAAAATGGTTAGGCTGATTTTTTTAAAAAACGTATACATCTTATGGTAGTGATCATTTGCTAAATCTGTTAGATTCAAAAATTCTAAAAGTAAATGCTTTTTAGAAAAAAATTCAGACCATGTAGAAGTCAATAAAGTACAAATGAAATCTGGGGTCAGTATCTTTGCAGCAGTGTGTGCTGTCCACTAGAATGTTTCATGATTATGGAAATGTTGTGTATCTGTGCTATCCAACATGGTAACCACTAGTCACATTTGGCTTTGATCATTTGAAGTGTGGCTAGTGCAACTGATGAATTTCAACATTTTATTTCATGTTAATTAAATTTTAATAGATATAATTAGCATATATGATATTAACCAGTACAGCTTAGGTTTATTGTAAAATTTTACATTTCTTTTTATATGTTTATATTTTTTAAAGGTATCTTCAAAAAAAGTTGTATCTATTGTGTATATGATATATTTTTCTACAACATATTCTAGATTATTGGTGGTGTTTGGAAATGCTTCTTAAGTTTGAATATTTTCTCTTATTTGACTACCTTGTGACCTACATTAACAGATAGTCTTTGGTTATTCTGCTTCTCTCCTTCAAAATTCTAAATTCTTAGAATTTGAAATAAACTGCTATTTGAATCTTTATGTCATTTCACATATTGAGTGATTGGTCCTGAGTTGCTCTGGGGCTTCCTCAAAAAACAACCTAAATTATGGATACTAAATGAACACAGACTACTTTCCTTCATTTTGCCCAAATAGATGCTGTTCTTTGGGTTCTTTGATGTTCAAACTTAACTTTGAATATTGAAGGAAATGGTACTTCTAAGGATAAGTAAACATAGATTCTTTTTTAACAGTTCATTTCACAGCTCAACACACACTTTTTGGAGCATATGTTTTATGGTTACTCTTTTGCCAAATACTGGGAATACAATATTAAATAACTGTTTTGCCTTTAAGCAGCTTGTAATCTAATTGAGGAGACAGATGTGGAAAGAAATCACTTACTTCTTCACAGTGGCATTATAGAATAGAGGTTAAGAGTGTGCTCTGGAGCTGTGTGACCTTGGTTATCTATGGAAGCTCAGTTTCCTTGTGAGTAAAATAAGGTTATTAGGGTTCTTGTGAGGATTGAATGAGATTATTTGAATGTTTGGCATATGTTAGCTAATATTACTGGCTACTGAGCTTGAAATCTCTCGTGCCTCTATTATTGGCAATGGAGAGCACTTGAGAGATTTAAGCAGGCAGATGACATGGTTGGATTCATATTTTAGGATTATGTGAATTGCTTTGTCTGTAGTGGATCAATAGATTTGAGGAGGCTATAGTGATAAACCTGTTGCGAGATGATGACTTGATCACTTTAGTTATGATAGAATGGTTGGGAAGAGAGTGCAGTAATACTTTTCGTGTTATCAAGGTAAGACTTGATTGATTTAATGAAGAGGGTAAAAGGAGTTAGAGATAACATTTGAATTTTTGGTTTTGGTGACTGATGGTGGTATTTACAAATGAGTTAGGGAGTATAGGAGGAGGATATGGAAGAGGGGCTTGAAAGATTGAATTGAGTTTTGTTCAAGCTTGAGATGACTATGATATCCAGGCAGGCATATTCAGGAGACAGTTGGATTTATGTTTTTGGTGGGTAGAAGAGTCATGGCTGGACTCCTTTTGTTTCTGGAGACAGGGTCTTGCTGTGTTGCCCAGTCTGGAGTGCAGTGAGTGGTGCTGTCATGCCTCCCTGTAGCCTCCCAGGCTTAAGCGATTCTCTTACCTCAGCCTCCCGAGTAGCTGGGACTACAGGCATGTGCCCTACCATGCCCAGCTAATTAAAAAAAAATTTGTTTTTTAGAGATGGGTCTCACTATGTTGCCCAGGCTGGTCTTGGAATCCTCTGACCTCATTCTCTCAAAGTGCTGGGATTACACATGTGAGCTACAGTGCCTTGCCTGGACTCTTTAATTGTATTTAATTTTACATAGTTTGACGCAATATTATTCAATAAATGGTAGCTATTACTAGCACTATTTTTATTATTATGTGGCTGGTATTTAAAGCAACCAGTAGATGAAACTTTCTAAAAAAAAAGAAAGAGTAAAAAGTAAAAGGAGTGGGCTGGAAGCTAGAACATTTAATAGATGGATAGATAAAGAATGAGTATAGAATGAGATTAAGAAAAAGCAGAACTAAGACAAGCTCTGATGAAGTATGATGAGTTTATATAAGAATAGTCAATAATACCTGATGCAACAGAGATATCTAGTAAAGTAATGCCTAAAAGGGTCCCCTGTATTTGAATGGGATGTCAGTGGCGCCCTCTGCCAGGCAAATCACAGTGCAAATATGGAGACAGAAGCCAGAAATAAAATGTATTAGCAAATAAATGGGAGGTTGATATAACATGGGCCGGTTTTGCTGATGTGACCCAAGAGCTAAGCAGTGATATCAATATCTTCCAATTCCAAATTTTAAAATGTCCTTTAATAAAATATGTGGCTAGTCATTTTGAACAATTATCAGTAAAATTTTTAAAATAAAAAGCATAAGAAAAATTAAGAATACAAAGAGTATAGTTCTATTTTAGGTATTTAGGTTTAAATCTAGTTTAATTCTTTCAGCTTTCTCTAATTGAGTTTTAATCCTCGTTTACTTTGCTAATGAGATTTAAAAATATTATTTTCATAAACCTTGTAACTTTTTGCTTTTTTATTCTAACCCTGTGATTTACTCTTAATCTATTTCTTTATAAGCTTCTTAAATTTCAGTCCAGCTTTAGTCTCAAACATTGTTGTAGTGATTAATGGTTTTGCCCCCCCATTTTCTTCCTTTGTAATATATTTTAATCAACTTTTTTTTAAATTGGAAGAGCCAATTAAATATGTTGTTTAAAATCTTGCCATATCCACACTGTCTACCTGATTGGTTTTGCCAATTCTGTAAAACTTTACTTGATACTGTTGGGATTCTTTGGACTATGTGGCAATATTTGTAGATTTATAGAAATTTTACTGATTTAATTCTTGGAAGGCAATTTTAGTTCCAAGTATTTATAGAATATTTTATTGTCATCTGCTATGTACCAAGTCTTAACTTGACATTAACTGTGCAACATTAGGCATGGCACCTCTCTTATGACTGTCCTATTTCAGAACTTCACAGTCTGTTCCTGCGCCTTTCAAGGCACTAAGCTCTGTGCTATGCTGATCTTCAGAGGAGGAGCACATTTGAATAAAAAGTGTTTGTTTCAGTCTCATTAAAAGGCTCTTATAAAAGTTATGAACATTTAAAAGTGCCCTTTCCTCCCTTTTTGAGCTAATTGAATTCTTCATTTTATAGGGGTAGAAGATTCCAGGAAGAGGGGGCAGGGATGAGTATTTATCATAATTGTTAAATAATGCGCTGGACACTTTTTGTGTAATGTTATTTGATCTGGATAGCAACCCTGTGACATAGGCAGGTTTATCCTCATTAGAGAAATTAAGTGGCTTGCCCAGTTCAGAAAACAAGTTAATGTCAGAATCAGGATGATATTGCAGGTTTTTTGATTTGTATCTAGTGATTTTTTTCACTCAGTTGTTCTCTTTGTAGGGGCTAGAGGCAGAATAAAGAGGCCCCTTCCCTGTGCTCCCTCTTGCTTCCCCGTCTTCTATTCTTTGGAGTGTATGTCATTTTTCTCCAGTAATTTAGGGCAGAAAAAAATGTTGAGGACTACCACTGTACCATTTTGTTGTCTCTGATTTTTAGGAACTATGTTCATGGTAAGAATTGATTATAAAAGAATACCTATCTATGCCATTAGAAAACAAAACATCCAAAATATAGGCTGTGCTTTGCATCATTCTATGAAAGCCATGGTGGGAAGTTGGGTTATAGCTTTCTACTAAGTTGAAAGTAGGCTCTGTCGCCTAGGTTGGAGTGCAGTGGCACAATCTTGGCTCACTTACAACCTCCATCTCCCAGGTTCAAGTGATTCTCCTGCCTCAGCCTCCCCAGTAGCTGGGACCACAGGCGCCTGCCACCACGCCTGGCTAATTTTTGTATTTTTAGTAGAGATGGGGTTTTGCTGATGGGGTTTCGCTGTGTTGGCCAGGCTGGTCTCAAACTCCTGACCTCAAGTGATCTGCCTGCCTTGGCCTCCCAAAGTGCTGGGATTATAAGCATGAGCCACTGCGCCCAGCTAATGATTTTTAATAACTTTATATAATACTGATAAATCACTCTTTTTTTTTTTTTTTTTTAAGACAGAGTCTTGCTCTGTCACCCAGGCTAGAGTGCAGTGGCTCGATCTCGGCTCACTGCAAGCTCTGCCTCCTGGGTTCACCCCATTCTCCTGCCTCAGCCTCCCAAGCAGCTGGGACTACAATGCCTGGCTAATTTTTTTGTATTTTTTTTAGTAGAGACGGGGTTTCACCATGTTAACCAGGATGGTCTCGATCTCCTGACCTTGTGATCCGCCCGTCTCGGCCTCCCAAAGTGCTGGGATTACAGGCGTGAGCCACCGCGCCTGGCCTAAATCACTCTTTTTAGTGGACTCTAAATACCACTGTGATTTGATACCCCTTTTATTCATTTATAAAAATACATAAACAGCTTCCTTTTTTGATGTTTAAAAATTTTATAGTCCTTTCTGTCTTGAATTTGCATTTCTGTTATACTTTTCACACCAGATTCTATTCTTATATGATGTATTTTATGCATAAGTTATATTTTGCCTGTAACATGCATACATTATGAAGGTAGTATATTTTTATGCATTACAGTCTTTCATGCATATTGATTACCCTATTATATGTCTTTGCAGCCAGCCAAAATGTGTAAATTTTAAAATATCTCTTAGTCATTAAATTGTAATTAGCACACGGTAAAATAACAAATGTATTAAAATGTTGCTAAATTATTTTTTATTTATTAAAAAAATTTTTTTTCTCCTTCTCTGCCTTCAAAATGTTGCTTCTCTGCCTTCAAAATGTTGGTACATTATTAAACAGAAGAAAATAGGCCAGGTGCAGTGGCTCGCACCTGTAATCCTAGTACTTTGGGAGGACAAGGTGGGCGGATCACTTGAGGTGAGGAGTTGGTGACCAGCCTGGCCAACGTGGTGAAACTTCGTTTCTACTTAAAATACGAAAATTAGCCGGGCGTGGGGGTGCATGCCTGTAGTCCCAGCTATTTTGGGGACTGAGGCACGAGAATTGCTTGAACCCAGCAGGCAGAGGTTGCGGTGAGCCACAATCATGCCACTGTACTTCAGCCTGGGTGACAGAGTGAAACTCTGTCTCAAAAAAAAAAATAAAAAAAAAAAAGTTTCACAGACAAAATATGAATCATTCCTTGTTTAACACTTAAAAGGTTTTTATACTCAGGCAATAGAATAGTGTATAGTTTCATTCACAATAGGTGAGGAGTATGTCATCCTTTTTATATTAATAAAAAGTGAGAGGAGCCCAGATGGCCGAATAGGAACAGCTCCGGTCTACAGCTCCCAGCGTGAGCGATGCAGAAGACGGGTGATTTCTGCATTTCCATCTGAGGTACTGGGTTCATCTCACTAGAGAGTGCCAGACAGTGGGCGCAGGTCAGTGCGTGCAGCGCACCGTGCATGAGCCGAAGCAGGGCGAGGCATTGCCTCACTCGGGAAGCACAAGGGGTCAGGGAGTTCCCTTTCCTAGTCAAAGAAAGGGGTGACAGATGGCACCTGGAAAATCGGGTCATTCCCACCCGAATACTGCACTTTTCCGACGGGCTTAAAAAACGGCACACCAGGAGATTATATCCTGCACCTGGCTCGGAGGGTCCTACGCCCACGGAGTCTTGCTGATTGCTAGCACAGCAGTCTCAGATCAAACTGCAAGGCGGCAGCGAGGCTGGGAGAGGGGCGCCCGCCATTGCCCAGGCTTGCTTAGCTAAACAAAGCAGCCGGGAAGCTCCAACTGGGTGGAGCCCACCACAGCTCAAGGAGGCCTTCCTGCCTCTGTAGGTTGCACCTCTGGGGGCAGGGCACAGACAAACAAAAAGACAGCAGTAACCTCTGCAGACTTATATGTCCCTGTCTGACAGCTTTGAAGAGAGCAGTGGTTCTCCCAGCACGCAGCTGGAGATCTGAGAACGGGCAGACTGCCTCCTCAAGTGGGTCCCTGACCCCTGACCCCTGAGCAGCCTAACTGGGAGGCACCCCCCAGTAGGAGCAGACTGACAACTCACATGGCCGGGTACTCCTCTGAGACAAAACTTCCAGAGGAACGATCAGACAGCAGCATTCGCGGTTCACGAAAAACCACTGTTCTGCAGCCACCGCTGCTGATACCCAGGCAAACAGGGTCTGGAGTGGACCTCTAGCAAACTCCAACAGACCTGCAGCTGAGGGTCCTGTCTGTTAGAAGGAAAACTAACAAACAGAAAGGACATCCACACCAAAAACCCATCTGTACATCACCATCATCAAAGACCAAAAGTAGATAAAACCACAAAGATGGGGAAAAAACAGAGCAGAAAAACTGGAAACTCTAAAAAGCAGAGCACCTCTCCTCCTCCAAAGGATCGCAGTTCCTCACCAGCAATGGAACAAAGCTGGACGGAGAATGACTTTGACGAGTTGAAAGAAGAAGGCTTCAGACGATCAAACTACGAGCTACGGGAGGAAATTCAAACCAAAGGCAAAGAAGTTAAAAACTTTGAAAAAAATTTAAACGAATGTATAACTAGAATAACCAATACAGAGAAGTGCTTAAAGGAGCTGATGGAGCTGAAAGCCAAGGCCCGAGAACTACGTGAAGAATGCAGAAGCCTCAGGAGCCGATGTGATCAACTGGAAGAAAGGGTATCAGCAATGGAAGATGAAATGAGTGAAATGAAGCGAGAAGGGAAGTTTAGAGAAAAAAGAATAAAAAGAAACAATCAAAGCTTCCAAGAAATATGGGACTATGTGAAAAGACCAAATCTACGTCTGATTGGTGTACCTGAAAGTGACGGGGAGAATGGAACCAAGTTGGAAAACACTCTGCAGGATATTATCCAGGAGAACTTCTGCAATCTAGCAAGGCAGCCAACATTCAGATTCAGGAAATACAGAGAACGCCACAAAGATACTCCTTGAGAAGACCAACACCAAGACACATAATTGTCAGATTCACCAAAGTTGAAATGAAGGAAAAAATGTTAAGGGCAGCCAGAGAGAAAGGTCGGGTTACCCACAAAGGGAAGCCCATCAGACTAACAGCGGATCTCTCGGCAAAAACTCTACAAGCCAGAAGAGAGTGGGGGCCAATATTCAACATTCTTAAAGAAAAGAATTTTCAACACAGAATTTCATATCCAGCCGAACTAAGCTTCATAAGTGAAGGAGAAATAAAATACTTTACAGACAAGCAAATGCTAAGAGATTTTGTCACCACCAGGCCTGCCCTAAAAGAGCTCCTGAAGGAAGCACTAAACAAGGAAAGGAACAACCGGTACCAGCTGCTGCAAAATCATGCCAAAATGTAAAGACCATCAAGACTAGGAAGAAACTGCATCAACTAACGAGCAAAATAACCAGCTAACATCATAATGACAGGTTCAAATTCACACATAACAATATTAACTTTAAATGTAAATGGACTAAATGCTCCAATTAAAAGACACAGACTGGCAAATTGGATAAAGAGTCAAGACCCATCAGTGTGTTGTATTCAGGAAACTCATCTCACATGCAGAGACACACATAGGCTCAAAATAAAAGGATGGAGGAAGATCTACCAAGCGAATGGAAAACAAAAAAAGGCAGGGCTTGCAATCCTAGTCTCTGATAAAACAGACTTTAAACCAACAAAGATCAAAAGAGACAAAGAAGGCCATTACATAATGGTAAAGGGATCAATTCAACAAGAAGAGCTAACTATCCTAAATATATATGCACCCAATACAGAAGCACCCAGATTCATAAAGCAAGTCCTGAGTGACCTACAAAGAGACTTAGACTCCCACACATTAATAATGGGAGACTTTAACACCCCACTATCAACATTAGACAGATCAATGAGACAGAAAGTCAACAAGGATACCCAGGAATTGAACTCAGCTCTGCACCAAGCAGACCTAATAGACATCTACAGAACTCTCCACCGCAAATCAATAGAATATACATTTTTTTCAGCACCACACCACACCTATTCCAAAATTGAACACATAGTTGGAAGTAAAGCTCTCCTCAGCAAATGTAAAAGAACAGAAATTATAACAAACTGTCTCTCAGACCACAGTGCAATCAAACTAGAACTCAGGATTAAGAAACTCACTCAAAACCGCTCAACTACATGGAAACTGAACAACCTGCTCCTGAATGACTACTGGGTACATAACGAAATGAAGGCAGAAATAAAGATGTTCTTTGAAACCAACGAGAACAAAGACACAACATACCAGAATCTCTGGGACACATTCAAAATAGTGTGTAGAGGGAAATTTATAGCACTAAATGCCCACAAGAGAAAGCAGGAAAGATCCAAAATTTACACCCTAACATCACAATTAAAAGAACTAGAAAAGCAAGAGCAAACACATTCAAAAGCTAGCAGAAGGCAAGAAATAACTAAAATCAGAGCAGAACTGAAGGAAATAGAGACACAAAAAACCGTTCAAAAAATTAATGAATCCAGGAGCTGGTTTTTTGAAAGGATCAACAAAATTGATAGACCACTAGCAAGACTAATAAAGAAAAAAAGAAAGAAGAATCAAATAGACGCAATAAAAAATGATAAAGGGGATATCACCACTGATCCCACAGAAATACAAACTACCATCAGAGAATACTACAAATACCTCTACGCAAATAAAGTAGAAAATCTAGAAGAAATGGATAAATTCCTTGATACATACACCCTCCCAAGACTAAACCAGGAAGAAGTTGAATCTCTGAACAGACCAATAACAGGCTCTGAAATTGTGGCAATAATCAATAGCTTACCAACCAAAAAGAGTCCAGGACCAGATGGATTCACAGCCGAATTCTACCAGAGGTACAAGGAGGAACTGGTACCATTCCTTCTGAAACTATTCCAATCAATAGAAAAAGAGGGAATCCTCCCTAACTCATTTTATGAGGCCAGCATCATCCTGATACCAAAGCCTGGCAGAGACACAACCAAAAAAGAGAATTTTAGACCAATACCCTTGATGAACATTAATGCAAAAATCCTCAATAAAATACTGGCAAACCGAATCCAGCAGCACATCAAAAAGCTTATCCACCATGATCAAGTGGGCTTCATCCCTGGATGCAAGGCTGGTTCAACATACGCAAATCAATAAATGTAATCCAGCATATAAACAGAACCAAAAACAAAAACCACATGATTATCTCAGTAGATGCAGAAAAGGCCTTTAACAAAATTTAACAACCCTTCATGCTAAAAATTCTCAATAAATTAGGTATTGATGGGACATATCTCAAAATAATAAGAGCTATCTATGACAAACCCATAGCCAGTATCATACTGAATGGGCAAAAACTGGAAGCATTCCCTTTGAAAACTGGCACAAGACAGGGATGCCCTCTCTCACCACTCCTATTCAACATAGTGTTGGAAGTTCTGGCCAGGGCAATCAGGCAGGAGAAGGAAATAAAGGGTATTCAATTAGGAAAAGAGGAAGTCAAATTGTCCCTGTTTGCAGACGACATGATTGTATATCTAGAAAACCCCATTGTCTCAGCCCAAAATCTCCTTAAGCTGATAAGCAACTTCAGCAAAGTCTCAGGATACAAAATCAATGTACAAAAATCACAAGCATTTTTATACACCAATAACAGACAAACAGAGAGCCAAATCATGAGTGAACTCCCATTCACAATTGCTTCAAAGAGAATAAAATACCTAGGAATCCACCTTACAAGGGATGTGAAGGACCTCTTCAAGGAGAACTACAAACCACTGCTCAATGAAATAAAAGAGGATACAAACAAATGGAAGAACATTCCATGCTCATGGGTAGGAAGAATCAATATCGTGAAAATGGCCATACTGCCCAAGGTAATTTAGAGATTTAATGCCATCCCCATCAAGCTACCAATGAGTTTCTTCACAGAATTGGAAAAAACTACTTTAAAGTTCATATGGAACCAAAAAAGAGCTCACATCGCCAAGTCAATCTTAAGCCAAAAGAACAAAGCTGGAGGCATCACGCTACCTGACTTCAAACTATACTACAAGGCTACAGTAACCAAAACAGCATGGTACTGGTACCAAAACAGAGATATAGATCAATGGAACAGAACAGAGCCCTCAGAAATAACGCCGCATATCTACAACTATCTGATCTTTGACAAACCTGAGAAAAACAAGCAATGGGGAAAGGATTCCCTGTTTAATAAATGGTGCTGGGAAAACTGGCTAGCCATATGGAGAAAGCTGAAACTGGATCCCTTCCTTACACCTTATACAAAAATCAATTCAAGATGGATTAAAGACTTAAACGTTAGACCTAAAACCATAAAAACCCTAGAGGAAAACCTAGGCATTACTATTCAGGACATAGGCATGGGCAAGGACTTCATGACTAAAACACCAAAAGCAATGGCAACAAAAGCCAAAATTGACGAATTAAACTAAAGAGCTTCTGCACAGCAAAAGAAACTACCATCAGAGTGAACAGGCAACCCACAAAATGGGAGAAAATTTTTGCAACCTACTCATCTGACAAAGGGCTAATATCCAGAATCTACAATGAACTCAAACAAATTTACAAGAAAAAACAAACAACCCCATCAAAAAGTGGGTGAAGGACATGAACAGACACTTCTCAAAAGAAGACATTTATGCAGCCAAGAAACACATGAAAAAATGCTCACCATCACTGGCCATCAGAGAAATGCAAATCAAAACCACAGTGAGATATCATCTCACACCAGTTAGAATGGCAATCATTAAAAAGTCAGGAAACAACAGGTGCTGGAGAGGATGTGGAGAAATAGGAACACTTTTACACTGTTGGTGGGACTGTAAACTAGTTCAACCATTGTGGAAGTCAGTGTGGCGATTCCTCAGGGATCTAGAACTAGAAATACCATTTGACCCAGCCATCCCATTACTGGGTGTATACCCAAAGGACTATAAATCATGCTGCTATAAAGACACATGCACACGTTTGTTTATTGCGGCGCTATTAACAATAGCAAAGACTTGGAACCAACCCAAATGTCCAACAATGATAGACTGGATTAAGAAAATGTGGCACATATACACTATGGAATACTATGCAGCCATAAAAAATGATGAGTTTATGTCCTTTTTAGGGACATGGATGAAATTGGAAATCATCATTCTCAGTAAACTATCACAAGAACAAAAAACCAAACACCGCATATTCTCACTCATAGGTGGGAATTGAACAATGAGAACACATGGACACAGGAAGGGGAACATCACACTCTGGGGACTGTTGTGGGGTGGGGGGAGGGGGGAGCGATAGCATTGGGAGATATACCTAATGCTAGATGACGAGTTAGTGGGTGCAGCACACCAGCATGTCACATGCATACATATGCAACTAACCTGCACAATGTGCACATGTACCCTAAAACTTAAAGTATAATAATAAAAAAATAAAAATAAATAAAAAGTGAATTTTAGGCCATTTTCTGTTACTTAGAATACCTGAAACTGGGTATTTTATAAGAAAAGGAATTTATTTCTTACAGTTATGGAGGTTGAGAAGTCCAAGGTCAAAGGGCTGCACTTGGTGAGAACCTTCTTGCTGATAGTGACTCTACAGATTCCTGAGGTGGTGCAGGGTATCACATGGCAAGGGGCCTGAACCTGCTAATGGTAGCTCAGGTCTCTTCTCTTCTTTTAAAGCCACCAGCTCCCCTCCCATGATAACCCATTAATCCATGAATGGATTAATCCATTTATGAAGGTGGAGCTCTCATGATCCAATTACTTCTTAAAGGCCCCAGCTCTCAATATTGCCCCGTTGGGGATTAAATTTCAACATGAGATTTGAGGGGGGTCAAATATTCAAACCATAGCAGTGGGTTTAAAGGTACTTGTGAAAGAGGAGACCAGAGAGGAAAATCAACATGACCTTTCAAATGGACCTATGATCCATTTTCAGGCAGATTAATTTTAAATTTTATGAAAGGGTTGAGTATGAATGAGAATTGAAGACCTGGGAATTGTTGTCCATTGTTGTTTATCTATTTCTGTGTACCCTTCAGAAAGTCTGTTTACCTTCAGCAGTACAAATATATGGTACTGTGAAAGATCCCTGATCTAGTATTTATAGCAACCTGTATTTTATGACCAGAGAAACTGAGACTTAAAGATGTAGAGTACTTGCCTATGGTCACTTAGCTAGTAAATGGTCAATCAAAAACTCCAAAACTTGAGGCCGGGTACGGTGACTCATGCCAGTAATCCCAGCAATTTGGGAGGCTGAGGTGGTTGGATCACTTGTGGTCAGGAGTTCCAGAGCAGCCTGGCCAACATGTTAAAACCCCTTCTCTACTAAAAATACAAAAATTAGCCAGGCATGGTGGTGCGTGCCTGTAATCCCAGCTTCTGGGGAGGCTGAGACAGGAGAATCGCTTGAACAGGTTGCACTGAGTCAAGATCGTGCCACTGCACTCCAGCCTTGGTGACAGAGTGAGACTCTATCTCAACAAATAAACAAACAAACAAAAAACACACAAACCCTCCAAAGCTTTTCTTTCCCTCCTGTGTCATGCTACTTAGTACATAGCCTGGTTCACAGTATATGATTACTATATATTTAATGAATGATTTACATATTATTTGTGAAGTCCAAAATACTTAACGTTGTAGTTGTTCCATCAGTTTTGAACTGCTGAATAAGTGTGACATTACAGATGATTCACTACAGAAGAATATTGAAGATCTTCAAAGCATTGTTAAGGTGATCTCCTTTCAGTTCCTGGAGTGGTGTTCCTGGAAATGACTAATAGAACAGCAAAAAACCGTCTACTTGGGCATTCTTGGTGTTTTATCAATTAAGTCAGAGACCTATAACAGTGTTGGAGTGCTTGTTTTGAAGAGGTCAGCTAACTTACGTTGACACTGTGTGTGTATGAAGAGTGTAATTTTCGTTTCTGTTATACAGGTATTCTCTGAAACCAAATGACCAAATCTTGGCTGAAGACAAACACAAGGAACTGTAAGTGCATTAAACCATTGGTTGTAAATAGTTTACTCTGTCTATGAACTTGATATATGTATATGTAAATTATCTGATTTTCAAAATTATATAATGACAAAGTATAATTAACACTATGACCTTAATCCTAACAATTATGATAACCTACACTATATAATTTACACTACATAAAGTTTACACAGGACATAATTTCTCCTGTATTCACATTAAAAGATGTAGTGTTGTATTCCATCATCTAGACTAAAGTCTTACTGGGAAATATGTCATGCTATTTTCTCTTTCCAGATAAAATATTAAATTGTTCCTATTTTCTTTCTGACTGCTCTACCAGAAAAAAGTAAAAAATAAAAATAAATTGTCACTCTTAATTTTTGGGTCTTACTCCGGTGGATCACCCACCTTCATGGTAATGATAGACAAATATAATTTTGTTTCTGTCACTGGTTTATGCAAAAGTAAATGTCAATTGTTTGGTACAAGGTAAAACACTTTATTTTATTTTTATTTTTTTGAAACAGAGTCTTGTTCTGCTGCCCAGGCTGGAGGCGCAATCTCGGCTCATTGCAACCTCTCATTCCTGGGTTCAAGCAATTCCCCTGCCTTAGCCTCCCAGGTAGCTGGGATTACAGGTGCCCGCCACCATGCCTGGCTAAATTTTGTATTTTAAGTAGAGATGGGGTTTTGCCATGTTGGCCAGGCTGGTCTCAGACTCCTGACCTCAGGTGATCTGCCTGCCTTGGCCTCCCAAAGTGCTGGGATTACAGGTGTGAGCCACTATGCCTGGCTGAAGACATTTTATTTTCACATCTAACTCAGGTCGCTCTTGGTTTAGTTTAATGTAACCTTCACTTGTACTCATTTATAGGGACAGTAATTTTTTTTCGTAGAGGACTTCAAGACTATTATTTTCTTCTTGAGATTAAGTAATAATTTTTTTCCAAGTACTTTTAAACTGCTTTTTAAAAACTGTCTTGAACCTTTTGTAAATTATTTTCTTCTCTCCTATTTAAGGTAACATAAATTGTTAATTATAAAATGGCAGGACCAATGTTCAGGGAAAGGATTTTCTTATGCGTTCTTACCGTTTACACATTCCACTATTATGCTAACCTTTCATCAGTATTTTTATATTTGGCCTATCCTTATTTGAGTATAATCTCCATAGTGGGTTCTCAAATATATATATTGTCAAGAAATTTTTTTGCTCTTTCTTTATTTCCTAGTATAGTCAGTGAGGGCCGGTGATTGTTACTGTAGCATTGGTTGGTTATTATTTATAGGTCTGGTAACAGAGCTTCTTTTGCTTTGGGAATTAAGTAGTTGGTGAGCCTTAAAAGTTCCTTTAGTCCTTAGACTATGACCAATATTAAAAATACCAGAAATCTGCTTTTAAAGAATATGTTATTTAATATGTAACCCATTTTAATGTTTTAATTCATTTGAAAGTTTTTTTAACTGTCCAAGATATAATTCATCTCTATGGGTATAACTTGGCGAACTGATACTTTTTTCTTACCTTTTTTTTTGTTTTTTTGAGACAGACTCTTGCTCCGTCACCTAGGCTGGAGTGTGGTGGCATGATCTTGGCTCACTGCAACCTCTGCTTCCTGGGTTCAAGCGATTCTCCTGCCTCAGCGTCCTGAGTAGCAGGGATTACAGGCACCCGCCACCATGCCCAGCTAATTTTTATATTTTAGTAGAGATGGGGTTTCGCCATGTTGGCCAGGCTGGTCTTGAATTCCTGACCTCAAGCGATCCACCCACCTCAGCCTCCCAAAGTGCTGGGATTATCACAGGCTTGAGCCACCGTGCCCAGCCCCTACATTTTATTACGAAAAGTTTTAAACATATGTTATGTGTTCACCCATATATTTACCACCAAGGTTTTATCATTAACATATTACTGCACTTGTTTTATCTATTTATTCTTCTGTTCGTGCATTACTTCATCTGTTTTTTGGATGCATTTCGAAGTAAATTGTAGACATCAATATGCTTCTCTCTAAATATTTCAACACATATACCATTAACTAGAGTTTTATATTTCAAAGTTTTTTTTTTTTAGTTTCACCTGTTCTAAAATTTCTTATAAACTGAGTCATATATATGTCCTATTTTGTATAAGGCTTCTGTCACTCCCTGTGTTTTTGAAATTCATCAGTGTTGTTGCATATATCAGTTAATTCCTTTTCATTTTTGCAGATTAACATTCTGTTGTTTATTTGTTCTATTATTGCTAAGTATTGCCACTTGTTTGATTTGTCATTATTGATGGTCTTGATATTTTTGGCTGCTGGCTCTCTTCCTTGTAGTTTTTGACCTACATACCAAAGAAAACTTTCAGTTGAATATGGCACCATAAAAGCAGAGTATTAATTTTAAAAAATTAAAACAGTTATTGAATTAATGAATTTCATGAATTATGAAAGCTGTTTATAAATAATCTCATTTGTGTCTTTGCAACTCAAATAGCCAAAATCTTGGTAGGGTGGTGGTCATGGAAGTCAGAGTCTGCTAAGGAGTGTATAACAACTCACCTGCTGTATTAAAAACAAAAAAATCTTTTTGTGTTCAAGACTAAGCTTTAAACAATATAAGAGATATGGATATAAAACAAAATTTTATCTAATCAGTAATTCCATGCTTTATTCTCATAAAACATTATTACAACTTCTTAATTTCAGTCTGTTAAAGCTTGATTAATTATAAAATTGTAAAAATGTGTTGGCACCATCACATTGACCTGCTCTTTGAAAATTAACCCTAATTCTATAAGAGTACCAATAAGAGAGTACAGTGATAGCTCTAATTATCTTGATATTAATAAATAAAGAGTGGCCTGGCATGGTGGTTCACATGTGTAATCCCAACACTTTGAGAGGCTGAGGTGGAAGGATTGCTTGAGGCCAGCAGTACAAGACCAGCCTGGGAAACATAGTGAGACCCCATCTCTACGAAAAACTTAAAAAAGGCCGGGCACGGTGGCTCACGCCTGTAATCCCAGCACTTTGGGAGGCCGAGGTGGGTGGATCACCTGAGGTCAGGAGTTCAAGACCAGCCTGGCCAAGATGGTGAAACCCTGTCTCTACTAAAAATACAAAAATTAGCCAGGCATGGTTGTGGGTGCCTGTAATCCCAGCTACTCAGGAGGCTGAGGCAGGAGAATTGCTTGAATCTGGGAGGAAAAGTTGCAGTGAGCCAAGATCACGCTACTGCACTCCAGCCTGGGTGACAGGGCGAGACTCTGTCTCAAAAAAAAGAAAAAAAAATTAGCCTGATGAGGTGGTGTGTGCCTGCAGTCCCAGCTGCTCAGGAAGCTGAGGCAGGTAGATCTCTTGGGCCTAGGAGATCAAGGCTGCAGTGAACCATGATCATTCCACTGAGCTCTGGACTGGACAGCAGAGTGAGACCTTGCCTTTAAAAAAATAAAAAAAGAATACCAATAAGAGAGTACAATGATAGTTCTAATTATCT
The DNA here is from genome assembly GCF_000001405.40 of Homo sapiens. NCBI lineage: Eukaryota > Metazoa > Chordata > Mammalia > Primates > Hominidae > Homo > Homo sapiens. Next base: position 74,228,066 of record NC_000010.11, read on the forward strand.
TGATATTAATGAATATTAAGTATGTTTTCATTAAAACATTTTTAGTTCCTGAAATTTTGTGATTCAGATTTCATATACACTTAGTCACTGATGCTTCACGAGTATACTTGTTTCTCTGTCTGAGGAAGATTGGCATGGGAAAACAGGGAAATATTGGTCAGCAGTGACACTTGTTTTTCTAAGCAAAGTGGTTTTTCTCAACTTCCTGTTTTTCATTATTCTACATACTGAAGACCTTGGGGGATGATTTTAAGTAGAGAAAGCTGAGCAATTCAAGTTGTGATGTGATTTATCTAAAACTATAGGATTTATAGTTTGTTCTATACATGATCCAGTAATCAACTGGTTTCATTAGCTTTCTAGTTTTTTTCAGTTTTAGTTTTGTAAATGGAATAATTTAAAATAAATTAGGAAAACATCACTATTTTACTAAGTATTTTTTCACCTACTTTCCATTGTGCTAGGCATTAAAGAAAAGATAGTGTGCAGCTTTTTATATGTCAATTATACTTCAATAAAGCGGTTTAAGAAAAAGTAAAAGATACTGATTTTATTTATAAATGGAATCTTACTCTCCAATAGTGGCTTTTCAAAATCTTTGGACACATCTGCAGTTATTGAAAATAGAACCATTTTGTTTCCATGAATATCTATTTTATGAATATATAAATTTTGTATTACCTTGGATTATGAGATCTGATCATATAGATTTAGGTAAGGAAAGTTAAAAGTTGTCTGGAGTTAGGGGTGAATTCCAAATGCAAATATAAATAAATTCAGAAGTATCCATACTACTTAACACAGAGTAACCTGGTATCTGAAGATTTTTTTTTTGTTTGCTATAAGGCAAGGGGAAAATCTCTTTAAAAGGGATTCACATTTATTTACTTGGCTTTTTAAGATAGCTACCAAGGTAAACAGTGAACTTTTGTAAGCAGTGTATACTGTTCTAAATATGAAGTGTATTTTCCCTTCTGATAGTGAATGAATTCCATTATGATTTTTTAATGTCAAAAATTAAATTATTTTGTCAGAATAACCCCTTAAATTTTTAAATGTTGTCTTATAAAAGTTAATTATATTGTGATATTTAAATGCTTGCCAATTTACGATTATGATGAGATGGAAGAAAATAAATAAATTATGCAATAGGCATGAACCTTCAAGGGTATTAGGACGTGCTCAGGATATGATCTTTGGTGCAGTGTAAAAATGTAATTTCTTAGTGAATAGGTCAATTTCCAAACCAGCAGGAAAGTTATAAGTATTTAAATGGAATGTGTAGGGATATGTCAGGGAAGTTAGAGACAATAACATCTGGTATGCTTTTTTTTTTTTTTTTTTTTTGGTGAGATGGAGTCTCGCTCTGTCGCCCAGGCTGGAGTGCAGTGGCGTGATCTCGGCTCACTGCAAGCTCCGCCTCCTGGGTTCACGCCATTCTCCTGCCTCAGCCTCCAGAGTAGCTGGGACTACAGGCGCCCACCACCACGCCCGGCTAATTTTTTGTATTCCTAGTAGAGAAAGGGTTTTGCCGTGTTAGCCAGGATGGTCTTGATCTCCTGACCTCGTGATCTGCCCGTCTTGGCCTCCCAAAGTGCTGGGATTACGGGCGTGAGCCACCGCGCCCGGTCTGGTATGCTCTTAAATTAATTGTTAATGCTGTGACTTAGCAGTTCTTTGAAATCATCAAGATCATAGACTGGGCTTGTGCCTATAATCCCAGCACTTTGGGAGGCTGAGGCAGGAGGATTGCTTGAGTCTACGAGTTGGAGACCAGCCTGGACAATATAGTGAGACTCTTGTCTCTACAAAAAGTTAACAAAAGTAGCCGGATGTGGTGGTGCCTGCCTGTAGTCCCAGCTACTTGGGAGACTGAGGTGGGAGGATTGCTTGAGACCAGGAGGTCCAGGCTGCAGTGAGCTATGATCCGTGCCACTGTGCTCCAGCCTGGGTGACAGAATGAGACCCTGTTAAAAGAATCTTTTTTTTTTTTTTTTTTGGTAAGAATGAGCTAAGAACTGGATATCTGTAAAGCTAATAGAAAAAAATCCTGTGAAGCAAAAAGTCAAAATTGAAATAAGCTAGGACCGACAGCAAGGTTAAATGCTTATTTTTTTTTAGTGTTCATAAATAAGGTACAGTTTTAAAAATATCATAAACATTTTTATGATCCTATTCTCAGGGCCCGGTTTTTTTTGTATCTTTAAAATTATAGTATTTTGATTCTAGAAATGAACCCTTGAACCAATATCCGTATTTTATCATGAATAAGGTGAGAGTAACATTGATAAAATGACTTGCTATAGTTTACATTGCTACTTAAGGACAGTACTAGACCAGAAACCAAGTCTCCTGAGTCCCATTTAAGTGCTGTTTTTGTCACACCAAGCAGTTCTCTAAGTATATAGTCTTTTTTTTTTTTTTGAAACAGGGTCTCGCTTTGTCACCCAGGCTAGAAAACAGTTGCATGATCATGGCTCACTACAGTCTTGTTTTTAGAGATGAGGTCTCCTTATGTTGCTCAGGTTGGTCTCAAACTCCTGACCTCAAGCAGTCCTCCTGCCTCTGCTCCCAAAGTGTTATGATTACAGGCATGATCTACTGCACCCAGCCAGTAACTTTTTTTTTTTTTTTTGAGACGGAGTCTCACTCTGTTGCCAGGCTGGAGTACAGTGGCGCGATCTTGGCTCACTGCAATCTCCGCCTCCCAGGTTCAAGTGATTCCCCTGCCTCAGCCTCCTGAGTAGCTGGGACTACAGGTGCCTGCCACCACGTCTGGCTAATTTTTATATTTTTAGTAGAGACAGGGTTTCACCATATTGGTCAGGCTGGTCTCAAACTCCTGACCTCAGGTGATCCGCCTGCCTCAGCCTCCCAAAGTGCTGGGATTATAGGCGTGAGCCACCGCGCCTGGCCGCCAGTAATTTTTTTTTTTAAAGGGATTAATATCCATTGCAAGACTTGGTAACGGATCACAGAGAACTCATTAGTTAATTAAATCAGTTTCACAGTATTGTGTTTTGGTTTTGGAAATCACTTCAGACCTATAACCAATATTGAGTGAGTTGAAAAGAATTAATTACTTCCAAATACAAGGCACTTTACATTCTTCTAAGGAGAGGATGCAACACAAAGCTATTTGGTCAGCTTGATACAAAAGCTCTTAGGTGTGCTCATGAAGTAAGTCAAATGTATACATTTTACAACCACATATTAAATAGAATTAGTTTTTTCTTTTTCCTTCCCATTTCTTTGAACAGTCTTATTCAGAATCTTCATCATTAGCAACTTTGTCATCATTGGAGCCCTTTTCTCTAGAACACATCAGCCTCTTTCTATGTATGATATTTTCGCTGGAAATTTTATCCTGAGCTATAAATGCCTCTCATGTAAGAAAAGTTTTTTTTTTGTTTTTTTTTTGAGACAAGATCTAACTCTGTTGCCCAGGTTGGAGTGCAGTGGCGTGATCATGACTCACTGCAGCCTTGACCTTGTGGGCTTAAGCAATCCTCCCATCAGCCTCCTGAGTATCTGGGACTACCACTGTGCACCACCACACCTGGCTAATTTTTGTATTTTTTGTTGAGATGGGGTCTTGCCATGTTGTCCAGGCTGGTCTTGAGCTCCTGGGCTCAAGTGATATGTCTGCCTTGGCCTCCCAAAGGGCTGGGATTACAGGTGTGAGCCACCATGCCTGGCCAAGAAAAGTTTTTTTTAAAGTTTATTTTTGTATGTAGTCATAATACTTGTAAGGTAACCTTTTCACTGTATTGCTTTTTAAACTAAGGTTTAAATAGTTCATTGTAATAAGAGTTACCGTTTGTGCTTATAAGGCTGCATCTCCAGGAGTAAGTACTAAATCTGTGTTAGATTTCTTTGCTGCTTTTTTTTGTTTGTCTTTTTTTTTTTCTTTTACTGATATGGTCAGGTGGTCAGGTTACTTCCGTAAGGATCCAAAACTAGAGTTGATTGAGATCATTTCAGGCTTATACATAATCTACAAATGATTCTCAACCAATTGAGATCTGAGTTCACCTCTTTTGCTGAACTTTTAATTGTGATCTTACTGTAAAATTCTAGGATCTCATAACTTCTATGAAATTTTTATACCTGGATTATAAAACTTCGGAAAGATTTGCTTAAATATTTTGTTGCTTAAAAGAAAATAATTGGCCGAGTGTGGTAGCTCACGCCTGTAGTCCCAGCATTTTGGGAGGCTGAGGCAGGTAGATCAGTTGAGCTCAGGAGTTTGAAACCAGCCTTGGCAACGTGGCGAAACCCTGTCTCTACTAAAAGTATAAAAAAAATTAGCTGGGCATGGTGGCACTCACCTGCAGTCCCAGCTACTCAGGAGGCTGAGGTGAGAGGATTGCTTGAGCCCAGGAAGTTGAGGCTGCAGTGAGCAAAGATTGCACAACTGCACTCCAGCCTGGGCAATAGAGTGAGAACCCGTCTCAAAAAACAAACAAACAACCCCCCCGCACCCCCCCCCCCCAAAAAAAAACAAACAGAAAATAATTAACACTGTCATCAAGGAAGGTAACTCATTATAAGGATTTAAAAAAAAAATTTTTTTTTGAGACGGAGTCTTGCTCTGTCACCCAGGCTGAAGTGCAGTGGCACAATCTTAGCTCACTGCAAGCTCCACCTCCCGGGTTCACGCCATTCTCCTGCCTCAGCTTCCCAAGTAGCTGGGACTATAGGCGCACGCCGCCACACCCGGCTGATTTTTCTATTTTTAGTAGAGGCAGGGTTTCACTGTGTTGGTGAGGCTAGTCTCGAACTCCTGACCTCGTGATCCACCCGCCTTGCCCTCCCAAAGTGCTGAGATTACAGGCGTAAGCCACCGCGTCTGGCCTATAAGGAATAATTTTGTGATTAAACATGGTCTTATATTCATGAACGATAGGTGAATGAAAAATGTGTGTTATTGGTGGTAAAATCTTAAAATCCTTAAAGAATTAATTTAAATTGCTACCTTCTACTTATGAAGCACTATATGGTGCCCTGGACTTAGCATTAGAAGAAACTTAGTTTATGTATGAGTTTTGCCATAGGCTGTAGTCTTGGGGTATTAGTTAGAATTCAATGCCACTATGATATTAAGAAATTTATTACAGGAATTAAATCTTATTCAATCATGAGAAAAACTGGGGATATTAAGGTCCCTAAAATGTGAGAGAAAAATCGCTAAACTGCCTTTTGATGTAGGTTAATGAATTGCGTGTTCTGTTAATAGGGAAACTGTGAAGGAGGTTCGTGTGTTGTGGGCTCTTTGCAACTACCACCTTTATGGGCCTTTAGTGAAAAATCTGGTGATAGGCTTGGTCCTGGTAGTTGTGGACGTAAGGTAGAGTGGGGATGAGTAAGGACAGATTACAGTTCTGCCCATACCTTTGTGTCTGTCCTTCCTGCCTCTAACCAATGACTGCCTTTGGAATGTAATGGCTACTGCTTCAATTGCATCCCCTAAATTTTTTGCAAATTTCTCTTGTGACATATCTTAAGCTGAAACCATATAGGAGAGGAAATTAGGGGAAGTGTACTCCTTCTTGACATAGTTTAATACCTTAACTTTGTTTAATCACTTAGTCTTCCAAACTTAAGTTCCTCCGATATCATTTTGGGTTTAGATTAGTGCTTTTCTGTCATTGTCCATTAAACAAATGATTTCTTTCATTACCTACTTCTCTTTTAGTCTGTTCAGTGATCCCTCTGGGTATAGCTTCTGAATTTCTAGCATAAAACTCTTCAACAATAACAAAAAAGGATAATGATCTTTCCTGTCAATTTTTAGGGGGAAGGATAAGGTGTTTCCTAGAAACTTTATTCAGAGCACTTTAGTCAAAGTGTAGTTCATTGATCCTTAACTGCAATTTACTTGACAAGATATATTTATGGGATGAAATTTATTGAGGGTAACAGAATGGAGAGAGAAACTGCTGGTGTGATGAATTCTCTTTCTTCTTGGTCTACAACAAACAGAAATATTTTGAGAATGTAGCTATGGCAGATTTTAATGTAAGAGTTATGCCAACACTATTTCCCCTTAAGGGTTGAGTCAGACCTTTTGGGAATGATATAGACTTGGGGGTCTTGAGTGAACTTTTAGTATTTATTAGCAGCCAATCTAACCTTGAAAACTCTATGTTGATTTCTTTTTGGAAAGTGTTGAACAATTAAATAATACATGTTAAAGAACAAGGAAGAAGGGCATTGTTTTAATTATTTTGTGATCTAATTTAATCCCCACAGCAACTCTGTGAAGCAGATATTGTAATCATTCCCATTTTACAGATGAGGAAGAGACTTCGTAACTTGGTTTATATAAGAAAAGGATAGAACTGTTTAGATCTTTTTGATTGCTTTCCATTTTGTATAAGTTCAGTGACTTAGGAACCTTTTTTAAAAAACTTCTTTGGAGGAGTGATATTGTTCATTATGAACATACCTACTTGAAAAGTATTTAAAGGTATTTTTCATGGAAATTATATTTTATAAGTTTTAGTATGGTTCACTAGAAATACGTCACAATTTGTAGGTAATACTGTGTTTTATTTTGAGTTGGCTAATTGTTAAGGTAAAACTTTAGAGGATAAAGTGAGCTCATATTGATGAATGGTAATCTGATATTTCCAACAGACTAGGTCTTTTTTTGAAGTTCATGTATTATAACTTTATTCTTTGTGATACTAGCTCCCTCTGTAGAACTTCAATAAGATTGCAACTGGACTTTTTCAATAATTTAGAAAAGTGATCTAAACATTATCTATAACATTTCCCTGTAAAATTTTACTTTGTATTCTAATCAGTTGCAAGTGGGTTTTTAAAAGTATAAATGTAACATTTATAAAAATGTTTCACTTTGTACACACAAAGTTTTAATAACATATACAAAATAAAACTTTCTTCAAACATTCCTATAACTTTAATGCTTTTTTATTTAGGAAGGCTAGAGAGAGGTGTGATTTCTAGGTCTGTAGGTCTGTGTTGAGTAAAGCCTGATGGAAGCCCTAGGGGAAAAATAAATTTTGACGTTTAGCTGGATACTTGAAATTATCCCTTTTTTTTTTTTTTTTCTGAAACTTTCCGGTTTGACTTGGGTGGGAAAATGTTCATAAGGGATTTTTTTTTTTTATCTTGTAGAGAAGGGGAAAGCAAACTTCTACAACAGGTAGAAAGAGCAAAGAGAAAATCTTAGCAAGATCCAGAAATTTAGTGGAGAATTGCAGGAAAACATTCTTGACATTTACGGTTTAAAAAAATTTTCCTTTTTCTTTTTTTCTTAAGAGGTGGTCTCACTCTGTCGCCTAGACTGGAGTTGAGTGGCATGATCATAGTGATCGTTCCACCTCAGCCTCCTAAGTAGCTGGGACTACAGGTATGTGCCACCACGCCTGGCTCCTTTTTGTATTTTTAGTAGAGATGGGGTTTTGCCATGTTGCCCAGGCTGGTCTTGAGCTCCTGGACTCAAGTGGTCTGCCTACCTCAGCCTCCCAAAGTGTTAGGATTACGGGCGTGAGCCACTGCACCCTGCTCACATATATGAGTTCTATGAGTTTATGCTGTTGTTGGAAAATCCTTTGTTATCAAAGTCTACCAATTTTCCTGTGTGGGAGTGAGCTTACTTATTTTACCACCACTTTTTCTCCTTTCTTTCTGCTATGGTTTGAATGTTTGTCCCCTCCAAAACTAATGTTGAAATTTAATTGCCATTGTAACAGTAATAAGAGGTGGAGGCCTTTAAGAGGTGATTAGATCATGGGGCTCTACCTTCATGAGTGCATTAATGCAGGAGTGGGTTAGTTATCTCTTAGAGGGTTGTTATAAAGTGAGTCTGGCCCCTCAAGCACTTGCTTGCTGTTTGCCTTCTGCCATGGGATAATGCAGCAAGAAGTTGCTGAGCAGAAGCTGGCACCATACTCTAGGACTTCCCAGCCTTCAGAACTGAGAAACATATTAATGTTTCTTTCCTTTATAAATTACCCAATCTCAGGTTTCTGTTAAAAGCCGTAGCAATCAAACTAAGACACTCCCCTAAACCATTTTATATTAAATTGTAAGTTGTATAATTAGCTCTTCAAAGATGTTTTCTCAGACATAATGTAAGCTCAATGAAGGCAGAGGAAATATGATTGACTTGCAACATGGAATTTAGAAAAATGAGCGAACTGATTTCAACCATAAAGCTAGGGACTAAAACATACAAATGAGGATAAGAAAGAACTGAAGTACATATGCTCTTTCAGTTTCTAAAAATTTAACTGTATTTTCTTCTAAGTAGATTGAAGGATGTTCTTAGGATTATGCTTGAGTAGGCTTTTAAACAATTTTGTGTGGATAATTATCTTTGAAGCCTTTGTTAGTACTAAACATCTTTATTCTGTTATAATACAGTTTATTCAAACAGACGTACAGTGTGTATTGTGGCACAAAGAAATTCAAGAATGATTCTTATTCTTTTTGTTTGTTGGCCTTGACTAAATTTGATACCAGATAATTGCTTTAAAGGATAGGCCAATTTTATTGGTATAACAAATCTACCCTTCATTATCCATAAACCACTTATATAGTAATCTGGTTTTCCTATACAGGCACACCTTGGAGATATTGGGGGTTTGGTTCTAGACTATCACAATAAAGTGAATATCACAATAAAGAGAAATACATGAAGATTATATTCCCCAGTGCATATAAAAGTTGTGGTGATATCACACTGTAATCTATTGTATACAATAACATTGTGTATAAAAAATGTATATGCCTTAATTTAATGTAATCTATTGTATACAATAACATTGTATATAAAAATGTATATTCCTTAATCCATAAAAATACTTTATGGATGAAAATGCTAACAATCATCTGAGCCTTTAGCAAGTTACAATCATTTTGCTGGTGGAGGGTCTTGCCTCAGTGTTGATGGCTACTGACTGATCAGGATGTTGGTTGCTGAAGGTTGGAGTGTCTGTGGCAATTTCTTAAAATAAGACAATAATGAAGTTTGCTGTGTCAGAGCCTTCCTTTCATGAAAAATTTCTCTGTAATATGCAATGCTGTCTGATAGCATGTTACCCACAGTAGAATTTGGAAAATTGGAGTCAGTCCTCTCAAACCATGCTGTTACTTTATCAACTTAAGTTTATGGAATATTCAAAATTCTTTGTTGTCATTTCAGCAGTGTTCACAGCATCTTCACCAGGAGTACATTCCATCTTAGGAAACCACTTTTTTTGCTCATCTATAAGAAGCAACTCCCTGTCCATTCAAGTTTTATCATGAGATTGCAACATTTCAGTATCCATCTTCAGGCTCCACTTCCAATTCTAGTTCTCTTGCTATTTCTACCACATCTGCAGTGACTTCTTCCCTGAAGTCTTGAAGCGCTCAAAGTCATCCACAAGGGCTGGAATTCACTTCTTCCAAACTCCTGTTAATGTTGATGTTTTGACCTCCTCCCATGAATCACGAATGTTCTTAATGGCATCTAGAATGATGAATACGTTGCAGGAGGTTTTCATTTTAGTTTGTCTGATCCATCAGAGGAATCACGGTCTATGGCAGCTATAGTCTTGCAAAATATATTTCTTAAATAATAAGACTTGAAAGTCAAAATTACTTCTTGATTTGGGGGTTGCAGAATGAATGTTGTATTAGCAGCCATGAAAACAGCATTCATCTCCTTATACATCTCCATCAGAGCACTTGGGTGACTGGGTGCATCATCAATGAGCAGAAATATTTTAAAAGGGGCCAGGCATGGTGGCTCATGTCTGTAATTCCAGGACTTTGGGAGACTGAGGCAGGCAGATCACCTGAGGTCGGGAGTTCGAGACCAGCCTGACCAACAGGGAGAAACCCCGTCTCTACTAAGAATAGAAAATTAGGTGTGGCAGTGCATGCCTGTAATCCCAGCTACTCGGGAGGCTGAGGTAGGAGAATCGCTTGAACCCAGGAGGCGGAGGTCATGGTGAGCCAAGATTGCACCATTGCACTCCAGCCTGGGCAACAAGAGTGAAACTCCATCTCAAAAAAATAAAAGCCTAGCCTCCCAAAGTGCCAGGATTACAGGCATGAGCCACCGCGCCTGTCTGTCCGCCCGTCTTCTTTTTTAAGAGCAAGAAAAGGTTTCCCAGAAGTACTCTGGTAGATTCTTATCACACACACATTCCTAAACCAGTTACTGGCAAAGAAAATAGAATTATCATGATTAATTAGCATATTCTGAAGTACATGCTTCCTTATAACTGAACAAAAATTAGAGCTCCACTGGCAACGCGGAAATGGCTGTTGACTTGGCAACTAATAGTGAATTGCTCACAATGTTTAAGTGAAATGGCCTGTCAGATTTCCTGGGAACACAGGAACCAGGGCCAGACTTAGAAACGGCCTCAGTAAGAGGTTTTCTAAAACTATTTTCTGGTATCGTAATTATTCCTAATTACCTTGTGCACTAAAAAAATTTAAAAATTTTAAATTTAGAATTTTAAACACATTTCCTGACAGTAACCAAGATATAAAAATGTGTAAAATTGAGTGAATATATTTTAAAGCATGGAAGATTTGTGTTACCCTCAGACTTGAAAGGGAACCTGCAAAGTTATGGTCTCATGGGAAATATTGTTTCTTTTTGCCTTGACATAATTTTCAGGCTCTTTGGTTTTATTCTAAGCAACCCAGCAGGGCACCTTTAAAAAGAAACAAACAAAATTACTGTCTCTAAACCAAAGAAGATAGAAAAATACATTCAGGAGAATAGTATACATTGAAAACTGCCACTTTAGCTAGTGCTTTTTTTTTTTTTTTTTTTTTTTTAAGACGGAGTCTCGCTCTGTTCCAGGCTGGAGTGTAGTGGTGCGATCTCAGCTCACTGCAACCTCCACCTTCCAGTTTCAAATGATACTTATGCCTCAGCCTCCTGAGTAGCTGGGATTACAGGGGCCAGCCACCATGCCCAGCTAATTTTTTCATATTTTTAGTAGAGAGTACTTTTTAACTGAGAAGAGATGCTGTAAAGTTTTAGGAAATCACAGTGGGGACAGTAGTCATACTTCTACTTTCTTCTGAATATAATATTGTTTCTTTTTTCTCCTGCAGTTACTTATTTTTTTTTTCTTTTTGCTTTAAGGCTTGGTAGTTCTGAGAATTTTAGATTCAGTTATAATCGAATGTAACTATCAACACATGTTATGGAGTAGTATAAATTGTTACTTGATGTTTGGAGTTGTTTTACTCAGTCACTCAGCAAAGGTAAGATTAGATCTCCGTTAGATGAAAAGTATTATCTCTTATGCAAAGAGACATTGGTTAGCTCTGGATGAAGACAATGGCTATGGGGTCAGTCAACCTTGTAGAAAGAATAGGCTAGGCACAGTGGCTCATGCCTGTAATCCCACCACTTTGGGGTGGTCGAAGCCAGTGGATCACTTGAGCCCAGCAGTTCGAGACCAAACTCGGCAACATAGTGAGAGCCCCCTCTCTACAAAAAATTTGAAAATTAGCCAGGGCATGGTGGTGTGTACCTCTGGTACTAGCTATCAGGAGGCTGAGGTGGGAGGATCTCTTGACCTGGGGAGGTTGAGTCTGCATGCAGTGAGCCATGATTGCGCCACTGGACTCCAGCCTGGGTGAGAAAGTGAGACCTTGTCTCAAAAAAAAAAAAAAAAAAAAAAAAAAGACACAATAAAAGTAAAATTGTATAATCTCTGGAAAAAACAAAATAGGCTGTCATGTTCTAATACTCAATATGTAAGGATGTTTAGTATATTAGTGGGTATAATTATTAATAAAATATTCTATTTAGTTATCTTTGAACCAGTTTGTAATAACCAAACCACAAAAATTCAATTTGCTTTGTATGTAAAAATCTTTTAAAATAGAAAGTCCTGCCTTAACTTTCATAAATCTGAATGTGAGCATATATTTATGCTTTTCATTTCTTTGCACAGCTTTTTTTTTTTTTCCTCTAAGACAGAGTCTCACTCTGTCACTCAGGCTGGAGTATAGTGGCACGATCTGAGCTCACTGCAACCTCTACCTCCCAGGTTCAAGTGATTCTTGTCCATCAGCCTCCCAAGTAGCTGGGATTACAGGTGTGCAACACCATACCTGGTTAATTTTTGTATTTTTAGCAGAGACAGGGTTTCGCCATGTTGTCCAGGCTGGTGCACAGCATTTTGTTGTTGATGTGTGAGACTTGTAATATAACAGTAATAATGCTGTCATTTCTTAAAGATGATATATAATCCTATCAAAATATTCCTGGGAAGTAGGTATTTGTCAGCCTGTCAGTGTTTTCCTTTTATTTTGTGTGTGTGTGTGTGTGTGTGTGTGTGTCTGTGTGTGTGTGTGTTTTAGTACATTCTCCCAGATGCTGAAATTTTCCCTTTAAACTGTTACTATGATGTATGTCTTATTTCTTTCTCTTTTTTGGTCCTAATTATGCTCTCAGGAGTTAAGACAGTATAAAATTATGTTTTTTAAAGGAAACTTCATCAAATACTTGGAAATTAGCAAATATTTTTTAGAGGTAGAAACTGTCATTTATATTCCTAAGACTTGTAGGCCATTGTATTTGTTGACTGACTGATTTGACTGAGAACCTAGTGTGTGATAACGTGTCACTGTTTCTGTCAACTTATATAATTGAGGGTCTTTTTAATTGTTCTTACCTTAGACCACTATATACTTGTGGTCTTATAAAGTATATTTGAAAATTATATGCATTTTCATGTTTTGTCTGGGCCTGGGAAAAATATTTATTTTAAAACTGTAACATCTTAACCTTTAAAACCCATTGTCAGTTATTTGGAAAAATTAGTATTATATGATATGAAGCACTTCTTTTTATTGCTGATTTCAGGTTTCACTATCTGGGAAACTCCGGTGTGGAGACATAGGTCTGTTAACTGTCTTCTTTGTTTTATCTGGAATGTTTTATTGATACTATAAAACAAAACTTATCAGTAAGACTGATTTGGAATTCATATTGTTTGACAGCATTATCACTGTCAATAATTATCCATTGTCAGTATTTGTAAAGCAGAATAAAAGAAGCCATTATTTAAGTTTAATTCCTGAGATGATTCAGCATACGGTGTAATATCAATCTGTGGGAATTTTATTTTAAACTTTTTCTTAGTAAAGTTTACTTTTTAGAGCTGTTTTAGGTTCATTCACAGCAAAATTGAGCAAAGATACAGAGATTTCCCATAATCCTCCTGCCCTCACACATGAATAGCCTCCCCCATTTTCAGCATCCCCCACCAGAGTGGTACATTTGATACAATTGATGAACCAATATTGACACATCCAAATAAAACTATTTTTTGGGGAGGGGAGACGGAGTCTCTCTCTGTTGCCCAGGCTGGAGTGCAGTGGCGAGATCTCAGCTCACTGCAACCTCTATCTCCCGGGTTCAAGCAATTCTCTTGTCTCAGCCTCCTGAGTAGCTGGGACTACAGGCACACGCTACCATGACCGGCAAATTTTTGTATTTTTAGTAGAGACGGGGTTTCACCATATTGGTCAGGCTGGTTTCAAACTCCTGACCTCAAGTGATCCACCCGCCTCGGCCTCCCAAAGTGCTGGGATTACAGGCATGAGACACTGCGCCCAGCCGATAAAACTCTTAGAACAAGATTAATTGATTGATTGAGACAAGGCCTTGCTCTGTCTCCCAGGCTGGAGTGCAGTGATGCAATCATAGTTCACAGCAGCCTGCAGCTCCTGGCCTCAAGTGATCCTCCTGCCTGAGCCTCTTGAGTAGTTGGGACTATAGCTTGTGCTACTGCTCCCAGAAGTCTCTTATTTAATCTGTCTCTTCTAAAGTATAGATGTATAGTTCATACCTTTAGAAATTTCTGAGTTTTTATGGTGGTTCTGCAAATAAACCTGTTTGCTTCTTATTTCTGCCTTCCCTTCCTTCTGAGCCTTTGGTTTTTGATTTTCTCTTATATGCTGGTTCAGCTATCCTTGTTTCTGTTGCTTTAAAGCCTTCAACATATTATGAACATTTTCCACCAAACATATTGTTCTTATGAGTACATCGTAATTTTAGGGCAAGAAGCAGAGATGAACTTTGCTTTAACTCTTTTGTGTTGAAGTATGCTAATGGCAAGCATGTTTTTTAAATATAAAAGTTGTACAAGTTGAGATGTTTAATTCCTTTACTTTAAGAAAAAGCATCATAATTAGAAGGGAGAATTGCTGTTATCTGGAAGGTGTTCAGACAGTTTGGGGAGAAAAAAACAACCAAAACAGCTGCAGTGTAATTTCCATAAGGGAATGGGCTTATATCTTTGTTTATTTGTGTTTGTTTTCCATTGTACACTCAGTGCCTAGCACGGGGTAACACAGTATGTGATTAACCAACAGTTATTGGAAAAATATATTTTAGTGTGTTATTTTAGATAATTAAAAGTACATTTAGGAAATATGCAACCTTTTTGTTTGGCTTTATTAATCAGCTTTAAAATGCTGATGATAGAAGCAGGAGGCAGAGAAATTATAGGCAAATAGGGGTGGGTCCCTGGTGAAACCCCACCTCCAAGGTGAAAAGCTTGAAACCAGCAGCCCAAAGTGAGAACTTCTATTCCTGTTTGCCTGCACTGTCCTGATTGGTTCTTTCTGAATAATGTCTTTTTACCAATTGAATGTTGCCTTTTCCAAAGCTACCTATGGCCTGCCCCACCCGCATCCTGTGCCTGTAAAGCCCCGGACTCAGTAGGTAGAGAGGAGAGATTCTGCCAGACTTTCGGGAAAAGAGATGGCTTGACTTCGGGGAAGAGACTACTGCTGTACTTCAGGGAAGACCACCTACTCTTCCCGTCCCCTCTCCAGCTCCCCTCTCCACTGAGAGCCATTTCCACCGCTCAGTAAAATTCTCCACCTTCACCATCCTTCAAGTGTCTGCATCACTTCCTTCTTCTTGGATACTGGACAAGAACTCAGAACCCACGGAGTGCAGGTACCCAAAAAGGCTGTCATACTGGCCCTTTGCCCTCGCTGGCGGAGGGCAGCCACCCCACGCAATGTGGTAAGGGACCAACTGAGCTGTTAACATGCACACAGACAGACGGCAGAGCTAAAAGACCACTGTAACACTTTCTCTGGGGTTTTGGGGTCGTGGGCACCCTCACCTGGGTGCTGCTGTGGGACCTGCATGGAGCTTTCTCTCGCTGGCTCCTGGAGCAGCCGGCCAGGTCCTGCACTCTCTTGCTAACATGCTCCCTCCTGCAGGGGGTTGAGCGCTGTGGCGTGAGTAAACTGTCGCCCTTGTTGCAAGTCCAATGAAGGGACCAAGAAAAATCCTGCATCACTGATATGAAATGTACCAAATTAAGTAACATCATCTTATTTCTTCTGATTTTGTTTTCAGTTTGTTTATATTCCTTTCCATAGGTATTATGTGTCTGTTTTAGTTCATAAAATTGTGGCCTAATTTATATTTTGACCATTATTCAGCACACTGTTAGTACTCAGGACTAATTTCAGTTGCTTATTTAGACACATCGAAATAAATCACATTTTAAGGCTGGGCGCAGTGGCTCCTGCCTGTAATCCCAGCACTTTGGGAGGTTGAGGCCAGGAGTTCGAGACCAGCCTGGGCAATATGGTGAAATCCCGTCTCTACTAACAATACAAAAGTTAGCTGGGCATGGTGGTGCACACTTGTGGTCCCAGCTACTTGGGACTCTGAGGCACGGAAATCGCTTGAACCCAGGAGTCAGAGGTTGCAGTGAGCCATCACGCCACACTGCATTCCAGCCTGAGTGAGATTACGTCTCAAAAAAAATTTTTTTTAAACATAAATAAAGACCACACTATCTTTTTTGAAGATTATGTTCACATTTCATTCTCTCCATTGAACTGTATAGATGTATTACCTGTATATAAAGAATGTAAATTTTTTTGTATTAAAAATCGACACCTTAAAAAAAAACTAATACCACCACAAGGTTAAGCTCTGAGGAGATTTCAGCTTTACAATAATTACATTGTTACAATAATGTTTAACTTCTCAATAATTAAAAACCAAAGCAATGTTGCAACCTTGGTTCAATATTCAAATATATTTTTCTTGGTAACCAAGCTACTTCACTATTTATAGTACTTTATAAATGATTTAGAATTGTTATGCAGTTTTTTCAAAGAAGTATTCATAAGGTAAATTTAGAAAATTATTTTAAAACGAAAGTGATGCCCACCAGATGGTGCTATTTCGCCTGTTTTATCTGCGACAATAAGTAGGAAAAATGAATATAGAACTTCAAAAAAGTGTATGGAAGATCTAGAATATTTGGGCATTGTATTTTGGGTGTAGATGAGCTCAGTGGAAGGAAGCATTCAAATATTCTAAACTTGTGTTTAGTACTGTATGTTTATCTTGATAAAGGTAAAGATGAATTCCCAGAGTTAATATGCCAGATAACCTTTTATTTAGTCTAAATGTTAAGTAGATTTTTTGAAAAGTTGACCTATATGCAAATTTTATTAACTTCATAGCTGTATATGCATGAAAAATGAAATTATTTATTAGATATGTGTTACCAAAATTTGTTTCAAGATTTCTTTATATTGTTAAGTAAACAATATTACTATCTCATTTGAGTTACATTGTGATTTACAAATTAAGGGAAACATTTTGATTTTTTTATGTGTTTGTAATTATTACCCAGAAACTTAGGCTTGAATTCACTATTTTTACAAAGGAAAGAGATGACTCTTCTAAATTAATTTTTGTATTAGGAAGAGGGCAAACTATGTGGTACAGTGTTCACTTAGATGCAGCCATTGAATGACGATCCATTAGAGTCAAAATGGTTAGTTAGCTAATGAAATACACTTTTCAGTAAAGCTGGAAAGATTTAGCCAGCTCTTAAAAGTGTTTCTAGGATTTTAATGTAGTCTTTTTCCCGCTGATTTTATTATCACTCTGTATTCTTCTCTGGTCATGAGATTGAACCATAAAAGTCATGTAGATGCTTGTTATAAGTATTTGCCAAAGTCATCATTGTCAGTGATTTTATTGGCATGTGTGAAATTAGAGATTAAACTTGCTTTTAAATCTTGCATTTGAATTTTTCTTCTGGAAGGGTACATGTATAACTTTCAATTTAATGTTCAATTATTGGTAACAGAATGAAGCATCTCTCTATAGGCCAGTAAATATATATAGTAGATTTTATTGTATTCCTGTACTGTTTTTGAATGAATATTTTACTAATTATATTAACATAATCCTCATACATACCCTTAAGATTAGGACCTACTATAATGCTTTATTTGAACTTGTTTCATAGCATTTGTCTTTTTTAACTTTGGATTATAGTTTTGGAATATAAATCAGATCCCTCCTACAAAAACATAAAGTTCTTCATGCTTTCTCTCATTCCACTTATCACAATACTTTACATGTAGTAGATGACCCTATATATTTTTTATATAAATGAATAGTTTTGTCATGCCAAGTATTGATATTAGTATTAGTGACAACAAGTATTCCTCATTCCATAGTTTTTGTTTTTGTTTTTTTTTTTTTTGAGACAGAGTCTTACTCTGTCACCCAGGGTGGAGTGCAGTGGCAGAATTTCAGCTCACTGCAATGTCTGCCTCCCAGGTTCAAGCAATTCTCCTGTGTCAGCCTTCTTAGTAGCTGGGATTACAGGCATGCACCATCACGCCTGGCTAATTTTTGTAATTTTAGTAGAGATGGGGTTTCACCATATTGGTCAGGCTGGTCTTGAACTCCTGACCTCAGGTGATCCACTCACCTCAGCCTCCCAAAGTGGGATTACAGGCATAAGCTACTGCACCTGGTCTCTGTTCTACAGTTTTTTATCTTATGCTTTTCTGAAATGACTTTTTATAGTTGGGTTTAAAAGGATCATCTCATTGGAATCTCATATCACAGTTATGATGCATTCTGTCATGATGAGGATAAGTGTATATTCAGGTTAAAAAAAATCAAAATATTATTGTCAGCCTGCATCAGTATTAGAGATTGTCTGGTCCAGGAGTTCTCAGATTGTGATTCAAGGGCCTCTTGTGGGAGGGGGGGGTCAGGGGTCCTTAAGACCTTGACAGAAGTTCTGTGAGGGCAGAACTATATTCAAAGTAATACTAAGACTGTGTTTACCCTTTTCATTCTCATTCTCTCATGAGCATAGGTGGAGTTTTCTAGAGGTTGCATACCATGCCATACTGATTGAATGTACAAGTTATATGAAACTCTAGCAGTTCTGTCAAAAGACAAAGTTACAACAAATTTAGTTTAAAGATCTCAGTCAGCTTTATTGTGATTCTAGAATCAGGCAATACTTCATTCCATAAAGTAGAGTGTGTGTTCTAATGAGTTGAGCAGATGGTTGGTTTTATAGACAGAAAGGGCTGAAGAAAGCAGATTGGTCATTTCAAAGTGAATTCTCTTGTAAGGTCTGGATGGGGAGACAGGACAATAGAAAGACTGGTTAATATCAGGTTACTTCAGATTAGGGATTAAAACAGAGGAAACTTCATTATCATGCCCATTGAATACTTCATTATCATGTGCATTGAATATTGAAAATTGTCCTGTTTGGGATATTAGGCTGTTATCTGTCTCTCCTGATTTTTTAGAAAGTCAAGATAACAACTCAGTTTGGGTTTGGTGAGCATGGGTGACTCCATTTTGATTTTTAGTCTGGTCTTCTTTTGGAGCCTAGTGTAGGAGTTTTGTTCAAAACAGTGGCCTATAATTTTGGCTTCATAAGCCAGACATTAAAGAGATTTGCAAAGATTATAAAACAGTGCTTCTCTTGTCACTAAGATGTTTTTTAGTTTGGAAATAGTTATTTTCATAAAATGTTACATTAACATTTAATGAATTTATTCTTAAAATAATAAATATTTAAAAAAGTTATATTTTAACTTCTAATATGATAACTAGGGCTAGATATTAAAGCTCCTTGAATTACTCGATACTCTTTTTAAAGTGTAAAGTGGTCCTGAGATGAAAGTGTCTGAGAACTTATGATCCTAATTCTTTATCCTCATTTCATAGATGAGAATACTATGAGCCCAGAGAGGTTAGTTTAGTTAAGTACACTCATCCAGTTTTTGGCTTAGCTGATTCTTGGATCACTGACATCTGGCTTTTTTTGATTTTTTTTTTTTTAAGTTTTTTTTTTTTTTTTTTTTTTTTGAGACAGAGTCTTGCTGTGTCAGCTAGGCTCGGGGGCTGGAGTGCAGTGGTGCAGTCATGGCTCACTGCAGCCTTCACTGCCTGGGCTCAAGTGATCCTCCCACCTCAGCCTCCTGAGTACCTGGGACTACAGGCACGTGCCACCATGCCTGGCTAATTTTTGTGTTTTTTGTAGAGAAGGGTATTTTTTGTTGCCCAGGCTGGTCTCAAACTCTTGGGCTTAAGTGATCAGCTAGCCTTGACCTCCCAAAATGTTGGGATGAGCCACCTTGCCTGGCCTGATATATTTTATTAGCAGTTTTGCTGTTTAGATATTCTTCAACCTAATACCAACCATCAGCTCCTTTAACAGTTTCTTCATTTGATATTTTAACTAACTTTATTAAGTACATGAGTAAATTAGGAATATTGACCTACTTTTTCAACAACAATAAAATGGTGTTTTTTTAAACTCAAAAAATGTCTAGAAAAAGGGAATTGATATATGAAACAGTGTAACCTTAGCGTCAGAAAGAATAATGTTGAGGGCAAAGAAATAGGTTCTTGTGTTTTAGAGACTCTTTTACTGTCTTTTTTCCTTTTTTTCCCCCCTTCTTCAACAACAAAACATTGGTTACAAGCTTCCCTGGGCATTTATGGCAGCCCACCTACAGAAGAACAAGTGTTCTGTTTTAAAATTTTAAAAATTTTATCAAGAGGATAATAATTACACATATGCTGCTTTTTTGATGGATATGTATTATTTCTCAGGTTGAGCCTCATGGTGGGGGTGGTAGATTCTAACCCCCTCCTTTTAATTGTTGAATGAATTTAAAACTATGTCATAAAGAAACTGCGTAATTTTAATTCAAAGAAAGATAATTAGGATATACATAATATCCCTCTTCCTTTGAGGGGCTTCCTTCGTGTAGAAGACATGGACTGAGTGATTTTTGCTCAATAAAGGAAAACTTTCTAGTAGTAAAGAAATACAAAAATAGAATCAGCTTGTTTGGAAGTAGTGAGTTCCCTTTCTTATGAGGCATTAAAGCATAGACCAGATTATTGACTGTTAGTAGGAGTACTAGCAAATGAATCAGTAGATGGAGGGTTAATTGGGTTACATGACCTTTCAGATTGCTTTTTTTTTTGAGGTGGAGTCTCGCTTGTCACCAGGCTAGAGTGCAGTGGTGCAATCTCAGCTCACTGCCACCTCCGCCTCCTGGGTTCAAGCGATTCTCATGCCTTTGCCTCCCGAGTAGCTGGGATTACAGGCACGTGCCACCACACCTAATTTTTTGTATTTTTAGTAGAGACGGGGTTTCATCATGTTGGCCAGGGTGGTCTTGATCTACTGACCTCATGATTTGCCTGCCTTGGCCTCCCAAAGTGCTGGGACTACAGGCATGATCCACCGTGCCCAGCCTTCAAATTCTTTTATTAAGTGTTTGAGTATACTTGTTCAAAATAACTTTTTAAACAAGTATAAAAAGGCAGTTGGTTTAGCAGATGTATTCTACTTTTATATCAGCTGCTCTGTTAACCTAAAGATTTTATGGATCTGTGGTCTCACCATGATCACTGACATCAATTCTCCTTGAAGGAGGATGAGTTTTGTTTGTTCATTTTATTGCAAACCATTTGAAGAGATGATAGATTGGTAGCAGAAATTTGGCAGAGAAAAGGATGATAAACATTAGAAAGGAGGATAAAGCCCACTGGAAGACATAAATGAATTGATGATATTTTGGTGTATATTTTCTCATTGCTTTATGATTATAAATATTTTCTGCTGCTTTTTGCCACTATCTATTTTTCATGTCTTCCAATAAAGTATTCCATGGCCAAAATTTGTGTGAAATTCTCTTCGGTTGTTGCTGGTTTTACAAGTTATAGGGTTCTTTGGAATATAATTACTGAAATGATGACTACACTAAAACATATTTCTTCTTAATTTAACAAAGTATTTAGTGGGAGGAAGGCTCTAGCTTTTCTTATTTTCTTTAATGTTTTTTAGGCATGCTAGAGGAAAATAGTGTTCTTACTATTAGTTTTGAACATTTTTTATGACTATAGAGTTGAAAGCCCAAAACACTAGAAGTAAATGGATCATTGCAAAATATTTGTTTTGTTTTCATTTGTGAGTGGGGCATTCGTGTGTCACTGTGTCTATGCTTCTATTTTTCTCTGTATATAGTTTATATCCTTAAGACTTTCAGAAAGAAATTGAGATGTTATGTTGTTTTATTGTATATGCATGTACATGCATACACACACACACACACACACACACACACACAGTTTTATTTGTTCATCATATATTTAAGGCCTGACATAGGTCTTACAAAGTTCAATTACTATAGGGCTTAAGTAGGAAATGAATGGTAAAATGAGCCAATTTGAAGCAATAAATACTGATTGATAGATTATCACCTTCTTCCAAATAAGATATGTGGCATCGTAGAATCTTGCTCTTAGATACACAGATATGTGTGATGTTTAAATAGTTGAGAAATTCAACCAGAAATGAATGAAAGGGTTTTCCCGTTATCCTGTCATACGCAAATTACCAGATCATTCAGTTCTTCAATTTATCAATTCATGTATTTATTCATTTAACTAATATTTGTTAGTTTTATACTATGTGTAAAGCCCTATTTTAGACACTGAATACAGTGCCAGACAGTAATTTTCCTGCACTCATAGTTTATACTCTAATAGAGAATGTAGAATTGAGCTTTAAATTTCCTATTCAATAAGTATTTTTAGTAATATGTGAAGTACAAGAGCTTCTGAAGACTTATTGCGCCACTCTCTCCCTATTCATCCATTTACCAGTTGTTACTGAATGCTTACTCTATGTACTAGAAATGCAGAGATGAGTAAGATACAACCTGGCCCTGAAAAAAATTCAGTCTATTTGGAGTTATAGACAGGCAGTAACTAGCTATTATATAGTGTGATGATGGCTATGATATAATTACAAATAATATTCTGCAAGAACAGTAATTTTCTCTAGCTGTGAGGTATGCAAGAAGCTATCATAGAGAACTAATATTTGAGGATGAGTAGAAATAGTCGGGTATAGGGAGATCAAAGGAGAAGTTACTCCTATTCCCCAAATAGAGGGTTCTTCATGAACACACAGAAGTAGGCAAGGTCTGTTTGGAGAATGGTGAGATATTGTGTAGTTTGGGTAAAACACTGGGTATGTCATGGAGGGAGAGGTAAAAGAAGAAGCTACAACGTAGGTTCAGGCCGAATTGTGAAAAGTTTTATATACAAGGTTAAAGTTGGCTTTTTATTTTACAGTTAGTTGGGGACCTGTGGAAGATTTTTCAGCAGGCAAACATACTTAGTCTGCAGTTTACAAAGATAGTTGATAGAATACAGGATGAAGTAGTGAGAAGTTGAGGCTATGGAAAGGCAGGTATACCAGTTTGAAAACTTCATAATAGATATGAATGAAATAATGAGGGTCTCTTATAGGGTAGTAGTAGTAGTGACTTTAGAACACAGGGATGGATTAAAAATCAAATTCAGAGGTATTTTTGTTTTGCTTCATTTTTTTGAGACAGGGTCTTGCTCTGTCACCCATGCTGGAGTGCAGTGACATGATCACAGCTCACTGCAGCTAGGGCTACAGATGTGTGCCACCATGGCTGGCCAATTTTTTATTTTTATTTTTATTTTTGGTAGAGACAAGGTCTCATTATGTTGCCCAGGCTGGTCTTAAAATCCTGAGCTCAAGCGATTCTTCCATCTCAGTCTCCCAAATTGCTAGGATTACAAGCATGAGCCACCATGCCTGGTCCAGAGTTAGAACTGACAGGATTTAGTGAGTGATCCATATGGAGAGAGGGCGTTGAAAAAGATTTTGAAGTTTTGTGTTTAGTGTCTGCATAATTAAATGCTGGTACTATTAACTTCAAAAGGAAAAGCAATATGGTTGAGGGAAGCAATGAATTTGGTTTTGTAATATTGAGGGCAGGAGTAAACCTAAGGGAATGTTGGAGGCATTTAAATTCTAAGTGGAGGAGATGCCTATTCAAGAGAAAGGAGGAGGAGTAGGGGGAAGAGATAGCTGTTCAGTGTGTCATTAAACCTCTCAAATCCTCAGTTTGTTATTTATCATATATTGGAGGTAGAATCAATAATTTTTCTGGTTTTGAAATAACCTGTGTTTTAGTTATCACAAATTCTAAATTAGTAGTACAAAAATTATAATAATTATAGTTTATATGTTATAGACTGATGATAATATTTATTGATTACTTCCTGTGAAGTTTAGGTAAAATGCTAAGCATTTTGCATTCATCATCCATTTAATTCTCCTAGCAATATGAGTTAAATATTATTACTATCTGGATTTTCAGAAAAGGGAAGATAACTTGACCAAGATTGTTACAGCAAATAAGTGGTGGATGGGTATTCAAACCCAGGACAATCTGACATTAAAACTCAAGCTTTTAACCACTATATTATTTGCCTGTCTTGTAGAACATAAGAGTTGTAATGAATCTAAAACATCATCTAGCCCTTTCCTGTAATCAGATTTATGTCATAGCTAAGGTCTGTAATTAATGTCAAAATTAGCTATCCAATTTACTTAATAAGAAGCTTACTCCACAGCCATTCATTACTGCTGTTTTCCTTGTGGCAGATACTTTTTTTTTTTTTTTTTTTTTTGTCGACTCACCTCTTTACCGTGTGATGTGAGTAAATTCTGTATAGTCTAGGCCACTCATGATTATCCCATTTTTCTTGCTAGTCATTAATTAAGACCTGAACATAGGACTGATATCTGACCAATAACTCATTTGTGGCCAATGAGACATGAGGGGAGGTTTGGTGGAGGGGCTTCTTGGAAAGGTAACACCTCCTCTCCCCTCATTTTTGGATGTTTCTATCTAGATGGGTTCTTGGAATTGTGAGAGCTATCTTGGAATTATTTGGGGCCTAGGTCAGGATAAAACCAAAACACTGGATGGCACAGTGAAAAGATGGTGAGAACTTGGATCCTTAATGATCTTGTTGAACTTCTAAATTACCCATTCCTAAAGCTATTGTGCCTCAGGACTAGGTCTTACATGAAATTAGAGGGAATTTATTAGGCTGTGTGAAACAAGGACTTTTTAAGGCTACTAACAGTTTTTTTCTTTTAAACGATACTTATCACTGAAAGAAACCTAACTGGGATCTGCAGTGTTTATCTTTGTCTGAAGTAAATAGAAAGGCACTGTAGGGCTTGCATTACTGTTGAGACACAATTAAAACAGGAATAGAAGACAATTTTTGTGTCACTGCACCTAATTTAATTGGTGTAGAAGTTGGAGATGATCATGCTCTAGAAAACAGATCTTATATATGTTAAAGGTAGCAAAGTGTCATTGAGGAAATGAGTCTGATTATTCTGACAGTTTCTGTAGGTAAAAGGAATAGAAAGTAAGTGTTCAGATTAGGTTAGGAAATAGAAATGGATTTAGTTTGTAGACAGTTAACCTACGTTTCAGGGTCCTTCCAAGACTCTGGAAGAATCTCAAGCAATGTGTTAACATAATATTTTGGGTGAGGCGGGGTAAGATTTGCAAAAGTTAGGTATTTAATCCATTAAAACTGCTATTCCTTTTCACTTAGACTTTCCCTGTATCATACCCTCATATTGGGTGGCATTAGAGTGGCCTGAGCTAAGGGAAAATTGAGTAGAGGATACATTTAGAGATAGTATATGGTTAGCAGTTGTTTATGTGTCCAGTTATTTTGTAGGCATTACTTCCAGGAATGTTATTACTGTCCACTGTGTCTACTTCCCTGGCCTTGTGATACATAGATGTAGTTTTGCAGGGCAGGTGAGCCCCAAAGTGGGGCTCAGCCCGTGAGGGTTCTTGGCTTTGCCCAGAAAAGAATTCAAGGGCAAGCCAGAGGTAGAAGAAAATAGATTTATTGAACAGGCAGTGTTACAGCTCTGGTGGTGTTATAGCTCGGTGACTGCTCCTGCAGAGCAGGGCTACCCCGTAGGCAGAGAGTAGCAGTTCAGGGCAGTTATTAATACCCTTTTTTAATAACATGCAGATTAAGGAGTGGTTTATGCAGAAATTTCTAGGGAAGGGATAGTAACTTTTGGGTCATTGGGTCATTGCCATGGAAAGTGGTGGTAACTCCTGGGTGTTCTCATAGCAGTGTTGACATGGCACACTGGTGGGTGTGTCTGATGGAAAGCTTCTTCTGCCTAATCATCTTTCAGCTAGTCCTCAATTTAATTGGGTGTCTGAACCTGTCTCTAGAGTCAAGTCCTGCCTCCTAACTCAGTAGGGGCAAGGGTCTTAGAGCATTATAAATATGTTCTTTGTGGTAGAGGTAGAGGAAGAGAAACATCGTTTAAGTGTTTAGAGTGAGAAACTAGTCTGGAAAATTTTTCTAAATCTTGGAACTTGATTGTGGTTTTCGTAAATTTGATAATATTCCTAAGAATGTATATGACATTATCAGTAATAAGTTATAAAGAAGTTATAAAGCTGATATAAACTCTCTACACTGCCTTTTTTTTTTTTTTTTTTTAAGATGGAGTCTCCTCTGTCACCCAGGCTGGAGTGCAGGGGTGTGATCTCTGCTCACTGCAACCTCTGCCTCCCAGGTTCAGGTGATTCTTTTGCCTCAGCCTCCTGAGCAGCTGAGACTACAGGCACGCACCATCATGCCTAACAAATTTTTGTATTTTTAGTAGAGATGGGGTTTCACCATGTTGGCCGGGCTGGTCACGAACTGCTGACCTCAAGTGATCCGCCCGCCTCAGCCTCCCAAAGTGCTGGGATTACAGGTGTGAGACACCGTGCCTGGCCTACACTGTCAGTACTAAAAATTGATCAAACACAGTAGTAAAAAGATAAAATTATCTTTCTATTCTCTTAATGTTGCAAAATTGTTATATGAAGAGGAAATCAAGAAATGCAGCCAGAAATGTAAGAAAATAAGAGCATTATAGAGATAGATTAGGCAATTAATAAAGATATGCTCTTCTTTTTGAAATTCATGTTTTTGGCATTTGTTAGCCTTTTAAAGTTAGTGTTTAGTTGTAATTTATTTTCTCATTCCAGATATTTACTTCACACCTAATTTTGTATTCCTTTCCTTAAATAGAGTCCCACAAATTGTAAAAAAGGAATTAGCTCACCAAAAACACCAAATGCAGTATTTTTAATATTTACCTTTCAGGTTCGGTTGCTGGATCTAGATATGCCTCTTTTTTTTATTTCCTCATTTTTTCTTCTAAAAAGAAAATTATGTATTTTAATGTCAGATTGCTTTTGATTAAAATGTTTCATATTAAAATTGTATACCTGAAAAATATTATTCAATAACACACTTCAAAAAGTTGACAGTTAAAAAAAAAAGAATAGCCCTTGTTACTTTTCTTATCTAATCACAGAGTTTGTGTAGTGAATGTAAAAAGAAAAAAAAATTGTTACAAGTTTGGAGCAAAGAGCTCTGTGTTTAAAAGGAATCTCCTTCTTTTTTTGTGTGTTTTTCCTTTTGTACCAATGGGGAACCTAAATCTGTTTTAGTTGCACAGACACAATGGACAAATAGTCATTTTGTATTTGCCAAGTGTGATACCTTCCTTTGTTTATTTGCTATTAAACTGTTGAGAGTTTTATGGCTAGTGGATAATCATTGTTCAAACTTTTTAATAACTACAGTGAATTGTGTTAATATAAAATTATGCTGTACAGTATTTTCTTGTTATGTTGATGGTCAAAGTGAACATCAGATATTAAAAATTTAGATGAGTAAAATATTAAACAGCCTATTTTTGTCATGTAACAAAAGACCATGAGATCCATGGAGGAAAAAAGGACAGCTTTATTTTTCTATAGAAAACAATAGTAGGTTGGGGATATGCAGCCTGTGGTGTAAAATGAAAATGAGGTCCTAGTTGGGGGTTGGAGAGTTAGAAATTATAAAGGCAAAAATTGTAGGACAGGGGAGGTGGGGTCAAGGAAGTAAGGAATAAAGTCTTGATTAGATGACCTTTAATCCCCAAATCACCAGTGTGTCTTAGTTGGTTGTTTCCAGGTGGTTGGTCAGTTGGCACCAGGTGGTCTTTTGGTGATCATTTGGGGAATTTCCAAATGATCACCAAAAGGAACTGTTCTTTGACTTGGTGGCAGAAAAACAGGTTTTGCAACACTTTTAAGGACACAGGGTATAATTGCTCCCTTACCCTGTCATTGCCTCTTGGTTCTGCTTTTACCTTTGAGCCACAAGGAGTCTATCTTGTCAATTAACTGGGGGCATAATTTGACAGTCCAATATGTATAATGATGACAACAGCTCCACTAACATGAATGCCATTCTTAGAATTTCTCATAGATCCTGGCATTTGGTACATCTGAGTTGAATAAATAAAAGTCTGGGGAATGAATGAAAGAAAAATTAGTTCAATGTCCTATAACTTTAAGTTAATTTATTAGAATTGCCACCAACAAAATTAGCTCTAGCATTTAGATACTAAAAGGAATTTGTTAAGCAAACTTACTTTTGCAGTTATCTCTCCATGGACAGTCAGAACAGGTATTCTTCATTTCTAAAACATACTGCTGTTCTTTAAGACCATTCTTTGGCACTGTGGAACTTTAGTCATTTTCTAGACATTTGTTAGCCACTAAATGTCTCATACCAGGGACTCATATTTGTAAATAATAGTGTCTGCCTTTGAGAAGCTCATAACTGGGTAGTCAACGAACAGTCACAGTGCAGATCTGGAATCAGTGTTGAGGGAGTACAAAATCCTTTGGGTGTTGTAATCAGAGTCAAGAAAAGCTTCACAGTGGCGATAGGCTTAAGCTTAGTTGAAGGAAGAGGAAGCTTTCAAGTGGAGGTGGCAGAGAAAGCATTCTGACATGTGAAAAGGCAGGAAAGCCTGCGTGCAGCATATTTATTAGTTTTGTCTCCCTTGGAGCATTTTGTAAATTTTATTGAGTATTCAGAGTTGACAGAAAGGCAGTCAGGGATCATTTCATGGAGCGCCATGCTGAGAAGATTAGAGGATTTTAAGCAAGTGATGTGGTCAAATTTGCAGTTTTGAAAGAGTACTTAACATTATCCTGGTTATATGTTTAGCAGATTTGGCAAGAACTGATTGTTATGATTTGATAGTCATTTAATACAAAAAGGAACCTGGAATGCTCTTCGTCTTTAGTGAACATTATGTAACCTATCTTCATGGCCTTCTTAGTGAGGTAAACATTTTTTTTTTGAAATTGTAAAGATTTAAACTTTTTGAAGGGTAAACTTTCTCAGATAATTATGCTTAGTTGTGAGCAGAAGTAAAATAATGTTTTTACAGGCCAGAGCATTTAATTACCAGTGCAAGACTGTCCAGACTACTCTTTCCATTTACCATGATAACTGGTAAAATGTGAGATGGTGATTGCTCCATCATCTTGGGTACTGAGATGAAAAGATGTGGGGTGGAGTCCTCAAATGACTTATGATGAACAGCTAGTGTAAGCAAGAAAATGACCTTATTGTTTTAAGCCACTGATATTTTGCAGTTCTTACCTGATAAATGGTACATGAACCTAACGTGTTTTTATTGATGCAACCATATATCAAAACAGTATTTTTGAAGGAATCATTGTAGAAGTACAGACATTTATAGAAAATTTTTTACCTCTCTGATTTAGAGAAATTTTTGAAAGCACAATAACTTAGGTAACATAGTAACATAAAAGTTCTCATAATATGTGTAAACCAAAATGAGTTACTGCAACTAAGAGTCATTTTGAAAGAGACTAAAATTGACTTATCTTTAATTTGTTAAATAAAAGTGTGATATTAAATCCATTACAAAAATGGGTAAAAATTGAAGACAACTGCAATTTTATAGGTTACTGAACTTTATATTTTACATGATATTACAGTCATCCTTCAGTATACATGGGCGGGTGGTTCCAGGACCCAAGTCTACAAATATGTTAAGTCCCACAGTGGGTGCTGTGAAACCTACATAAAGGAAAAGTTGGCTCTCTGTATGCGCAAGTTTCGTATCCTGTGAATTCTGTATTTTCAATCCACATTTGGTTGAAAAATTTCAGCCTGTAGGTGGACTTGCGCAGTTCAAACCCACTTCATTCAAGGGTCAACTGTATTTTATAGTCAGTATTTGCATAATAAGGAAATCTAAATGGTACTTTGATATTCAAAGTTTCATAATAATCTATATGTATGTTTTAAAGTGAGTGTGGTGATATTAATACTTAAATGAAAAATATGAGTTAATAAAGCAATTTATAATTTTATATCAATTGAGCATATTGTTTTTGAAATTTAATTTAGAATAATCATCTATACATAATCTATAGATACTTTAGTCTTTCTATATGACATTCTTATGGTGGTTTATTGATTATCATAACTATGAATAATGAGTAAAAATTATACAACTATACAAGCCAATATATGCTTGAAATTATTATTTATTGATAGTAAATTAGATTTTGACATGAAATGATTTCTGTTTAGGCAATAAATTTAAACTATAGAAAAAAATGCAGTGTAACTTGTACTGTAAATAAACGATTAGCAATGAACATTACAGTGAGAGCTGATAGTTTATGAATTATTCACTGCAAACTTATTGTCTCTGTGTCATTAACATGTAAGATAATGAGCCTAATTACCATGGCTTTAAACTCAGGGGAGTTAGCAATTTATGTGTAAAAGTTTCTGGGCTGTAGTTACCACCCACAAGGGTATTGAGAGAACTGCAGACACTACTTCTGTGTTTTGTTTCAGAAATGTTCTTTTTCCTCACTTGCTTCCTTCTTAATAAATTAGTTTTTATTTATTTTTATAGTGAGAATTATGAGCTTTTCCTCTTGCTTGAATACCTTTTTAAAGGAGTTATGAGAAATATTTAAGTATTTTTTTAGTGTAGTTTAGTGTTGTAAGTAGACAAAATATTATTAGATGTATTCTTTTATTTGCTTACATAAGTTGGCATCACTTACTATAGTAAATGACCACTAATAGTGTAATTTCTTGGAAAATCTAGCCTAAAAGGTCAATATTAATAATTGGTTTTCTCCTCTAAAAGGATTTGTACTAAGATGATTTACTTTCAAAGTACTCAGTATTAGCCTATAGCCTTTTTTCTAATCTTTAATATTGTATCTTTGATCTTAATTTAAAGTTTTGATGAACTTGTTGCTTCTATTTTCTCTCTTATAGTATAAATTATCTGTAATAAGCCACCTTAATTAAAGTTGGTAAATCTACAACTGCTTCAATTATACACTAATCAATTATACACTAATTTAATTCTACTTAGCAGGATACGGTACATCATTAATCAGTTTTAGACTTAATACAACAGATTTAGAAGTAATCAAAATTGAAGCATTTTATTTAGCTGGGAAAAAAATGAAGGGTCATAATCTAGTAATTCACATATCAATTCTGATAAAAATCAAAGATTCTTTGCTAAAAATGAAGGAATGTAGCTGTTATGTTTACTGTTGAGTGCCATGGGCTGAAGCTGTGATTATATAATATCTTTAGATGTTAATAGCATAATAGTTTTGTGCTCTACCTTTTTCTTTAAATTGTTATTCATGTTACTAAATGGGTTGTTTTCTGTAACATGATTGTTTAACGTATACATAATATAAGAATTCCTTGAGTGAATATCTTTTTTGTTGTTGTTGTTTGTTTTTGTGTTTTTTTTTTTTTTTTTTTTTTGAGACGGAGTCTCCCTGTGTCGCCCAGGCTGGAGTGCAGTGGCATGATCTCGGCTCATTGCAACCTCTCCATCCTGGGTTCAAGCGATTCTCGTGCCTTAGCCTCCCAAGTAGCTGGGATTACAGGCATGTGGCCTAGCTAATTTTTGTATTTTTAGTAGAGAAGAGGTTTCGCCATGTTGGCCAGGCTGATTTCGAACTCCTGGCCTCAAGTGATCTGCCTGCCTCAGCCTCCCAAAGTGTTGGGATTACAGGTGTGAGCCACTGTGCCTGGCATATAGAATATTTACTAGTAGTTTGTTTTGAACATGTAAGCATGTGCACAAATGTATTTTTTTCAGAATTATGTTAAATAAGATGATTAGATATAATTAACTCAAAAATCTTTAGCAAAATGATCTTTGTTTTCTGTGATTGAGGTGGTGACAAATTTGCCTTAGAATTCTTGGGGATGTGTTATAAACTCGATGTAATCATTTTTCTTTTCCTTTTTTTTTTTTTTTTTTGAGACGGAGTCTTGCTCTGTCACCCAGGCTGGAGTGCAGTGGCGCGATCTCGGCTCACCGCAAGCTCCACCTCCTGGGTTCATGCCATTCTCCTGCCTCAGCCTCCCAAGTAGCTGGGACTACAGGCACCCGCCACCATGCCTGGCTATTTTTTTTGTATTTTTAGTAGAGACGGGGTTTCACCATGTTAGCCAGGATGGTCTCGATCTCCTGACCTCGTGATCCGTCTGCCTTCGCCTCCCAAAGTGCTAGGATTACAGGCGTGAGCCACCCTGCCCGGCCCATTTTTCTCAATTATCTGCTCATTGAATTAAATGACTCAGATTGAATTTCATTACTCATTCTTTCTATACATGTTCATATTATTGGAAACACTTCTTGTCCTGCTCAGCTTTCTTTCCAATAAATTAGTAATTCTTTGCTCACTCGTCTTGTATTCCTTTATAAGAATGTTCTAGATAGGGATATTCTAAGTTTTGAAGACTATGTATGTTAAGTGCATTTTACCCTTTTGAGAGAGTTTTAGTAACAAGTTTCAGGGAACCCCTAGGACTCTGACCCATTATAGCTTTGGCCATTTAAAAAAAAAAACCTTCAAAGGTAATATGTGTACATGGTTAACAATCAAATAGAACAGATGGTCTGTCTAATAATGAAAAACAAGAAAAATCTTGCCCTATGTTTCTCTGTTCCCACTCCCCCCAAAATCAGCCACTTGTAACTGATTCTGTTTTCAGTGCTTATTGTGGTTGTCTCAACCTGTAGTAGAATTATAGATTCTTTTGTTTGTTTGTTTGTTTTGCTTTTTAAATTAGAGACAAGTTCTTGCCCTCTCACCAGGTTGGAGTACATTGGTGTGATCACAGCTCACTGAAGCCTTGAACTCCTGGGCTCAAGCCATCCTCCTGCCTCAGCTTCCTGTGCAGCTGGGACTACAGGCATGCACCACTCCACCCAGCTAATTTTTTAATTTTTTTGTAGAAACAGGGTTTTGCTGTGTTGTCCCTTGAATGCCTGGCCTCAAGTGATCCTCCTGCCTTGGCCTGTGATTATAGGCGTGAGCCACTGTGCCCAGCCTTAGAAATTATTTCTCAATGCTTTTGCTCTTCTGTGTTCTGTGATTAGGTGACTCTTTATCTCACACCACTTCTACCTTTTCTCCATCCTTCCAAGTTGTGATCACTGTTTTCGTTCCTAAATTGGTTATTTTTAAACTTCAAATAATTCAGGTAAATTTATATTTTATGTTTTGTTAACTGTGTTCCCTGCTTACTGTTTCTTCCATTAATTTAAATATCATCGAAGTTGATAATGCTAAGAACTTGTTTGTGTTAAGGTAATTCTCACATGTGGATAAAAACTGATTAGTGCCAAAAGTTTACAATAAAATATAACAGTCTCCTATCCTACCCTGGGTTCTCCAGAAGCGGCAACTTATAATACTGTTAGTTTGTTCTTTCTGATACTAGCTTATTCCTAAATAATATGTGTATTCAGCTTTTCTGATTAACCAATTTTAGATGTTATCTATTGACCTTTTTATTGGGGCCTGGGATACAGATCATATTATATACCTGTGCACCCAGTTCTGAAAAGTTATATAATAATTTTGGTTCAATCTATAAGCAGTCTATAATCGTTATTTATATTATAGTGACTATGTAAGTATTGAGTGCTGTAATATAGCACATTACATTCATTTGCTTAAACAAATATTTGGTCCCCCTTTCCCACCACATTATTTATAGCCTTGTTTATTCATTTGCTTGGTTTCCTATTGGCTAATTTGCTAATCTCCCCCCTCAGTGTTTCAGCAGATCTCTCCAGCACCTCCCATTAATTTTTCTTTGTTTATCATAGGTTCGAAACTCAATAATTTTTTTTCCTGGAAGTTTCTCTCCTTCAGCCCTCTATTCTACTTTACCAAGGAGTTGTCTTACTCTTTTCAGCTCTGATCCTGGGACTTCCCTTTGTTGCTCTTTTGGGGGACAATTTGCTTTTTGATTGTTTTTAGTCTTATTAGTTTATGCCCTTGTTTTGCTCAAGCACATTCTCCAGAGCTTCCTGAGAAAAGAATATGTGAGAAATAAAATTTTTCCATACATGTAGGTCTAAAATGTCTTTATTCTACCTTTACATAGGTTGGTATTTCAATTAAGTCTGGAAATGCAGATTGAAAATAATTATTCCTCAGAAACTTGAAGGCCTTGCTCCATTAGCAACCAGTGTTTCCTATGTGAAGTTTGATGCCACACTGATTGCTGATTCTTTATATGTGACCTATTTTTTTCTCTTTGGACATTCTTAGAATCTCCTCTTTCCTCCTGGTATTCTGGCATTTCTCAATGTGATTTTTCTTATTATGGCTTTTTTTTTTCATTGTTCTGAGCATGTAATGGGCCCTTATAGTCCAGAGACTTAAATGTTCTTCCTGCCATTCATGCAGGTTTTTGAAATTTCTTCTCTACTATTTTCTTTAGAGCTATGAGTTATTTTTATTAGCCAGTTTTCTATTAATAGACACTGGATTTTTCAAGTTTTCCACCACAAAAAACACTCATGGGCCGGGTGTGGTGGCTCACACCTGTAATCCCAGTGCTTTGGGAGGCCGAGGTGTGTGGATCACCTGAGGTCAGGAGTTCAAGACCAGCCTGGCCAACATGGCGAAACCCTGTGTCTACTAAAAGTACAAAAATTAGCTGGGTATGGTGGCAGGTGCCTGTAAATCCCAGCCACGTGGGAGGCTCAGGCAGGAGAATCGCTTGAACCTGGGAGGCAGAGGTTGCTGTGATCACGCCATTGCACTCCAGCCTGGATGACAAGAGTGAGACTTCATCTCAAAAAAAAAAAAAAAAACAAAAAAACTCCTCACATATATTATCTTTTTTGCATGTACTTTTATATAATTGTGCCAGTTCTTCTGTAAGATATACATGGCTTTTATCTTATTACTTTCTCTGAGAGGTAGAGGGTGGGGCAGGGAAGGCAAGGAGAGGAAGAAGCTTTGAGATTCTCCTACCTGAACTTCAGATTCTGGTGTGATACCTCAATATTGAGTTAGAATGGCTTTATCAAGCATGTTTATTTCTAGTTTTTCATATTATTTTTGTCTTAGTCATGAAGCACAACAAACCAACATAGAACCCATTTCATACTGATGAATAAACAGGTAGCTTCATTCATGTATTCATTTATTCATTCAGTCATGTTGTGATACTCTTTGGGAATACAAAGGTGATACTGTACTTGCTGTCATGGGATTTACAATTCTAGGGATAAGTAGGAGTGTAATTGATAAAACATGTATTTGTGCTTTTCAATAGTAATATTGACTAACTCAAGAAAACTTTTGGAGACAGGCTTTCTTTGAATGGACTGTGATGCTTGCTTGTTTATGTTTTCATGAATACATTTACTAGCTTTTGATTTTTTATATTAGGAGAGAACAGAGTGTCTTGTTGTGGCAGAAATACCTAATATGTAATCCTCTGAATTCTTCAATTGTTGCAAAACATAAACATTTACTAAAGAGTTCAGCAGAGTAGATTAAATGTTATTTAAAACATATGTTATATTGACCTCATGGCTAAATGGCCTGGTTTAGGAATCCATGAATTATCCCACAGGTAATAGCAAAGTTTTCTCCCTGCCTCGTCTCCCACCCCAAATATTTGATTTCCACATATACTGCACAGGGGAATTGAATTTGATGTCGAAAGCCATAAGAAAAAGAGAAACTTTGCTTTTTACTGCTTTTACTAGGAAATAGAAAACATTTTTAGTGACAGGCTATGCTTCATCATGAAAATACGGTTGGGTGTTTTAGGCCTTCACAAATTTGATTTCATTGTACTTAGTGATGGATGTTAGTAAGCTGTGTGAGATGGAGAGAAATTAAAGAATAAACAGGAACCTCTCAAACTTGCTAGTGATGTTCTACAGTTTGTAGCATGAATTTTCTTACTTTTAGTTTTTCCTTATGAAATACTTTATGTAGAACAAACTAGCAGTACTAAAACAAACACCCATGTACCCAATCTGTCAACACTTAGATTTGTTGAAGATTTGGGTGGGCAGAGTCTTCCACCCAAATGGTAAAAGGGGAATACATTACAAGTACATCTGGGGTTCTCTGTATACCTGTCTTCAGCCCATTTTCTGTCTTATTTCAAAGTTCACTGGTGTTCCAGTTTTGTTTTTAGCTGTAATGCTTTTCTTAGTGCTTAAAATATATGTGTATATATTCATAAGCAATATGAAGTATTGATTTGCGTGTTCTAAAACATATTTTACAGTGCCTCTCCTTCGGCTCGCTTTTTCGTGTAACATTGAATTTTTAGATTTTTCCCTGTTAATGCACGTAATTTATATGTAATTTATTTTCACCTGTATAGACTTGTATGAATACATCACAATTTATTCTTTGGTTGAGGAATTACAGGTTTTTCAGTATTAGAAACACTACTGTGTTTAAGGTTCTTGTACTGATCTGTTTATGCATATGTGAAAGATTCTTGAGGACTGTATTTTAAATATGTGGATGTTTAAATTTCAATTAATTAAAATTAACTCAGTTCCTCAGTTACACTAGCAACATTTAAAGTGTTTAATAGCCACATGTAACTAGTGAGTAATGTATTGGATATTGTGGATATGGAATCATTCCATTATCATAAAAAGTTTTATAGGCTAGTGCTCCTTGGGGTTTATACCTGTGTGTGGAATTGTTGTGTCACTGGGCTTGCACATGTTGCACTTCAGTAGATGTTGCTGAGTTGTTCTTTCCAGTGGTATCTGAGCATTCCCTTTCTCAATTGTCTTGCTAAGAATTGGTATAAACAGAAATTCTAATTTCTGTTTTGTAGGTGTGAACTGTATCTCATTGTGGTTTTAATTGAATTTTGAAAATATATAGTGAGGCTGAGCCTTTTTTCTTATACATGTGTTTACCTTTTACAGTTCTCATCTTGTGATTGCCTCTTAATGTCCTTTACTCATTTTTTCTTTTGAGATATTTTAAATTACTGATTTGCATGAGTTTTTTTTGTATTTTATGGATACAAATTCTTTGATTATATTTGCCATATATCTGTGCCTAGTATGTGACTTGTCTTTCATTTTGTGGTGTCTTTTGCCTCACACAAGTTTTAAAATGAAATGTAATCACATTATCAATTTTTAAAAATGCTTTATCTTCTTATGCCTTATTTAAGAAATTACTTCCTACTCTAAGGTCAGAGTTTCCCATATGTGCTTTGCAGAGGTAGATCTTTCATCTGGTAGTATGTAATTTTTGTGTATGGTGTGAGGTAGAGTTGGAGACTTGAGTTTTTTTGCATATGGATAACCAATTATCTTTGTATAATTTTCTGAAAACTTCATTGCCTTAATAGTTTTTTGTTTGCATGGGGGTCAATTTCTGGGTTCTAATTCTGTTCCATTGGTCTATTTGTCCCTATACCAATGTTTCAGTTGAATTTTCCTTTTTGTCAAAGTACCTATTTTTTTCTTTATTTTTTGTAGAGACAGGGTCTTGCTTTGTTGGGTAGACTGGTCTTGAACATCAAATGATTCTCCTGCCTTGGCTTTCCAAAGTGCTGGGATTACAGTTGTGAGCAACCACACCTGGCCAAATTTTCTTAAAATGAAAATAACAGTGATAATTTAGGTCCAAGCCCTCTTCCCAAAATTGATTTAGCTGATGATAAGCTATAATATTGGAATTTATAATATAAAATACTACAATTTTTTTTTTTTTTTGAGACGGAGTCTTGCTCTGTCACCAGGCTGGAGTGCAGTGGTACAATCTCAGCTCACTGCAACCTCTGCTTCCTGGGTTCAAGCGATTCCCCTGCTTCAGCCTCCTGAGTAGCTAGGACTACAGGTGCGCACCACCACGCCCAGCTAATTGTTTTTATTTTAGTAGAGACGGGGTTTCACCATGTTGGCCAAGATGGTCTCAATCTCCTGACCTCGTGATCCACCTGCCTTGGCCTCCAAAAGTGCTGGCTGAGATTACAGGCGTGAGCCACCGTGCCTGGCCTAGAAAATGATATTATAACCAGCAGATGTGAACAATAACATTTTTTTCTGTGATGATATTTGAGAAAAGCGCAACTTAATTACAAAAGAGTGAAAAACAATCACTTTATCAAAGTCAGAACTTCTATACACTTTCAAGTGGTGAATTGAGCCTCACTTAAAATCTAATTTTCACTTTTAATGCCATTTGTTTTCTTTTGAGATATAACTGATTCATTTACCACCAATTTTTATAAATTGGATTTGTAGTTTGGCCATTGTATGAAAATATTTTTTTAAAAAAGTATATGGGTCATATGGGTAGTAATCAGGCAAATTGGTTTTAGATTTGCAGTACCTGTTCAATTATCTGAGATTTAGGGGATCTAGGGCATGTGAGTAGAGGTTCTATTAGGTTTATAAAGTGCTTGTGATGATAATATAGGTTAAGGACCAAGTACCTGGGAAAGATCAAGGGCATACTAAATAGTTGTTCCTAAAGTAATGGGACAATTGCAGAGAGAGGGATGAGAGAAGGAGACTTAAGGATGATGTGTTGATGTGTATGTATATATAAATGAGACATAAATGACTTTTGGAAGGATTACTAAAGAAAAACAGCAATAGAAGAAGACTAGCCTATGTCCAGCAGCAAAAGGAAGTAGAAGACAGTGAGTCAGATAGTGACCAGTACAGGACGCTAGGTGGTGCCATTAGTCTTAGACTGCTTATTTGAAGTCTCTGGAGGCTCAGTAACCTCAGAATAGAAAGATCGAAAGGCGGCCGGGCACAGTGGCTCACGCCTGTAATCTCAGCACCTTGGGAGGCCGAGGTGGGTGGATCACGAGGTCAGCAATTCAAGACCAGCCCGGCCAACATGATGAAACCCCGTCTCTACTAAAAATACAAAAATTAGCCTGGCGTGGTGGCGGGCACCTGTAATCCCAGCTACTCAGGAGGCTGAGGCAGAGAATTGCTTGAACCGGGGAAGGAGAGGTTGCTGTGATCGGAGATCGCGCCACTGCACTCCAGCCTGGGTGACAGAGCAGGACTCTGCTTCAAAAAAAAGAAAAAAAGAAGAAAAAAAAAGGCACTGCTTGTATAGTAAATGAGCGAATTGTCTTATTGAGTATAACCCATAGTATATTATAGTTCTTGATATTTTCTTCTCCAGTGATCATTTTGAAAAATTTTCTGGAATTTGCATTGTAAAGAAGTTTGTCCACCAAATAAACTGTGTTTTAAAAGTAATAGTTCATTTCTTTCTAATTTTAAAGGTTGTATATAAAAAGGTATTTTCATTTAAAATTCATATTAAAAAAGATAATTGAAATTTTCATATTGAAATTATATAATCAGAAGGAACTTGGTGTTTTAATAAGCTTTAGTGGCCTTTTCCTAGGTCAATGTACAATT
Organism: Homo sapiens; assembly: GCF_000001405.40. NCBI lineage: Eukaryota > Metazoa > Chordata > Mammalia > Primates > Hominidae > Homo > Homo sapiens. The sequence goes on from NC_000010.11 coordinate 74,266,912, forward strand.
CCACTGAATTTTTTTGAAATACATATCCATGGGTTCCACATTGGTGGATTAAACCGTGGAAAGAAAATATTAGGGAAAAAGAAATTGCCTGTGTACAGAGCATGTACACATTTTTCCTTGTCAATATTCCCTAAACAATATGACAAAAGTTTACATACATTTCCATTGTATTAGATATTGTTAGTAATCTAGAGATGATTTAAAGTTTGGGGAGGATGTATGCAGGTTATATGCAAATACAGTTGACCCTCAAACAGCACAGGTTTGAACTGCATGCACCTACTTATATTAGTTTTTTTCCAGTAAATACAGTTGGCCCTCTATATGGGTTGGTTTGGCATCTACAAGCAAAAATGGATGGAAAATACAGTATTCAAGGAATGTGAAAGTTGTGTATATGGAGAGAAGGGCCAACTTTTTGGATCTATGGGTTCAACAGGGCCAACTGTGGTACTTTAGTATGTGTGCATTTTGGTATCCAAGTTGGGTCCTGGATCCCTCAAAGATACTGAGGAATGACTGTATTGAAGATGATTCCTTGATTCCTGTTACATTTTTTTTTAAGATTCCAGATTGGGAATAATTAAGTGCATTATTTGATTTCTGGAGATGAGTTACACCATTAAATTTTTGTTGATATGTGTATCGTGCAGGTGACAGAAACCCTAACTCATACTGGCTTAAGTAAATGGAAATTATTGGATCACATATCTAAAAAGATGTTGGTATGGCTGATTTTAGGTGAAGCTTGATGCAGAGGTTCAAATAATTTTATTTGGACCCTCTTCACCTCATCTTCTAGAGGTAGGGTACTGCCATCAGCTATTGGCTTATATCCTTATTTGTGTGTGTGTGTGTGTGTGTGTGTGTGTGTGTGTGTGTCTGTCTGTCTGTTTTAGTGGCTCTAAAAACAGGTGTAGGATTATGTCATATTAGGCCTCTTTGGCTTGTTTGGGTTCCATATCTACTCTGCAACTGGAGATAGAGTTAACACTGCTGGAAATTTATGGATTAAGAGTGTTGAAGGGATGATTCCCCAAAGAAAATTTGGATCTTATTAGGGAAATAAAGAATGGTTGTAAAATTGCACTTATTTCTTTAAGGAAGTCATCTTAAAGCTGTTTTTCTTTGCCAGGTATGGTGGCTCACACCTGTAATCCCAGCACTTTGGGAGGCTGTGGTGGGAGGTTCACTTGAAGCCAGGAGTTTGAGACCGCTCTGGGCAGCATAATGAGATCCCATTTCTACAAAATATTTAAAAGTTAGCCAGAGATAGTGGCATGAACCTGTAGTTCTAGCTACCCAGGAGACTGAGGCAGGAGGATTGCTTGAGCCCAGGAGTTCGAGGCTGCAGCTCGATTGCGCCACTGCACTCCAGCCTAAGCAACAGAGCAAGTCACCATATCTTTAAGAAACAGCAACACCCCCCAACACATGAAAAACTTTTTTTTTTTTTTGGCTAAGCTGTTCTTACACTATTGATTTTATTTCACTAGAATTTGTTTTTACTTTAATCTCATTTGTGCTACTTATTAGTTGTGTGACTTCTCAGAGTCCATTTCCTCACTGGCAAAATTGTTGATACAACTATTGATATAGTTATGGTGATGATAAAATAAGATAATGTGTGTGAAATACCTAGCCTAGTGCCTGGCATATATTAGATATTACAGAAATGTTAGTCCACTTGTAAGCATGGTTATTACCCAGACATGTTTGGATTTTATCAGTCTTTGCTATATGTTTTAAATTAGCCTATAATCTGTAAGTATCACAGATGTTGTAGAATGATCAATTTTCAGATTATCAGTTTGATTTATTGATTACCGCTTTCAGTGCTGAAAATGACAGTTGGTAGATATTGTCCAATTCATGACTTGCCAGTATTTTTATCCTAGTACTTAATGTGCAGATTTAGCTTCTGTAAGATTTTTACAATTAATCTATGTGGGGAAATATAAATTATCTTTAAGGAGTAGCAGTAAGTGTAGTGAAATTATGATAAATGGTTTTATTGTTTGGGGAAATAATATCAACTGCTTCATGTGTTTGAAGAATAAAAGGAAGTTGGCAGCAAGGGAGAAAGATGAATGATTAAGTATGGCTTAAACTTGTTTTTTAATTAAAGTGCTTCATTGTTGTACACAATATTCAAATTATATTTAAATGTAACATTAATTTTTCTATTAACATTCATCTTTATTAGAAAATATTGCTTGTATTTATCATAATTTTTTTCCCCACCAACTATAACACTCTTATAATCTATTTGGGTTAATGCGTGTGTAGTCTCAAGAAAAGAGCCTCCTTAATTGTTTTTAAACTGTTTGAACACTAGAGATTTAGTAACCTACATTTCCAATAACTAACAATACATATGAAACTCTTGATAGTGATGGAATAGAACTAATCATTTCCTTATAATATAGTGATACATCATTATTTGACTTATGGCATATTTAACTCTGGTTAGCTACAAGCAGCTTTATACTGGTGTCTTTTATTCAGATTTGAGAAGTATCAGTGTAACATATAAAGAACTTATTTTTACTAATTTTCACCATATTTTATAGACACAAACCACATGAGACCAAAAATAGTGTATACTGACCTGGCTGGTCATTTTATGGTTGGTTATTGTGTTTATTATTCTGTACTATGTTTGTTGTATTTGTGCTTTAGTTGCTATTTATTTTTAAGAATATTGTGTTATATAGGTGTAAAAGTGATAAGAATGTGCCAGGTATGGTGGCTCACTGTAATCCCAGCACTTTGGGAGGCCAAGGCAGGCAGATCACTTGAGCTCAGGAGTTCAAGTATATCTTTTGTAATCCCAGCACTTTGGGAGGCTAAGGCAGGTGGATCACTTGAGCTCAGGAGTTCAAGACCAGCCTGGCCAACATGGGGAAACCCTGTGTCTACTAAAAATACAAAAAATTAGCTGGGCGTGGTGGCACGTGCCAGTAGTCCCAGCTACTCGGGAGGCTGAGGCAGGAGAATCGCTTGAACCCAGGAGGTGGAAATTGCAGTGAGCCAAGGTCATGCCACTCCACTCCAGCCTGGGCAACACAGCCAGACTTCATTTCAAAAAAATAAATAAATAAATAAAAGTGATAAGAATGTGACATGTTAATAGGGAGAGATATTAGTCCGATGGTAATTAAAAGCAGAGAAAGTTTTAAATAAACTAAATGGTGAAGAATTGGTTTGTTCAACAATAGGAGTTATTTTGAAGAATAAAGCAAGTGATTAAACATGTGAAAAGTAATGTGCCTATGCCCCAAAGTGCTATTGCTTAGTGGGTTATATCTATTGATAATTACAATATTAGAAATTAAAATGGAAACGGTTGAAAATATTCAATACATTTAAAGATAACTGTAATAAACCCAGTATTTGCTAGCATAAACACATTTTTCTGGAAAATAATGATATTTTCTAAACCAGAAAAAAATAGTTAAAAGAATGGTATTGCTTTTTGCAAATCTCTTTAATGTCTGACTTAGTAGAAGACAGCTGGATTTTCATCTGCTTCTGCCTGCCATCTGTTGTAATATATTGAACTGATCCAGAACTCCTGGTCTCAAGCCATTGTTCCACCTCGGCCTCCCAAAGAGCTAGGATTACAGGTGTGAGCCACTGCACCCAGCAAAGCAAATAGTTTTAACCTTGTTGGTTCCCTGAAAAGATTTTGTGGGACCCTTGTAGTCCTTAGACTATGCTTTGAGAACTGCTGGCCTTAGCAATTGAACGTAAGTACAGTAGGAGACATTGGTAGAAATGCTTTTGAATTTACAGTAGAGTCTGGGCATCAATATTAGATGTCTATTGATCTTTTATTAAAAGACTAAGAGTTTGAGAATTTAAAGGCTAAAACATTATAGGTCCTGCTGATCAGACTTTTCATAGCCAGATAGTTCTGTAGGCTTAAGGCCCTTTAAATCCAGATAATGTCCAAGTAAGTGGCAAGGCAGCAATTTGGATTCCATAGCTGCTAAAAAGTTTTTTACGGCATTTGTACATAGATCATTAAGAAGAGAGGAATTATTTCTCACAACCAATTTTTAGTGTAGACAAAACTGGAATATTTTGGAGAAAAATGTCTTAATAGAATGCATATAGCGGTAATGTAGTCTTCTATTTGGCAGGAATATATATAGGGATGGTCACTTTAGATTAAAGAACAAATAAAACTTAACCTACTTATAAACAGAGGCTTCTGTATTGAGAATTTTTCTTAGTATAACATATATTCACCTTAGTATCAAGTTGTGGGGGTTTTTGATACCCCCAAATTGACAGTTATTCAGCTGAAACTTGGAGATAGGACAGACCTTGATTAATATTTGGCAATAATTGTCAGTTCTAATGTTGGAATTTTTGCTCTAACCTTGTTGATTAAGCATTTAACTTATTTACATTTTTATGCTTAGGGATTAAAAGTATGTCTACTTTACATTTATATTCAGGTATATATATATTTTTGTTGTTGTTGTTGTTTTTTCTTATTATTATTATACTTTAAGTTTTAGGGTACATGTGCACAATGTGCGGGTTAGTTACACATGTATACATGTGCCATGCTGGTGTGCTGCACCCATTAACTCATCATTTAGCATTAGTATATCTCCTAATGACTATCCCTCCCCCCTCCCCCCACCCCACAACAGTCCCCAGAGTGTGATGTTCCCCTTCCTGTGTCCATGTGTTCTCATTGTTCAATTCCCATCTATGAGTGAGAACATGCGGTGTTTGGTTTTTTGTCCTTGTGATAGTTTACTGAGAATGATGATTTCCAATTTCATCCATGTCCCTATAAAGGACATGAACTCATCATTTTTTATGGCTGCATAGTATATATTCAGGTATATTTTAAGGCAGTTTTTAAGTATATCTTTTTTCTTTAATAGTACTTACAAAAATGTAATTATTTGATATGACAAAGCTGCTTCATATTTTCATATTAGCTTGAACTTTCCATTGATATGTCAAGCAAATAAATACTTAGTTTTTTTCTGAGTAGAAACCAACTGTACTGCAAACCCCATTGATAGTAAATTAATTGCAGGGATTTAACATGTAGGGAAACCTTAATTATTCTGAATATACTTATGTTATGATGTGTAGATGATTTGTTTACTGTCTTTAATGTGACTGAGTCAAAATATGTGTAGTTATTTGCATAAAAGGGAAGTGTTGCTAATATATTTTGCATTACTTAATGTTATATATAAAATTAATTTTCCTTGTAAGGGATGTGAGAAATTTTTTTACTCCTCATTTCTGTTTATTCTCATCTATTTCTTTGAAAATGTAGATTTAATTTATTTAAATACTGTGTGATGAAAACATTACAGATATGTTCTTGCTCTCTTTTTTTTTTTGAGACAGGGTCTCACTCTGTCATCTAGGCTGAGTGCAGTGGCATAATCATGGCTCCCTGCATGTCAACCTCCTGGGCTCAGGCAGTCCTCCCACCTCAGCTTCCTGAGTGTTTGGGACTACAGGCGCGCACTACCATGCCGGGTTAACTTTTGACTTTTTGTAGAGATGGGGTCTCACTATGTTGCCCAGGCTGGTCTCAAACTCCTGGATGCAAGCAATCCTCCTGCCTCAGCCTCCCAAAGTTCTGGGATTACAGGCATGAGCCACCACAGCCAATATGCTTCATTTTCTACCTCTGATTATAAATTAAAGGATAGTATTATAAATGCTTAATTTTATAACCTCCAAATAGTGATATTGTATTGCTCCTTATTGTGATGGATAAATTATAAGACATATGTGTTTAACTGGTTTGGTGGCAAGTCTGTTTACAGAAATTTGCTGTTAATTTCTCAGTTGTTCACATGAACTTATCTGATTTATAGCTTTGGCCAGCAATTTACAAAGAAAGTTCAGTCTGTAGGGCTTCCTGTTGCTCTGAGTGGGGGCTCCTTCTACCCCTGTTCAACTTCAGTCAGCCCATGGTCTATAGTATACCTCTCACAAGGTCCTTATACTGCAGATCCTCTCTGCTGCAGATGCTTGGGCTTTTGCCTTAAGCACACTGGTGTAATTAGAAGAAGTAGAAAAGAAGAGAAAGGGTGAATAATAAGAGATGAGAGGATTTAAAAATGGTTGAAACAGGAGTTGTGAAGTTTGAGTGTGGTGGATATGGAGATGTGCAGCCCTGATCCTCCTTCAAGGAAGAATTGTGGCCCAGTTGTGGGGAGGTCAGTCATCAGAAAACCTTCAGCTGTCTGGCCTACAGAGGACAGCCAGAAAAAAAAAAAAAATTGCCTTAAGCTGTCAGCTCCTTCAGGCTCTACCTCAGTTGCGGAGAGCCTCCTTGCTTAAGGTCACATCCTTTCCAGGGCAGCACTTATCCTGCAATCAAGCAAGACATGTTTAAAGGCCCAGCCATTTTGTTCAGGCCTGAGACAACTCTGACAGGTGATATACCACCAGAGATCTGCCAGGTTGCTTGAGGCTTTGTTGGGCCTGAATTGCAATTTGATTTTTCCCTCTGCCCAATTCGGCTTTCTTCCCCAAATCTCTTCTTCTTCTTTTTTTTTTTCTTTGAGATGAAGTCTTGCTCTTGTTCCCCAGGCTGGAGTGTGATGGCATGATCTTGGCTCACTGCAACCTCTGCCTCCCAAGTTCAAGCAATTCTCCTGCCTTGGTCCCCTGAGTAGCTGGGATTACAGGTGGGTGCTACCACCCCTGGCTAATTTTTGTATTTTTAGTAGAGATGAGGTTTCACCATGTTGGCCAGGCTGGTCTCGAACTCCTGACCTCAGGTGATCCACCCGCCTCGGCCTCCCAAAGTGCTGGGATTACAGGCGTGAGCCACTGCGCCCGGCCTCTCCCCGAATTTCTTTCACAGGGATTGACTGCTAATAAACATCATATACCCAAAACTACTTCAGTGTCCATTTTCAGAGAATCCAGCTTGCAACAGGCAGGCGTATCGGCTTCATGTTGTCCTAAACCTTACGTAAAGTTCTATGCAATTTTTTTTGTGAATTTGCATTTTTCTTAGGAGGTCTGTGGCTTCCATTATCTTCTTTAAGATAGACTTGAAAATTAAAGGTTTTTCTCATCAAGGACTTAAGAAGGAAAGGCTTAAACATTTTTTTTTTGACTCAAGATCAAACTAAATACACTTGGCCATTGAACAATATGGGGGTTAGTAGTGCTGACCCTTTGCACAGTTGAAAATTGACATACGACTTTTTACTCTCCCAAAACTTAACTATTAATAATCTACTGTGTACCAGAAGTCCTACCAGTAACATAGTCTATAAACACATATTTTGTATATGTATTAAACACTGTATTCTTACAATAAAGCTAGAGAAAACAAAGTGTTATTAAGAAAATCATGGCCGGGCGTGGTAGCTCACACCTGTAATCCCAGCACTTTGGGAGGCCGAGGTGGGTGGATCACCTGAGGTCAGGAGTTTGAGGCCAGCCTGGCCAACATGGTAAAACCCTGTCTCTACTAAAAATACAAAAATTAGCTCGTGGTGGTGGCAGGCGCCTGTAATTCCAGCTACTCAGGAGGCTGAGGCGGGAGAATCGCTTGAACCTGGGAGGCAGAGGTTGCAGTGAGCCTGAAATTGCGCCATTGCAGCTCCAGCCTGGGCGACAAGAGCAAGACTCTGTCTTAAAAAAAAAGTCATAAGAGAAAACCTGTTTATTATTCATTGAGTGGAAGTGGATCATCATAAAGATCTTTATCCTTGTCATCTTCATATTGAGTAGGCTAAGGAGGAGGAGGGGTTGCTTTTTAAGAGGGGGCAGAGGTGATTAGTAGGAGAAAAATTTTAATGTGTGTATATATATATATATACACACACACATTATATATATATAATTTTTTGTAGAGACAGGGTCTTACTTTGTTGCCCAGGCTGGTCTTGAACTCCTGGGCTCAAGTGATCAGCCTGCCTCCTAAAGTGCTGGGATTACCAGCATGAGACACCGTACCTGACTGGAGGAACTACGTTTTTGATATGGTACTCAGAGAACTGAGTGCAGTACAGAAGCTTATACACCCCCTTTTTTTTATAGGGAAGTGGGGAAATGGAGAATGTAGACAGTTCTTTTGAGGGCCAGTAAATCATTTAGGTGGGAGGCAGACATTGTGGGAAGGTGAGAGGTGAAGCTGCAGGTTGTCTTACCATGCAGATGAAGGCCCCCTGGGTAATCTGTTGGAGCTGCCCTGGGAAGAATAGATGAAGTCTTTCTGGGCAGTAATGATCATGACTTCCAGCTTCTTCTCATGTAGTCGACCTTTCCTGATCATTTGATGAGATCCCTAGGAAGGGAGTTTAAGACAATTGCATTTCTTTTGGAAAGAAGCTTTTTTGGGCTGATAAGGAAATACCAGAGAGAGCCCCTCTCTGCGCTGGGGTGGGGGACACGACAAGTTAGAGGGATCTTGATTGTGAGGCAGCTTCTAAGGCCTTTAAGCATGTCTAAGTGCCAGTCTTTGGGGGTGTGGTTTGAGAGACCAAAATAGATGCCCCTTTATTAACTAGGACAGATCTTAAGGTTAAGGAAACAAAGTTACCTATCGGTAGAAAGTTCAGGGCCCTGCTGGTGTGGCAAATTTCTAAATTCCTATGGCTACAAGAAAAATCACTCTTATTAAACTCTCTAACAATAGGAGCTTTCAGACAAATTATCACAATTCTGATTTACAGCCCAGACTACTACAACTCTGGACAGAATTCCCAACTTAGAAACATTCTTTTCTTTTCTTTTTTTTCTTCTTTGAGACAGAGTCTCACTCTGTCACCCAGGCTGGAGTGCAGTGGCACAATCTTGGCTTACTACAACCTCCACCTCCCATGTTCAAGAAATTCTCCAGCCTCAGCCTCCAGTGCGGACCACTATGCCTGGGTAATTTTTGTATTTTTAGTGGAGATGGGGTTTCGCTATGTTGGCCAGGCTGTTCTTTAACTCCTGACCTCAGGTGATCTGCCTGCCTCAGCCTTCCAAAGTACTGGGATTACAGGCATGAACCACTGTACCCAGCCCTTAGAAACATTCTTTTCTGATAAGCTTTATAGACCTTGAGTTTCAACCAGCTTTAGAGGCTGGGCACAAATTGTCTTTGCATCGTATAGTTTTTATCTTTTGATGTAAAGAGCCAAATTCCACCTTATTTTAATGCTAAAGCCCCACCCCAAAGTGAGCATAGGATGTATATTACACATATGTTTACCCATTGCACGTGCGCTCAGCTCTTCTCGTAAATATGAATAGCTTTCCCCTAAATCTGCTGAATATATATGATTCTGTTGTGTAATATGGGCCCTGTGAGGCATAAAACCCAACCTATCCTTCCCCTGTTTGAAGACAGAGCACCTTTGGTTTGCACTGGAGACTTTTTCTTCGCTGGTTGCAAACCCATATTCCCAGTAAAGCTCTCCTTTCTACTACGTAGCTTCTGGTTATCTTTTGGATGACAGGGGTATTGCTTTCTGGGCCCCAACACTGGGAAGCAGCACTTAACCATTGTAAGCAAGGAGAAGGGTGTATTAATTTTCTGTTTTTCAGATAACAAATTGACACAAATTTAGCAGCTTTAAAACAATACCCTTTTATTATCTTATAGTTCTATAGGCCAGAAATCTGATACAGTGTGTCTCACTCAGCTGGTTCTCAGCTCCAGGTTTTACAAGGCAGAAATCAAGATGCTGGGAGGATAGTGTATGTTCCTTTCTGGAGGCTCTAGGGGTGAATGTTTCCAAGCTCTTTCTGGTTGTTAGCTGAATTCAGTTACTTGCAGTTGTAGGACTGAGGTTCCCATTTACTTGCTGGCTTTTTGGGAAGTGGTGTTTACCTGTTTAATCTCAGTGGTGTTTACCTGTTTAATCTCAGTGGTATGTGTAGTTATATGGGATTGTGTGTTTTAAATTGATCTCTTTTGTACCTTTCCTTTCTATTCCTTTGATTTTTGTTCTTTTTCATCTCCTTTTACTTTCTTTGGGTTTATCTATTGTTCCTTTTCAAATATCTTTTTTTTTTTGAGACGGAGTCTCAGTCTGTTGCACAGACTGCAGTACAGTGGAACGATCTCAGCTCACTGCAAACTCCACTTCCCCAGTTCAAGCGATTCTCCTGCCTCAGCCTCCGGAGTAGCTGGGATTACAGGCGCCTGCCACCACACCCAGCTAATTTTCCTGTTTTTAGTTAGAGACAGGGTTTCACCATTTGGCCAGGCTGATCTCGAACTCTTGACCTCGGGTGATCCGCCCTCCTCAGCCTCCCAAAATGCTGGGATTACAGGCATGAGCCACTACACCCAGCCTTTAAATATCTTAATAAGAATACTTAGCTCATTCATTTACAGCCTTTTTTCATTTCTAAGATGAGCACTTAAGTCTATACATTTTTCTCAGAATACCTTTTTTGTGTGACCTGGACTGTGTGAGATAGTTTTTTACTTTTTCATTTTGAAGTGTTTTAAATTTCTTTTGTTTTGTTTTGTTTTGTTTTGTTTTTTTGAGATGGAGTTCTCACTCTGTCGCCCAGGCTGGAGTGCAGTGGTGTGATCTCGGCTCACTGCAAGCTCCCCCTCCCGGGTTCACGCCATTCTCCTGCCTCAGCCTCCCAAGTAGCTGGGACTACAGGCACCCGCCACCATGCCTGGGTAATATTTTTTTGTATTTTTAGTAGTGACGGGGTTTCACCATGTTAGCCCGGATGGTCTCGATCTCCTGACCTCGTGATCCACCTGCCTCGGCCTCCCAAAGTGCTGGGATTACAGGTGTGAGCCACCGCGCCCAGCTAAATTTCTTTTATGGTTTCTTTTTGACCTGTTGATTGTTTGGGAATTGTTTAGAAATACGGGTTTTTAAAAAGCTATTTTTTCTTTGATTGTACATTGTGGTCAGAGAATAAGTTCCATGTGATATCTATGCTTAGAAATTTTTTAGATTTATATTTTGCCAGTACATGACTACTTTTGTAATGTTTTATGTATATTTGATAAAAATATAGATTATCTAATTATTGGATGCAGAAATTCATATATTCCATATATCATTATATGATCCATACATATTCAAGCTTGTTAATTATTATTTCCTGAATATAATCTTTGTTTATTTATATGCTTGACTGGTCAGTAATAGAAAAATGTTGTGTCAAAATCTACTGGGAGGGGTGGCGACGTAGCTCACCCCTGTAATCCCAGCACTTTGGGAGGCTGAGGTGGGTGGTCTGCTTGAGCTCAGGAGTTTGAGACCAGCCTGGGCAATATGGCAAAACCCCATCTCTACTAAAAATACAAAAATTAGCCAGGCTTAGTGGCAGGCACCTGTAAACCCAGCTACTCGGGAGGCTGAGACAGGAGAACTGCGTGATCCTGAGAGGTGGAAGTTGCAGTGAGCTGAGATTGCACCACTGCACTCCAGTCTGGGTGACAGAGTGAGACCCCATCTCAAAAAAAAAAATTAAAAAAAAAAAAAAAAAAAACAACCCTAAAACAAATCTACTGTGATGTTAGGTTTGTCCATTTTTTTCCAGATTTTTTTGGCTTGATATATTTTGAGACTATTTTATTAGATGCACATACTTTTAAAATTACTTTGTCTTACTGGTAATGTGAACTTAAATAATTTTGTTATGATCCTTTCTTTCCTAGTTGATCATCTTTTAGTTTAAAGTTTATCTGATAACAATTACATGTAGTTAAACTTCTTTCTTTTGGTCAACATTTGACCAATATGTCCTTTTTCCTTCTTTCACTTTTTTTATTTTTATTTTTAGAGTTGGGGTCTGGATATATTGCCCAGGCAGAAGTACAGTGACTGTTTATAGGCATGATGATAGCACACTACATCCTCTAACTTGTGGCCTCAAGCGATCTTCCCGTCTTAGCCTCCTGAGTAGCTGGGACTACAGATGTTAGCCATCACACTCAGCTTCTTTCACATTTATACATTAGGAGTCCTTTTGCTTTTTATATGTCTTTTATAATAGCCATTAGTTGGATTCTTTAATCTTATAATCTTTATTTTTTAACATAATGATTTTTGATTTTTGTTCATCCCTCTTGTTCTTGGCTTCATAAAAAAAATTGAGGCCAGCTGGGCGCGGTGGCTCACGCCTGTAATCCCAGCACTTTGGGAGGCTGAGGCAGGTGGATCACGAGATCAGGAATTCAAGACCAGCATGGCCAAGATGGTGAAACCTCATCTCTCCTAAAAATACAAAAATTAGCCGGGCGTAGTGGTGGGCGCCTGTAATCCCAGCTACTCGGGAGGCTGAGGCAGGGAGATTTGCTTGAATCTGGGAGGCGGAGGTTGCAGTGATCCGAGATTGCGCCACTGCATTCCAGCATGGGTGACAGAGCGAGACTCCATCTTAAAAAAATAAACAAAAAATAAAAATTGAGGCCAGGTGCAGTGGCTCACGCCTGTAATCCCAGCACTTTGGGAGGCTGAGGTGGGTGGATCATGGTCAGGAGTTTGAGACCAGTCTGGCCAATATAGTGAAACCCCGTCTCTACTAAAAATACAAAAATTAGCTGGGCATGGTGGCTCATGCCTGTAGTCCCAGCTACTTGGGAGGCTAAGGCCAGAGAATCACTTGAACCCGGAGGTTGCAGTGAGCCGAGATCGTACCACTGCACTCCAGCTTGGGTGACAGAGTGAGACTTCATCTCAAAAAAAAAAAAAAAAATTGAGTGCCTTTTACCCAGAGCCTCACCAACAGAATTGCCAAACTTTTGATTTTTTCTTTTTTTGCCAGTTTGATCACTAAATAGTGATGTTTCATCTTACCTCGAATTTTTTTTTTTCATGAGTGAAGTTGAGCATCTTGTTTAAAAACATTTGTGGCCAAGTGAAGTGCTCAGGTCTGTAATCCCAGCAAGTTGGGAGGCTGAGGCAGAGGATTGCTTGAAACCAGGAATTTGAGATCAGCCCAGGCAATGTAGGGAGACCCCGTCTCTAAAAAAGAAAAATTAAACTGGTGTGGTATTATGTACTTGTAGTCCCAGCTATTCAGAAGGCTCAGGGAGGAGGATCACTTGAGCCCAGGAGTTTAAGGCTGCAATGAGTTATTATTGCACCACTGCACCCAACCTGGGTGACAGAGTTAGACTAGATCTCTTAAAACAAACAAAAAGTTTACTTTTCTCTTTTCTGTAAAATGTCTGTTCATATCGTCTCTACCACACTTATTTTTTTGGTGGGATTGTGTCTTTTTAGTGATATCTGTGTTTTTTTGTTTTTTGTTTTTTGTTTTGGAGCCAGGGTCTTGCTCACTGCAACCTCCACCTTCCTCAAGCGATTCTCCTGCCTCAGCCTCCCAAGTAGCTGGGACTACAGGCATGTGCCACCATGCCCGGCTAATTTTTTGTATTTTTAGTAGAGATGGGGTTTCACTGTGTTAGCCAGGATGGTATGGATCTCCTGACCTTGTGATCTACCCGCCTTGGCCTCCCAAAGTGCTGGGATTACAGGTGTGAGCCACCGCGCCCGGCCTTAAACAAGTTTAAACACACACACACACACACACACACACACACACGTTTTTTAGAGTTGGGGCTTGCCTTGTAGCCCAGGCTGGTGTCTAACTTCTGGCCTCAAGTATTTCTCCCACCTTGGCCTTCCAGATAGTTTGGATTATGGGTGTTTACCCCTATGCCCAGCTCTAAATAAGTTTTAATGCCAACCATCACTTCTATTTGTAGAGATTCCTAATGCCACCCAGTGTAATGCTTTTGGGGCTATGGCAGTGTAAATTTGGTTTTCTCACTGCTGTTTATAATTCAGCTTTCTTGGGTCTATTGAGTTGATCACTGCACCTCACTCTGCTTTCCACTGTCCAAAATTTTGTCACCATTATTTTTTTGTTTTTCTTGTCTTTCAGAGTTTTAGTGAGGTTTCAGGAGGAATCAGAAGTTCATGCATGTATTAAGTCCTTTGGTTTTACTGAAAGTTTGACACATATTTTGAATTGTAGTTATTTTGTCTTTCCTAATTTAGATGCAAAATTAAGTTGTCTAGTGAGATACTCAGTTAATCAAGTTGAGATATTAAGGGTTACAAAAAGGTTTACCACACTGGTTTATATACAGGTTAAGTATCCATAATTTGAAAATTTGAAATTCATAATGCTCCAAAATCTGAAACATTTTGTGAGCCGACAAGAGACTCAAAAGAAATTTTGAATAAGGTATACTCAACTTGGATAATATTCATTTGAAGCATGTAAAGGAAATAATGGCTGTTATGTGTTATACACAAATGTGAAGATAGTGTTGATTTGATGCTTTACTTTTGATAATGTTGATCTGATGCCCTGGTTTTGATCACTTAACAGATACCCATGTGCTTTATGGGAAGTTGAGTTCTTCTTATGCTCATGGGCTGAGCCCGAATTAATCCAAATCAGTAATGGTAATTTTATGCCCTCTCCCATTGATTTGATAGTGAGTGGCCTTGAGAGCCAGTTCATTGGGGGAAGTTCCCCACTTTTTTGGTAAAGAAACATAAGCAAGGGGAAGGCAGTCTCTCTTATGATCCTAGACATTAAATTGTTACTTGCAACTAGTGTAGCTACTTTGAAACCGTTAGGGGACAAAAAGTCATCACACTAAAGATGACACAGGAAAAACAAGGAAAGAACTTAGGTCCATGATCTTGATGAGGCATCATAAATTACCTATCCCTGGAGCTGCTGTAGCTCTGGACTTTTTGTTATATGAGATAATAATTCCTCAGATTGACTTAGAATACCAATCAAAATAACTATTATTTTAGCTAGCTAAGAAAAAAAATCTGAGTAAATACCATAAGGTTCAGATTACATAAATATGAAGATCAAAACTGCAAGTTTTCTGAGAAGTTAGTTATTATTGTTTTTTACTAATATGAGCTGCATTGGAAATTTATTTTCTTTTTAAAAAATTATTGCTGTCTTTGTCCATAACTTTTATGGACCTGACATTTTAGTTGTTTGGAAAAATTGGTAATTTTAATCTTTTGTTTTGGTATGATTCAGGTTGACCTGACATTTTAATACATCTGGCTCCTAGGACTGATTAAAGAGACATTTTATTTGTTGAAATATGCACATTTTCTTCATGAAATTGGTTTTCTTTTTTATGTGTGACTTTTCTTGCAAAAGCTTACAAGGCACATGCTTTTGATAGCAGTGTTACATTTTTAATTAATATTTTAGATGTAAAAGGTGACAGTTTAAAAGATTGTTTTATTAGTGGGTTATCCTTAAAAGCAAGTGGCATTTGGTTTTATTTTACAATAGAGTTTAATCTTACATGTTTTTTGTTAAAGTAATGTTACCAAAAAATCTCTTATTGAACTATTTGTGGTGAACTTTTTAAGGATGTTTAAGATTTCACATGCAGTTTAACTGATCACAGATGAAGTTGTAAATTAATACCTCATGAGCGTATTTGACTGCAGGGCATTGTTGTGAATCAAAACCGCTTTGTTCCTGTAAACTGTGAAAGGGGTTTAAGCATATGGATTAAAATTGCATGGTGATACCGAAGTACTTATGAAAAGACACTGTAGTTGGATCATTTAAAATGTACTAAAATATTACGAATAGCCATAAAATATAATAATTCCCTGAAGCTTTTAAGAGTGGTAAGATTTAGTTTTATTTCTTTGTTGGATTTAACTACTTTAATAAGAAATTGTTTTGTTGCTTTTGGAACTATGCATAGTAATGAGAATAACCATGATGATGAGAACACTGGAAGCTTCCCAGAAAACATGTATTTCTTCAGAAATGTTCTTGGTTGTGACAAATATATATATGAAGCTTTTCCTTGTTCCCATCTGAGTCATTCCCTTACCAGAACCTTTAGAATGAAAGGTTTAATGATATCTTCTAGTATAAGATTATGAAATGAGCATTGTTTAGTGTAAAATCATATTTTTCTTTTGCTGTTAATTTTGTCTTATAGTATATGAAAATCACCTGGTGTAGAATGTATTTTTCCTGCCATAAGAAACTGTCAAGAATCTATTGAAAAAATACCATGAGAGTAGTTGTTCTGGATGACAATGGTAGGTTCTGATTTACTGACGTAGAAGCAAGCTTCAGTTAGCCACTTTAGTCATAGGTAAACACTAGATTAGCCTAAGGAAAAATTGTTGGGAAGCTTTTGGAGTTCTCATCTGTGTCACTGTTTTAGATCTCTTCAAGTTCTTTGAAAATTTTGGTACCTCCCTGTTTAACAAATATTCTGTTTTCTGCTATCTAATTAGTTCTCATGTAGATGACGTTTCTAATACTAATTACCACACTTTCTTGGACTCCTCTTTTATAACGACCTTTATCTCCATTCCATTTGATCAACTGTTTTTTAGGACTATGTTCTGAACCTACTTCCTACCCAGGACTGCTTTAAAAAAAGTAATCTATGTTAGCTTCCTGTTTGGCTTCTTCCTAGTTTGACTTTACTCTCTATATACAGCCTGAGTGGCATGCTCGGTTATTTCAGCTACATCTTACCATTACTCAGTTCTCTCTCCCTTTTGACCTTGCTGGTTTCTAAATCTGGGTCAATTTGTGTGCCTTGCTTCTTGACTTGATATTACAATTAACTTATTTTGTCATACTAGATGTTTTCAGCCATCTTTGATCCCCAGGTTGCTCACCAACTCTTATTATCCTTTGAAATGACTCTCAAATCTTACCCCTCTTTTTGACTTTTATGTTTGTTGCCCTCATCTTCATCTTTTTTTTTTTTTTAATGAGACGGAGTTTCGCTCTTGTTTTCTTTCTTTCTTTTTTTTTTTTTTTTGAGACAGAGTCTCGCTCTTGCCCAGGCTGGAGTGCAGTGGCGCCATCTCTGCTCACTGCAAGATCCGCCTCCTGAGTTCACGCCATTCTCCTGCCTCAGCCTCCTGAGTAGCTGGGACTACAGGTGCCCGCCACCACGCCTGGCTAATTTTTTGTATTTTTAGTAGAGATGGGGTTTCACCGTGTTAGCCTGGATAGTCTTGATCTCCTGACCTTGTGATCCGCCTGCCTAGGCCTCCCAAAGTGCTGGGATTACAGGCATGAGCCACTGCGCCCAGCTCGCTCTTGTTTTCTTGTTGCCCAGGCTGGAGTGCAATGGTTTGATCTTGGCTCACTGCAACCTCCGCCTCCTGCGTTCAAGAGATTCTCCTGCTTCAGCCTTCTGAGTAGTTGGCATTACAGGCGTGTGCCACCATGCCCGGCTAATTTTTTGTATTTTTAGTAGAGACAGGGTTTCTCCATGTTGGCCAGGCTGGTCTCGAACTCCCGAACTCAGGTGATCCGCCAGTCTTGGCCTCCCAAAGTGCTAGGATTACAGGCATGAGCCACCACGCCTGGCAAATTCTATTTTTTTTTTTTTTTTTTGAGACGGAATTTTGCTCTTGCTGCCTAGGCTGTGCAATGGCACGATCTCGGCTCACCGTGGCCTCTCCCTCCCAGGTTCAAGTGAGTCTCCTGCCTCAGCCTCCCAAGTAGCTGGGATTACAGACGTGTGTCACCATGCCCGGCTAATTTTGTATTTTTAGTAGAGACGGGGTTTCTCCACGTTGGTCAGGCTGGCCTGGAACTCCCAACCTCAGATGATCTGTCTGCTTCGGCCTCGCCAAGTGCTGGGATTACAGGCGTGAGCCACTGCTCCCAGCCCTTCATCTCTTACATTAGGTGCCATAGCACTCACCTCTGTGGCTCTGTTTCTTCTATCCCAACAGCACATGAGGGATTGGGTCCCCTTCCATCTCTCCAACTCCCTACTCCTACTACCACATAAATTAACAGAAACTCCCTTTAGTAGTAATTCTCAAATGAGGTGCCAAATCTTGGTCTGTATGGAATGTGTATTTGGTTTTAAAAAAATTCTAAAAGTGATTCTCTTCTGAGGTCCTAAAGGGTCTTTTGCAGGACTTCCTCAAATTCGTCTTTTACAATGCTATAGGAGTCATCTTTGTCAAACATAGATTTACTCATTTTACAACTGTGTAACAACTTATTTTTTGCCAAGTATTGGGATAGCTACTGGAGTTAGTAAAGTGAATATTAGGGTGCTTACTTTTGAGAAAAATGCTAATAATATAGTATAGCCATCATTTACTGGAACTTTTTTAAGTGCTAGGCACTTCATGTATTTATCCTTATAATAGTCCTTCAGTGTAGATATTATTAGCCACTGTACAGATGAGCAGCCATTCTCAGAATTCTGAGGACTCACATAGTAATTCATTAGGCAAGTGATAAGCTTTATGATAAATACTTGAAAGGGACCTCTAAGAGCATAGAGGAGGGATATCTAGTTTAGAGTTGGAAGATTAACAGAATAGGCTTCACAGAGAAGATGATGTATTAAGCTGAGTATTTAAAGACAAGTAGGAACTTAGACAAAATGATAGATTGGAAAATGAGTGTGTGGCATGGTTATATTTGTGAATAGTCTTTGTACAGAGATATAAGAGAAGCATTTTATGAGAACACCTGGTGCTCACTTAGGCAACACATATACTAAAGTTGGAGAACAGCTCAATATGACTGAAGCATAGTATGTGAGATGGGGAATTTAGAGTGGTTTAGATATAAAGACATTAAACTAGGTTGTATTTTATATATTTATACATCTATATCTATATATCTATATCTATATGCATCTGTGGTCCCAGCTACTAAGGAGGCTGAGGTGGGAGGATCGCCTGAGCCTGGGAGATCAAGGCTCCACTGAGCCGAGATTGCACCATTGCACTCCAGCCTGGGTGACAGAGTGAGACCCTGTCTCAAACAAAACAAAACAAAACAAAAACCCAGTTAGACTGCTGGAATAGTCCAAATAAGAAATCAGGAGGCCTTGAAACGTGTCAGTGGGATTAAAGAGGAGAGAGGTGGAATTGAAGGTTATCTGGTAGGTGCAATCAACAGACTTAGTGGTTTAAAAAGTGAGTGAGAGGTTATAGTCAGGTTGGGACTATGTATTAATCCTTTATTTTTTTAATTTACTGTACTGTACTATGTATTATTGTTAATATCCTTTATTTCAGATTGACATATACCCTTAAATATTCTTAAGATCATATCCTTAAGGTCTTAATAGTCTCTGAATAAATATTGGTATAAGCTGCTTCCTAAATGATTTCCCATTTATTTACTGGTGTTTTTATATATCTATTTAGAGACTGAATCTCACTATGTTGCCCAGGCTAGAGTGCAGGAGCATGATCATAGCTTACTGTAACCTCACACTCTTGGGTTCAAGTGATTCTCCTGCCTCAGCTTCCCAAGCAGCTAGGACTACAAGTGTGTGCCACCACACCTGGCTCATTTTTTAATTTTTGCAGAAACAGACTCTTGCTATGTTGCTCAGACTGGTCTCAAACTCCTGGCCTAAAGCGATCCTTCAGTCCCTGCCTCCCAAAGCAGTGGGACTGCAGGTGCGAGTCACCATGGCTGGCTTGAGGAGTGTTTTTTAAAACATCCTGGCCAACTGTGAGCATTGAGACATCAATTTATCAAGGCTTTACTGAGTGCTCAAGGGCCCAGGCACATTCTAAGTCCTGGAAGAGGGAGCACAGTGGAAGTTCTAGGACTTAGCTATCTAGTTAAATATCTTCAGTTTAAACAGATTTACTCATTTTACAACTGTGTAACAATTTATTTTTTGGCAGTTTCTGAACTTCCAGTTTTCACGTTCTCTAGTATTGACAACAAGCTGATAATCTTGCTAGACACAACAGACTCTTGAGGAAGGAATTATTCATTGTGGTTTATAGACAATGATATTTGAAGTTAACTTGCCCCAGGGCAGGAGTATGGTTCTTATATAATGTAGGAAAAGGCCAGTCAACACCAGACCTCAGAGCTACCATTTAATGCATTGTGGCAAATGATTCGCATGTATTATCACACTTAATGCTCACAAGAATACTACCATGAAATAGTTAATATTTAAAACAAATTTTTTTATTTTTTAAGGAGACTGGGTCTCACTATGTTGCCCAGGCTTGTCTCGAACCCCTGGGCTCAAGTGATCCTCCCACCTCAGCCTCTTAAAGTTCTGGGATTACAAGCATGAGCCACCGCGAGTGGTCTTTATCATTATTATCGCTGTTTTACAGATGAGAAAACTGAGGCACAGAGACCTGCTTATGGTGACACAAGTAGGAATTGAAAAGATGAGATTTGAATCTAGCTGGTCTAATTTATCCTGAAGTTCAAGATAGCAATACAAGAATTATGAACATATAAATGGAGTGAGTGGATATGATCGCTCAAGATAAATCTCTTGGCCGGGCGCAGTGGCTCACACCTGTAATCCCAGCACTTTGGGAGACTGAGGCGGGCAGATCACGTGGTCAGGAGATCAAGACCATCCTGGCTAACATGGTGAAACCCCCTGTCTACTAAAAATACAAAAAATTAGTGGGGCGTGGTGGTGCACGCCTGTAATCCCAGCTACTCAGGAGGCTGAGGCACGAGAATCACTTGAACCCAGGAGGCGGAGGTTGCAGTGAGCCAAGATTGCGCCACTGCACTCCAGCCTGGGTGATAGAGTGAGACTCCGTCTCAAAAAAAAAAAAAAATCTCTTGGATGAGAAAACTAGACTTAGGATTTAAGGAAATCTACGTTAATGGACTGGCCAGAAAAACAAGTCATAAAGGAAAATTAGGAAGTAATCATGAGAGAGGGGGATGTTATGTCCTATTACCTGAAGCAGAAATATAAATGGAAAACATATCAGTGTTATTAACTGAAGGGAAAAGAAAATATAAAAATATATCTGTTATAAAATATATTCTGTATAAAACTCGAATACCAGATTGTTGTTTGCATTGACGTTGCCTGTAATCCCAGCATTTTGGGAGGGTGAGGTGGGAGAGCTCAGGAGTTCAAGACCAGCCTGGGCAACATGATGAAACTCCATCTCTACAAAAAATTAGCTGGGCATGGTGGTACATGCTTGTAATCCCAGCTACTCAGGAAGCTATAGTGGGAGGATCACTTGAGCCCGGGAGGTTGAGGCTGCAGTGAGCCATAATGGTGCCACTACACTCCTGCCTGGGGCGATGTACTGAGACCCTGTCTCAAAAAAAAAAAAAAAAAAAGAGAAAAAAAAATTTTTAAGTACTTTTTTACTTAGAACCTTTCAAATGCCATGTTATGTGTCTTTATATACAGAAACCCTGGGCAAAGACAGTATGGCTCTTTTTTTAAGAATTAGGAGACATGAGTGTAAAGCATATTTGTAAATAACGGGCAATAAAATTAATGCGGAAGGTTTGGCTTACATTATTTGGGGAGGGAACATATAAAATTCAATATTCAAATTGTTACATCAACTTGAAGTACAGTGAATCATGACTCAGAAAATGTATGAAGATGAGACAAGGTAGTTGCCTATTGGAATCTTAAATGATACTTTTAGTAGAGATCATGTAAATCTGTGTTGATGTTAAAGAAAAGTGAACATAGGCTGAGCGCAGTGGCTCATGCCTGTAATCCCAGCACTTCGGGAGGCTGAGGCAGGCGGATCAGCTGAGATCAGGAGTTCGAGACCAGCCTGGCCAACATAGCGAAACCCCATCTCTACCAAAAATACAAAAATTAGCCAGGCGTGGTGGCGGGCACCTATAATCCCAGCTACTCTGGAGGCTGAGGCAGGAGAATAGCTTGAACCCGGGAGGTGGAGATTGTAGTGAGCCGAGATCACACCACTGCACTCCAGCCTGGGTGACAAGAGCGAGACTCCATCTCAAAAAGAAAAGTGAACATAAACTTTTAAAACTTCATTACAGAGTAAAAAGTCTTATTACGTTTTTCTGGCCAAAATTTATAAACTTTTAAAATATTTCAGTGAAGTTGAGCTATATTAGAGGTATCTCTTTATGTACCTCTGGAATGGAACTTTGATAACTGTTTATTACAGTAGAAAATAGGATCTAAAATGGGTAAGTTCATTATTTCACTTTGCTTTCTTAATATTCATGGAAGGTATTTTGCCGAAATTATTTTTGGAGAGTATATGAAAAGTAAGTAATATTTTATAAAACTGTATTGCAGCTGATTTGGAGAATGAGTGGCTACTTTGAAAATTGTCAGTAGATAGGAAATAAAAATAACAGAATGAAGCAGCTCACACACTTCAGAGTTTATTCTCAATATTGTTGAATTGGGCCATAATGAAGCATAATGCCTGGTTAAACTTTATTGCAATTCAAACATCCCACCAGAAAGAAATTTTTAAAAACTATATCAACAAATAAATTCACTGAAGTCTGTCTATAGCTTCTTCTAGGAACTACAATTTATTTATTTGTTTATTTTAATATTGTTTTTTGTAGAGACAAGGTCTCACTTTGTTGCCCAGGCTGGTCTTGAACTCCTGGGCTCAAGTGATCAGCCCGCCTCTGAAAGTGCTGGGATTACAGGCATGAGCCACCGTACCTGGCTGAAGGAACTACATTTTTGATATGGTACTCTGCTTTAAACGCAGTAGGTACTCTGCTGAATTGGGCTAAATAAACATTTCACCTCTCAAAACTATGTGAATATTTGGCTTAAGCAAAGATAGCCTGGGACCATGAAGAAAGCTAAAACACTTAAAAAAAATGTACCCTTATTTAAAAAGTAGCATGTTTCTTTCTGATTTGGAGTGTTATGTTTTTGTTGAAAAATTGGAAATTACATAAAACCAAAATGAAAAATATAGAGATGATCAGTAATTTCACCATGAATATAATACTCCTCTTATCATTTTGTATTCCCTTCCAACTAATTTTTCTCTTAAAAGTGGCACTATGTTTTTGAAAAAGCTGACTACTTTAAGAAAATTTCTCTCAGTTTACTTTCTTAATCGTGTGCTTTTCTGAAGAGTTGGCTCTGACGTTGACTACTATAGTAAATCCAATTTTGATGAGTTTTTCTTTTTTAGTGGGCCAAAAAAAAAAAAAGGAAAGAAAATTCTCCTTTGTAGAAAAAGGAGGGAGGATGGAATGTATATTGTAGTACACCTGAAAATCCATACCTTTTCTTAGCCATATACACAATTAGTTTACTCTTTCTCAAGATAATATTTTTATAGTAAATTAGGATTCTTTGTTACAAGTGATGGGAAACCAAACTAGTGCTATGCTAGGTTAAAAAAAGGAATTTAGGGACTCAAGTCACTAAACTACTCACGCGCACACACACACACACACACACACTCACACACACTCACATAGGGGTTCAATTGGGCCTTAGGAATGGCTAAATCTAAGGTCTCAAAAGCTGTCAGTTTTTTTCCTTCGGTTCGTTCTTTGTCTCTGAGAGTTAGCTTCACTTTGTCAGCCTGCTTCTTTATACTCTTCCTGTTTTTCACTCTGACTTACTGTGTTTATAATTATCTTGGGTTAGTTTTTCTTATTGCTCATTTGGAAAAACTATCAGTACTTCTGATTAGTAATTTCAGATGTTTTTATATTTTAATTTTGTATGCAAAATAAGTATCCGTGATATTTTAAAAATATTTACTAAGTATTTCCCTAGTCTTTCTCTAAAGGGTAATCTCAAATGAAACAACTGGAACTGGATTCTCATTTGTTTAATGACTGAAGAAGTCTTCCAATTACTCTACAAACCATTGATAACTTTTGTTATTTGTGACCAGTATTCATCTAGTAAGATGTTAAATGCTTTTATGAAAGAGACAAGTGTTTTACCTAAAGAATGAGAAAAAAAAAACCCTAATTTTTTGTGAAGTTTTCTCCTTTTTTGCTGAGTGCTTAAAGAAAAAAAGTTTATGTTGTTTTAGGTTTTTCTTCTTGCTTATCACCCTAGGAACTAATTGTGTTACTTTTTAAATGTTTAAATTTAATTTTTCCTGTCCCTTCCCCATGCTTGCTAATTATGTTTTTTAAAGGTGACCCTTTAAGATGGCTCTTATAGAATAAAGAGAGACACTGAATTTTCTAATCTTGTGGAAGAGGTTATATTTAGCCATTGGTATTTTAAGTTGGAGCACTTCATTCTACTGTGCCTTTAGTTTATGAGTCATCTGGAGAAAATGGGCTGCTTCTTGCTTTTAGGAAGAGTCTGTAGCAAATAATAATAATAAGTGCTATGGGAGATTTTTTGCCAAATAATTTAAAATGGAAAATGTTTTGTAATATATTTTATTGCCCATATGTAAAATACGTACTAAAGAATATAGGAGTTTTTGGCTCATTATTATCTTTAGCTCATAAAAATAAACAAAAGAGGCTGGGTGCGGTGGCTCACGCCTGTAATCCAGCACTTTGGGAGGCTGAGGTGGGCGGATCACGAGGTCAGGAAATCAAGACCATCCTGGCTAACACGGTGAAACCCTGTCTCTAATAAAAAATACAAAAAATTAGCCGGGTGTGGTGGCAGGCACCTGTAGTCCCAGCTACTCGGGAGGCTGAGGCAGGAGAATGGCGTGAACCCAGGAGGTGGAGCTTGCAGTGAGCTGAGACCGCACCATTGCACTCCAGCCTGGGTGACAGAGTGAGACTCCGTCTCAAAAACAACAACAACAACAACAACAATAACAACAAAACCCTAATGTCACATATAACAAAAAGAAAGCATTTTCTACCAAAACATTATATAGATTGTTATGAGTTATAGGTAAGTGGAAAGCAAGCATAAACCATATGAAATTATTTTATATGCAGGATGTACAGCAGTGGTCAAATCTTAATGATAATTGTCAGTAACTGGGGAGAATATTGTGATTATTGAAGTATTGATTTTTTTTCAAATATTTTTATATTACATGTGGTAACTTTTTATAATCTTGTTTTATATCTACTTTAGTATGATAGCTTTACCATACTAGATATTCTATGAGGGGTAGACAGTTGGCAAAGGATGTGATATTGATTCTAATTTTGGCTACCTTTGTATTATGTGTATCATAATGATTTCACGCTTCAGTTTTCTCATCTGTACAGTATTTTGTTCTTCGTGACTTTTCTTGCAGGAATGAAAGGAGGTAGCATGGAACAAAGAAAAAAGTGTATCATATTGTAAAACAGGAAATTTTAAAGTCCTAGAGTTCAGATTTTAAATCCAAGATGTCATTTTTGAGGTAAATTTGTCAGGTCTCCCTGGGACACAGAATGACTGCATCACTAGAATCATGAGCCCGTGGGATTGTTTTTTTCTTTTTCTCAAATGTATTTATTTAACATCTCTCTCCCTCTCTACTTACCTACCTGCCTACCTACCTACTTACCTCTGTTGTGAAACTTTTGGGAGCTCAGTATTGTCTACTATACCAAGAATACCAGTCCTTTACTCATTTTTTTGCATTACAAAGATCATATGGAATATACTGGAGGGGAATTTAGGTCTTTTGGTTCTGTGTTAGAAGAGCCCATTTTGTTTTTCCCTGCATGTGGTAGTCGGTGTATAGGCCTGTTTCTGTGATGGGAAGATGACACCTTTTGTCAAATCTCTATCCTTTTTGTATGTCAAGGAATCATTTCTTTGCAGTGAAGTAGAGTGTGCCCTGTAGTATAGCACTCTGTGTCCTTAGTCATAGCAATATTGGAGGATTGGAGAGTTAATCATGTTTGAGAAGTTAGGGGACTTGTTCTTTCAGCATCTATTTAATGAATCTGCTTGTATTTTTGATATCCTAATGTGTCCCAACACTGAACTCCTAATCTTTCCTCTAAAACCTGTTCCACCTGCAGCCCTCTCTATTTCACTTGATGGCAGTTTTATCCTTCTCGTTATTCAGGATAAAAACCTGAGACTCATTCTTGTTTTTCCTCTTTCTCTTATATCCCACATCTAATCCTTAAGGAAATTATACTGGCACCACTTGTGAAATATATCCTGAAATCTGATCACTTATACCATCTAAATCGCTAAAGTCATCTGTACCCCCACCTCTCTTTTGTGCCACCATCATCCTTTGCCTAGATTTTTGCAGTAGCTTCTTAGTTACTTTCTTTCCACCTTTGCTGCCTTCAATATCTTGTCAGCACAACAGATTGGCGGACATTTTAAAAACGTAAGTCAGATAATGACACTCTAATAAAAATGAGAAAGGTTTAAAAATAGTAAAGATAGGAAGCCTGGACAACATGGTGAAACACCATCTCTACAAAACTAGCTGAGTGTGGTGGTGCATGCTTGTGGTCAGCTACTCAGGAGGCTGAGGCAGGAAGATTGATTGAACCTGGAAGGTTGAGGCTGCAGTGAGCTGTGATTGTATCACTTCACTCCAGCCCCCGTGACTGATTGAAACCCTGTCTCAAAAAAAAAAAAAAAAAAAAAAAAAAAAGGAAATATTATTTGCAGGTGAAATGGTTGTATTTAGAAACAAGAACATTTAAGTGGCAGGTAGTTACAGAATTGATACACACAAATATATTTTTTATACTTTTGTATGTTTAAAAAAGCCACAAATTACAAATTATGTTAACAGCAATATAAAAAGAATGAAACATGAGTGGGGTTTATTCTAAGCTGAGTTGTTCAAAATTAGGGTATCTATTAACATAATTTACGATGCTTCTCAGAGGGTTTCTGTTGTTCACTCAGTGACTGCAGACCCACTAGTACTAATGAACTACTCTCTTAACTTGTTATTGAACTACACCTTCTCCAATGAGTCTGAGTCTTTAACATTGCATACTCTTTTAATCTGCCTTGGGGTACTATATAGAGCTTTCTTATATCTTATAGTTACTCTTTTATTAGAGTTAAAATACTTCTTTATGTTAAACTTCTGTTTACCTTACTCTGTGATTTATATCTTTTGATTAGAAAAGACTAATGTACCATATTAGTAGGTTTTTGGATAAATTTTTATATTATTTTCATAGATGCTAGAAGAGCATTTGCCAAAATTCATCATTGATTCTTTTATTAACTTTTTGTGAATTAAAGTATAACATACATAGAAAGGTATAAAAATCATAAGTGTACAGCTGAAAGAATTACTGCAAAGTAAACATACTTGCTTAACTACCATTTAGTTCTAGAAATAGAACTTGGCCAGCAGCCCAGAAGCACCCCTCACCCCCACCTTCTTCCCCAAAGGTATCTTCTGTCCTGACTTCTAACATTGGAGATTACCTTTGCTGTTTTAAACTTTAAATATATGGAATCATATAGTGTGTACTTTTTGTCTCTGGCTTCTTTGGCTCATCATTATAAGCTTTATCCACATTGTTGAACATAGCAGTGCTTTTGTTCATTTTCTTTTCCATGTCCTATTCCATCATATGAATTTATCTCAGTTTATTTTTATATTCTACTGTTGATGATGAATATTTGGGTTGTTACTAGTTTGGCCATATTACAAATAATGTTGGTATGTGAACATTCTTGGGTGTGTCTTTTGGTGCTCATATGCACATATTTCTTTTCTTTCTTTTTTTTTTTTTTTGAGATGAAGTCTTGCTCTTGTTGCCCAGGCTGGAGTGCAATGGCACAGTCTCGGCTCATTGCAACCTCCACCTCCCGGGTTCAAGTGATTCTCCTATCTCAGCCTCCCAAGTAGCTGGGATTACAGGCACACGCCACCATGCCCAGATAATTTTTGTATTTCTGGTAGAAATGGGGTTTCACCGTGTTGGCCAGGCTAGTCTTGAACTCCTGACCTCAGGTGATCTGCCTGCCTTGGCCTCCCAAAGTACTGGAATTATAGGTGTGAGCCACCACCCCTGGCCCAAAGTGTTATCTTTAGAACAGCAGAAATGGGAGTTCCAGTTTTTCCACTGTTATTTTCTATCTTCAGACAAACAACTGTTTAGTTATACTGGTAAACTGGCAGTGGTATATCATTGTAGTTTTAATTGTATTTCCTTGACCATGACCACTAATAAAGTTAAGCTTTTAAAAATTTATTTATATGTTGATCAATTAGATATACTTCTTTGTGAATTACTTAAGTTTTTTACCCAGTTTTCTATTGGGTGTTTAAGAATATTTTATATTTATTTATGTATTTATTTTTGAGACAGGGTCTTGCTCCGTTGCTCAGGCTGGAGTGCAGTGATGTGATCTCGGCTCACTGCAGCCTCCGCCTCCTGGGTTCAAGTGATTCTCCCACCTCAGCCTCCTCAGCAGCTAGGACTACAGGCGTATGCCATCATGCCTGGCTGATTTTTGTATTTTTTGATAGAGCTGGGGTTTCACCCTGTTGGCCATGCTGGTCTCGAACTCCTGAACTCAGGTGATCTGCGTGCCTCAGCCTCCCAAAGTTCTGGTATTCATCTGCAAGCCACCACGTCCGGCCTGTTTAAGAATTTTTAATGAATTTGGCTGGATGTGGTGGCTCACACCCGTAATCCCAGCACTTTGGGAGGCCAAAGCGGGCAGATCACCTGAGGTCAGGAGTTCGAGACCAGCCTGGCCAACATGGTGAAACCCCGTTTCTACTAAAAATACAAAAATTAGCCGGGCATGGTGGCACGTGCTTGTAATCCCAGCTGCTTGGGAGGCTGAGGTGGGAGAATCACTTGAACCTGAGAGGCGGAGGTGGCAGTGAGCCAAGATCACTTTATTGCACTCCAGACTGGGCGACAAGAGCAAGACTCTGTCTCAAAAAAAAAAAAAATTTTTTTAAATGAAAAATCTCTGTACTCAGGGCTATGACACTTTTTGGTTGGCATATGTCTTTTTGGACTTGTTCTTTCATTCTTTAAATGGTGTCTTTGATGAACCGATGTTCTTCATTTTAATATGGACCCTCTTTTTGGTGTTCCTCCCTTTTTTTAGTTTTCAGAAGATATTGTCTATGATTGGTTTTACTTCTATTGGTTTTATTTCTTAAATGTTTGGTGGAATTCACTGGTGATACCCTTGAAGCCTGGAGTTTTCTTTGTAGGAATGTTCCATTAAAAAAAAAATACTTAAAGGGCTTTTTAGATTTTTTTTCACTTCTTAAATCAACTTTGGTAAAATTTCTTTTTCTAAGTATTTGTACATTTTGTCTTAAGTGTTAAAATGCGTTAGCATAACCTTTTCCCTACAGTATCTTTCTGTGATTTTTAAATATGCATATGACCTATCATTTCTGCTAATGATTATTTGTGCCTTCTTTGTAAGAGTTCATCAATTTTATTAGCGTTTCAAAGAACTAACTTTGGCTTTGTTGGTTCTCTGTAGATCATGATGTATGTTTTCTATTTCCACGTATTTAGCTCCTTTTTTTTTTTTTTTTACTTTCTTTGGGTTTCATTTGCAGTTTTTTTCCTTACCCTAACCCTACAGTTGTTTTTAAAAAAAGATTCTTGAGATGGATACAGGACCATATAAAAAATTTTTTTTATGCATGGCAAGAAGTTTGCATAAAGTCAGAAGACAAATTACAAACTTGTAAAAAAATTATTTAATACCAATTACATCAAAGTCCAAGGCCTACTTCTTTAATATGTAGTGAGTTTCTAAAAGTCAATAAGAAGGAAATAATTATGTATTAAAAATGAGCAATGTTTGTGAAGAGTTGATGTGTAGAAAAGTTAATATTAATGGCAGTAAAACATATGAAAGGATGTTCATCGTCTCATGAGGAATTCAAAATAAACCTTCTATTATTAAATTGGCAAGTATTTTAAAAATCAGTAATAAGTAGTATGGGCAAAGTTATAGAGAATAGGCGCTTTCATAAGCTATCATAAGGATATAAATTGCTACAACCTCTTTGAAGGAGAAGTTTACATTATTTATCAAAATTTTAAGTATTCTTTTTTTTTTTTTTCTTTTTTTTTGAGATGGAGTCTTGCTCTGTCACCCAGGCTGGAGTGCAGTGGCGCCATCTTGGCTCACTGCAAGCCCCGCCTCCCAGGTTCACACCATTCGCCTGCCTCAGCCTCCGGAGTAGCTGGGACTAGAGGCTCCCGTCACCACGCTGGGCTAATTTTTTTTTGTATTTTTAGTAGAGACGGGGTTTCTCCGTGTTAGCCAGGATGGTCTTGATCTCCTGACCTCATTAACCGCCCCTCTCGGCCTCCCAAAGTGCTGGGATTACAGGCGTGAGTCATCGCGCCCGGCCCTTAAGTATTCTTTAATTCACGAACTATGTGTATAAAGATGTTTATTTCCATATTACCTATAAAAGCCAAAAAACTAGACATAACCTAAATGTTTATTCTAGAGACTAGGTTGTAGCTACCCAATGGAAAACTATGTAGCCACTAAAAGGCAATAGACTGTTGGTACTGGTTGTTACAGAACAAGCTCCAGGAAAGTTTTTTTGCAGAAATACACATTTTATTAAACGAGTTTGTGGGTGAAGTGTTTGTATTTTGTGTGTGCATAGTAAGTTTCTGAAGTGCATAACTTTGTGTATCTCACTAGGTAAATTTGAGTGTTGTATTTATGGAGTTGGATTTACAACATCTGGTATTTACTATTCAGTATCACTTTAGGTTATGTTTCGTTTTCTCACTTATATTGTAAGCTCATAGAAAATGGAAGATATGGACTGTGTTTTATGCTTCATAATTTTCTCCACATTGCCTAGCATAGTATATTGAGTGTGAAACAGACTTGGTTTTTAAAAAACAATTTAAGAACAAATTTAACACTAAATATTTGTTTTCCAGTTTCAGAACCTGTTCACATTATCTTTGGTGAGCTGTATTGTAGCTCTCTGTAGTAGATAGGTATAATACTCATTAATTTATTCATATGTTACCATAGGGCGAACTGAGCCCAAGTGAATAAGTGAGTTATTTAAAGTAGGGGTTGGCAAACTATGAGCTGTGGGCTAAATTTGTCCCACCTCTTGTTCTTTATGGCCTAGAAGTTAAGAAAGGTTTTTATATGTTTTAATGTTTGGGAGAAGAAAGCATATTTTATGACACATGAATGTTATATGAAATTTAAATTTTAGTGTTCATAATTAAAGTTTATTAGAAGACACTGATGCATATTCCTTTATGTATTGTCTATGGCTGCCTTCCCACCACTATGGCAGAATTGAGTCGTTGCAACACAGATTGGAGTTGGCATTTTCATTGCTTCACACTGCTGCTTGGCATACTACACATCTCAGTAATGCAGTTATAATTCAACAGTGTTTCAAGTGCCATATGTATTGCTGTGCTATAACACTGTATTTTTTTTTTATTACTAGGGCATACCTATATGTCAAAACAAGAAAAGGAGAAAATCTCATGGTTTTAAAGCACAGTGGACTGGGGATTATTTTATCCAATTAGATGGTAAAGCATTAGGTTTATTATGCCCTTCTAAAGAAATAGAATATATATTGCCATTACCAGGCTAAGCACTTACAGTGTTCCAAATTCATAGGAACATAATTCTCATAAAAATTCAAAAATTTGAAATGTAATATGTTACAACAGCAGAATTTTTCATGCACTCACTTTTTCTCTCACTCACTCTCACACTGAAAAGGAGGCTGGACTTAATATAAGATTTTGAATGACCCATTTGTTAGCAAAGCAAGGAGAGCTATTTACTAATGGTAAGTTAGTAAATTTTCATTGTAGCAGCTAAAGAATATTTTCAGAAAAAAATTACATTTTTAAAAATATCATTAGCCATTTGGTGACCATAGTTGCTTTAAGAATTGAGGACATTAGGCTCGTTGCAGTGGCTCACACCTGTAACCCCAGCATTTTGGGAGTCTGAAGCAAGAGGATCACATGAGCCCAGGCGTTCAAGACCAGCCTGCGCAACATAGTGAGACCCTATCTTTTCAAAAATAAAAATAAAAAGAGTATTGAGGATTTTAGGCCAGGTGTGGTGGCTCATGCCTGTAATCTCAGCACTTTGAGAGGTGAAGGTGGGAGAATCCACTTGAGCCCTGGAGTTTAAATTCAGCCTGGACAAATGGCAAGACCCTATCTCTACCAAAAAAACCCCCCAAAAAAACAAAAACAAAAACAAACCAGAATTGAGGACATTAGCCAGGCATGGTGGTGTGCACTTGTAGTCTTAGCTTCTTGGGAGGCTGAGATGGGAGGATCCGTTTGATCCCAGGAGTTTGAGTTCAGCCTGGGGAGCATAGCAAGACCCCATCTCTAAAATAAAAACAAAAAAGTGAATTGAGGACATTGGGTGTAACATCGGTAGTCAGTTAAAGAAGATAGTGGTTTTACTTGGCTCTGATGAACCAACAGATGTTACTGACACTGATCAGTTATTCAAAGAGCCAATGCTGAGTTTGAAGTGACTGAAAAATTAGCTTTCATGAAAAGTCGATGAAACATCTGCAGACGTGAATATTTTCAAAAAATTTGAGAAAACACTAATTCAGCATAATCTGAAGTAGAATCTGTTAAGATGTGTTGCTACTGATAGTAGTAAAAATATATGTGGAGGCCGGGCACAGTGGCTCAAGCCTGTAATCCCAGCACTTTGGGAGGCTGAGGTGGGCAGATCACTTGAGGTCAGGAGTTCGAGACCAGCCTGGCCAACATGGTGAAACCCCATCTCTACTTAAAAAAAAAAAAAAAAATTAGCAGCGTGTGGTGGCATATGCCTGTAATTCCAGCTACTTTAGGAGGCTGAGGCAGGAGAACTGCTCGAACCTGGGAGGTGGAGGATACAGTGAGCTGAGATGATGCCATTGCACTCCAGCCTGGGTGACACAGCAAGACTCTGTCTCAAAAAAAAAAAAAGAAATATATATATATATATAAAATATATTAAAATACATATTTATATCATAAACTTTGTAGATTTCTCCACTTAACCTTTTTGCTCCATATATATTTTAAATATACATTATACATATATATGGATCAGAAAAAAGGGTTAATTGGAGAAATCTACAAAGTTTGTGAAACTATAAGGTTGTAAAGCCTATGGCTATTCATTGTATTATTTATTAGCAGCTATTTTGTAGACAACATTTGAATCTATGATTTATTATTTGAATATCATTTATTATTGAACCAGTATTATCAACAGTGAACTTCATTTGCTGTATGAAGAGATAGTTCTGTAAGTTTTTATCAGAAATTTAAGCTGTATATTTGACTTGCCTGACCACCCATCAGTTTGATTACTGCAGTTGTTTGAGCTTATGGTCAAGATTCAAATTTTTCTAAACAAGGAGAAGCTCCTTCAACTACTGTTATTGCATATGAAATGGCTTTGAAAATTAGCTTTTACTGAAGACTTTATATTGTTTCTTTTCTTTCTTCTTCTTCGTCTTCTTTTTTTTTTTTTTAGAAACAGGATCTTGCTATGTTCTCCAGGTTGGTCTTGAACTCCTGGACTCATGTGATCCTCCTGCCTCAAGCTCCCAAAGTGTTGGGATTATAGGTGTGAGCCATCATGTCCCTGGCTAATACATTATTTCTTAATGATACTGATATTGTTGTTGTTTGTTTCTTTCTTTCTCTCTCTCTCTCTCTCCTTGTTTCCTTCCTTCCTTCCTTCCTTCCTTCCTTCCTTCCTTCCTTCCTTCCTTCTTTCCTTCCTTCCTTCCTTCCTTCCTTCCTTCCTTCCTTCCTTCCTTCCTTTCTTTCTTTCTTCTTTGTCTCTTTTCTCTTTTCTCAACAGGGTTTCACTCTGTCACGCAGGCTGGAGTGCGGTGGTGCTGTCTTGGCTCACTGCAACTTCCACCTCCCTGGTTCAAGCAATTCTCCTACCTCAGCCTCCCAAGTAGCTGGGACTACAGCCTCATGCCACCATGCCCAGCTAAGCTTTTTGTATTTTTAGTAGAGACAGGATTTCACCATGTTGACCAGCCTGGTCTCAAACTCCTAATGTCAAGCTATCCACTCACTTTGGCTTCCCATAGTGCTGGGATTACAGGTGTGAGCCACTGTGGCAGCCTTTATATGGTTTCTTAATTTTGAGGCATACCAGTGCTTATATGTAAAACTTATACTATGGTAAAGTTATTTGACAGCAGCTAATGTAGTTTGAATCACAAGTAATGTCAAGCTGCTTTATATACAATGTCCCATTCTGTCAAAAGTTAAAACAAGAAGTGATACTTCTATTTCCACACACATTTGTAGCAGATGTTTGTGGGCTCAAACTATAGTTTTAGCAATATTGATGCCAGAGCAGAGATAACTTCTTTATTTCAAAATCCATCTAACACTGCAATCACGGAGCTTCTACCTTATGTTACATTAGAAGTGATTAATCTGCAATCTACATGCTAAAGGGGAAATATCAAGAAAAAGCTCTGATAGAATTCTATAAATGCTTTCTAAGTGATAAATATGCTTAATTTAAATCATATGCTATTGGATTTATATCAGTATTTGGGAGTATCTATTTGTATATAGAGACATTCAAAGTTGAAATATGTGAAATTATTATAGATCAATGTTAACAGATGAATATTTGCGATCAATTTTGATTGATAACAGTAACTTTGGCCAGGCACAGTGGCTCACACCTGTAATCTCAGCACTTTGGGAGGCCGAGGCAGGTGGATCATGAGGTCAGGAGTTCAAGACCAGTCTGGCCAATATGGTTAATCCCCATCTCTACTAAAAATACAAAAAATTAGCTGGGCGTGGTGGCGTGCGCCTGTAGTCTCAGCTTCTCGGGAGGCTAAGACAGGAGAAACGCTTGAACCCGGGAGGCGGAGGTTGCGGTGAGCCCAGATTGCACCACTGCACTCCAGCCTGGGTGACAGAATGAGACTCTGTCTCAAAAAAAAAAAAAAAAAAAAAGTAACTTTAAACACCAATTAAATGAAATGTTATTTCCCCTAAAAGAATTACATTCTTCTCATTACTAAACCTGATAAACAAAAAATTTTATTGTTATTAATATTCCTAAATTTGTCAGTAAAAGTTTTTTGTTTTATAAGTACCTAGATAATGTCCTTGGTTTTTTTCTCATTACCCATAGAGCCCAAACTATTTACTACCTGGCCTTTTACAAAGAAAGCTTTCTGACCCTCATCTTCTTCTAAAAGAATAATAGATGTCTAATTAGAAACCAGTTATGCATTGGGTTGAGTATCCTTTATTAGCATTTTAAAGTTCTTGCATTTCGAAAATACTAAAAATACTCAAATTTAGAAAAGTTAGTTGTCTTCATAATGTAATTTAAATGTTTGAAGTGTTACAAAAGAGATTCACCTGCAATTAAATATCAGCAGAGTGTGTCCTGTACCCTTATCCTGCAACACTTTTCTCCTATAGTAACTGAATGACTTTGGAATTCAGGGCTTTGTATTTTTACCTTTTTTTAAAGCTTATTTTTGCTTTCTTTTCTTTTCTGTTTTTTTTTTGTTTGTTTGTTTTTTTTTTTTTTTTTTTTTTTTTTTTTTTTTTTTTGAGATGGAGTCTTGCTCTGTCGACCAGGCTGGGGTGCAGTGGCGTGATCTTGGCTCGCTGCAACCCCTACCTCCCGGGTTCAAGCGATTCTTCCACCTCAGCCTCCTGAGTAGTTACAGGTGGGACCACCATGCCTGGCTAATTTTTTGTATTTTAGTAGAGATGGGGTTTCACCATGTTCCCTGGGCTAGTTTCAAACTCCTGAGCTCAGGCAATCAGCCCACCTCAGCCTCCCAAAGTGCTAGGATTATAGGCATGAGCCACTGCCCCCAGCCTGTTTTTGCTTTCAAATGGACTGTTGATGGTTTTCTCAGAGTGCTTTACTTTTGAAGTCCAGTTTGTACTGGAAAGAATTTATATTCCAGGCTGGGCACAGTGGCTCATGCCTATAATCTCAGCACTTTGGGAGGCCAAGGCAGATGGCTCACTTGAGTCCAGGAGTTCAAAACCAGCCGGAGCAACTTGGCAAAACCTCGTCTCTTAACAAAAATATTTTAAAATGAGCTGGTTATAGTGCTGCATGCCTATGGTCCCAGCTACTTGTGGCACTGAGGTAGGAGGTTGGCTTGAGCCTGGGAGGCGGAAGTTGCAGTGAACCCAAATCGTGCCACTGCACTCCAGCCTCCATTACAGAGGGAGAGCCTGTCTCAAAAAAAGGAAACGAATTTATATTCCACATTTTACTGAGTCTAGTGTGAGTTTTTGTTTAAAAAAAAACAACCCAGGAATAATTTCTTCAAATTCATAAGCATGGCAGGCAGTTTTATTTTAAATTCTGTGGGAAATATGAATTTAAGGATCTCATGTACCATGCCTTGATAATCATTTCTCTGTAATGTATATTTTGGCAAATGATATTGTTATGAAACATACTTTTGCATTAATATTAACTTTATGCATAATAAAGATGCATCTTCAGTTTTTTGTTTGTCCTATGAGAGTTTACAGCTGGGGACATCTTTTACAAAAGTATATTTATAACCTGTTCAGAAGATATGAAACACAATAATGAGATAATCACCTATGTATTTTTCAGTTAGCAGTTACAAAAGGATTATTGACACTTATAGTTGTTAATATCTCAGTAAAAACATACTCTTGTGCTTATTTTAAAATTGAACGCTAGTCTATATTTTTAAAGTTTCCTTTTATGGAATATTTTGTCTTTTGGCACTTTGCATCTGGATTATAGTTCCCCCATTTAAGAAAGAAACCTGTTTCTATTCAATAGGATTAAAAACACACTTTCAGTTTTAGAGCAGATTTATCATCTACCCTTCAGGCTATTCTTTAATATGGAGCTCTTAAAAATGAGTATATTAAGATATTCCCCAGATGTTTTAAACTTCAGCAAACTTGTGGTTTTCTTTATTTGTAGTATTTGGAAGATGAAAGAAAGTATCTCCAGTATCTAAACACTTTTCATATTGGTTTTAATGTTGTTTTTTTTTTTTTTTTTTTTTTTTTTGCTAGAAAGGCATGCACAAGATAAAGCTTCTACACTGATAAATTTTCAAAGTCCTTGCTTTTAAAATATCAAGCTGGGTGCAGTGGCTAACGCCTGTAATCCCAGCACTTTGGGAGGCTGAGGCGGGTGGATCACCTGAAGTCAGGAGTTCGAGACCAGCCTGGCCAACATAGTGAAAACCCGTCTCTACTAAAAATATAAAAAATTAGCTGGGTGTGGTGGCTGGTGCCTGTAATCTCAGCTATTAGGGAGGCTGAGGCAGGAGAATCGCTTGAACCCGGGAGGTGGAGGTTGCAGTGAGCTGAGATCGCACCATTGCACTCCAGCCTGGGCAACAAGAGTGAAACTCTTGTCTCAAAAAAAAAAAAAGGTATTGTCAAAATGAGAGTTGTATTAGCAGTAATGTAAAAGTAATATTGTATGTCTGTATACTTTTGAATTTACATTGTTATGTGATTCATATTTGTTTTGTATAGCTGTAACATTTGGTTAATTGTTTAGTGGGTTATTGAATAGATTATTTTCTTCATTACTTAGTACAGTGGGGATTGAGAATGCTTTGTATCAAGTGTCTTACAAGTATTGGGAAGTTCGAATTAAAAATATTAAAGATGTCAGTCATTTACTTCTTTTTTTTTTTAAGGTGGTAGCCCAATTGAAAATTTTCTGCAAAATCAGTAACTAAGTTATTTTTCCACAATTATAAACTTAGTTGATGGCATTTATTGAGTGCTTACTACGTTCAAGGTAAATGAAATGAAAGAGTGGAATAGTGCATTATACACGCACACACTCAAGGGAAGCAAGTATAAACACCTTATTTCATCTCACTTGTTTAGAAATTTGATTTTGTTTTTTCTTGCTGGGTAACATATCTGTGTTAATCGAAAATTTATGACTTAGAGTGGAATTTCTCTAAAAAGCAGTAGGTGACAGGGATACAAGATAAATAATTTCATCAGAGAATAGAAATTCTTTTTTACAATGGATAAAATTGTGCTTGTAACAGGGATACAAGCACAAACCAAATCAATGTTTAATTATTTTAAAAATATTCAAGGGAAATCTAGTTTTGTTAAAATTTGTATAGGTTGGTAGTGTGCATGTTCTTAAAAATCCAAGAACAATAGCAGCAGCAATTCTTATTTAATCTTTCTTTAGTGTGTCCATTCAACCATTCATTCATCAATTTTTTTTTCTGTGTACCCATTATTCATCAGGCACTATGCTTAAATATCGTGGAACACAAAAAGAAATAGTCTTTAATGCTGTGTTTTACAAATGAGGAAACCTAATCTCGGAGAACTTAAATTACAGTTGTCCTTTGGTATTCATGGGGGATTGGTTCCGGGAACTTCCTCAGATACCAAAATCCAAGGATTCTCAAGTCCCTGATATAAAATTCTGTGGTATTTGTATATAACATATGCATATCCTCCCATGTACTTTAATTTCTAGATTACTTATAATACCTAATATAATGTAAATGCTGTGTAAGTAGTTGTTATACTCTCTTGTTTAGGGAATAATGTCAAGGAAAAACACTCTTTACATGTTCAGTACATATTTTTCCAAATATTTTCAATCTGTGGTTGGTTGAATCCATGGATGTGGAACATACGGATATGGAGGGCCAGCCGTACTTGCCCCATGTCATATAATTAGATGAATATAGAATTAAAGCCAGGTCCGTCTGACAGAGCGTTTGCTTCTAACCATTGAGGAATGTTGCCTACCCTGATGACTCTACTATAGGAAATCATATATTGATATCAAATTGATCTTATATGTCTGTAGTGAGGAACTTGGCCATGTTGGACCTATCCCCTTCCCTCCTTGCTCCTCTCCTTTCTTCCTCCCTTACCCCCACAGCTTCACCCCTCCCTTAGCTCTTTTTTCTGACAGGTGGCTGTTTCCATCCCTGTTTGCTGGCACCTTCTCCACTTAAATTTTGGTATATCCCTTGGTTCCACTCTCTGTGTTCTTCTCTTGTGTATGAGTGTGGATTTTGTGTTTGCTTATCCTGTGTGGAGTTTCTGAGCTTGAATCTGTTAAGAGTATGTCATTAATCAAATTTGGAAATTTTTAAGCCATTTTTTTTTCTTTCTTTCCTTTCCTTTTCCTTTTTTAGAAGCAGGTTCTTGCTTTGTGGTTCAGGCTGCAGTGCAGTGGCACAATCTCAGTTCACTACAGCATCAAACTCTTGGACTGAAGTGATCGTCCTGCCTCAACCTCCTGAGTAGCTGGGACTACAGGCATGCATCACTATGCCTGGCTATTTTTATTTTTTTGTAGAAGTAGGGTCTCACTATGTTGCCCAGGCTGGTTTCAAACTCGTGGGTTCAAGCAGTCCTCCTGCTTTGGCCTCCCAAAATGCTGAGATTATAGTTGTGAGCCACCATGCCTGGTCAAGCCATTATTTTTTCAATTTTTTTTTTTCTGCACCGCACTTCTTTTCTTCTGTTACTCATGCACAAATTTAGATCTTTTAGTATTGTCCTATAGGTCTGAGTCTTTTTTCATTTTTTAAAAAAATCCTTTTTCTGTCCTGCAGATTGGAAAATTTTTATTGATTTATTTTTAAGTATACTGATTAACAGTCTTCTTCATTTTACTATTAAGCCCATCTAGTTAGTTTTAAATTTCTAGTTATTGAATTTTTAAATTCTAATATTTTTATTTTATCTTCTTTATCTTCTGTTTCTTTGCTGAGTCTTTTCACTTTTTCTAGCTGTCTGAAGAGTCCTAGTAGTTTGTGGTTCCCTGGAGCTCTCCGCCTTGGTAATCCAGCCAGAGAACTGGGGCTTTATTTTCTCAGCTCTGCACATACTTCCTGTGACTGTAACCATGTCTGGGTCTAAGTAGTAGGCAGATACTCTTCTCTTGCTTTTTTCTTTCTTGTGTTTTAGTCAAATTATTTTACCTCTTATTATAACTTTGTTTATTATTATTTACCAACACTTTATATGCAAATTGTAGATTATTCAGATTGTATCTTCTACCAGAGTGTTCACTCTTTTCTGTATGAGGCTGATACGGAGTGAGGGGAGAGCTTATTACCTTAATAAAAATTAAGGGTTAAGCTAGGTCAAAGTTGATTTTTCAGTGTTGACAGTTCAGTTGAGCCTGTTTGCTTCTGTTCCTAGAGCCTGAACCTCTAGGACTTTTAATTGATACCAGTGGTCTCCGCTCTGAAACAGTCCACCAGAATGAGGGTACCAAACTGACCTCAGAGGTTTCCAGGTTAATGCAGAGGTTTCTAGCTTAATTTCTTTCTGCCTTCAAAATTTGGCAATTATGTCAAAGGGGAAAATGATCTTTTGTTTTAGGTTTTCA
This sequence comes from Homo sapiens, assembly GCF_000001405.40. Classification (NCBI taxonomy): domain Eukaryota; kingdom Metazoa; phylum Chordata; class Mammalia; order Primates; family Hominidae; genus Homo; species Homo sapiens. Next base: position 74,306,951 of record NC_000010.11, read on the forward strand.
GTTTCCAATGTTACTACTTCAGCCTTATGTAATTGCTAAAATCCCTACTGTTTTCCCCCTATTGCCCCCTTCCTTATCATTATCTTCTGCTAAGCACAAAGTGTGAATTTTCAGGTTCCACATGTAACCAGTATAAGTATATCCTTCCCCCCAAACCCCAGTGGAAATGTGCCACGGATCCTTATTTTTATTCTCCACTCCTTCTAGGGCTTTCATTTCTTGCCTATTATGTTTTTAGTTGCTCTTTTCTTGTTCTGTCTTTGTAAGCACAGCTAGAGTCAGAGAACTTTCTGCTTTTGGAACTATTTTGGTTAACCTCTTTAACTTAGCATTCAGTTTCAGAATTCAGCAAATGTGTTTTGGGGCAAACTAGCTGTGTGTTTTAGGTTTGGGAAATGTCAAATTTTGTTTCTCTGTCTTCATGCTTCTGGCTGCAAATGTTGGCAGGTGGAACAAAAAGCTGCCAGTTCTGGCCTGCCCCTGTGAACAGGTCTCACCTCTCCGGAAATTTATCCACTTTGTCCTTGTTGCTTCAGAGCTCTTTGGTACCATTAACAATGTGACTTATGATTTATATGGCCTTCCTAGGTGTCATCAGTAGGAATGTTGGCTGTGATGCAGTATATGCTACCCAGAATCGGAAGTTCCATATATTATGTTTTGATAAGAGATTTTAGGTGTTTGAGTATTTCTGATGAGTGACATTTTTTGAAGTTTGCTAGAGAGAAATAATTAGCTAGTTATTGCTTAACTACTCTCTCTCCATATCTATTACATATGTTTCTGGAATATTTCTATGGTCAGAGAAACTCAGGCCCATTATAAACCATGGACTCTGGTAGAAATAGAAGCTGAAAGCAAACCAGTAAGGGAGGTGGAGTGTATAATTTGTGTTTTGGAAGTACCTGCCGGTGGACTTGGGGGTGATGCTCTAGGTTTACCATGAGATTACTCATCTAATTTTGAGAACCACTGTCCTGCAGTATTTTTCTTTTGCTTACATATGACTTTTTCTTTTTATGATTTAAAACTAAATGTCAACCAGTTACTATTTAATGAAAATCATAAATTGGTTTAGTGAAATTTTGTTGTGTTCTTACAATGGGTAGAAACCTAATGCACTTATCATGCATCTAAATTTAGGAATAATTCATTTTATTTTAATCATCTATACTTATATACAAAATGCTTTTCAGCAGTATATTTGATTATCTTAGGTACAATGATCTTCATGTTCAGAGTTATAAATGGGAATAATTAAACCTTTAAACATATTAGAGTTGAATAAGGGCTTATCTAAGCAATACATGCTTAAAATTGCTTTCTTATCAAAAAAATAAAATTGGAGGTTCAAGAAGTGTCTTTAAATTACAATCCTTATGAACTAATAGCTTAACCTTAGTTTTGAATAACTGTTACTTTTTCCGTCTTTTAAAAAGATGCTTAAAAATAAACGCATGTCGAAAATGTTATTTTGGCTTTTAGCAAACTGACATTTGAGTTTTTTAAAACCTCACTAAACATTTGTGGTAAAAGATTTCAAAGCTTTGAATTTTACAATTTGCCTGTCGATTCCCCCCCTGTGTTATTCTATTAACATTTGATCTTAATAAGTATAACCTGTTTAGAATGACTTATGTTTTTAATTATTTGTTTAGATGAGAAGTTTAAGGAATAACTTCATCAGAAATTCTACTTGGCAGTTATGAATGCTTTCTTAAGGAAGTTAAATTTTTGGAATTTCACTGTAAAGATTTTAATCACATGTCCTATTCTTCATACATCAATCTATAAATGTTCAAAAATTGTTAATGTTGTTTTTATGCTGTGCTGATGTTAACACAACGTGAGGTCTTCTTTCTTCTCCTGATAATATGCTGAGCGCACACACACTCTCATATGCTCACTCGCTCTCTCTCTCTCTCCTTCCCTCCCACCCCTGAGTTTGAAATAAGTTAGTGGCTTTAGTTTCTTTGAAAATGGAAAGCAATTGCCCTTAGGTAGAACTGGAAATTGTAAAGTGTTGGTTTTGTGGACATTTTCCTGTTCATAATTCTTGTTATATCTTATTTATAAGTACTTTTATTCATATAGGAATAAATGATTCTATGTTGAAGGGTATAATCATGAAGTCTTTTTTATTTTTTCGTGTTAGATAAGGAGAAAAATGACACATTAAAAATTACAGTGCTATTTGTGTTTTAAAATTTCTTCTGTCGCTTTTGTATTCCTTATTGTTCTCTTCACTTTTTCTATTGTTTTTCTAGCTTTTCAGGATACATTTTCTAAATGCATCCTAAATATAACTTACAATAGTTGCCTTTTATTTAAAAGTAATACATTTAGTTTCCAACCACAAAGTGTTTAATTCTACATATTTCTATTTTTATTTTACATGATCTTAATATATCCTTGATTACTGTGTTGATCTTCTAGTTTTTAGGCTGCCACTTATACCATCAAAAGCCATTTAAACTGGACTTAGAGGATAATGAATCTAAATTTTCTTATCTTCCTCAAAACAACAGATACAATTAAAGTCACAAATAAGCTGTACCTTCAGAATTGCTAGGAGACAGAACATAGTAAGAATTCAAATCTCTTATAAGCAGAGTTATAAACATCATATTCCAATATTGATTCTGCTGCTTTGTCTGTACATTTGGAGAGCAGAGGTAGCAGGGAGGTTTAAGAGACTGAAAAAAGGGAGAGGGGTGTATGAAGTGTAGATCAGTAACAAACACCATCACTCTTGAAAAGAAAAAGTCCAACAGAGGTCCTAGACCTGTGTTTTAGACAGGTGGGAGGACAGTAAATTAATTTTTAAAGACAAAATAATTATATTGAATGAATTTATTGATCATTTTGTTGAACAGTTAGTATAAGGACATCCCGTATTATATTTCAGCTTTCATAAACTATAAGTGTTTATGTCTTATATTTTGTGTTCTTTCAACTTTATCTTAATTTGCTTCTGTTATTTTTAATGCCATTTTTGTACATTTGTTTAATATTACTATATTCATCTTTGTTGTAATTTTTTCCTGTAATAATGTAACATAAATAATTATAATATTACAAAGTTTATTAAATTTCTTCCAATGATAATTAATATAGTAGGCTTGTGGTGGAAAAATGGATCAGGTACTGTCCTTCCAATTCTGTCAGGCTTTTGATTGAGGTGTTTATATGGCCACCCCGTTCAGACAAAGAATGTCAACCAAAAGGAGAAAGTAAGAAGGAATCTATAAATTACTAAAATTCCCATACTTTATTTCCTATGGAAAAAGTCATGTAAGGAAAATATATAGAAGTTTCCCGTAAAATGTAATAATATCATAAACTCTTTCATCCTTAAACACCTGTTAGTCTTGCCACAGCACAATCAGTTCCCTAAAGATAAATATTTCTTGGTTTGTTAGTTGGCTACTTAGGAGTTCCTTTTCCTTCTTATGAGTTTTCTTCTCTCCTGTATTTCTTTTCTAACACCATCCAACTGGTTATCCAAACTAGCAACCTCAGAATTTTCATCCCTCTTCCACATCTTACATTTCTTTATCACATCCTGTGTCTTCAACTTCGGAATGATTCCTTACTTTGGTCTCGTCTCTCTATCCTGTCTTTCGTATGAGCTATTCTAAAGGCAGGTGGTCTGCTTCTCTTTACTCTGTCCAGTGTTATCATCATTTTTAAAAAGTCTGCTTTTCACACTGTTGCTAAATAGAGTTTAATAATTTCTAGTAGCCTTCAGAATAATGTCTACACTTATTAGCCTGATAGTTACCTTTTCTTTGTCAGTTTTTACTACTTTGATTTTGACCTGCATTTTAGTCTGTGTTTAACTGGTTTTTCTGAATACGTCATGTTTATTGTTTTAGCCTCAACCCTGAATTTTTTTTTTCTCCCTTAAGTGTCAAATTTCAATTCAGATGTTAAACTTTCCCTGCCTTTTTCATTCAGAATCACTTCTTTCTTTGCTCTTGTTTTTTATTCAGCTTTGTTCTATATATGGTTCTTTAAAAATAATTGTATGGAAAATTGCTATGTTCTTTTATTATAAAATGAAGTTGATTTTTCATTACAAAACAGTTTATATGCTTATTGCACAATCTAAACAGATGTATAAAAGAGCCATAATTGTTCCTAATTTGGCGATAACTACTGTTAATACCTTGGTTGTATTCTTCCAGGTTCTTTTCAGTAGACATGTATATTGGGTAATTTTGTTTACACAAAAAGATTACATTGTGCATCAGTTTTCATAAATTAGCACTTCTCATTTGAAATAACATGGAAAATACCTATCAATAGATGTAAATCTATTTTAAATCTGTAACATTTAAAAATGTTTAACACTTAAGTAGAAGCAACACATACACATAGTAAAACTACATCAAGGTGGAAAATTAAACGCTTATTTGAAGACTTCTAATTTTGGGAAATTGACTAATTCTGCTATTCTTCAGGATTTCTCAGGCCAAAATTCAGAACAAGGCTAAATTTGCCCATTTCCACCTACTATTATTTATTCTTTCTTTATATTATGCTAGAGCTTGTAGGCTCTGTACTAACACAAGAAAGGGGAAGAAAAAAATTGTCCTTATTCACAAATGATAATTATGTTTAATTTATTAAAAACACATAAATCATTGGAGTTAATTAAATATTAGAAACTTGGCTGGAAAAAATTGATATAAAGAATGTTTCTAAATATCAGCCACAAATAAAGATTAAACAATATCATAATAGTATTAAAACATAGGAAGTATGAAGTAGTGATCAGAATAAAAGATGTGGAGGCTTTGTGGCAAACATTATGAAACTTTGAGAGATACTGTAATCATGGATTAGATGATTTAATATTGGAAATATATCACTTTTCCCAGCATAGATATAGATAAGTAGTGCAATCACTGTTAAAATCCTAACAAGTTGGGCTGGGCATGGTGGCTCACACCTGTAATACCAGCACTTTGGGAGTCCGAGGCAGGCAGATCACGAGGTCAAGAGATGGAGACCATCCTGGCCAACATGGTGAAACCCCATCTCTACTAAAAATAGAAAAATTAGCTGGGCATGGTGGGATGCGCCTGTAGTCCCAGCTACTTGGGAGGCTGAGGCAGGAGAATCACTTGAACCAGGGAGTCAGAGGCTGCAGTGAGCCGAGATCGCGCCAGTGCACTCCAGCCTGGCAACAGAGCGAGATTCTGTCTCAAAAAAAGAATCCTAACAAGTTGGTTTTTGGAGTTTGACAACTAGTTGTAAATTTATATGGAGTGCAAAAAACCAAGAACGGCCAAAGCACTCATGAAGAACAACAGGGTAAGGACACTTGTAGATAGAGTGTGTGTGTGTGTATGTATATATATGTGTGTATATATATTATATATGAGAGATAGTTATAAGATACTGGGGTTTCTAAGTCAGTCCAGTGTGTTTTTTCTTAACCTGGGTAGTGGTTACACAGACATTCACTTTTTTTTTTTTTTTAGAACAGAAAGTTTCTAAGAATTTATAGCACCAAGACATTCATTTTTTAAAAATTGCACATTTATTTTACTTATCCTAGAGAAATTTATAAAAAACAAAAGTAAACTATAAACACCAGTTAAAAAAATCCTTTTATATTAACTCCATAGAGATGCAAATACTGTTAACAGTTAATGTTTTCAGGGGCCTGGCTCCATGGCTTGCACCTGTAATCCTAGCACTTTGGGAGGCTGAGGTGGGAGGATCGCCTGAGCTCAGGAGTTCGAGATCTGCTGGGCAACATGGTGAAGCCTGTCTCTAAAAAAAAAAAAAATACAAAAAAAATTAGCCAAGTGTGGTGGTGCATGCCTGTATTCCCAGCTATTTAGGAGACTGAGGCGGGAGGATCCCTTGAGCCCAGGAGGTGGAGGCTGCATTGAGCTATGTTTGCACCACTGCACTCCAGCCTGGATGAAAAAGGAAGATTCTGTCTCCAAAAAAAAAAAAAAAAAAAAAAAAAAGTTAATGTTTTTAGCTTACCATTATAAGTCTAAATAATGAATTTGTGCTTATTTTTAATTAACAAACTTATACAATGTCTGTAAACTCTATACTGGAAGATGAAGAATGTAGTGCACTTACACTGTTTTGCCTTTTTATTCTTCCTTATATTTGCTTTAGTTTGATTTTTTATTGATTGACTTTATGACTTCAACAATATATTTAAAACCTTTTTAAAAACTTGATTTTTAACATTTGAGATATTTATGGAGTCTTCTCCATGAAAGGGAGAATTTTGCATGCAATAGTGTATGATGGGCACTTTTAACTTTTTTATGGCTTTCTTTTTCAAAGTCATACACCACTTTACTTTTCTTTTAACCTAATTCCATCTTTCTTCTGTTTTTTTTGGGGGGGAGAGGTTGGAACATCTCCTTAGTAATTTTTTCCACATAGGAAAAAGGATTATTAAATATTACTTTGCCTTATTAACCTGATAATTTGAGTACATATTGAAAATTTCTAGTTTCAAAAATTTCCTCCCTTCTCAGCATAGAATACATTACTCCATTATATTTTTAGCATCCGGTATTCTTTGAGAAGTTAAGTATTAGTCTGATTTTTATTCCTTTTAAGGTAATTATTATTTTTCACATTATATGCTTTAAAGGTTTTATCTTAATATGAGAGATTAAACAAGATGTGTCCAAGTATGGGGTCCTAGTCCCTAATCCCTTGTAAAACTGCTTGATGTTTGGAAAAATCTGACCATATTTATGTTTCACCTTTTTTTTTTCCAACATTTCTCTCTTACTCTTCATAATCTCTATTTTCCCTTTCTGTATTTCCTGTTAAACAGATCTCAGACCACCTAATAAATTCTCTACACCTTTTAATTTTTATTTCATATTTTTAATTTCTTATATTTTCTATCTACTTTTTTGGTCTTTTTAAAAATTTCAACTTTTCTATTTTTATCTTAGTTTTTACCCATGCATATTTTGATTGCTCAGGTAATCCATCCAACTATTGATTTTTCAAAAATTTTTCAATAATTGTTAGTGTACAGAAACTGTGTCATTCTCTAGCTGCATCTTTTCATATAATTAGATAGGTCTGTTTGTGGCATCTTTCTTTCCTTGCTTTACAGGCAGTACTGTTATACTTTTGTTTATTTTTATACATAAAACATATTTTTTGACGTTTAGTAAGATGTGGAAGAGGAAATGAACATATACTTCATCTCTTTTGAAGTGTAAGGTCTTATAATTTTCATACTTCTTGAACTGATTCCAAGGGTAACATTAAGTGAAATTTTGTTTAGTTTCTATAGAAAACTCTGTTAGTTGTCTGGAATGAGGAGAAATACATGCTGATTTCTGTATGTTTGTAGTAACAAGTGATTCTGAGACTGGGATTCTGATTTTGACTTAACCAGTTTGCCACGTGACCTCCATTTGGCAATCTATTAATTATTACTTTTACTTTCTGTTTAGTTTAATGGCCAATTATGGACAGTCTGTTTTAAATTCTTAAATTCTTATAGTTGTACACTTATGGAAAACATTTCTTAAATGTGGAAATTTAGTATTTTTGTTATAAGATATTTCAATTCATTTATTCAACATACTTAAACAATAAAAACATTTTACTATTTGTGTTTTAATACTCTTCTGCTCAGAAAAGTTTACTTTGTTGCAACTCACAGAAGGTAACTTACTTTTTTCTACTGTGATTTCCTTATAGGTTTGATGAACTTGTGAAAAAATTCAAAGTCGAATATCATGCTGGTGGCTCTACCCAGAATTCAATTAAAGTGGCTCAGGTTGGTTAATTATTTTAAAAGTTAAAAGGATTCAAAATGATTCTAGACCCATGTCTATTTTGCATAATTGTTTCCTTTTATATTGTGTTGCTGTAGAATAGTTTTGTTCATTTGAATTGGGATTTTAGTAGTCATTGCACATCTAATCAAAAGTTATTTTAATTGGTATTTCTTTGGTTATTGGTAAGCTTGAACTTTTAATGTTTATTGTTCATTTGTGTTTCTTCTTAAATTGTTTCCTTTCACTATCATTTTATAATTTTTCATGTTACAGATTTGTAGAAACTTCATATTTTATAGATAGTATTCCTTTTTATTTTATAAGTTGAAAGTATTTATTTTTTGTTATGTGTACATTAACTCTTACAGTGTCTTTTACTGTGCCTTAGTTCTTAATGTAACTTTCAAAGTTTTTAACGTAATTAAACTTTATGGCTTCTTCATTTCCTGCATGTCCCCCTTACGAAGGACGTTTCTGCCACAAGATAGTAGAAATTGCTCTGTATTATATATAGATATCTATATACATAAATGTACATTCATATATTCATACCTAAATATCTATGTATAGACATATATGTTGGTAGATATGTATATGCATCTATATATCTATACCGGTGTATATCTTTTATAAATCTATATATCTGTCTCTATTCCCATATCTTCCAATGAGTAATTGAATAAACCCATTAGGCATATACTCTTTGAGTTACCAGCTTAACCTAATCTTGATTGAGAGAGTTAGTGATCTGTTTAATCTTCCAGCTTTGAAAGATATGAACAAGTTTTACATACCTCTGGTTCTTACCTCTGCAGTTTGAAGTTAACTCAAAATTCTGCTCATTGCAATCATGTGTCAGTTCTGCCTACACTAGATTTCTTTTTCTTTTTTATTGATTAATGCTTTCCCCTTGAATTCTGATTAACTTCAAGAACTGGGGAAGTGGAAAATTGACAAATAAAATCCAGAATGATTTCTTTTCAAGTAACTCTTAGTTGATTGAGACATATAGTATGATTATTCCACATACTTCCAAGCTCAGATTTAATCATAGTTTTCAAATATTTTGTAAAAATGAATCTTTAAGGCGGTCATTAATATGAAGTGGCCTGAGTCTTTGTATTGGTCAATTGATTTGTATTGTTTTTGGTAAAACATCCTGGTGGTCACTTTATGAACTTCCAGAGTAATAGAAAAAGGATGATTTACGGCCAGGCACGGTGGCTCACGCCTGTAATCCCAGCACTTTGGGAAGCCGAGGTGGACGGATCACTTGAGGTCAGGAGATCCAGATCAGCCTGGCCAACATGGTGAAACCCCGTCTCTCCTAAAAAAATACAAAAATTAGCCAGGTGTGGTGGCATATGTCTCTAATCCCAGCTACTTGGGAGGCTGAGGCCAGAGAATCGGTTGAACCTGGGCGGTATAGGTTGCAGTGAGCTGAGATCATGCCACTGCACTCCAGCCTGGGCAACAGAGTGAGACTCCATCTCAAAAAAAAAAAAGAGAGAAAAAAAGGATGATTTACTTAAGCCTTAATTTATCAAGGCACGTTTTGCATTTTGCAGTTTTCAGTCTTTTCTCCTGCTAGAACTGGGGGTGATATGGTTAGGCTTTGTGTCCCCACCCAAATCTAATCTTGAATTGTAATCTGTATAATCCCCACATGCCAAGGAAGAGACCAGGTGGAGGTAATTGAGTCATGGGTGCAGTTTCCTTCATGCTATTCTCCTGATAGTGAGTGAGTTCTCACAAGATCTGATGGCTTTATAAGGGGCTCTTACCCCTTTGCTCGGCATTTCCCATTCTTGCTGCCTTGTAAAGAAGATGCCTTTCTTCTCCTTTGCCTTCTGCCATGATTATAAGTTTTCAGAGGCCTTTCCAGACATGCTGAACTGTGAGTCAACTAAAACTTTTTTCTTTATAAATTACCCAGTCTCAGGCAGTTCTTTACAGTAGTGTGAAAATGAACTAATACCGGGAGGCTATTAGCTGTTCACTAATAAATTGTCTCCTTTCTTGGGGATCTTCATCAGTTTCTGCCTTCTAAAAGTTTATTAATTATATAATTAAGTTCTCCCTCAGCTTTCTCCCTGATATTAGTCTCATAATAAAACAGTCATTGCCTACTTTTATTCTTTTGCACTTTTTTTTTTACAATATTTCACATTCATTCTAACAACGTATTCTAGTAGTGGTTTATTTGTTCCTGTCTTTAGCAAGGTAATAAAAGGAATTTGAAGCTTTGGGTAACTTATTCTGTCAGATCTTACTAGTAATCATACTTTCATGTATCAAGTGATATGGCAAATTATGTCAACAAGAAAATGTCCCCAAAGCTCTTAGGTATTTTGATATGTCAAATCATGTTTTTGAAGATTTTAATGAAACCATAGGCAACAAAAACAAGTATGGTTGATATCTTGTCCAAACACAATTCTAGATTTATTTGATACACAGCACAAATGTAAATTTTGGTAAATTTCATTTGGTCTGAACTTCTTCCTAATGAAAGTGAAAAGTTCTTATCTGCTCAATATCCTGCACAGCATGTATATAACACTGCTAAAAAGGGGTATAACTTGCTTAAGTTTGATAATTGATGCTTTCTTAATGAACACTTTTGGTTACTTTGTCAGTTTTTAAAAAATTTGTAGAAGCACTTAATGTGAGTTTTGACTTGAAAGAAATGGAAAAACGTTGGCATTGTGACTCATGCCTGTAATCCCAGCATTTTGAGAGGCTAAGTTAGGAGAATCGCTTGAGTCCAGTAGTTTGAGACCAGCCTGGACAACATAGTGAGACCCTGTCTCTAGGAAAAAAAAAAAAAAAAAGAAATGGAAGAAAATGACTTCCTTGGATATGTGCCTAAAAGATGGCTATTATTGTTGCTGGACATAGATGCCCTGCAGTACAATATTAACAAAATATGGGACCAAAGGAATGCCCATCTCTGATTTGGCAGTACATTGAGAATGAGAATGGAAAAAGAAGATTATAGTAAAACAAATATTTTTATGCTGTTTCTGGTTTTTTTGTTTGTTTGTTTGTTTCAAGACGGAGTCTCACTCTGTTGCCAGGCTGGAGTGCAGTGGCGCGATCTCTGCTCACTGCAACCTCTGCCTCCCGGGTTCAAGTGATTCTTTTGCCTCAGCCTCCCAAGTAGCTGGGACTATAGGTGTATGCCACAAAGCCCAGCTAATTTTTGTATTTTTAGTAGAGATGGGGTTTCACCATGTTGGCCAGGATGGTCTTGATCTCTTGACCTTGTGATCCACCCGCCTCGGCTTCCCAAAGTGCTGGGATTACAGGCATGAGCCACCGTGCCTGGCCTGTTTCTGTTTTTGAAGAGGCCACAAGTGGGCTAGAAAAAACACATACCAAAAAAATACTCAAATAATTTTATTTGTTCATTATTTATTAATTTTTTTGAGACAGAATCTCTTGCTCTGTTGCCTAGACTGGAATGTAGTGGTGTGATCATAGCTCACTCCAGCCTTGAACTGCTGCGCTCACAGGGTCCTCCTTCCTCCATCTCCACCTCCATCTCCTAGGACTACAGGCACACCCTACCATACCTGGCTAATTTATTTGTTGTAGAGACAGGGTCTCTGTGTGTTGCTCAGATTGGTCTTGAACTTTTGGCCTCAAGTGATTCTCCTGTGTTGGCCTCCCAAAGTGCGAGGATTACAGGTGCGAACCATTTTACCTGGCTCAAATGGCTCATTTTTATATATTAAGAGTGCTTCAGAACTCAAGTAAAAAAGTCACAGAAAAGAGCAATGAGGTTAAATAAAACTTTTTTTCAGTTTCTTTACTAAAACTGTAACTTACTTGGAATCCAGTTTTGACATCAGAAATTCAAATTCAGGTGTTTTAAAACCATTTCTGCAAGAAAGAAATTTAAGTTAGGATGATAGCCAATGTCTTTCAGAGTGTTTTAAAGTGATGGACATTTTGAACATTGATAAGCCTATATAATGAATCTGTAAACACAAGGGATATGATTCATAAAGAGCTGGAATGCCAAAACCTGCATTTAGCTAAAAGATAGATGGATATTTTTATAGAACTATAAACTAATTCCTATATCTAAACACCTATTATTGATAGTAATTAAAATCCTAAGTATTCTATGTTTACATGCTTTTGTTGAGAGGATATTTAGCTTAATGTCATTGCACTGGACTGACATCAAGAATGTGGGCTTGATGCATCAGAGGTATAAGTCACAGTGAATTTTACCTTTGACTGTATTACGTTTTACCACACATACAAGAAGGATTGACCTAATGGCTCTAGTCAAGTATAGAAAGGAAACATAAAAGTAAAAATATTTTATTATTTCTTAGGCAAAAAGAAGCATGCCTTTATTCTTTTTAATTAAATATTGGTAAAATGTTTAATCCAACTGTGGTTACGTTATTTTTTTAAAAAGTGTGATAGAAATAAACAACAGAATAATATATGATTTTGAATAAGTTCAATATTAGTTTGCTAGGGCAGTCTTAGCAATTTCAGAGACTAGGTGGCTTAAACAACAAAGATTTATTTTCTCACAGTGTTGGAGTCCCAGATCAAAGTGTTGACACCTTGATTCCTTCAGAGGCCTCGCTTCTTAGCCTGCAGATGGCTACCCTCTTTCTGCCTCTTTGCGTGGTGGTTTCTGTGTACATATGTACCTCTGGAGTGTCTCTGTGTGTCCTAATGTCTTCTTATAAGGACACCAGTCAGATTGGATTAAGGCCTACCTTACTGCCCTCATTAATTTAATTACCTTGTTAAAGACCCTATCTTCAAATGTAGTCACATTGTGAGATACTGGGGTTTAGGGCTTCAACATATGCATAGTGGCAGGAGGGTCTGTGGAGGGGTGTTTATAATTCAGCCGATAACAACTATGTGTTTTTAAATTTTTGTGTCTAAGTAATAAAACATGAATAAGTTAATTTTTGGTAGTGTTCTTTTTTGATACCTTCTTCCTTTTCTTTCCTGTATATGTTTTAGTTACTTTTATTATTTACCATTTGAATTACAATGAACATTCTAAACTCATAACAACCTAATTTGAATAATACCAATGTAGTTTCAATAATATACAAACACTCTGCTCCTTTACATCTCCATCCTCTTCTTATATATTATTACGCTCATTGATTACGTCTTTATATATTGCATGCCCATTAACATAGATTTGTAACTATTCTTTTATTCATTTGTCTTTTAAATCATATAAAAATAAAAGGAATTACAAACCAAAAGTTCAGTGATAGTGGCATTTATATTTACTATGTAGCTACTTTTACCAGAGTTCTTTACTTCTTCATATGGCTTCTGGTTACTATCAAATGTCCTTTCATTTCAGCCTGAAGGACTCTCTTTAGCATTTTGTGTAGGGCAGGTCTATTGTTAACAAACTGTCTTAGCTTGTGTTTATCTGGGAATGTCTTAAATAGCCCCTTTATTATAGGATAGTTTTGTTGGATATAGAATTCTTGGTTAACGGTGCTTTTCTTTTAGTATGTTAAATATGTCAACTCACTGCTTTTTGGCCTACATGGTTTCTGATGAGAATTAGTTCTTATTCTTACTGAGAATCCTGACTTGTGACCAGTTGCTTTTCTCTCACTGATTTCAAAATTCTTTCCTTGTCTTTGTCTTTCAGCAGTTTGACTATAATGTGTCTTGGTGTGAATCTTTTTGTGTTTATCATGTTTAGAGCTTATTAAATTCATGCTTCAAGTTCATGCTTGGATGTGTAGATTCATTCATTTTATGAAAGTCAGGAAGTTTTGGACCATTATATCTTCAAAAATTTTTTTCTTTTATTTTCTCTTTGTTTTCCTTCTGGCATTCTCATAATTAATATGTTGGTCTGTGGTGATTGTTTAGTGATAAGGATTCTGATTAAATAAGATAGAAAAAAACACCATGGTGAGTAAGCAAAGCAGAAATAGAACCCCACTGTTTTAACTAGTAACCTCAGCTTGCTTTTTTTACCGGAGATTTTTCTCTCATCCTGAGAAAACTTCAATTTTTACTTCTCTAAATGTTAGAGATTTTGAGTAGTGTTTCACATGCTTTCTTCACTTCTTACTGTCTTCTTCAATTTGGGAGTAATTGTAGGTTGTCAGAGAGAGTGTCGAATATGCATCACTTTAAATACAGTTATCAGTAAATGGACTCTTTCATTCATGCTTCCCAGAGATGACAGTTTTCCTTGGTGCCTAGATACCTTTTTGTTCCTTGGAGATTCATAGTATTATGTGACTCATTGAATTTTTCAGAAGCCTGATGGTGAGCTTCGTGAGGTATTTCTATTTAAGTTGTAAGTTCGCTTGTTTTTAAGCTTCCTGCAATTTAACTTACCTATAGTATTTTTAAATTTATTTTAAAAATGCCATCTTGGGGTATATTCTAGGCATCTCAAAAATTTTAAATACCATCTTATCCTTTGTTAACTGGAATATAAGCAGGTAATCATTTGAATCATTTTTTTTCCTGTAATTATTATAACATTGAGGCTATATGGATTTTTTTTTCTTTTTTTAATTTGAGGCAGAGTCTTGCTCTGTCACCCAGGCTGGAGTGCAGTGGTGCGATCACAGCTCACTGCATCCTTGACCTCCTGGGCTCAAGGAATTCTCCTGCCTCAGCCTCCTGAGTAGTTGGGACTATAGGTGCACACCACCACACCCACCTTATTTTTAACTTTTTTGTAGAGATTGGGTTTTGCCATATTAACCGGGCTGGTCTTGAACTCCTGGGCTCAAATGATCCTCAAGACATTAGCTTGGTCTCTTCTCAAATTAGCAGATCCTTATTTCTGTCTTATAATTTCTAATCTGCTTTTATAATTATTGACTTACATTCAATCTTCCAGTTTTTCATGTCTCTTCCAATTAGATAAGCCTCCATATTTGTATTTAACTTCCAGTAAAATTTTAACCATGTTGTTTCATTTTTAATTAAAATTTAAGAGGACTGCCTAAATGCCAGTGTGTTTATGTTGTATACATCTCGGGGCATGCTTTTAAGTGTTTTCTTGATGTAAAACATCACATAATAAACTAGTGTTCATAATTGTATTTTAAAGCTTTCCAAAATTCTATGTAAAATGAGTTTCTAAAAACACTAAACAAAAGAAGTTTTAGGAATTATGTTTGAATGAAATAGAAACATTGAACTCAAAATTGTAAAGCTGATATTTCAAGAACTACCAATTAGTGTAACATTACTAATTGAGTTACAGTATTTAGAAGTTAAAACTGATGTAAATCAAAGGACTCATGTTGTTTATCTATTTTGAATCCTTTTTTGAAAAAAGTTAATCTTTAAAGTTTTTCTGTATTAAAAAAATCTGATTATCTCTTGTGACCTATTTTACCTAGAAAAGCTAGTTAGAGGTTAAAAGGTTTTTTATGAGACATACTTCTGTGCATCGGAACAGTCCAGATGTAAATTTAAAAAGAAGAAATGACAATGAAGTGATCAAAGAGAATTCTGTGTTCAAATGCTTTCACCTGGAGCAGTTGTAGAAATGTCAGTAGCACAACTGTATTTATAATTATAGCAGGATGTGGCAGATGGTGATGCAACACCGTCTCGTCAATTCTTTGTGTCATTGAAGAAAGTAGTAAGTATTAATTCTGCCAATTTTATGATTAATGAATAATTTTAAGTAACACAGGCCCTACGAATAAGGTTGACTGTTCAAATTGTGATACCTCATTATAGTTTTTAAAGTTTAAATATGAATTAATACTCCTCTTTGCCTTTCTGTTCTCTTTCCTTTTCAAATTAGGTTGTTAAGTTTTCATAGCTAAAATAAGATGAAGGAAGCAGTGGCTTGCTGTCCTCAATTATATTTTTGATGTGTTTGTGAAATTATTATAACTTAGATCAGATTCTTTAAAGAAAAATCAGTATTTCATTTTTTCCTTTCCTCCCTTTTCTCCCTCTCTCCTTTCCTTGTCTCTCTCCTTTCCTTTCTCTCTCTTCTTCCCTTTACCCCTCCTCTCCCCTTCCCTTCTTTCTCCTCCTCCTCCCTTCCTCACATCTCTTTCCCTTCTCCTCCTACCCTTCCTCTTCCCTCCCCTCTTCTTCCTTTCTTCCTACTTTGTTTTATGCATTATGTTAAGAAATTGTTTTACTGCTATTAGTGATAACATGCTTTTAGTTCTGTCTTAGCAGTTATGGTTGTGCTCTCCAGGATAAATCTACACATATCACAGTTATCCACTTCATAAAAGAATGACATATCTCTACTCTTGTGGGCCTTAATGTCATGCAGTGTTTCTGGGTATGACATTAAACATGGGTACAATTTGAAATTGTATTTTTCTGTCTAAAAGCAAAACAAAGCTTCATCAAGAAATACTACAAGCAGTGGGACCTAATTTCATCAAGGGGATAAAACTCTATTCCTTTTTATTCTATTTTGGAATTGGAATTCAGAAACATTTTTTTTTGGTCCTATGGATGGTATATTCACTTATTTGAAATGAAAATTGAACTCAGACTTTTCTGAAAGAGTCTCATTTGTTAATTGGTTGACAAGGATGGTCTTTGCCATTTAAATGATACAGTGGTACTGTCAGCTGTCATTGTTCTTGAAAGCAAAGAAAATATTTAATTGTATTGATTTTCTGACTTACGTTCGAATTAATACACATTTCCTTCTTCTTTAAGCAACTTTATTGGAATATAGTTCACGTACAATTCACCTGTTTAAAATGTATAATCTTGTGGCTTTTAGTGTGTTCACAGATCTAGCTAGCTGTGCAACCATCACCACAGTCAGTTTCACAATATTTTCTTTTCTTTTCTTTTTTTTTTTTTTGAGATGGAGTCTCGCACTGTCGTCCAGGCTGGAGTGCAGTGGCGCGATCTTGGCTCACTGTAATCTCCACCTCCCGGGGTCACACCATTCTCCTGCCTCAGCCTCCCGAGTAGCTGGGACTACAGGCACCCGCCACTGCACCCGGCTAATTTTTTGCATTTTTAGTAGAGACGAGGTTTCACCGTGTTAGCCAGGATGGTCTCTATCTCCTGACCTTGTGATCCGCCCGCCTTGGCCTCCCAAAGTGCTGGGATTACAGGTGTGAGCCACCGCTCCCGGCCCCACAATATTTTCATTATCAAATGAAGAAACTCTATAACCATTAGTAGTCATTCCCCATTTCTCTCTCACCCCCTCATCTTCTGTCCATTCAACCCCTTGGCCCCAGACAGTCACTTATCCAGTTTTGTTTCTATAGGTTTGCCTATTCTAGACAATTATTTTTATTTTTGGAGATGGCATCTTGCTCTGTCTTCGAGGCTGGAGTGCAGTGGCACAATCATGGCTCACTGCAGCTTCCAACTCCTAGGCACAAGTGATCCTCCCACCTCTGCCTCCCGAGTAGCTGGGTCTATAGGTATGTGCCACCATGCTCAGCTAATTTTTAACTTTTAAATTTTCTGTGGAAATGGAATCTTGCTTTGTTGCACAGGCTGATGTTGAATTCCTGACCTCAAGCAACCCTCCTGCCTCTGCCTCCCAAAGTGCTGGGATTACAGTTGTGAGCCACTGTGCACAGCCTTTCACCAATTGTCAAAAACTTATTCATGTATGTGATTGTAGATTCTTTGACCAACATCTCTCCATCCTTCTACCCCTCTAATTACCCAAGCCTCTGATAAACACCATTTTACTTTCTCCTTCTATGAGATCAGCTTTGTTATAGTTCACATATGAGTTGAGATTATGTAGCATTTGTCTTTTTGTACCTGGATTATTTCTGTTAACAAGTTATTCTCCAGGTTCCTCCATGTTATCACAAATGAGAAGATTTTGTTCCTTTTTTTTGTGGATGAATAGTATTCCATTGTGTATATATATCGCATTTTATTTATTCATTCATTCATTGCCTGATAAACTCTTAGGTTGATTACATATCTTGGCTGTTGTGAATAATGAAGCAGTAAATATGGACGTGCAGATATATCTTAATCATTTCCACTGAATATGTACCCAGAAGTGGGATTGCTGGATCACATGTTGTACCGTTAATTTCTTAAGGAACCTCCATACCTGTTTTCCATAATGGCTGTGCTAGTTTACATTCCCATCAGCAGTGTACAGGGTTCCCTTAATATTTCGGGTACTATAGCCTTTTGTAATATATTTTGAAGTCAGATAGCATGATGTGTCTTTGTCATTTTTGCTCAAGATTGCTTTTGCTATTTGGGATCTTTTGTGGTTCTATATGAATTTTAGAATTTTTTTTCTATTTCTATGAAGATTATCATTGTCATTTGAGAGGGTTTACTTTGAATCTGTAGATCACTTTGGATAGTATGGGCATTTTAATGATATTCTTTAATTACATGAATGCAGGCTGTCTTTTATTTGTGTCTTCTTTAATTTCTTTCATCAGCGTTTTATACTTTTCATCTTAGAGATCTTTTATCTCCTTGGTTGAATTTATCACTAGGTATTTTAGCTATTTTTATAGCTATTTTAAGAGGAATTGTTTACTTGATTTTTGTTTTTTTCAGATAGTTTGTGGTTGATATATAGAAATGCTTTTGTATGTTTATTTTGTGTCCTACAACTTTACTGAATGTGATTATTAGTTCTGACAGTATTTTGGTACATTCTTTAGGGTTTTCTGTGTATGAGATCTTGTTGTCTTCAAACAAGAACAATTTAATTTCTACCTTTCCAATTTGTATGCCTTTTATTTCTTTCTCTTGCCTAATTGTTCTGGCTGGGTCTTCTAGACTATGATGAATAGAAATGGTGAAAGTATACATCCTTGTCTTGTTCCAGATTTCAGAGGAAAAGCTTTCAATTTTTCCCCATTCAGAATAATAGCTTTGGATTTTTCATATATGGCCTTTATTGTGCTGAGCTGCATTCCTTCTATACCCAATTTGTTGATAATTTCTAACATGAAAGAATGTTGAATTTTGTCAAATGCATTTTCTGCATCTATTGAAATATGGTTTTTTCCTGCATTTAATGTGATATATCACAGTTATTGATTTGTGTATGTTGAACCATTCATATATCCATGGGATGAATCCACTTGATCCTGGTGAATTATCTTGTTAATGTGCTGGCTTTTTTTTTTCTTTTTTAAGACAGAGTCTCTCTCTGTCACCCAGGCTGAGGTGCAGAGGTGCTCTACCTCCTGGATTCAAGTGATTCTTCCGCCTCAGCCTCCCTAGTAGCTGGGATTACAGGCACCAACCACCATGCCTGGCTAATTTTTGTATTTTTAGTAGAGAGGGGTTTCACCATGTTGGCCAGGGTGGTCTTGAACTCCTGACTTCAAGTTATTTACTTGGCCTCCCAAAATTAATGTGCTATTGAATTTGGTTTGCTGGTATTTTGTTCAGGATTTTTCTTCTATGTTCATCGGAGACATTGGCCTATAGTTTTCTTATTTTTGTTGTGTCCTTGTTAGGTTTTGGTATCAGGGTAATGCTGATTTTGTAGAATGAGTTTAGAAGAATTCTTTCCTCTTTATTTTTTAAAAATAATTTGAGAAGAATTCGTATTAGTTTCGCTTTGAATATTTGGTAGGGTGTGTTGGCTTACGCCAGTACCCCAGCACTTTGGGAGGCTGAGGCAGAACTTCAAGAGGCCAGGAATTTGAGGTCAACCTGGACAACATAGTGAGACCTTGTTTCTACAAAAAAAAAAAAAAAAAATTAGCTTGGTGTGGTGGTACACACCTGTAGTCTGAGCTACTTGGGAGGCCTCTTGGGAGGCTGAGGCAGGAGGATTGCTTGAGCTTAGGAGGTGGAGGCTGCAGTGAACTATGATCATGCCACTGTACTCCAGCCTGGGCAACAGAGCAAGACCCTGTCTCTTTAAAAAAACAGAACAAAAATTTTGGTAAAATACAGCAGTGAAGCCATCAGGTCCTAGGCATTTTTTCTTTTTTCTTTGATGGGAGACTTTTTATCACTGATTTAATCTCTTTACTTATTGGTCTGTTCTAATTTTCTATATCTTCGTAATTAAATTTTGGTAGATTATATATATTCAGAAACTTATTTCTTCTAGGTTTTCTAGTTTGTTGGTGTATAATTGTTAATGAGAGTCTCTTATAATTCTTTATATTTCTCTGGGATCAATTGTAGTGTCTCCTTTTTTGTTTCTCACTTTATTATTTGTGTCTTCTCCTTTTTTTCTTAGTCTAGCTAAAGGTTTGTTGCTTTTGGCTATCTTTTCAAAAACCTAATTCTTTGTTGTATTTATCTTTTGTATGTTTTTTAGGTCTCTATTTCATTTATTTCTTCTCTTTATTATTTATTTTTTTCTGCTAATTTGGAGTTTGGCTTGTTCTTGTTTTTCTAGTCCCTTGAGGCGCAACATTAGGTTTATATCTTTCCTCTTTGGGGATTTATGTGTTAATTACTATAAACATCACTTTTAGACCTGCTTTTGCTGTATCTGATAGGTTATGCTTTTTTTCCATTGGCATTGTTTCAAAAAATCTTTTTGTTTCTCTTTAATTTTTTCATTGACCATGTTGTTTAATTTCCATGTATTTGTAGAGTTTTTGATTTTCCTCTTATTATTGACTTCTAGTTTATGCCATTGTGATCGGAAAATATAATCTATGATTTTGAACTGAAACTTGTTAAGACTTATGTTGTGGCTTAATATGTACTCTATCCTGAAGCATGTTTCATGTTCAATTGAGAAGAATGTGTAATCTTCAGCCGCTGGATAGAATGTTCTGTAAATGTCTGTTAGGCCTATTTGGTCAAGAGTGCAGTTTAAACCTAATGTTTCTTTTTTGGTTTTCTGTCTGGATAATGTTTCTGTTGCTTAAGTGGGGTGCTGAAGTTTCCTACTAGGTAGAGGATCAGAAAAAATAAATATTACATACTCAGCTTAGTATCTGGGTGATGAAATAATCTGTACAACAAACCCCCATGACACAACCTGTACATGTAACAAACCTGCACATGTACCGCTGAACCTAAAATAAAAGTTAAAAAAAAAAGTTGTCTACTATGATTGTTTTGTACTCTATCTTTCCCTTTAGATTTATTGATATTTGCTTATATCAGGTTATTTTAATCTAGTAACAACTTAACTTTGATTGCTAAAAATGTTTAATAAACACTGTGTACTTTAACTCCTCTTTTTCTCTCACATTTTGAATTTTTTTCTGAGATACAGTCTCACTCTGTCACCCAGGCTGGAGTGCAGTGGTATGATCTCAGCTCACTGCAACCTCCACCTCCCGGGTTCAAGCGATTCTCATGCCTCAGCCACCCAAGTAGCTGGGATTACAGGTGTGCACCACCTTGCTCAGGCAATTTTTGTATTTTTAGTAGAGACGGGGTTTCACCATGTTGCCCAGGCTGGTCTTGAACTCCTGACCTCAAGTGATCTGCCTGCCTCGGCCTCCCGAAGTGCTGGGATTATAAGCATGAGCCAACTTGTCCAGCCACATATTTTGAATTTTTGATGTTACAACTTACAACTTTTAAAACTGCATATCCCACTATCAATTGTTGTAGTTATAATTATTTTTAATAGTTTTATCTTTAATCTTCATATTAAAGATATAAGAGGTTTACATACTATGCTTACAATAGGCCGAATAGCCACTTCCCACTCATTTTTTCCACCATAGAAAACTTGCATCCAGGGGACTTCTGCATATGTGGGCTTAGGGGAAGGGTGTTGCAGTCAAAGCACCATTTCCCTTACTGTCTGATATGGTTTGGCTCTGTGTCCCCACCCAAACCTCATCTCTAGTTGTAATCCCCATAATCCCCACATGTTGAGGGAGGGATCTGGTGGGAGGTGATTGGATCATGGGGGTGGTTTCCCCCATGCTGTTCTCATGATAGTGAGTAAGTTCTTACAAATCTGATGGTTTTATAAGTGTTTGGCAGTTCCTCCTTCACTCTCTGTCTTTTTCTCCTGCCACCATGTGAAGAAGGTCTTTACTTCCCCTTTGCGTTCCAGCGTGATTGTAAGTTTTCCAAGGCCTCCCCAGTCATACAGAACTGTGAGTCAGTTAAACCTCTTTTCTTTATAAATTACTCAGTCTTGGATATTTCTTTATAGCAGCGTGAAAATGGACTAATACACTGTTCTCAGATTTTTCTCAGCTCTGTGGTACAATGAGACACCATCCTGAGTTCCAAGAGATCCAGGGTAGTCGTCTTGCCACTGAGAAGATACTAATTGTGACAAGTTAATGGGTGCAGCACACCAGCATGGCACATGTATACATATGTAACTAACCTGCACATTGTGTACATGTACCCTAGAACTTAAAGTATAATAATAATAAAATAAAATAAAAATAAAATAAAATCTAATCTTCTGTGCAGGCAAAAAAAAAAAAAAAAAAAAAAAAGAAATTCTATAGGGTGTGGAGAACCAGACAACAATTCCTACCCTTCCATTTTGCAAGCATCACTCTGCCATATTTTTTAAAGAATAATGTTTTTAGAGTATTTGTGTTCTTTGGTACTTTTGCTGCTGAGATTCTTGGGATAACAAAGTAAAAAACCAAATAGTCTAGATTGTAACATACCACAGTGATTTGGGGCAAGAAGGATGTGCAGTAGAATTAAGCCAAGCTGGGCAAGTATGAACTTGGGACTGTCACCAAACTCTGTCTCATTCTTTTCTCCTTATTTAATTCTTTCCATATCAAGCATTTACAACCCACTATGTAGAGGTCCATACACCTTGGCTTATAGACTTCACTTGGTAGTTACTGTTGCCCACCTATCTATTAACCAGAATTTTCATTTAAAAATCTCTACATAAAAATTAGCAGTTATGCAGTGGAGTTTTCAAATAAGGAAGAAGATTGGTTGGATGGATGGATGTTAGGTGACCACTGGGAAACTATGGTTTTAGAACGAGTAGCTGGTAGGTTGCAGGTGGCATGTATTTTAATACATGTAGCAGAAAACTGAAAATTTATGAGCATTTTAGAAATTAGAGCTCTGTCAAAATAAGAGAAAAACTTAGATTTAATTTTATAAAAGCAGTACTAATGACTTTATGAAGATGGCATATGATTTATGTATGTATGAACAATTATATGTATCATTAAATAGATCAGATAAATTTTTTGTTCTTTTAAGAATAATAGGCCAGATGTGATGGCTCACGCTTATAATCCCAGCACTTTGAGAAGCCAAGGCCAGAGGATCAGTTGAGCTCAGGAGTTCAAGACCAGCCTGGGCAACATGACAAAACCCTGTCTCTACAAATAATAAAAAAAAAAAAATTAGCCAGGCACGGTGGTACATGCCTGTCATCCCAGCTAGTCAGGAAGCTGAGGTGCAAGAATTGCTTGAGCCTGGGAGGTTGAAGCTGTAGTGAGCCATGATTCTGCCACTGCATTCCAGCCTAGGCAACAGAGCTAGACCCTGTCTCAAAACCAAATAATAATTTTTTAAATATTTATTATCTAATGTGGGTTTTTGCTTTATGTTACAGTTGTCACCTACTCCAATATGAAAAATGAGAAGAAAGCCAGGTGTGGTGGTGCATACCTGTAGTCCCTGCTACTCAGGAGGTTGAGATGGGAAGATCACTTGAGGCCAGGAGTTTGAGGTTGCAGTATGCTATGATTGCTCCTGTGAATAGCCATTTTACTCTATCCTGGGAAACACAGTGGCATCCTGTCTCTTAAAAAAAATTTTTTTTTAAAGCATGTTCACAAGTTCTTTAATACTTCTCCATTGAAAAGGTAGAACCTAATTTCCCTTCTCTTGAATATGGCCCAGACTTAGCGACTTGTTTCTAATAAGTAGAATGTATGTAATGATGGTGTGCTATTTCTGAGGCTAGATCATTAAAGGCATCATTACTTCCATATTATTTTTTCTTGGGACACCCATAATGGGGAATTCAACTGCTATGTTCTTGAGGATACGCAGTCAGCCTTTGAAGACACCCACATGGGCAGGAACATAAGCCTTCCAGCGGCAACCAGCACCAATATGTTGGCCTTGTGAGTGCAGCCAGCTCCAGTCAAATCACCAGATTACTGGAGCCCTGCCTTACTTAACCGACTACAACCTGATGAGACACCCCAAGAGAGAACTGTTCCACTAAGCTGCTCCCAAATTCCTGACCCACCAAAACTATGTGAGATAGTATTTCTTATTTATAGCCACCATGTTTTGAAGCAACAATGACTATTAAAATAATAAAATAACTTTCAGACATTGTTTTTAATCCCTCTTTTCTGTAGTCCCTGTACTTTCCCACCCCAATTTATATTTCCTGTTTCTATTTGAACTTTTTTCTTTTTTGTTTTCATTTCTTTTATACATAATCGTTTTGAGCTATAAGAATAATTTATGCCAAAAATTATGCAGCTAATATTTTACACCCGTATTGTAACCAGTATACTGGTATAAAACTAGATAATAAACTACTATGGCTGTGTTTTGCTTCTTACAGATGGAAGGAAATGCCTAAAATTTAATTTTATATACCACAATGTGTTTTGAAAGTTTTGAATAATTTTCTGGTTTTGAAAACCTGTTTTGATTTTTTTTTCTCACAAACACGATATTCTTAAGTAAAATAGAGTGATTTATGATTAATAGAAATAATGAAGATTATGCAAGTTATTTTACTTCAATTGAAATAGCAAGGCCAGAATAATTTAATCATGTTTTCCAGAAGAATAATAAAATAGAATCAGTGGCAATACTAGTAAACATTAGTCTACATTTCTATTTATTTATTTATTTTTTTAGACGGAGTTTTGCCTTTTTACCCAGGCTGGAGTGCAGTGGCACGATCTCAGCTCACTGCAACTTCCGCCTCCTGGGTTCAAGTGATTCTCCTGCTTCAGGCCTCCCAAGTAGCTGGTATTACAGGCGCCTGCCACCACACCCAGCTAATTCTTTGTATTTTTAATAGAGACGGGATTTCATCATGTTGGCAAGGTTGGTCTCAAACTCCTGACTTCAGGTGATCCACCTGCCTTGGCCTCCCAAAGTGCAGGGATTATAGGCGTGAGCCACTGCACCCAGCCAACATTTATATTTCTTTAACTTCATATCATTTGCTGTAGTTAGCTGGATCATATTTCTTAAATTTTACTTTATTTATTTATTTTTGAGACAAAGTCACGCTTTGTCACCCAGGCTGAAGCTCAGTGTTTGCGATCTTGGCTCACTGCAAACTCTGCCTTCTGGGTTCAAGGAATCCTCCTGCTTCAGTCTCCTGAGTAGCTGGGATTACAGGCTTCTGCCACCATGCCCAACAAATTTTTTTTTGTATTTTTTGTAGAGACAGAATTTCACCCTGTTGACCAGGCTGGTATTAAACTCCTGACCTCAAGTGATCCACCCACCTAGGCCTCCCAAAGTGCTGGGATTATGGCCATGGGCCACTGTGCCCAGACAAATTTTACTTTCATAGTAACATTTTGCAAATGTAAAAATTTTATAATTTGATTAGTAATGTCAGACTCTATCAAGGTGATGCTCTCTTAAAAGTTGTTGATGATAATATTAGATGAGAGATGTATGTAGTTATGAAAGACCCTGAAATGATTGTATTTTTTTATTTCTGTACAAAGTTTACTCACATTTCTATGTCTAGCCATAGCTATTCTAAGCCATAGCACAAAGAACTGTATTGTGATGGTGAGACTATAAAAAGGTAAATTTAGAGAAAGCTTCCAGATCTGCTCTAGAATTTATTACCATCTGGTCTCTTTGGAGACTAGTATAATTATTCATGGGAATGTTTTCAACACAGAAAAGCATGGTTTGTGTATTGGCAGAAAGTAAAAAGTACCAGTGGTTTAAACCATATGTAGCTTTTTTAGAGTTAGGCAAGGGAAATGAACTGAAGACCTAATTGAGAGTCATCAGTAGTGATGCAATTTGTGTCAATTTTGTCAGAATCTGTTCATAATGAACAAAATATTGCACAACAAGAAAAACTGAAGGTATTAGAAATATAACTCCATTTGAAGAGTATTACTTTATCTTAATTTAACCAATGAAATGTAAGATGGTGTCAGCTAAGTATTTGTGTAAATCTCTGAAATAACATAAGGAATATATGTCAAATTTTGATGACTTTTAAAAATGAAAACACTCATGTTAAAATAATTTTAAGCTTGAACACTGGAAGAATGTCTTATTAAGGTTATTTTTCTTAAATTGAATATGAATGTATTATTTTAGATCATTTTAGATGTGGCATGGACTTACTACTGTTCCTCTTAAGAAGCAGAAATATTTTACAGTCTTTCTTAAGCTTAAATTGATTTTATAGAAAAAGGAAAAAAAAACTAAATATCTTTTCACTTTCCATTCTAACAGTTACTTGGAGTCTATAAAAAATGAGATGACAAATCAAAAAATTGAAATCGTCTATTTTTTCAGCTATTTTAAAAGAAAAATGCCTAGTGGGCTGGGAATACACAAGAAATTTAAATTTGTGATTGAGAATAAGAAATGCATTTGTGGTTTTAAAAAAGAAATACCAGCATGTCACATTAAAAATATGGCATCTACAGTATTGTACAAAGGAAAATGTATTACATTAGGAGGGGGTATGTTGTACTTTATTTAGAGAACTAGTGCAGGGATACGAATGAGAAGTATAACGCCATAGAAGGCATGAGCATTAGTAATCCAGTCAGAGAGGAAGAATTTTGCTGCCTCCCATGTAACATAAAACAGATGTTCCATTCTATTAGAACCTTACTAAAATGAGAGTTTAGATCATTGGTCAATAGGAGAAACATGAACAATGGCAATTTAATAATTTTGAGGGTTTATCTTATTTGTGAGTTAATATCCATGGTGGGGAGTATGAAGGGATGCCTGCCAAATGTTATTTTATTTTTGATATCTTGATTGAGAGAGCTGAAAGGCAACAGTAAGCTATACTAATTTTTAATTTATTGTTTTGCAAATTTAATCTATTTTTTTCTCAAAAACTGTTGTAAGAAAAAAAGATTTCAAAATTATAAGTCCTGATTTAATGCTTGAATAGGTATTGAAGCATATCTGAAAGTATAATTAATTAACCTCAAATGAATACTGTAAACATTAAGTAGTTGGCAACTGAAAGTAGACGTATGCAGAAAGGGACACCAGGGATGGTACCACAGGGTCCTGGGTATATTTTTGTTTTTTTAAGGGAAGATTTACTTTTTTCTAGAAAAGAAATTCTTTTCAAATAAATTTATTTTTCAAAAAATACTTTTTTTCAAAAGTATTTTTTCCATTTTAAAATTAAGTTATAATTTATATACAAAAAAGTGATCTTTGTAGTGTATGTTTCTGCAAGTTATGACACATGCACAGTCTAGCAACCAGTATCAGAAATAAGATAGAGAATAGTTTCATCACCTCAAAACTTTCCCTGTGTCCCCTTTGTAGTCTTCCTTTCCCCTACTTCAGCCCTTGGCAATCCCTGCTCTGTTTTTGTTGACAGAGACAGTTCTCCTCACTTGTTTGTGAAGACTGTAAGGTTCTGACTGCCCTTTTTCCTGGGACATTTCTCAGGGTTATATATGCAGCTGATAAACTTGAGACATGAGATAACATCTGTTCCCAGACAAAAAGCAAGCTTATTTACTGCTTGCTATAAAATTGGTGGATTCCCTGAGTTCAGTGCTTCTCATTTGCTGATGCAAACTCACTACAAGCATAGCATCCATCTGAGCATCCCCAAAGGACTTGGGATGAAGGGAACTGATGCAAATGTGCTGATGTTCTTCTGTTTTGTCATAAGTAATGAAGTGTTTTTTCTTTGACTGAGGAGTCTTGTGTCTTCTGCCTGCATCCATGAATTAGTTAAGAGGCTTTTGTGTTAGCTTTTATTAAATAGGGTAAAATCAAATCCCAGTCTCCATAATTTTCTGTTTGTATAGTTTTGCCTTTTCCGGTGACTTGTATTGAGGGTTCCTGCTTCTGGCCAACAACCTATGAGTGATTTTTTAGGTCTGATCATAAGGCATTTACAGAGGTTTTCCTGGCAGGCTTCATAGGGGGAGGGCTGGTCTCCAGAGCAGACTTGGTGCAAAGCTTTTATAGTCTCTGAGGGGAATTGCAGTCAAGGACCCAGCCATCCTCTTATACATATCTGCGTTCCTAGCCTAGGTGCCTTCATTCAGAGGCCTCTTTATGTGGGGCTTTTGGGGAGGCTTTCCTTAAGTGTCTCTGTCAAGACTTTATTGGGGAAAAGAGGGGAAGACACTTACCAACTCTTTCTCTACTATGACTTGTACTTTTCTGTTTCTAACCCTTCCCTCTCTAGCCTTCACTCGACTCCTGGGTCTGTAAAACTGCCAGAATCTTTTGTTGGGGGTTCCCTTTGGCAATGATGCAACCCTCACATTTGTGCTGGTCTACCTGCCCTGTGACCAATGTGCCATGCCACAGGGGAAAATGGAATGGGGGGTAGCTGGCACTTTCTCCAATTTAGCCTCTTATACTGTCACAGTGATTACAGACCTATTCTTTATTTTATTTTATTTTATTTATTTATTTTTTTGGCTTGTTGCCATTGGCTGTGCCAAAACGTGGCAGCCCAGCTTTCTCCAGCTCTCCTGAGGTACTGATACACACAAATGGAATCATGTTGTGCATAGCCTTTGAATCTGACTTTCTTCAGTTGACGTAAGTTCATCTTAGATTCATCCATTTGCTTTGTCAATAGTTTTTAAATTTTAATGGCTGAGTAGTTTTCTATCATCGTGATGTACTGCACCTTGTGTCTCTATCCACTCTAGAGGGATATTTGAATTGTTTCTGGTGATTATGAATAAAGCTGCTAAAAATATTTATACGTTTTTGTGTTAACATAAATTTTCATTTTACTAGATGTATTGCCAAACTCCTTTCCAAAGTGGCTGTGCCATTTCACATTCCCACTAGTAATATATGAGAGGTCTAGTGGTTTCACATCCTTTCAGCACTTGATATTGTCAGCTTTTATTACTACATCAATTGTAAGGGGGAGAGGAGCATCTCATTGTTTGTTTCTACTTCCCTAATTATGTGAAGCACATTTTTATATGCTTATTTGCTATCTGTATATGTTCTTTGAAGAAGTATCTCTTCAAACTCTTTGCCTTTTTTTTAAAAAAAATTGTGTTTATTTTTGTTACAGAGTTTTGAGAATTCTTTATCTGTTCTGCAGACAAGACTTATCAGATGTGTGATTTGCAAATATTTTCTCCTAGTGAGTGGCTTGTGTTTTCATTTTCCTAACAATGTCTTTCAGTGAGCAGAAGTTCTTACAAATTTATGTACTTTTAAAATGGATTATGCTTTTGTGTCATATAAGAACTCTTTGCCTAATCCAGGGTGAGAAAGATTTACTCCTATATTTTCTACTAGAAATTTCATAGTTTTACTTTTTACATGTAGATCTGTGATCCATTTTGAGTTAAGTTTTGTGTATATTGGGTGAGGTCTGTAACAGAGTTTTTGATTATTGTTTTTTGCTATTGTTTTTTGCTTTGGCATATGGATATCCAATTGATCCATTACTCTTCCCTGAAGTCTATTTAAATCTCTTTAATTGCCATTGTACTTTTTTGAAAATCAATTATGTGGTTGTATATCTATGTTCCATATTCTGTTTCATTGATCTATATGTCTCTTCTTTCTCCAATATCATACTTCTCTGATTACTGTAGCTTAATGTGTTTGTTTTTTTTGCTGTCTAATCATGGAAGTTGAATTTATTGCATTTTACAGGTCAATATTTTTTGTAGTTGTAGACGTCTGTAATTTTGCACTGTTAATTTTAATGTAATGGACATATTAGAAATTAGGTTTTCAATATGCAGGGGAAATGCTGTTAATTTACAATTGAAGAGAGTTATGAAATAATAATAAATAGAAAAAGTAAATAGAGAAAGGAAAGTACAGTCATCCCTTAGTGCCCATAAGGGATTGGTTCTAGGACCCTCTGTGGATACCAAATCCATGGATACTCAAGTCCCTTAAATGGCATAATATTTGCACATAACCTATGCATATCCTCCCATATACTTTAAATAATCCCCAGATTGCTTATAATACCTAATACACTATAAATGCTAAGTAAATACTTGTTATACTGTGTTATTTAGGGAATAATGACAAGAAAAAAGTCTGTACCTGTTCAGTACAGACTCAACAACTATCCATTTCCCCCACTTCCAAGTATTTTTGATCTGCTGTTGGTTGGTTGGTCTGCAGATGCAGATCCCATGGATATGGTGGGCCTATATATATGTCTTATTTATTGTCACTACCTTTTGCTTCCAAGTATTTTTTATTTTTAATGAGAGTTATTTTGTTGTGGTGGGTGGTTTAACATACATAAGTTTTCCCAGCAGCAGAACCCTGAAGCAAGGATTTTAGAACAAAGTCTACTTTGGAGACGTATGTAACAGGCAAGAATTGATGCAAGGAAAGCAAGGCAGCTAATGAAGACTTACTAACTAAACTAACACAATAGGTTGCTGGAGCTTTATCTTGTGGGATAATTCTGGGAAAGTCAGTGTCAAATTTAGTTTCGGGACTAACTCACCTGAAGTGTGAGAGAGTGAGTATATTTCCTGTTACTGGTTGTGGACTGCCATACAGAAGACATTGCACCTGCCTGGTGCTGTGGTGGGCAGAGTAGCATTCAGCCATTCAGAGGAAAGCCCTGAGGGATACAGAGGAAGATACTGGCTATTGGAAGTAATTTGGAATGGTGGGAAAGGGTTAGGTCCAAAGGATACTGTACAGACACTGACATTATCTGACTCATGCCTTGTGAATTTTAAGTGCCTTTCCTGGGTTATCAAAGTGAATAGCTTTAATCAAATCATCTCTATAAAGACATTTCTAAGTAAATTTTCTATACTTACACTCCTCTACTTTTTATTACTACAGCTGGCTTCATTAGCTTTTTGTATATTAATCTGTGTTGTCCTACTATTAGCTAGAAGAGCTTACTAACTGTGAGCTTGAAGATATTGTATATTCCCTCTTCGGATGATTTTTTTTTTTTTTTTTTTGAGTCAGAGTCTTGCTCTTGTAGCCCAGGCTGGAGTGCAGTGATGCAATCTCGGCTCACCGCAGCCTCCGCCTCCCGGGTTCAAGTGATTGTCATGCCTCAGCCTCCCGAGTAACTGGGATTACAGGCACCTGCCACCACGCTGGGCTACAAATGTATTTAAGAATCTTAAATGAGCTGTGATTGCACCACTACACTCCAGTCTGGGTGACAGAGCGAGACCCTGGCTTCAAGCAGTCCTCCTGCCTCAGCTTCCTAAAGTGCTGGGATTACAGGCATGAGCCACTACCCCTGGCCTAAATTCCTTTTCTAGCCTCTATACAGAATTTCTAGGATAACAACAACAACAACAACAACAAAAACTTAAATGATAAAAATGAATATATAAAATAGCAAGTAAGCCATGTAAAATATTTTCAATATTCTTAGCCATTAGAGAAGTGCAAATTAAAACTATAAGATACTGCTGCATACATATGTGGATAGCGAAAGTAAAAACTGGTGAGAATACAGAATGAATGGATTTCTCATCTGTTGCTGATAGGAAAATGACACAGCCACTCTGGAAAACAGTTTGGCATTTTTAATAAAATTAAAGATAAATATTCCATATGACTCAGCAATCATATTCCTGAGTATTTAACATAGAAAAATGGAAATTTATGTATATGTAAAAACTTGCTACACAAATATTTACATCAGCTTAATTTGTAATTGCCTCAAACTGGAAAGAATCCAGATAACTTTCAACAGGTGAATAGATAAACAAACTGTGATATATCTATCGAATGGAATACCAAGCTTTGTAAAAGAATAAATTACTGGTACAGTCAACAGTTTCCGTAGATCTTAAGTTCATCACACGAAGTAAAAAAAAAGCTAAACTCAAAGTGTTACATACTGTATGATTCCAATTATATAGTATTACTTAAATGAAAAAAAATTAGTGTTGGAAAATTAACCTGTCATTCCAGGAGTTAGAGATAATGTGGGAGAAGGGGATAGGTATGACTATAAGGGAGTTGCAGGAGAGGGCTTCTTTGTGGTGATGGAATAGTTCTGTGTCTTAATTGTGCTGGTGAGTACATGAATCTTTACAGCTGATAAGATTTTATAGAATAGTACACACACACTAAGAACAATGCATGTAATGTCTACTTTGGGGAGCTTTTTTTAAAAAAATTTCTTTTAAGAGACAGTGTCTTGTTCCATTTCCCAGGCTGGAGTGCAGTGGCACAATCATAGCTCACTGTAGCCTCAAACACCTGGGCTCAAGGGATTCTCCTGCTTCCAGCCTCCCAGGTAGCTAGGACTATAGGTGCATGCCACCATGGCTCGCTAATTTTTTTATTTTTATTTTTTGTAGAGATGGGGGTCTCACCATGTTGCCCAGGCTGGTCTCAGTCTCCTGGCTTCAAGCAGTCCTTCTGCCTTGGCCTTCTAAAGTGCTGGGATTACAGGGGTGAGCCACTGCCCTGGCCTAAATTCCTTTTTTAGCCTCTTCACAGAATTTCTAGGATAACCAATATAAGTAAAGTAGATGTTATTTTTAAAATGATCCACTTTATACACTAAATTAAAAGACAGTCTTGATTTCTTCAAAATTCTTTGCTGTGAAGTGAAACGTTTGGTAATCATATATCTTGTTGACATAAACATACAGATTCCTCTGCATGTAACATTCTTTTCCTTCACTTTACCAATTTGTGCCCATTTCACGTATCTCAGCCTATATCCCTTTTTCATGATCATCTTACCTCTGACATAACTCTTTCACCCACCAAATCTGTGTTTGGTGTCATTTCTATGATGGTCCCATACAAAGCTGGACTCATTTTACAGATGCAAAAAGTGATGAAATAATGAACAAGTTAATGGCCCAACTGAAACTGTGGTGTTGGACATAAACTTTAGAATAAATCCTAAATCTTAAGTGTGCAAATAAATTATTCAAAACATGAGATTACCTAACCTATTCTAGTGATATTTAACAGAGATATGTTTGTAACTGGTGGAAGAAGAATCACTCCCTAGGTACAAGATCAATTACTGTTCATTTTATTCACCTGAAGATAAATCACTTTCACAGATTTTGCAGACTACTTCTTTTCCTGAAAAAATGATTTATTAAAGTGGAGGTTTCTTTACTATATCAACACTGGCTTACTCTTTTCTTTATAATACTTCTATACTGAAAGAAGCCAGAGGCCAAAAGTAGTCTTGTTTGTGCTGCTCTTTATTTCATTGTTATTTTTAAACCAGATGATGAAATTCCCTTCCATTTTGAAGGGCCATTTTTCATGTACATAGGAGGGAATTTAAACTGTTTGAGTTAATATTAACATATTCTATTACTATAAATTGGTTTTAGTTTGATTTTAAAATAGCATATTAATTTACATTTAATTTTAGTATTCAACTCTGATCAGAAAAATAGTATTTTGGATGTAGGGGTAAGGAAAAGGTGTGAAATTCCAGTTAAAAATCTAAAGTACTGTGTTTATTGTTTCATTGTGTGTCTGCATTTAGTATTGTTTGTATGAGAAAAAGTCAGTTGTTTCCTTATATTCCCATATAATTTTTGAGTAGTATGACAATCTTCATTTATATACCTGATGACTTTTAATTTTTAAAATGTTGTCTAAACCAGGTTTCAGGTGATATATCTTGCTTCCTAATTTGACAACTCTGAATATTACTATTGAAACTTGTAAGCAAGTAGAAATTAAAATGAAGCCATACATAGCATTTGCTTTGATTAAAAAGAATAGAAACCTAGACTGTTTTGGAAAATTCAGTGTATATTTCAGTGTATATATATTATGTGTTTATATATTGACAGATCTGGGCATCAGAATAGAGTCAAGAAATAACATAAATAGAAATTCAGTAAGAACACATATGAAACTGGAAACCAGTGGAGGAAAACTGAGGAATTGCTGTTTGTGAGAGACTTATTTTTCACTCAGTATACTTTTTTTTACTGTTTTAATTGTCTATATAGCATGCTGCATATTACCAATTTTAAATACTTAATTTTGAAAGATTAAAATGGCTGGCAAATTTATTGCCCATTTGCAAAGTACATTTATATCAGGCATAGTACAATATGTAGAATGTTATTGGAACATTGGAACATTGTGTCTGAAATACTTTTTTAAAAACCTCATAAAATATGAAAATACTTCTTAATGATTTCAATATTAACTCTATTCATTAGACATCTATCATTATCCTTTATGTCAGAAACTTAGAGTGAAATCTTATTAGCTTGATTGAAGAACACTTGTTCTCATTTCATTGTGCTATAGTTAACATTCAAAGTTAAAGTTATTTTTCTTCTCCTTGATAGTATACTATAATAAGTATATTCAAAGTGATGCTCTAGATTTGTTTCCTTCACATTTAGACTTGCATTTTTACAATGTTTATACTAAGGTTTCTTACACTTGCCATAGTATATCTGTGCGGTGGCTTACTCCTGTTAATCCCAGCAATTAGGGAGGCCCAGGCAGGTGGATTATGAGGTCAGGAGTTTGAGACCAGCCTGGCCAACATGGTGAAACCCTGTCTCTACTAAAAATACAAAAAAAAAAAATTAGCTGGGTGTGTTGGCGGGTGCCTGTAATCCTAGCTACTCGGGAGGCTGAGGCAGGAGAATCACTTGAACCTGGGAAGGTGGAGGTTGCAGTGAGCCGAGATCCTGCCACTGCACTGCAGCCTGGACAACAAGAGCGAGACTCCGTCTCAAAAAAAAAAAAAAAAAAGGATTTTTGCAATCATTAACTTACTTCTTGCTGTCTGTTTTTATTGTCTTTGGCTGTCCTTCTTAACTTCTTCAAAGATTTCTAGTATATTTACACTCCTTAATCCTAAATCCAGTGTATGTTGGCTCTCATGGTAGTTTTCCATTTCATGTACTTGCTTGTATAATATAAATCCCTGTTCTTGGTGTTTTGTGTATTTATTTATTTGGCTGCCATTGTATTGAAAATTGTCTTGACAATTCATTTATGAACATCATTAGTACAGCAATATGTAATTCAAAACCAGCATGCTCAAATTTGTACTATTCTGGTTAGTTATTGCTATGTGTGTATTTTCAAATTTTTAAAGACTTAGAGAATAGTAAAACATATACTTAGCACAAATGATATCACTTCTTGGTACCTTTCTGTGAGTCCTTCTTCCCATAAGGAAATTAAATTGTTCTTTGTTTTCATGCTAAGTAGCATGAAAAAAAAGCTTTATTGAGATAAATCAAATTTAGAGCATTTTTATCACCTCAAAAAGAGCCCATATACATTAGCTCTCACCCACTCAATTATCCCTCCTTGGCTATTTTGGGTCCATTGCAATTCCAAGTGAATTTTAGAGTCAGTTTGTCAATTTACACAATGAGTATAGCTTGGATTCTGATAGGGATTGTGTTGAATCTCTACATCCATAATGGGTAATATTGCCAATCTTAATAAAATTTTCCATGAATGTGGGATGTTTTTCCATTTATTTGGATCATCTTTAATTTGTTGCAACAATGTTTTGTAGTTTTCAGAGTATAAATTTTACACTGTAAAGAAAACTTATTCCCAAATATTATTTTCTTTTTGATGCTATTGTAAGTGGAATTCTTTTCTTAATTTTATGTTCAGATTATTCATTGCAGATGGCTTAGAGATACAATTGTGTGTGGTTTTTGTTGTTTTGTTTTTGAGACAGGCTCATGCTCTGTTGCCCAGGCTGAAGTGCAGTGGCACAAACATGGCTCACTGCAGCCACAATCTCCTAGGCCCACCTGATTCTCCTCCCTCAGCCTCCCAAGTAGCTGAGACCACTAGACATGCACCACCATGCCTGGCTAATTTTTAATTTTTTTTGTAGAGACAGAGTCTTGCCATGTTGCCCAGGCTGGTCTCGAACTCTTGGGCTCAAGCAATCCTCTGGCCTTAGCCTCCCAAAGTTTTGGGATTATAGGCATGAGCCGCTGTGCCTAGCTCAGTTTGTGTGTGTGTGTGTGTGTGTGTGTGTGTGTGTGTGTTTTAATATTGATCTTGTATCCTACAGCCTTTCTGAACTTACTTAGCTCTAATATTTTTTAGTGGGTTCTTTATGATTTTCTATAAACAAAACCATGTCATCTGTGACTATAGTTGTGTTTCCTTCTTTCTTTCTAATTTGGAAGCCTTTAACTATTTTCCCCCTTCCTTAATTGCTGTGACTAGTAGTTGTAATGTAACAGTGAACAGAAGTGGCAAGAAGAGATGTCCCTAGTCTTGTTTCTCATATAGGGGGAAAATATCTAATCATTCACCATTAAGTTTGATGTTTCTCTGCAGTTTTCTTAGATGCCCTTTATCAGATTGAGGAAGTTACTTTCTATTTCTGTTTTTTTTTAGCGTTTTTATCTTGAAACAGTACAGTTGACCCTTGCACAACATGGCGATTGTGGGTGCTGACCCACTGCATAGTCTAAAATCCATGTATAACTTTTGATTCTCCCAAAACTTGTCAATTAATAGCCTACTGTTAACCAGAAGCCTTACCAGTAACATAAAGTCAATTACCACATATTTTATATATGTATCATATAAAGAATATATTATTAAGAAAATCATGAGAGAAAATGTATGTACTATTTATTAAGTGGAAATGTTTCGTGAGAAAAGTCATCATTGTCTTCATGTTGGGTTGGCTGAGGAGGCAGAGGAGGAACTGGTTTTGCTGTCTTAAGGGTGGCAGAGGTGGAAGAAAATACTGGTGTAAGTGGATTTGTGAAGTTCAAACCAGTGTTGTTCTGGAGTCAATTGTAGTGGATTTTGCCAAATGCTTTTTGTTTGTTTGTTTTTTGAGACGGAGTTTCGCTCTTGTTGCCCAGGTTAGCGTGCAATGGCATGATCTTGGCTCACTGCAACTTCTGCCTCCCAGGTTCAAGCAATTCTCCTGCCTCAGCCTCCTGAGTAGCTGGGATTTCAGGTGCCCAGCACCACGCCTAACTTATTTTTGTATTTTTAGTAGAGATGGGGTTTCACCATGTTGGCCAGGCTGGTCTCTAATTCCTGACCTCTTGTGATCCACCCGCCTTGGCCTCCCAAAATGCGAGATTACAGGCGTGAGCAACCATGCCTGGCTGCCAGATGCTTTTTCTATGTGTGTTGAGATGATCATGTAATTTTGTTTTCTATTCTATTGATATGATGCATTGAATTAATTGATTTTTGGATCTTAAACCAACCTTGCATTCCTGAGACAAACTCCACTTGGTTATGTTATATATAATTTTTAAATGTTGCTGGATTTGTTTTGCTAGTATTTTGTTGAGGATTTTTGCATCATTCTCATATGAGTATCAGTCTGTAGTTTTATTTTCTTGTGACTTTGTCTGATTTTAGAGTATCATAGTAATACTGGCCTCATAACATGAATTGGGAGATGTCTTCCCTCTTCTAATTTTTAGAAGAGTTTGTGGAGAATTGGTATTAATTTTTTTAAAAGAAGCAGCAATTGCTTATTTTTCTAATCAGGTGTCTATGCTGCTGAATCTTAAGGCCTCAACAAATGTTGCACCTTATTATTTCATTGAACAATAAGACCTTCTATTCTGATTATTCCCGGTAAATAGGAATAATCACTGGTTTCTCCAGTGGTTTCCACTTGCCAAAAACTCATGACAGATGACTTAACAAGGTGGCACCTGCTTTCAGGGGATTGTATCAGATGCATACTCATTTCCAGTGCAGCAGCTGTTGGCAATCTAGGACTTCTCTATCATGGTTGGCCAAGTAGTCCTGCTTTGGCTGCCAGAGCTTCATTCTGCTGAATATTACATTCCTGAAGTCTCATGGATATTCTTTTTGTCATTTAAAAATATTTCCATAAAGTGTTCTGAACAGGCTGGTCTCTTCAGGTTTTACATCTGTTGTGCAGTCTTAACACAGTCCAAAAAGCAGATTTCTGCAAGTTTATTGTCAGTCCCAAGAAATTCCTTCAACTGTTTAATCTGATCAGATTCTGGTATTTGTGCACCCATATTCTTTTGGTACATTTATTAGTCATCTTCTCTGATGCATGAGTTTCCTTTCTGTTCTTGTAAAGTAGTGTTCCAACCTTTGTTTGAATGTCTTCAGTGAGACGTGATTTCTTACCTAAGCACAGGCTCTCACATCTGACGTCAGTACAAGGCTGGAGGCCTACACTGCCAGTCGAGTCTGAGGATGGAGGATCAGGATCAGGGCAAGCATTGCAGCCGCTTTATCTAATTCTTCTTTAAACGTTCATTAGAATTCAATAGTGAAGCCATTCAGGGCTAGGCTTTTCTTTGTGGGTAGTTTCTTGATTACTAATTTAATCTCTTGTTATATAGGTCTGTTCAAGTTACCTATTTTTTCTTGAAATTTTTTTAGTCATTTGTGCCTTTCTAAGTATTTGTCCATTTCATCTAATAAATAATCTAATTTGTTTAATGGCTATTCTTTCTGACATTAATATAGCCACTTTGTCTTTCTTGTGGGTGTTGTTTGCATCACGTATCTTTTTTTTTTTTCCCAGACAGGGTCTTGCTTTGTTGCCCAGGCTGGAGTGCACTGGCAAGCAGAGGTTGCCACTCACTGGAACCTCTGATTCCCAGGTTTAAGTGATCCTCCCACCTCAGTCTCCTGAGTAGCTGGGATTACAGGTGCATACCATCATGCTTGGCTAATTTTTAAATTTTTTGCAGAGACGAGGTCTCACTGTATTGTCCAGGCTGGTCTTGAACTCCTGGCTCAAAGTGAAACCCCTGCCTTGGCATCTCAAAGTGCTGGGTTTACAGATGTGAGCCACCACATCCAGCCTGCATGATATATTTTTCCACCCGTACTTTCAATCTGTTAGTAACTTTCTATCTACAGTGTGTCTCCTGTTGACCCACATAACTGTCTTTTATGTATAGTTATTAGAACTATTGATAAGAAAATGTGAAAGTATAGTCCCATTATCTTATTTGAGTGGAATCAGTAGACTATTTCATAAAATGTATTCTAGTTTATAGTTTAGAATAGTTTGTTTTTCATGGCTTTTGAGAAAAACATTTGAATGAGCTTACATTTTGTTGCATTTAAAATTTCTGGGTTTTTGTTGTTGTTGTTGTTGTTGTTTTGAGATGCAGTCTCTCTCTGTTGCCCAGGCTGAAGTGCAGTGGTGTGATCTTGGCTCACTGCAACCTCTACCTCCCAGGTTCAAATGATTCTTGTGCCTCAGCCCCCTGAGTAACTGGGACTGCAGGTACATGCCACGACCTGGCTAATTTTGTATTTTTAGTAGAGATGGGGTTTCGCCCTGTTGGGCAAGCTGGTCTCAAACTCCTGACCTCAGGTGATCTACCTGACTCAGCCTCCCAAAGTGCTGGAAGTACAAGTATGAGCCACTGCGCCTGGCCAAAATTTCTGTTTTTTAATGAATCCAAAGTTCATGTTTTTTTTTCTTCCCAATGCCATGGTACATATCATCACCAAAAAAAGTAGTGATTTTGCTTCAGTGAACACTGAATTTTAATATTATTGATAGAATGGCTATATCGATCAGGGTTTTACACTTATAGTACAGTATACTTGCAATGTAGGTAGGCCTCATCCTTTGTAATTAATTAATTAGCTTGTAATTATGTAAGCTAATCTAAATTTTCATATTTTCAGTTTTAACATTTGGGCTTTTGAGTTACATTTCTTATATTTTGATTTTTTTCTATAAATTTTAAAACCAGAAAGACAACACTAGAATCAATTAAATGCAAGATTGAAAGGGTTTCATAATGTAAAAGAGCAATCTTGTTTTTGAAATGTTCAGTTTACAGTAAGGATCGAGTAGCTCTGCAGCTACCGATTTGGGAAATACCTGAGGTTTTTTTTCCCCTTGCACTTACAGGCTGTTTTAGCCCTGAAGGTGGCTAGTAAGGACACAGACTTTAGAGTGCCACGACAGTTCCATAACAGGAATGAATTGAAGAAGAGAAGCAGTGGAGTCAGGAGCCTCACAAATTAAAGACAACTGGTGAAGAGAAAAACCATTTATTTTCGATACTTAAGATGGCTGAGCCTGTAATTCCAGCAGTGCTTTGGGAGGCTGAGGCAGGTGGATCACGAGGTCAGGAGATTGAGACCATCCTGGCTAACACGGTGAAACCCTGTCTCTACTAAAAATACAAAAAATTAGCCGGGCATGGTGGGCACCTGTAGTCCCAGCTACTCAGGAGGCTGAGGCAGGAGAATGGTGTGAACCCGGGAGGTGGAGCTTGCAATGAGCAGAGATCGCACCACTGCACTCCAGCCTGGGCGACAGAGCGACACTCTG
This sequence comes from Homo sapiens, assembly GCF_000001405.40. Classification (NCBI taxonomy): domain Eukaryota; kingdom Metazoa; phylum Chordata; class Mammalia; order Primates; family Hominidae; genus Homo; species Homo sapiens. Next base: position 74,347,103 of record NC_000010.11, read on the forward strand.
TCTCAAAAAAAAAAAAAAAAAAAAAAAAAAAAAAAAAAAAGATGGCCGAATAGGAAGAGCTCCAGTCTGCAGCTCCCAGCAAGACCAACACAGAAGGTGGGTGATTTCTGCATTTCCAACTAAGGTACCCAGTTCATCTCATTGGGACTAATTAGGCAGTGGTTGCAGCCCACAGAGGGTGAGCAGAAGCAGGGTGGGGTATCACCTCACCTGGGAGGTGCAAGGAGCTGGGGGACCTCCTTCCCCCAGCCAAGGGAAGCCATGAGGGACTGTGCTATCTGGCCCAGATACCATGATTTTCCTATGGTTTTTGCAATCCGCAGATCAGGAGATTCCGTCGTGTGCCTACACCACCAGGGCCTTGGGTTTCAAACACAAAACTGGGCGGCTGTTTAGGCAGACACTTAGCTAGTTGCAGGAGTTTTTTTTCGTACCCCAGTGGCACCCGGAACCCCAGCGAGACAGAACTGTTAACTCCCCTGGAAAGGGGGCTGAAGCCAGGGAGCCACGTGGTCTTGCTTAGAGGGTCCCACTCCCACGGAGCCCAGTAAGCTAAGAACCACTGGCTTAACATTCTCACTGCCAGCACAACAGTCTGAAATTGACCTTGGACCATTGGGCTTGGTAGGGGGAGGGGCATCTGCAATTACTGAGGCTTGAGTAGGTGGTTTTTCCCTGACAGTACTAAGGTGGCGGGGAGGTTTGAACCAGGTGGAATTCACCACAGTGCAGCAAAGCAGCTGTGGCCAGACTCCCTGTCTAGATTCCTCCTCACTGGACAGGGTATTTGTGAAAGAAAGGTAGCAGACCTAGTCAGGGGCTTATGGATAAAACTCCCATCTCCCTGGGACAGAGCACCTGAGGGAAGGGGCGGCTGTGGGCGCAGCTTCAGAGGACATAAACTTTCCTGCCTGGTGGCTCTGAAGAGAACAGCTGATACTGACAAGGAGGATTCTCCCAGAACAGTGCTTGAGCTCTGCTTAGGGACAGACTGCCTCCTCAAGTGAGTTGAGGAGACTCCGTGCCTTCTCACTGGGAGAGAACTGCCAACAGGGGCCAACAGACACCTCAAACAGGAGAGCTCTGGCTGGCATCAGGCTGGTGCCCCTCTGGGACGAAGCTTCTAGAGGAAGGACCAGGCAACAATCTTTGCTGTTCTGCAGCCTCCATTGGTGATACTCAGGCAAACAGGGTCTGGAGTGGACTTAAAGCAAACTGCAGCAGACCTGCAGAAGAGGTGCCTGACTGTTAGGAGAAAAACTAGCAAACAGAAAGCAACAAACTCAACATCAACAAAAAGGACCCCCACACAAAAACCCCATCCAAAGGTCATCAGCCTCAAAGATCAAAGGTAGATAAATCCATGATGATGAGGAAAAACCAGCGCAAAAACGGTGAAAATTCCAAAAACCAGAATGCCTCTTTGCCTCCAAATAATTGCAGCTCCTCTCCAGCAAGGGCACAAAACTGGACGGAGCAACCCCAAGACACCTAATAGTCAGATTCTCCTCTGAGCTGAAGGACCATGTTCTAACCCAGTGCAAGGAAGCTAAGAACCTTGATAAAAGGTTATAGGAACTGCTAACTAGAATAACCAGTTTAGAGAGGAACATAAATGACCTGATGGGGCTGAAAAACACAGCACGAGCACTTCATGAAGCATACACAAGTATCAATAGCCAAATCGATCAAGCAGAAGAAAGGCTATCACAGATTGAATATCAACTTATTGAAATAAAGTGTGAAGACAAGATTAGAGAAAAAAAAAATAAAATGGAATGAACAAAACCTCCAAGACATATGAGACTATGTGAAAAGACCAAACCTATGATTGATTGGTGTACCTGAAAGTGACAGGGAGAATGGAACCAAGTTGGAAAACACACTTCAGGATATTATCCAGGAGAACTTCCCCAACCTAGCAAGACAGGCCAACACTCAAATTTGGGAAATATGGAGAACACTGCAAAGATACTCCTTGAGAAGAGCAACCCCAAGACACCTAATCATCAGATTCTCCAAGGTTGAAATGAAGGAAAAAATGTTAAGGGCAGCCATAGAGAAAGGTCAGGTTACCTACAAAAGGAAGCCCATCAGACCAATAGCAGATCTCTCTGCAGAAACCCTACAAGCCAGAAGAGAGTGGGGGCCATTATTCAACATTCTTAAAGAAAAGAATTTTCAACCCAGAATTTCATATCCAGCCAAACTAAGCTTCATAAGCTAAGGAGAAATAAAATCCTTTTCAGAGAAGGAAATGCTGAGGGATTTTGTCACCACCAGGCCTGCCTTACAAGAGCTCCTGAAGGAAGCACTAAATGTGGAAAGGAAAAAGTGGTACTAGCCACTGCACAAACACACCAAAATATAAAGACCAATGACACTATGAAGAAACTGCTTCAATTAGTGTGTAAAATAACCTGCTAACATCATGATGACAGGATCAAATTCATGTATAATAATATTAACCTTAGCTGTACATGGCCTAAATGCCCCAATTAAAAGACACGGACTGGCAAATTGGATGAAGAGTCAAGATCCATCGGTGTGCTGTATTCAGGAGACCCATCTCACTTGCAAAGACACACATAGGCTCAAAATAAAGGGATGGAGGAATGTTTACCAAGCAAATGGAAAGCAAAAAAAAAAGCAGGGGTTGCACTTCTAGTCTCTGATAAAACAGGCTTTAAACTAACAAAGATCAAAAAAGACAAAGAAGGGCATTACATAATGGTAAAGGGATCAATGCAACAAGAAGAGCTATCGTAAATATATATGCACCCACTACAGGAGCACCCAGATTCATAAAACAAGTTCTCAGAGACCTACAAAGATACTTAGACTTCCACACAATAATAGTGGGAGACTTTAACACCCCACTGTCAATATGAGATCAATGAGACAGAAAATTAACAAGGTTATTCAGGACTTGAACTAAGCTCTGGACCAAGCGGACCTAATAGACATGGGGTTGCTACAGAACTGTCTACCCCAAATCAACAGAATATACATTCTTCTCAGCAGCACATGGCACTTATTCTCAAATCAACCACATAATTCAAAGTAAAACACTCCTCAGCAAATGCAAAAGAATGGAAATCATAACAAACAGTCTCTCAGACCACAGTGCAATCAAATTAGAACTGAGGATTAAGAAACTCACTCAAAACCACCCAACTACATGGAAATTCAACAACCTGCTCCTGAATGAATATTGGGTAAATAATGAAATTAAGGCAGAAATAAAGAAGTTATTTGAAACCAATGAGAACAAAGAGAAAACGTACCAAAATCTAGGACACACCAAAAGCAGTGTTAAGAGGGATATTTATAGCACTAAGTGCCCACTTCAGACAGCTGGAAAGATCTGAAATCAACACCCCAACATCACAATTAAAAGAACTAGAGAAGCAACAGCAAACAAATTCAAAAGCTAGCAGAAGACAAGAAATAACTAAGATCACAGCAGAACTGAAGGAGGTACAGACATGAAAAACCCTTGAAAAAAATCAGTGAATCCAGGAGGTGGTTTTTTGAAAAGATTAACCAAATAGATAGACTACTAGCTAGACTATTAAAGAAGAAAAGAGAGAAGAATCAAATGGACACAATAAAAAATTATAAAGTGGATATCACCACTATTCTCAGAGAAATACAAACTACCAACAGAGAATACTATAAACACCTCTATGCAAATAAACCAGAAAATCTAGAAGAAATGGATACATTCCTGGATACATTCCTGGACACATACACCCTCCCAAGACTAATCCAGGGAGAAGTTGAATCCCTGAATAGACCAATAACAAGTTCTGAAATTGAGGCAGTAATTAATAGTCTACCAACCAAAAAAAGCCCAGGACCATACAGATTCACATCCGAATTCTACCAGAGGTTCAAAGAGGAGCTGGTACCATTCCTTCTGAAACTATTCCAAACAATTGAAAAAGAGGGAGTCCTCCCTAACTCATTTTATGAAGCCAGCATCATCCTGATTCCAAAACTTGACAGAGACACAACAAAAAAAGAAAATTTCAGGCCAATATCCCTGATGAACATCCATGTGAAAATCCTCAATAAAATGCTGGCAAACGAATCCAGCGACATGTCAAAAAGCTTATCCACCACAATCAAGTCGGCTTGACATGTAAGGCTGGTTCAACATACGCAAATCAATAAACGTAATCTATCACATAAACAGAACCAATGACAAAAACCATATGATTATCTCAATAGATGCAGAGAAGTCCTTTGATAAAATTAAACATCCTTCATGCTAAAAACTCTCAAAAAACTAGGTATTGATGGAACATATCTCAAAATATAAGGGCTATTTATGACAAATCCATAGCCAATATCATACTGAACAGGCAAAAGCTGGAAGCATTCCCTTTGAAAACCAGCACAGACAAGGATGCCCTCTCTCACCACTCCTATTCAACATAGTTTTGGAAGTTCTGACTAGAGCAATCTGGCAAGAGAAAGAAATAAAGCGTATTTAAATAGGAATAGAGGAAGTCAGATTGTCTCTGTTTGCAGATGACATGATTGTATATTTAGAAAACCCCATCGTCTCAGCCCAAAACCTCCTTAAGCTGATAAGCAGCTTCAGCAGTCTCAGGATACAAAATCAATATGCAGAAATCACAAGCATTTCTATACATCAATAATAGACAAGCAGAGAGCCAAATCATGAGTGAACTCCCATTCACAATTGCTACAAGAGAATAAAATACCTAGGAATACAACTTATAAGGGATGTGAAGGACCTCTTCAAGGAGAACCAGAAACCACTGCCCAAGAAAATAAGAGAGGATGCAAACAAATGGAAAAAAAATTCAGTGTTCATGGATAGGAAGAATCAATATTGTGAAAATGGCCATATTGCCCAAAATAATGTATAGATCCAATGCTATTCCCATCAAGCTTCCATTGACTTTCTTCGCAGAGTTAAAAAAAAAAAAGAAACAAACCTTAAATTTCATATGGAACCAAAAAGGAGCCTGTGTAGCTAAGACAATCCTAAGCAAAAATAACAAAGCTGGAGGCATCATGCTACCTGACTTCAAACTGTACTACAAGGCAACAATAACCAAACAGCATGGTACTGGTACCAAAACAGATATATAGACCAATGAAACAGAACAGAGGCCTCAGAAATAATACCACACATCTACAACCATCTGATCTTTGACAAATCTGACAAAAACAAGCAATGGGGAAAGGATTCCCTGTTTAATAAATGGTGTTGGGAAAACTGGCTAGCCATATGCAGAAAATTGAACCTGGATCACTGCCTTACACATTATACAAAAAGTAACCAAGATGGATTAAGGACTTAAATGTAAAACCGAAAACCATAAAAACCCTAGAAGAAAACCTAGGCAATACCATTCAGGACATAGGCATGGGCAAAGACTTCATGACTAAAACACCCAATGCAATTGCAGCAAAAGCCAAAATTGACAAATGGGATCTAATTAAACTAAAGAGCTTCTACACAGCGAAAGAAACTATCATCAGAGTGAACAGGCAGCATACAGAATGGGAGAAAATTTTTGCAATCTATCCATCTGACAAAGGTCTAATATCCAGAATCTACAGGAACTTAAACAAATTTGCAAGAAAATAACAACCCTATCAAAAATTGGGCAAAGGATATGAATGGACACTTCTCAAAAGAAGACGTGCAACCAACAAACATGAAAAATTGCTCATCATCATTGGTCATTAGAGAAATGCAAATCAAAACCACAATGAGATACCATCTCATGCCAGTTAGAATGGCGATCATTAAAAAGTCAGGAAACAACAGTTGCTGTTGAGGTTGTGGAGCAATAGGAATGCTTTTACACTGTTGGTGGGAGTGTAAATTAGTTCAACCGCTGTAGAAGACAGTGTAGCAATTCCTCAAGGATCTAGAACCAGACATACCATTTGACCGAGCAATCCCATTACTGGGTATGTACCCAAGGGATTATAAATCATTCTCCTATAAAGACACATGCACACATGTGTTTATTGTAGCGCTATTTACAATAGCAAAGGCTTAGAACCAACCTGATGCCCGTCAATGATAGATAGAGAAAATGTTGCACAGAGACACCATGGAATACTATGCAGCCATAAAAAAGGATGAGTTCATGTCCTTTGCAGGGACATGATGAAGCTGGAAACCATCATTTTTAGCAAAGTAACACAGAAACAGAAAACCAAACACCACATGTTCTCATTAATAAGTGGGAGTTGAACAATGAGAACACATGGACACAGGGAATGGAGCATAACATACCTGGGCCAGCTGGTGGGTAGGGGTCAAGGGGAGGGAGAGGATTAGGACAAATACCTATTGCATGCAGAGCTTAAAACTTAGATGATGGGTTGATAGGTGCACCAAACCACCATGGCACATGTATACCAACGTAACAAACCTGCACGTTCTGCACATATATCCCAGAACTTAAAGTTAAAAAAAAAAAAAAAAAGCCAGGCGCAGTGGCTCACGCCTGTAATCCCAGCACTTTGGGAGGCTGAGGCAGGTGGATCACAAGGTCAGGAGATCGAGACCATCCTGGCTAAAATGGTGAAACCCTGTTTCTACTAAAAATACAAAAAATTAGCCAGGCGTGGTGGCGGGCATCTGTAGTCCCAGCTACTTGGGAGGCTGAGGCAGGAGAATGGCATGAACACAGGAGGTGGAGCTTGCAGTGAGCTGAGATTGCGCCACTGCACTCCAGCTCTGGCGACAGAGCGAGACTCTGTTTCAAAGAAAAAAAAACTTCAGTTTACTTGATTTTGCTTATAGAGTTCTTTGAGAATTTAAATCATCCTTTCTGAATTACAGAAAGTCATAGATTAGAAGTGTAGCTTTAAAATGCTCTAGATCACTCTGAATTAAGAAAAAGGGTTTCCTTTGTCCAGAATAAGCATCAATTTAAAACAGCATTTAAAAACAAGTATTCAACAAATTGGTATACGAATTATAACACAAGCAACTAAATCACTGACTTTGATTAGTCTCTCTACTGATTACTACTGTTGAACAGAAGTTGTGTGTAAGAATAGGAGAAGGTGAACTCATTGTCTTGAGCATGTGGAATTAGTTCTTGTCTGAGGCCAGATAGCAATTTTTATCTTATTTTCAGTATAGCAGATCCTATGCTGCCCTGATAAGAATCACCTGCACAGCCTCATTGACTCTCACGGAAGTATTCCAGTAACTCTTTGAATTTTTTCCTAGAAAAATTGGCATCTGTTACCCCTACACAATTCCTTCATAAACAGTAGAAATTTCCCCCATGAAACCTTTCCTTTAACCTTAACATTCTTCGATAATTATTTATGAAGTCCTTAAATAATTATTACAACAAGTATTGGTTTTGAATACGTACCAGCTTTGGAATACTGCTTAAGGAAACCATGATAAACTCCAACTCCTTTATGATTATTTAGAGGAATATATCTATTTGTTATAGTCTTAAGGAAAACCTTGTCAACATATTAGATGATAGAAACAGTCATAACCAGCGACCACCAGGTTTGGTGGGAACTCATGATGTGAAGGGTCTACTCCATGTTCTGCCAACCAAGTAACTAAGTCATTTTGGGCAAATGATTCAGCTGACTTGATCTGTTACATGATTCCTAAGGTCTGTTATAGCTCCAATATTTCATGGCATCACTCCACTTTAATGTATTATCTATCTTAAAAAAGTTAAACAGAAAGATCAATTAGCACTTATATTAAATTTGAGTTGCTGAATATTTTATTTTTTCTCACTTCCACTCACTGCTTCCACTATTTGGGTAATGATTGTTGGAGCTGTATGCATTTATAATGCATTAAGTACAGTGTGGTATATCAGTAAAACTTCATTACAAATATTCATTCCATACATTTGTCTGTACTGGGGTCAGTTTTTTTCCCCTTCTTCTTCTTTTTAAAGACAGGGTCTTGCTCTGTCTCCTCCTGTCTTGGTCTCCCAATGTGCTAGAACTACGGGCATGAGACACTGCACCTGCTCTTTTCTAGTTTTATTTGTCTATCTGAAGAGTTTATTATTTGGCTAAGCTCACATGGCAAGGTAGGTATCATGAAGTGTTAAAACCCAGCTTTTCTGCTAATGTTCTTGTGAGATAAACCAACTATTAGTAAAGATACTTGCTTCCTAATCAAGATTACTTGGAATTGTTAAGAGAGTATGTATGTATGTATAAGTTAACTTTTTAAAAACTTCTCTGCTGCCTGGAGGAATAATGAAATGACCCAAAGGGATAGAAGCAAAATATTTCAGATAGTACATAACGTATATACTTAGCCTTGTGCAATCAAGAATTAATGATATAATGTGTATGGAGTAATATTTAACTTTATTTCGTTATAAGCCCTTTTGGGATAGTGGTTGTTCCACATAACTTTTATCTTCTTTAATGCTTAGTATCTGCTAGAAATGTAGTCTGTGGGATCATAAGAGTTGGGGAAGATTTACAGATAGCATTTTCAGAGACTGAACAGAAAAGCATATTGTCATTTGGAAAAATTTTAAAAGTGTCTAACTTTTATTCAGGACCATTTGCTTTTATTTTCCTGTTGTTATTTATTTCTATTATCTTGTTTACAGTTGAAATTTGGACAATTGGTCTGTATCTTTTCTAATTTTCATTATATATAAAGACTTAGGTTTCCTCTTTCCTTATGTGTTTGTTGGTAAACATTAGGTGCTATTTTTAAGTTTTCAATTCTCAGGCATAGTGCTACTTATCCATGTTATTTATATAAGCAAATGAGCATATTTGCCAATCAATCCACGGTAAGAAACACAATTTAAGTTCCTACCAAGGATACCTCTGTGTGTGTGTATGTGTGTGTATGTATCTGAAATATTTCACTAAATAATTCATTTTTTTTTTTTTTTTTTTTTTTTTTTGAGACGGAGTCTCGCTCTGTCGCCCAGGCCGGACTGCGGACTGCAGTGGCGCAATCTCGGCTCACTGCAAGCTCCCCTTCCCGGGTTCACGCCATTCTCCTGCCTCAGCCTCCCGAGTAGCTGGGACTACAGGCGCCCGCCACCGCGCCCGGCTAATTTTTTGTATTTTTAGTAGAGACGGGGTTTCACCTTGTTAGCCAGGATGGTCTCGATCTCCTGACCTCATGATCCACCCGCCTCGGCCTCCCAAAGTGCTGGGATTACAGGCGTGAGCCACCGCGCCCGGCCAATAATTCATATTGTTAATACCTCAACCATATCTTGATATTCTGTTAGCTTTTTAAATGATGGTTGTGACCAACTACAGTTCACATTTTTCACTAGTGGATCACACTCTGCAGCATTAAAATCACCGTGAAATAGATTAATTAGAATAAATGAAGTGTTCTTTTTTCATTCTGTTTGTACAGTAGATATTATTGGATTATTTTATAAAATACCCATTTTATAAATTGGATGGTATGTTATAAATGGATAGTAGGATTTTTCCTTTCTTCATTTTGTACCAAGAGAATAAAAAACACTCCTGTTCAGTACATCTCTAGCAAGCCTATTTCAACATCCAATGTCTCAAATAATTAATTTTTCTATACTTTAGTCACCCTTACACCTAAACGTTACAGTGCTTCAGTATAACTTCTATGTAAACATTATTAATCCCATTTACAGATGGGAACCAGAGTGTTGGGAGACAGGTCATGGATTTCTCATGTTCCTGCACAGTCTAAGTGTTCTAAGGAGAGGCATTTACAGTGCCAATTGTATAAGGAGAAATTTCAGGACAGTAAAACTACTGACATGTCCCTCCCTGGAGACGTCCAAGGATAATAAAAATAAAAGACCTTCTCTTCCCCTTCCCAGAGGAGATTTGCTTATATTTGAGTGTAATGAGCAATCTTTCTGGGCAGAGCAGGGTGGCAAACCAATAGAAGATCAGAGTTCCTTCATTTGGGGGTTACTCTCCTGTGATGCTCTCTACTGTATGCACTAGTAACATCCATCCCTTACTGCATTGCCTCATGGAGATTGGAGCTCAGGGAACTGGTCTAAATATATTGTTCTAGGTGCTGCTTTTGCTACGAGTAATAAATTGTCTTTGTTTCTGATCCACAGTTCTTGTGTCCTTATGTCATTGTGTGTGTGTGCATATGTGTATGCAGGAGAACGAATGCGGCAGATTGAAGAGCAGTTGAATATCAGACCTTTGTAGTGTGGTGGTGGTGATTATGGTGTTGAGACAGAATTTTGCTGTGTTACCCAGTCTGGTGTGCAGTGGCGCAAGGCTCATTTCAGCCTTCGAACTTTCAAACTCCATGGGCTCAGGTGACCCTCCCAGCTGGTACTGAAGGCACACCCCACCATACCCAGTGATTTTTTTTTTTTTTTTTTTTTTAAGAGACAGGGTTTTGTCATGTTGCCGAGGCTGGTCTCAAACTCTTGGGCTCAAGCAATCCACCCACCTCAGCCTCCCAAAGTGCTGGGGTTACGGGCATAAGCCACCATGCCTAGCCCTTTGTGATTTTTTTAACTTAACTCTGGCTCACACAATTTAACTGTAGGTCTGTTTGTAAACCTGAAGCGCTTTCTATGCTTTCTTCCTTACATAGACCGATAAAATAAGTAGAAAATATGGTGCTAATGACTAGTATTTGGTATAAGTAGATAAATGTTTTGTATCACATTTGCATGCTTATAATCTGTGATCAATGAGCAGTCTGAATATTTTTCCCTCCATCCTCATAAGTTAAACTAAAAAAAAGTTATAGATTGAGGCTGGGATATCTGGTGGCGAAATTATATTTATTTGAACAGAGTTTGTGTATATACATACATATTTCAGAATATATTGAAAAATAAAAGTGTAATGACCTTGATAAAAATGAAATATTCACTTAAAAACTCCATTTAATAATGCCCACAGGAAAGAAATGCTTCTAGAATTTTTTAACTAATCATTTTTCTCAGTACTTTTGATTGTCATGCAAACTAAAGAAATGGACTTAATGAACAATTTAGTTACAATAATAAAGTTTCAAAAATTCTAAATTTACCTCATAATTGCAACAGATGCAAAATTATTTCATATCTTTATACTCGTTATGAAATTACCTCATATCCAAAAATATTTATGTCAAGTGACAGGCTTTTTGCAGCATTTTTGATATTATTACCCTTGTAATATATAATTAACTTTGTAAGTTAACCTTGTGGAACTTTTAAGGGAAATGCATTAACTTAGCATTAATATAGACTTCTAAAATTTACTGTGATGTAGAACATTTGATTTAATGTTGTCTGTGTCTAATACAAAATAACTGTGGTCCACTTACTTATTTCAAATTTTATTCTCAAAGGTACCTACTAGATTATGTGTGAAGAAGTTTGTGACCAAAGTAATATAACTGATTCTGTTTTGAAAATCTAGAATAAAGTTTATGCAAAAGCATATGGATTATTTCTTTATGAATGCAGTTTTATACTAAAAACTCCTCCATACCCACGTAAGTAGATATATTCTCATAGTGATGTAGAAAACTGACAAAACTTTTCATCCTCAGAGCTAGGAATTCTTGTGTTTGGCCACAAGGGAAAGACAAAGGTATTAGAATTTTAAATAAGCTATCATCAACAAATACTACATCTCTCCAGCTCCATTCATAAATATAGCAACATTTTGGAAGTGCAGATGAATCGAACATAGTTAAGTGAGAAAAATTTTTAGTAACATACATAATTTGTAAATATTGAATCGTTTTTTAAATGATACTCTGAGTCATAATTATTTCAAATTGTACATAATGCTAGAAGAAACTAGGATAATAGCAGAATAAGTTACAGTGACTAAAATCATAGGTTTTTTTAAGAGATTGGGGAGTCTCTGTGGTGCCCAGTCTGGAGTGCATTGGTGCAATCATAGCTCACTGTAACCTTGACTCCTGGCTTCAAGCAATCCTCCTGTCTCTGCCTTCCTTTTGTAGTTTCAGGTCTTAACATTTAAGTCTTTCATCCATTTTGAGTTGATTTTTATACATGGTATAAGATGAGGATCTAGTTTGATTCTTCTCCATATGGATATCTTTGGTCTATATATTTATTTATATGACAGTACCATGCTGTTTTGGTTACTGTAGCTTGGTAATATAATTTGAATTTGTGTAGTGTGATGCCGCAGCTTTCTCTTTTTGCTCAGGATTATTTTAGCTATTTGGGGTCTTCTGTGGTTCCATATGAATTTTAGGATTTGTTTTTTCTATTTCTGTGAAGAATGCCTTTGGTATTTTCATAGAGATTGCATTTAATCTGTAGCTCACTTTGGTTAGTAAAGATATTTTAACAAGGCCGAGCATGGTGGCTCATGCCTGTAATCTAGCTCTTTGGGAGGCTGAAGTGGGAGGATTGCTTGAGGCCAGGGATTCAAGACCAGCCTAGGCAACATGGCGTGACCGTCCCTACAAAAAAATATTTTTTTAATTAGCTAGGCATGGTAGCATACACTTGTAGTCCTGTCTACTTGGGAGGCTGAAGCAGGAGGATCCTTTGGGCCCAGGTGGTCAAGGCTGCAGTGAGCTATAATCATGCCACTGCACTCTAGCCTGAGCAACAGAGAGAGATCTTATCTCTGTGTAAAAGAAAAAGAAGTGTAATTAAAGGAAAAAAACATTTTAACAACAGTCTTTCAATTCCAAAACATGGGATGTCTTTTTTTCCTTTTCTCTTCAGTTTCTTTCATCAGTGTTTTATAATTTTCCTTGTATAGATCTTTCATCTGCTTGGTTAAATTTATTTCCTGGTTATTTTATTTTTTTGTAGCTATTGTAAATGGTTTGCTTTCTTGATTTCTTTTTCAGGTTGGTTGCTCTTAGTGTATAGAAATTCTACTGACTTTTGTATGTCGATTTTGTATCTGACAACTTAATAAATTCACTTACCAGTTCTAATATAATATGGTCTAATTAATATATTAGACTAGAAGTATAAGATCTCTCCTGGAGAATGTTCCATGTACCGATGAGAAGAATGTGTATTCTGTGGCAGTTGGATGAAATGTTCTGTAAAGGTCTGTTAGGTTTATTTGGTCTAGAGTATAGTTTAGCTTCACTGTTTGAAGTTAAACACTGATGTTCTTACATTTCTTATAAGAACATTTTATGTTTCTTATGTATAAGAACACTGATGTTTTTATATTTCTAGTCTAATAATGTATTATTAAACTAAAAATATAAGATTTGTCCTGGAGAATGTTCCATGTCCTGATGAAAAGAATGTGTATTCTGTAGCAGTTGGATGAAATGTTCTGTAAATGTCTTAGGTTTATTTGGTCTAGAGTATAGTTTTTTACTTCAGTGTTTGTTGATTTTCTGTTGGGATGATCTGTCCATTGCCGAAAGTAGGAAATTGAAATCCCCTACTATTATTGTATTTATCTCTTGCTCTTGCTCTTATGTATTCACACTTGCTCTCTCTCATGCTCTCTCTCTCTCTCTTTCCCTTTGTATCTAATAATATTTGCTTTATATATTTGGGTACACCAATGTTGGGTGCATATATATTTACTATTGTTATATCCTTTTGCTGAATTGACCCCTTTATCATTATATTATGATCTCCTTTGTCCCTTTTTACAGTTTTTGACTTAAAGTCTATTTTGCCTAATGTAATTATAGGTATTCCTGCCCTTTTCTGGTTTTTATTTGAATAGAATATCTTTCTGCATCCCTTCACTTTCAGCATCTATGTGTCTTTATAGGTGAAATGAGTTTCTTGTAGGCAGCATGTATCTGGGTCTTGTTTTTAAAATCCATTCACCCACCCTGTGTCTTTATTTGGGTTTTATTTGAGATGGAGCCTCACTCTGTCCCCCATGCTGGAGTGCAGTGGTGTGATCTCGGCTCACTGCAACCTCCAACTCCCTGGTTCAAGCGATTCTTCTGCCTCAGCCTCCCAAGTAGCTGGGACTACAGGCGTGCACCACCATGCCTGGCTAATTTTTGTATTTTTAGTAGAGACGGTTTCACTATGTTGGCCAGGCTGGTCTCAAACTCCGGACCTCATGATCCACCCGCCTCGGCCTCCCAAAGTGTTGGGATTACAGGCGTGAGCCACTGCGCCCGGCCTATCCTGTGTCTTAATTGGAGCATTTAGTTCATTTATATTCAGTATTATTGATAGATAAGGTTTTACTACTCTTATTTTGTTACTTGTTTTCTAGTTGTTTTTAACTTTTCTTCTGCTTCTTTTCTTACTGTCTTTCTTTGTGGTTAGGTGATTTTCTCTTAAGAGTACATTTTAATTTATTGCTTTTTATCCATTTTTGCTCTGTGGTTACCAAGAGGCTTATAAATAAACATCCTGTAGTTATAGCAAGTATTTAAAACTGATAATCAACTTAACTTTGATTGGAAAAAAAACACACAAAAGTGAACATTAACTTCCTTCTCCCCCTTCATTTTGAATTTCTGATGTCACAGTTCACATTTTTATATTGCCTATCTTGTAACAAATTGTTGTAGTTATTATTTTTAATAGTTTTGTCTTTTAGTCGTCTTACTACAGATATTAGTGTTTTAAACACTGCAAATACAATATTAATATAACACTCATTTTAGTGTTTCTTCCAGTTTGAAGAAGTTTTTAAAGCATTTCTTATTGGACAAGTCTGATTATGGTAAATTCCCTCAGCTTTTGTTTGTCTAAGAAAGTCTTTATTTCTCCTTCAGTTTTGAAGGATAATTGTGCTGAGCACAGTAATCTTGGTTGACAGTTTCTTCTCCACCAGCATTCCAAATATATTCTTCCACATTTTCCTGGCTTATAAGGTTTCTGCTGATAAGTCTGCTACCAGGCATATTGGATCTTCCTTGCATGTTATTTACTTCTTTCCTTTCAGTGATTTCAGAAGTTTTTCTTTGTGCCTTTGACCTTTGTGAGTTTGATTATAATGTGTCCTAGAGTAGTCTTCTTTGTGTTTAATCTAATTAGTGATCTTTGACCTTAGTCTACCTGAATATTTATATCTTTTTTCAGGTATGGAAAGTTTTCTGTTATCATTTCCTTGTATAAGTTTTCTACCCCTTTGTCTTTCTCAGTCCTTCTTTGACTTCAGTAACCTGAATATTTGCCCTTTTGATGTTGTCCCATAGATTTTGTAAGCTTGCTTGCTTCCTTTTCTTTTTTTTTCTCTTCTCACCATATTTTTAATCATTTTTCTTTGAACTCACTGATTCTTTTATTTGGTTAATTCTGCTTCTGTTGCTCTCTATTGAGATTTTCGCTTCATTAATTTTTTTTTTTTAGTTGCAGGATTTCTGGTTTTTTAAAAAAGTTATTTGAGTCTCTTATATTTCTTTCATAATTTTCTGAATTGATTCTTCATGTTTTCTTTAAGTTCTTTGAGCTGTCTTCAAACAGGTATTTTGAATTTTTGGAGAGATCACATATCTCGGTCACTTTCAGGTTAGTCTGTGGTACCTTATTTTGTTCTTTTGGTGTGATGTATTTCCCTAAATGTTCTCAATGCTTTAGAAGTGTGATGATGTCTGAGCATTGAGGGATTTGTAATTTATTTTAGTCTTCCCAGCCTGGCTTTGTTTGTGCCTGTCCTTCTTCAAGAGGCCTTCCAGGGATTCTAAAGCTGACTTACTATTGCATTCTCTGAGCCTCTGACCAATTACAGCCATCTCAGCACTAGAGTATGCTTTAAGCCCAGGTTTTCTGAGTCCTGCAAGGGCACCAAGGTTGACACAGCTTTCTGGCCCAGATGGACCTCGGGAAGACCCAAGGGAGGTAGTTGGGCTGCCTGGGAATGCTGTCCAGACACCTGAAGCCAGAAGACTCTCCTAGTGGTCCTGATAGGTATGCCTCCCAACAAATCTCTGCACAGATGGGATAGGTCCCTGACTACAAAGAGAGTGGCTGGAGTTGAGACTGTGCGTCTTTGGAATCTACTGTGGAAAGGAGGCTGATTGGCTCACCTCATTGGCTCAGATTAGCATGCATCACCCAACAGGTCCCAGTATCTGGGCAGTTTCTTGACTGCAGCAAGAGGGCTTGGAGCCAAGACTGGGCCCCTTCAGTATCTACTATGGATATGCCTGTCACATGGATCCAGTTGGGCGTGTGTCTCCCAGCAAGTCCCTCCATAGATGGAATGATTCCCTGACTACAGCAGGAGAGGCTGGAGGTGTGACTGTGCCCCCTTGGGATTTGCTGTGGGACAGAGGATTGAGAGCCTGGTCTTGGCTCAGAGGGGTGTGCATCGCCCTGAATGTTCCTGCACATACAGGATATTTCCCCAACTGCAGTGAGACGAGCCAAAGCTGAAACTGCACCACCCTGGGATCTGCTGTTGGATGGAGGTTGATGTGCTTGTCATGTTGGCTCAGATGGGCGTATGTCTCCCAGCAGGTCTCTGCATAGACAGGAGGGTTCCCTAACAGCAGGAGGAGGGTCTGGATCTGAGACTGGACCCTCTCAGGATCTGCTGTGGGATGGTGGCTGGAGAACCTGGTCTGAGCATGCATCTCACCAGTAGACCCTGTAGACAAGATAGTTTCCTGGTTGCAGCAGGAAAGGCTGGAGCTGAGACTGGGCTCCCTCAGGATCTCCTGTGTTGCAGAATCTGGAGAGCCTGTCTTGTTTGCCCGGACAGATACCCCTCTTCCAGCAGATCTCTGCACAGAATTATTTTCAGACCACAGCAAGAAGGGTCAGAGCTGAGAATGGACCACCTGAGGATCTGCTGTGGGATGGAGGTTGGCGTGCCTGTCTCATTAGCTCAAATGGGCACCCATCTCCCAGCAGGTTCCTGTTTCTGCACAGATAGGATGCATCCCCTACTGCAGCAGGAGGAGCTGAGGCTGAGTCTGGGGCCTCCCTTGGGATCTGTGGCATGGAGTCTGGAGCCCCTTGTCTCATTGACTCAGAGACACACCCACAGGAGATAACTTTTCAACTTCTAGTAAGCAATCATTTGAATCATTAAGTATTTTTGGTGTATTATACATAACCACACTTAATTACAATTCATACCTGTACCTTCTTATTGCTACCCATATTTGAGGAATAGGTCTTTCCCTTCTTTCCTTCTATATTTAAAACCTTTTATCTATATTTTCTTCTCATGCCTTGAGTCTAATCTCAAACCTTGTTCTCTTCTTGATCTTTGCTAACTTTGTTGTAAATGTGCTCCTATCCCACTATTGAAACAAACAGGCAAACTCTCCAACATTCGCCTTATCTATCCTCATTTCAGCTGAATTTCTTGACAGTGTAGTTCACACTTCTTTATCTCTGATGCATTCAGCTGCTCTCACCACGTTTTTAAAATCCAGTGGGCACGAGTCACCCATGACCTTTTAGTTGCCAAATCCAGTGAACACTTTTCAGTTCTTGTCTGACTTATCTCTGGCATTTATCAGTGTTGACCTTACCATAACTCTGAAACTTTTCCTGTCTTGCTTAGCTTATGTGATACCTTTTCCCTCAGGTTTTTCTTCTTTTCTGGCTCCTCTTCTTCCTTTTCCACAGCTGGCAATTCCTACTCTTACAGCTCTTCTAATGTTTTCCTTTCCTTTCCTTTATCTTTAGGCAAAGGCTATGGTGTGTGTGTGTGTGTGTGTGTGTGTGTGTGTGTGTGTGTGTGTGTGTGTGTGTTCTAGCAACCTCTTTCAAATGAATTCCAATGGATTCTAACACTAAGCTGGAGTGTCAGGTACTACTTGTGATTTCTTCTCTTTTATCTTCCTGGGAGTTTTACAGAATCTACAGTAGTGATCACTACTTCCCACAGTCTTTTCCTGACACTTTCTTTCTCCCTTTCTCCAGTTTATTCACTTCTCTTTTAGATTACAGGACAATTTTCCTCTGTTCTCCGTACATCCAGCCTGGCTGTCCTCCAGTCTGTGTTCCATAGAGCTACTGAAAACCCTACTAAGAAACAAATTTTGTAATACCATTTCCTTACAATGCTTCAGTAATTAATGTTAACATTTAGGTTAAAAACAGCCTTATCATTAAGAAAACTTTTAAACTGATTTAAAATTTATATAATGTGAAATCATTTTAAAGTATACAATTCAGTGGCATTTACTGCATTCACAATGCTGCACAACCACAACCATAATTTCTAAATAATTCTAAGTTTTCATCACCCCAAAGGGAAACTCCATACCCATCAAGCAGTCATTTGTCATTCTCCCCTCCAGCTAGCCCCGTTCATCCATTAATCAGCTTTCTGTGTCCGTGGGTTTACCTATTCTGGAGGTTTCATATACATGAAATCATCACTATATGTGACCTTTTCTGTCTGGTCTTTTACTTAGAATAATGTCGTGGAGGTGCATCCCATTTTGTTGCATATATTAGCACTTCATTTTTTTGATTGAATAATGTTCCATTGTATAGCTATACCACATTTGTTATTCATTCATCAATTGATGGACATTCGAGTTGTTTCTGCCTTTTGAATGCCTGATTTTGATTCATTTTTGTAGAGTCCTTAGGTTTTCCTAAGTATAAGATCATTTCGTCTGGGAACAAGGCTAATTTAATTTCCTCTTTTTCAATTTGGATGCCCTTTATTTCTTTGTCTTACCTAAATGCTTTGGCTGATTCATTTTGGGCAAATACCTGGGAAGAGTGTTTAATTGCTGGGTCATATGGTAATTCTATATTTAACTTTTTAAGGAAATGCCAAACTGTCTACTACAACATCTACAATAAGATAAATTTTCACCAGCAACTTATGAGGGTTCCAGTTTGTGTACATCCTCACTAACTCTTGTTATTTTATTTTCCAGTTTTAAATACTATTAATATCTAACTCAGTGGGTATAAAGTTATATCTCATTGTATTTATGATTTGCCTTTTCCTAATGACTAATGATATTGTAAATGTTTTCATGTGCCTGTTGCCCATGCATACATCTTTTTGGGAGAAATGTATATTCAACTTACTTTCCCGTTTTTTATTTGAGTTTTATTTTTAACCAAGAAATACCTTTTAAGTGATCAGACCTGGAACCTTGCCAGGTTTAATGATTATCAAAGCAGAGCCATATTTTGACTTTTGATGTTATCTATTATTATAGTCTTGTTATTCATAATTACTTGAATATTATCAGCATCTCTAGATCCTTTGTAGTTAAAACATAGTAAAGTATTTTAAGTCTTTATACTAAAATAGTACGTCTTGAAAGTTTTAATATAGAACACTCTGCTTAGCATTTCTTTATAACCTAAAATGCAATTAATAAAAGGGTGTCATTTCCTCTGCCAATTAAGTAGCCTTCATTGGTTGATATTGAACAAATTGCTGATACTTATTTCTGTGATGTTTACTTTTTAAAAAAAATATTTTTTGCTTTCTTTTTAACACTTCCAAACAATTGCTAGGTTAATTTGTCAGTTGCAAATCTGAAATAAAATTGTTTTTAGCAGTCTTTCAAATAAAATTTTCGTTGAGACTAAAGAGATCCTGGATTACAATCAACATTTGTAGATATGTCATACATAGAGAACCAAAAAAAAATTATAAATCTGATATAAATATCAGTGTGCCATACAGGCATGGTGGCTCATGCCTGTAATCTCAGCATTTTGGGAGGCTGAGGCAGGTGGATCACTTGAGTCTAGGAGTTCGAGATTAGCCTGGGCAACATGGTGAAACCCCATCTCTATAAAAAATACAAAAATTAGCCAAGCATGGTGGTACACACCTGTAGTCCCAGCTGTTTGGGAGGCTGAGGTGGGCGGATTGTTTGAGCTTGGTAGGCAGAGGTTACAGTGAGCCAAGATTGTGCCTCTGCACTCCAGCCTAGGTAACAGAGCGAGACCCTGTCTCAGAAAGCAAAACAAAAACGCCCAAATATCAATGTGCTATGAAACCACACATTGTATGTGTTCATTCCCACAAATTGGAGCATTTTAAGAAGCGCTCTAAATTAGTTTATGTCTTGCTTTTCTTCTTATGTTCTGTAGATTCTTTAGTACTCCATAAGAAAAATTTGCTATAGAAAGCATAAAAACTGCAAATGCATTATATCCTCCATGAAACCAGCTTTAATTTAGTTGCTAAACCCTGATCATTGTTGCACTATACACTCAGAAAATGTATAGCAGTGACTATTTTGTAAATATGAAGAGTTCATATTCAGCACATTCAGCAATGGTTTATATCTAAAATGATTTTTGAAGAATGCTTTAAAAAACTTCTTTGCCTAGAGTCTTTAAAGCTGGCACTTTAAAACTATGTTTCATGGATTGTCAGTTGGAATGGACTTCAGGAGGTCCATAAGTCCATGAAATTACAGTTTTTTAACATGAATTTTTCTGAGGATACATGATTTTTATCATACTCTCAAAAGAATCTAAAACTCAAAAATGGTTAAGAGACACTTAAATAAAATGTTGATAAAGGCCATGGTCATTGATTCTCATTCTTCAGAAGCTTTGCATGTGTGAGTTTACCTACTCACTAAAATGTACTTGTAAATCCAAAACCAGTACTCGGTGCTTTTGCAGTCATTTGTAAACATATTTGGAGAAGCAAAAATTTTGAGTTACCTTATGTGTTCATTCCTCTCTGAGGTCAAAGAAGGTGATGGTTTGCCTTGTTTCAGCTGTCATACTGTAAACAAGTGTCCTTTTCAATGCGTATTTAGTGCCATATTAATCACATTTTTTGTTGTTGATTTTTCTGTTTAAAATGGTTCCCAAGCATAGTGCAGATATGCTGTCTAGTGTTTCTAAGCATAAGAAGGCTGTGATACACCTGAGAGAATAAAAATCTGTAATAGACAAACTTGGTTCAGGCATGAGTTACACTGCTGTTGACTGTGAGTTTATTGTTAATAAATCAAATATGAAGTATCAATATCTGTATAAATAGTTAAATATAATTATATATAGATGTAAATATAAATTGTTAAAATACGGAATCTTTAAACAGAAACATACATTTTAGAAATTATGTATTGGCATTGGTTGACCAAGATGATGTTTGGAGAGGTTTTCAGGAAACTAACCCTGTCTTTTTCCCAGGAACAATAATTCTGCAGGAGGCAGAACCTGTTGTCTAGGTTGGAGTACAGTGGCATGAACATGGCTCACTGCAGTTTTGACCTCCTGTGCTTCTTCTGCCCCAGCTTCCCAAGTAGTTCAGGCTACAGGCACATGTCACCATGCCTGGTAATTTTTGTATTTTTTGTAGAGACAGGGTTTTTCTTGCCCAGACTGGTCTTGAATTTCTGGGCTCAAACAATCCTCCCATCTTGGCCCCACAAAGTACTGAGATTAGAGATGTGAGCCTCCATGCCCAGCTATAGTTAACCTTTTGCAGTGTTTTTTTTTTTAACTTAATGTTTCTAAATTTCTTCTAGGGTAAACATTTACTACGTAGAGGCTGTGTGTCATTTACCTCTTCATGGTATCACACATCAGATACTTCTAACATAATCATGATAAATGTTAGTGGTTTCATGGTCTTATTTACACTCCAGCTCTACCAGAATTCACTAATCTACTTCAAGTTTCTGTCTGAAATATTCTTTTTTTTTTTTTGATACAGAGTCTCACTTTGTTGCCCAGGCTGGAGTGCCGTGGCCCCATTTCAGATCACTGCAAACTCTGCCTCCTGTGTTCAAGTGATTCTCCTGCCTCAGCTTCCCAAGTAGCTGGGACTTACAGGCACACGCCACCACACCCAACTAATTATATTTTTAGTAAACATGGAGTTTCACCATGTTGGCCAGGCTGGTCTCAAACTCCTGACCTCAAGTGATCTGCCTGCCTTAGCCTCCCAAAGTGCTAGGATTAACAGACACGAGCCACCGCATCCTGCCTCTGTCTGAAATATTCTTATTGTTCATCATACAGTATATTGGGCTACAGTACTGTATTTTTCTCCAGGGTGTTGGTAACCATTTATGCTGAGTTTAGCCATTTTACTTAAGAGTCTACTAATTCACTGTAGATAAAGAGTTACTACTTTGGCATGGTGGAGCATGCCTGTAATCCCAGCTCTTTGTGGGAGGCCAAGGCAGGTGGATCGCTCGAGTCTAGGAGCTCAAGACCAGCCAAGACAACATGGCAAATTTTATTTCTACAAAAATTACAAATATTAGCCAGGTGTGGTGGTGCATGCCTGTAGTCCCAGCTACTGAGGAAGCTGAGGTGGGAGGATTATTTGAGACCGGGAGGTAGAGGCTGCAATGAGCCATGATTGTGCCGCTGTGCTCCAGCCTCAGAGACAGAGCAGTACCACAAAAAGAGTTAGAAGAGTTCTTTATCTAACAAATATGAGTTGTATATTTGCATAGTTGATTGCATTCATGAAGTCTAAGTATTTTTTTATTCATTAAATCTAAAGGAAGTTGGGGCTCTCTGCTTTCGATAAGATGAAGTAACAAGTACTGTACTTATCCTTCACCTAAAATAATGATTAAAGAAAATTTGTGTGTTTATTTCTTAAGACACAGAACAAGCATTTGATAAAATCCAACATCCATTCCTCATAAAATCACTCCTGAAACTGGTGATAGAGAGGAACTTCCTCAACCTGATAATTAGCATCTATAAGGAACCAATGGTAATATTATATTTACTGGTGAATGTCTGAATGCTTTCTCACTAAGATCAGGAATAAGACAAGGATGTCTACTTTCACTACTTCTGTTCGATACTGTACTGCAGGTTCTAGCCAGTGCAATTAGTTAAGAAAAAGAAGTGCTTCTAGATTAAAAAACAGAAGTAAATCAATCATTATACTTCAGTGATATGATCATCTATGTATATTATTCTATAGAATCTACAAAAAGGTACTAGAATGAATAATTGAGTTTAGCATGCTTGCAGAATATAAGATCAGTATTTAAAACTCATGTAGTTTTCTGTACTAGGAACAAAAATTTGAAATTAAAATTTAATAGAAGAAATATTTTCTATCACATAAATAATAGGCTATACTTGGGGACAAATCTGACAAAAGATCTGGAAGACCTTTACTCTGAAAACTGTAAAAACATTACTGAATGAAAATAAGTGTGCAGATTCTTTACATATGATACTAATAGAATGATCTGTTTAAAATTGATTAATTGTGCATCAGCTATATACATAAGCCAAAACTTAAACAATTGTACACCTTAAATATGTACAGTTAATTTTGTTAATTCAAATCCCTATACTACTGTTAAAACAAATTAGAAAAACAAACTAAAGGAATTTATGTTCATATGACAGTGAATGAGTTGTCTGAACTCACCTCAATTTTTAATCCTAAGATGAATCCATCTCTAAAAAGTACTGAACATCTCTGAAAAGTTATGAATATGGTGTATGTTTTCTCCCATAACCTCATATATAGCAATTATTGTTATTAGGAAATCAGAACTAGCTTAAATAATCATAACATTGACCATCTGCTTTCCTTGTTAAATACATTTGACTACTAACTTAATGTTTTCAGTTAGCCCTCTAAAATTTGAGAAAGCAACATCTTTTTTACCTTTTTGCCAGATTTCTACAGGCTTTCTGATATATAGTTGGCCCTCTAGATCATTGCTGGCAGTTTGAAATATGTGTGATTATGATAGAGTATTTAAAATATTTTATTATAAATATTTGATCAATTTTTTATTATATAAATTTTCTTCTTTTAAAAAAATACAATTTAGAGATGGGGATCATACTATGTTGCCCAGGTCTTGAACTCCTGGGCTCAAGTGATCCTTCTGCCTTGGCCT
Organism: Homo sapiens; assembly: GCF_000001405.40. Lineage (NCBI taxonomy): Eukaryota > Metazoa > Chordata > Mammalia > Primates > Hominidae > Homo > Homo sapiens. The sequence continues at coordinate 74,370,831 of NC_000010.11, forward strand.
CCAAAAGTGCTGGGATTATAGATGTGAGCCACTGCACCCAGGCTAGGGTAAACTTTTGATAAATATTTTTGATTATGTAGAATAATTTTATGGTGAGTTCAAAGTAGGGTTTTGCAATTTTTATTGTGGAGATGTATTTATACTGTTAGTTTCAGGATATCTGTACTGATCATCTCCTGTGTTTTTAATCATGATGTTTCCTTTTCAAACAACACATTATGATGAAAGATCAATTTTCAATGAAATCATTTATAAGTATATACTAGCTATTGCAACTTTGGGGTTTGGAAAGGAAAAATTAAAGTGTGTTATGTTTACATGTTGGAAACATGTTAGAAAAATCAGTCTAGGATTGGAAGGAGATGGGAAGATTTAGGAGTAACTGCTAATGGGTACAAGGTTTCTTCTTAGGGTGAGAAAATGTTCTACAATGATTTGTGGTAATGGTTACAGAAGTATGATTATACCTAAAATCATTGAATCATATGCTTTAACTGGATAAATAAAAGGCATTTATATTGGAAAGGAAATAGTAAAACTGTATCTGTTTGTAGATAACATGATCTTATATACCAAACAAAAATCTTAAGCAGTCCCCTACAGATCTATTAGAAGTAATAAATGGCTTTTCACACTACCCACATAGACGTCCATACGGCGTTCTTTCTGGATTCCCATCGTAGCTTAAAGCGAAACTTTTCACCATGTCTGGAGCCCTTGATGTCCTGCAAATGAAGGAGGAGGATGTCCTTAAGTTCCTTGCAGCAGGAACCTGCTTAGGTGGTACCAATCTTGACTTCCAGATGGAACAGTACATCTCTATAAGGAAAAGTGATGGCATCCACATCGTAAATCTGAAGAGGACCTGGGAGAAGCTTCTGCTGGCAGCTTGTGCCATTGTTGCCATTGAAAACCCTGCTGATGTCAGTGTTATATCCTCCAGGAATATTGGCCAAAGGGCTGTGCTGAAGTTTGCTGCTGCCACTGGAGCCACTCCAATTGTTGGCCACTTCACTCCTGGAACCTTCACTAACCACATCCAGGCAGCCTTCCAAGAGCCACGGCTTCTTGTGGTTACTGACCCCAGGGCTGACCACCAGCCTCTCACAGAGGCATCTTACGTTAACCTATCTACCGTTGCTTTGTGTAACACAGATTCTCCTCTGCACTTTGTGGACATTGCCATTCTATGCAACAATAAGGGAGCTCACTCAATGGGTTTGATGTGGTGGATGCCAGCCCGGGAAGGTTTGCGCGCGTGTGGCACCATTTCCCATGAACACCCATGGGAATTCATGCCTGATCTCTACAGAGATCCTAAAGAGACTGAAAAAGCAGAGCAGCCTGCTGCTGAAAAGGCTGTGACCAAGGAGGAATTTCAGGGTGAATGGACTGCTCCAGCTCCTGAGTTAACTGCTACTCAGCCTGAGGTTGCAGACTGGTCTGAAGGTGTGCAGGTGCCCTCTGCGCCTATTCATCAGTTCCCTACTGAAGACTGGAGTGCTGAGCCTGCCACGGAAGGCTGGTCCACAGCTCCCAATGCTCAGGCCATTGAATGGGTAGGAGCAAACACTGAAAGGTCTTAAGCTGTTATTGCACACGCTCTTAAGCAACATGGAAATAAGGTTGACGGAAAATAAATGTCAGTTTAAAAAAAAAAAAGTAATGCATTCAGCAAGGTTGACAGATAAAATATCAAGATAGAAAAATATATTGGATTTTTGAGCAATATTAATGGGCAAATTGAAAATGAAGTTATGAAACAATTTCATTTAAATATCTTAAAAAGAAATAATGTACTTAAGTATAAATATAACAACAGAAGTGTGGAACTTATACTCTAAAAACTACATAACATTGAAAGACATTAAAGGAAACTAAATGGAAAGACATTAAATGTTGATATTTTGAAAAGATTTAATATTTTTAGGATGGCAGTTCTCCCCCAAATTGATCTAAAATAAATTTCCTACTAAAATCACAGCTAAATTCTTTGCACAATTTGACAAGCTGCTCTTAAAATTAATATGGAAATTCAAGGGACCCAGTATAGCCAAAACAATCTTGAAAAAGACCAAAATTGTGTTTCTCACTTCCCAATTAAAAAACGTATGATGAAGCCATACCAATATGTAGTTCTGGCATAATGATAGACATATCTATTAATGGTATAGAATTGAGAACAGAAATAAGTCTTCACATTTATGGTAACCTGTCTTTCTATAAGTGTGCCATGGCATAAAGAATAGTCTTTTCAATGAAGGGTACTAGAACACCTGCCCATCCATATGGGAAAAAAAAAAAGCTGGACCCCTATCTCATATGCAAAAATTAACTCAAAATGAATTAAAGACTTAAATGTAAGAACTAAAACTGCAACCGTTAGAAGACATAGGGATACATGTTTATGACTGGGCATGGGATATGAGCTGGCAAATGATTCTTAGATAGGTCACCAAAAGCATGAGCAATAAGAGAAAAGAATAAATAAATTAGATTTCATCAAGTTTTGAAAGTTTTGTGCTTTAAAGGACACCATCAAGAAAGTGAAAAGACAACCCACAGAATGGGAGAAAATTGCACTCACATATCTATTTTATCTTGAATATATAAAGAATTATTTAGACTCAATAATGATGAAAAGACAAATAACTCACTTTAAAAAATGGGCAGAATATCTGAGTAGGCAGTTTCCCAAAAGAAGATATACAAATGACTAAGGAGCACATAAAAAGATGCTCAACATAATTAGCTATCAGGTATATTAAAGTCAAAACTACAATGAGATACCATTTCACTCCTGCTAGGATGATGGGTATAATCAGAAGGACAGAGTTTTGGCAAGGATTTGGAGAACCCTAAGGCATTGCTGGTGGGAATGTTAAATAGTGCAGCCTTTTTGGAAAAGAGTCTTGCAATTCCTTAAATATTTTAACATAGAGTTACCATATCCAGCAATTCTGCTCCTAGGTATATACACAAGACAAATGAAAATGTTTGCACAAATGTTTATAGCAGCATTATGTATAATAGCCTAAACATGGAAACAACCCAAGTGTGTTACTGATAAATGAATAAACAAAATTTGGAATATCCATGCAATAGAATATTATTTGACAAAAAAGAAATGAAGTACTGATACATGCTACAACATGGGCAAATTTTGAAAATATCGTGCTAAATGAAGGAAGCCAGTCATAAAAGTACACATGTTTTATGATTCCATGTCTGAGAAGTGGCCTGAACATGCATATTTTTAGAGACAGAAAATAAATTAGTGTTTGCCTGGGACTTGTGAAGATGAGGTTTTCGGAAGTGATGACTCAAGAGTGAACTGGTTTTTTTGGGGGGTGTTGAAAAATGTTCTAAAATTGATGTGGTGATGCCTATACAACTCCAAATATACTAAACACCATTGAACTGTACACTTCAAAGGGATGAATTGCATAGTATGTGAATTATATCTTAAGGAGCTGATAAAGAATATATATTTATTGGTCTGTTTTACCCTTTGAATGGATTTTACCCATATGTGATGTTTTTACCATGATACATTAATCATTTGCCAGAGTTTTTGTTCCTTAAATTATGCATATCTTACAAATGTAAAATGTCTTATTTGTCAATATCACTACTAAACAAGAAAATAGTCTTTAAGCATTGGGAACCTCACTGGTGGATATGAGTTTTACACGATCATAATTTTCAGAGACCCAGGGAGAATTATCTCCCATTTTTTGATTAGTTTTCTGTACACTGTTGCCTAATTATCTTTCTGAAATACAGATTGATCAGGTAACTCTCTGATCCCAGCCTGCTTGTCATTGTCATGCATGGTTAGTCCTTCATAAAATATGCTATTATGGACCCCATCTTTTACTAAATTCAGAGAAAGCATGCCCATGTCTCTCTGTGTTTTTTGTGTGTATGAGTTTCTCTATGTATAATTCACTTTAGTTTATTTTTCTTCTTTTCGCCTGGTAAAATCTTCAAACTTCAAGAAACAGCATATCTGTTATTTACTCTTTGACCTTTTCATTATACCCCATATTCCTTGGTGCTTTCCAAGTTTTTTGTTCGTACCTTTATTATAACACTCCTCGTATGTTGTTTTCATGCTTACTCCTCCAGTAGAGCTATGAACTTCTCATGACTTTATTTGTGCTTCTATTCCCTCACAGAGTACTTTAGATATAATAAGAGTCTCTTGGATTAATGAGTTCCTAATTTTATTGTGGGTGCTCAGTAACATTTTTATTTTGATGATGTTATAATTGAGGTATGAATCAGACTCCCCTTACACTTTCTGCATATAAATCTTTTTTGTAAAAGAATTCTATACATTTTAATTATCCTATAAAAACTTAATTACCAATATTGTTTGTAGATGTCTGTTGCCAGATTTTTAAAAAATGATGCATTACCATCCCCATAAATGATAATTGCCTTTTGCTTTTTTTAATATAAAAATGACAACTTTGCCTGTCAAATTATAAAAAATGTTTTCTCATTATTTTCATTTGCCATTCTTTGGTTACTGTGCTAGAGAATATATATGTCTATTGTTTGTTAGTGTTTATATCATTGCCCTTTAAAAAAATTGTAGTTGTGCAAGAATGGATGTAGGCAGGCTAAAATATGGACTCTCCAGAGATGTGGATATGCCTGGGAAATTGTCATTTGATTTACCTGTCTTCACAATCAGCATTTTGGACCGTGATACAGTTGTTACTACCTATTTACACTTGGCTGATAGGCAGGCTCAAAGCTGTAGCCTCTTATTAGAGTCAGTCAAGGGGGGCCAGAATGGCAAGAGCCATTTTTTTTTTTAAACTGCTGGTCCTACCTCAGCAGCACCAGGAGAGTGGCAAAGGGGGCTTCTTCAAAGATTTTATGGTATCTTCACTTTATGTCAAAGTCTAAGCTATCAGTATTTTTCTTTGTAGTAGTTGGTGTATGTGCCAAAGTTAGAAAATCTTTCTCTGTCTTGGTTATTAAAATAAGTGGCTGAATTTTCTAATACCTTTATGGGTTCTGTTTTGTTTTGGTTTGTTTTTTCATTTGTGTGGGGTTTTTGTTGTTGCTGCTGTTGTTGTTTTTACACTTTTGGTTAAAGTGTGACAGGAAAAACTTTTCTTTTTTTCCCTGAAAATGGTTCTGTTTTTATGCCAGCTTAATGTACTAATTCCCTCATTTCCGTCTAAAAAAAAAATCACCTTTATTTTAATACTATATTGCCATAGGTACTTGGATCCGTGTTTGAACTCTGTATTTTTCTGTTGATCTGTATATTAGTACCAAATTGTTTCTAAAGCAATTAACAAATAATACATTTTAATACCTGGTAGTAAACTGCTCCCTTAATCCCATCATTATTACTCATCTATTTCAGAAGGTACTTTCTTATTATTCTTCCACATGAATTTAAAAATCATATTGATATTTTCAAAATATCACATTGGAATTTGTAGGTTCTTTAGGAAGAAATAACATTTTAGGGTACATTTTTGTTTTCTTATCATATATCAAGTTTTTCATTTTAATTATTTATTTCATAGCTTTTTATTATCGAAAGTTTCAAACATACACAGAGAAAGAATAGTAGGTATAATGAGCTCCACGTTTCTATTCTCTATCTAGCTTCAGTAATTATTTACATTTGCCAAACCTGATTTAAGTACCTCTCCTATGAAGCAAGTCCCAGATGTCTTATCATTTCATCCTCAAATGCTCTAGATTGCCTGAGAATGGTCTCAAAAAACCCACCATCATATTATTCACAATGGTAATTTCTTACTGCTATTTAATATCCAATTTAGATTTGCATTTCATAATTGTTTCAAAAATAGCCTTTTACAGTAAGTTTATTTGAATCAGCATCTAAAGAATTCAAACACTATATTTGTACCTTGTGTCTTTTATTATTACTGCTTTTCTCTCTCTCGTCTTTTTTTTTTTTTTTTAATACTGTCATTGACCTTTTTTTAAAAGAGAAACTGTGTTATTTTTCCAGGAGAATATCTCACTTTCTGAATTTGGTTAGTTGCTTCATATTTAGTATTTGCTGAGAATTTGAGCTAGAGATTTGGTTAAACTCAGGTTTTATTTCTTTAGGCAAGAATCTTCTTAAAGTGATGCTCCATCATTTCCATTTTATCTCATCTGTGAGCCATCATATCTGGTGGTTCCACTTTTAATGATGCTGAGATTAATCAATATGTTCAGGTGTAGGTTTTTTGTTTGTCTGGTTTTCTTTCTGCTATTGTATATAGAACATTTTCCTTACTGTTTTTCTAGTAGGTTATTATTGGTATCTGAGAAGATTTTTAAAGCATGTGTTTTAGTAACTGGACATCTGACCAAACTCTCATTACTGTGTCAACTTAAAAATCATGAGATCTGTAAATCTGGAAAAGAGAACTTTATTTCTGAGAAGGGTTACAACCTGTAGGCTGGGAAGCACAGCCTCTGGATTAGATCAAAAGTAGCCATTTCAAAGACGATGGGTGAGAGAGGAGTTTTACACTAAATGGGTTAGCTGAACATACATATTTAACAGGTTATAGGAGGAGCTATGAGTATTCATGAAAGGGGTTACATGTATGTATGATAAGCAAACATAACATGTTACATATGTCCCATGTTCGCTTTGGAATGGAGACTTAACATTAAAAATGTGGTAAAATCAGACTCTATACATCAAAGGTGAAACTTAGGACTCAAAGGTGCTTTGTGCACATTCTCTGTAAACTGACCAGTCCATGGTCAATTGTCGTTTATCAGGAAGGATTGCTTTGTAAGTTGGTCAGCAGTCATGTCAAAACCATGAAAAGGGAGGGGAATCTGGCCACAACATCAGGCAGTTGGTCAGTGGAAGAATTTTCCATTCTTTCTTTTCCAGGGCTGGTGTTTGTTTAACTCTTAGGAAAAATAGTCTAATGACAGGTAGTGAGGAAGAGTGTATACTGAGACGTGACCAACCTCCTATCTCATCAAGGCCGGGAAACTTCGTTTTTAAAGTTTTTCTGGGGCCTCCTTAGCCCACAGACATCTGTTCAGTAGGTTGGGGCACTTAGGATTTTACTTTATCTCACAAATATCTAATAAAATTTTTGGGTGATCCTCTTCAGTGACTAGTATAGAATTGTCACACTTGAGCTTTGGAGATGAGGTGTCTCAAATTAAACCCTAGGATGGTTATTTAGTCTTTCTGTGCCTCAGTTTTTTTTTTTTTTAATCTATGAAATGGAGATCATGTGTCTACCTCATAGGTTTATAATGAAGATTGAATCACTTCCCATAATAATCAGAAACTACATATTTGGGCTGGGAGCAGAGGCTCACACCTGTAATCCCAGCCCCTTGAGCCCAGGAGTTTGAGGTTATAGTGAGTTATGAGCATGCCAAAGCACTCAGAGTGAGATTCTGTTTCAAAAAAAGAAAGCAGATGTTTGTTTTTTAATTTTTCCATATCTTTTGCAGATTGTGATATTGTGCTTTCCCTTTTTTTCATATTTTAGGCCTTTAATTTTAGGATGTAATTATATAGGCCATAACAGTTAAAAAATAGCAGTGATAACATGCATCCTACAATAACATGAATAGCTAATATTTATTTTAGTATAATTTTCTTCTTGTATAATTATGTTGTTTTAGTAGTATGTTTTGAATATCACCAGAATAAATTTTTGGTATCTATTAAAATAATACTATAATTTCTTTACATTGATCTTTTAAGATACAGTTTATCCAATACTTATGATGCCAGGTTCCAGAATGCATTAGAAGAGTGTTTGTGGCATAGGGAATGTTGGAACAGAAGCAACACTTTACAATGTTAAATAGTTTTATTGAGAAGGTGAGATTTGGGTAAAGACTTTCAAGATGAGTGAGGATCCATATGGGTTTCTGGGGGAAATCCAGTTCAGTGGAGGGGTTGGCATTTGCTAAAGGAGGGCATGTTTGGTGTGTTTCAAAATCCAGTAGGGAGCCGGGTGTGGTGGTGTGCTTCTGGAGTCCTAGCTGCTCAGGAGGCTAAGGTGGGAGGATTGCTTGAGCCCAGGAGTTCAGATCTAGCCTGGACAACATAGCAAGATCCCATCTCTAAAATAAAATAAAAATTTAAAAAATTGTTTAAAATCCTGTAGAGAGTTCAGAGTGGTTGGAGCAGAGTAATGGAGAATAGTAGACAATGGAGTTAGAGAGGCAATGAGAGGTAAAGGGAAGTGGCTTGAACCTGTAGGGCCTCATAGACTATTGTAAAGATTTTTGCTTTTTAGTGAGTGTTGTTGGAAGCATTACAGGGTTTTGAACAAAGGAATGACATACTTTGGCTTGCATTTAAAAAGGACAGCTCTATGTGCGTGGAGTCAAGGATGGAAGCAGAGAGGTTAGGAAATCATCGCAACAGTCTAGGCAAGCAGTTATGGTAACTTGGATGGGTGGTAGCGTGGAGTTAATGAAAAGTGGTTGAAATCTGGAAATAGTTTGAGAACAGGCTTTTCAAATGGACTGGATGTGGTGTGTGAATAACACTCTTCTCACTGGTCTTGTTGCCTCTCCAATCCAGTTATACACAGTAGCAAAAATGATCTTACTTTACATTTGATAATTTCACCTTCTTGATTAAAATCCTTCAGTGACATACTATTACACTGAATAAAATTTATCCTTCTTAATATAACCAACAAGGCCCACATAATCTAGAACTGCATATTTTTCTAACCGTTTTCATCTCCCTGAGCTCCAGCCATACAGGTGTTAAATTGTTTTAATATGCCAAAGTTTTTCCTGCCTCAGATGCTTTGCATTGCTCCTCCCTCTGGAAACTTCCCCTAACCGTAAGGTCACTCTTTACCCAATCAGCTCATTTGCATGTTTCACGTCTCAGTTTAAATGTCCTTTTGTCTATTTAAAATATATTTTAGCTGAGTGCCTTTAATCCCAGCTACTTGGGAGGCTGAGGCAGGAGGATAACTTGAGGCCAGGAGATAGAGACCAGCCTGGGCAACATAGAGAGACCTGGTCTCTGAAAAATTGAAGAATTAGCTGGGTTTGATGGCTTGCACATGTAGTTCTAGCTACACAGGAGGCTGAGGCAGGGAGGATCACTTGAGCCCAAGAGTTCAAGGTTACAGTGAGCTATGATTGTACCACTGCACTCCAGTCTGAGTGACAGAGTGAGACTCCATCTCTAAAAAAATAAATAATTGGTTCCTTCTTTGCCTGCCTCCCACTCTTTGTCTTTCTCAAACATTTTTTTCTTCATAGCATTTCTTACAATTATGCATTTTATTTCTGTGTAATGTTTTTGTTTGCTATGCTTTGCATTTTATATTGTGTGGAATCTCCATGAAAATAAGGACCAGCCTGACTTGTTCAAGTTTGTGGTCAAGTAACAGGATGGTACCTGGCCCTTAGAACTATCTTTATAAATATCATTAGATTGGATTGACTGACTCAATTAATGAACAAATGAACAAACAAAATAAATCATTATATGCTGAAGTAGCAGTCCTGGACATTGTATCTAATTTAGATTTTAATTTAACCTTGTTATTTTGATACTCGCTTCCCTTAATCAGTCATTGCATGTTCCTTATTGTAAGGTGGTTGTTTTTCTTTATCATGAGAAGAATAGTTCTTCTCCGGGCGCAGTGGCTCACATCTGTAATCCCAGCACTTTGGGGAGGCTGAGACGGGCGGATCACAAGGTCAGGAGATTGAGACCATCCTGGTTAACATGGTAAAACCCCATCTCTACTAAAAATGCAAAAAATTAGCTGGGTGTGGTGGCATGCACCTGTAGTCCCAGCTACTTGGGAGGCTGAGGCAGGACAATCGCTTGAACCTGGGAGGCAGAGGTTGCAGTGAATCGAGATCGTGCCACTGCACTCCAGCCTGGGCGACAGAGTGAGACCCTGTCTCAAAAAAAAACACATTTTTTTATTTAGCTATTAGCTTCTAGGCAAAATCTTAAATTTCAGAAAATAATTATACTCATATAGTCATACTACCTGTCAGGGAAATGTGTCAAAGGAAATATGAAACAATAGCTTTAAAGTTGTCCCGCACCCTCACCCTGTTTTTCTTTTGAAGGTATTATACTAAAGGAAGAAAGGGAAAAAGAGAAATCTATGGTGTGAGTTCAAGTTTACTACTGTAAGTGTTTAAGAAAGGGCTCTGTTACCATGACAACAAATGCATGAATTTCATGTGGAAAATTTTCAGTGTATGGGACTGATAAAATTGTAACATTCTGATTTTCTCTGGTATAGAATTGTTCTTTGTCAAGTTAAAAAAAATCTGTTAATATATGTTAAAATTAAATTTTTAAATGTTTTATGATATTGTTTTCTAATTGTTTATTATAACTTAAAATCATAGCCAAAAGAGTGTACTTTCGTAGATCTGTCAAGCAGAAAGTTAAGTATTTGATTTGACATTAAAAATTACTTTTCTAATCTGTATTAGATTTTTGCTAAATGGTAAATAAAATGGTAAATAGTTTCATGTATTGGGAGTTCTTGACAATAGAAAATGACCTGCCACTTTATAGATTCCTTTGCCTTAAATGCTTACTAACTCAGGTAGAGGAAAGCTGTTAAGCTTTAAGTGCTTTGTCATATTTGCAGGCTTTTATAGTGGAAGAGAACAGCAGTCAGCAATGATGATGGAAAACTGTGGCAGGTAGACTTAAAACACCATAAAGCACAGACGATTGTGTGTAATGCCTTGAATTGAATCCTTTTTGAATGAAATGATCAGCCATATGTGCCACCCTTATGGACCCTGTAAGAAGAGTAGAAGAAATGTGCCCTAATGCTAACTGTGCATGAAATTGCAGTGTTAGGAGATATTGACCAGATGTTTCAATCTCAGCAAATGGCTTGTTATGTGACTGAGTGAAAATATCTTTGCTGCTTTGATCACATACACCTTGAAGGAAGGGGTAATTTAATAGAGGCTGTCATAGTTCATCATTGTCAATAAACTTTGACTTGACCTTTGCCTTACGTTTTTGATGTTGCTGCTGTTAAGTGTTGTTGGGCAGATGTTTACTGCCTTGAGGGATTTTGCTTTTTATAAAGTGTATACTAGAAAAAGTAAAGGAGAAGGATTTTCTCAATTCTTTTCTTATTCTTTGGTTATTAGTTGGCATGCTTCTCTGTGGATTTTGTAGAATTTCTGGGCAGATGCATTTGAGTGACATTCTTATGTCTAAAGATCACTGTGGTGTTTCTCTAAAGGTTTCTTCCTTTCCTCACCTTCCTTTTTCTTTTCTCGAGACATGGTCTCACTCTGTCACTCAGGCTGGAGTGCAAGTGATGTAATCTTGGCTCACTGCAGCCTCTACCTCCCAGGCTCAGGCGATCCTCTCACCTCAGCCTCCTGAGTAGCTAGAACTACAGGTGCACACCACCATGCCTGGCTAATTTTTGTATTTTTTCTAGAGATGGGGTTTTACCACATTGCCTAGGCTGGTCTCGAACTTCTGAGCTCAAGCCATCTGCCGGCCTCAGCCTCCCAAAATGCTGGGATTGCAGGTGTGAGCCACCGCACCTGGCCCTTTCTCACCGTTTTGTCCTGGTTTTAATTTACCACAATAAACTTCCTTGGTGGTTTTTCTTTCTTATTTTATATACAGCCTATTCTTTTGTTCTGATGAAAGTCACATTGAATTAAAACTTGACACCTATTGTAACACCATACCAGGTGCTGTGTTATTTTTTTATCCCTAGTTTTGGAGACCTTTGGAGATAAATCCATGCTATTTTGTAATCCATTTTTGTTAATCTTAAGAAATTGAGTGAAAGTTTCAGTAACACAATTTTTTTAAAATTATAAGATACAGTATTTTAAAATTTTGGTAAATAGCTTTGGATTAAATGAGTTTCTTGTTTAATTTGATGAATTTGACTCAGTTCTGTAACCTTTTTGCTCTTTTTCTTGAAAAGAAAAAGGCTTCCTCACTGGCTATATCTGGGTTCTGCCTACACTCTTCCCTCACTTCCCCTTGGTGTAGGTGGCCTAGACCGTGTTAGTCACCTAATGAAATCTGTGAATCCTCTCTTGAAAAACACAGCAAAGTTTCCTTACAATTTCAGGATGTTTATTGGATTTTCCCCCCCTCCTCTCACACATACCCTGCAATGATAGGGGCCCCTGGACTTCAAGCAGACTAACAAAGCTTAGAAAATAAGATTCATACTCCTTCTTAGTATTCTAGATATATAACAATTTGACTTAGAAGTAACAATAACAATAGTATTAGTGATACTGCTACAATAATTACAACAGTAATAATAATAATAATAATTAAAATTTACTTTCTGCCAACCTTATGCCAGATTCTATGCTGAACCTTTAACCTGTATTACTGGTTATATTGTTAATGATACCTCTAGATAGAGTATATGCAGCATACTTTTATTCTGTACTTTAGGAAATACTATATCTTTAGAATACAGATTTGAGTAAGAGATTATAAGCATTTTGATTCTAAGACTTTTTGGAATACTGAACTTTTAGTTTTCTGATTCCAGTAGTCAGTCTGTCTGTCTCTGTCTCTGTCTCTGTCTCTCTCTCTCTCTCTCTTTCTCGGCCTCTCTGCCATTCATCTTCTTCTGAAAATTAGCTATCCCACGTAAGCCTCATATATCCCCTAATTCCTATTTGTAGTTGTGAGGGAGGAAAAATATTTTCCTTCTAAGTTCTCTGCTGTAAGATTCTTGTAACAAAAGACAGATTAACAAAAGTTAAGTACACTAATTTATATTCTAAGTTTTATGTAACATAGAGGGAAATGAAGACTTGAAGAAACAATTAAACCTGGTGTTTTTACATTAGGTTTTATGAAGAGTGGAAGGGAAAGGCAATAGGACAAAAAGGGGTATGAACTAAGAGTAGTAAACTGAGGGGACCTTAGCAAGACCTGTTTGTTTAGATTCATCTCATGTCCTTACATCTTCTGAGATAAGGATGTTCTTTTTTTCTGCATATAGTAAACATCCTCTCACATGGATGGTCTTATGATTTGCTTCAGAGGAAATCAGAAAGTCCTTCCTGCACCTGCTGTTCTCAAATTCCTTCAGCTTAAAATTTTCAGTATGTCAAGTGCCATATTTTGGGGGTAGTGTGTCCTGATCTCCATCATAGTTAAGTGTCAGCTTGGACACAGTTTCTCATATTTATCTTAGGAAATCTTCTTTGGCCACTCTGCAAAGACTAAGGTGCTACTTGCATGTTCTGCAACAACTCCTATTATATATATATCATCTCTTAAAATAAATAGTAACATATCTTGTATGTAAGCTTTATGTACCCTTAAATTGTAAGTTTTAAGAAGATACAATCCTGGCTTTCCTGTTCACTTATTTGACAATTATTTAATTGCATAGAATGTAGCAGGCACTCTTCTAGATTTGGAAACACACCCTACAACTCTTTTAAAAAAGCCAAGAAAACAGTCTTGAACAGCAAATTACAATTAAGTGGAATTAATTCTATGATAGGAATGATACAGTTTGTTGCGGCAACATAAAATGCAGGCATATAGGCTGGGCACGGTTGCTCACACCTGTAATCCCAGCACTTTGGGAGGCCGAGGTGGATGGATCACTTGAGGTCAGGAGTTCAAGACCAGCCTGGCCAACATGGTGGAACCCCACCTCTATTAAAAATGCAAATATTAGCTGGGCATGGTGGCGTGCACCTGTAATCCCAGCTACTCAGGAGGCTGGGGTAGGAGAATTGCTCGAACCTGGAAGGCAGAGGTTTGCGGTGAGTCAAGATCGCACCACTGCTCTCCAGCCTGGGTGACAGAGCAAGACTCCGTCTCAAAAAAATAAAAAATAAATAACAATGGGTATATAGAACAGAATTTAGGACAACATTGTCTCAGTAAGTGAAACCTGAAACCTAAGTAGGAAGCTAGAAAGAACAAACAGAAACAGAATGAAGTATTCAGTGTACTGGAACATTGCATTCAAGAGTGTTAATGCTTAGGATTAACTTGGAGAGGAAGTTAATGGTTCAATCATAAAGTTGTTTATGTTGAACTTGCTTAAGATACTTGGGTAACGATTGAAGGACATTTTAGGAAGAGCACTCAAAATGCAGTGGATTGGAGAAAAACAGAACTAAAGGCAGGGAGATGATCTAAGAAGCTTTTGCAAATGGTTGCATGGTTGGGAGGATGGAGTGACAGAGAGAATGGGAAATGACATCCAATGGGTAGAGGTTTCTTTTTGAGATAATGAAAATGTGATGGTTGCACAGCTATGTGAATAAACAGGAAACAACTGAATTGTATATTTTAAAGTGGCAAATTGTATGGTTATATGAATATATCTCAATAAATTTTTTTAAAAGAGACTTTTATAGTAGTCTAATTGAGAGTAGATGGTGGCCTGTACTAAAGTGGTGTTAATAGAGGCAGGAGTAAAAGTGTGTCAATTTAATAGGCAAAATAGGGTTGAGTAGGTATTTGGATATTCAGAGCAGTCATTTGAAAACAAGTATAAGCTAAAAATGAGGGGGTCTCAGCATATAGATGATAATTGAAACCATGAGAGTAGATTAGATCATATCCAGAGAAAGTATATACGGTAAGAATTGTAGGTAACCTGGGAATCCAGGCCTGAGAAATGCTAAGGAATGGGGAGAAGGAAAGAAGCCTACAAAAGAGATAGAGAAGACTTCTTTATCCATTATTAATTACAATAATGTCCAACAAATAATAGGTGATCAACAAATATTGGTGGAATGAATTGAATGAATATACACTAAAAATTCTGCATTTTATCACAGTCTCAGGGCACTGTTGTCATCGTCAGCTGTACTCTGTAATAGGCACTGCCTTGAACACTTTGCTTACATTATCCTATTCAATCATCACAATAATTCCACAAGAAACATAGTCTCTGAAATAGTAGCTTGTTTACCATCACATGGCTGGATGAACTTATATATCTGAGTCTAAAGTTTATTTTTTCTACTAGGCCTAATATTCCCCGAATCTGTTCTGAGAATGTTAACAGATATTTACTAACAAAAATAACAATAGAACTATTTCAGGGAAAGAACAGGATTATTAGAAATTGATTTTTATTAATAGGATGCTTGCTGGCAGGGGCAATGGAGCAGTTTTTTAAGGAAAGAAGCATAACATACTAGTTATTCAGTTAGAATAGATTCTTAATATTTATGAAAATCTTGTGTTTTGCCCTGTCTCACTTGGTGGTATTGTAATCATCTGAGAATCTATCCTATAAGTTATGTGATATATGCTATTTTCCTTATCAATCTATTTCAGTTTTGATTTCCTCATCATCCTTTGCAGTCTGCTTGTTGCTGTTTCTCAGTTTTGACATTTAATTTCTTTTAGTTGTGCTTTACAGTTTTTCTGAGATGCCTCATTGAGTTTTCTGTATAAAATTTCATATCTTTGGCTTATCTTGCAACTCTTTTAGTACCTAGGTGTCATTCTTCATCATTCTATTATGAATTGAATTAAAGCATATGGCATTATTTCAGAAGTGACTGCCTCTTGGGCATCATTGTCAGTTATATTGTCCTAAATATTGCATTTAGGTAATAAAAAGGAAATCTTCCTTGAAGGTAAAGTTAATATTAATAGAAATCTTTCCATATGTTGTTAAAGACTCTTGTTATGAAGTTTAATATGCCATTTATTTAGGCCTTATTTAAATTCAGTTGTAAATTTTTTCCTTCTGGCTCCTTACCTTAGTGAACTGTCATCTCTTATCATCATACTCTTTGCTCGAAAACCTTCATGTGTTGCTTTCTACCCTCAGGATGTTGCCTAAATTTCTTGAAGTGGTATTTACTGATCTGGCCTACATCTACCTTTCCCATTAGTCTCTTCCTTCCCACATAGTTGCTTTGTCGGTATACTCCTAATAGTCTTTTATTTCTGTTTTTCATTGTTTTTGTTAATATTATATTCTTGTTTCCCAATCTGTGCACTAAGTCCCCTTGGGGTGCTGTAGCAAACCCACAGAGAGTCTTCAGGGTATTTCAAAATTTCAAGGTAAACACAGTGACGTCTATCAGACACAGCATGAACCACTAGCTCCAGATATTTCAGTTTTTTTTTTTTTGAGATGGAGACTTGCTGTGTCACCCAGGCTGTAGCGCAGTGGCGGGATCTTGGCTCACTGCAGCCTCCACCTCCTGAGTTCAAGCGATTCTCCTGCCTCAGCCTCCTGAGTAGCTGGGATTACAGGCATGTGCCACCACGCCTGGGTAATTATTGCATTTTTAGTAGAGACGGTGTTTCACCATGTTGGTCAGGCTGTTCTTGAACTCCTGACCTCGTGATCCGCCTGCCTCAGCCTTCCAAAGTGCTGGGATTACAGGCGTGAGCCACTGCGCCTGGCCTGGTATTTCAGTTTTAACATTAGATTACTACATTCCTTTTGGTGGCATTATACTGTGCGAAACTGAATCTTTGACGGTTTCTGTGATAAAAAGCAAATCAGTGTGAAACAAATGAGGGTGATGGTTACCAGTCTGATTCCAAGATTTGAGAATTTTGCAGTGCCTAACAGGTAGAAAATCATTAGGAAATAAACACTTTTGGCTGAAACGAATTATTTAATAAATGGAATTTCTTTCATCCTAGGGGCACCATGATAAAATTTCTAACATAGGAAAGGAGGCATGTGCTATATGCTGTATGACTCTTTTTTCTTTCTAGTTTGTAACCATTTTGGAAGATCATACCCATCCTTCAAAGACCAATTGATACTGCTACCTGTCTTTGGAGGCCTTTCCTGATCCCCTCCACTGCAGTTGATCTCTCTCATGGGTATTTTCCAGTAATATGCTGCTTTTTTACTATTGCTGTTTAAGTTAAACTAATTGAAGTATTTATTTGAAGTTACCAATAGTGGCCGTGGTTTTCCTATTCCTCCAGTTAGGTATAATTACTTAAAGTATAACAAGAGCCCTTTCCTTCTTTGTATAAAGGTGATACAAATATAATAATAGAAACCCTATACTGTACTAAACTGCGTAGGTTGTTAGTCAATTTCTTTTTATTTCTTTTTTTTCTTTTTTCTTTTTTTTTGAGAGGAGTTCCACTCTTATTGCCCAGGCTGGAATGCAATGGCGCAATCTCGGCCCACTGCAACCTCCACCTCCTGGGTTCAAGCGATTCTCCTTACCTCAGCCTCCTGAGTAGCTGGGATTACAGGCATGCGCCACTATGCCTGGTTAATTTTTTGTATTTTTAGAGATGGAGTTTTTCCATGTTGGTTTGGCTGGTCTTGAACTCCCAACCTCAGGTGATCTGCCTGCCTCGGCTTCCCAAAGTGTCGGGATTACAGGCGTGAGCCACTGCACACGGCCTTGTTTGTCAATTTCTAATTCTTACAACATCCTTAAAAGATCATAGGTTATGTTATCCACATTTTATATTTGAAGAAATTGACGTTTAGCAGTGTTAGTTTTTCTCACACCCACATACCTCCTGACCTTTAGCTATTCTAGTTCCTTTTCCTTTAATATTGATTATAGAATCAACTTTTTGATATCCTCAAAAATCCATTGAGAGTTTGGTTGGGATTGCATTGAACTTATGAATCAATTTGGGGAGAATTAATGTCTTAAGAATATTGAGTTTTCAAATCCATGTACATAATATAGCTCTTCGTTTATATAAGTTGTTTTTTTTTCCTCAGCAGTCTTTTGTAGTGTTCTACATATATGTCTTGCACATATTTGGTTAAATGTGTTCCTACATGTTTCAATTTTGGTGGTATTGTAAATATTGTTTTCTTAATTTTAATTTTCAACTCTTCTTTGAAAATTTATAGAAATACATTAGATTTTTATATATTGATCTTAAAGTCTGAGACCTTGATTGACTTACTTTTAATTCTAGAGCATTTATGTGGATTCCTTATGATTTTACATATATTCCTTAAACATGCACAGGTTGGTATCTAGCCATAGCCTCAAGGGTTACTCTGTAGATTTCAACTCATTCTTCTCTGAAAATCTTTTTCACAATTTCTAGTCTCCTGGCTCTCCTTGAACACATCTCTTTCTCCTCATTTTAGTGAAAATGCCAGGCTCTATTTGCCTTCTTTCTCCCTCTCCATGGTGTGGAACTTGCCTCCTGGCAGAGTACCTGCATGATGTCAGGGCACACCTTGTTTCTTTCCTATCAGAGATCACAGTCCTACCATGCCTGTTATTCAATGTCTGAAAATTCTGTAGGTGTTTCCTTTTGGTTTTCTGGTTTACAGCACAACAGTAATTCTAGAGCCTGCTACTCACTCATGGCCAGAGCAGAAGTTAAAGTTTTTAAGGTATACTGTACATATGTGAACCAAGGGAAGGTAGGCAGTTTATTTTAGCTAAAAGAAGGAGCATAATCAAAGGTTATAAACAAGGTTGAATCTCCATCCTGGAGAATCAAAATCTAGTAGTTGTGACTTTGTATTAGGAACATCATCATTTTTATCTTTTTATTCCCTGGCAGACATGCATTAAATGTTTGTTGATTGAGTATCAAAATGATAGGAAATAGATTAGTTGGATGTTGGTGAAACATTGTGTTTTAGATGCTTACAGATGTACTAAAATTTTAACAGAAATCTTTGCAAATTACTTGTTAAATTTTCCTAAACTGATTTTTAAAAATCTATTTCATTCTCAATTATAACATCTTTACTGAGATTATTAAGTGCTTTGAAGCAGTTAACGTGGCTTTTTTTTTTAATGGCTGTAAAAAAACTGAATTTTTAGGCTTGTTAAACTCTGGTTTTAGAATGACTTTTGAGTGGAAATCACTGATCAAAAGCAAAGTTCTCACATTTTGTCAATATCTGAATGTCAGAAATAGAATGTCAGGCAGTTTCCCATGTTGAAATATTCGATAGTAAAAGGATAGCAAAGTTGCTGAATATTTCTACTGTTTATCAATTTTTGCCTTGCAGGTTCAAATAATATTTATTTGTAGTGGAAATATTTCAATTCATTTAAATCCTGATTATGGAGTAGTTAGTAAATCAGGTTTAAGCCTGACAGTGAGTTGATATAGCTCTTATTTCAGACTGTAGTTTGAACATGTAGACTCTCTGATTATAACTAGGCTAAATTATATAATAATGACTTTATTTTCACTGAACAAAGTTTGCTATTATTTTGATGACAAATTATTTAAGTAATCATAGTAAAAGTTGCTATTGGCTCTGGGTTTTATTTATTTTGCTATATATAGTAGACATGGTTGATCATTTAATCATGCCTTATAGATAAATAAAAGTAAGTTATAGAATAACACAGAAATTTTCTGCTAAATTTATACTTTCACTAAATTTAATAACAATAGAAATTCTCTGTTAAATTTATACTTTCACTAATTGTAGAATAAAGTATTTTAAGTTAGGCATTTATACTGAGACATTTTATGATATTAACTGCTTCATGTTATTTACTCATTTTGATAAATGGAGTGATAATATCCAAAATGGAATAAATTAAGTTTAAATTATTGTTATTCTTTAAAGGAATGATTTAGCTACAGTATGTTTGTCCCACCTTTTAATTTTGAACATTTTCTAACTTACAGAATAGTAAAATGAACTTTTCTATACCTTTCACATTGATCCACCAATTGTTAACATTTCAACACATTTGTGTTCTCTCTTTAAATAAATGTATGTGTGTGTATTTTCCTCAGAACCATTCTGAAGTATTTATTCCTTATTCAAGAAATTAAGCATTGATACTGTTTTCTGATGTGTGATCAAGATTCCAGATGTCACAGTTATTCTGGTAGTGTCCTTGATAGCTGTTTAATTTTATTCTCAGTCCAGGATCCAATAAGAATCACACATTACATGTATTAGTACTATTTCTTTAATATACTTTCCTCCCACCTTTTTGGTTAAGGCATTTTCTTCAAGAGTCCAACCCAGTTGATTGTAATATGTGCCACCTTGTGGACTTAATCTCATGATTTTAGGCAATAATAGTACGTAAGTGACACTGTGTATTTCCCATTGCATCACATCGTAAGGTTTATGGCTTTATTGATAATGCTAATTGATAATGGTTAAGATAGCATCCCTCAGATTTTTTGCTTAGAACCTTCTTCCCTTTCCCCATTCCATGTTTGTGTTTTCCTTATCCTGTTCAGCAAACCTAGTTCCCAACAGCATCAACTTTATATTCATTTGCTCTATCCTACAATACGCACAAAATAGTTTCACCAATAACATAACCAACAATAAACCTACTAAATAAAGTTTGATTTATTTGTTGTTTTTGTTCCTTATAATTATTCCATTAAGACTGTATTGTCATAAGAGCATACTGAAAAATTATTTGCATTATTTTTTCTATGTGCTTATGTTACAATTTGATACCTTCTTTGATTTTTCATTCTTGTTATACTCAACTTCATAATTTGTTTTTCTTCTAATGGAATTTGAAATTAAAATTAAATTTTATTATTTGAAAATGCAAAATTTTAACATGTTTCAGAAGTCAAATTTGTATGGAATGCTATATTCAGAGAACTCTTCTATTCCTATTCCTCTACTCCTTTCCCACTCACTCTCATAGAAAAGCATTTTTCATTTCTAGTTTATTCTTTCTGTGTTTCTTTTTATAAAATTAGCAAACACAAAATTATATATACATTCTAATATATGTATATAGTATAGTATCTATACTAAAAGAATATATATGGTTGAGTGAGGTGGCTTGCACCTATAGTCCCAACTACTCAGAAGACTGAGCTGGGAGGATCTGTTGAATTCAGGAGTTCGAGGCAAGAATATACACACACACACACACACACACACACACACACACACACACACACATTCTCTTTTATGTAATAAAAACCATAACATTAACTCTACCATCTTAACCATTTTTAAATGTACCAATTAGTATACGCATGTTGTTACATAGTCAACCTCTAGAAATTTTTCATCTTGCAACACTGAAACTCTGTACCCATTAAACTCTTAATTCTCTGACTTCCCTCCCTGACGTCCTTGGCAACCAACATTCTACTTATGTTTCTATGATTTTGACTACTTCAGATACTTCCTATGAATGGAATCATACAATATGTGTCTTTTTTGTGACAGACCTTATATAACTTAGCAAGTTCTTGATGTTCATCTATGTTGTAGCATGTGACAGGATTTCCTTCTTTTGTTTCTTTATCCTTTAATTGTTGATAGATGTCTGGGTTGCTTGTACTTCTTGGCTATCATGAATATTGCTGCAGTGAACATGGACATGCAAATATATCTTTGAGATCCTGCTTTGAATTCTTTTGACTGTATACCCAGAAGTGAGGTTGCTTGATTATATGTTAATTTAATTTTTAATATTTCTTTCAGGAACTTCCATACCATTTTAGTAGTGGCTGTACCATGTTACATTTCCACCAACACTGCACAAGGGTTCATTCACTTCTCCACATTTTGCCAGCATTTTTTGTTTTCTGTGTTTTCGGTAGTAACCATCCTGATCAGTGTGAAGTGATATCTCATTGTGGTTTTGATTTCCCTGATGATTACTGATGTTGAACATCTTTTCTTGTGCTTATTGGCCATTTATATATCATTTTTGGAGAAATGTCTATTCAAGTCCTTTGCCCATTTTAAGATCATGTTATTTGTATTTTTATTGTTCATTTAGAAGTTTGTTATATATTCTGGATATTAACCTTTCATTGGATATATGGTTTGGAAATAAGTTGCCTTTTCACTCTGTTGATTGCCTCCTTTGCCATGCAGAAGTTAAGCTTGATATAATCACATTTATCTATTTTTGCTTTTGTTGCCTGTGCTTTTGTTCCATATTTATGAAATCATTGCTAAATCCAATGTCCTGAAGCTGTCCCCCATATTTGAAAATAATATATATTATTAAGTTTTATTTTTTAAACAAAGCTTTTTACCTTTGAGACTTGATTTTTTTTTGAAGTTAACAAAATATCCTGGAAATTACTTTGTATAGAAGGAGTGTTCCACAGAGCTTTTCCTTTTTTTGTGTTGTTTTGCTGGGATTTTTGAATGGCTGTGTGGTATTCCATTGTGTGGATATATCATAATTTAATCGACTGATCTTCTACAGGTGGACTTCTAGTTTATTTCCAACATTTTGCCATTACAAATAACATCTCAATACTTATATATGTGTTGTTTTATATTGTGGATGAGTCTGTAGAAGTGGGATTGCTGGTCATTAAGCTGTTACTATGTCTCATTCTTACAGTTCTGTCTTTGTTACTTTTTCCTCTCCTCATCCTTTTACCTCTCAAATATGCATGTATTTCTTTTCTATTCCAAATATTTGAGAACAGATTTTATCAAAATCTATTTTGATATCTTTTGACTTTGTATGTAGATTATTTGTAGGTTATTTTGCTACCTGTAAGTCTTTGAAACTAAACAGGTGTTACCTATAGAATCACTATAGAATATTAGAACCCTCAGGGATTTGAGCTAATTATAAAAGGTAAAAAGTTCAAATCTGTGAAACATATGCATCTTACAAGAAATCCATTAAAGCTTATAATAATTACTTCAATGAAAAAATGAGATATTTGTAACTAGAACTGTAACACTATTTCTGAATTTTTAAAAGAATTTTTTTAGATATGAGCATGTTTTAGCTTAATTTATATATGAATTACTACAATAAGTATGACAATCATAGTAACAGCCACAGCTAATATATGTTGTTGACTATGTGCTGGGTACCATGCTCAGCAATGCAAGTACATTAATTTACATCATTTCAATTAGTCCTCAACGACCTTATGAGATGTATTTGTAATTATATCTCCACTTTAAACATGAGTGAAATGAGAAATGTTAAGAGATATGCTCTAACATGCTCTAACTCATGCAGCTAGTAAGTGGCAGAAGCAAGATTTGAACCCAGAGAGTCTTCAATCAAGATGGATTCTGCTCTTTTTATGACAATGCTAGACTTCTTATATTGGGACCCACTATTATTTTCCTATATCAGGCCAGCATTTGTCTTAAGGTCTGTATGATTTTAGCTGCTGAGTCCTTAACAACTTTATGTACTTTATTTCTCTCCCCAAAGCAGTATAAGATATTACATGGTTGTTATATTAAGTTTTTTTAATCGTAAGTGATAGCACAGAATTGAAATCCCATTCATAACAGCTACAGTTTCTCACAAAGCATTCTTGTCACATCACTATCTGTGGCAGAATATTAAACTATGTGTACCATTTTTTTGCCCCATTAAATTATTTATGTTCCTGTTTTACAGTGGATGATTCAACAGCCACACAAAGCAGCAACATTTTTTGGATGCATTGGGATAGATAAATTTGGGGAGATCCTGAAGAGAAAAGCTGCTGAAGCCCATGTGGATGCTCATTACTACGAGCAGAATGAGCAGCCAACAGGAACTTGTGCTGCATGCATCACTGGTGACAACAGGTCAGTGTAATTCCAAGGGAACCACTATACTAATTGGCTATTTTAACACTGGTAAAATATGAATTCCAATGTGAATTTGGAATTTTGACTTTATAATTCCTTTTAATGTTTGATAAATGCTTATTCCTTATATCAGTTTTCCTGTATTGTTTTTAAATTTACTTTTGTTAAACATGCAGTTGAATTCATGAGGCATAATGGAATAAAAGTTTGAGGTTATTTAGTCCAGTCTCTACTTTTTATAATTAGAATCAGAAAAGGCTGATAGCTTGCTCAATGCCTTGTAGCTTGCTCAACACCTTGTAGCTAATTTGTTGCAAAACTTGAATTAGAAACAATGTTCTTTTCACCATATCCTGAGGTTGGAATACGAGAGAGAGAGACAGAGAGACAGAGAGAGAGTGTGTGTGTGTATTTTATGTATATAAAATACAACATTACATTCAGGCTCGTAAGACTTAGTCATCTAAATGGTCATCTAAACCATTTCTGGCAAATAGTAATTCATTCATATTGAATAAACTCAGTCGTGGGTAGTATACCACTAACAAAACAACCAAGTATATTTCTATACACCCTTACTTATTAGAAAAGTATTCTTAATATGAACTTGAAATATCTCTCTCAGGCCCCTCCATATATTGGTTGGTTGTTCTTTTGTACCCACATGGAGATACTCCTTCAGTGTATTCATGCACTGCTAACGTTATTACCATATCAGCACAGGCTTTTTTCCCCTTTGCAAGGGAAAAACAAAATAACTGCCCTAGCTATTATATTGTTGGGATAATCAAAGATGACCTCTTTTTAAATAGTGATTCACTAGAAATTTTGCATTACTTATAGTTGGAAATATGTAGTCTGTCCTCCTCCATTCCCTATCTCCTTTCTTTTCCCATCTTCTCTTCCTTTCTTTTTTTCCCTTTTCATCCTCCTTTATTTTCTTCCCCCTCTCCACCACGACCTTGCTCCATTTCTTCTATTTACCCACTTTATTGCTCACTACTTGACCTTCAGCAGAGGTATATTAAGGAATGGACTATTCTAGAGACTGGGGATCAATAAGCACAGTATTTACTAAATAACCAAAATACAATATTCAAAAATTATTAGGGTATGAAAGGCATTTTCAGATCTTTCCTTTAATTTTGTTTTTTATATACAGGAGAACTTTATGGTTTTAAGATTACAGTAAACATTGAAATATGGGATTCAGGGATTTTAAAAAAAAACAACTAAAAATGTTGAAATATGTTTGTTTAGACCTTTGCCCTTAGTTTTCCCAAGACCAGCCTTAATCTGTAGGTGCAAAGTTTTCCCATTAGTGAGAAGTAGGTCAGATTTTCTTCTGATATCACTTAGGCTACAGTAAAATTACTAAATTGTTTTAGTATGCTAAATTGCTGTCCTAAAGAACAGTTATGGTTGGGTGCAGTGGCTCACGCCTGTAATCCCAGCACTTTGGGAGGCCGAGTCAGGTGGATCACCTGAGGTCAGGAGTTCGAGACCAGCCTGGCCAACATGGTGAAACTCCGTCTCTACTAAAAATGTAAAAATTAGCCAGGTGTGCACCTGTAATCCCAGCTACTCGGGAGACGAAAGTAGGAGAATTGCTTGAACCTAGGAGGTGGAGGTTGCAGTGAGCCGAGATTGTGCTATTGCGCTCCAGCCTGGGCAACAGAGCAAGATTCTGTCTCAAAACCAAAGAGAGAGAGAGAACAGTTATGATAATATTAGATCTTCTGGATGTCAAAAACTTAACTTTTATACTAATTTTATGGTTATAGTGATATTGTTGAGATGATATGGGACTCAAAAATTGGGGAGAAATCTTCAGTATCTAAATCATTATCTAAATTCTGGAAGCTAATACAGTTGGATCAATTGTTTTGGATAGGTCCAGTAACCTTTGCTGCCACTATCAAAAACTCAGAAATTGGCCGGGTGTGGTGGTCACACCTTGTAATCCTAACACTTTAGGAGACCGAAGTAGGCTGATCACTCGAGCTCAGGAGTTTAAGGCCAGCCTGGCCAACATGGCGAAACTCCATCTCTACAAAAAATACAAAAATTAGCTGGGGATGGTGGCATGTACCTGTGGTCCCCGCTGCTTGGGAGGCTGAGGTGGAAGGATTGCTTGAGCCCAGGAGGTTGAGGCTGCAGTGGACTGGGGTCGTGCTGCCCACTGCACTTCAGTCTGGGCAAAAGAGTGAGCCCCTGTCTAAAAAACAAAAAACAAAACAAAAAATTTCAGAAATTGAAGTGTTTGGGTAATGCAGTATCTTTCTTGATCCAGGTTCTTCCTCTTCAAAGTCAGAATCAAATACGTTGGGATAATAAGAATACTCATATTTTTCTGGTCGGGCATGGCAGCTCATGCCTGTAATCCCAGCACTTTGGGAGGCCGAGGCGGGTGGATCATTTGAGGCCAGGAGTTTGAGACCAGCCTGGCCAACATGGTGAAACTCCACCTCTACTAAAAATACAAAAAAATTAGCCGAGCATCATGGCGGGCACTTGTAATCCCAGCTACTTGGGAGACTGAGGCAAGGAAATTGCTTGAACCCGGAGGCGGAGGTTGCAGTGAGCCAAGACGGAGCCATTGCTCTTCTCTAGCCTGGGCAACAAGAACGAAACTTCATCTGGAAAAAAAAAAAAAAGAATACTTTTATTTTTCTTTTGGAGAAACTGTAGTTTCCCATCAAAAAGTAGTTTTATTATCAGAATAGAGTTTAGTATCTGGTACCAGAAATGTTTGCTTTTATTTGGTAGCCATTTTGTCAAAATTTTCCTAAAGTCATAATTACTAAAATATTTTTATAAATTAGGTCTAAATTTTCTTAAGTTTGTAATATAGTTATTTTGTATATGAATATGTTGATGCATATTACTCTTTCTTTCCTTCATTTACTTGAACATAAACAGATGTATCCTTTAGTAGTAAATTGGCAGATGGATGAGTGGAAATACGTTTTGGAAGAGAATTGAGGTTTTTTTTTTTAACAGTGTAATCGAACATATTACCAAAGTCTGAAATGATAAGATTTTTTTTGTAAGCTATAACTGTTACAATTTAATTAGAAAAAGAGAAAAATTGGCAAGTAATTTTTTAAATTCTGGAGCAGTATGAGGAAGGAAAGTATTTTTATTTATAATGTAAATAATTATTGTATTTATTTTTAATTAAACAAGCCAAGTGACACTTGTAGCAGGATTTTATTTATTTATTTATTTATTTTTTAGAGATGTGGTTTTGCCTTGTTGCCTAGGCTGGAGTGCAGTGGCATGATCATAGCTCATTGCAGCCTCAAACTCCTGGGCTCAAGCAATCCTCCCACCTCAGCTTCCTGAGTCCCTAGGACTATAAGTGTGCACCACTACCCCCAGCTAATTTTTAAAATTATTTTGTAGAGATGGGATCTGGCTGTGTTGCCCAGGCTGACCTCAAACTCCTGGCATCAAGCAATCCTCCCACCTTGGCCTCTGAAAGAGCTGGGATTTCAGCTTTGAGCTACTGCACCCAACCTGCAGCAAGATTTTAAATGCAGTATCCTGCTTAGATATTCCATTTCTAAAATTGGACCAGTCAGGGGACTTTTCAACTATAGAAAACAATTCTAATTGATTTCAGCCCTTAGAATGTAATGGTTTACAAATTAATTCCTCTTAGCGAATATGGTCTACATTTATAAGTGTCTTTTACGAAATTAATTCCATATTTGGCTTTTAAAGGCTTCGATTAAATAGACAATTATAGTATGTTGATATTTATTTTTATAAAGATATTTTTCTACTTAAAAAATGTTTTTAGTTGCATAGATTTCTTTTTATATAATGAGTTAGCCTTATTTCTTAACTGCATTTTGAACTATTAAGGTGTAAAAAGTAGGTCCTATTTTACTATCAAAAGGCAACTTAAATGCCAATTTCTTTCTCAAAATACCAGGTGTTGTTTAGAACAAAAATTATCATAGATGCCTCAGAAAGTTCTCAAAACAAAATTATTATTTATATTTATTTAAAAATCAATAACATTAGTTTTGAAGAATTAATTAAAATGTAAATTTTAAACTTTGCAAAAAATATTGGTAATTATCTATTGAAACATATGCTAAGTTTGACTATAATATTACTTGCTTATTCTTTGGTTGTTTTAGGTCCCTCATAGCTAATCTTGCTGCTGCCAATTGTTATAAAAAGGAAAAACATCTTGATCTGGAGAAAAACTGGATGTTGGTAGAAAAAGCAAGAGTTTGTTATATAGCAGTAAGTACTTACCTAATTCAAATCTCTAGTACATATTTACATGATGGATTATAGTTGTTGTCTGATATATATTTTAAAATAATTATCTTTTATTTACCCTGCAAATTATTTATCTCTCTCAAAGCATATGTTAGATTCACTATTGTGAAAATAGAACAGAAATCATTATCTTTCTATGGGTAACATAATTTGTATTATTTATCTTCAGGTCTACCTATTTTTGGATACATTATGCATAGGTGCTTGCCAACCAAGCGCAGAATTCTATATTAAATCAGTTTCCAAATATATTTTAAAATAATTCTACAAACTTACATCTTACATTTGTAGGCAACTTGCATTGTGCAGAAAAATATTAGTAGTATAAATATTCACTGCAAATAGTTTGAGCTGAATTGCTTAAAAAACTTAATTGCTATTTATTCCATAGTAATTACCATGACACCTCTTAATTTAATATTTCAGAAACATTGATCGTGACAAATCTCTTAAATCTGGGAACAAGGGCAGGGTGTAATTTGAATTATTAAGTCTTCTGACACAAAAATAATTGGTTAAGAATTTATTTCTAAAATAGGATGGTACTAAAAATTCTGAATTAATCACCCCATGATTACCTTGTTTTTATTTAATATGTGTTAAATGTGGCTTTACACAAATAAGTAGATACCTATGAAAAAAGCATCTCGTATGCATGTAATATATGGTTTTGGTATAACAGCTGCTGCCATTTCATTACCTGAGCTCTGTGAAATAGCTGGTAAGATGTGTAAAAAATTGATTACCCTACTAGGAGGAACATGTTTATTGAAAATATAATTATTTCTTTCAGTCTAATGTTAATGTCTCCTACAGCATGTTTGTGTGCACTGTTCTAGGCTTTACAACATTGTTATTGATTCCTCTGTATACCAAATCCTATCCCTTTATAACTGTCAAATAAATGCTTACATTGAGAAGATTATATAATGGAAAGTTATGCTATCTTTTCTGCCAGTATGTGAGAAAAACATTTCAAGAATTAAATATTTTACCCCTTTATTATTTCCATTTCATTTTATTTCTCAAATTGGTCTCATGTTCTTTCCATTTTTCAAATCTTGATACTGTATTTCTTGTAGTGTGATTCTTTAGAGGGGATTTATGTACTATTTCAAACCATCTTACACTTGAAAGTCTGATTTTCAAAAAGCACCATGTTTAGAATTTGGCATAATTTATATATACTTGTTGACTATGAAATAAGACAGTGTATTCTGATGAAAAAGTATATTTAACTTGACAATTACAGTCTTCTATGTTTCAATATATAGTTGTTCAATCCTGAATTGTGAGCCAACTTGCAAACAACTCATAGTTGTAATGATTATACAGTATAACATGTCTAGCCAACTTTGGGTGAATGGAACTTTTATGAAAGTGTAGATTCAACTTGCAGACAACTCATAGTTTTAGCATTTATGCACTATATTGTATCTAGCCATATTTGGGTGAATGGAGTTTTACAGTAGTATTAAATATTTATACTTACGTGCAATTTTGTACAGCATAAAGTGATCAGCTTTTGGTGAAATTAATAAGGCAAATGATATTATTTTTGAGATTTGGGTGGTGTATTCAGCCAGAAGAAATAACAAAATGGATTTCAGTTGTTATCTGTGATACAAGTGTTAGCTTGTAGCTTCTGTTTCAGCAGTTTCATAAAAAGAATGATCTCTTACATTGCCAGGTAAATCTGTACTCTTCTCCTAGCTTGGCTTATTCCAAAATAGTTCTGAAAATAGTAGACTCATATTGGATACCTGGGACGCTGTATATTCTTAGTGAACATTCAACAAATATTTACTTGGTGAATAACTAAGAGCATAATTCGTATTTATTGAAATCTGTAAACTTCCTTTTGAAATACAATGTTATTTCCACAAAGACACTGCAGGTTTTGCAAATCTGTAATTCCCTTTGATTTCAGAGCATTCCGAAATGATGTGTAGTCTAGTCTAGTTTTTTCTTAGCATATGGTCAAACCATAAATTAAGTGGGCTGCCCCATACTTTCTGGTTCTATGAGGTCAACAGTCTCATTACATTATCATCATAAACTAATGAGGTTTAAGAAATTAAAGTTCTGGGGGCTCTTTAATTCTAAAATGTTTTTGATCTAAGGAAGCAACGCAGTTTATCTATTCAACAAATATCCGTAACTAAAACATCTGTCTGCATCACATAAGCTAAACCAGATCTACATACTCAGCTCTGCTTCTTCACACTATTCTCCAAACTAGCAGTGTTTCATGAATATTAAGAAAATTCCAAACCTTCTTCTTCATTTTCTTCACCATATAATTTACTGAGTAAGTTCACACTGGAAACCTTCCTGACTGAAAAGCTAAAATTGAATATGGATACACCAGCATCCTCTTTTGGTTTAAATACAGTGCCAAGATCTTTTAAAATTTATTTTTTACCTTTCATAATAAATGTCTCATTTTATGCCACGTAAACTCAGTTTTTCCATGTTTAAACCAGCTTCTCAGATTCTTTGTTAGCAGGTAATTAGGGACTACTGGCTATGGTGACTAGGTAATTATGTTTTTGAAAACATAAGTCTCAGGTTCTCTTCACCTTAGAATCAGATTGGGATATATCTGTTTTTTCTCACTTAAGAAATAATATTTCCTGGCATAGTGGTTTATGCCTGTAGTCCCAGTGCTTTGGGAGGCCAAAGCCAGTGGATTGCTTTTGGTCAGGAGATCGAGTCCAGCTTGGGCAACAAGTAGGTCTCTAAGGACTTGCTTTATGAATCTGGGTGCTCCTGTATTGGGTGCTTTATGAATCTGGGTGCTCCTGTATTGGGTGCATATATATTTAGGATAGTTAGCTCTTCTTGTTGCATTGATCCCTTTACCATTATGTAATGGCCTTCTTTATCTCTTTTGATCTTTGTTGGTTTAAAGTCTGTTTTATCAGAGACTAGGATTGCAACCCCTGCTTTTTTTTTTTGTTTTCCATTTGCTTGGTAGATCTTCCTCCATCCCTTTATTTTGAGCCTATGTGTGTCTCTGCATGTGAGATGGGTCTCCTGAATACAGTACACTGATGGATCTTGACTCTATCCAATTTGCCAGTCTGTGTCTTTTAATTGGGGCGTTTAGCCCATTTACATTTAAGGTTAATATTGTTATGTGTGAAGTTGATCCTGTCATTATGATGTTAGCTGGTTATTTTGCTCGTTAGTTGATGCAGTTTCTTCCTAGCCTTGATGGTCTTTACAATGTAGCATGTTTTTGCAGTGGCTGGTACCCGTTGTTCTTTCCATGTTTAGTGCTTCCTTCAGGAGCTCTTGTAAGGCAGGCCTGGTGGTGACAAAATCTCTCAGCATTTGCTTGTCTGTAAAGGATTTTATTTCTCCTTCACTTATGAAGCTTAGTTTGGCTCGATATGAATTTCTGGGTTGAAAATTCTATTCTTTAAGAATGTTGAATATTGGCCCCCACTCTCTTTTGGCTTGTAGAGTGTCTGCAGAGAGATCTGCTGTTATTCTGATGGGCTTCCCTTTGTGAGTAACCCAACCTTTCTCTCTGGCTGCCCTTAACATTTTTTCCTTCATTTCAACTTTGGTGAATCTGACAATTATGTGTCTTGGTGTTGCTCTTCTCGAGGAGTATCTTTGTGGTGTTCTCTGTATTTCCCAAATTTGAATGTTGGCCTGCCTTGCTAGGTTGGGGACATTCTCCTGAATAATATCCTGCAGAGTGTTTTCCAACTTGGTTCCATTCTCCCTGTCACTTTCAGATATACCAATCAGATGTAGATTTGGTCTTTTCACATAGTCCCATATTTCTTGGAGGCTTTGTGCGTTTCTTTTTACTCTTTTTTTTTCTCTAAACTACTCTTCTTGCTTCATTTCATTCATTTGATCTTCAATCACTGATACCCTTTCTTCCACTTGATCGAATCAGCTACTGAAGCTTGTGCATGTGTCACGTAGTTCTCGTGCCATGGTTTTCAGCTCCATCAGGTCATTTAAGGTCTTATCCATGCTGTTTATTCTAGTTAGCCTGTCGTCTAATCTTTTTTGAAGGTTTTTAGCTTCTTTTAGATGGGTTCGAACATCCTCCTTTAGCTCGGAGAAGTTTGTTATTACCTATCTTTTGAAGCCTTCTTCTCTCAACTCGTCAAAGTCATTCTCCATCCAGCTGTGTTCTATTGCTGGCGAGGAGCTGTGTTCCTTTGGAGGAGAAGAGACGCTCTGATTTTTAGAATTGTCAGCTTTTCTCCTCTGGTTTCTCCCCATCTTTGTGGTTTTATCTACTTTGGTCTTTGATGATGGTGACCTACAGATAGGGTTTTGGTGTGGATGTCCTTTCTGTTTGTTACTTTTCCTTCTAATAGTCAGGATCCTCAGCTGCAGGTCTGTTGGAGTTTGCTGGAGGTCCACTCCAGACCCTGTTTGCCTGGCTATCACCAGCAGAGGCTGCCAAATATTGCAGAACAGCAAATGTTGCTGCCTGATCCGTCCTCTGGAAGCTTTGTCTCAGAGGGGCGCCCAGTTGTATGAGGTGTCTGTTGGCCCCTACTGGGAGGTATCTCCCAGTTAGGTTACTCAGGGATCAGGGACCCACTTGAGGAGGCAGTCTGTCCATTCTCAGATCTCAAACTTTGTGCTGGGAGAACCACTACTCTCTCCAAAGCTGTCAGACAGGGACATTTAAATCTATAGAAGTTTCTATTGCCTTTTATTCAGCTATGCCCTGCCCCCAGAGATGGAGTCTACAGAGGCAGGCAGGCCTCCTTGAGCTGCTGTGGGCTCTACCTAGTTCGAGCTTCCTGGCCGCTTTGTTTACCTACTCAAGCCTCAGCAATGGCGGGCACCCCTCCCCCAGCCTCACTGCTTCCCTGCAGTTGATCTGATAGCGGACTGCTGTGCTAGCAGTGAGCAAGGTTCCATGGGCATGGGACCCTCCGAGCCATGCGTGGGATATAATCTCCTGGTGTGCCGTTTGCTAAGGCCATTGGAAAAGCGCAGTATTAGGGTGAGAGTGTCCTGATTTTCCAGGTACCGTCTGTCATGGCTTCCCTTGGCTAGGAAATGGAATTCCCCAACCCCTTGCGCTTCCCAGGTGAAGCGATGCCCCGCCCTGCTTTGGCTCACACTCTGTGGGCTGCATCCACTGTCCGACAAGCCCCAGTGAGATGAACCTGGTACCTCAGTTGGAAATGCAGAAATCACCCGTCTTCTGCATCACTCACGCTGGGAGCTGTAGAATGGAGCTGTTCCTATTCCTTTTTTTGTTTTGTTTTGTTTTGTTTTGAGATGGAGTCTTGCTGTGTCATCCAGGCTGGAGTGCAGTGGCACAATCTCTGCCCACTGCAACCTCCGCCTCCTGGGTTCACACCATTCTCCTTGCCTTAGCCTCCCAAGTAGCTGGGACTGCACGTGCCTGCCACCATGCCCGGCTAATTTTTTGTATTTTTAGTAGAGACGGGGTTTCACCATGTTAGCCAGGATGGTCTCGATCTCCTGACCTCATGATCCACACGCTTTGGCCTCCCAAAGTTCTGGGATTACAGGCATGAGCCACCACACCCAGCCTAATTGTTTTTTTTTTTTTTAATCAGCTTTGTTAATATATGTCTCACAACTTACAATACATACATTTTACTTCTACATATATATTATAAACATCGTAACCTTGCTGCTATTTTTGTTTAAATTGTCAAATATATATTTTAAAAGACTTAATAAGAAAAAATTCATATTTTTACTCAGGTATTTATCATTTCTAGTTCTCTTTATTCCTTTTGGTTAGAATTAGATTTCCATCTGGTATCATTTTCCTTCTGCCTAGAGGGCATTCTTTAACATCTCTTGTATTTGGATCTGTCAGTAATAAATTCTTTCAGCTTTTGTATGTTTGAAAACATCTTTATTTCACCTTCATTTTTGAAAGACATTTGTGCCAGATATATAGTTCTAGTTTGACAGTTTTTCAGTACATGAAAAATGTTACCCCATTGCCATCTTACTTGCATAGTTCTTGATAAGAAATCTGACATTCTTTTGTTCTTCAATGTTTCACAACCCCCATTCCCCAAATTTTGCTGCTTTTAAGATTTTTCATATGAGACCAGGTGCGGTGGCTCACACCTGTAATCCCAGTGCTTTGGGAGGTCAAGATGGGAGGATGGCTTTTGAGGCATGGAGATCAAGATTAGCCTAGGCAACATAGTGAGACCCCATCCTTACAAAAAATACACACAGAGAAAATTACTCATTTTGATCAGTTTAGTTATGATGGGCCTTAGTGTATTCTTCTTCATGTTTCTTGTGCTTGGGTTTTGTTTAACTTCTTAGAGCTATCGGTTTTTAGTTTTTATTATGTTTGGAATATTTGCAGCCATTATACATCTTCAAATTGGTTTTCTGACCCTTTTATGCCACTTGAAGTTGTCTCATAGCTCACTGACACTCTTTTTTTATTTTGTTTCTTTCTCTATGTTTTATTTTGGATACCTCCTTTGCTGTGCCTTCCATTTCACTAATATTTTCTTCTGTAATACCTGAACTGTTATTAATCTCATCAAATAAATAAAGCTAAATATTTCTTACTACTGGGGGAAGACTTTTCTTAGTACTCCATGGCACAGAGCACTAAGGGGTCCCTAATCTCTGGTACTGCAACTATATCAGTTCCTGTTAGGAACCAGGCCACACAGCAGGAGGTGAGTAGCAGGCCACCAAGCATTACCACCTGAGCTCCACCTCCTGTCACATCAGCGGAGGATTCTTTTTTTTTTTTTTTCAAATGTGAAAAATCTAATTTTATTCAGTTTAGATTAATGTATAGCTATACACTCTGGACTCTTAATGAAACCTTTCCCATTCTTTTTTTTTAGATTTTATTATTATACTTTAAGTTTTAGGGTACACGTGCACAACATGCAGGTTTGTTACATATGTATACATGTGCCATGTTGGTGTGCTGCACCCAGCAGAGGATTCTTATAGGGGTGCAAATCCTATTTTGAACTGCACAAGCGAGGGATCTAGGTTGTATACGTCTTATGAGAATCTAACTAATGCCTGATGATCTGAGGTGCAACAGTTTCATCCTGAAACCACGCCTCCTACCCGTCCGTGGAAAAATTGTCTTCCACAAAACTAGTCCCTGGTGCCAAAAACGTTGGAGACTTTGATGAAAAAAATGATGAGTTTTTCTGCTCTAGGTCTTTGAAACAGCCACTATTTCCAAATGTGTATGTGCCTCAGGTACTGTTCCTTCTATTTTTTTTTCCTCTTAATACTTTTGGATGTTTCTTTCCCAGGTACTGACCTTAAGAAAAGACCCTCTACAGAATTCCAGGTTTCTCTGTAAATCTTTCTGTTCTCTGATATTGTGGTCTTTCAACTCTTAACTGCTCTGAAATTCCCAGACTCTCAGTTGTATTTCCTCAACTCACTGGCATCTACTACAGTTCTCCTTATACCATATTCTGGAAACTCTTGCAATAAACTGCTGTAGTCATATGGCTGACCTCCATTGTTTCCCATCTCTCAGAGATACGTATTTTTTATTCTTGATGTCCAGTGTATTAAAAACCATTGTTTCTAGTTTTGCTATTGTTGTTTCATGATAGGGAGTAAATCTAGTTTCTGTTCCTCTACTGTCTTCTGCTTTGCATTGTTTTTGAAAGGAAGCCTGCTGCCATTCCTATCATTGTTCCCTCTTACCTAATATGTCTTTTAACCTCCTTTATCTGCTTTTAAGATGTTTATCACTGATTTTAAACAATTTTATTATGATGTACCTTGGCATAGTTTTATATTTTGTGTGGTTGGGGTTTTTTATAGTTTCATTCACTTTGGAAATTATTTAACAATAAGTTTTCTCTTTCCACCTCCATCTACCTTTGGGACTCCGATTAAAATAATAATAATAATAATAATAAGAAGAAGAAGAAGAAGAAGAAGAAGAAGAAGAAGAAGAAGCCACTTGTAGTTGACCCATGTCTCAGTGATTCTGTTTTCAATATTTTTGTTTTTCTATCTGTTCTTCATTTTGAATAATTACTCTCTCCCCTATTTTGTCTTTTCTTTTTTATTTTTATTTTTATTTTTTGAGATGGAGTCTTGCTCTGTCACCCAGGCTGGAGTGCAGTGGTGCAATCTTGGCTCACTGCAACCCCCGCCTCCTGGGTTCAAGTGATTCTCCTGCCTCAGCCTCCTGAGTAGCTGGGACTACAGGCACGCCTCACCACACCCGGCTAATTTTTGTATTTTTAGTAGAGGTGGGTTTTCACCATATTGTTTCGGCTGGTCCTGAACTCCTGACCTCATGATCTGCTTGCCTCGGCCTCCCAAAGTGCTGGGATTACAGGCGTGGGCCACTGTGCCTGGCCTCTTTCTTTTTTTTTTTTTTTTCAGACAAGTTCTCGTTCCGTCGCCCAAGCTGGAGTGCAGTGGCACAATATTGGGTCAATGCAACCCCCACCTCAGCCTCCCAAGTAACTGGAACTGCAGGAGTGCACCACCATGCCTGGCTAGTTTTTGTATTTTCTCTAGAGACAGGTTTTGCTGTGTTGCTCAGGCTGGTCTCAAACTCCTGAACTCAACTTATCTGCCTGTCTCGACCTCCCAAATTGCTGGGATTGCAGGCATGAGCCGCCATGTCCAGCATTGAATAATTTCTATTACTCTGAAGTTTACTAATTATTTCATCTACAATGTTTAATCTGCCATTAATCTCATCCAGTTGACATTTTATCTCTGACATTATAGTTTTCATCTCTTGAACTTTGATTTGGACCTCTTTTACTCATGCCATATCTCTACATAGTATGCTTATGTTGTCATGTGCTTTCGGAATGTTGTTATAACAATTGTTTTAATATTCATGTCTACTAATTCTGTCACTTTTTTTTAATCTGATTACCTTGGTATTGGTTTTTCCTGATTACCTGGGTATTCATTGTTTCCTCATACATGTGTACTGAAGACTCCAAAGGAATCCCTTGCATATCTCGAGTTCTCACTTTCCACCTCTTTCTTCTCCAAGCAGCTCTGTCCTCTCCAGTACTCTGCCCCAGCATGTGGTAGCCAGCTTGGCCTCCCTGAATGGAAACTACTTGACTCTATTTAGGTTCTTCCTTCCCGCTCTGCAGCCTGGGAACTCTATTCAAGGTGTAAGTTTGAGTAATTGTAGCGCTTACCTTATTCTGCCCCTTCTTTGATTATTATCCAATGCCTGAAAATTGTGTTTTCATGTATTTTGTTCATTGTTAGTTGTTTAAGATGGGAATATAAATCTGCTCCCTGGTCCTTCATAGTGGCTGGAAGTGCAAATCTCTAGGTTGATTTTGGTTTTTCCCTTTTTCAGGTAACTCGCTTTTTTTTTCAAGAATGCCTAATTTTTTTATTTGAATTTGAGTCTCAGTCTGTTGCCCAGGCTGGAGTGCAGTGACACAATCTCGGCTCACTGCAACCTCCATCTCCTGGGTTTGAACGATTCTCCTGCGTCAGTCTACCCAGTAGCTGGGATTATAGGCACCTACCACCATGCCTGGCTGAGTTTTGTATTTTTTTTTTTTTTTTTTAGTTGAGATGAGGTTTCACCATTTTGGCTAGGCTGGTCTTGAACTCCTGACCTCAAGTGATCCACCCGCCTTGGACTCCCAATGTGCTGGTATTACAGGCATGAGCCACTGCCCCCAGCCTGAATTTGAATTTGATAATAACTATGATTTATCTCTATGCGAATTCTGTATTGAGTTTTCCTCGAACAATGTATTCATTTTAAACTGTAGATTTCATTCCCAGTTAACTTTCTTGTCCCCAAATATTGTTTCTCCTTTACTTGACCTATTGGAGTGTCAGAAAATGATCATAACCATCACTGATAAATGTGTTATGGGGAATATTAGAGTAAAAGCAGAAATTCCAAGTTGTGGTGAGAAAGTACAGTAGAACCTTGAACAATGTGAGGGTTCTGGGCACTGACCCCTTCGAAAATCCACATACAATGTTTACCTCCTCAAAAACTTAACTACTAATAGTAGTTAATTGGAAGCCTTACTGATAACGTAAATAGTTGATTAACACGTATTTTGTATATGTATTATATTCTGTATTCTTACAATAAATTAAGCTAAAGAAAAAATGCTATAATATCATATGGAATGAAAATATATTATTATTCATTAAGTGGAAATGGATCATCATAAAGGTCTTTATCTTAGTCATCTTCATGTTGAGTGGGCTGAGGAGGGGAAGAAGAGGAGGAGTGGTTGGCCTTCATGTCTCAGAGGTTGGCAGAGGCAGAAGAAAATCTATGTATAGGTTGACCTGCACAGTTCAAATTCATATTGTTATAGTATCAGTTGTAATCTTAAATTCATCTTCAGGTTGATTTAGTGTCAAAATTCCCTCAAATATTATTCTAGATTCTATAAAATGTTCTAGATACCATTTTATCGCTTAAAAATAAATGTGAAAGCTCTCAGCTAAGATATAGTTGTTCATCTATGTGTAATTACTAGTTTTGTAATTTTTTGTAATTTCTTAGTCACCTCTGCATAGTGTTTGGATTACATTGTGAGTACAGTAGGATTTTGTTTAGAAATCTATGCGTTATTTCAAATAACATCTCTTTATGATAGGAAAAAAGGTTCCAAGTTTGAAATAACACTGTGAAGAACTAATCACCATGCAAGTTTAGGCTTATTATGGGGAAATTTTTAAACTTTAGGTATTAAAAAGATTTTTAAGAAATAGATTTTAACAAACTTTCAGTACCTTGTGACTTACCCTGCGTAAACAAGGTCAGCCAAATTTGTACCCTGTTTCATGGATTAGAAATTAAACACTATAAGTGAAAGAATAATAAGTCATATCTTGTCAATAATTTTGTGAGAGTATGAGACTTGTGGTGAGTTTTCCTTTAGCACTCATGCCTATTTTCTTTTTTAAATTATTTTTTCAGTTCCTATGTCTTATTACAGGTCTTCTCTTTTCCTCTCTTCATTTATTTATAACTCTGTCTTGACCACTTATATCTGTTTTCGGTCTAGAATTTTACTACTTTGGAGAATGTGGTTTTTGTGAGGGTAGAGTTTTCAAATGTCACTAATGTTTGCTTCTGGAATAAGGGAAGTATGATTATAGGTCAGTAGAAGAAACATGGTATGAAGAAATGTACAGCCTTGGTGGTAAGCAATAGAATTCATACTTACAAAGAAACAGAAGTATATGTATATTAAAGGCAAGTAAGAATCACTACCAAATGTTTACATTTTACATCTCCTGCTTTGTTTGCCCTATAGGTTTTTCATACCTATGCCATGAGTAACAATTTTTCTTAGTAAAACTTTCATTTATACTCAGTTACAATTAAATATCTTTATCAGTAATCTAAAAGCAATAAAGCCCTTAAAATGAGGTAGTGTGATAAATTATAAGAAATCTCATCTAAGAAATCATATGTTTGAAATTTTACGTGTCAGTAATGTGGTTTGTGTCCATTGAATTAACAAGTTAGAATGAATTTATAATTAAATAAATAATTTCTATTTTTTTAGGATTTGGTTATCTTTTGGCAGTATTTACCAAAAGACATGGTTACACTAAAACGTGACTAGAAATTTAAAAAGATTGCTCAAAATTTCATGCTCAGAATTTAGAACGTGCCATCTAGTATTCTTTGCTCTGTCATGAAAAGATTTGAGAAAGTTTCAGTGAAAGTGAATTAAGTTGTTTTGTAATGGTAACCTAATGGAAATTGAAGTAATTTTTTTTTAAAAAAGGTAAGTATTATTTAGGCCAGGCACAGTGGCTCAAGCCTGAAATTCCAGCCCTTCGGGAGGCTGAAGTGGGTGGATCACCTAAGATCAAGAGTTTGAGACCAGCCTGGCCAAAATTTTTGGTAGAGACCAGACCATCTCTACTAAAAATACAAAAATTAGCCAATCATGGTGGTGCATTCCTTAGTCCCAGCTGCTGGGGAGGCTGAGGTAGGAGAATCGCTCAAACCCAGGAGGCAGAGGTTGCGGTGAGCCAAGATCGCGCCACTACACTCCAGCCTGGCTGACAGAGTGAGACTCTGTCTGAAAACAAACAAACAAACAAACAAAAACTTACTTAAAGTGATAGCTTTAAAC
Source organism: Homo sapiens (assembly GCF_000001405.40). Lineage (NCBI taxonomy): Eukaryota > Metazoa > Chordata > Mammalia > Primates > Hominidae > Homo > Homo sapiens. Next base: position 74,410,732 of record NC_000010.11, read on the forward strand.
CTTATTCGACCATGGAACAAGCCTTTGTAACATAATCTATACTGTTACAATAAGTACACTTTGGCAGAGTAAGTGAACTAATGATTTTTTTTTATAATTTAAGCTAGTCTGTGAATGACAGTTGATTAAATAATGTCACAGCTCTTTATATATAGCATTAAATAGAGTTCAAAGTATTTTTGGAATTTATTAATTTATAATATTCTTCTGTGATTATTAAAGAGGTGGGATAGCTAAACTTTTTCTCACCTTTTATCATTGTTCCAAGTGCAGTTTTGAACTCGTATGTGTTAGAACTCCCATTATATTGGTCAAATCGATGATCACCATATGACTTTATTCCTGCATTTTTGCCTCAAATTTTTAACTATCCTATTCTGGACTGCTTCATTAACTTCATTAGGGATTAACTATGAATGTTTAAGCCTTTATTTTACAATGTCCTTGCAGGTGTCCTTAACTGTTTCATTTATAAACACAGAGAATAAAATGAAAAAAAAATCTGTAGAGTTGTTTGTTCTATTTGGAGCTTTTCATGTTGGTGTAAAATTCCTGACACTTAACACATATGAATCTTTTTCATTCATGTTTAATAATTTTATTTGAGAGTCACTTCAAGTAAAGCCCAAACTGTGTTAACATTTGAGTTAAGCAAAGACATCTTTGCTTAACAATAAAGCAAATATCACAATAAAGCAAGTCACATGAATATTTTGGTTTCTGAATTCATATAAAAGTTATGTTTACACTATATGGTACTCTCAAGTGTGTGGTAGCATTACATCTTTAAAAATAAACATACTTTAATTAAAAATACTTTGTTGCTAAAAAATGCTAGTGATCATCTGAGCCTTTAGCGAGTAATAATCTTTTTGCTGTTGGAGGGTCTTGCACCAGTGTTGATGGCTGCTGACTGCTCAGAGTGGTGGCTTCTGAAGGTTGGGGTAGCTGTGACGATTTCTTAAAATAAGACAGCAATGAAGTTTGCCACATCAATTGACTCTTCTTTCATAAAAGATTTCTCTGTAGCATACAATGTTGTTTGATAGCATTTACCTACAGTAGAACTTCTTTGAAATTGGAGTCAGCCCTCTCTAACTCTGTTGTTGCTTTAACAGTTATGTTTATGCAGTATTCTGAATTTTTCGTTGTCATTTCAACAGCATTCATAGCGTGTTCACCAGGAGTAGATTCCATGTCAAGAAACCACTCTCTGTGTTCATCTATAAGAAGCAATTTCTCATCCATTCAAGTTTTATCATGTGATTGCAGCAATTCAGTCCTATCTTCAGGCTTCACTTCTAATACTAGTTCTCTTGCTATTTCCATCACATGTGCATTGACTTCTTCCACTGAAGTCTTGAAGCCCTCAAAGTCATCCATGAGGGTTGGAATCCACTTATTCCAAACTCCTATTAATGTTAATATTTTGACCACCTCACATGAATCGTGAATGTTCTTTTTTTTTTAAACAGGGTTTTACTCCTGTCACTCAGGCAGGGAAGTGCAGTAACAATCACTGCACATTGCAGTCTCAATCTCCCAGGCAAGCTCAAGCAATCCTCCCACCTCATCATTTATTTTATTTTTGTAGAGACGAGGTCTCACCATATTGGCCAGGCTGGTCTCGAACTGCTGGGCTTAAGTGATCCTCCCACTGCGGCCTCCCAAAGCGCTGGGATTGCAGGTGTGAGCCACCATGCCCAGCCCATGAATGTTCTTAATGACAACTGGAATGATGAATTATTTTCAGGAGGTTTTCAATTTACTCTGCCCAAACCCATCAGATGAGTCACTATGGCAGCTATAGCCTTATGAAATATATTACTTAAATAAGATTTGAAAGTCAAAATTACTCATTGATCCATGGGCTGCAGAATGAATGTTGTTTTAGCAGCCGTGAAAACAACATTCATCTTCTTATACGTCTCCATCAGAGCCCTTGGGTTACCAGATGCATTGTTAATGAGCAGTAATATTTTAAAGGGAATCTTTTTTTCTGAGCAGTAGATCTCAACAGTGGGCTTAAAATATTCAGTATACCAGCTGGGCACAGTGGCTTATGCCTGTAATCCCAGCACTTTAGGAGGCCAAGGCGGGAGGATCACCTGAGGTCAGGAATTCGAGACCAGCCTGGTCGACATGGTGAAACCACATCTCTACTAATAATACAAAAATGAGCTGGGCATGGTGGTGCACACCTGTAATCCCAGCTACTCAGGAGGCTGAAGCAGGAGAATTGCTTGAACCCTGGAGGCGGAGGTTGCGGTGAGCCAAGATTGCGCCATTGCACTCCAGCCTGGGTGACAAGAGTGAAACTGTCCCCAAAAAAAAAAAAATTCAGCATACCATACTCAAACAGGTATGTGTTCATCCAGGCTTTGTTATTTCATTTATAGAACACAGGCAGAGCAGATTTAACATAACTCTTAAGGGCTCTAGGATTTTTAGAATGGTAAATGAGCATTGACTTCAACTGAAAGTCACCAGCTGCATTAGCCCCTAAAAAAAAAAGAGTCGTCCTATCCTTTGAAGCTTCGAAGCCAAGCATTTACTTCTTTTTAGCTGTAAAAGTCTTCAATAGCATCTTCTGCCAGTAGAAGACTCTTTTGTCTATGTTGAAAACCTGTTGTTCAGTGCAGCCACCTTCATCAATGATGTTGGCAAGATCTGGGTAACTCTTCAGCACCTGCTATTTTACCTTGCACTTTTATGATATGGAGATTGCTTCTTTCTTTCAACCTCACAAATTAGCCTCTCTTAGCTTCAGACTTTTCTTGCACAGCATCCTCACCTCTCAGCTTTAACAGAATTGAAAAGAGTTAAGGTTGTGCTCGGGATTAAGCTTTGACCTAAGAGAATGCTATGCTGGTTTGATGTTCTATACAGACCAGTAAAACTTTCTCCATGTCAGCAATAAGCTTATTTCACTCTCTTATTCATGCGTTCACTGGAGTAGCACTTTTAATTTTCTTCAAGAACTTTTTCTTTGCATTGAGAACTTGCCTGTTTGTTGTGAGAGGTCAAACTTTCAGCCTGTCTCACCTTTCGATATGCCTTCCTCACTAAACTCAATCATTTCTAGCTTTTGACTTAAAGTGAGAGACATGCAACTCCTCCTTTCACTTGAACACTTAGAGACCACTGTAGGATTATTAATTGGCCTAATGTCACTATTGTTGTGTCTCAAGAAATAGGGAGGCCTTAGGAGAGGTAGAGAGATGGGGTAATGGCCAGCTGGTAGAGCAGTGAAAACACAGCATTTATCAGTTAAGTTCACCATCTTCTATGGGTGTGGTTTGTGGCATCCCAAAACAATTACAATAATAATATCATAGATCAGTGATCACTATAAAAGATATAAAAGTTTGAAATATTGAAAGAATTACCAAAATATGACAGAGATCCAAGCGAGCACATTCTGTTGGAAAATAATGACACCATACTCAAGGCAGGCTTGCCATAAACCTTCGATTTGTAAAAAAAAATAATAAAAAGGTATCTGTGAAGTGCAATAAAATAAGGTATGCTTATACCAAAACAGACTTAATTATGCTATTTCTTACCATTAGTGTTAGAGTTCAGTTTCTAATGTTTTTCATTTTCCATATGTTATTGATGTTCAGTGAGTTACACAAATTATTTACTGTTGTTACTTCCACCTTAGTAGGGAGAATCTTTGATTTTTGCTGGATAAATTTTCAAACAAGAGTGTGATTATAGGCTGGACGTGGTGGCTCACGCCTGTAATCCCAGCATTTTGGGAGGCCGAGGTGGGCAGATCACTTGAGGTCAGGAGTTGGAGACCAGCCTGGCCAACATGGTGAAACCCCCTCTCTACTAAAAATACAAAAATTAGCCGGGCGTGGTGGCGCATGCCTGTAATCCCAGCACTTGAGAAGCTGAGGCAGGAGAATGGCTTGAACCTGGGAGGCAGAGGTTGCACTCCTGCCTAGGTGACAGAGTGAGACTCCATCTCAAAAAAAAAGAAAAGAAAGAAAAGTGTGATTACAGAGATCCTATTTGTGTTTATTTTTAATTTCTCTAGAATTTGTTTTCTTCAATAAATAAAATTCTAATACCAGTTTTTTTTGAGTAACACTGTGATTTTTATACAGAAAGACTTTCTCCAAATTGGAGAATGTACTCTTTTATTCCTGTAATTTTTCTTAACTCTTATTTTTGGCAGCTACCAAAAGTAAAACTCTCTACCAAGACAGAGAAGAAATCTTTGGGAATATTAAGTAATGTTATTTTTCATTACACGGACTAACCTTTTTACTAAGAAGAATTGGGATAGTATTGGTTATGGGAGCTTAGGAGCCCTAAAGATAAAGATTGGAAGATTTTGTGTTGTGGACTTGTGGCACTGTAACAAAGTCTGGGAATTTTATGTGAGATTGGAAACCACACTATGTGCTAATTGCCTCAGAATGGTAAGAAAATAAGCATATGTATAGCATTTAGTTGTTAAGACAGTAGGCACTTATGCAGAGCCCCAAATGAATTAACAAATCATCTACTGAAATATTTTCACTTCTGTTTACTTTATGTATTTTAGACCAATCAGCAGTTGCTTGAGAAAATGAAATGTTTACTAAATCTCTTTAATAAACATGTTTAAGAGAGGAAAAACTTATAAACATTCAGATGGCAGTGTACATTTTTAAGTGCTAGTTGTCATATCTTTGAAATTGTATGTAAACTGGACATAAACAATCAAGTGTCTACAGAATGGTATCTGTCTTCCAATATATTTACTGAAGATATTATAGAATCTTTATAGTTTAATATGATTTACCCCACATGTTCTGTTGTTGCTATCTTTTCAGATAAAGTTGAATTTAATCTTTCTTATCAGCTTTTATTGAGGTATTTATGAACCATTGAGTTCACCCACTTAAAAAATATCATTCAGTGGCTGTTAGTGTATTTACAGAGTTCTGCTACCATCACTGTAATCTAATGTTAGAACATTCACATCACCACAGAAGGAAATGTTATACCCATCAGTAGTAATGCTCCATACCCCCTGGATTTAATCTTATATCCACATCTCTCATAATAGTTTCAGTGGTATCTAGTTATTATGACTACAAATGATGCAATTGTTCCTGATTACACAAATAATGTATTTATGTCTTTATTGTTGGCATGTAATGGAAGACATAATAAGTCTGCTTTGATCTCTTGCTCTTACCTATTTCTCTATTGCAAGTGTTATAAAGAGTCTTTTAAGCTTTTGCTCATATATATAAATATATATATACATACATTTATATATACACACACATACATATATACACACACACACACACACACACACACACACACATATATGTAATGCTACCGTGTTTGAGGGTCATGAGGGTCAGTTTTTTGAAATACCAGTTTTTTTCTGATTTAGGTGGATGACATGGTACGTGAAGCTTAAAAAAAAATTTGGTAAATTGGTATGAAAAAATGAGAGGACAACGTTTTTCCTTTCTGGTACTTAGCAGGAAGGCAAGTTCTTGTATGAACCCATATTTCCTGTTACCCATTTTCAGACCAATATTGGTTTCTCATCTATATAATAGGGATCTTTTGACTCTAACCTCTTAAATCTATCATGTGTTTTCTTTCTTCACCTTGGAAATAGCTTCTTGAAGCCCCAGACTTCTAGAGCACATTCATATTAACTAACATTGTCCTGGTTTACTAGTTAGGGATATTAGTAAATCCTAAATAGTTGAAGACGTTCTGAAAGATATATTGCTGCTTTTTAAAAATTTATTTATCTTGTTCTCTATACGGATTTCTGGCACAAGGTTGGTTTTTGTTTTTGTTTTTGTTTCTGTTTTTTTTTTGTCAATTGTGGTAAGTCCATGGATGCTTTTCTCTATAACTTTCCCATTTTCCCTTATCACACCGTCACTGCAAACATCTAATTTCTGTCCAGTCTCTCAACTCTTTTCAGCTCTGCTGTCCTAACTAATCATTTTTTGTATTCATCTTTCAAAGTATTTGTTTCTGTCTTCATTCTATAAGTAACAAGATTATTTAAGGTTATTTTGTATTACAGAAATAGTAAAAATCAAATAAAATATCAAATGTAGAATAGTCCACCAAAAATATTTTATTTCATCTTTTCCAGAGAGGTACACATATAATAAAGTAAATGAGCATTATATATTTTATTATTAATCCTCAATAATATATTTTTCACAGGTATGTTGCTTCTTGTAAGTTTACCTTTTTTAATGTGAAAACTACAATAAACTAAATTAAATTTTAAAAATATTTTACTTACTAAAGTCAACTGATGTTTTCCTGGTAGATTGATAGGCTTCTTGTGGTAGCTTTTAATCATTTGCAAGTTTTGAGCCCATTTCTAAAACTTTTCTCATTGTAAATATGTATTTCCTTTCTTATATTAACTGAGAATTTGTTTTTATAAAAATAAAGTGGGGAATCAGACTCAAGGTGAAATGTTGTAGACTTAGTGCCAGCAATAAGCAGAATTATTTAAAATCATTCAAATATCTTTAATTCCCTTGTTGTCTTTTTCAAAAACTGTACATTTTAACTACATTAATATAACGGAAGACTTTTTAAGGCTTAGTTTTCCTTTATAGATATTCCCTAATTTCATTTTTATTTCAGTCTGTCAGGGTTGTGAATGTGATGTTTTAAGGTACACTGTAGTGTTTTCACATCCTCAGATGAACTGAATTGGGACAATACTTTGTAGGAAGTTTTTTAATATAGTATGTAGACACATTGGTAAAAATCAGTATGTCCACTGGCTTATTAGTTTCACAGATGCTTCCATAATTCTTAGTGTACTCTTGGGTATTTTAAATTATCATTTCCTGACAGCAATCCTGAAACATGCCAGTCTTTTAAAGCCTTATTTCTGAGAACTAAAGCAAGGCATCAGCGAACCATATCTGACATGCCATGTTAATTTCCATAACTATCATTTCTGGGAGGTGGTAGGATTTCTAAGGCATGGAGAATCTCAGTAAATCTACTTTAAAAAAAAAAAAAGCAAAATATCTGTTTTATTACTGGGTTTCCATTCACGAGCCCTGACTGCTTCATTCCCACTTAAATAATTTCAAAAATAGTGATAAGCATATTTTTTCTCTTATAGATTATTAAATATTTACTCACGTGCACAATATATCAAAACATATTTTGAATTCTATATTCTTAGTGTTGGGTGTTCATGTTGTGAATGAAAACCTCATTCTGTTATCTCATAGCATATTTATATATACAAATAATTTTTGCCTTAAGTAGGAAAGAAACAGCTAAAAGATACATAGGTTATTTTGCTTTTTAAAATTTTAGCAAACTATTCTGTGAATCTTTTGTGTGTTTGGGGCTGTTTGTAGAGGAAAATTTCATCAAGCAACATTTTGGGAACATTGGCCTTTTGTACTCTTTCCTAAATAAACAGAAACTTGTACTCCCCAAAATAAAATGTTTCTTTGTATATTGTTACCTGCAAGTTATTGATAATGGAAGGAACACCTTTTCAATCCTTAGTCCCCTTTCCCCCAACACAGCTTTTAGATTGTCGATAAACTTCCCAGCTCAGTAATTAACTGAGCTCAGTCATTGCACCCTGTATCATGTGATTTTTTTTTCCAGTGGAATACATTATTAGAGCACTTACACAGCCAGTCTAGCTGCAGCAGCCCAGGCGGCAACAGCAGTGCCATTTTTCACAAAGAAAATGTTGAACAGGAGCCAAATGTTTGGTGGCAGTCTGTTGCTAGGAAATCAAGGTCCTGAGGCGATTAATGACAAAGCAAGCAATAACAAGAAGGCAGAATTACAGATTTAAAAGAGAAAAAAGTGGTTGGTGTTATAATTACCCAAAGAAATCCGCACTCATTAAATTGGCTGTTTTTATGATTGACTTTAATTGGAGGTTAGCTCAGATATTTAGCTCCTTTCCCACCCCTTTAAACACACACAGGCACATAATCTGTAGAACTGCAGACTTGTTTTTCTAAGCATTGAGAGGAGCTTGCCCTGTAATTTGATCCCCACTGACAGATGCATTTTCTATGCTGCCATTTTGAATTAACCTATTGTAGAACAATTTTCTTCAGCCCTGTTGAATAAAACATCCAGTCTGATTACCTCCGATGGATTTGATAGAGTAAAAGAATGTACTTCTCATTGAAGTAGATTGTTTGCATGGACTCTACTGATTGTGAACTCTGCCAGTAAGCACAATCATTTGTAATAAATTTTCAAAGAAATTTGTGAGGAAAAGGTAATGAGAGTCACCCTTTTATAGTTTAATGTTTGGCACCTCCATCAAAATAATATAATTCTTATAAGACAGTGTTATTTTTCCAGTAAGCTTTTCACGTGGTTTTAGAAAAAATTTCTGAATCTTCATTTGGACTATTCATATATTTAGGAATAGAGTCTTGTATTTACACTCTAAAATGACCATTCTTCCTCCCCAACAACAGTATTTTAGTGCAAGACTCAATATGCAAAGCACTCTATTGCAAAAATATTTTTGGTATGTACAATATTTAAAGTGATTTTAAGATTGGCCTATTTCAGTCTTTGAAGTATTTCCCCCCCCCAAAAATCCCTTATTTAAATTTTTTAGGGTGTGATAAAGCATATTACTAGAAAAGCATCAATCGGTCTTTCAGGTACAATACCAGAGGAACCATCACAGTTTATTTACCTTTCAGAAGCTTTAAAAATAAAGTTACATGATGCCTCTGCTCTCCAGATTTCTAATCAAACCCTGGAACAAAAGAGCCAAGCACATTCTATCTGACAATGCACACACTGCTAATCAGATGCCAATGCCAAGCTGTCTGCTTTGTTAAATACTTAGCTTCCTAGAGGCAGGAAGACAGCTGCTATAAGTATGATGAAATTTTGTAGTTCAATCTATTTTTGCTACCCTTGGGCTACCAAGATACTGTTAATTTAGACCACCCCAATTGGTACATTTTAGGGAGTTTTTTAAAGAGTTTGTAATTAAAATGATAAAACATCGTTATTACATTGAAGACCTTCTGTAAGTTTTACATTTGGCAGATACCTACTGAGATAACCCCAGCATGTAATTTACAATGATGTAATGGTTGTAATTGCATTTTAGAAAAAAAGAACTATAGGAGGCAAGTGCTTCCATTAGAAGAGTTTTTAAATCTGCTTCTGTTTCATTTAAATCTACTTCTATCCCCAAATTACTTACTTATAATTGACTAGAGCAGCTATAAACCTTAAGATGCTATCTGAATATTTTTAAAAAGTTATCACCCCAGACACTGCCACCAGGGGGAGGAAGCTAAAATCTTAAAGTTCTTAACTGATGATGATACTGCCAGTAGGTAGATTATATTGCTTAGCCCTACATAGTTAACTACTTCCTCCAGATAATACCGCCTTTTGGGACATGATTCTCACAACCTGTAATATGTGATACCTGTAGACTTAGCACACTATTAATTGTAAATAAAATGGAAACTTTCGTACTCTGGTGGTTGGGGTCAGGAAGGGGAAAGAGGAAGTACAAATAAGCAACCTGGACATTTTTATTGTTTTTCTCTTATCTGTTAGTCTACTTGAAGAGCTATCCTTGAAAGTGAGTGCTTTAGATCTATGAAACTGGGCAGCTATCATAGCACATCTATTAAGATCTAATAATCACATAATTAATGTAGCAAAATGAATAGACTGTAAGGTAGTTTTCTATTTTTTGTTACTACACTGTGGTTTTGTTTTTAATAAATAGTTTTGGCTTTATTTTAAACAATTAAAAATTCAAAATATTTTTATGACCAAAGCTTGTAGGTTCTATCCCTGGAAAATATTTTATAAATGCAGAAAATAGTTGCTTAGGATTGGAATCCAACTCTGTTTACCATGAACAACTTAAAAGTTGATCTCATAATCTTGCATGTTGTGGAATAATACCACGAAAAAGTTAATTAAAGAATTTAGATGTTTGTTCTCCTGTCTAGAACTCAATAACTTTTAAGTAGTAACTCTCCCTACAGTTTAACTGTTAAACAGTAACTCTTCTGACAGTTTTAGGTTTTATTCTGTGAAGACTCATGATTTTTAATTTTTGCATCTTAATTTTTCAGTTATTTCAGGTATTGAAATTACAAACGACGGGAAAGAAAAGTGGTTGACTAAAAAGGGGATACAAAAGGCAATTTTTAGGGCGATGTACTGTTCTGTATGGTACTGTGGTGGTGGATACATGATACTATGCATTTGTTAAAGCCCAAAGAACTGTACATCACAAAGGGTTAATTTTAATGTATGCAGGTTTTTTAAATGTTAGGGATTTCAGGATAGAATGCAAGCTGTAACAAATGAATCTAATTGTATTACAAATGTATGGCATAACTTCACTGAATGGGTGGGGGAAAAGGAGCTGACCTAAGTAACTTTGGAAAATGGTGTTTTGATTGGACAATGTAAAGCTAAAGACTAAGGAACACTATAGAAACACTCTATTCTAGTTGGTAAATTTGTTTCTCATAACGGTATGGGTGAACAGTTCTGAACCTCTTTACATGTATCCTGGGGTTGAACAAATAAGTAAATGGATGATGAATGGTGGAAGCTAGGTTTCTCACTGTCAGGAAGGGATGTTACAGATAAATAAACAAGAGGGGAGAGCCAGAATGAAACCTGTGGTACTGGATTAGAGTTGGAGATATAAGTATTTACTCATGTTTAGCTTAATATATGCAGATGGATAGATGCAGAAATAATTATAGATGCATGTGTATATGTGGATTAGTATACATGCATATGTTTCCTAGCTGTGTTTACTGAGAAGGCCTAGAAGCAGTGATATCCCAGTAGCCACAAACACATCTAACGCTCACATCCTGGTTTGTAAATCCTATTCTCCAATAAAAGGATCCAGGACTCCTTTTAAATATGACTGATTCTGGGGCTGGTGATGGGAAAATACAACATAAGCATGGAATATCTTGTAGTGCCAGAAGGCAAGAGATTTCTTAAAAATAATAAAGATTAAGCATGCCAAAAGGGACACATGAGCCAATGTGAAAGAACTCCGAGTGGCCGTAGCTGGAATAATTAGAGCAACAAAATAAAACATGTAGCATTGGATTAAGGATAAATTATTGAGTAAATATACATGAGTTCACAGTGTTATGTATAAATTGTATAAATAAGTAAATGGAGGAGAAGAGATAAATCTCCCTGACAGAAGAATTCCAAATAACATATTGCCCCCTCCAGAAGGGGGATCCTACTTCCCTTCTCCTTGAGAGTATGAGCTGGATTGAGTGAGTCATATCCAAAAATTGAGTTTGGAAGACAGCGAAATACTGACTTGACTATTTCCATTGGAGAAAGCTGGTAAACAACTATGTTAACTAAGTGATCAAGGTTAACATCACAAATGGGAAGTCATGCTGATGTGAAGAGGTGGAAACTTCATCTCTCTGATATTCTTTCCCTAAACCTGTAGCCTCAATCTAATCATTAGGAAAACATCAGACAAATCCCAACTGATGGACATTCTACCACATAAGTTGAGCATTCCTGAAAACTGTCAAGGTTGTGAACAATGAAGAAAGACTATGAACATCTCACTGACAAGAAGAGACTACAGAGTCATGACAACTAAATGTTACATAGTTTCCTGGATCAGGTCCAGAATAGAAATAGGATATTAGTGTAAAAACTGGTGAAATCTAAATAAAGTCTTGACTTTAGTCAATAATCCACCAACATTGGTTTCTTGGTTTGGCCAAATGTACCACAGTAATGTAAGATGCTAAGATAGTGACATTAGAACAAATTGGATGAGGGGTACATAGGAAGTCTGTATATTAAACTTGCAATTTTTCTGTATATCTAAGTTCCCAAATATAAAATAAATTTATTTGAGGTTGATCAATGGGCTGACTATATTGACAAGATACTGATAGGTTACATGTTGAAGAAAACATACAATATAAAATAGAGAAAAAGTCAGTTCCATCCCTTCCCACTCCCCCTTTACCTACCTGCTCCCCAGTACTCATCATTGTGATTTAGTCAGAACAGGGTTTAGTGCCAGAGGTCAGGGTGACTGAGGGTGGAGGAGTTGTGAGCAATGGGTTCATGGCTGTCACAATAATGCTGTGGCAATTCTATGGTTTCCCAGCTGGGAGTTAGGAGTGGGGAGGGGGCTGCAGCCTGATGACAGCCAGCTGAAGGAAGAGCTACCTCTCCCTTCCCTAGCTGCTCATCACCTGAACCCAAGACCACGCCAAACAAGATATGGATGTAGATGCTCTTGCTGAGTCTGTTCCGCAAGAGGGAAAGAAAGGGTAGCTGCTCCAAACACGCCGTCCTCATATACAAGGGTGAGGGGAACAGAAGCATGTGGCTGCTACCAGCAAAGGAAAAGTAGGAGAGCAATAGAAAGGGGAGGAAATGGGAAGAGCAGAAAATCAATATTATTTAAAAAGTGACCTAAGACTTAAAATTGAATTAGTATTTGTACAGAAAGATGCAGGTGGAATAACTCACTCTGGCCTGTGATCAAAATTATATGGAGAAATCATGGTGGGCCCCTTCCTCTGTCCCCAGTGGTGGCACCAGTTGCTGAGTGTGATTAGTTAGAATGGATTCCAGTCTAGTCGTTCAGGCAGAGGAAGTAGTTGCAGTGGGCAGGCAAGAGGGGCTCAGTTGCTGCAGCACTGGCTCTTGCTGGCTGGGTGGTTCTTCTGGAGGTCCGTACCTCAGTTTTGGCCTGGAGCACCAGGTGCACTCTGGGGCTTATTAGGAATCTTCTTAGCTCTCGCCGTGTAAACTTCATTCACGTTCATTGCAGTCTTTACTGATGTCTCCATAGTCAACTGTCGTCGTCTGCATAGTCCTGTGCTTCGTGGAATTCTGGGGCTTTCTTGCTGGCCAGGTCTGCCTTGTTACCCACAAGTACAGTGACAATGTTGGGGCTGGCCTGCCTCTCTAGCTCCTTCACCCATTTCTTGGCTGGTGCAAATGTATCTTTTTTGGTGATTTCATAGTACATGGGGGCTGGGCTATGATACCGCTCCTGTCCAGCGCTGCCCCAGATCTCAAACTTGACTATTGTGTCGTCTAAGCAGACAGTCTGTGTAAGGAAGGCTGCTCTGATTATGCTCTCCTGGTACTCTTGAAATTGTCCCTTGACAAAGTGGAGGACAAGGCTGGATTTGGCCACCATAGACTCATTGTTCCCAGTGGCTGGTCCACCAGGTCGTGTGCTGTGCCTTGCCGACCCGCCACTACCCGTCCAGCTGTTGTGATACCAGAGAGCATGGGGACGGGAGCCATTGCTATGCAAAGAGGCACTTAGTTGGGAAGGGGGTCTCCAAAATGACGCAAGGGCAGTAGTATTACTTGGGGCTGGGGCTCACACAGGCTCCGCTTCTCTCCCCCCACCCCTGGTGGTATCTCCATATAAAAATTTTACTTAAACGCAGAGACCATATATGTACTTAAACACTTGTCTAAAGAAATAAAATATGGCCGGGCATGGTGGCTCATGCCTGTAATCCCAGCACAGAGGCCGAGGCAGGAGGATCACCTGAGGTCAGGAGTTCATGACCAGCCTGACCAACATGGAGAAACCCTGCCTCTACTAAAAATACAAAATTAGCCGGGCATGGCAGCACATGCCTGTAATCCCAGCTACTCAGGAGGCTGAGGCAGGAGAATTGCTTGAACCTGGGAGGTGGAGGTTGCGGTGAGCCAAGATCCCCGCCACTGCACTCCAGCCTGGGCAACAAGAGCAAAACTCCGTCTCAAAAAAAAAAAAAAAAAAAAAAAAAAAAAAAAATTCCCCTGCCTCTCTCCACCCCAGAGGGTAACCATTATCCTAAATTTTATTATTATTATTCACATGCTTTTCTTTATAGGATAGCCATACATGTATCACTAACTGTTCTACCATATCTCATAACCTCTTATATAGTTTCCCTTTTTTGTCATATTTGCTGTGTTCTGGATAATTTCTTCAGATCTATCTTCCGATATTGGTAATTGTATCTTCAGCAGTGTCTCATATTCTGTTTTACCTGACATTGAATTTTATGTAATAATCATTACTTCCATTTTCATTTCTTCCCCTGAAATCAGTTTACTTTATCATTTTGATAAACTCATTTCATTCTCATATATACAATCCTCTTGTTTATTTAAATATATTAAACTTATTTTCTATTTTGTGCCTAGCCTAATATTTAAAGCTTATGCAGTTCTGATTTTGCTGTCTGTTGTTTCTGCTGGCTGTTACTCAAACTGCCTTATTTTCCTGTGTGTTAGCTTGTATTCATTATTTGTGGTGATTTCTGAGACTGAGATGAAGATACGTTTCCAAAGAGAGTATTTACATTTGAATCTGCCAAAAGCCTGGGGATACTGTCAACCTGGGAACACATTCAAATAAATGTTGGGCTTAAAGTTTTGTGGGCTGCATAGGTAACATGAGTTCCAGATCCATAAACCTTCATGAGGGTGGGCTTGTGGTTAAATTTTCAGGGAAGATGTATTTACCTGCACCCAGCATCAAGTTTGAAAGAGGTTAATTTCCTTGTTTATTCCTTCTGTAGGGTAGACATCATTCTATTCAACTCTTACACTAAACATGTATGTAGCTCTTTAGGATCCCAACTTTATGTGGAGAGTCTAATTAGACTTCGTATCGTTAATGTACCCTAGAATTTATCCCCTAAACCTTGGGTTCAGTAGTGTCCTGGTAAATATTTTAAAGCTGGCTGTCCAGGGCAAAAAAAAAAAAATCCTAATTTCTCACATTTTTCTATTTCACACTATGGCTGATTTCACGATACCAGCCTGAAGTCATTGAACGTGGAGTTGGGAAAAGATATGTACAGTTAGCTTTCTCAACTCCAGTGTATCACTGCCAGTTCTGTACATGGCTGTGAAAACTGAAGCTCAATGCACAGGGCTTGGCATATCCCTCAGAATGAAAGAATCTGAGTGTTTGCCTACCCCTCTGGATTTCCATTTTTACTTTGTTTTAACCTTTTGAGTATTCTGTGTCAACTCAGCAATATACTTCAAAAAAAGATTCTTTTGTTTTCTTTTTATTTTAACCCAGCATTTGTTGTTGTTTTTAGCAAAAGTCCTGTGTTAGGGTACCTATTTAGTCAGAAATAGAAGTCTCTGTGCTTGTTTGTAAGTATAATGTATTATTTTTCTTTTTGGGGAAATATAGAAAGAAATAGAAGTCTCTGTTCTTGTTTGTAAATTTAATGTATTTTTCTTTTTTGAGAAATAGAGAAAAGTACAGAGAATATTAAAACACCCATAATCCTATCATATATGTTCATTTTATGTGCATGTATGTCTCTATACATTTTTATATAATTTGCATTATATCTACTATTTCAGTATATGATTTTTGTTAATATATAATGAATGTTTGCTCATGCCGTTAACTATTCCTTTAAAACAGCCCCCATTATATATGAGACTAAACATAAAATGCTGCACACATAGGAGTTAGTATAATTCAGAAATTTAGTCTGTATTGCATTTGGAAATAATTTTGTGAAGGTTATTCATGCAGCATTATTAATAATTGCAAAATATTGGAAACCATATAAATGACCAGTTCTAGAAGATTGGTTGAATATACTCTGGAACATACAATAGACTACTATGTTTATAAAAGCTATCTGTTTTTATAAATATATGGAGTAATTTCCAGGAAATATTACATGAAACAAAAAGCAGAAACAAATACCCATAGTGCTACTTGTCATACAAGAAAAAGGGAGAATTAAAGAATGTGTATGTTCAGGAAGGATAAAGCAGAAAACAGTAAAATTAGTTACAAGAGGTAGAAGGGAGAGTGAGGTGGAAGGGATGTGGGAGGGAGTGAGACTTGGATATTGGGGTATACTTTCTTGGCATAGTTTCAACTTTTGAAAGCATGTTAATGTCCAACATATTCAAACAGTTAAATAAAAATGATATCACTGGGACAGGGACCTAAAATTGTAAACAAACAAGTGAACTTAATTCATTTTTTTTTCTTATTTTTTTATTATTATACTTTAAGTTCTGGGATACATGTGCAGAATGTACAGGTTTGTTACATAGGTATACATGTGCCATGGTGGTTTGCTGCACCCATCAACTATCACCTACATTAGGTATTTCACCTAATGCTATCCCTCCCCTAACCCCCCAAGCCTCAACAGGCCCCTGTGTGTTATGTTCCCTTCCGTGTGTCCATGTGTTCTCATTGATAAAGTTAATTTTAAAGTAAAATGAATACTATATCCATACCGAAAGGGGATAAAGAAGAAAGAAATGAAGGAAGAAGGGAGGACAGATTTATGAACACCAGATTCAACTATATGTCCTTAGCTTGGGGTGGGTGGGAGAGAAATGAAGAATTGCAAACAAATCCTGAACTCACTTTTGTAGGTTTATTTTATTTTATTTTATTTTTTTGAGGTGGAGTCTGGCTCTGTCGCCCAGGTTGGAGTGCAGTGGCGTGATCTCCGCTCACTGCAAGCTCGACCTCCTGGGTTCACGCCATTCTCCTGCCTCAGCTTCCCGAGTAGCTGGGACTATAGGTGCCCACCACCACGCCTGGCTAATTTTTTGTATTTTTAGTAGAGACGGGGTTTCACCGTGTTAGCCAGGATGGTCTCGATCTCTTGACCTTGTGATCCACCTGCCTTGGCTTCCCAAAGTGCTGGGATTACAGGTGTGAGCCACCGTGCCCGGCCTATAGGTTTATTTTAATGGTATGGGCAAACTAAATCAGAGACTATTTTGAGCAAATGAGTGAGCCTGGTTTCTCACTATGGAAGAAGGGACAAACATATAGACAGGAGGAAGACAGGTAAGAATTCTGTGTAGAGGAATTGGATTGGAGGTGTCTGTGTACATATGGACATTTCTGTGTGTGTATGTATCTGTTGATGTGTGTGCATGTATTTTTGTATATGTATATGTATGTGTGTGTGTGTGTGTGTGTGTGTGTGTGAAGAGACATTCATATATTTCTTAGCTCTATTGCTGAAAGAGCAAAGGAGCGAAGTCACAATAGTAGTGACACACCTAGCGTTATTTCCCACTGTTAGTTTCCTAAGGCTGCTGTAATAAATTACCGTAAACTTAACAGAAATTTATTCTTTCATAGTTCAGGCGGCCAGAGCTCCAAACCGAAGGTGTTTGTGGGGTTGGTTCCTTCTTGGGGAGGCAGAGGGAGAACCTATCCATACCTCTCTCCTAGCTTCTGGTGGTTGTGCATAATCCTTGGAGCTTGATGGTTTGTGACATTATAACTTCAATTCCTGCCTTCATTGTCATATGACATTCACCCTATGTTTACCTGTCCAAATTTTACTCTTTTTATCAGAGTAATCCACTCATTAGGGCCGACTCTAATTCACTGTGACTTTATCTTAACTTCCAAAGACCCCGTTTCTAAATAAGCTCACATTCACAGGGTTAGTACCTGATTATGACTTTTTGAGGAGCACAGTTCAGTCCCTAATGCCTACTAAAACTAAAGCTCTTCACTCAAATGACTGGCTTCAGTCTGGGGCAGGGTAGGTACAAGATGAACCTAGAACATGTTGTAATGCCAAAAAGTAAGGAAATGCTAAAAAGTAAGATAAGTTGTTTGTTAAGTATACAGAATCTAGCTTGAAGAGTTCCCCACTGGTCAAATCTAGGGCAATTTGAGCATCAAATAATTAAATACAGTAATGAATTATAAGCTGTTGGAAATAAAGAACTTTATAAGACCATTCCAATCACTAATGGGTGGATGGATAGAAAATGAAGATATTTTACTTACAGTGGCATGCTGAAAGTTGACCAGCAAATGTGGAGGTTGTGCTAGAGTTGGGAAAAAACAAAACAAGGAAACCTCATTTTGCAGTCATCATGTTAAAGATTAGATCAGGCAAAAATCATCAATGGTTGTAACATCTAAGAGGACAGACATGTTGATGAAGAACAGAATATTTACATGGTCTTGAAATGTTGTATGGGAGAAGAGAAAAACAGCAACAATGCAGTGGAGAAATCAGACAACACATTGACAGGGTGATCACAAGTATCACCTCCAGTGAGAGTCAAATGAACATTGTTTGCCTCCTTATGTGTTTATCTGTCCCTGAGAAGTACACAACATCATCTATGCAGTTTCTGGCCCAGAATGCATCTCAACTCAATCACAAGAGAATATTATGCATACATACAGAAAAAGAAAGAATACAACTGAACATAGATGATAAAGAAAATGAGGTAAAAATGTGACAACAGATGAAAATGGATAAAGGTATTTTCTGTGTTTTTATTTTTGGAACTTTTTGTACATTGAAATGATTGCCAATGGAAAAGTTTAGATAAATTGTCCTAAAGTTACAGAGAACTTGCAGGGAAAAACATCTTAAAGTAGACTAATAGTGGAGAGTCATAAAAGACACTTGGCAAATCTTCTTAGTTGAATATTATTCAAACTATTCAGTCAGGGAACTGATTTTGTGCTAATTATGAAATGCATTATTGCATTGACTTTATGTCTCTTACAACATTAAATTATGTTACCTAGGATCAATTTGAGATTCAACACATGATAGTAGTTTAATACAGTGAAGTCATAACTTGCAACAAACTATCCCAATTTTAAGAATTAATTCTGAGCAATTTTTATATGCATGAAAAAGATGGTTAGAATTATTTGCAGACACTTGCATATTCTTTAGTCAAGTGGTCTTATTACCATAATTCATATCTGTTGTGGGAGTAGGGAAGAAAGAGATTTAAAAAATATCTATCAGTTCTTTCAATCAAGTTAGGTATAATATTAATAGACTTTGAGCTAAGAAAGTTTTCATGACCAGAAGAGGAGCAGGAACTGTCTAACATAGAAAATGTTTATGGTATACCATAATCAGTTATACAAATATAAAAGGAAAAAATGTTTGACTAGTGATACTCTCAAACTTGGATATCCAGAAGAGTGATTCTGTCAGTACACTAAAAGCAAATTCATCTATCAGGAGCTTTCATGTTTTCATTCAACAAATATTTATCCAGTGCCTATTATGTACCAGATAGTGTTATACTGTGAATCGGGAGCATATGTTAAAATAGACAATATAGTAGACATTATTCTCTAAAATTATTAACAATAGTAGCTAATACTCATATGATACTTACTCTGGGCCACATACCATTCTAAGATCTTTACATATAGTAATTCCTTTACCTCAAACAACCTTATTAGATTGGTACTATTATTACCTCTATTTTATTGATGAAGAAACAGAGGCACGGAGGTGTTAACTTTCTCCAGGTTTCACAGCTAAAAGTAGCAGACCCAGGATTTTGAATCCATCAGACTGGCTTGTGTCCAAGCTTTTTTTAATTAATTTTTTTTATTTTGACATAATTTGTAGATTCACATGCAGTTGTAATATAATACAGAGAGATCTCATGTACTTTTTACTCAGTTTCTCGAGGTAACTTCTTACAAAACTATAGAACCATATCATAACCATCATATTGACACTGATATAGTCAAGGCTCCAAATATATCTGTCACCACAATGATCCTTCATGTTGCCCACCCACTTCCCTCTGTTCACCTATTGAAAGACATCTTGGTTGTTTCCAGTTTGGAGCTATTACAGATAAAGCTGCTGTGAATATTTGCACATAAGTTTTTGTATGAACACCAATTTTTGGCTGGGCGTAATGGCTCACACCTGTAATCCCAGCATTTTAGGAGGCCGAGATGAGAGAATTGCTTGAGGCCAGAAGTTCATGACCAGCCTGGTCAACGTAGCAAGACCCCATCTCATTTTATAAAAATAAAAAATTATTTTTTAAAAGGAACATCAATTTTCATTACTTTAGACTGCCTCTAAGCTTTTAATTCTTACATTCTACCACCTCTCAATATATAGTAGGGAATAAATAGTAGAGAATGACTTGATGGTTAAGTTGACATTCAGAAGAGGCCTGAAGGAAGTGAAGAAAAAAGCCATACAGCTGTTTGGGGAAAGCACATTTCAAGCAGAGGGAACAAGCACAGAGGCCTTGAGAAGGAAATATGCCTAGAGTGTTTGAGACAGAGCAAGGCGGCTGGAAGGAGATGAGTTCTACAAGGCAGCTATGAGCCAGGTCTATAAGATGTGGCTGCTATATAGAAAATAGATGGTGGTTGGGCAAGTGTTGAAGCATGGGGAACTATTAAGAGGCTGCCCATCGGAGCTTGCAGTGAGCCGAGATCCCGCCACTGCACTCCAGCCTGGGCGACAGAGCGAGACTCCGTCTCAAAAAAAAAAAAAAAAAAAAAAAAAGAGGCTGCCCATGTGAGAGATGATGGTAGCTTAGACTTATGGTGGAAGTGTTAAAGATGGTTCAGATTCTAGATATGTTTTGAAGAAGAGCTCACAAAAATTTTTCTGATGGGCTGACAGTTGGATATGAGAAAAGGAAAGGAGGCAAGAATGATTCCATTTACCAGGTTCCAAGAGAATGATTACAGAAACCAATAGATTGCCTTATTTATTTATAGTAGGAAATGTAGTTATCACATCGGCCCAAATGTTTGTGTCTGCTTAATCCGCATATCTGTTTCTTTAGGCAAACTTGCATTGGAATGTAATGGCGACTGCAGAATCAGGATAAGGGGACTTGAATAAATCAGTCTTTAAATGCATCTGAGGCCGGGCATGGTGGCTCATGCCTGTAATCCCAACACTTTGGGAGGCCGAGGTGGGCAGATCACTTGAGGTCAGGAGTTTGAGACCAGCATGCCCAACATGGTGAAATCTTATCTCCACTAAAACTACGAAAATTAGCCAGGTGTGGTAGCTGGCACCTGTAATCTCAGTTGCTCGGGAGGCTGAGGCACGATAATTGCTTGAACCTGGGAGGCGGAGGTTGCAGTGAGCCTAGATTGTGCCACTGTGCTCCAGCCTGGGCAACAGAGCAAGACTCTGTCTCCAATCAATCAATCAATCAATCAGTAAGATACATTTCACTCCAGCCTGGACAACAGAGCAAGACTCTATCTCAGTCAATCAATAAGATACATTTATCTCTTTAGTAGGGACCTGAAAAAATTAAATTCCATAGACAAAAGGCTTTCTGAGCTCTTCTTTAATAAGTAGTGTTGGCAGATGCAGTGGCTCATGCTTATAATTCCAGCACTTTAGGAGGCCAAGGCGGGAGGATCCCTGAGGCCAAGAATTTAAGACGAGCCTGGTCAACATAACAAGTCCCTGTCTCTACCAAAATAATAATAATAATATTTAGACATGGTGGCTTGTGCCTGAGGTCCCAGCTACTCGAGACGCTGAGGTGGGAGGATCCCTTGAGCCCAGGAGGTCAAGCCTGCAGTGATCCATGGTTGCACCACTGCACTCCAGCCTGAGCAACAGAATTTTTATTTTTATTTAAAATAAAAGTAGCACAAACATTTGCTTTTGTTTCTCTTTCATAATGCACCAACACTACCCTAACCCCCAACATAATCCTTTTGTAGATTTGTTAATATATTCAGACAGGCCATATTCCATATCTGATCCTACTTAGTGGTTTGATGGTTGGCTAAAAGGCAGTATTAATATCTGTTATTTCCATGCTATTGAGGGATATCTCACATTGATCATCCTTGTATTGGCAATAGAAATAAATGGTGATAGTATTTTTTTCATTTAGATAAATTTAGCACTGCTCTTAGTATTATTGAAACTTAGTTTAGGAATGTATCATTTATCTATAATCATTTATTGCTGAAGTGAACCCTTCTTTAAATTTTCCTCTTCCAAATATTGATGTAGTTCTTTCTTTCTTCATCAGTTCCATGCATACAATTCAATTTTCTTCATGACACGGGATCATCATCTATAACGTCTGTTACTTATAGGACTATTCTATGAGTCTCTTCAAGTGTATACATGTATTTGCTTTTATTTTAAGTTACTCAAATTGTTATATATTTTGAGTACTTATATATACATTTTAATAATTTTACTAGCCCTGGAGCTGGTGGTGTGTCATCTTCAACTTCCTTTTTAAATTCCTTCTAATTTCTTAGGGTGGGAAAAATCTAATTCAGTAGATTGAATTTTTAGAAAAGAGTAGATAAACTGATGTCTAAATATTTAGGTATTTGTCTATTCTGGAACCTTTTTGCTTCATGATTTTTCTTTTTTACTTTGCATTCCTGAGATTTCCTTTCATGAACTGGAAGGCTTTACTTTACTAAGTGACTCAGCAGTAGCTCTATGTATCTTTTAGTTGGAAATGCCTTTGGCTCTATGCATGCACACACTGCCCATTAATTAGCAAACCAACATAGAATCATCTGTTGATGACAAAATTACCAAAATGGATCATCCATAAGTGTTTATACTGCAAACAGTGTATCAGAAATGTCATAATCTCATTCATTAAGAAATTTACATACACACCAGATTTTAGAGTGCTCATTCATGATGAATGTCTACTTCCACACTGTTTGTTTGGAAACATTCAATAGCCAGTCTTGAATTTAAAAAATTTAATTGAATGCTTAAAGAATTACAAGTGTTCCTTTCCTTGGCTCTAATGCTAACCAAAGTGCTTTTCTAAACTGCTAAGAATGGACTGAAGATTCTGCTGAGGGCTGTAGATACTTATCTGCCTAATTGAGCCATCATTTGTTGACATGAAGAAAACCACGTGACCTACTTTAATGCATTTCTCAGTAGCAGCAGGAGGCTAGAATGTAGTTCATCCAACAGTAAAACTAGCAGCAGTATTATTA
Source organism: Homo sapiens (assembly GCF_000001405.40). Lineage (NCBI taxonomy): Eukaryota > Metazoa > Chordata > Mammalia > Primates > Hominidae > Homo > Homo sapiens. Next base: position 74,433,548 of record NC_000010.11, read on the forward strand.
GACATGTGAAAATAGCATTGGTTATGGGATTAGTTTTGTAAAGTAAGGATAGTAATATAAAGGTATATAGTCATAATATAAACAGTATAGAGTGATTTTTTTATTTTCAAAATTATTTGAATCCAATAATCATTTAAGTCAGTCATTCAGTAACTATTTACCAATGTTTACAGTTGCCAGCTATATTAAAGGAATTGTTGACTTGTCAAAGTTGATTCATATGAGAGTAACAGTGTTAAAATCTGAAACTGGTATGGATTGCTAAAACGAAATACTTTGAGTACACAGGGAATTACTATGATCAAAACTATGCTGGATACATTAATTTGACCATGTGTCTTTAAATTGGAGGTGAGGAAGATTAGTTACAGATACATTAATTAGAAAGGTGTTATATTAGTCTAGGTTGAGGCTGATATAAGTAAGAAAGTAGGAAAGGATGCAAAAGCCCTTGGAAATGAATATTTGTGTGTGGTGAAGTAAAATGAGGTAGAGGTTACCCTTTTACATGACTTGAGAGAATCATGGCTCATTTAGTAAATCCAGAGGGAGAAATGATTTTCTATATATATAATGAGTTTGGAATACAGGAAGAATGCCAAAAATAACATCTTAAGGAATTCTTCCTAAATAGTGAAGAAAGAAATTAGTATCAACAGAAGAGACAGAAAAGGATGGTTATGAAAGATAGGAGGTCATCGCTGTCTAAAATGACTGATGGATTTTGATTACACCACTGGTGATAGAAAAAAAATTATTAGAGAAAAGTGTAGTCTGAGAACTATTTGATCTTAGTCTGTAATGAATGAAATATAAAATTTGAGACTATTTGGAAACTGTTTAACAAGTTTACACCCCCTTCCAGCAAATACAAAATTACAACAAATTTAAAGATGTTAATTGGTTTTTATTTGCAATTCTAAAATCGGACAACAACCTCATTCTATTAAATAGAATGAATATTCCAGTAAGCTGAGCAGAGGAAGTTGACTTTATAGACAGAAAAGGGCTGAGGAAAGCAAAAACAGAAAACAAAATGTGGATTGGTATTTCCAAAATTACTTTTCTTATAAAGGTTAAAGCAGAGGGGACTTCCTTATACCAGCTAAAACTGGTCTGTTTGGGGATCTGGCTATTATCTGTTTCTCCTGATTTCTTGGAAAGTAAGATAAACAACTATGTTTTAGCTTAGTGATGTGGAACTTCAGCTTGAGTGACTCCATTTTGGTTTGGTCTGGTGGGCCTAGTGCAGGAGCTTAGTCCAAACTAATGGGATCCTATACATTTTGTTTAACACTGCCAACATCCTGGTGCACGATCATCAGATTTCTCATTGAACAGGGAATGGATGACTTTGAATGTTGGAGAGCACCTGTGGTGAGTTGTTTATATATAATCTGTAAACTAGTTATGCACAGTAGCACTATATATGGGTCTATGTTGGACTAGAGGATAAAAAATAACTTGGCCTTCACCTCAGAGAGTTTAAGAATCACTATGCCACCAGAAAGATGGTAGTAGTAGGCACATTACATCGAGTGAAGACTGTTGGGTGAGAGGGAAGGTTTGCTTAAAGATATAAGAGATTTGAGTTTGTATATTGTCTAAGGAAGATATGATAGAACAGAAGACTGATAATGCAGTGTGGAAGAGTGATAACTGCTAGATGGAATTGAGATCAAAGGTTTATAGATGAAGACTTTATCCTTGGAAAAATACATTTACATTTATTTAATGTTTAGTTTTTAAATTAGATATTATGTAACTTGAGCCTCACAGTAATCCAATGAATTAGGTGACATATGGTTGGTATAATTCATCCGCCTTTACATTTAAGAAAATTGAGACACAAAAAATGTTGTGTGTTATCCACAGTCATGTGGTTAGTAAATGGGGAGATATTTTCATGCCCAGTTCTATGCTATAACTACTATTATGTCTGAAAATAAAGGCAGAAAAAAATACTTGAAGAAAAAATGGCAAAAAACCGCCCAAATTTATTGAAAAACATTTGTTTATACATCTAGGAAGCTCTTTGAACACCAAGTACAATAAATGCAAAGAGATGCACACCTGGCCTCATAATAGCAAAATCTTGACTATTTGACAAGGACAAAAGGAAAATCTTAAACTCAGCAAATCACAACAGGGGAACACAAAATTAACAGCTTACTTCTCACCGGTACCAATGAAGCCAGAAGGTAATGAGATAACATATTTAAAGTGCTGAAAGAAAAAAATCATCAGCAAATAACCTTATGTCCAGCAAAAATATGTCAAAAATAAAATGAAATATTTTCCTAGATAAGCAAGTCTAAGAGTGTTCATTGCTGGAACATCTGCCTTACCAAGAAATACTAAAGAAAATTCTTTAAGCTGAAATTAAATGACAACAGATAGCAATTTAAATCTATACACAAAAAACAAAGAGCATCAATAAAGGTAATTATGTAAGTAATTACAAAAGACAGTATAATGACATATTTCTTCACTATTCTCTCAACTCATTTAAAAGCAAATGCATACAGCAATTTGTGTATAATTGTATTTAGGCCCTATGACTTATTAGAATGTAATGTATATGATGATAACAGCAGAAAGGAGGTGCATGGCAACAAAGCTCTATTGGAGTGAGTAAGAAAAGGACACCAGATGGTAAACTAAATTCACAAGATGAAATGAAGAAAACCAGAATGGTAAATAAGAAGATTAATATAATAAACTCTTTAAATGCTTGTAGTCCTAGCTACTTGGGAGGCTGAGGCAGGAGAATCGCTTGAACCTGGGAGGCGGAGGTTGCAGTGAGCCAAGATCATGCCACTACGCTCCAGCCTGGAAATCATAAGGAATAGAAAATATATTTACTATTCATTAAGTGGAATTGAATCATCATAAAGGTCTTCATCCTCTTAGTCTTCATTTACTGTCTCCAAAAAAAAAAAAAAGTTTCCATGACTCTTCAGTAGATTATCATAAATTAAGATGTATATTGTAACCCTTAGGGCAACTGATGAGAAAATAACAAAAAATTCTAGTTAAAAATTATTAAAATGCCCCTATAATATGCTTAACTGATTTTTGACAAAGGTATAAAGCCAACTAATTGGTGAAAAGATAGCCTTTTCAAAATGTTGCTGTGGCAACATGACGTCAAAAGTGAAAAGTGGCCAAAAGACCAAAAAGTGAACCTTGACCTGATACAAAAATCGAGTAAATGGATCACAGCCTTAAATGTAAAACGATGAAACTTTTATGAAAAACATAGGAGACAATCTCAGAATCTAGGGGTAATCAAATTTCTACTGAAAATTTTAGTAGCCACAGCAAATAAGCAATAAATAGAAAGAAATGTCATTAAGGTTGGAAAGAAGTGAAACTACTCTTATTTGTAGATGACATTTTGCATATAGAAAATCTTAAGGAATCCACTAAGAAAAATAAAGGAGGACAGGTAGTGATAAATGCAAAAACAGAAAGTAATGAAATAGAAAACAAGAAAATAGAATTAAATCTAAAGCCTTTTTAAATAAAATTAACAAAATAATCAAAGTGGTCATAACACTAAGCAAGTGAAAAAAGAAAAGATAGAAGCAATATTATAAGTGAAAAACAATGTTTAATCATAAACAATTCTAAGAAATTTGGACCAATAAAAGTTTGACAAAAATCTGAAGTTCTCTAATTTGTTTATATATTTTTGGTATTTATGTATTTATTGTCATAGGTTTCTTAGTTAGATTCATGGCCAAAAGTACCATCCAAAAAACTATTTCCAAATGTATATTTTTAGCACATACCTCTTTTCTGATCTCCAAACTTAATGACCAACTGGTTATTTAGATTATTATATGCAAATAGACTTCTTAATATACAGTGTCAATCCTGTTTCTCTTATGTTTAATACATCTCTGTATATGGTACCACTGCAGGGTTTGACTCATGTGCCCTAGCCAAACCCTAGGAGTCATCCTTGATTTTTTCTTTTCCTTCAATAAGTCCCTATCTTTATATCTGGAACCCATTTACTCTTCTTTTATCAGCAATTACCATTCTATTACAGACCATTAGTATTTTTCTCCTGCCCTACTGCTATAGTCTCCTGACTGATCTCCTTCTACTTTTTAACCCTTTCAAACCATTCTCCACAGAATAGCTGGAGTGGCCTTTTAAAAATGCAAACCAGCATAAAACATTTTGATGTTTAAATCCCTCTCATGGCTGCCAATGATTGCTCATAGAATAAACTCCAAACTTTCTGCCATGGTGTATAAAGCCCTACATGTCTTACATGGCTTTCCTCCTACCTGTCTAATATCATCTTATTCTAGTTCTTTCTCATTGATTATTCCTTTAACAACCAAGCCCTTTTCCTTCAAAAGTCCTTCACTCTTACTCCTCCTTCCTGGAATGCTCTTCACTGTTTTCTAAGGGCTGACTCATGTATAACCTTCAACATTCAACTCAAATGCCATCCTCTTAGAGAGTCATTTTCTGGTTAGCTATCTAAAGTAGCTTTCCCTGTTCCTCCATGAGCTGTTGTCATAATATCCCTCCAACCCCCAACCCCCACCTTATATAACCATGCTTGTCTCCTTTGTTGCAGTTATCTCCATTTGTAATTAACTTGTTTAAATCCTCCTAGAATGCCAGCTAATAAGAAGGTAAGGTCCTTGCCTCTCTCTCTCTTTTTTTTTTTTTGAGACAGTCTCCCCTGTCACCCAGGCTGGAGTGCAATGACGCCATCTCGGCTCACTGCAACCTCCACCTCCCGAGTTCAAGCAATTCTCCTGCCTCAGCCTCCCAAGTAGCTGGGATTACAGGTGCCTGTCACCACATCCGGCTAATTTTTTTTTTTTTTATCTTTAGTAGAGATGGGGTTTTACCGTGTTAGCCAGAGTGGTCTCGAACTCCTGACCTCGTGATCCCTCCGCCTCAGCCTCCCAAAGTACTGGGATTACAGGCATGAGCCACTGCCCCCGGCCTTGCCTCTCTTAATAACCATATTACCTCTGGCAACCAGCATAGTGCCTGGTATTTATTGTGCTCAGTATGCATCTGTTGAATATTATTATTTTGTATACTCTATAGTGATGAGCATGTTGTAAGCAACCCGATATGTATAAATTCATTGATGGTGTTCTCTCTCTAAATTTTCTTTATTGTTTTCATGGTGGGTTCATTTCCTCCTTTACCCCCTCTTTTTAGGTTGTATAATCATTAGTTTTATTTTCATCTCTGATTTTATATGGACATGTTTCAATGCATACAGACAGTTAATATTCTTTTCCTCCTAATTATCTATTATATATATCATCTTCAGTATCATCACCATTCAAAAAACTCTTTTATATGTTCTAGATAATGTGGCCTATTTTTTACGTTAGACTACCTGATAAGGTGTCAACTGAATTGGCTGCCTTTATCTACATTCTGAACCAAAATTTAATTCTAGAGTTTGTAGTCAGCGTTTTTCCAAATGTGTAAAACTGTAATCCTTCATAAAATGTCATATGTAAAAGAGTAAGCAATTCTGTGTGTACTAAAAGGTGAGAAAGTTATTACTTTAGCTTTCACTGGGAAGACTTAAAGTTTATCAAAAAGGATTATAGAAAGAACAGATTTATAGCAACTGTCTGATATATGACCAGAACCCTTATGTTCCACTGAAAGAGACTTGCCCTAGGCTTTCTAGAGCATAATGCCCTTAGCAAGTAGCTTTCAACATCTTTTTCAGGAAGCAATATTTTCCTTCAGTAAAAGGGTCACTGTACTGTTTTTCTTTTTCCTTCCCTGTCTTATCTTTTGAGTTCAGGAAGTACTTTAAATTTACAGGCAGCTTTGAAGACATGAAGCAAGTTCAGCCCCAGAAGTATTTCCTGTTATGGCATTAATCTAATTCCATGAAAGTAGAACTGATTTTTCATCTGTAAAGTAGATAAAGTGCCTAGAGCAGCCGACCATTATTCTGGGTTATCATGATAAAGAGGCTTAGTTTTGACACAAAAGAGTTTATCAGCCTACCCAGTGGAAGATTTCATCCTTTTTGTTGAAAGATATATTAATGGATTATAATCTGTCTTGGCTTCCAAAAGAAAGTTCACCTTTATATTGAAAATGATTAGTTAAATCAGCAAATATTTTCCTGAATATACATTTTATAATATACGATAAATCAAGCAAACATTCTAGGGATATCACATATAATTAAATATCTAATGTTAAATCATTTTATGTTATTTTAATGTTTAAATTATTGTCTCAATTTGAAATAATCACAGATTTTCCTTATAAACCAACTTGGTTTAATTTTAACATATAGACTAACATAATTTCTAGTAGGCATATATGCTTCATTTTAGAAGCCCCTGTTATTAGGTTATATAATTTCTCCTTACAACTTATAATGTAGAAATAGTTTTCTTATAATAAGGTATTTCTCTTAATAGTTAATAATTAAACTTAGTTGATTATTTTAAGTATATAGTACATACAAATAATATATAATTCAAAAGCTATAATATATTTTTCCTATCCCTATTTCCTGGTTCCTCTCTAAGCTAAGGCATTTAGACTAATCCTAGTGGCTTAGTATTGTTTAAATAATTTTTTATTTGAAAATTGATTCCATATTGGACATATTTACAATATTTCCTTGAATAATAATAGCTTACCACATAGTAATACATTACATATTTAGTTCTCTCAGTAGCCTTCTGAGTTAAATTCTGTTATCCATTTGAAAAATGCAGGAACTCAAGGTTAGAGAGGTTAAATAATTGGCTAAAATTCACCTGGCTGATAAGTGACAGATTTGGGCTGGAACTCAGGTCCTCTAATACCAGAGCCTATATTCATAGCCCATACTGTAGGATTATAGAAATAAGGTTATTCCCAGTTGTGCCTTTTATACTTGAAAAGAACAAAAGATTCCACTGAATGCTTATTTTACAATTAATAAATTAAGTTAGGCTTTATCATACCCTAATGAGATATCTTATTATTTGTTTAAAATAAATGATCTACCATTATGTTCATAAATAAAAATAAAGATATTGTTTTATTATAGATGTTAATGTTTTAAAACTTAGATCATCTAAACATGAAAAATCTCTGGCCTAGTCAAAGGCACACTGAGAACTAAACTTGGGATTGGAAAATTTGGAGTTTTCAAATGGCCCTACCAATTCAGCGCATAATTGTATATGCTTATCATTTTTCCAAAGAGGGTTGAATAGTATTCTTCCATTGTATATCTTAGGGAGGCATTATAAAGGTAATATGACATCAGATGTTAAACTTACTTATTTAACCAGCATTCATTGAGGCTGCCTACTATACGTATCCTGTGAAGCAATGTGACCAATACAAAGATGAAGAAAACATGGGTGCTGTCTTTAGTGAACTACCCATCTTCTAGGAAGAATAAGATCTATTGTAATATAAACAAGAGTGATGAGTCCTTAGTATATGTGAAGGTCTCCTCAGCTAAGTTCCAAAAAGTAACAAGCTAACTGTAATTTCACCACCTTAGTATTTTATGAACACCACCTTAGTTTTTATGAACTCAGGACCTTACCTCCACTTTATGAAAACACATATACACAAAGCAAGGAGTTTTAATAAGCACTTGAAAAGATGCTAATCTTAGCCATCAGACAGTGGCATAACCATGTGAGCTTTATCTTAACACCCACTAGGATGTCTATAATCAAGAAGACATAATACCAAGTGTTGACAAGGATGTGGAGAACTTGGAACCCTCATGCACCACTGGTGGAAATATTGGCAGTTCCTCAAAAGGCTAAACACAGAGTTACCATATGACCCAGCAATTCCACTTTTAGATATATACCAAAGAAAAATGAAAACCTGTGTTTACACAAAAATGTGTATATGAATGTTTATGGCAGCATTAATTATAATAGTCAAAAGGTAGAAATGACTGAAATGTTCATCAACTGCTGAATGGATAAATAAAATTAGATTGTTATTTTACATGAGACACAAAAATGAACTCAAAACAGATTAAAGATTTAAACATAAAACCTGAGACCTTAAAACTCAGAAGAAAACATATTAGAAAAGCTCCGTGACACTGGTCTTGCAATGACTTTTTATGTATGACACTAAAAGCACAGGCAGCAAAAGCAAAATTAAACAAAATTGTATCTATATCAAACCAAAAAGTTTCTGCACAGCAAAGGAGACAACAAAAGAAAAGGCAACTCACAGAATGGGAGAAAATATTTGTAAACCCCATATATGATAAAAGGTTAATTATCCAAAATATGTAAGGAACTCATACAACTCAATAGCAGAAAACCCGATTAAAAAATGAGCCCAGGACCTGAATAGACATTTTCCATAGAAGACATACAAATGACCCAGGTATATGAAAACATGTGCAGTGTCCCTAATCATCAAAGAAATACAAATCAAAAGACCACAGTGAAGCTGGGTTCAGTGGTGGTGGTGCGTACCTATAGTGCCAGCTACTTAGGAGACTGAGATAGGAGGATCAGTTGAGCCCAGGGGTTCAAGGCCAGCCTAGGCAACATAGGAAGACCCTATCTCTTTAAAAAAAGAAAAAAAAAATTACTCCCCCACCCCCACTTTCCTCTCCCTCACAATGAGATACTACCTTAAATTTGTGACTGTTATCAAAAAGTCAAAATCATGTGGAAAAAAGGGATCCCTTGTTAGCGGGAATGTAAATTGGCACAGAGATTATGAAAAACAATACGAAAGTTCCTTTAAAAACAGAACTACTATATAATCCAACAATCTCATTTTTGGATATAAATCTAAAGGAGATCGGCCGGGCATGGTGGCTCATGCCCGTAATCCCAGCACTGTGGAAGGCCGAAGTGGGCGGATCACTTGAGGACAGGAGTTGGAGACTGGCCTGGCCAACATGATGAAACCCCATCTGTACTAAAAATATAAAAATTAGCTGGGCGTGGTAGCACATGCCTGTAATCCCAGCTACTTGGGAAGCTGCGGCAGGAGAATCGCTCAAACCCAGGAGGTGGAGGTTGCAGCGAGCTGAGAACATGCCACTGCACTCCAGCCTGGGCGACAGAGTGAGACTCTATCTCTAAAGAAATAAATAAATAATTAAATAAACGGAAATGAAATCAGTATGTTGAAGAGATATTTGTACTCCCGTGTTCAGCTGCATTATTCACAATAGTCAAAATAGGGAAATACCCTAGGAGTCTGTCAACAGATGAATGGATAAAGAAAGTATATGTATATATAAACAGTGGAGTACTGTTCAACCTTAAAAAAGAAGGAAATCCTGCCATTTGCAACAACATAGGTGAACCTGCAGGACATTATGCTAAGTGAAATAGGCCAGACACAAAAATATAGATACTGTGTGATCTCATTTATATATGAAATCTTAAAAAGTCAACCTCATAGAAACAGGGTAGAAAGTGTGGTTGGGGGAGGGAAGAAGGGTAGTGGAATGATGGGGAGATTTTGGTCGTGGGGTGTAAACTTTTAGTTATAGGATGAATACGTTCTGGAGACCTAATGTAAAACATGGTAACTATAGTTTATAATTATGTATTGTATACTTGAAATTTGTTAAGAAAGTAGCTCTTAAGTCTTCTACCACACACAAAAAAAGATAAATTTGTAAGTTCATGGATATGTTAATTGGCTTGATAGTGGTGTCATTTCACAACATACACATATATCAAAACATCATATTTTATACTGTGAATAAATGTAATTTTTGTCAGTTATAACTCAAGAAAATTGAAAGAAAAATGTATTATATCCACACAGTGAAATATTATTTAGTAATAAGCAGGATGAAGTACTTTCATCCATGCTGCAACATAGATAAACCTTTAAAACATTGTGCTAAGTGAAAGAAGCCATTTATAAAAGGCTGTCTATTGTATGATCTCATTCATGAAAAGTCTTAAATAGGTAAATCAATAAAGACAGAAGGTATATTGGTGGTTGTCTTAGGCTGAAAGTGTTGTGGGACAATGCTACACTCCTAATAGATACAGGATTTCTTTGGGAGTTAGACAACTAATCTAAAATTGACTGTGGTGATGGTTACACATCTCCGTCAATATACTAAAAATCACGAATTGTATGCTTTAAATGCAATTTATATGTGAATTAGATCTCAATAAAGCTTTTATTTTAAAAAATAGATGGTATTAACAAAACTTTTAGACTACTGTGACCACTTGGCACACCTAACAACAAAGCATCCAAGGAGATTAATATTTAAACGTACATTATAATATGAAAGGCATGAATTTAGATGGGGGCATGTAACCTCTTGAAGAAATATATAATGTAAAAGTGTTATTATTGCTATTTTATTTCTTATTTTAATCAAACACTGTGATAGTATTATTCATTCCACTGTAACCCCTATTGGATAAATACATTATAGTATTTAGAATAAAACTCATGTGTTAGTAAGCCAGTGAGAAAGAATCATACCAGAGCTTTATAGATCACCAGTTCTATCTCCTGTCCCTCCATTTCAGGTATATGCAACTGGCCTACCTGTTCAGAGTATTAACTCTATGGTGCTTCATCAGTCAGACCATCCACTATGCCCAAATGAGTAATATGTCCAAACTGTATTTGCAAAATGCATTTCTTCACAGAAATTAATATCCTGTGCAAATGCTGGCTAATTGATTATTACTCTTTCATAAAGGCTTAATTAGGTAGGAAACCCAGTACCTGCAGCGAGAGAGGAAGAAAAGTCTTTCCTAGGGCTAGATCCTGACCCAAGGTTTTGGATTTTAATGGGGCAGAGTTGTCTGTTTTCTATTAAACACATACTTGGGAGTAAGTAGACTTGCCCATCTCCTGTTTTATACTGATCTTTTCACGAATGTGAACCTTTTTCTTGAAAGAGTAAATATCTTTAAATTTTTCTGTAGCCTTCCCTGTTACAAGTTAAATGTTCCTACTTCTCTAGAGTATTTCGAAGTGTTTATTTAAATAAGTAAACATGGATAGACACTATTTTGTAGCAAGGGGTTGGGGGAGTATACTCTAAGGCAGCTTCTCTCTGACAGCTTATCTTTCTTATAAGTATAGTGTAAACATATAATTTATAATGTGGGAAAAGAGGGTTTGATCTTTTAATAAAGCCATTTCTTTTTATTTCAGAGTTAAGGAGTTTAAATTCTTTTTCTTTAGCATCTAGCAGTGAGTTCAGGGGTGATGGTCATTAATATCTTGATCCATTACTTTTCCTAAAAGATAAGATTTTTTTTCCCATAATGGTTCATTTGTCTGACTGCTTTATTTCCCACCAGAAATCACAAAATCCATTTTTCCTGTGACAGTATAATAATTTTCACAACATCTGATTTTAGTGGCACATACATGCAGAAGATTAAAGGTGTAGGTTAGAAAAGAAGCAGTAAGAAGGCATTGAGAATAAAAACATGGTAGAATTTATTTCTTTAATGTCATAATAACTAATTTAGAAAAACAAATATAAACAATGGGTTGTAAATAGTTTATTCAATATTTTAATAAAGAATTAATTCATTACATGCACACTTATTTTTACATACTTGCCCAGATTTCTTACCAAAAAAAATTTTCTCGCCCTATTCTCAAACAAAATTTATAGACATTATATACAGCCTCTGTTGAAAAGACCTTCTGTTAAAATCAGCTGCCCTTAGCTTGACATATCTTGAGTTCTTAGTGATTAACATGTTAATAACAAGTGTGAATGTCATTAATGTTCCTATAATTAATTTCAGTATTAACACCTTATGTTTCTTATTATTCATTCCTCAAATGAAGGATTTTTCCATTTATAACTAAGTGGCAATTATTATATCATTTTTATATAATGGAGCAATAAATTGTATCTGATGTTATTAATAGTAATTCCTACATTCCTTATAACATACTTTTATACTCATTCCTTTATATATTCCTTTACTGTTATATAATACTTTTTAAGTGCCTTTAAGTGAAGAGAAGTGGTTGAAATGTAAAAGAAGCTACTTGGAATGTCTGTAATAACAAATGTGTTAGTATATTTACACCTGCTTGAAGGAAAGAGTAAAGTATTTCCTGAAAACCCCACAATTATATAGGTAGTTCAACCTCTGATCTGCACTGAGGCATTTAACCTCTCTTAACCTTGGCTTCCTTATTTAAAGGAAGTGGCTGTTGAGCCTTACCTAAATCATAAAGTGAGTGCAAGTAATTGTTTACTGAGAAATCTAAGAAAGGCTAATGGAAAACATCAAGTATGAATGAAACAGTTATAACTGTTTTCCCCTTTGAAAAGAATTGCTGTTCCACATTGAATTTCTGTCATGAATCTAACTCTTTTTAAATGAGCTATTTAAATTTAAATACATAAATGGATGTTATATTTTGATTTTAATTACTTCAGTAGTAATTCAGAATTAATTGAAGCTACAGCTTAAACATATTTTATTACATTTAAATAGTTGGGAAAAAATAAACAGTTGGTTAGCTAAAACCCAATAAATAAATTGGGAATAGATTCTGCTAGTTGAATGCTGAAATGAATAGTATATACTTTAAAGGGCTTTAATTTTTTCTTTCATACTGATTTAAGACTGATAATTTATCTCTTTACTTATTCTAATTATTTGACCCTTTTTGTTGGAGGAGAGGGGGCAATCTTGTCACTAATTGTGTAACCCTTGTTTAATTTACTCTTTCAGGAACCCTTCCAACCTTCCCCCTCTCCACCTTAATACACTGATGTTCATTTTGGATTTCCAAGAGGGAGATATGATATGCAACTTTAAAAAACCTATTTTCCAGTCAAGCCATTTTTCAAAGAGAGCTTATTAACCTCTCCTATGGATCAAATTGTGAAATACTAAACTAGGTTGCCTGTGGAAGTATAGTGAGAGACGACGATAGGAAAGAAGATAGGATGGGGTCAGAAGAACCTTACATTCCATGCTTAGGAGTATAAACTGTATACGATAAGCAGCTGGGAACCATAAAATCCTTTTAAGAAGTATTGTGATATAAGACTAATTTGAAAGAATAGTGAGAAGGTGGATAATTGTACATTTGATTTTATTCCTTTATGCTAATAATTCCCATGTACATACAGTGAATGAAATATAGGAGACAAACATCTTCAACTATTCTCATTTCTTATTGGTTTTAGAGCTTGGAAATATGTTAAAAAGACATGTAAACTAGTTCCATCAATTGTATTTCCTCCTATTTAGATAGTACAGTGATTTTGAGCAAACTGTTAACATTGATTTTAAAATCCAAAATATATTATTAGTCTATAAATCACTGCATGGTTCTCATTCATTGATTTTCACTTAGGAGGCTTTGGGGGGTTGTTTTGTTTTTATAATGCTTTACCCAAAGCATTTTAAATCTTCTACTCTCCAGTAATAGTTTTTGTCAAATATATTTTGATATCTGCTGTACTATTTGCTATATTTACTTAAACATCTCTCCACTACGTAGAGCAGGTACTATAGGAGGAAAAACTTTTCCTCTACCCTCTTATGTTCAGTAGTTGGTGCTTGCAAATTAAACTGACAAAAAATTAGGAGGATAAAAGGATTATTTTGTATGCACGTGAGAAGCCTCACAGAAAAGAATTGAAAACCCCAAAAAACCAATGAGACCAAGGGGCTTACATATCATTTTAAGAAAGAGTGATAAAGTATGGAGAAGAGACTAGACAAAATGGGGGTTTAGACTTCTGGTGGGGTGAGGGTGGGCATTAATGATAGGTGACTAAGGAATGAGTGGTAAATAAGGGTTGTTTAGTAAGGTTTATTAGGCAGAGTCAAGTGAGAAGAGTCTGCTTCTTCTCTTCCTGGTACTGGAGAGGAGGACGCCATTACAAATATGAATTTCCTTTACAAAAGGGAAATTTATGCCCTATTTTTAGGAAGTAAAGGGGAGGGCAGAGAGCTCCTCCTATGTTTGCTGTTTTAATTGCCTGTAGTTCAAAATAATCCTTATGCTGAAGTGGCATATTTGAGGGTGTCATACTCTGATCCCCTTCACTATAGACTACTCTCTAATACCAGGGTACTGAGTTAAGATAATTCTGAAGGCTTCGCTAATAATCTACTACTCTTTGTCAATTTCCTATCTTAGTTTTCTCATCTGTAAAATGGAGATCATGATAGCACTTACCTCAAAAAATGATAAGAAGTCAATTAAAAAAGCACCAAAAAATGCTTAATAAAGTGGTCTGACACATAGTAAATTCTCAATGAATAATGTATATACTGTTAAGGAGTCATTTCCCTCTAAGAGTACAAAGTACAAAAGAAAAAGTTGGAGCTTAAGATTTAGGTTTGGCTGGGTGTGGTGTATCACGCCTGTAATCCCAGCATTTTGGGAGGCTGAGGGGGGTGGATCACCTGAGGTCAGGAGTTCGAGACCAGTCTGGCCAATGTGGTGAAACCGCATCTCTACTAAAAATACAAAAAATGGCAGACGTGGTGATGCATGCCTGTAATCTCAGCTATTTGGAAGGTTGAGGCAGGAGAATTGCTTGAACCCTGGAGGCAGAGGCTGCAGTGAGTCGAGATCACGCCACTGCACTCCAGCCTAGGCAACAGAGTGAGACTCTGTCTCAAAAAAATAAATAAGAGTTAGGTTTAATCCCAGCTACTTGGGAGGGTGAAGTGGGAGGGTCTCTTGAGCCCAGGAGTTCAAGTCCAGCCGGGGCAACCTAGTGAACACTTCCCTCCACTCCATCTCTTAAAAAGGATGGGAGTGTTCCCAGTGCTGATTATGCCACCTATTAGCCGTATGACCTTGGACAACTGTAAGCCTCAACTTTCCCATCTATGCAATAAGAATCATTTTTACCTCATTAGATTGTTATGAGGATTAAATGAAGCAGCATGTATATATGTGTATATATATACGCATATATACATATAGTATCTTGTATATAATAAGTATTTATTACATGCAATTTCATCTTTTATGTAGACTTTCTAGACTCTAACCTTGCCCCAGGAAGATAAGTGACTTTTACATTAAGCCATGTTCTCTTTTTCCTTTATGACACTCCTCAATGCTTAATGAAGAACTCTGGCTACACAAAAAACTAAAGTAAAATGTTGACAGACTGCTTTTTTCTACATCTGGGCTTCTTTAATTGAAAGCTGACATTTAGGCCAAGAATTGTTAGGAATTCCTATTTAGGTTTATACCAGTTCTCGCTTATATACAAGATGTATACTTGTGTATACATGTTATTTACACACATACAATAATATATACTGGCTTTCTTTTTTTCCCTCTCATCCCATAACAGATAGTATACTGCCTTTTTTAAAAAAAAAAATGCCCACTTTTCAAATTAAAAAGCAGAGGCACACATTCTTTCCAAATGTATTAGTATAATTTGAAATAATGAGATTGTATTAATAGGATTCAGCCACAGAAACAGACCCATTAGGGAAGATAGAGTGAGAATAAGATTTATTTGTTGGTTGATCGATTTTGAGGAATTGGCCTATGTCATTGTGGAGACTGGCTAAGTAGTCCAAAACCATAGGGCAGGCAACCAGGAAGGGGAGAAAGCCTTGAACTTCTTAGGCATGGGCAGAAGCTGTCATTCATAGGTGGAATTTATTCTCTCTGTCAAGGAAACTTAAGCCATGCTTTTCTTTTTAAATTTTATTATTATTATACTTTAAGTTTTAGGGTACATGTGCACAACGTGCAGGCTTTTACTTTCAACTGATTGAATCAGGCCCCTCCAGATTATCCAGGATACTCCAGTAATAGAAGTCAACTGACTGGGAGTTTTAATTACATCTGAAAAATACCTGTATAGCAACACCTAGATTGGAATTTGATTGAATAACTAGAGTCTGTAGCCTAGTCAAGTTGTCACCTCAAAAAAACCATCTTGGGATAAAGTTTTTTGAAAAAAGAAATAGAAAGTTCAGGGCATTTTGGTCATTATTTTTGTGTATTGTGCCTATTATATCTTTTTATTTTAAATTTTTGAGAATCTGTTTAGTGCCTAGTATTTTGCCAAGATTATAAAGGAAACAAAGGTATCTTAATGTTTTTTTCAAATCTTAACATCTTAAAGTTGTTTCAAGCATTTTCCCTGAATTCATTGATTAAGTATTGTTAGAAGAAGTGGAACATGGATGATGCATATGCTTTAGATTGAGGCAGGAGTATGTGTGGTGACTAAGAGAGTAAGAAATGATGATCTCGAGAATACTAGACTGTGAGCTTTCTAAAAGCTGGTATCGTGTGTTATTTATCCTTGTATTGCCATGGCCTGGCACAGTAATTGAAAAAGTTCAACAATGGTTTGTTGTTTAGGTTGATTAAGGAATGAGCAAAAACGTAACTTAAAAGCTATCTGTATTGAAGTGTGATCTGTTATATGTATTCAGATCTGATTATACTTGGAGTCGAAATCACTGTATCTAAATTAATATTAAGACTCAGGGCCAGGCACATTGTCTCACATCTGTAATCCCAGCACTTCAGGAGGCTGAGGTGGGAGGTCAGTTGAGGCCAGGAGTTTGAGACCAGCCTGGGCAACATAGCGAAAAACTCTGTCTCCACAAAAAATTAAAAAAATAAAAATTAGCCGGACATGGTGGCATGTGCCTGTAGTCCTAGCTACTTGGGAAGCTCAGGTGGAGGATCACTTGAATCTAGAGGTGGAAGCTGCAGTGATCTGTGATCGTATCTCTGCACTTCAGCCTGTGTGACAGAGTGAGACTTTTTCTCAAATAAAAGAATCAATACAGCAATACAGCCCCAATTTCTAAATTGGAGAAAGTCATTTTCTATTTCGTCTCTCTCTGTTCCTCCACTAGATTGTAAACTCTTTGAGAGTAAGAATTATGCAGTTTTGTCTGCTCTTCAATGTTTTATTGCCTTGCATTAAAAAGATAATAAATACTGCTTGATGAATTAATTAAAAACAGCATACAGAAGAGATCCAAATTTAATTTTGTAATAAATCACCTCTGAGAATAATAAGAAAACCAGAATATTTGAAATACATCATTTAATTGAATAAGGAACAGTAAACTGATTTTTAATGTTCCTGTTTTTATGTATTTGAAGTTAATGTTTAGTTATTTTGTTTTAAAATCTTTATAAAAATTCTCTGCTTTATCTTCCAGTGAACAAGACATATTAATAGCTTTTCTGTAGAGCAAGGCATATTAATAGCTTTTCTGTTGAATATGAAAGAAAGCAGCTGTAGTTTTATCCTACTGAGTACAAATATTTGTTGGGGAATTAAAGATTTATTAGATAAATGGCTTAAAGATTAATTAATTAACTATACTATCTTTTTACTTTCCTATCTTATCTGTAGGCCATTGGTCTGTTAATATATATAAATTGCTCTGTTTCCTGCTATCTTTCCATTTCTTAATTAAATATTAGAAAAATGCCCAAGGAAAAACAATACAACTGAGCTTCCTTTCTGGTTTTCATGCTTTTAAAATTTATAAAAATTGTGGCTCTGCTGCCTTTTTTTTTTTTTTTTTTTTTTTTTGTAGTTAGATGAATTTGGCCTGAGATTCTATGAAAAAAATAAAACAATAGTTTTTATTTCATGATTTTTTTTTCAAGTTGTTCTGATTTTATAATATCTAGTCAAGTGATGACATGCAGAGATTTTGCTGTGAGGAGAGGGAGAGAGCAAAAAGTATTCTGCCCTGATTGCTTTTTAGTGATTTTATTACTAGAAAGATAAACATTGCCTTGTTATTTTAGCCAGTAAAATTGTCTGCAAAGTAGGTAACAAAATGCAAAGCAGTGTATTTACTTTTCCACTTTTTCCCAAAGGTATGATAAAAGCAGGGTTCCAGTGGAACAATTTGCTGAGTTCTTTCCTAGGGAGCACTGGTAGCCCGTATTAAATGATTATATTTTGGAAAATGCTAATGATGAAAGATGAGAATAATTTATATTCTTTGAAATGTGACTAAAAAGTTGGAAATGAAACCTATCTTTCTGAAGTGACATCCACATTTGTGGTTCATTTTCATCACACCTGATTCACTTCTGCCAGCAATTCAGAAAGAAAGGTGGAGGTGGGAAAGCATATATGTAGCTAAGCTACTAAAGTGACTATTTGAGTATTTCATTCCATCTGTCAAAAGATTCAGTGGGATAAAGAATTTGGCATAAATGGATGTAATTCATTCTCTTTTTACAAAGAAGTAAATGATAGAACAAAATCATCCTAAAATGAAGGAACAAAATACCAGAAAGTGAAAGAAAACAAAATTTGTATTTTTTGATAGAATAGTAGCAGAACTCAATGTAAAAATAATGATTACATTAATAATTATTTGCTCACTTTTTCCTGTATTTGGTATTTTGGGAAAGTGGGCTTGAAAAACAGTGGATACATTGATGAAACATTTCAATTTTCACTTGCCTGTTGTGTTTGCTCATGTTAGACAAACTATAACTTCTCGGTGTATAGATATGATGTACACAAAATTACACAGAAATTAAGCCATGTATAATAATGCATGACTAGAAGAAAGATATATCTCCCTTGAACAAATAACAGTTATTTTAGTAAATTTGTAACAGAGAAAATAGGCTTGATTAACAAAAATATGAAAGATCTTTTAAATAAATGAATTTTGAATTTTCAGAGTAGCCCAGAATTTTATCTAAACTCGGATTATTTCATTAGCTAGAACATGAAAATAGGCATTTATTCTACTCACCTACAGCTTCTGTAGTACTAAATTTATGGAATGAGGCTTTGTGGTGCTGCCTTCAGAGCTCAATGATTTGCTTTTTCTGAATTTTGGAAGTCTGTCTCTAATTGATTGACACATATGAATGTAGTGGGAAGAAATGAGATTAAGCATACAAGCTTTCTTTTTCATTTAAACATCATTGAAGCCATGAATTTGTAAATTGATATAAAAACACAATCCTTTGGATCTGTATTAGGAAATTTATAAATGGGAGCTTTATTTTGCTCCAGAAATGTGATAATTAGAAATATATTCAGGTGATTTTTTCCCTTTGGTTTTTGTTGTTTTTTAATTTATTTTTCTTTCTTATTTTTACCAAAGGTTCAAGTCATCTGTAATATTCAGGTGTTTTTAAGAATTTCTCATGGCAAGTTAATTGTGGGTGAACATTTCCCTATTGGACTACCAGATGTACTTTGTGGTTATAACTTGCATAGCTCCAGGATTTTTCGTGAACAAGTAATAAAACACATTTCTGGTTTGCTTTCTGCCATAGAGTATTAAGAGTTTAACACTTTTTAAATGTTACTTTAATCTCTGAAATTTTCAACAATGATTAGTGGCAGTATACTCAAAAAAGGAAATGTGTAGGCTTTACTATAATAAAAATAAGAACAACTTATATAAGCTCCACACTTTATAGATTTGTATGGATATACAATCAAATGTACTAATTTTTAAATTATCCTCATTTTGCAGTAATTTTACATTTTGCTCATTTGTGCAAACCGTGGTGATAGTAAAATATTTAACAGAAATTCAAGCACATTCTTTTAACTCTTTCTGAAAAATCTCACAAATGAGATTTTTTTAAAACAGTTAAGAATTTACTAAATTTAAAATGTATATATACCTGATGCCATCCAGATGTTTTATTGAATTTCTAAAATAAAAGTCCACCTAATGAATGGCTAATTTACTCAACACGTAAGACAAAGATGTATTTCTGTGTTACTAAGAACATGCATCCTATCTCCTTGACAATGGCTCTAATTACCTCAGCTTGGACTGATCAATATTTGATCTTTTTCCCACCATGCAAACATGTTACTTTGACTTTGTCTCTTCCTCTTCTTTTCAGATAATTTGCAGCCATGTGAGAATGGTTCATTTTGTTTGTTCTCCCTGGCTTGAGGCCAGGGGTCTCTTATTAGTATAATGCAGTTCATTGATGTGAATTTGTTGATCTCCTGGGTAGGTTTTCACAAATTTAAGGCAATTAAAAGCTTTTATATGGCATTTCACTTGAAGTTATTAGTGGCCTTTCAGTGATTTTGCTTTTAAAAATTACTTCATCATTTTATGATTATTTCCTTTCCTTCTCTTTTCTCTACTCTCCCCATGCTATAAAATTCTATAGTAAAGGATTGAAACAACTATTTCATTGATTTCATTAAAAGTAATAATTTATAAACTTATAATTCAATAGCTTAATATTTTAATTACCACAATTTTTAAAGGACTAATGAAATTTTTGGTTTTGTGTTTTCAAAAGCTGCTTTGTTTTAAGCATATAAATATTCATGATAGAAGCCATAATTTGGAGAATAATAAGAATTGAATCTAAAAATTATTAGTAATTGCTAAAAAATTCAAAAAGCACATAGTGTAAACTTTGTGTATATGAGACAGAACTTTTTCTAAATTGCAGTTTCATTAACATCTTAAAGTTTTCTCGTAGCTAACAGATGTCCATGATATTTTTGCTTCCTTAACTTTTACAGTCAATGGACCATTCTCCAGCAGGTCATAAGTAAGAATGTTAAATAACGGCCACTAAATCTTAAGGAATGTGACAACATTGATTAGATTAAAATCCTTTGACTTCATTGACATATCTTTTTTCTTTCCCCATTTAAAAAATTGTTTCAGTTGTTTTCCTACTGTTTGTTGGTGGCATACTTTGTTACAGTACTTGATCCAGTTTGTTTCATTGGTGTGCTTGGTAAATTTGAAGAAATGATCACTGGAGAGGATTTGAAATAACTAGCAAAAGTTTTGAAGTATTGCAGTGAGTATATGGAATGTGTTACTCATTTATGCAAAAAATATTGGTGTTTTTATACTTTTTATTTTAAAAAATATATAACAATAATAGCAAATATTTAGTAAGAATGTAACTTTATGCCATACTAAGGCAAGAATAGTATATTGAATAAGAGGATATACCCTGAAGGCAGGGTATAAATCCAAGTTGCGCTGCTTACTAGTTCACTTCTTAAGCAGTTAACTTCTGAATCTCTCTTTATGTGCAAAATGGTATAGGAGAGGAAAAAAAATATCTTTCCCTCCTGATATGTACATGACTGGGGCCTCTATAACAAAAACAGATTAACAAGAGAAAAGTATACTATAATTTAAGTGTAAGTTTTACATGACATGGGAGCCTTCATAAGGAAATGAAGACCCAAAGAAACAGCTAAATCTGAGTGTTTTTTATATTAGGTTCAATGGTGAAATGATAGGGTATGAAGTAAATGTAGTAAACTGGGTGAAACTTGGCAAGGCCTTTTTGTTTGGATTCCCCTCTGTCTCTTTGTCTTTGGAGAAAAGATGCTCCTTTATAGAGAGGGTACCATTCACATAAGGGTCTTGTGACCTACTTAAGGGAAAGGTCAAAAAACAGTTACCAGGTTTTATGATCTGTTTCTAGAGAAAAGGGCAGGGGACAGTCAGAGAGACCTTCCTGCTTCTGCCATTTTCTCACATTCCTTCACCTTAAAATTTTCAATATATCAAGGTGCTATATTTTGGGGTAGTATATCCTGAACCGTGCCTATAGGAATGATGATAATAATATCTACTTTATAAGGATAAAATGAGACAATATGTATAAATTGTATGGAACAGTGCATGAACCACAATAAACACTCACAAAATGTTTGCTATAAAGATATTTTCGACCTTCCATGGTGGTTCATGCCTATAATCCCAACACTTTACGAGGCTGAGGTGGGAGGATCACTTGGAGCCAGGAGTTCAAGACCAGCTTGGGCAACATAGCAAGACCCCATCTCTTAAAAAAAATAAAAAATAAAAATTACCCATGCCTATAGTCCTAATTACTTGGGAGGCCAAGGCAGGAGGATCACAATTGATCCTCAGGAAGATCATGCTTGTCTGTAAAGGATTTTATATCCCCTTGACTTATGAAGCTTAGTTTGGCTGGATATGAAATTCTGGGTTGAAAATTCTTTTCTTTTTTTTTGAGACAGAGTCTCACTCCGTCACCAGGCTGAAGTGCAGTGGCATGATCTCGGCTCAGTGCAACCTCTGCTTCCCTGGTTCAAGCAATTCTCCTGCCTCAGCTGCCCTAGTAGCTGGGACTACAGGTGTGCGCCACCACGCCCAGCTAATTTTTGTATTTTTATTAGAGACAGGGTTTCACCATGTTGGCCAGGATGGTCTTGATCTCTTGACCTCGTGATCCTCCCGCCCTCGGCCTCCCAAAGTGCTAGGATTACAGGCGTGAAAATTCTTTTCTTTAAGAATATTGAATATTGGCTCCCACTCTCTTCTGGCTTATAGGGTTTCTGCAGAGAGATCTGCTGTTAGTCCCATGGGCTTCACTTTGTGGGTAACCCAACCTTTCTCTTTGGCTGCGCTTAACATTTTTTCCTTCATTTCAACCTTTGTGAATCTGACGATTACATTGTGTCTGGGGGTTGTTCTTCTCGATATGTATGCACCCAATACAGGAGCACCCAGATTCATAAAGCAAGTTCTTAGAGACCTACAAAGAGTCTTAGCCTCCCACACAATAATAGTGGGAGACTTTAACACCCCACTGTTAATATTAGACAGATCAACGAGACAGAAAATTAACAAGGATATTCAGGACTTGAACTCAGCTCTGGACCAAGCAGATCTAATAGACATCTACAGAACTCTCCACCCCAAATCAACAGAATATACATTCTTCTCCGCACCACATCGCCCTTACTCTAAAATTGACCACATAATTGGAAGTAAAACACTCCTCAGCACAAGCAAAATAATAGAAATCATAAAAAACACTTTCTCAGACCACAGTGCGATCAAATTAGAACTCAGGATTAAGAAAGTCACTCAAGGCTGGGCGCGGTGGTTCACGCCTGTAATCCCAGCACTTTGAGAGGCCGAGGCGGGCGGATCACAAGGTCAGGAGATCGAGACCATCCTGGCTAACATGGTGAAACTCTACTAAAAATAGAAAAATTAGCCGGGCGTGATGGCGGGTGCCTGTAGTCCCAGCTACTCGGGAGGCTGAGGCAGGAGAATGGCGTGAACCCGGGAGGCGGAGCTTGCAGTGAGCCGAGATCGCGCCACTGCACTCCAGCTTGGGCGACAGAGCGAGACTCCATCTCAAAAAAAAAAAAAAAAAAAAAAAACCTCACTGAAAACCACCCAACCACTGCTCCTGAATGAATATTAGGTAAATAATGAAATTAAGACAGAAATAAAGCAGTTCTTTGGAACCATTGAGAACAAAGACACAATATACCAGAATCTCTTGGACACAGCTAAAGCAGTGTTTAGAAGGAAATTTATAGCACTAAATGCCCTCAGGAGAAAACTGGAAAGATCTAAAATGGACACACTAACATCACGATGAAAAGATCTAGAGAAGCAAGAGCAAACAAATTCAAAAGCTAGCAGAAGACAAGAAATAACTAAGATCAGAGCAGAAGTGAAGGAGATAGAGACACGAAAAACCCTTCCAAAAATCAGTGAATCCAGGAGCTGGTTTTTTGAAAAGATTAACAAAATAGATAGACTGCTAGACAGACTACTTAAGAAGAAAAGAGAAAAGAATCAAATAGACACAATAAAAAATGATAAAGGGGATATCACTACTGATCCCACAGAAGTACAAACTACCATCAGAGAATACTATAGACACCTCTACGCAAATAAACTAGAAAATCTAGAAGAAATGGATACATTGCTGGTCAGATACCCCCTCCCAAGACTAAACCAGGAGGAAGTGAATCCCTGAATAGACCAATAACAAGTTCTGAAATTGAGGCAGTAATTAATAGCCTACCAACCAAAAAAAGCCCAGGACCAGATGGATTCACAACTGAATTCTATCAGAGGTACAAAGAGGAGCTGTTGGTGGGAGTGTAAATTAGTTCAATCATTGTGGAAGACAGTGTGGCGATTCCTCAAGGAACTAGAACCAGAAATACCATTTGGCCCAGCAATCCCATTACTGGGTATATACCCAAAGGATTATAAATCATGGTGCTATGAAGACACATGCACACATGTTTATTACAGCACTGTTCACAATAGCAAAGACTTGGAACCAACCCAAATGCCCATCAGTGATAGACGGGATAAAGAAAATGTGGCACATAACCACCATGGAATACTATGCAGCCATAAAAAAGGATGAGTTCATGTCCTTTGCAGGGACATGGATAAATCTGGAAACCATCATTCTCAGTAAACTAACACAAGAACAGAAAACCAAACACTGCATGTTCTCACTCATAAGTGGGGGTTGAACAATGAGAACACATGAACACAGGGAGGGGAGCATCACATACTGGGGCCTGTCAGGGGGTAGGGGACTAGGTGAGAGATAGCATTAGGAGAAATACCTAATGTAGATGACGGGTTGATGGGTACAGCAAACCACCATGGCATGTGTATACCTATGTAACAAACCTGCGTGTTCTGCACATGTATCCCAGAACTTAAAGTACAATTAAAAAATAATAATAAAATTTTAAAAAGAAAAAGATTGGGTATTTCACATCTTCTTGAATGTAAAACTGGGGGAAAATAATCTTTTTTAATGTGCATTAAAACTTTTTTTTTTTTTTTTTTTTTTTTTTTGGGGGGAGAAGGTCTCACTCTGTTGCCCTGGCTGGAGTGCAGCGGTATGATCACCGCTCACTGTGGCCTCAGCCTCACAGGCCCAAGTGATCCTCTCACTTCAGGCTCCAAGTATCTGGACTCAAAGGCGTGCACCACCACTCCCAGGTTTTGTTTTTTTTTTTTTTTTTTTGCAGAGACAGGGGGTTTTCTATGTTACTCAGGCTGTTTTCTAACTCCCAGCCTCAAGCAATCCTCTTGCCTCAGGTTGCCAACGTGTTGGGATTACAGGCATGAGCCACTGTGCCTGACCCAGTGAAACATTTTAGTGCAGAATAGTTGTGAATTTTTGAAATAGATAACCAAGAAAATTTAACTTCAGATATCACCTAGTTGTAAGTTATCTCTCCGTTTTGTCATTCAGGAATGGGTTTTCTGAGACTTTCTAAAGAAATATATATTATCGTTCAGTTTGGCTTTGGAAATTTTATTATTGCCCTATATTTCTAGTAAAGTAATGTAGATCTAGTTTGATACAAACCATTCTATACACTACACCGGTACTATCAGCTTTCACTTTTCACAGCTCCCAAAACAAATAAATAAAAGAAAATAGCTTTCTTTTCTATGCCGTTTCTTTCTGAAATAGTACTAATCTGCCTTACCTTTAATACTATCCCATAGACCCACCTAGTAGCTCTTCCCTTACGAGAGAGTTCTTTTGATCAGATAAGGTTTAATATGGAAAATAAAAAGAAATAATCATTTAAAACTTGACCAAAATATTTTAAAAACATACACATATATACTCTACCTTAACATATGGTGAAAAGCAATTTTTCCTAAAATATATTCTATGAAAAAAAAATTTTGGCCAGGCACGGTGACTTATGCCTATAATCCCAGCACTTTGGAGGCTGAGGCGGGTGGATCACCTGATGTCAGGAGCTTGAGACCAGCCTGGCCAACATGGCAAAACCCCGTCTCTACTAAAAATACAAAAAATTAGCTGGGCACGGTGGTGGGTGCCTGTAATCCTAGCTACTTGGGAGGCTGAGGCAGGGAGAATCGCTTGAACCCAGGAGGCAGAGGTTGCAGTGAGCTGAGATCACACCATTGCACTCCAGCCTGGGCAACAGAACGAGACCTCATCTCAAAAAAAAAAAAAATTTATTTCCAATCAGTTGGAAAATGTAAGAATATGCAAAAATTTAACAGATTTCTTTAATGTGGGTTTTTCCTAGAACACCTTTTTACATTTCAGAGGACATTAGAGTTCAGCAGGACACAGTTTGGTAAATATTAGTATAAAAAGTTAGGCTCAGCCGGGTGCGGTGGCTCATGTCTGTAATCCCAGCACTTTGGGAGGCTGAGGTGGGCAGATCACGAGGTCAAGAGATCGAGACCATCCTGGCCAACATGGTGAAACCTCGTCTCTACTAAAAATACAAAAATTACCTGGGCGTGGTAGCACACGCCTGTAGTCCCACCTGCTCGGGAGGCTGAGGCAGGAAAATCGCTTGAACCAGGGAGGCAGAGATTGCAGTAAGCCTAGATGGTGCCACTGCACTCCAGCCTGGCAATAGAGCAAGACTCCATCTCAAAAAAAAAAAAAAAGAAAAAAAAGAAAGGAGAAAAAAGAAAAAAATCAGGCTCTCTGTAGTCAAAAGTCAAACATTTTTACTGCTAAAATAAGGCATTATTTTTTTTCCTTGCTTAATTGCCATGCCAACTTTTATTGGTTCTTTCCTGTCTCCCAATGAGTTAAAAAAGAAAAAAGTATCCAAATGTGTTCCCACCCCAACCCAAGCCTGTGATCACTTCTTTGTTTTTTTGCTTCCCTGTAAGGGTATTTCTCCCTATAATTATACTCACACTTTAAGAAGTAGGAGCCATTATACTTTATTTTCAAATTTCAAATTAGAAAGTGATTTGGGTTTGGAAGCTTGTTTCTGTCTCTGGCTATCCAACTGTTTCTCGGCTCCAAGATGTGAAACTGTTTCTTCACCCTAACGGCAAAAGGGCACCTGCTATTGAGCGTGCTTTGAGCGTTATTCTCCCAATAGTACCCTAGATAGGTAAGACATTTTTGAAATCAAAAATAAACAAAAACTTCTTGTTGTGATTTCTCTGTATACCAAAACATCCTCTTGACATAAACTGTGTTATCCTAATGACACAGACAAACACAAATTATCTTCATTTGGGTTGCAGAGTTGGGGGTCATTTCTTGTGCTTATGAGCCTGCTATTCTGCAACTGTGAGATTTCAGACATGTTCAATTTGTGGATTTTATTTTTTATTACACACACATGTGTAGTATTATTGCTTGTAATACCTTGTATGAATATAAAAAGATTGTCATTTTTCAGGTGTATATTAACTTCATTAATTTTTTACAATTCAAATGATGGAGAGATTCCTATTGAAGGATACTTAGCTTTTTCTAATAATTCAGTTATGATTTTATATTCAATGTAAATGATTTTGTCTCTCTGGGGCCAGATTATCCTATTTACCTTGACCCCCTACCATGACAATTTAAATACTGCATTTAACTGTAGTATATGTAAGATTGTCCTTAACAAATATGAGACTTGAAAGGTTGTTTTTGTTTGTGTCCTCTCCTCTGAAGTTTTCCTTTTAGGATGACAGCATACGATAGATGTGTTCTAGTAAAGTGCTTCTTTTATTCATGAATTACAAATAGCTTAAGAAAATGTTTAAAGTAAAGCTATAATGATTAGTCCTGGTAGTCTCCATTTTATTCAGAATGTCTCTGTCAGAAATTATGTCATCACTATGGACTGTTAGCCAGGAAGTTCTGTCTAGCAGATGAATGAATAGGGAGTACTGAGTTTTCTAATAAAAGACACTGTTGTAATATTGAAATACTGCTAATGGAGGTTGCCAGTTTTCTGTTCTTAAATTTACAGGACATCTTCTGTGATTAAAGTAAGGAATACTTAGAGCAAGTCCTTAGAGTAAACCAACTATAAACTTAAGAAACCGGAAATAGAATTTTTTTTTTTTAAACAATGCCATTTAAGTCCCTAACTTGTCTTGGTTCAGCTGCTAGACATTTGTTCCTTTGTCTCAAAAACGTTAGCAGAAAGCAATAAATATAGTTCTTGCTTTACTCAGCTAACATCTGATTTTATCTGCACATTGCTTCCATCTTAAAACTTTCTTACCTTACTAGTCTGAATGGCTTGTGTAGCCTAATACTGTTATAATTGTCAGAACAAAGGGTTTGATTATTTTGGCAAGGAAAAAAGCCTGGTAATAGTATTTGCATTTCAATTAATTGTTTCATTCTGATTTGAAATGTGACTTATGTTAGATACATCTCTGATCCTTCCCTATCTCAGTACTAATACTAATATGTTGTATTTCCACTACAATAGCATTACATCTTACAAACATTTATTTCCTTTATAACTGACGTAGAGCTTTCCACATAGTAGATATTTAATATAATTGATGGTTTGGAATTCATACATTTTGTAGGCTAAGTATAACTCTCCTACTGTTTCACCTACTTCCTAAGCTAGATTTATCTTTACAGGTACTAGACTTTATAGAACTAATGGTAAATTCAGTATGCATATCTTCTGTAGTAAACATAGAAAAACATTTTTGTAATAGTGCTCCCCAAATTTTAGTTTCTTGACTAGTAATGAAATATCTTATCTGTACTAGAGTTTTGTTATACAATAATGACAGCATTTTCATGTGCTATGTTATGGCCAGTTAACTAAAAATAAGTGGATATTTAAAATGGAAAATGAAATTATCCTGTTGCCTGAAATATCTTGACTCAGGTTCTATTACAGGTTGCATATGGTATCTGTTAGAGCTTTGAATCTATGTTGGTTGTTGAGTTATTATGTGCATTAACTATTGCATTCAAAAGTTCTTTAAAAGCATATGTCTGTTTTAAATCTTATACAAATTCCTTGCAGGTTTTGAGAGCAGTCTTTTTGTATGTCTTTCTTGTTTGTTGTTTTGTTTTTATACCAGAGCACCATGTCCTAAGCAGCAGTAAATTTAAAACATTGCTTAGGATAGTTTTATAATATCATTAATAGATTTTTATATTAGATAGTTTCTCTGAATTATTGACCTATTATAGGGAACATGGAAAAATTTAGAAAAATTAGAAGTTATACGGAGTATTAAGAAAAAAACTTTATATTTTGGTACTCCCAGGAAAACTAAAACCTCTTTCTAAGAGTATATTTTAGGAAATTTTCTAAAATTTTGTAAATCAACCTACAGAGAAAAAAAGTATAGAAAGTATTTTGAAATATTTGTGTGTATATGTGTGTGTGTGTACACAAGCCACATTTTCTCCTAGAACTCACTACTGAAATTTCTGAAAGTGATTCAATAAGATATATATTTCATATCTGGTTTTTAAAATCCATAGAATTTTTGTGTTTTGACCATCAGGTAGAGTCTTACAGTTTAGTCACAGTGGAATCATCAGCTTCAAAATGAAAGAACAAGATAGTCTCTTGGCATTCAAAAATTTAGCATACTTTAACTCATATTTGCTGTGATGTTAGGTAGTGAATTATTCTTGTTAACTATCTAGCGTCCAATGTGACATGTGTTTGTTGTTACCTACAACTTATCAAATAAACAGTTACCCTCTGGAATGATAAGAACTTGGGCTTTTTATGAAAAATACCCTCTAAATGAGGACAGAAATCTATATTAAGGATAGGCTATTGATTAAATTTAGAGATACACATAAAGATGACTCTCATATAAAATTTAGAATAAACATGAAAGTTTTAGCATGTCCAGACTTTAGGGATTTAGGCTTTATGAAGGTCTCAAGCCTGTCTCCTGGAATTCCAACATTGTGATGACTCAAATTTTATCAGTAAATATGGAAAAATAAGCTAAAGTTCTTGAGAAATTGCTATCTAATAAGTGATTATTTTATTTTTTTTCTAGTTTTAAAATAAAAAATCTTTACTATTTATTAGATTCACCAGTGTTTTATACTGGGGGTCCCCAACCTTTTTGGCACCAAGGACTGTTTCGTGGAAGATCATTTTCCACAGGGCAGGGTGGGGGAGGGGTGGTTTCAGGATTATTCAAGTGCATTGCATTTGTCGTGCACTTTATTTCTGTTATTATTACAGTATAATATATAATGAAATAATTATACAACTCACCATAATGTAGAATCAGTGGGAGCTCTGAACTTGTTTTCCTGCAACTAGACAGTCCCATCTGGGGGTGATGGGAGTCAGTGACAGATCATCAGGCACTAGATTCTCATAAGGAGCACATAAGCTAGATCCCTCACATGCACAATTCACAATAGGGTTCGCACTCTAATGAGAATCTAATGCCGCCAGTTATCTGACAGGAGGTGGAGGTCAGACAGTAATTTGAGCAATGAGGAGTGGCTGTAAATACAGATGAAGCTTCACTTGCACATCTGGCACTCACCTCCTGCTGTGTGGCCCAGTTCCTAACAGGCCATGGATTTGTATCCGTCCATGTCTGAGGGGTTGGGGACCCTTGTTTTATACAATTCTAATTGTGTCATTGAATTTCTTTTTTCTTTTTTCTCATTGTTAGGAGGCTAAAAACAAACTTGTCTTGTGCAGATTCGTCGTCTTTACCACCAAATTTTTGTCATGGTATCTTGTCTTTTTTTTACGTCTTTCTAAACTGCCTTAATCCTTGTAAGGGAATAGGTAAGGTGTAAATATAATTAATAAGGTGCAAGGAAATGTTATTAGAAAGAAATTAGATTGTTATTTGAAAACATACAGAGCCTAAATGTAAGAGAAATGTCCTAAGCAAAACTTATTAACAGGAAATTTACTGAATTGGAAAGTACTCTTGATTTTATGACTAATATGAATTGAGGTATTCTTATAGACACTCAGAGATTCCTGTACACATGTTACTTGTGTTTTTCCAAAACTATATACGTATAGTCTTTTTACAAATAAACAGTGGCCACCAAGAAAAATTACAGCAGTACACATAAGACATACCGTATACATGATACTCAACTTTGTCTATATCCTTTGTGTTCAAGTTTCTAGAAATTTTCATCTTTGTAAGGATATCATGTGAGTGTGCTCAAGGTTTGTTCTAAGAATCTAGCTGAGCACAGTGGCTCATGCCTGTAATCACAATACCTTGAGAGTCTGAGGCAAAAGGAACATTTGAGCCCAGGAGTTCAAGACCAGCCTGGGCAACATAGGGAGACCCCCATCTCTATTAATTTAAAAAAAAAAATTACCTGGACATGGTGGCATGCATCTTTGGTCCCAGCTACTTGGGAGGCTGAAGCAAGAGGATCAAGAGGATCACTTGAGCCTGGAAGGTCGAGGTTGCAGGGAGCCACAGTCATGACTCTGCACTCCAGCCTTGGTGATACAGCGAGACCATGTCTTTAAAAAAATAAAATAAGAATCTATACACAATTCATGGAATGATGTTGTTTTATAGTTTTACTGTATATTTGTTTCTGTCATAACTTCCAATATCCCAAAAACTTTTTAATTATTTTTATTCAAGACATACATACAGAAGCAGGCCAGGCACAGTGGCTGATGCCTGTAATCCCAACATTTTTGGAAGCCACGATGGGTGGGTTACTTGAGCTCAACAGTTTGATGCTACAGTGAGCTATGATCATGCCACTGCACTGCAGCCTGGGCAACTATTTAAGAAAAAAAGAGAGAGAGAGAGAAGCAGAAATTCAAAGGACACTTTTTGAAATGCACTTAATGTAAAGGCTGCTTTGCATGGTTAATTTATTCCTATTAAAGGAATACTACATTCCTGCCACTTTTCTAGGTGGTGAATTTATAGCAGCGACCAGGTAAATATTGCTGTCCTCAGGGTGCTTACCTTTCAGTGGGTAATGCTTTAAACAAAATATCTAGTATATTAGATGGTAATAAGAACCTTGGAGAAAAATAAAACAGAAAAGAGTGTTCAGGTCTAGCATGAAAGGTTACACTTTCAAATCTGATCATTAGGGAAAGTCTCACCCAAGACAGTGATGTTTAAAAATATTTCAAGAAGCAAGTTGTGCACATATTAGGGAGAAAAACAATCAGTGAATAAATAGCAAGTATAAAGTCTCTATGCCAGGAGCATAGCATGTTTAAGGAATAGCCAGGAGATTAATATGGCTAGAGTAAAATGAGCAATGGGAAAAGTAAGTAGGAGATATAATTACACTGGGAAAGAGTCTAGGGGCATATTAAATAAGACTTTATAGGTCATTATAAAGACTTTGTTGTTTTTGTTTTGTTTTGACTCTGAATGAGATCAAAAGCCTTTAGAGGGTTTTGTGCAGACGAGAAACATAACATGACTTATATTTTAGTAGGGTTATTCTCACTGTTATATGGACAAAACTGAATGGGGCAAAGATAGAAATAGGGAGATCACTTTGGAGGTCATTGCAATAATCCAGTGGGAGATATGATGACTTGGACTAGAGAATTAGCAATGGAGGTGTTAAGATACAATCAGGCTCTGGATATAGTGTGTAGGTAGATTTAATAGAAATTGCTGTTGAATTGAAGAATAGTTTACGAGAGAAATGAGTCAAGGGTGGAAGCTTCATTAACTAAGAGAGGGTAAATGGGGATAATTTGGTCTAGTTTTGTATAAATTATGGGGAAAGTCTTGGTCTCATAGTTTAGCATTCCATAGTACGTTCTCCATAGTGTATAAGTGATAGGTTTTACTAATTTAATAATTTTTTTGTCTCAAACTTGTGACTTAGACTTTGATAAACTTCTGTTTATGATAGATGGATTTTTAATTGATTTTATTGTTTGTATTTTATAATGGATTTTAAGGCATATTAGTGAAAACACAACTTAAAATTTATTTTCTTACCTTACTAACATTCCAAAAAAGGAACATATACTGTATAATGTTTTTTTGTCTCACTAATATATTCGTATCCCTCTTCCCCCTTCTTGGCAAACTTGTCTGAAAGTATACTGTTGCATGTTATGTCATGGATGTACCGGAGCATGTGTGTAAAATACATGTCATAAATGGAAGCAGCTGGTTTCCTATGCAGTTAAGAGAAGAAATGCATACAGCTGAGCTCTTCAAACTTCAGAACTCATTGGATTCAGTTTCTATCCTGTGTAAGCATGCTATGATTTCAAATAGTACAAATGTATAACAAGTTACCTTAATAGCTTAAAAAATTATTTTGTTTCGATAGTTGAACTACTAAATCTGTTTTATTCTCTTTCCCTCTGCCTTCAGTCCCTACTTACCTATCCTACCTCTTGAAAAGAACATTACACCTATAGTCTTAGTTTTAAATTCGAATCTGAAAAGGCCTTGGCAAGAGTTGGGAAAAAGTTATCATCTCAAAGGGAAAAGCTGAATTCATACACAGGAACTGCAGGATTACTCTGGCGTTTTACTAGTCCCTTGCAGCACTCGCAAGTCCCATAAATACCTAATGGAAAAACAGCAGAAAATGAGATCTGCAGCAGCCTTTTGAGATCAAATTTATGTTGCTGAACATTTTTTTGAGGTTGAGTGTAAAGGTCAAAAGAAAGTGGGTAGATTAAAGTTGCTGATTTTTGCAAACTTAAGGCCATTTTTAAAGGTTTCTCTTTCTGTAGCAAGAAAATTTCAAGATAAATGGCTTTGCTTCATTAGCTGAAATGTCATGTCTTCCTTTAATATCTGTTACCTGAGACATTTAGTGATTTAGTGGTATTTATATACAACAAATAAAAATCTCAATCCACTTTAACAAATCTAGATAAATTTATGAAATTGCAGATCTTTCCAAGAACAGCATGATGATAAATTAATGTATATATACATGTTTGTATTGCCATGTATATATGTATCTTAAATGACATATTTTAGATGTTTTTGTATGATACAGAAGGAAAAGATAATAATCAAAGTTTTGTATTTTTAAAGTATAGGTTATTGATCCAGCAGTGTAATTATAACCATCTTTTTTTAAAATTATTTCTTATATTAAACTATTACAATGAAGATAAATGACCTCAAAGAAAAGATCGTGCATGTAATAGCATTAAAACAAAATTCATGGATGCTTTTAATGGTCTCTTACCTTTTGAACAACATTTTAACACGTTGTTACTGGTGCAAGCCTATATCTAAGAAACTGTGAGTTACTAGGGTACTGCAGACTTGATGCAATGAAGAACAATAAACTGCCATTTCTGGACATCTCTATCCTGAGTTGATAGTACAGAAAGCCACCACATATGTTAACGTGAAGTTATAGATTATTTATATCTCCAGGGCTTGCTTCGTGTCTTTGATTTCGTAGTTCAGATTGCCCAGTTATTAGTACTTAGAATTCAAAAGAATAAGATAAAAAATTTTTACTTAATACATTCATTTCTGCATCACAATAAAGAGTTTTCATGGAAATTATCCAGATAATTTCATAGTAGAATAATATATGAAATGAAATCTTTTCTTTTTTATGGTAGTTGATAATTAATAGTAAATCTATTCAGTTTATCTCTAAGAAGTCAGATTATGGGAGACTTGTCTCTATTTTTCTCTATTTAATTTTCCCAAAAAAATTCATAAGGAAAATATTAATTTTCATTTAAATCTCTATATTAAACATTAAGTGATCTTTTTATGCCTTGGAATCACAATGAATATAAATGTTATTTTTATTGTAGTTGATTTTGCAGTTTCAATTCATTTCTATTAAATATTTTAATAAACATTTTTATGAAACTAGGTAGAGGTCACAAATCTCATTAGTCACTGACAGCCAATTCTCAAACCCAGGTCTTTTCCTGTATACCACATTTCCTCATTAGTTCTCACTACACTGTATGGCTATTTCCGCCTCTTAACTTTTTATATTTTATTACACTCTTAAAGTACAACTGTACTTCTCTTCTCAAGTGCCCTTTTCTATTCAGTAAGGGTCCCAGGTGAGCAATGATTCTGACTGGGGAAGAGGGAGAAGATGGTGTTGTAGCAAGTAGTATTAAAAGGCCCTTAGGAAGGTAGATAGATGTATAATTTTGTCTCTTTCTTCTCACTGTTTTCGTAAAGACAAAGGCTATGCCTTAACTTTTTTGCCATTCTTATTTTTGAGACTACCCATTAGGGATTGTTTTTGATGTTGTTGAGATGAAGTATTTGGTGAAGCCAAAACCTCCTTGACTTTTATAGTTTTAATAAGTTTGTGCTCTCCAAACCTTCATAAAGTAATGTCTAGTGATCCTTTCAGATATGGCATGCTGTCATGTCAGCTTTAAATAATTGTTAATGGCATGATTTTTAACATTTTACCTAGTTAGAATCAGTAAAATTTATTATATATACTCTTTGCTGATCAGTAGAGCCTCTTATGAAGGAGTCAGTATGATGTGCTGGATAGAGCATTAGATGGCAAATTGGGCCTCAGATATTATTAGGCATAGTTTTGCCACTAATTTGTATAATGTGCAAGTTTAATAACCTTTCTGGGCCTACAGTTCTCCTCTTCTGAAATGGAAAGATGAATAGGTTATCTCTAAAGTCTATCCAGATCTAAAGATCTATTTTATTATAGAAAACTTTTAATCATACACACAAAGATAGAATAAAAATAAATGGCATTATGAATCCCTGTGTATTCATTACCTGTCCTCATATGTTATCAATAGTAACCCCTTAGTATCTTCTAATACCTAGTTCATATTAAAATTTCAATTAAAGTATCTAGTCCATATTAAAATATCATCTCAGTAATAATAGTTTCTAGTTGCTTTGTTTTGTTCAAATTATAATCTAGACAAGGGGTGTGTGTGTATGTGCATGTGTGGGTGTGTGTGTGTGAGAGAGAGAGATCTAGTTGTGTTTTTAAGACTTATGGTCAAAAATACATATCATAAAATTTCCCACTTTAGGCTGTACATGGTGGCTCACACCTGTAATCCCAGCACTCTGGGAGACCAAGGCAGGAGGATTGCTTGAGCCCAGGAATTTGAGAACAGCCTGAGCAATGTTGCAAAACCCCATCCCTACAAAAAATTATGAAAATTAGCCGGGCATGATAGTGCGCACTTGTAGTCTGAGCTACTCGGGAGGCTAAGGTGAGAAAATCACCTGAGCCCAGGAGTTTGATGCTGCGGTGAACTGTGATTGCACCACTGCACTCCAGCCTGGGTGATAGAGTGAGCCCTTGTCTCAAAAGAAAAATATTTTTTAACCTTTTAATTTATTTTTTAGAGATAGGGTCTCACTGTGTCACCCAGAACTGGAGTGTAGTAGTGCATAGCATAGCTCACTGTAACCTTGAACTCCTGGGGCTCGAGTGATCCTCCTACTTCAGCCTCCAGAGTAGCTAGGACTACAGGCACACACCACCTCACCCAGCTCATTTTAAAAATTTTTTGTAGAGCTGGGGTTTTGCCATGTTGCCCAGGCTGTTCTCAAACTCCTGGCCTCAAGTGATCCTCCTATCTTGGCCTCCCAAAATGCTGGGATTATAGGCATAAGCCACCGTGCCCAGTCTATCTTAACCATTTTTAAGTGTAAAGTACAGTAATGTTAATTGTATGCACATTGTGTGCAATAGATTTCTTGTACAAACACCTTGCAAAACGGAAACTCTGTAGCCATTGAACAGTAATTCCCCTTTGCCCCCTTCATACAGCCCCAGGCAACCACCATTCCACTCTGATTCCGTGAATTTGACTATTTTAGATATTTCATGTAAGTAGGATCATGGTTTATGGCTGGCTTTTTATGGCTGGCTTATTTCACTTCCCTTACCATGATGTCCTCAAGGTTCATCCATCTTGTAGCATATGACAGGATTTCCTTCTCTCTTTTTTTTAGGCCAAGTAATATTCCATTTTGTATATATACCACCTTTTTTTTTTTTTTTTTTGAGATGGAGTCTTGCTGTGTCACCCAGGCTGGAATGCAATGGCGCAATCTGAGCTCACTGCAACCTCTGCCTCCTGGATTTGAGCAATTCTCCTGCCTCAGCCTCCGGAGTAGCTGGGACTACAGGTGCGCGCAACCACACCTGACTAATTTTTATATCTTTAGTGGAGACAGGGTTTCACCACATTGGCCAGGCTGGTCTCGAACTCCTGACCTCAGGTGATCCGCCTTCCTTGGCCTCCCAAAGTTCTAGGATTACAGGTGTGAGCCACCGCGCCCAGCCACATTTTCTTTATACATTCATCTGCTGATGGACATTTAGATTGCTTCCACTTCTTTGCTATTTTGAATAATTCTGCGATGAATATGGGTGTGCAAATATCTCATCAACATCTTGTTTTCAGATCTTTTGGATATATTTCCAGAAGTGAGATTGCTGGCATTTTTAATTTTTTGAGGATACTTCATAGTGTTTTCATAGTGGCTTTGTCATCTAACATTGTCAGCAATAGTGCACAAGCGTTTCAATTTCTCCACATTCTGTATCTTCTTTGAAAAATATCTATTCAAGCCCTTTGACAATTTTTCATTTGGATTCTTTCGGGGGTGAGGTGTTGTGGAGTTCCTTATATATTCTGAATATTGATCCCTTATTGGATATATGGTTTGTAACTATTTTCTCTCACTTCATAAGTTGCCTTTTTACTCTGTTGTTTCCTTTGCTGTGCAATAGTTTGTAAGTTTGGTAGTCCCATTTGTCTTATTTTTCCTTTTGTTGCCCATGCTTTTGGTGTCTTATCTAAGAAATTATTACCAAATTCATTGCTGTGAAACTTTTTTCTCCAGTGTTTTCTTCTTGGAGTTGTGTAGTTTTAGGTTTTAAATTTAATTGTTTAATTCATTTTGAGTTTATTTTTATATACACAATAAGGTAAGGGTCTAACTTTATTCTTTTGCATGTGGATATCCTGTTTTTCCCACCACCATTTCTCAAAGAAACTATCCTGTATGCATTATCAGTACTATACTTTTTCTTTTTTTTTTTTTTTTTGAGATAGATTCTCACTCTGTTGCCCAGGCTGGAGTGCAGTGGTATGATCTCTGCTCACTGCAAGCTCCGCCTCCCAGGTTCACGCCATTCTCCTGCCTCAGCCTCCCAAGTAGCTGGGACTACAAGCACCTGCCACCACGCCTGGCTAATTTTTTCAGTTTTTAGTAGAGACTGGGTTTCACCATGTTAGCCAGGATGGTCTCGATCTCCTGACCTCGTGATCCACCTGCCTCAGCCTCCCAAAGTTCTGGGATTACAGGCTTGAGCCACCATGCCTGGCCTATCAGTACTATACTGTTTTGATTGCTGTTGCTTTGTGTAATATGTTTTGAAATCAGGAACTCTGAGGCCTCTATCTTTGTTTTTCTTTCTTGAGATTGTTATGGTATTTGGGGGCCTTTGCAGTTTTATATGAATTTTAGAATTTTTTTCTATATCTGCAAAAAAATGTCATTGGGATTTGTATAGGAATTGCATGTGCAAAGGAATCTGTACATTCCTTTCAGTAGTATGGATATTTTAACAGTATTAAGTTCCAATCCATGAACACAGGACGTCTTTTCATTTATTGGTGTCTTCTTTAATTTCTTTCATCAATGTTTTGTGGTTTTCAATGTAAAAATCTTGTGCCTCCTTGGTTACTCATAAGTATTTTATTCATTTTTAATGCTATTATTAATATATTTGTTTTCTTAATTTTCTTTTTGGGTTGTTCATTGTTAGTATTTTCAAACACAATTAATTGTTTTATGTTTATTTTGTGTCCTGCAACTTTGCTGAATTTATTTATTCCTCCTAATAGGTTTTTTTGTATGTGCAGTCTCTAGGCTTTTTATACATACAAGATTGTGTTATCTAAAGAAATAATTCTACTTCTCTGTTTCCAACTTGTATGCCTCCTATTTCCTCTTTCCTTTCTTTCTTTCTTTAGCTGACTGCTCTGGATACAACTTCCAGCACTACTGTGTTGGGCCTGGTGGTATGCTCCTGTAGTCCTACATACTTGGAAGGCTAAGGCAGGAGAATCACGAGTTCAGGAGTTCAAGGTTACAGTGAGCTGTGGTCATACCACTGCACTCCAGTCTGGGTGATAGAGCAAGATCCCGTCGGTAAAAAAAAGTGGCAAGGGGGGCATCCTTGCTTTATTCATTGTCTTTGAGGGAAAGCTTTCTGTTTTTTACCATCGAGTATTATATTACCCATCGGCTTTTCATATACAGTCTTTATTGGGTTGAGGTGATTTCCTCTGTGCCTTTTTTTTATTTAATTATAAAAAGATGTTGAATTTTGCCAAATAGTTTTTCTGCATCAATAGAGATGTCATCTAGTTGTGATGTCTGATAAGATTCTTCTTTCTGTAAGTCATTTTCCTCCCCTCCACTCCATTTTTTAGCTTTCCTTTGGTTTGTCAGAGAAGCCAGGTCTTACATTTGTCTCATATAATGTTCTACAAGGTTCAGTGCTTCCTTTTGTAGTGTTGTTCCTCTATCACCTAATTTCCTAATAAGACCTAGAAATGCATTGTCGTCTGGTAGCTACTAGCTACATGTGGCTCTTTACCTGTACATTTTTAAAAATTAAAGTTTAAAATTTTCAGCCATTGTAGCCACTTATCAAGTGCTCATATAGCCAAATAGGGGTAGTGGCTACCATATTGGATAGTGAAAAGGAACATTTCCATCATCGCAGAAAGTGGTCTCATATAAAGAACTGATATGACAGTGTTTTTTCCATACTCTATTTTGTCTTTTTCCACATGCCAGCTATCTCAACACCATTTGGGGCTATTTTTAGATGTCATAATTTTAGCCAATACTAATGGGTATTTATTGATATCTCATTGTGGCTATTTTTTCATCAATAGTTTTTTGTTTGTTTTGGGGGGCAGATTTTGTTTGTTTGTTTTCATTTTTTTGAGATAGGGTCTCACTCTGCCACCCAGGCTGGAAGACAGTGATGTGATCATGGCTCACCGCAACCTTGAACTACTGGGCTCAGGTGATTCTCCCACTTCAACCTCCTGAGTAGCTGGGACTGCAGGTGTGCACCACCATGCCTAATATAAATATATATATATACACACACATACATATACACACAGACACACACACACACACACACACACATATAGAGAGAGAGCCACTGTGCCTGGCCTAAATAGTTTTATTTTGAAATAATTTTAGATTTATAGAAATGTTCTAAGATAGTAAAAATAAGTTCCATGTACTCTTCACCTAGCTTCTCCTAATATTAACACCTTAAATAACTGTAGGATCTTCATCAAAGCTAAATTAACATTGGTACAATACCATTAACTAAACTACAGGTTTATTTTCCCAGTTTCTTAAGTAATGTCCTTTTTCTGTTCCAGGATCTGTTGGAGGATACTACTTGACATTTCATTGTCATGTTGCTCTGTCTTGCCTTCTCTTTTGTGGCCTTGACACTTATGAAGAGTAGAGGTCAGATAGTTTGTAGGATATCTTTCAATTTGAGTTTATCTGTTGTTTCCTTGTAATTAGACTGAAATTATGGGGTTTTGAGAATACCACCACTGAGGTGATTTTGCTTTCCCAATGTATCACATCAAGGTGTACGTAGTATCAATCTGTTACTGTTAGTGTGAACCTTGAACATCAAGTTAAGGTGGTGTCCATTGGGTTTCTCCATTGTCTATTTGTTCCTTTCCATATACAGTTCATTAGAAATGAATCACTAAATCCACCCCACACTTGGGGGTGGGGGGGTAAATACAAAATGAATAGTGTTTAGAAACCTCATAGAGGAAGGATATAGCCACCACAGTAATTAATAAATATTAGTGGAGAGATATTATGAAATTATGCAAATATTCTAGTTTTTTAAAGTTTTACCCACTGATTTATAGCATTTATTAGTGGATATTGCCTATACCAATTACAACTATGGTGTTCTAATGGTGATTTTCTATTTCCCTCATTTATTCTATATTTAATAATTCAAATTCTTTAAGGAAGATTTGTCTCTTTGCTTCCATTTTTAATATTCTTTAATTTTTTTTTCGAGATGGGTTCTCACTCTATATCTCAGGTTGGAGTGCAGTGGTGTGATCGTGACTCACTGCTGCCTCAACCTTCTGGGCTCAAGTGATCTACCTGAGTAGCTAGGACTATAGGCATGTGCCACCACGCCCAATTAACTAATTCTTTTTTTAAGAGGCAGGGCCTCACTGTGTTACCGAGCCTAGTCTCAAATGCCTGAACTCAAGTGATCTTCCCTCCTCAGCCTCCCAAAGTGCTGAGATCACATGTGTGACCCACCACACCTACTCTGTATTCGTTTTTTACAAATTCAGTAGTCTTTTCTTTTCTTTCTTTCTTTTCTTTTCCTTTATTTTCTTTCTTTCTTTTTCTCTCCCCCTTTCCTCTCCTTTCCTTCCCTTCCCTTCCCTTTCTTTCCTTTCTTTCCTTTCTCTCCTTTCTCCCTCCCCTCCCCTCATTCTCTCTGTGTCATCCAGGCTGGAGTGCAGTGGCGAGATCATGGCTCGCTGAAACCTCAGCATCCTGGGCTTAATTGATCTCCCACCTTAGGCTCCCATGTGTGTGGGGGTGTGTGTGTGTGTTTGCATGTGTATGTAGATGGAATTTCACTGTGTTGCCCAGGCTGGTCTTGAACCTTCTAGGCTCAAGCAATCCTCACAACTCGCCCTTCCAAAGTGCTGGAATTACAGGCCTGAGCCACTACACCTGGTTTGTTTCCATTTTTCATAAATTCTGCCTGGTGCGGAGGCTCACGCCTGTAATCCCAGCACTTTGGGAGGCTGAGGTAGGCAGATCATGAGGTCAGGAGATCGAGACCATTCTGACCAACATGGTGAAACCCCGTCTCTACTAAAAATACAAAATTAACTGGGCGTGGTGGCACGCACCTGTAATCCCAGCTACTTGGGAGGCTGAAGCAGGAGAATCGCTTGAACCCGGGAGGCAGAGGTTTCAGTGAGCCGAGTTCACGCCACTGCACTCCAGCTTGACAACAGAGCAAGACTCCATCTCAAAAAAACAAAAAACAAAGCAAACAAAAAAAAACAAAACAAAAAACCCTTAATTGTCATTTATATCAATAGGGCTCATGGATATTTATTTAGTTCTTTGGGTTATAATCTAAAACTGTGTCACTTTTACTACTCAAATTCGAGATTTAACTATTGAGAGCTTTGTCACATTGGCTTCTGTATCATTGTGACAGACCTGTCATCTTTTTATTACTTTCTTACTTTCTGGCACTACAAGATCATCTAGACTTTCTGTACCCCAGCTTGTTTCTCCAAGGATCACTGGTTCACTTTATCAAAGAGAAGGACCAGGCATGGTGACTCAATTCTCTAATCCTAACACTTTGGGATGCTGAGACAGAAGGATCACATGAGGCCAGGAGTTTGAGACCAGCCTGGACAATGTAGTAAGACCCCCATCTCTTAAAAAAAAAAATTAGCCAGGCATAGTGACATGTGCCTGAGACCTAGCTACTTGGGAGGTTTAGGCAGGAGAATTGCATGAGCCCAGGAGGTTGAGCCTGTGTGAGCCATGATCATGACACTGCACTCCAGCCTAGGTGACAGAGCAAGGCCCTGTCTCTAAACAGAGAAAGAGAGAGAAAGAGAGAGCGAAGAGAGAAAGAGAGAAATAAAAGAAGAAAAGAGAGAGAGGGAGAAAGAGAAAGAAAAGAAAGAAGAGAAGAGAGAAAAAGGAGGGAGAGGGAGGGAGGGAGGGAAGGTAGGTGGGAAGGTGTTTCAAAACCAGCATCTGAGCACTGTTTTCTCGTAAGCTACTGGCAGTAATTGCTTCTAGGTTCTCTCAGCAGATAGAATTAGGAAATATGCTTATGTCTGCTAACTCATGTATACATAGACACACATTGTATTTAATCCTGTTACCTATGTGTGTTTATAATATATATAAAATCGTGAGTTTATAATGGTATCTCTTACTCTAATTCAGTACCACAGAGTTCATGCTAGCATTTCCCTTTGACTTATTTTAACTTCCTTCTCTGATAGTGAGAAAGCTGGCTCTGATTATTTGACATGTATTTACTTATTTATGCAAACCTAGTATACATATAAAGTCGTTTAAAAATTGCTGGCTGGGTACAGTGGCTCATGCCTGTAATCTCAGCACTTTGGGAGGCTGAGGCGGGCAGATCACCTGAAGTCGGGAGTTCGAGAGCAGCCTTACCAACATGGAGAAACTGCGTCTCTAACAAAAATACAAAATTAGCCGGGCGTAGTGACACATGCTGTAATCCCAGCTACTCGGGAGGCTGAGGCAAGAGAATTGCTTGAACCTGGGAGGCAGAGGTTGCAGTGAGTCAAGATCGTGCCACTGCACTCCAGCCTGCGTAACAAGAGCAAAACTCCATCTCAAAAAAAAAAAAAATTGCTGAATCATACCTCTGTGATAAACCAATTTACCAGAATACAATGCTTATATATAGTTCTTTTTGTCTTTAGCACTATAGTATGTAAAGGAAATACTGTTGGCTACAGTTATTTAGGGTCTTTTCATTCCCACCACTTTCAGTAAGTTTATTTCATACATATTTAATACATTTAGACTAATTTATCACAGTTTGCATTCCATCTTGGGTTCCCTTAACATCCTAATTGATATTTTTAAATTAGTATTTGCTGAAAGAAACCTAAAATATTGCTCCTTTACGGTAGTTGGTCCCTTCCACCTGCCAACCATGGGAAAAGTTAATCTGTTTTTCATCTCTGTAGTTTGGCATTTTCTAGAATGTCACATACATGAAATTATAAAATATGTAGACTAGTGGTTCTGGCTTTTTTTTACTTAGCAAAATTCATTTAAGATTCATTCTTATTGTGTGAATCAAGTTTGTGTTTAGTATGTAAAATATATAGTTTAAACCAGATATTTTGGGGCTGATTTCTGTTATTGTATGGTATGCTTTCTGTACTATGAGGATTTTTTAATTTGTTTCTATCTTTTGCCATATCCTCCCACTTTGGTTTGTGTGTATGTTTCTTCCAATAATTTGTGAGACTTGTATTTTTATTCAAGTGACCACATTTAGATCTGTAACTTCATGTAACATGATTAAGATTTTTTTATTTAAAAAAAGGTCTTTTGAGACATGGTCTCACTTTGTTGCCTAGGCTGGAGTACAGTGGCATGATCTCAGCTTACTGCAGCTGCAACTTCCCAGGCACAAGCGATCCTCCCACCTCAGCCTCCCGAGTAGCTGGGTTTACGGGTGCATGCCACCAGGACTGGCTGTTGTTTTACAATATGTTTTTAGAGATAGGGTTTTTCCATGTTGCCCAGGCTGGTCTCAAACTCCTAGGCTCACGTGATCTACCTGCCTTAGCCTCCCAAAGTACTGAGATTACAGTAGTGCACCACTGCACCTAGCCAAGATTTTTTAAAAGATAATAAGTATTCTTTTTCGGGGAATTCTTCATTCTCTTTTCCTAGAAGATTTTTCTTTCCCTTAGTGTTTTTAAGAATACTTAGACCTCAATTACATGATTTATCAGCTTTTCAGGATCTCCTTGACCCCTGGCTATAAAAGATGAGGAAATCTTTCTTACCCTCATAGTCTCACACCTTCCCTCTCCCAATTACTCTATTTTGTATATTTGTTCCCGAGATTTATAACATTTATATTGTTCTGTAACCAAACATATTCTCCTCCCTCCTGCAAATTTTTGATCTTATTCATAACAGTTAAAAGGCAATAAACAGAATCAATGTTTATAGCTAAGCCTTTCATAATAGTCATTTTATCTCTTGGTTTGCTGAGGTTTGTTCTGGTGGTTTCTTCAGAAAGTCACATAGAAACTATATTTCCCAAATTATTTTATGTTCTAAATTTTGTCTCTTCATTTATACTTACATGGTAGTTTGACCAGATACAAAATTAACTAGGCTATCTTTCCTTGAGGAGGTAATAGACATTGCTCTTTTATTATAGGGTTTTTTGGTTTGTTTGCTTTAATGAGATAGGGTCTCACTTTGTTGTCTATGCTGATCTCCAACTCCTGGCTTCAACCAATTCTACTGCCTCAGCCTCCCAAAGCACTGGGATTATAGGCATTAGCCACTATACCCAGCCTATCTTAGAACTGTATTTATTTATTTCTAGAGACAGTGTTTCATTATCACTCCCAGGCTAGAGTGCAGTGGAGCCATCACAGCTCATTGCAGCCTCAAC
Source organism: Homo sapiens (assembly GCF_000001405.40). Taxonomy (NCBI): domain Eukaryota; kingdom Metazoa; phylum Chordata; class Mammalia; order Primates; family Hominidae; genus Homo; species Homo sapiens. The sequence goes on from NC_000010.11 coordinate 74,478,308, forward strand.
CTCCTAGGATTAAATGATCCTCCTGCCTCAGCCTCCTGAGTGTCAGGGACTCCAGGCATGTGCCACCACACCTAGCTAATTTTTAAAAAAAATTTTCATAGAGATGAGTGTCAGTCTGTTGCCCAGGCTTGTCTTGAAGTCCTGGCCCCAAGCAGTCCTCCCACCTTGGCCTCCCATAATGCTGGGATTAAAGACATGAGTGACCACACCCAGCAATTCTTTAAATGATACTTTGAAGAACCTGAGCACGCACATATATTTCTTCCCTCTTTGTTAGTAACTCTCAGTTCCTTATCTAGCTTTATTTTTCTGTCACCTGGTGTATATATTCCTTGGATTATTTGTTTGCTGTCATCTCCATCTATAGAATGCAACTATCAATAGTAAAGGGATTTGGTCTGATTTGTTCTCTGTTGAATTCCAAATAGCTTGTTAGTGTTTAATACTTAGCATATAGCTAATACACATTTATTGAATTAATAAGGTCAGAATTCATGATTCTGCCCCATTCTCCATCCTTATAAGTACTTTGATGGGTTTGATTGCTTACAAAAGGATTCGTTTCACATTTTGAATTCCCGTGCCTTTACTCAGATATGTCTTGGTCTTCACTACTGTGTGTCAGTGTTGTGCTCTTTCCAACTATATTTTTCTGTGCTATTTCTAGAAAGTTCTTCCACATGTATCTTTTTTTAAAAAATATTTTTTTGAGACAGGGTCTTACTCTGTCTCCCAGGCTGGAGTGCAGTGGCATGATCTCTGCCCACTGCGACCTCTGCCTCCTGGTCTCAAGTGATCCTCCCACCTCAACTTCCCAAGTAGCTGGAACCACAGGCACGTACCACCACACCTATCTAGTTTTTGTATTTTTTGTAAAGACGTGGTTTCACCAGTTGCCCAGGCTGGTCTCAACACCCGGGACTAAGCAGAGCTCACCTCGGCCTCCAAAAGTGCTAGGATTACAGGCATGACCCATCGTGCCCAGCCTCACATATCTTTATATTAGGATTGCAGCTTCTGTTTTCTACTATTCCCACTGGCCTGGTTTATCATTCTCTATCTCTTTTAGCCACTTTGTTTTTTGTTGGTTTTTTTTTTTTTTTCATTTTTTTTCTCCCTACCCCTCTCTTTTAGCCACTTTGAATTGGTTTGTTTTAGTGTCTCTTTGCCATACAGCAGAGAATTTTCTTTTGCTTCCTGAGGCAATCTGAATATACTTTCATGTCAATAAGCTGCTGATATATTTGGCCTCAAACCTGTCATGTTATTCTATAATTACTAAATATATATGTATACTGTTTTTCTGTGTGATTTATTATCTCTGCTGTTTTTAAATTTTTTATTCTGGCATTTTGGAAAGGTTTATATTTCTTTTCTAGCCATTAGCTTTTCTTTTAAGTGTGCTTTTTATGGTGGCCTTAATCCCCATTTTTCTTATAACATTCTACTCTCCAATCAGTTTTAAATGATATCCTTTGATTCTCACCTATTATCTATACAACAGTGATTTTATTCTGCATTTTTCTCTCACTTCTTTGTTTTAAAATTGTATTACTTCTACTTTGTCAGAATATGCAGTGCTTACAAACTATGTTCTTTCCATCCTTTTTAATTTATAATTATAATTATCTTATTAAATGTAATGAGGTTTACCAACAACAGTCCTGTGTTTGAGTTTTCCCCCAATCATGCTTGGATGAAGCTTATCTTCTAATACATTTCTCAGGAAAGGCGTATGTGTACAGTATCCTCTGTGTTCTTTTTTTTCTATTACTTTATACTTTTTCCTACACAAAGACAGCTTGGCTGCATATAAAATCCTTGACTTTATTTCTTGGAAATAATGTTCTAGTTTTGTCTTGCTTTGTGTTTTGCTCTTGAAGTCTAAGGCAGCCTAATTTTCTTTCTTTCTTTCTTTCTTTTTTTTTTTTTTTAAAGAGACAGAGTCTCACTCTGTCACCCAGGCTGGAGTGCAGTGTGGTATGATCATACTTTACTACAGCCTTGATCTCCTCAGCTCAAACAATCATCCAACCACAGCCTCCTGAGTAGCTGGGACTACAGGCATGTGCCACCATACCTGGCTAATTTGTTGTTTTTTGTTGTTTATTTGTTTGGTTGGTTGGTTGGTTTTGTTTTTGTTTGTTTTTTGTAGAGACAGGGATCCTGCTATGTTGCCCAGGCTGTTCTCAAACTCCAAGCCTCAAATGATCCTCCCACCTCAGCCTCCCAAAGTTTTAGGATTATAGGCATGAGCCACCACACCCAGTCCCTAGCCTAATTTTCTTATTCTTATTTTTCTAATTTCTTACTCTTAATTTTATCTTTTTGCCTGTAGGCCTGAAAATACTGTTTCATCATTAAGGTCTAATAATTTTACCAGGATGTGTCTTAGACCTTTCTTGTTTGGGGTCAGTTTTTCCAGGTATGCAATAATAAGCTGGAAATATAGTTTCTAGCTTATAGAGTAATATGGTAGCTCATGCCTTGCACATGCTTTTACACCAGCAGCACATCTTTTAAATGTGTAGATTTAAATTTTCATCTATTTCTGGAAAGTTTTCTTAGACTATATTTTAAATATACTATTCCATTGCGTTATTTTTTCCTCAAGGATTCTGTGTTTATGTTGGATCTTCTTTTCCTGTCTTCCATTTCATCTACTTTCTCTCTTTGTTATGTCTTTCTTCTCTCATTTTCATTCTTTTGGTTGTTTGCCTTCATTTTTTCAGTGTACCTTTTTAGATTTTCACTTTATTAATGTATTCAGCATGGTGCACTTTGTAATTTATTTCTGGGATTGTTTTTTCCTTTTATTGCATTTCTTCCCTGATTACTTTGTCCTAGTAATGTTGAAGACATGGTCATATATTGTTTTATTTGTACTTCTTGTGGCTTATTGAGAGAATACGAAGATAAATTTGGTTTCAGATTATTGCCATTATCCTGAAATAGATTTTGAACTGTTTTTCTGTGCTACTACTTTGTTACTCTAATTTAGGAATGCCATTTATATTATCTTAGATTCACTTTTCCTCTTGTTCTGTCCTTTTCTCACCAATTTATTTTATTACCTTTGTTAGTTCCTATTTCATTTTGCTTGCTTTACACAGTCCTGACCTCCATTTTATTTACTATATTTTTATCAGTGTTTTTTTCTCCATTTCTTTGATGGTTGCATTTTTCTTTCACACTCTCTTGAGCCCAGCCAGTTTGTGTTTCACCATCTGTTAATATGTTTAATTATAACTTCTCTATACTTTAGTGTCTCTGCTTAATAGGGATAATTGCTTCATGAATTTTGTCCATGCATTTGCTTATAATTGATGTGTGTTCCATTACTATATATTTCTGTTAAATGTCTTGTATGTGTCATTTACTTTGCTACTTTTTTTTTCTTCTGTCCTCATACAAATTCTGTTCTGGTTCCTTTTTCATTTCTCATCTTCGAATATGGTATTTTCCTACATTAGCTATTTTACATGAGGTTTAATTAAGGAAGGGGTTACACATGTATTTCATACTATGAAGAATTGTCCATATGATGCACATATGCCAGTTCAATTAATGGTCTTAACTCAGGACAATACAAATAGTACCTATTGTTTCCTACCACTATTCCTAAGCACCTTATATCAGATTTTCTTTTCCTTAACCCTTGGAGACATCTAGGGAAGATTCATCGTAGTTTTTAGTCACTTTCAGCTGTTAAGGAAATTGCCCTGCTTTTGGTTATTTAAACAAATTTTAAGTCTGTTGTTAAAAATGTCAGTCTTAAACTGTGTTTGTATTAGTCCTTTCTTGCACTACTATGAAGAAATACCTGAGACTGGGTAATTTATAAAGAAAAGAAGTTTAGTTGGTTTATGGTTCTGCAGGCTCTACAGGAAATGTGGCTGGGGAGGCCTCAGGAAACTTTCAATCATGGCAGAAGGGGAAGCAGGCACATCTTACATGGCTGGAGCAGAAGGAAGTGAGACAAGGGGGAGACGCTACACACTGTTAAACAACTATAGCTCATTGAAAACTCATGCACTATCACAAGAACAGCAAGGGGAAAAATCCACCCTCATGATCCAATCATCTCCCACCAGGCCTCTCTTGCAACATTGGGGATTACAATTTGACATGCAGCTTGGGTGGGGACACAGAACTAAACCATATCATTCTGCCCCTGGCTTCTCCCAAATCTCATGTCTTTCCTACAGTGCAAAATAGAATCATCCCTTCCCAACAGTCCCCCAAGACTTAACTCATCTCAGCATTAACTCAAAAGTCCACAATCTGAAGTCTAATCAGAGACAAGGCAATCTCTTCCACCTCTGAGCCTGTAAAATACAGTTAGTTACTTCCATGATACAATGGAGATACAGGCATTGGGTAAATCCCTGTTCCAAAAGGGATAAATCAGCCAAAAGAGAGGGGCTACAGGCCCCATGCAAGTCCGAAACCCAGCAGGGCAGTCATTAAATCTTTAAACTCCAGAATAATCTTTGACTCTATGTCTCACATTCAAGCCACACTGATGCAACGAGTAGGCTCCCAAGGGCTTGGGCAGTTCTGCGTCTGTTGCTCTGCAGGGCTCAGCTCCCATGTCAGCTCTCAAGGGCTGGCGTTGAATGCCTGCAGCTTTTCCAGGTGCATGATGCAAGCTGTCGGTGGACCTACCATTTTGAGGTCTGGAGGACAGTGGCCCTCTTCTCACCATTCCAATAGGCAGTTTCCCAGTGGGGACTCTGTATGAGGACTCCAACCCCACATTTCTCCTTTGCATTGCCCTAGTAGAGGTTCTCCATGAGGGTTCACCCCTGCAGCAAACTTCTGCCTGGACATCAGGTGTTTCCATACGTCCTCCGAAATCTAGGCAGAGGCTCCCAAGCCTCATCTCTTGCCCTCTGCATACCCACAGGCTAAACACTAGGTAGAAGCTGCCAAGGCTTACAGCTTGCACCCTCTGGAGCAGTGGCCTGAGATGTATCTGGGGCTCTTTTTTCCATGGCTGGGACGCAGGGAGCAGTATCAAGGTTGCACAGGGCAGCTGGTCCCTGAGCCTGGCCTAGGAAAGCACTCTTCGCTTTTATGACTCTGGGCTGGTGATGGGAGGGGCTGCTGCAAATGTCTCTGAAATACCTTAGCAGCATTTTCCCCACTGTCTCGGCTATTAACATTTGGCTCATTTTTACTTATGCAAATTTCTACAGCCAACTTAAATTCCTGCCCAGAAAATTTCTCTTTTCTACCACACGGTCAGGCTGTACATTTTCCAAACTTTCCAAATTCTGTTTCCCTTTTAAATATAAGTTCCAGTTTCAGATCATCTCTTTGCTCACATATATGAGCATATGCTGTTAGAAGCAGACAGGATACATCTTGAATGTTTTGCTGCTTAGATATTTCTTCTCCCAGATACCATAAATCATCTCTCTCAAGTTCAAAGTTCCACATTTCCCTAAAGAAGGAGCACAATGCTGCTAGTCTCTTTGCTAAAGCATAGCAAGAGTGACCTTCACTCCATTTGCCAAGAAGTTCCTCATCTCCATCTGAGACCTCCTCAGTCTGGACTTGACTGTCCATAGCACTATCAGCATTTAGGTTACAACCATTTAACAAGTCTCTAGGAAGTTCCAAACTTACCCGTATCTTACTATATTCTTATGAGCCCTCCAAACTGTTTCAACCTCTGTGTGTTACACTGTTCCAACGTTGCTTCCACATTTTCAGTCATCTTTATAGCCATGCCCCAGTCGTAGGTACCATTTTTCCGTATTAGTTTGTTCTCGTACTGCTATAAAGAACTACCTGAGACTGGGTACCTTAGAAAGAAAAGAGGTTTAATTGGCTCATAGTTCCGCAGGCTCTACAGGACATATGGCTTGGGAGGCCTCAGGAAACTTACAATCATGGCAGAAGGGGAAGCAGGCACATCTTAAATGGCTGGAGCAGAAGGAAGAGAGACAAGAGGGAGGTGCTACACACTGTTTAACATCCAGATCTCATTGAGAACTCGCTCATTATCACAAGAACAGCAAGAGGGATATCTGCCCCACTAGGCCCCTCTTCTAACACTGGGGATTAAAATAAACACGTGATTCGGATGGGAACACAAATCTAAACCTATCAGTGTTTACATTTTTTATTTTTATTATTTTTATTACAAAGCTCAGCTTTCCAATATACTCTGCTTATAAACTGAAATTTTTAATATTATTTAAAATGTCAATTCTCCCTACAGTGAGCCATAGAATCAATGCCTTTCCAACCAAAAAACAAGATTTTTGTGAAACTTTACCATACATTTCTATGGAAAAGCAAAACGGCAAGAATATTCAAACTACTCCTGAAGAGGGACAACAAAGTGGGATGTAGCCTACCATATATCTGAACATTCTGTGATTTTTGTAATATAGCAGTTCGCTATTAGGACAGTGGTAGACCAGTGTAATGGGACAGAGAGGACAGAGACAGATGCCTTCATTTCCATAAGGAAATGGTTGATTATTCAATAAATGGTGCTGCGATAATTATTTTTTCATAACAAAAAAGTGAAATCAAATTTCTGTTTTATACTATACACAAAAATCAATTTCAGGTGAATTATAGATCTAAATATGAAGGTAAAATGACAGAGCTTTTGGAAGGTAACTTTTGAGAATATCTGTATGATCTCGGGGTGTGGAAAAATTTCTTAAGCAGGACACAAAAGCATAAAGGCAAAGACTAATAAGTTGTACCACATTAAAATTAAGAGCCTTTGTTTATCAATAGGTACCTTTAAAAGATTAAAAGGCAAGCCACTGAGTAGGAGAAGACATGTGTGACACAAATAACCCAGAAAGAATTAATATCCATAATATATTTTCAAAATTTTAGTAATCAATATGGAAAAGACAACACAGAAGAAAAATAGTCAAAAGATACCAACAGGAAATTTACCTTAGAAGAAAATCACATGTGTATTGAAGGAATGAAAAATTGTTCTACCTCATCATTAATTAGGGAAATGCATTAGCCGGGCATGGTGGCACATGCCTGTATTCCCAGCAATTCAGGAGGCTGAGACGGGAGTATTGCTTGAGCCCAGGATGTCAAGGTTGCAGTGTGGTATGATCTTACCACTGCACTCCAGCCTGGGTGACAGAGTGAGACCCTGTCTCAAAATAAATAAATAAATAAATAAATAAATAAATAAATAAATAAATAATCCTTTGAAAAATAAGGGAAATTCAAATGTAATCCACAATGAGGTATCATTTTATACCAGTTGATAAAAATTTTAAAGTCTAAAAATTTCAAATGCTGCATAAAATTAGAATTACTGACTCTTACACACTTGAAGATACAAATTCCCTACTATCCCCAGAAAATGTTATTGCTTTTAGACACTAATTATATCCAATATCTAGAACTTAGTCTAATAAACTATGAACAAGGCCTCTACCAAGAACACTTAAAACATAATTGTGAGAACTTAAAATGTAAATGGAGGTGTGTTTTAAAGATGTTTATTTATTAGAAGACTCAATACTGTAAAGATGCAATATTTGTCCATTTTAGTCTGTAATTTCAATGCAATTCTGATTAAAATCCTAACAAGTAGGGGTGTATATGAGTGTAAATTGACAAACTCATTTTTATATGTTTTTGGAAAGTCAAAGGATAATAATAGCCAAGACCATCTTCAAGACAAATAAGATGGGAGAATTTACTGGTGATATGGTTAGGCTTTTTCTCCCATATCCCCAAATCTCATCTTGAATTGTAATCCCTATAATCCCCACGTGTCAAAGGAGAGACCTGGTGGGAGGTGATTGGATCATGGGGGCGGTATCCTTCAGGCTGGTCTCATGATAGTAAGTGAGTTCTCATGAGATCTGATGATATTATAAGTGTAGTTGTCTTTTCCACACTTGCACGCTCTCTCTCTCTCTCGCCTGCCACCATGTAAGACGTGTGTCTTCCCCTTCTGCCATAATTGTAAGTTTCCTGAGGTCACTCTAGCCATGTGGAACTGTGAATCAATTAACTCTTTTTTCTTTAGAAAATACCCAGTCTTGGGCAGTACTTTATAACCGTGTGAGAACAGACTAATACAACTGGATATTGAGTCATCTTATAAAGTTAAAATAATAAGACATTGTGACATTGGTGCAGTGATAAATAATGGAACAGAATAGGAAACCCAAAAACACACCAACAGGTATAGTTTTCCATTTTGATTGTTCCTTTCATTAGATGTTTAAAACTTTATAATGAATATGTACTTTTAGTCAAAATTTATTTACTTGAGAAGCAAAGTGATGTATGGATTATGGCCTCTGAGGCTATAATGTGAGTTTGACCCAAATAATGATCCAAATGTGAGTTCCAGTCCCAGTTTTGTCCTATACTACTAGCTGTTTGAGCGTATTCAACTGGTCTGTGGTTCTTAGTTTTTTTATCTTTAACACAAGATAATAAAATTACCTCTCAGAATTATGGTGAGAATTTGACATAACAAGTATAATCCTGCTGGCACATGCTGTTCCCTTGATGAGGGGAATTTGTTATTATGTTTCTTAGGAACACAAAACTTCTGTTTATTCTTGGTAAGAATTCATGTTTCCCAGATCTATGTGTACTATTTGTTATATTTAAGGTTATCAAATTGTATCCTTGGTAATGGTTGCCACTGGATCTTTTTTGGAATATGTACAACTCCTTATTCAAAGTGGCTTTCTAATCATGATTAGTTTTTTGTAGTTTTGGAAGAGCCATATTACTGCCCTGCATTCATAAAGCAGTCTTGTAAACACTGATTATGATAGTGTTTTGAAAAATTAAAAGCCTCCAAAATCACTAATTTTTAAAAAATAATGCAGTTAAATATAGAAAAGGATTAGCCATAGATATTTTGTAGTTAACCCTATTATCATTAACCTAAGTGAATAGAACCTAATTTTTGTACTTGCTAATAATTGCTATTAAGAATTTTGTTAATCGTGTGTGGATTGGTGCTTGAGTTCAGAATGAATGATTGATAGGGGACAACTCTAAGAAATACAGCACTTACATTAATGTTTTATTAAACAGAAAAAGCTTTAATGTTTTATTAAACAGATTTTAAGAGTTACAGTCTTAAAATCTTTATTATTTATTTTATGAAATATTTCATTTTGTTTTTTTTCTGGGCACTTTAAAATTGAGATGAGGATGGTAGAATTTGCCAGTTTATTTTTTGGCTATTTTTTTTTTAACCCATCTTATTTTGAGAACGAATTTAGTAATATTTTTCTCAACATCCTGAAATTGTGTAACCTGTAGAAACTTCCCACTGTCTTTTTAAACTTATTCTTAAATACCACATTTAATATAGGATAAATAAGTCACAAAGCTTGCTTATCAAAACAGAATATTGTATTCAGCTTTCCATCGGAGCTTTTGGGGAAGACATCACAGTATTGTACTGTCTCCCAAGATGCAAAGTATCAGGCTTTAAATAATGAAAATAAGGGAAATGCCAATAGAAAATTAGAAAAAATGTTAGAACAGTTAAAAACAGCATACTGAAGCCTGCATTATTTGGCTTATCTAAAAATCATATGTTTTCAACCAATCAGTACTTATAGTCATTCTATTTAATCTTTTAAGAAGGAGACATAATCCACCCTCACCAAGTGATTCAGTGTAGCATCCTAACTAATAATGACTTAATGTGTGTCCAAATGGCATGTAATGAGAAGTATGAAACATTGTCTGTATACTTTCTTGCCTAAGATACTTAACTGAGTCTAATCATAAAGTTCAGACATATCTTCACTGTGGAACATTTCTACAAGACAACGGCCTGGACTCTTCAAAAATGCCACTGTCATGAAAGACAGTAAGGAGAATGGAAGGAGACTTTCAGATTAAGGGAGACTAAAGAGACTTAAGCAAATGTAGTATTAGATCCTTGACTATATATTAGATAATACTACATCACTGCCACATTTTGTGCTTATATAGGAAAATCTCCTTGGTCAGTATGTATCATAATAGGGTCATAATGTCTGCAACTTATTTTCCAGTGGTTTGAGGGGAAAAAAGACGTGTGTGTGTGTGTGTGTGTGTGTGTGTGTGTAAAGAATATGTTCTAATTGATACATATACGTAAATAGCATAGGAGTGTTCATTTGTACTACTCTCAATTTTTTCTATAGGCTTGGTTTCAAGATGAAATTTGAAAAACCTTAAGGGAAAATATGTTTAAAGTATGATAATAACAAATTAGCACACTAGATAAACTTTTTATAGCTTTTGTGAGTTTTTTTCCTTCAGAAAATCATATTTATGTAGATAGCAGGATTAAAGAAAACTTTTCTAAATTTCAGATGTCAGAAATGGAGACATCTAAATTGTTTTTCCATTTCATCTCTAAATGCTAATGAAAACTGGACTTTTACGACATTAAAGACATTTAATTGATCTCTGTGGGATTTCATGTTTAGCTTTTTTCAACAGCTATATATTGAACATTTAGGTGATGAGATTGAGTAGCTAATCTTAGAGGCGCTCTATTGAGATTGTCCAGATTCCAACCCTGATCCCACAACTTACCACCTTTGTGATCTTGGACAAGTAATTTGAGATATCTGTGCCTCATTCTCCTCAAATATTCAACAGGATAATAATAATACATACCAGTTTCTTAGGATTGTAGTAATGCTTAAATGAATTAATATATTTGGAGCACTTAGGAAAGAGCCAAGTACATAGTAATTTTCTAAAAATTATACCTACTTATTATGTGGATCTTTGCTGAGGAAATATGAGTAAGCATACAAGACTGGACAGGCTTTGAGTAGTGAAGATGTTTTACTCACAAGCAAGGTAATTATGCCTTTTATATTAAAAGAAAGTTCATATGGAACACTCTGCTTATATGCTTCATCTTCTTTTCAATCAGATAATAAGTTCTCCAATGTAGAAGGGAAATGTCAGCCTCACACATAAAAATATACCTGTCAGAGATTATATAAGTGTCAAAATAATACTATCTAGAGAAATTCAGGACATTTGGATAAATAAAGGAATGTCATGTAGTTTGGATAGAACATAGAGAAGTGAGGAAAGGAGACATTCCCAGATAGAATAACAGCTCAATGACTTGAACAAGGATACAGATGCATGTAGTATACACAGTGGACTAGACCATTTATGTGTGTATGTACATATGTGAAAAAAAGTCTTTGAAATGTTTGCATTTCAATTAAATTCTGATTTTAAGAACTTATTTTCCCCCTGTATCCTGTGTGTGCTAGCATTCTGTTTCCTAAGGCATTCTTTCAGACAGACATACCTAGTCCTGAAAATGCTGCTATTATTGTTCCAGATACAAAGCAGGATGTCATAATTTTTTTTTTTTACTATTCCAACTGGAATAATATGGCTCAACTTAAGTTCTGTACAAAACTACTTAATGATAACTCACAAAATTAAACCAATTTATATTTTCTGCAGTTAAAATAGAATGCACAGATTTTTAAAGACCTAGGACACATTATTATATCTAGTTCCTGAAATCATTAAATGTCCATGGGGAAGAAAAAAACTTGTGTAAGTAGGAATAATATAATTGGATTTGCAATGCTCTCTTAAGAGATTCTTTAAAATCATGTGAAATAAGTAGAGTTTCTATGATTTTTTAAAAATCACAAATAGCATATATCCGTTTTATCTTTAATAGTGTTTGAGCCCATCATTTGAAAGCATTGGAGCATGTAACCAATATTTCTGAAAATGAACCATGGTTCCAGTCATAATCTATATGCTTTAAAATTCCTTCCCTTTATTCTTTCTTCCCAAATCCATGACATCTGAATTTCAATAAGGAAGAAAATAAGCATGTTTTTAAAATGTTTTAGAAAAGATTTTCAAAATTAGATTAAAATGTTTGAGGAAATAAAAACTTCTTTATGTATTCATTGTGATACTGATTTTTATCAATGTCTTTTTGTAAAAATACCTATATACTAACTTTGAATAGGTCCAACATATGGTAATGTGTTATGCAATTAATGATAATGTAGAACGATGTTAAACCCACAGAATATTGCCAAGGATTTACCAACAACCAAAAATGTAATTATATAGAAGAAAAGTGTAGTTACAAATGCAGTCTTTTGTCTTTTTACATTCTCTATATGTAGAGGGTAACAGAAATACTGTATCACTTTTTAGTATATGTTCTCCCAGAATAAGTTGCCACAATTAGAACAGAGTTTAGGAGCCTATATTAAGCTTTACTAGTTATGGTTATTTCCATAGTGCTAGTAAATAAGAGAAAAAAACTTTTTGAACCCATGTCTCATTGTAGGTCTCCTAAAGGAAAGTGGCCCAAAGTCCAAATACTTCAATACCGTTCGTCTCTGCCTGATAACAAAGTGTTTTGTTTTTGTTTTTACCCTCGGACAAGCCAGTCAGCTGATCTTTGTCCTAATTTGTTCCTGGTAGAATTGAACAAGATGTTTGCAGAAGCTTCCTCTAGTTTGAAAATTGTATTGATTTTTTTTCCCCATAGTAACTCACAGATGGCTTCTCAGGTTGGAAATAATGGTGTCCATGTTTAGGTACCACGTGTTAGATCAGATTTGTACTCATGGATCTGTGATTATTTTAACTTTTTCTTGTTATTTATAAAAATAATTATGTACTTCTCTCTGGGGTTTAATGTGTCTTTTTATTCTCAAAAAATGTAGTACATTGATCAGCCACCTAAAATACTAGCCCTATAGAATTCTAATAGTTAGGTTTTATATACAGCCATTTGTCGATTAAATATTAAATACCGGATCAGCTTAAAATGGACACACAAAAAAACACTACCACATAAGCTATACAGTGCCTTTTTTCACAGTGTCTTATAGGTGGAAGATACTCAGTGAGTGTTTGTTGAGTGAATAAAGGATCTTCACTTGGTGCATCCCATTTCCTTACAATTTATTATTTTTTATTTTACTTTACTTTGAGTCAGGATCTCACTAGGTTGCCCAAGCTGGACTTGAACTTTTAGATCCAAGCAATCCTCCTGCGTCAGCCTCTCAAGCAGCTGGGACTACAGGGATATGTCACTATGTTCGGCTTTAATTTTTATTTTATTATGAAAGTTTTCAAGTAGCAAAAGCGATGTAATGAACCCCATCTACCCATTACTGAGATTCAATAATTACTAAGATTTTGCCACACTTGCTTTATCTAGTCTTTAAAGAAATTTCTCCACTGAATGATTTACTTTAAAATACTTGACCTCCTGGCCTTTTACTCTGTATTTTAAAGAAAGCTGTAGTAATTTGTGACATAAACCAATAGAGAGCAGCTAAATTTTGTTATATCTTCATAGCAATTGACTATATTTTGGTTTGTCTTACCAATAATTTGATGAATGACCTTTCATTTTCAATTTATCTTTGGTAACTAAGTAGATAAGTGGGAGTGTAGGTTTACTTATTTAAATTCTTTGAATTTGTGTGTGTGTGTTGCTTTCCCCCCCGATAGAAACTATAAATGGTAGTGTTATTGTGGTTAGGAGTATGGGGCTATGGAGTTGGGGAAAACATGTATGAATCTCAGTTCTACTACTTTACCTTTTGAATGTGGGCAAGACAAGTCTCAGAGTTGTTTTAGTTTTTTTAATTTTAACTTTGAAATAATTGTAGAAAAATAGCAAAACTAGTTTAATGAATTCCCATATGTTAATATTTACCACAGCTATTGTATGTATGTATGTAGAGTTTTTTTCCTGAGTCGTTTGAGAGTAAGTTGCAAAAATAATGCCTCTTTAACCTCTAAATACTTGAGGTGTGGTTAGTAAAAATTCACGTTTTGTTACATAACCACAGTATATTTATCCAAAACAGGAAATTAACATGGATAAAGTATTACTGTCTTATCTAGAGATCTTATTCAAATTTTTTCAGTTATACCACTAATACCCTTCATGGCAAAAGAAAAATTATTTTATTCTTAGGTTGAATCCAAGATCACATGTTACATTTAGTTGTCATCTCTAGAAACTGCTGGTAGTCCTAGCTATTTGGGAGGCTGAGGAGGGAGGATCACTTGAGCCCAAGAGTTCGAGTCTGACCTGGGCAACATAATAAGACTCTGTCTCTTAAAAAAAAGAAAGAAAAGAAAAGAGACAGAAGAAGAAAACAGAATAAGCTCATGGACTGTTATAAAGGCAATAAATGTGACATAAAGGATGCTAACCAAAACAGATAAATAGTAAAAGGTTAAATAACAGAGGACTTAGCTATTTGCAAGTACTGACAAATTTTCATGATTGGGCAATGAATGATGTGACGTTAACACATCTGACTTTATCTTTCATGACTTTGATATTTTTGAAAAGTATAGGCTGCTTATTTTGTAGAATGTACCTTAAGTTTTTTTTATGTTTCCTTATGATTAGATTTAGGTTATGCCTTTTCATAAAATACTATGGATATGACCTATCCTTCATGTACCATATTAGGAGGTACATGATACCTGTTTTATCCTATTGCTGATGATGTTACCCTTTGATCATAACATTATATTTTCAAATTTCTCTACCATAAAGTTACCATTTTCCTTTTGTAATGGATCTCTTGTGGGAAGATACTCTGAGAGTACCTAACTATCCTATTTCTCATTACATGTTCACATGCTAGTTTTGACATCCATTCTTCCTAGAGACAGTTATTACTATGGAGATTGCCAAATAATGATTTGTTTTTCATTCCATCATTTTTTCTGCATTTGTTAGTTGGCTTTCAGCTTCAATTTTTATATCTGTAAAATGAACCTAATTGATGTAAAATTGGTTAATAACACCCAAATCATGTAGGGTATAAGATAATGCATTTTATTTTATTTTATTTTACTTTACTGAGACAGAGTCTCAGTCTGTCACCCAGGCTGGAGTGCAGTGAGTGACATGATTATGGCTCATTGCAGCCTTGAACTCCTGGGATCAAGTGATCCTCCCACCTCAGGCCTCCCTAGTAGTTGAGACCACAGGTGTGCACCAACACACCCAGCATGTATGTGTGTGTGTGTGTATATACATATATATGTATATCCACACATACATACATACACACATCTTTACATATATAGACCTCATCTATATATATATATATATCTCATCTATATAGAAGAGATATATATAGAGAGATATATAGATATAGAGAGAGATATAGATATATAGATATAGATATAGATATAGATAGACATAGATATATATCTCATCTGTATATATATAGATGAGGTCTCCATATGTTGCCCAGGTTGGTCTCGAAATCCTGGGCTCAAGTGATCCACCCACCTCAGCCTCCCAAATAATACATTGATTTGGGACAATTCTTAGCACATAACTCTTTAAAATATTAGATATTATAATTTTTATTATGCTAGTATCTACTTTTCAGTTGAAGAAATAGATCATTTTAAAGATCTTTGAAAGGTCATAGGAAATGTTAAAAATATCAGGTATTTTATGTGTACCTACCATGAATGTTTTACCTCATCTTTGGTAAGGTCAGAAGTGAGATGATGTAACAGCCATCATATGTATGTGTATTTTTTTTATTGACCTGAGACAGTTTTTGGTTATTTAATGCAGAAAATATATTTGCAGTGTACTTCATATGATATGCAGTACTTTAAATACTTGTTGTAATGTGGTCATTTAATAGGAGAGAAACTTAGAGACATGGTAAATTAAGTTTTGATTTAGTATACTGAATGATGAAATAGAATTATTTATGGTCATTTTAATTCTTTAAAAGTTTTTAAATTAGTATTTTAAAATAATATATGTACACAGTTTACTGATTTTGTCCTTAAGGGTATACTGTGGAAAAGAGCAATACCCTGCCCTGTACTTTGACAGCCCTTTTAGCTATTTCTTCTTTTACCTACCTCCATATTTTTAATCACCTCACCTATCCAGGTTAGATATTATGTACTTACCAACTTCCTACTATGATAAGATAAATATTTGTCTCTCTTATATACATACATTCTGTCCTCTCCTCCTCTCCAGTTCTCCAGTAGAGTTTTTGATAAATCAGTTTTCAGCATAAATAATATTATACAGATGTATGTATTATTTATTTCTGAGACAAATTATATTCTATGGTGTTTTACAACTTTTAGTTTCTCCTAGAGTTTAGAATTCCCTTATCTTTTTGTTTCCTTAGGTTTCTTTATACCTGTGGTGACTTCCATACACATATCTTCCAATAGCTTCTCACATTTATTTTGTGCATAGTTAAAAATGTGAGTTTTAATTTGTAAAGGTAATTATAAATCATGTGCTCTGAAAGCTTTGTTTTTCTTATTTTTTTCTTTCTCTCTCTTTTTTTGTTTTTGAGATATAGTCTCACTCTGTTGCCCAGGCTGGAGTGCAGTGGCATGATCTCAGCTCACTGCAACCTCTGCCTCCCGGGCTCAAGCGATTCTCCTGCCTCAGCCTCCCAAATAGCTAGGATTACAGGGGTGAGCCACCACACCCGGCCAAGTTCTTTTGATGGCTCACATCCTTCATTAACTTTCTGAGAAAAAATACAAGGGAGATAAATATTTTGAGAACCAAAGTGTCTCAAAGTATCTCTGTTTACTCACTCTGGATTAATATATGGGCTCCATGTGGAATTCTAGTGAGAAAATTTATTTTCTTTAGACTCTTGAAACCATTGCTCTATTATATTCTAAACTTACATATTGTTTTTGAGAGGTCTGGTTCTTTTTTTTCCTAAGCCTTTATATATGATCTGCCTTTTCTCTAGAAGCATTTATGATCTGTCTCTGGTTTTCTAAAGTTTCATGATAAATAATAATGATGTAGATCTCTTCATTAATTCATTATATTAATACATTATTCCCTATAAATTTAGACAATAAGTCAGTTCTGTGAATTTTTAAATGAAATTTTACTTCCTGGGTTGATCCTCTATTTTTCATTTTTTCTTTCTTTTTGATTTTTTTTTCCTTTTTTTTCTCTTTCATTGAAGTTGAGCTTTTTGCATACTCTTCTCAAGTGTCTGGTAATGCTGGTAGTGCATTTATATTTAAGAGTGATGCACTAGACAATGTACAAAATGAGACCTTTCAACTTCCTTAGGGTATTTGAGTAAAAGACAGCTTTTTCATAGGGGAAGTAATTTACATGCACCTTCTCCAGGGCTATTTAATTTCTCCAAGGAAAAATGGATTCTCTAATTTTCTTTTTGGGTGAACTTAAGCCTAAGTACTGGTCAGGAAAAGGGTCAGAAGGGCTATTTGGTATGTAAGTGTTCACATAACCAGCCCAGCCTGTTCTTAGTTCAGCACTTCACCCATTTCCCTATCTTCCTTTGTGCTTGGAGTTCCTGAGTCTGAAGCCTTTCCAGTTCTTTCCTAGCCTACCTTCCCTCCATTATTCTGCAGAGGTAGGAAAAGGACACTTGTCAGGCTATATGAGGTGGGAATGGGGTCTGAAAGTTCTGCTGTTAATTATCTCCCTATTTTCAGCTCTACTAGTTACCTGGTACCACCATTTTCTGAATTTTCCAAGGTTTGGAGGGTGAATCAGCTTGATTTTTGTTGGAATCTCCTCTTAGTAGGCTTTTATACTTTAGCTTTCTTCCCCCTGCTAATCTAATTACCTTTTCTCCATATACTGTCTGACCTCAGAAATTGTAATCCAGGATTATCAGTATCTTCTAGTTTTTTTACTAATATGGTTAGTTGTAATTTTTCATTATTGTCTTGAGATGATTTTTGATAGGAGAATGTGCAGAAATGTTTATATTTTGGCATCAGAAATATCACCTTTGGAGGGGGCGAGGGGGTCTTACCTAGGCTGGAGTGCAGTAATGCAGTCACAGCTCACTTCAGCCTCTACCTCCTGGGCTCAAGCAATCCTCCTGCCTCAGCCTTTCAAGTAACTTGGACTACAGGCATGTGCCACTGCTATGGTTTTGCTCTGTGTCCCCACCCAAATCTCACCTTGAATTGTAATAATCTCCACATGTCAAGGGTGGGACCAGGTGGAGGTAATTGAATCATGGGGGTGGTTTCCTCCATGCTGTTCTCATGATAATTAATGAATCTCACAAGATCAGATGGTTTAATAAGCATCTGGCATTTCCGCTGCTTGCATTCATTCTCTCTCCTGCCACCTTGTGAAGAGGTACCTTCCGCCATGATTGTAAGTTTCCTGAGGCTTCCAGCCATGCTGAACCATGAGTTGATTAAACTTCTTTTCTTTATAAATTACCCAGTCTCAGGTATTCCTTCACAGCAGTGTGAGAATGGACGAATACAGCCACCATGCCACACTATGTTTTTAATTTTTTTGTAGACACAGAATCTTGCTGTGTTGCCCAGGCTGGTCTCAAACTCCTTGGCTCAAGTGATCCTCTTGCTTCCACCTCCCATAGTGCTAGGATTATAGGCGTGAACCACCATGCCTAGCCAGAAATACTATCTTAAAATCAACTCTGCATAATTCACTGACCCATCATTAAAATTTGTCAGTACTTAAAAATAGCTAAGTCCTCTATTATTTTATTTAACCTTTTACTGTGTAGTTTATTTGTTTTGGTTGGTATCATTTAAGCCTCATTTATTGCCTTTACAGCAGTCCAAACAGAACCTATTCTGTTTTCTTTCTCCTCCTCTCTCATTTTTTTTCTCTTTTTTAAGAGACAGAGTCTTACAGTGTTGCCCAGGTTGGACTCAAATGCTTGGGCTAAAGTGATCCTCCCTGCTCAGCCTCCCAAGTAGCAGAGACTACAGGGACTACGGGCGCCACCTTGCCTAGCTCCCCCTCTCTCTTATCTTCTTTACCCTAGTTAAATTATTTCTGCTTTGTCCCAAAAAATAATATTTGTACATTACTCTCCACATGGCTTTATGGTGGAGTAAGGGTGATGCTTGAGTGTAAGAAGTTTTACACTGGGATGTGGTACTTTTCCTTTTTTCACTTATAGTTGTTTTGAAGTTTGGGCATTCTTTTTGTCTTCAAATTGTGCTGAAGGCATGGTGTTTTTGTAGATTTATTTTTCTGTCCTTGTTCTATATTCTTTTGGAGAGAAACAGGGCTTAGGTGGCAACCATTGCTTCAGCTGTCTGGAATTCCTCAATTTATTTTAACTTTATATACCATCTTTTCTCCCACCTCTCTCTTCATTATAAGCAGACTCATTCATTCACAGTATGTTTAGTGAGTGCTATGTGCCAGGCATGGTTCTAGGGATATGGTAATGAACAAATGTCTTTGCCCTCATAAATATTATATTCTGGTGGTAGAGACAAAGAATAAAACAAAAAAGTGAATATATACTATAATGTTAGGTAGTGATTAATGCTATGTTTTAAAAAAATAAACAAGATGAGTGCAGTGGTACACTCCTGTAGTCCCAGCTGCTTGGGAGGCAGAGACAGGATGGTCACTTGAGCCCAGGAGTTTGAGTAGCCACTGCACGTCAGCCTGAGCAATAAAACAAGACTGTGTCTCTAAAAGTATAGATATATCAATCAAGAACCTGGGGAAGTTCTAGTGCTACCTACAAGAGTTGAGGAAGACCTTTTCTTTTTTTTTTTTCTTTTTTTTGAGACGGAGTCTCACTCTGTCACCCAGGCCGGAGTGCAATGGCCCGATCTCGGCTCACTGCAAGCTCCGCCTCCCGGGTTCATGCCATTCTCCTGCCTCAGCCTCCCCAGTAGCTGGGACTACAGGCACCTGCCACCACGCCCGGCTAATTTTTTGTATTTTTAGTAGGGATGGGATTTCACCGTGTTAGCCAGGATGGTGTTGATCTCCTGACCTCATGATCCACTTGCCTCAGCCTCCCAAAGTGCTGGAATTACAGGCATGAGCCACTGCGCCTGGCCAAGGAAGACCTCTTTGAAAAAGTGTTACATTAGCAAATTTTGTTTTGTTATAGAATAGTAAGTACATCTTTTTATATTAGCATTTACCTTATGTAAATCATTAAGATTTTACCACTGATCAGGTTTCCATGATAAATTGTTTAATTTTAAAACTTCTGTAGTAGAATGGGCATGTGGTGTTATGGAATTCATACCAAATAAGAAGAATTTTACAGAAAGTAAAACCATAAGCTGTCTACTATTCAACTCTTCTCATTCTGCTTTAGAGAACTGCTATTGATAAAAGATTATTTGAGAAACATATAATCTATCCTTTTCTCTAATAACTCTACACTTTATTTTTTATTTTTATTATACTTTAAGTTTTAGGGTACATGTGCACAACGTGCAGGTTAGTTACATATGTATACATGTGCCATATTGGTGTGCTGCACCCATTAACTTGTCATTTAACATTAGGTTTATCTCCTAATGCTATCCCTCTCCCCTTCCCCCAGCCCACAACAGGCCTTGTGTGTGTTGTTCCCCTTCCTGTGTCCATGTGTTCTCATTGTTCAATTCCCACCTATGAGTGAGAACATGTACACTATTCACAATAGCAAAGACTTGGAACCAACCCAAATGTCCAACAATGATAGACTGGATTAAGAAAATGTGGCACATATACACCATGGAATACTATGCAGCCATAAAAAATGATGTGTTCATGTCCTTTGTAGGGACATGGATGAAGCTGGAAACCATCATTCTCAGTAAACTATCACAAGGACAAAAAACTCTACATTTTATGCTTGGACTATCAGAAAAACTGTTTACTTGAAAACAGTTTACAGAAAAACTCTTTACCCTGACATGTATTGATTTGTTGCTTTGTGTTTTTTGAGACAGGGTCCCACTCTGTCACCCAGGCTGGATTGCAGTGGTATGATCATAGCTCACTGCAACCTCAAACTCTGGGGCTCAAGCAATCCTCCTACCTCAGCCTCCCTAGTAGTTGGGACTACAGGCGTGTGCCATCACACCTGGCTAAATTCTGAGTTGTTTTTTATATTGAAGCCTTAATCTTTCATTGAGGAATACCACAATAAACAGACTGAGCTTGCTGTTGAGAAGTTGTTGAGGACAACATAGTCTTCTGTATTAATGTTTAACATATTAAAGACCCTATGAAAAGTTTATTTTAGAATCACGTGTTTCTTATAAGAAAGTGACATTTTTGGCCGGGCACAATGGCTCACGCCTGTAATCCCAGCACTTTGGGAGGCCGAGGCGGGTGGATCACGAGGTCAGGAGATCGAGACCATCCTGGCTGAAGCGGTGAAACCCCATCTCTACTAAAAATACAAAAAATTAGCCAGGCGTGGTGGCGGGCGCCTGTAGTCCCAGCTGCTCAGGAGGCTGAGGCAGGAGAATGGCGTGAACCCGGGAGGCGGAGCTTGCAGTGAGCAGAGATCGCGCCACTGCACTCCAGCCTGGGCGACAGAGCGAGACTCCATCTCAAAAAAAAAAAAGTGACATTTTTATCTCTTCAAGCATGAAAAGTAGATAACTAGGCATGTCTTACTTTTTGCTTTCACTGTCAAGAAATTGGAAACAAATTCAGAGCTAATTCAAGACGCCTCTGCCATGTATTTCTTTTTCTCCCCAATCTTATACTGTTCTGTTTTCTCTGATCATTTTTTTTAGGTTGTCTCACTAATTATGGAACAATGGCAGGGATGTGTATGAAAGAGTGAGCAGGTAGATAAGTCAATAGATGAATGCTGTTGCCTCCTCAAATCATTAGTTGTATGAGCTTGGGTGAGTTAAACAACCTTTCTGCACTGTTAATTTCATCTGCAAAATGAGAGGATTAATAGATCAAATATTTGTAGCTGCAGAACTCTGTTTTCATGGGAAATAATTTGGAAGCCCGAAATAGAAGCCAAGTAGTAGCAGAACTGTTGTGTCAGGCCAGTGCCATAGTGGCCGGGAAACTAAGCCTCATTTTTTATCCAGATCATATTAGAACTGCCTCTTGGAACAAAGAAACACTACCTCTAGTGTTTCTGCAATACAGTGTTCTGTATTACAGCCTTGACTACTCTACTTTTTCCCCCACTCCAGTCAAGTTTTACATTTTGTAGTAGGCCTCCTTTTTGCCATCTTCGTGAAGATTCTGAATTTTCCTGGATGGATAAAAATCATAAGGATAATAAATGGATATTTCAGTGTTTTTTTAGTCAGTGGTTTGCAAAACCACCTGGAGGGCTTGGGAAAACACAGGTTGCTGTGTCCTACCCACACAGGTTTCTGATTCAGTAAGTCTGGGGTATGACCAAGATATTGCATTTTGAGCAACTTTCCGAGTGATTCAGAAATTATACTTTGAGAACTACTATCCTATGTGAGTATTAAAAATGTATTTTAGTCACTTTTCTTATTTTAAAAATTACATCAAATCATATAACTTCATAAAGCTCAGAAAACAATGTCTGAGTAATATATGGTTTTTGAAAAATAACATTTAAGTGACATATTCCGATGTCATGGAGCAAGTGAGAAACTGGTTTGAAATGTTTGCTATCTAGTGTCAAGGGCTATCTATCCCTTTTTGACTTCTTGTGCTACTGGTGCAAATGGATAGATATTAATCCTGCAGCAATCAGGATTTGCTTCAGCAATAAAGAAATTATTGATGTCTGAAAGCAATCCTTTCCTTTTGACATGTTGGCAGCACCTAAGAAGAAAATGTCAGGGTCAATATAAGTGCATTTACTGACAGTTTGGCTCTTTCCTATGTTACAGAAAATGATTTCACATTTAGCTTTTATCAAAAACAGAAACACTGACCACTCTGAAGGATATAAACAATAGCTTTCAGCTTAGTCATTTTCCACTTATAAAGTGATACTTTCATAGAAATAAACAATGCAAACTTCAGAGAGCCAAAACAATTACACAGAAAAAAATCATTGCATTTTTGCCATTTTTAACTCAGATTTAAAACAACTGTGTCTGGTAGTAACTGGAGAAAAATCACTGTTTTGTGTTCTGTTAAGTTAAAACAGTTAAAATCACTTTATGATAAAATATGGCCAAAAAGAAGAATCATCTTCAATTAGGTACTTCAAGATCACTTGTATTCTCTGCTTCTCTTTCAGAGCCTGATCCATGTATTTCTTAAACTTCTTCATCATATATAAAATTTCGTGTTTATAAAATTTCCACTAAAACCTCAATTATTAGTTTCATGAATCAGAAGTTACAATTAGTTTCATTTCTGGCTCACCAAGATTTGTCAATTTCTGGATAAAAGGGACTCCCTATTCAGAATATCCCTTTAAATCTTTTTTAAAAGTGCACCTTTGATGTGTACATGTTTTTATGTTATTTATGGCTTCTGAAAATATTATGCAAAAAAATTGTTATGGAAACAACCCAAATGTCCACAAGCAGGAAGATACATTGTGATAGATCCATACAATGGAATATCATTCGTTCATAAAAAAGAATAAAGTACTGATGCATGATAGAATGTGAGTGAACCTCAATATCAAGAAAATGGACGAAGCCAGACATAAAGGATCACATATTGTATGATTCCATTTATATGAAGTATCCATAATAGGTAAATCCACAGAAACAAAAGCAGATTGGTAGTTGCCAGGGACTTGTGGGGAGTGAGGAATGGGGAATAACTTTTTAATGGGAAGATAGGGTTTCTTCTTGGGGTGCTAAAAATGTTGAGAAGTAGATAGAGGTCATGGTTGCACAACACTGTGAATATAATTTTATGTGAATTTTACCTCAATTTTTTAAAGAAATCAGTTGATTTAAGACTTAACTGAATTCTAGAATTTTTGAAATGAAGGTGTTTCTCAAGGTCATCCAACCCAATCTCCTGTTTTTCACAAATGAAAAAACTAAAACTCATCAAGATTAAATACTATATATCACTAAGATTGCCTAGTAGCTAGTCCAAACCCAGGCCAGAATTTGAGTATCTGGATTTTTAGCCCAGTGATTTCTTTTTAAACTACTGCATGCTGCTTTATTATCAATTGCTATTTTTTTTAAATTTTTTTCTGGGAACATACTACAAGTGTTAGTTTAAAAGTAAACTAACATAAAAGTAAATACAAAAAGAAGCATAGCTTCCTTTGTGCCACATATAAGAAATGTAGACATAGAGAGTGTTTATTGCAGTAATTTGCCAAAAAGCAAGCCATAGTTTAAATTAGAAGAGGTTTATTCCCTGCAGCACTTTCACAATCACAGAAGGCACCTATATTTTAAATGTAGTCTACATTGGCCTGGCTTATGAACTGCAACCTTCTATGATTGCAATTCACTTTTTTAAATTAAAAAAAATTTCAAAATAATTTTTGCATAATTATTAGCACATTCTACCACTTGATAATTTTTTGTTTCTTTCAATAGACGAAAGCACTCACATTGTAAAAAAATTATATAAATGACCTTGTCTTGTGATGAAGCTAGAAGATCTGTTTTCAACGAAACTATTCTCAGAGGCATCTAGGGAGAAACATTTGAGTCAGGTTGGGAGTTAGAGATAGAAAGCAGCAGCAATTAAAGCAAGATAATGTATTACCCCCTGGAAATTGGGTGTTATACTCAAATGTAAAGGACTTGTATTGATTTAGTGCTAGCCTCAGAAAATAGTCAGATGTCCTCATTTTAAGGGAAAACTTTAGGAAATGTAATTATATCGTTTCTTTCTCTCTAAATCTGCCTTAGTTTTCAATTTCTTTATGTAGTTCGTTACTAAGAGGAAGCTACACTCTCATTACCACACTAAATGGATTTTCTATTAATATTTATCTCCAATGTTATTTTTATCTGGGTTGTTGTTTTCATTTCTACTTAGTATGTATTTTCTTCTTTCCTTTTAGTTCAGAGGTCAACAAAGTATGGCCTATGAGCCATACGCTACAATAGCAGAGTTGAGTGGTTGCAACAGATACCATGTGGCCTGCAAACCTAAAATATTTATTGGGGCATTTTACAGAAAACACTTGCCAGTCCTTGCTTTAGTTGACCAAGTAGAAAAGGAAGAGCAGATTCTACAGAGTGAATAAATATCACCAGCAAAGGAAAGGATATAGAAAGGTACAGGATTTATACTTAGGCTAGCTAGAAACTCCATATGGTCAAAGTAAGAGTTTTGTGGATGTGAGTCATCAGAGATTATATAGGAAAGATAGATTACTGTCAGATTTAGAGGATTTTTAATGCCACTTCAGGAACTTGAGCTACTATTGTTTAGGAAATGAGTCATTTAAGGTTTTTTGAACAAAGGAGCTTTGCCAGAGCAGGAAAGTGTTGCAGTAGGGTTTACAAAGTAATGAGAGTTATCAACTAAAGTTATATTAATAGGAAGGATGACATAGTTCCAGGAGTTGCTGTATAATTAAAATTGATAGGACCTTAGACACTGCATTTTGAGACAAAGAGATAATAGTTTAAAGATTAAAACTTCATTGGGCAGAAAAATTATTATTTATACACATATTAGGGAAGTAAAGAGCTAATTTTTGTGGAAGGTTTAAGTTGATGGAGAAGGATTATAACACTACATAGGATAAGAAACAAAACTGATTACTAGTTATCAGCATTACTGAAGTTGTTCACTCATCCCAGGCACAGGCAATTTTTTACTCGCCATATTTTATCTCCAGGGCACCCAGCTGCCATCATCTTGTCAGGGTCCATCTCTTTATAAAATCCTCTTACTTTGCTCTCCAGAATCCCACCCTGATACACAGATTTACTTACGCTACCTCATACAGAATAAAGTACTTCCATTTTCCAAGTACTCTGAACCATGCTCAAGAAGGGCTTTAGCTCTCTCAAATAAAAAGACTTATCTCAAGGTGTTTAATTCAAGTAGAGCCACAGTTCCGAAACTGTGCACTGACACCCCAGGGTACTGCAGCAGACTCACAAGAGTGCTACAGGATATTTTATATCGGTTTCAAAATTAAATTTTGCTACATTCCTTTTGGATGATGTCTTTTTAAAAAATAATTACTGTTGTTGTTTTTTTTTTAATATGTACCTCCTGAAAAATCAATGCAGAATGGGAAATGAAGGTAGCAGTATCCACTTGGAATACAAGGCTTGAAGAGTGTGCAGTATTCCATAAGCATACATATTCATTTAGTAAATACAGTTAACCCTTGAACAGTGCCGGGGGTTAGAGGCACTCCCCTCCCCCGGGTAGTTGAAAATCCATGTATAACTTTTGACTCCCCAGAAACTTTACTAAGAGCCTACTGTTGACCAGAAGCCTTACCTGTAACATTAATCATTGATGAACATGTATTTTGTATATTATATGTATTATACAGTGTATTTTTGTAACACAGTAAGCTAGAGAAAAGAAAATCATAAGGAAAATATATTCATTGATATGGTTTGGCTCTGCTTCCCCACTCAAATCTCATCTCGAATTTTAATCCCCATAATCTCCACATGTTAAGGGAGGGACCTGTTAGGAGGTCATTAGATCATGGGGGCCATTTCCCCCATGCTGTTCTTGTGATAGTGAGTTCTCGTGGAACCTGTTAGTTTTATAAGTGTTTGACAGTTCCTCTCTCATGTGCCCTCTCTCGCCTGCTGCCATGTATGACATGCCTGCTTCCCCTTCTGCCATGATTGTGTTTCCTGAGGCCTCCCCAGCCATGCAGAACTGTGAGTCAATTAAACCTCTTTTCTTTATAAATTAGTCAGTCTTGGGCAGTTCTTTATAGGAGTGTGAAAACGGACTAATACATTTATTGTTCATTAAGTGGAGGTGGATCATCATAAACATCTTCATCCTAGTAGTCTTCACACTGAGCAGGCTGAAGAGGAGGGTGGGGAAGAGCTGGTCTTCCTGTCTCAGGGGTAGCAGGGGTGGAAATGATGAAGGAGGTGGAAAGGATGGCAGAAGAGGTAGGCATACTCAGTGTAACTTTACAGAAATACGTTGTAATTTCTGTCTTATTTTTCATTTCCCTAAAAATGTTACTCTAAAAATGTTTCTATATGGCACCTATCCTTCCACCTTTTGCTTTTGGTTCAGTGCCCATATCATAGAAGGGTCCATGTTGTAAAAGAAGTCAAAAGCAGTCTTTTGAATAACTGGAATCATTCTGTTATATGGTCTAATATGAATTTGTTTCTGGCACTACTTATTCTACATCTTCTTTCTCATCATCTGGCACTGATTTGGAAGCACTCATCTCCATCAAGTCATCTTCTGTTAATTCCTGTGATATGGTGTCTGTTAGCTCTTGAATTACTCCAAGATCCGTATCTTGAAACTCTTCAACTTCCCCCCACTTTTTTTTTTTTTTTTTTGCCATATCCACAGTCTCTTTTATGATATCCTTGATTGACTCTGTTGTAAATCCTATGAAGTCATATACACCATTGGACACAGTTTTTCTCTAGCATCAATTTATTTTTTTGGGCTTGATGGCTTTCATGGCTACTTTTGTAACAATGGCGTTTTCCATGATTTGATTCTTTCAGATATCCTTGGTGTTCTCTAAGTTGAGGTCTACTTCCATAGCATTGACAATCTTTTCTATAGATTACCATGTGTAATGATCTTTAAAGGTCCTTATGACCCCCTAATCTAGATCTGAATTAGAGATATTGTGTTTGATGGCAAGTAGACCACTTTGACACCTTTGTTGTTGAACTCCTGGTGTGGGTGACCCGGGGCATTGTTCAATATCTAAAGAAATTTAAAAGACAGTTCCTTACTGACAAGGTACTTCTTTGTCAGCAGAAGTTACTTCTCCTCTTATCCATTTTTTGAAGCCAAACCTCTTTCTAAAAATGTCAAGCCATCCTTTGCTGACATTAAATTCTCCAGCTTTAAATCCTTCACCTTCCTTTTGCTTTAAGTTGTCATATAATGACTTCAAGTCTTACTAGAGTATGCCTTTCTTATAGCAATTCTGTACTCACATTGTATTTTAAATATAAGATAAAAAGATATTTTACAGAAACTTCAAGGTTTTCATGCCTGCTGTCGTAGCTGCAGTGATGGCTCCACAAAGTCCTCCCCCAACCACAATGGTCCTTACACTGGATTCATCTATCTTGAAATGGTGGGCAACCACAGCTGCAGACCTCAATCTACGGTACATATCAAGCAAGTCAGCTTTTTTTTGTAATGATTTTTCTCTGCTTCTTGGGAGCACTTCCAGCATCACTAGTGACATTTCATATGGGTCCCATGGTGATGTTCAAGATTTACAGTATTGCACTAAACATGATGAAAAATAATTCAAGAACCATGAGAGATCACTTTTTATTGCAATATGCAATTTACTGTAAGATGTAGGGTTCACTCAGAGATGATTAGCATCAGATGTCATTTTCAATGGATACAACACTTGAGCTCACTGCAAAAGCAACAGGTGGTAGTTACAACGTTGTTACAATAGTACAGTATTTACTGCAGTTCATTTTATGCAGTTAGGATTTAATACTGAATTTTTACATTTGTTTACATTTCTCTTGACTCAAATGCTGCCGTGTATGGTCTGTAAGTGTTTGCCTGTGTAAGTTTTGATAGATTTTAACTTTTTATAATACATTTTTATAGTTTTATGATAGTGATAAAATAGTATCTACATATACTTTATGAGTTCATGACATACTTAACAATTTTTATCAATATTTCTAGGCTACACAGTTTGTCTGTAGAGTATTTCAAACTATCACAAATTTCCAAAAAATTTTCTGATATACTTCTTGAAAAAATTTTTACACACAAGTGGATCCATGCAGTTCAAACCCAAGTTGTACAAGGGTCAACTGTATTGTAGTTATTTTTTAATGAGATTTTAAAAACTTTTTTCAATTTATATGTATTTTTCTTAACTGAGTATTAAATTCTGAAGCTAGTACTTATTAAATTGTTTGGACTTAACATTAAACAGGACTGTTAGGCATTTGTTAGCATACCATGAAAAAATGAAAAAAATAACAAAAACACTAAAAACACTGTAAACTGGGAAAGTTTCAGATTCTCTGAATTTGAGAGAGTTGTTCAACTCTAAAATGAATGCATTCTTCCATAAGCATGTGAAAAGGCAGCAGTCTTTCTTTTTTCTCTTTTTTTCAAAATTGCTTTCTAGACTGGGCACAGTGGCTCACACTTGTAATCCCAGCATTTTGGGAGGCTGAGGTGGACAGATCGCTTGAGCCCAGGAGTTTGAGACCAGCCTGGGCAACATGGTAAAACCCCATCTCTACAAAACATCCAAAAATTAACCAGGTGTGGTGGTGCACACCTGTAGTCTCAGCTTCTGTGGAGGCTGTGAGGTGGGAGAATCGCTTGAGCCCAGGAGGCAGAGGTTGCAGTGAGCCGAGATCGTGCCACTCCACTCCAGCCTGGTGACAGTGAAATCCCCTCTCAAAAAAAAACAAAAAAACAAATTTGAAAACACATTCTAGTGACATGGGATTTTGTGTAGCATCTTAACAAAAATGTAATCACATATTTAAAAATTTTCTGTGCTTTTTGCTGTATCAAACAAAAAAAGTAAGAAGTGCTCTTCCCTTTAAGGTTATGGTCAGGTCAGAGTGGTAAGACAAATACAAGTTGCTTATATCATTAAGTAAAATAAAATAATTACCCTCATTTATTTCATAATATCACATATTATGGGCATTCAAAGAAGAATGTGTACATCTGTTAGTGGGAATGAAGAAAGAATTTGTTAGATTTTAAATGGGCATTGACATGTTGGTAAATTCTAACATGTAGAGGTAGTGGACATTTCAGATAGAAGGAAAAACATAAAAACTCAAGATTTATTTTGGGAGAAGCAAATTATTCTATATGACTGAAGCAAGGACATATGTTATGAAGTAATGTAGATTACAGCTGGTTTACTATAAGTTGGAGTACTATCGTGGAGCACTTTGAATGCTGGGGTGTGAGGCATTTGGATTCAATTTACTAGGAAAAGAAGAGTGATTAGGGTGATTAATCTGTCAGCAAGATATAGGATGATTAAATCAAGGAGAGAAAGGAGGCAGGGATAGCTTTTTAAAAGGGAATGATGGATTTTGCTTTATGTATATGTATTTCAAAGGAAACACCAAACTGTTGATCTTTAAAGAGCATACTTTTGTTCAGCACTGTAACTAACAGTTGTAACATAAAACTCACTTTTCTGATGGGAGGCAGAAGACTTTCTAACTTTCTTGTTATTTCTAGAGGAATAATATCAATACAATGTAAATATGTATGGAATGCATACTATAGGCCAAGAACTATATTAAGCATTTATTTAATTCTCACAACCCTTGAGAGACATTATTATTCCCATTTTACAGGTGAGAACAGTAAAGCCTAGTAAAGTTAATGTTGTCCAGAGTCACATAGTTAATAAGTAGACAGATTAGCAAAAATTTTTAAAATAAGTTTACTAGTTGGTTTAAACTAAGGAGAATTGAGTTAATTCTCCTTGGGTCTTATCAAATTATCTTCATCTGACTTAGGCATAGTTTCTCTCTTTTTTTATTTTTCATATCACTCCTGATCTCTTCCCACCATGGGTACTCTTAATGTGTTTGATATGGCTCTTACATTTGGATGTGTCCTTTAAGACTGTATTGTGTTATTTTAGATGCATGCATATGTGTTTAAATTATACATAATATATAAAAGGGTAAATTATAGCTTGTCTGATTTGATATATATGTTTCTACTCTATTGCTTTTATATTTTTATTTTATAAGAAACACACATTTTTATTTTATAAGAAACAAGGTCTTGCTATTAATATGTTACCAAGACCAGAATGCAGTAGTTATTCACAGGTGTGATCATTGTGCAGATAGCCTTGAACTCCTGGCCTCACCCTATCCTCCCACTTGAGCCTCCTAAATAGCTGGAACTACAGGTGCATGCAGCTGGGCCTGGCTTAGTTTACTGCTTTTTTAAAAATAATTTACAAATAATAATTGTACATATTCATGGAATACATTATGATTTTTTTTTTTTTTTGAGACGGAGTCTCACTCTGTCGCCAGGTTGGAGTGCAGTGGCGCGATCTCGCCTCACTGCAACCTCCACCCCCTGGGTTCAAGCGATTCTCCTGCCTCAGCTTCCTGAGTAGCTGGGACTACAGGTGTGCACCACCATACCTAGCTAATGTTTGTATTTTTAGTAGAGATGGGGTTTCACCATGTTGGCCGGGATGATCTCGATCTCTTGACCTCTTCATATGCCTGCCTCAGCCTCCCAAAGTGCTGGGATTACAGGCGTAAGCCACCGTGCCCGGCCCATAATGATGTTTTGATACCTGTAATGTATAGTAATCAGACAGGGATAAATAGCATATCCATCATCTCAAACATTTATCATTTCTTTGTGTTAAGAACATTTAATATCCTCCATCTACCTATTTAAACTATTTAATATATTTTTGTTAACTAAATAGTCATCCTGCAGAGGTATAGAATTCTATAACTTACTCTTATCTAGTTGTAATTTTGGTATCCTTTAACAAATTTTTCCCTATCCTTCCTTTCCCCCTACTTTCCCAGCCTCCAATATCCTCTGTTCTACCTTTTACTTCTATAAGATCAACTTTTTTTTATCTTCTACTTATGAGTGAAAACATACCATGTTTAACTTTCTGTTCCTAACATTTCACTTAACATAATGTCCTCCAGTTTTATCTATGTTGCCATGAACCACAGGATTTTATGCTTTTTTATGGCTGAATGGTTTTTCTTTGTGTATACATTACACATTTTCTTTATCCATTCATTTGTTGTTGGACACCTAGGTTTGTTCCATATCTTGGCTATTGTGGATAGTGCTGCAATAAGCATAGGGGTACACATGTCCCTTAAATATAATGATTTCCATTCCTTTGGATAAATTCCTAGTAGTAGGATTGCTGGATCATGTAGTAGTTCTACTTGTGGTTTTTAGGAAACTCCAACTATTCTCCATAGTGGCTATTCCCACCAACAATGTATTAAGAGTTCCCTTTTCTCCATCCTCACCAACATTTTTTTTTCTTTTTGATAATAGCCATCCTAACTGGGGTGAGATGATACCTCATTGTGGTTTTGATCTGCATTTCTCTGATGATTAGTGATGTTGGGCACTTTTTCATATATTTGTTGGCCATTTGTATCTCTTTTGAGAAATGTCTGTTCAGATCATTTACCTATTTTTTAATAAGATTGGTTTTTTGCTATTGAGATGTTTGAGTTCCTTGTATATTCTTAGTATTAATCCCCTATCTGATGTTATGAATAGTTTGCAAATATTTTTTCCCATTCTGTAGGTTGTCTTTTCACTCTATTGATTGTTTCCTTTGCTGTGCTAAAGATTTTCAGTTTGATATAATCTCATTTGTTTATTTTTACTTTTGTTGCTTGTGCTTTTGAAGTTGTATTCATAAAATATTTTTCCAGATCAATGTCCTAAAGCATTTCACCTGTGTTTTCTTCTAGGAGGGTTATCCTTTTAGGTCATATATTTAGTTCTTTGATCATTTTTTTGAGACAGGGTCTTGCTGTGTCACCCAGGCTGCAGTGCAGTGGTGCGATAATGACTCACTGCAGCCTTGACCTCCTAGGCTAAGGCAGTTCTCCCGCCTCAGCCAGCTGAGTAGCTGGGACTACAAGCATATGCCACCATGCCTGGCTAATTTTTATATTTTTTGTAGAGATAGGGTTTCACCATGTTGTCGAGGCTGATCTCAAACTCCTGGGCTCAAGAGATCCACCTGCCTTGACCTCCCAAGATGTTGGGATCACAGGTGTGAGCCACCATGCCCAGCCTCTTTGATCCACTTTGAGTTGATTTTTGCATGCAGTGAGAGGTAGAAGTGTAGTTTCATTCTTCTGCATATGGCTATCCAGTTTGCTCAGGACCATTTATTGAACAGACTATTCATTCCCCAATGACAATTCTTGGCACTTTTGTCAAAAATCATTTTGCTGTAGATAATGTGGATAAATTTCTGGGTTCTCTATGCCTTTCCATTGGTCTATATGTCTGTTTTTATGCTGGTACCATGCTGTTTGTGTTATTATAGCTTTGTGATATATTTTGAGGTCTGATAGTGTGGTACCTCCAGCTTTGTTCTTTTTACTCAGGATTGCTTCAGCTATTCAGGGTTTTCTATGTTTCCATACAAATTTTAGAATTTTTTTCCATTTCTGTGAAAAGTGTCATTGGTAGTTTGATAGGGATTGCACTGAATCTATAGATGTCTTTCCATTTATTTGTATGCACTTCAATTTCTTTCATCAGTGTTTTGTAATCTTCCTTGTAGAGGTCTTTTATCACCTTGGTTCAGTTTGTTCCCAAGATTTTATTTTCTTTTCTAGCTATTGTAAATGAGGTTGCCTTTTTGAATTCTTGTTCAACTACTTTGTTGTTTATGTACAGAAACACTACTGATTTTTGTGTGTTGATTTTATATCCTGCAACTTTATGGAATTCATTTATCAGTTCTAAGAGTTTTTTGGTAGAGTCTTTAGGCTTTTTAATATGTAGAATCATTACATATGCAAATAGGGACAATTTAACTTCCTTCTTCTCAATTTTGATATGGTTTATTTCTTTCTCTTGCCTAATTGCTGTGGCTAGTACTTCCAGTACTATGTTGAATAAGAGTGGTGAGAGAGGGCATCATTGTCTGTTCCAGTTCTTAGAGGAAATGCTTTCAGGTTTCAGTAAGATGCTAGCTGTGAGTTTGTCATGTTGAGGTAATTTCAACATGTTATTATGTTGAGGTACTTTCCTTCTATACCTAATTTATTAAGAGTTTTTATGAAGGAATATTAAATTTTATCAAAAGCATTTTCTGCTTTTCATTGAGATGATCATATGATTTTTGTCCTTCATTCTATTGATAGGATATAAGACATTCATTCAGTGACATATGGTGGACCATCTTTGCATTCTTGGGATAATCCTCACTTGCTCATAATCTTTTTGAGACACTGTTGGGTTCAGTTTGCTAGTATTTTGTTGTGGACTTTTGCATGTATGTTCATCAGGGATATTGGCCTATCATTTTCTTTTTTTGTTTTGTCCTTATCTGTTTTTGGTATCACGGTTATGTTGGCTTCATAGAATCAATTAGGAAGTATTTCCTCTGCTTCATTTTTGGAATAATTTGGGACAAATTGGTTTTAATTCAACAGTGAAGCCATCCAGTTCTGGACTTTTTTTTTTTTTTTTTGGTGTTGGAAGACTTTTTGTTATTAAATCAATCTTGTTTCTTGTCATTGGTCTGTTTAGGCTTTCTATTTCTTCTTTCAGTCTTGGTAGGTTTTACGTATCCAGGAATGTGTCCATTTCCTCTAGGTTTTCAAATTTGTTGGCATATAGTTGTTCACGGTAGTCTCTAGTGATCCTTTGTATTTCTGTAGTATCTTTTGTGATGTCTCCTTTTTTGTTTCCTATTTTAATTATTTAGATCTTCTCTCTTTTTTCTTATTCTAGCTAATGGTTTGTCAATTTTGTTTAGAAGCCAGCTTTTTGTTTTGTTGATCTTTTGTATTTTTTTTGTCTTATTTTTGTTTATTTCTACACTGATCATTATTATTTCTTTCCTTCCATTAATTTTGGGTTTAGTTTATTCTTTTCTAGTTCTTTGAGGTTTATCATCAAGTTGTTTACTTGAAATCTTTCTTGTTTTTTGATATAAGCATTTATTCCTATAAACTTGACTCTGAATACTGTTTTTGCTGTGTCCCATAGGTTTTGGTATGTTGTGTTTCTGTTTTCCTTTGTGTCAAAGAATTTTTAAATTTTATTCTTAATTTCTTTCTTTATCCATTGGTCATTCAGGAGCATATTGTTTAATTTTCATGTAATGGTATATTTCTAAATGATTCTCTTGTTATAGATATCTAAGTTTACGCCATTGTGTTCAGATAAGTACTTGATATTTTGATCCTTTAAGAATATTTTGAGACTTCTATTGTGTCCTTACACACGATTGATCCTGAGACTGTTGAATGGGCTGATGAAAAGAATGTGTATTCTGCCACTGTTGGCTGAAATGTTCTATAAATATCTGTTGTATTTAGTCTATGGTGCAGTTTAACTCTGATGTTTCTTTGTTGACTTTTTGTCTACATAATCTGCCCAGTGTTGAGAGTGGGATGTTGAAGTCCCCAACTGTTATTTCACTTTAGATCTAATAATATTTGCTTTACATATCTGGGTGCTTCAGTATTGGGTGCATATATATTTACAGTTGTTATATTCTCTTGTTGGATCAATCCTTTTATAATTATATAGTAGCCCTCTGTCTTCTTTTACAGCTTTTGACTTGAAGAGTGTTTTACCTCGTATAATTATAGCTATTCCTGTTTGCTTTTAGTTTCCATTTGCACTGAATATTTTTTCCATCCACTTCCAGTCTGTGTGTGTATACAGGTGATACAAGTTTCTTGTAGATAGCATATAATTGGGTCTTGTTTTTTTAAAATCCATTCAGCTAGTATGTATCTTTTAAATGTGGAACTTAATCTATTTACAATCGTGTTATTATTGATAGGTGAGGACTTACTCCTGTCATTTTATTGATTGTTTTCTGGTGGTTTGTATATCCTTTGTTCATTACTTTCTCTCAGTGTTATTTTTGCAGTTGAATGGTTTTCTCTAGTGAAAAGGTTTGATTCCTTTCTCCTTCTCCTTTGTACAGCAGCTCTATCAGTGTGTTTTATAGTTTCACATATTTTCATGATGGTGATTATTGTTTTTCATTTCCACATGTAAGACCCCCTTGAGCATTTCTTGCAAGGCCAGACTAGTGGTGATGGATTCCCTTAGTTTTGCTAGTCTGTGAAATATTTTATTTGTCCTTTATTTCTGAAGGTTAGCTTTGCTGGGCGTATTCTTGGGCTAATAATTTTTTTCTTCTAGTACTTTGACTATATTATCCTGTCCTCTCCTGGACTATAGGATTTCTGCTGAGAAATTCACTGTTAGTCTAATGGGGATTCCCTTATATGACTTGATGCTTTTATCTTGCTGCTTTTAGAATTCTTTCTTTGTCTTTGACTTTTGACAATTTAACTGTAATGTGCCTTGCAGAGGTCCTGTTTGAGGTGAATATATTTGAGCTTTCTCGACTTGGATGTCTCTCTGTCTTTCTGTTATTATTTCATTAAATATGTTTTTCTCACCTTTCCCTTCACCTTCTGGAGATATTTATTTGCTTAATGGTATCCCATAAATCCTTTAGGCTTTTTCATTCTCTTTTTTTTTTTAAAGTTAGTCTGCCTGTGTTATTTCAAAAGATCATTCTTCAAGTTCAGAAATTCTTCTTCTTGGTCTAGTCTGTTGTTTAGCTCTTTATTGTATTTTTTATTTCATTCATTAAATTCTTCAGCTCTAGGATTTCTGCTTCATTCTTTTTTATGATATCTGTCTTTGTTGAATTTCTCTTTCAAATCATAAACTCTTCTCCTGACTTTGTTGAGTTATCTATCGGTATTCTCTTGTATCTTATTGGATTTCTTTAAGATTATTATTTTGATTTTTTTCCCACATTTCATATATTTCCTTATAGTTTGGAGTCTGTTACTAGATAATTATTGTTTTCCTTTTGACATTACATGTTTTCTTGCTTTTTTTCCTTCTTCTTCTTTTAAGACAAGTTCTCATTCTGTTGCCCAGGCTGGAGTGCAGTGGCACAATCTCGGCTCACTGCAGCCTCTACCTCGTATGCTCGAGTGATCCTCCCACCTCAACTCCCCAAGTAGCTGGAACTACAGACACTCACCAATATGCCCTGCTAATTTTTGTGGTTTTTAGTAGAGACAGGGTTTCACCATGTTGCCCAGGCTTTTTCTTGCTTTTTCACGGTTGATGTGTCCCTGTGTTGATTTCTATGCATCTGGTGGAAAAGTCACCTCTTTTAATTTTATGGAATAGATTTCATAAGAAAGAATACGAATGAGTCTTGGGTTGTTGGTTTGGTGGGGTACATTAGCCTTATTTCTAGATACAGTTTTGTAGTCTCTGAGTAATTTCTTCAGCTGTAATCCACTCTAGTGGCATTTGTGAGTTTCTCAGTGGCATGGGCTGAGAGAGTTTGTGGCAATGGTGATGCCACTTTGCCAGGGGTGGGCTCACTAGACTGTTTCTCAGGTCTGGGGTATGTATGTGCACATAGTAGGTCAGCCAACTTGGTTGGTGAGATTGGCTTACTGAGACTGGGGCCACAAGGCTGTTACTCTGACCAGAAATACAAGTATAAGGTTGCTTGGGCAACCTGGGGACATGCCTGCCAGGAGCAGCTTTCAGGTCGGGGACGTGGGCTTTTGGCCACTTGGCTGGCTTGGAGATATTCCCTGTGGCACGGGGGCAGTCTGCGGGACTATCTCTCAGGCCATTATTGGGGGTAAAGGACTGTTGGGCAGGCCAAGGGCGTGCCTATGGGGGACCTGTGTGTCTGTTTCTCAGGTTCTGATTGCTTGCAGGTAGCCCTACTCTGCTGGCCCTGGGCCATATCACCTTCTCAGAGGCTCAGGGAGGTCTCCTGCTTAGAGAAGGGAGCCCAGCAGTTTGGCCAGCTTAAGAGCAGGCTTGCTGTGGGTAGGACTGGCAGACTGGTTTCTCTGTTGGTGGTATGGCCATGGTTCTTGGTTTTCTTGCTGTGCAAGACCAGAATAACAGCCAGTCCAGGGTCCAGCCTTCACCAGCTTGGATCATGGTGTTCAGAAACTTGTTTGGAGTTGGCATAATGAAGATGGAGCCCCAGTTCTGGAGAGGTGCAGTGGCCACTTTCCCCCCAGAGGAGGGCATACTACACAGGTGGCTATTCTCAAGATGACGCCATGTTACAGCAGTTTGGCTCACAGTGGTGGGATGGGGAGTACACACCTTGTGCTCTTAATCCAGGTCAGTGCGTCTGCATGAATTCCTGGCAGCTCTCCAAAATGGGCTCAGGGCTTGTGAGGACTATGGGATTCTTGTGTAGTAAGGCCTTCATGTGTTTGTGGTGGCAAAGAGGCTGGTAGGGATCTTCTGCTGACTTTTTTCCCTGCAATAGCAATTCCCTCCCGTCTCCAGGCAGATCTGATCTAGGTGGGGAAGATGGGACCACGAGTTTGAGTGCCTCTATGCTGCCTTCCTAGATTTCCAATCACCACAGGTGCATCTTCATTCTATCAGTGCACCCCACTACTCTTCCTTCACACTCCAGTCAAATCTTAGCTGTTTGTTTGTTGCCTTGATCCTTTTTTTGTGTGTGGGTTAGACAAGCACCAGGTATCCCTACTCAGCCATCTTGCTGATGTTACTCCTTTATTGCTTTTCTTTTCTTTTCTTTTCTTTTTTTTTTTTTGAGATGGAGTCGCGCCCTGTTGCCCAGGCTGGAGTGCAATGGTGTGATCTCAGATCACTGCAACCTCCACCTCCTTGGTTCAAGCGACCAAGTAGCCTCAGCCTCCCAAGTAGCTGGGACTACAGGCACCCACCACCACACCCAACTAATTTTTGTATTTTTGGTAGAGACGGGAGCTCACCATGTTGGCCAGGCTGGTTTTGAACTCCTGACCTCAAGTGATCCGCCTGCCTCAGCCTCCCAAAGTGCTGGGATTATAGGCTGGAGCCACTGTGCCCAACTCCTTTATTGCTTTTAATCTCTGCATAGTAGTGTGTGTATTAGTCTGTTTTCATGCTGCTGATAAAGGCATACCTGAGACTGGGAAGAAAAAGAGGTTTAATTGGACTTACAGGTCCACATGGCTTGGGAGGCCTCAGAATCATGGTGGGAGGCAAAAACAGAAACCCCTGAGAAAACCGTCAGATCTCGTGAGATTTATTCACTACCACGAGAACAGCATGAGGGAAACCACCCTCATGATTCAAATTATCTCCCACCAGTCTCTCCCACAACACGTGGGAGCACAATTAAAGATGAGATTTGGGTGGGAACACAGAGCCAAACCATATCAGTGTGCATTCACCACATTCTCATCTTTTCCCCTAGAAATAGACTTCTAGGATTTCTCACACTTTATGTTCAACAGAGCTATATAAATATGCTCCTATGTATTCCCTTAAAGCCCATCTTCTTTCTACTATATCTTTTTCCTCATTTTACTTCCTTTTTTGAGGGAGTTATGTGGGATAGAAGAAAAATGGACTTCTTCATTTATAACATACCTGAAGTTGGGAGTATTTTAATCCTTAAACAGATTAAAATGAGCTGGGTGTGGTGGCTCACACCTGTAACCCCAGCACTTTAGGAGGCTGAGGGAGGCGTATGGCTTGAGCTCAGTAGTTGGAAACCAGACTGGGCAACATGACAAAATCCTGTTTCTACTAAAAATACAAAAACTAGCTGGGCGTCGTGGTGCATGCCTGTAGTCCCAGCTACTTAGGAGGCAGAGGTGGGAGGATCACCTGAGCCCAGGAGGTCGAGGGTGCACTGAGCTGTGATTGCACCACTGCACTCTAGTCTAGGCAACTGGGCGAGTCTCTGTCTCAAAAAAAAAAAAAAAAGAGTAAAAGATATGCAGACTATGTGATTTTCTGCTTCCAAAAGGAACCACATAGACAGGAAGAAGATCCAAGTGAATTATTCTCTTCTATTTCTTTACATTGCCTTCTGTCATTGGTAACATAACCTTTATGGCATTCACAAGTATATTTGTTCTAGCTTTCTTCTTTTAGTAATTCTGTTGCTGTCGTTTGTGTGAAATACTGCATATTATAACATTGTAATTATAAATGATTTATACATTATCTTAATCGTTGTCAGGGCCAACGTTTTTCTTACAAGCAGATAGGAACTATGCTTTGTTGTAACTCATATTTGATCGACTCTGAGAACAAAATGTATTTTATACTTTCTTGGAGTAGTCCCACAAAACATGTAGGACCCATTAAGAGGAAGAAAGCATGCTATATGGTTGTTATATTTGTTATTTTTGACTTGTAATTTATTCATTCTCTCAGCCCTGTTCTCTGACTAGTGTTACTATGGCACCTAAGTTATGGCATGGAAAACAAGCTAATTATGTTCTTCAGAACAGACGACAGTGATACATCTTGAGACACAAGCATCTGGTAGTCTTAGCCCTTTCCTCATCAGTGCTAGTCTAGGCTTGGTTGGGCTCTCTGGTTGTCCAAATATTTTTCTGTTACAACACATCCTTCTTTATTTTATTTTTCTTCTATAAATAGTGGTTTATGCTTTCTAAAGCCTCTAGTCTCATATTTAGTTTGTTCCTTTTTGAGCCTTCTGTCTACTCAAAGAAGTAATATAGACTTACTCCCAGCTGTGTATGATCTACTCTTACTCCTGTTTATTGAGTTAAGCTTTTTACTATTTGTAAACATCTCTTGGTTGTGTAGACACAAATACACCAAAACTAAAAATGGTTAAATTGGGGTGAAAACTTACGGATATTTCTTACAATTTATTTTTCAAAATTCAGTGATGTAGTTAGATGGCTCTCCTGATAAAAATTGTTTAAGAGATATGAGTAATCAATACTTTTTTATCAGAAGTGACATCTAACCATATTACCAAATTTTGAAAAACAAAGAAAATATTAGAATTATCCACAATTTTTGTACCTAAACTTAACCAGTTTTACTTTTGTTTATTCCCTTATAATCTTTTTTACTATTGATTTAATGTAGGTTATAATCATACTGTGTACACACTATTTGTATGTCTTCTATTTAATTGAATATTTATGTGCCATAAGCATTTTCTACTTTACTACTTAGTTTTCATCATCATCATCATTTGTAATATCTTTAAAATATTCTCTGGAGTGGTGCTATTCAATAGAAATATAATTTAAAATTTTCCAGGACCCATATGAAAAATGTAAAAAGAAACAGCTTAATAATGGATTTTATTTAATCTAATATATCTAAAATATTTATTGTTTCAACATGTAAAAATTATATACCGTATTAGACATAAAAATTATTAGATTTTAACCTTCTTTTCATAGTACATCTTTGAAATGTACCTATTTTACATATATACCAGTGAATTACGTCACTAAACTTTCAATGTCAAAATAAAATGTAGTCCTACCAAAACAATAAAGCTCCAGCAGAAAAATATGAAATGCTTCAATTTTTACATTTAAATTAATGAAAGTAAATTAAAAATTTAGTTTCACGATCATACTAGCCACGTTACTTATGCTCATCATGTACATGTAGCTTCTTCATTTAAATTTAAATTACATTTAAAATTCAAGCCTCTCTTTGCA
The DNA here is from genome assembly GCF_000001405.40 of Homo sapiens. Taxonomy (NCBI): domain Eukaryota; kingdom Metazoa; phylum Chordata; class Mammalia; order Primates; family Hominidae; genus Homo; species Homo sapiens. The sequence continues at coordinate 74,519,441 of NC_000010.11, forward strand.
CTAGTCACATTTTAAGTGATCAGTAGTGAGCTTTAGAGTATATAGCCAATTCTTGACTGTTCCTCTGTCATTTTTTTACATTGATTTCAATGAAATAAGTACACTGATAAGTTTATGAATGTATATTTTCCCATGTTTTGGATTACTTTCTTAAAGTAGACTCTCAGAAGTAGAATTACTGGGTCAAAGAGTATAATCAACCCTTCTTCATCATTGTTACCATATTGTTTCTTTAGTTACTAGAGAGGAATATTTCTCTACATATTTATTTACTATGTATTTCTCTTTCAATGGAATACTTTTTAATGTTATGGTTTATTTATCTATTGGTGTCCTAATGTTTGTTTAATTTTTAGTCTACTTTTAAATTTCTTTGTGGACTAAAGATACTAACGCTTTGTCTTGTTTTTCCTCATCTTTTGTTTATTTGTTTGTTTTTTTCCTTCTGGGAGTACCAACTGAACCCTTTACTTTTACTATAGCAAATATTTAGATAATACTTCCTCTGTAAGCTTCAAAGTTTTTCCCACTCTAGAAGTTTGATATTTACTTCTCTTTTATCATAGATTTTCTATGTATTTTTAAAAAATGTTTTTATCAAACTGGAATATATGATTATGTAATTGTGAGAAAATAAACTAAATTACAAGTTCTTAACCTTCAGTTGAATCCAGTGCTTACCCATTATTTTTAGATAAAGCCTCATTATATATAGTTGCTGACCACCACTGCATAGTTTTACGCATATGTGTAGTTAATCAGGAAGTAGATGGACCCAAATAGATTAAAATCTACTGTTTCAAATATTTCAAAATAATATCATATATTCTTCCCTATTATATTCTGATCAGAATATTGTTCTCAGTAAAAACAAAGTCTTTTTTTTTTCTATATCACCATGTATCCACAGTTGATTAATTATAGTCATGGTTATTTTACATAGGTTTATTTCCTTTTGAATTAATATAGACTTATACTTCCAAGAGTTATAAATAACTGAAATTTACATAGTTGTGTATGCACACATACACATACACATACCCCTATTCCTCACATAATTGGTAATAGAAATAATGAAAAGAGGTTGTGTTCTTAGGCAAGGACAATTTAAAAGAACCCCAAATGATTACCTTGAATTAAGGTAAACACTGGTAAAAAAAAAAAGAGCAAAAAGGGCAATTTTTTCCTTTAGTATATTAAACAATGTTGTTTCTAACATTCCCTCACGTTTAGACTACTCTGAAAAATCCTTAGAGTGGTTGTGTAATGTGTTTAAGTTTTTTCGATTTCCAAGCATTAAGTCTGGCTCCACTAAAACGGTTGTTTGGTTCTATTTTAGTCTGTCCCTATCTGTCCTACTGCTACCACTTTGTGTTGTTTTGTTTTCTGTTATAATGAATACAACAGTCCCACTTCATTCTCAGTTCTAATTAACGTTATCCAGCCTCTAAGTGTTAGCATCTACTTTGCTTTTGGTTATAGGATCAACGATAAACAGCTAACTGTTGTGCAGACTGAAATCCCTAATTAGTAAAGCACAAGATTTTATTGGTTATATATTTTTCTAAACTATAGACTTGATTTTGTTGCAAACCTTACATGTAGAAAAAAAATTTTGTAATGGCACTGTTTTTATTTTTGGTGATACTATAGTCTGGAACATGTGGCCCAGCAAAGGTTATAAATCTAGCAAGAAAAATTATGGATGGCATCAATTTTAACAGTCTTTGCGATCTAACAGAGCATAAACCCCAAATTGTTTAAATACTAAATATTTACTTAAAGAAAAACAAGAGATCATTCAAAAATAGAATTTAAATAGTGAATTTGCCTTTTATTTAAAAGTTGACAAGTTTTGTATATTTATAAAATTAACAAAATTGACATCATACTATCCATATCACAAGACTCTTGTGTTGTATTTTAAAGGAAAACACACACACAGCATACATACATTTGGATTGGGGCCAGATTTAGACTCCAGGGGCACAGTGTTCTGTACCTTAAATTACAATCAGATGTATTTTAGCACAGATCAAATTTTCAGTCTGAAGTTGGTGAGAAGCCTAATTATTTGACCAGGTTACTATTTATGTAGACCATTCTGTGGCTGGCTGTGGTTAATCCACAGCTGGCAGAATGCTAGCTATGGGAGGTTTTTATTTGATGCTGGAACAGTTTGGGGAGAAATAGAGGGGGAAAGCTTTAAAATCTTCTCATTAAATGAAAGACTAAAAAGCAAGACAGTACATCCATATTACTATGGAGACAAGATGCTGTATAAACTGTTCGTTTTAATTCTCCAAGTGACAGAAATAGCAAAGCAGCAGCTTGGATGCTCATAGTTTGCAAGTGATAGGATACTTGGTTAAAAAAGAAAGATAAAAACATTTAAAAATAATAACTAAGACTAAGATTTGTTGCCTCTTAGAACACTTGAATATTGGTAAAGAATTAATGGATTCAATTTTTAAATGATGAGAAATATTGTTATTATACAAAAACATTTTGTATTTCACTAAACATACTAAAACATTTAGAATTTCACTAGCAGTACTTTAAAGTGATAAGAGGCAGTTGTAGGGGAGAAAAAGTAACATATTTTCCTCATCCATCGCAAGGGTCATGACTGAACCCTCTGTAACGAAACAGATTAACAAGAGAAAAGCATAATTTATTTAACAAAGTTTTACATGACACAGGAGCCTTCAGAAATTAAGACCCAAAGACCAGCAAAAACTGTATTTTTATGCGAAGTCTGATGAAAGACATGGATAGTTGTAGAGAAACATTAGACAAAAGGGGTATGATCTAATGGTAATAAACCTAGGGTTGAAGGATGTGGAAGCCAGCAAGTCCTGTCTGTTAGATTATTCTTGGCCACCAGGTATAGGACAGGACCCCTTTGGAAAAGGGTTTTATGGCCAGCTTTCACACAGAAAGGTGGGAGAAGGTCAGAGTGACCTTGCTTCTGCGGGTTTTCTCAATTGCTAGGGGGCCATATTTTGGGGTATTGTATTCTGGGCCCTGACACAATTATAGTAGACGATTCTCTCTTAACGTCTCAGAATATGTATAAAGGCAATAAACCCTTCCTTAAAAGATGGACCCCAATACACATGGCTCCTGCCACTAAATTAATTTTTTTAGTCTTCTTATTGTAGTCTATTTGAAATTTGAAAGTAATATTTTAAAAGATTTTTTTTTCTTTTTAAACTTTTCAGAGTTTGCATTATGGAAATCGTTGGTCCCTCAGTTATAAGTGAATATCTCAGTAGCATTTTTGTAACTTTTAACAGAAGTTTCTTTTATATTTTCAAGGTTATTTCTTCCATTTATAAGCCAGTTCTTCTCCCCTTCTAGTTTCCAGTGCTCCCACTTCCTCTAGTTCTTTGCTCTAATTATCCTCTCTCCCTTGCCTCTTCATTCTTCTATTTCTCCAATAGATCCTTTTCTTTGAAAAGCAAAATCTTTCCAACTTTCCCTGCCCTTAAAAGCAAATCTCTTCTTTCCTCCCTTCCCTGCCCACCCTTCCCCGCAAAAAAGCGTTTGTGCCTTTTCCTCCTCTTATTATCTGCTCAAATTAGCAACATATCTGGAGTCATATGAATCCAGGCTTCATCACATGTAAGCTGTGTGTCCTAAGAAACATCTCTTAACTTCTCTATCTTGCTTTATTTATCAAAAGAAACTAATATGTCCACCTCATAGGTTTGATGTAAGGAAAAAACAATAACTGAGTTGCTGTATAGTATAGTGCCTGGGACACAATAATTACTCATTACATTTCAGATGGTTTTATTATCATTACTGATGAAGCTTTGAAAATAATTATTCTTACCTTACTTTCTCACCATTCCTTTTTTAACAACTACTTCTACCATCATACTAAGTGCTTTCTGTTAATCATCAAATCTTATGACTTTTACTCATTCCTTTCTTTCTCTACTTCCCCATAGCACCTTCTTAAAATTTCCCTTGCTTAGTTTCTCCACCATCACTTCTCCTCTCCTCATTTGGCCTCCTCTTGTTTTCTCCTTTTCCTTTTTTATTTCCTCTAATTTTTGTTCTCCATTTTTTCCTTCGTCGTCTTTTGTTCTGTGTTCTCTGCCTTGGGAATTACACCACCTCTTTGACCTCACCTCTTTCATGACCTTTCCTCTAAGTCCAACTTTCTGGTAGATACTTAGAGATCCCTTAGAACCTCAACTGTAGTATGACCACAACTAAACACTCTTTACCATCTAAGCCAGATCTTATTCTGGAATTTTCCACTTTTATTAATGGTAGAACCAGATTCAAAAATCTCAATCATCTTTTGACTCTTTTCTTCTTTGCCTTCCACATCTTAAACAATTGCCAAGTCCTGTATGTAGTACTCCTAATATGGTTTTCTTTTACACAGCCAAATGTAGACATTTATTAACTGTTGCTGAATTGTTGCTGCCCAGGTTAACTTTGCTTTAAATTTTCCCATAAGCTTGTTATTCCTTCCTTTCACGGAAATATTCATTACCCATGATCCACCCCTACCCCTCTTGCACATTGCCCACCAAATAGATTCCTACCCTGCCATCCAAGGCCCTTTGTATTCTTAACTTCGCCGACCTTTTCAAGTCTCTATTATTGCCCTTTGTGTATTCCTTTACTTGTTTGTGCACCATCCAAACTAATTTCCTGTATATACATGTATGTCTTTGCTTATGCTTTCCTCTAGAAAGCATGAATATGTTTTAATAAGACTTTCATTAATATTAAAGCTGTACATAAATAGCATTTTAAATGCAGCTTTCCTGACATGAAATTTTAAAGAAATTTAAAGAAAATTTTAAAGAAAAATTAAATATTTTTCTTTTGCATTACTGCATTCTTTTCTCATTATTTGAAAATTCTAATTCAGAATCTTCCTCAAAAATCAATTTAGATATTTCTTAAGGTAACAAGTTATGATTGATTGATTGATTGATATAGAGACAAGGTCTCCGTGTATTTCCCAGGCTGGAGTGCAGTGGTGTCATCTCGGCTCACTTCAACCTCCACCACCTGGGCTATAGCAATCCTCCCGTCTCAGTCTCATGAGTAGCTGGGACCACAGGCACACACCAACACACCCAGCTAATTTTTGAAATTTTTGTAGAGACAGAGTTCCGCCATGTTGCCCAAGCTGGTTTGGAACTCCTAGACTCAAGTGATTGGCCCACCTTGGCCTCCCAAAGTGCTGGAATTCCAGGTGTGATTCATTGTACCCAGCCAGAAGTTATGATCTTAATTAACAGATTATTTTAAAGTCACTTATAAGAATACAAACTCAGCCAGGCTCAGTGGTGTGCACCTGTAATCCCAGCTACTTGGAGGGCTGAGGTAGGAGGATTGCTTTATCCCAGGAGTTCAGGACCAGCCTGGGCAATATAGTGAAACCTTATCTCAAAAAATATATATTCCAAACTGTTTGTAAGAAGCTAAAAGGATTCAGTTTGCCTTCATAGTACAATTTCCCTAATTCGAATGTAATTATTGTCTTGAATGAGACCTTTCAAACATTTTTTCTTTCATGAATTTCCAGAATTCTTTAGTATTGAGCATATAAACCTAGTATGAAATAAGTAATGCTTTATTCTCTGAAGTAATGGCATGTATCAAGCATATGGTACTCATATGATCAAATATCCTTCCAGTCAAATGTTGCTATTTTCTGCCTTGCATCTTATAATTGTATTTTATATACTTTTGTATTTTGTATAGGTTTCTTTTATTCTCACTGAGAGTGACTGTGGAGATGGTATTTCTAATTTTCCCTCCTTTTTTCTTCATCCAGGGCTTTTTTCTTACAGTTTCCCCAGAGTCAGTATTAAAGGTGGCTCACCATGCTTCTGAAAACAACAGGATTTTCACTTTGAATCTATCTGCACCGTTTATTAGCCAGTTCTACAAGGAATCATTGATGAAAGTTATGCCTTATGTTGATATACTTTTTGGAAATGAGACAGTGAGTTACCTTTCCTTTTTCAAAAGAACCTGGGGGTTTTTTGTTTGTTTATTTCTGATGTGTGTATATATGTTTAGAAATATATAAATTAAATCCTAAATTTTTGTGTAAATGTCCTTGAGAATTGTGCAACAAAATTGCCTCAATGTCAACTGCTCTCAGTATTTTCAATATTTCCTTCAGTATATACTAACTTCTTTCTTAGTGAAGCATTTATTTATTTATTTTTATATTTTTATTTTTTTGAGGTGGAGTTTCCCTCTTTTCATCCAGGCTGGAGTATAATGGCATGATCTTGGCTCACTACAACCTCTCCTTCCCGGGTTCAAGCAGTTCTCCTGCCTCAGCCTCCTAAGTAGCTGGGGTTATAGGCGCATGCCACCATGCCCAGCTAAATTTTGTGTTTTTAGTAGAGACAGGGTTTCACCATGTTGGCCAGGCTGGTCACGAACTCCTGACCTCAGGTGATCTGATCGCCTCAGCCTCCCAAAGTGCTAGGATTACAGGTATGAGCCACTGTGCCCGGCCCAACATTTATTTTTTTAAGGTGTTTGACGTTTGATTTACTTATAGTAAGAGTCATCCTTTTTACTGTAATTTCTGTGAGTTTTTACAGATGGATACCTGTCCTGTTACTATGACCACAATCAGGATAAAAAAGCACATTCATCACTTTTTTAAGTCTCTTCAGAGTCTAAGTCCATTTGATATTTGTTTAATAAATTATGAGTAAATTTTGATATATTACATTTATATTTCTTTATTAATAATATTTTTAAAATATTGTCTGTTATAGTTGAAGGTGATAAAATGGAATTTCATCTCAACAAGTACAGTTTTTTCTTTCTACCAAGAATGTATTTTCTTCCATTCTAAATTATGGAAATGCTTATTTACTTAAATGCTTATTTACTTTGATTGCTTGTTTACTGTTTATACCTCTTATTTACTGTTTATACCTCTTTAAAAATCCATGAAAGAGGAAAAAATCCTTCAGTGTGTCTTCCTATGACTTGGCCATGTCACTTGATGGTTTAATGTATACAATGAAGGTATTGTATTAATCATCCCAGAAGTTCATTCTGATTCTAATTCCATAGTTCTAACATAGTTTGAATATATTCATCAATTTTATATCTAATAACTGCCATCTGCCTAGAATAACATAAAAATTGACCTGGAAGTTTACGAGATCACCTGGGTAAAGATTAAAGGATGATCCATAGAAATAATATCACAGTGTATCTGCAAAGGTGATGGTTACATTGGTTATAAATGGTGACATTGGAAGGAAATGCTATATTCTTGATAATTCACAAATTGAGATACTGGCAAGAAATAGTGGTAATAGCCAAGTGCCATATAACTGCTAGAAGCCTAATTTGACTAAGATCTACCATTTAGTTTTTCCTTATTAACAGTTTTATTTTGTAAAGGGTAAAAGAAGTAAATGGGAAAAGTGCTATTCAAGCCTTTTGAATAACATTAAAGCATTGGTCTCAGTAGTCTTGAGAATCATTGGGAGAAGTTAACATTTGGTCTCAGAGTTCTAAATAGTCAAGAAAGATCAGACTGGCAGCACTTAAATAAGTTCTCTAGAGTTTAAGAGACAAATCTTAAAACTTTTAAAAAAGATAAATATGATTCCAAAGAGGCCGGGCACGGTGGCTCACGCCTGTGATCCCAGCACTTTGGGAGGCAGAGGCGGGTGGATCACGAGGTCAGGAGATTGAGACCATCCTGGCTAACACGGTGAAAGCCCGTCTCTACTTAAAATACAAAAAATGAGCCAGGCGTGGTGGCGAGTGCCTGTAGTCCCAGCTACTCGGGAGGCTGAGACAGGAGAATGGCGTGAACCCAGGAGGCGGAGCTTGCAGTGAGCCGAGATCGCGCCACTGCACTCCAGCCTGGACAGAGCGAGACTCCGTCTCAAAAAACAAACAAACAAAAAAAAAAAAACATAAATATGATTCCAAAGAATGAAACTTTGGAAGTAAAGAAAGCTTAGGGAGATTGAATGCCATAAAAAATGCTATTTGGACTTTATAGTCACAAATGATCTTAATTAAGGAGAGAATGTGGAGGGACCTTTTGAAAAAATATAGCAGAGCACGCAGAAAACTCTTTAATAAGAGCTCAAATTTGGAGGATAACGAGATAGCTGCCTCTGCCTTTGCCGGTGCAGTGAGAGCAGCTTCAGGAATCTTATGGCCTCTGAATATTTTGGCATCTTCAGCCTACCAAAACTGTGTCAAAAATGCCTCTCTTATTTCTGCATTGTCCACTGGACGTTTTAGTCATATTCAGACACCAGTTGTTTCCTCCACTCCCAGACTTACCACATCTGAGAGAAACCTGACATGTGGGCATACTTCAGCGATCCTTAATAGAGTGGCCCTCTTGCTTCCAAGTGTCTTGAAGCTGCCAGCCAGATCTCTAACATACGTCAGTACAGGAAAAGGCAAGAGAAGGATTGTGAAAGCTGTCATCTATAGGTTTCTTCGACTTCATTGTGGCCTTTGGATGAGAAGGGCTGGTTATAAGAAAAAATTATGGAAAAAGGCACCTGCAAGAAAAAAGCGATTGAGGGAATTTGTATTCGGCAATAAAACCCAGAGTAAACTCTTAAGATAAAATGACGACGTCCTTCTGGAAGAGGTGAAACTGGTATGTCCATGATCCTTATCAGAAGTGTCATGATCGAACAAACCTGAAAGTATAGATCAGAAGTTTCACTTGTTTCTCAGTTATTGAATATGTATCTTTGTGTACATATCTGCAAAAATGGATAAGTAAAAATCTCGATGTAAATTGTATCAATGAATATGTAAACATACAGTGACAACACTGAACTTATAAAAGTTTTAAAACTTAAAAAAAAAGCTCAAATTTGTAAAAGACATGTAAAAAGAAGGTGGAAAATGTATTTAGAATCAGGGAATGATGCTAAAAGTTTGGTAGAGACAAAAGAGAAAAGAAAGTCCCAAAAGTGGTTTAAGTTTGCAGCAGATGCTGATGATATCAAAACAATCTTCACTTAAAAAAAAAAAAAAGACTCCAAAGTACAAGCAACAAATGGAAAAAATAGATAAATTAGACATCATCAAAATTAACAATTTTTGGGCATCGAAGGACACTAACAAGAATGTGAAAAGACAACTAGTGGAATGGGAGTTAATATTTGCAAATCATATATCTGATAAAGGATTCATATTCAGAATATTTAACACAGTAACAACTCAACAATAAGCAAACTAACAACATAATTCAATAATGATCAAAGGAATTTAATAAACATTTATTCGAAGAAGATATACAGATGGCCAGTAAACACATGAAAAGATGCTCAACATAACCATTCAAGAAGTGCAAATCAAAACCAAAATTAGATACCACTTCACACCCATCAGAATGACAATTGTTTTAAAAAATGGAAATTAACAAGTATTGGTGAAGATGTGGAGAAATTGGAAACACTTGTGTATTGCTGGTGGGAATGTAAAATGGGAATGTAGAAGACAATTTGGTGGTTCCTCAAAATGTTAAACATAGAATTATTACCATATGATCTAGCAGTTCTACTTCTAGGTATATTACCCAAAATAACTGAAAGCAGGGACTCAGATAATTGTACACCAATGTCCATAGCAGCATTATTCACAATAGCTAAGATAGAAGCAAATCAAATATTCATCAACAGATGAATAAACAAAATTTCATGTATATATACAATGGAGTATTATTTAGCCTTAAATAAAATTTTGATACATGCTACAACATGAATGAATTTTGGAAATACTATGTTAAGTAAAATAAGCCAGACACATCAGACAATTATTGGATTTTCTAAGAAGAATTCCACTTACAAGAAGTATCTAGAATAGGCAAATTCATAGAGACACATAGTAGGATAGTGATTACCTGGGAGTGGGGTGGGGAGGAATGAGGCATTATTGTGTAATAAGTACAGAGCTTCTGTTTGGGATGATGAAAAAGTTCTGGAAATGGATAGTGGTGATAGTTGCGCCACACTGTGAATGTATTTAGTGCCAATGAATTGCATACTTAAAATGGAAAATTTTATCATATGTATAGTTTACCACAATTTTTTTGAAAAAGTTTTATTCTACAAATCAGTAAACTTAAAAGTTGGATCACAGCTTAGCATAGATTATTAAAGGAATTATTTTTCCCCACCTAGAAGAGGAAGTGGTAAAACTGTAAGCTGCTACGTGGCTGTAAGTCATGGGGCAAGAAAATCTTTTCTCTTTTGGTATGATTATTGTTCATTTGAATTCGCTTCAAGAGGTATTTATATAGTACCTAAGTACCTATTATGGCAGACCAATAAGCAGTGGATACATAGTATATTTTAGAACATCTGTCATTACGTGGACTATAGAATAATAAAGATTGGCTATAAGACAATTAGAGGTATTTGGTATTTTATTGAAGCAGTCTCAAAAGGTCTGTTGATAAATAAATTGATTTCTAGGGGTACGCCTCAGTGTTTACCCTGCCTTTGCTTAAGTAAACAGTGATTTAGATAAAGCTATATTTGCATATAATTCAAATGCAAATAATACAACACCTTAATACATACTAGGTAAGTTGAAGGTCAAAATCAGATTTTTTTAAATGTTAGTAGACTCTAAATATCAGTTGAGTGATGAAATTTAATAGGGATAATAAAAATTATATCGTATTTGATTATAAAAAGCAAGTAGAGTAAAATGCTTTATCCCTTTAATCTCATCATCCATTGTTTTTCTCCTTGAATACTATAGTGATAATGTTATCTTCAGTTTTCCAGGAAAAAAGAGACATTTTACTTCTAAAATGTGACGAAGGATAAAATATAGTTATCAGAGAATATACGTAGGATTCTTTAATATTTCCCCCCTCAAAAAAATAAAGTATACTGTGTTTAGTATAAATTTTTAAAATGTCAAAACTCAGCTAAAATCAAACACACTTGGCCCTTATTTTCTACATGTCACCTTCCTCTTGTCAGAGGATTGTACAGTAGTAATGATGATTTAAAACTTCTGATAGCCTCAATATTTAAAAAAAATAATACCTTGTCCACAAAGATTATTTCTTCACAGGCAATGATCAATGATCCCTGTGAGACAAGAAATAAATAAGATAAACCTGATGATTACCCCAGCTAACTCCTTGGAGATAATTTCCAGGCAACAGAAGAAAGGTAACTAAGGCCAAGCACAGTGGCTCACGCCTGTAATACCAGCACTTTGGGAGGCTGAAGCGAGTGGATCCTTTGAGGTCAGGAGTTCAAGACCAGCCTGGCCAACATGGTGAAACCCCCTCTCTACTAAAAATACAAAAAAGCCTGGCAGGGTGGTTGTGCGCCTGTAATCCCAGCTACTCGGGTGGCTGAGGCATGAGAATTACTTGAACCTGGGAAGCAGAGGTTGCAGCGAGCCAAAATTGCACCACTGCACTCCAGCCAGTGTGATTGAGACTCTGTCTCAAAAAGAAAAAAGAAGGGTATCTCAAGTAGACCCTTGCAGTCTCTTTTAATGAGGAGTTGGAGCCGGAAGTTCAAGGAGTCTAAGACAGCTAGTGTTTGTAAGTTAAAAGTACCAGAGAAGAAATAGCTGAATAGAGGGAGAACACAGGACATTTGCAGAATCCCAACAAGTCTTCAGCTGAGTATGAATCAGTGCATTTTTGTGAAGAAATTAAGGAAGACCACAAAAAGAACCACCTAAAAAGATTGTAGAAGACAATCCTCAGTGCACACATGAGGACCTATAACCATTCCTATCCTACTAGTCAGAGTGGATAACCTCGTAATTCACGAGGCTTCAAGTAGAGTATTAAAAGGAATTTTGTCTCATTAGCAGGTTAAAATCAGCTCTAGACTAGATGTTCTGGTCCCTCCTGTCAATATTATTACAATATATTTGACAACCTTTATGAAATGGACAAATTTGTTAAAAGACACAAAGTACTAAATCATACTCAAGAAGAAATAGAAAAAGTCTGTTTAGATTATTAAAGAAATTGAATTTGTAGTTAAAACCCTTGCTACAAAGAAACTTCAAAGGCTGAATTGCTTCAGTGTTTAATTCTTTTCTGTTTGTTTGTTTGTTTGTTTTGAGACAAGGTCTCACTCTCTCACCCAGGCTATAATACAATGGCACAATCATGTCTCACTGCAAGCTCAAACTCCTGGGTTCAAATGATCCTCCTACCTCAACCTCCCGAGAAGCTAGGACGACAGGTGCAAACCACCACAGCTGGCTAATTTTTAATTTTTGTAGAGAGGAGGTCTCGTTTTGTTGCCCAGGCTGGTTTCAACCTCCTGCACTGAAGCGAGTCCTTCTACCTCAGCCTCCCAAAGTGCTGGGATTACAAGCATGAGCCACTGCACTTGGCAGTGTTGAATTTTAACACAGATTTCAGAAAGATGTAGTACCAATTGTATACAAACTGTCCCAGAAAATTGAAGAGGGAGAAATATACCTATCTTATTTCATGAGGTCAGCATTACCTTCATACCAAAAACAAAGTATTGCAAGAAAACTACAGACCAATATCCCTCATAAACACAGATGTAAAAATTCTTCAAATAATTTTAGCACATCAAACCGAACAATATATTAAAAGAGTAATTCATCATGACTAGGAGTGTAGAATTGGTTTAGCATTTTGAAATCCATCAATGTAATTAAATATGTTAAGACTAAAAAGAAAAATCACATGATTATCCTAAAAGCTTTTGAAAAATCCAGACATCTATTTCTGTTAAAAGCCCTCGGAGGCTGGGCATGGTGGCTCATGCCTGCAATCCCAATAGGGATTGGTGAGGGTCAGGAGTTTGAGACCAGCCTGGCCAACATTGCAAAACCTCATCTCTACTAATAATACACAAAATAGCAGGGCATGTTGGTGGGCACCTGTAATTCCAGCTACTTGGGAGGCTGAGGCAGGAGAATCGCTTGAACTGGGGAGGCAGAGGTTGCAGTGAGCCAAGATCATGCCACCACACGCCAGCCTGGGCAACAGGGTGAAACTGTGTCAAAAAAAAAAAAAAAACCCTTGGAATAGTAGAAGCATGAAAAAATCCAGATTTAGAAAGAAGGAAGTAAAACTGTCTCTATTATCAAAAGCATGATCATCTTCATACAAAATCTGATGTCATCTTCAAAAAGCTATTAGAACTGGCTGGGCATAGTGCATCACGCCTGTAATCCCAGCACTTTGGGAGGCCGAGGCTGGTGGATCATTTGAGGTCAAGAGTTCTAGACCAGTGTGGCCAACATGGCAAAACCGCGTCTCTACTAAAAATACAAAAATTAGCTGGGCATGGTGGCACACGCCTGTAATTCCAGCTACTTGGGAGGCTGAGGCAGGAGAACCCGGGAGGCTGACCTGAGGCAGGAGAACCCAGGAGGCGGAGGTTGCGATGAGCCGAGATCATGCCACTGCACTCCAGTCTGGGCGACAGAGCAAGACTCTGTCTCAAAAAAAAAAAAAAAAAAAAAGCTATTAGAACTAAGTGACGTAGCAAGATTGTAGCATACAGAATAAAAAATTTAAATCTCAAATGTATTTTTCTATATTAGCAAGAAACAACCAGAAATTTAAAAATACGATTTCCAATACCATCAAAAAGTATAACAAAGTATTTACTTTGGGATAAACCAGACCAAAGATGTATACACTGAACACTACAAAACATTGTTGAAAAAATTTAAGAAGACCCAAATGGGAGATATATCATGTTCATAGATTAGAAGACTCTGTATTGTTAAATATAAATTCTACTCAAAATAATCTATAGTTTAGTGTAATTCAGTCAGAATTTCAGAAGTTTTTTTTAAAGTCAAGTTGATTCTAATATTTATATGGAAAAGCACTGGACTAGAGTAGCCAAACCAACGTGGATTTTAAAAACCAAATCAGAAGACCTTTACATGATTTGAAGACTTATTACAAAGCTACAGTAATCCAGACAATGTGGCATTGGTGTAATGATAGACAAATAGTCAATGGAACAGAAGGGAACGTCCAGAAATAGACCTAAATTTATTTTTCAACAATGTTTCAGAGGCTTTTTCATGGAGGAAGAAAACAGTCTTTTTGACAAGTCGTTCTGGAGCAATTAAATATCCATATCTAAAAACGCAAACTTCAACCCACGTAACAAACAACTGCACGGCTATTAGAATGTCTGAAAGTGTGACCATACCAAATATTGGTAAGGATATATGGAGCAGCTAGAATGTAAAATGGTACAACTACTTTGGAGAATGGTGTTCTTGTTTCTTACAAAGTTAAATATACATCCTCCAAATGACCTAGCTATCCCACTCCTAGATATTCACCCAGGACAGATGAAAGCATCTGTCCATGTAAAGACATACACAGGTGTTTATAGCAGCTTTATTTGTAATGGCCAAAGTCTGGAAAACAAACCAAACATCCACAACTAGTAACTGGTTAAACAAATTGTGATATTTCCATAGAATAGAATACTACTCAACTATAAAAGAATTGTACTATTGATAAGAAATGAACCAACAGCATAGAAGAATTTTAGAATACCTATGCTGAGTGTAAGATACTGTAAAGTACATTCTATATGATTCTATTTATATTCTAGAAAGTGCTAACAAATTTATGGTGATGGCAGATCCATTGTTGTCTGGGGACAGGGTTATGCTATGAGGCAGTGATCACAAACGGGCATGAGGAAACTTTTAGGAGTAATAGATGTGTTCCCATTGAGGTTGTGGTTGCAGTACTTTATACATACGTCAAGTTTTATCTAATTAAACACTTTTAGTTTGTGCAGATAATTGTATGTCAGTTATACCTCAGTAAAGCTATTAAAATGAATATATACTTTGATTCCATTTATATGTTTAAAAGTAGGAAACATTATTCTAAAGCCATTAAGTTCCAAAAATACACTGCTAAAATGAAGAAGTGCCAATTTGTTATTTTTTGATCACCATATATGAAACTTCTGTTATTTCCATGGAAGATCCCCTTATATTTAAGTAGCAATGTCAAGCCAGAGGAAGAGTGTTTTGATAGTCCTGGGTTCTAATCATGACAACTAAAAATTATCATAACCTACCATTGAATAATGCTTTAAAGTTAAAAAGGGTATTCACAAAAACCGTCATTTAATCTACAAGGCAATTCCATGTGTTTTTCTAATGCATGTAAAGTTTCAGCTTGGCTCATGGAATATATTCTCAATTTTTGTTAGGTAATGTTGGTAGTAGTTTTAGGAGTATTGATCATGTTATCTATTAAGTTTCACTTCACTTTAACTTGCTTTGATAACTCACACTCTTCATTCATTCCTGTTAAAACATAATGAATATAGTACCAAGTGCATGAGGGAAAACTCACAGCTATTGGGCTGCTCTCTGCTATACCACCTTACTTCTGTTCCAACAAAGTTATTTGCTTACAAAAGTTAATTATGTTTTTCCTAAACTTGGTGAAATTTGTGTTCATTATTTAATTATTTAACATTATATATTCTGATGAAATATGAATGCAAGTAGAATGAGAATTAGTTTAATGAGTTAAGGTTGGTTCCAAAACTAAATACATATGAGTTATTTTTAATGTTGCTATTGAATTGGATGTGGGCATGAAAAGTATAAAAGATTAAAGGCAGTAAAAAGCTGTAAACATCTGTATTCAGGAGTGCTTCATAGGTGTTTTTATGTTTTCTCTCTGCTTTAAAGAAGTTGAAACTAGGCCAGGAACCATAGCGCACACCTGTAATCCTAGCACTTTGGGAGGTTGAAGTGGGAGGATTGCTTGAGCAGAGGTGTTGGAAACCAGCCTGGGCAACATAGTTGGACCCCATCTCTCCAATTATTTTCTTAAAATTAGCCAGGCATGGTGGCACACACTTGTATTCCCAGCTATTCGGGAGGCTAAGGTGGGAGGATCGCTTGCACCTGGGAGGTTGAGGCTGCAGTGAGCTACGATCATGCAACTGCACTCCGGTCTGGGTAACAGAGTAAGACCCTGTCTAAAAATAAAATTTTTAAGAAAGTAAAATGAGAATTCATAAACTATGAATTCTAGATGTGGTTCTACAAGAAAAACTCTAGAATGTCAGTCTGTAGGCATGCTCAAAGGTTTTGACCCTATTTTTTTTTTTTTTTTTTTGAGACAGAGTCTTGCTCTTATTGCCTAGGCTGGAGTGCAGTGGCACCATCACAGCTCACTGCAACCTCCACTTCCCAGGTTCAAGCAATTCTCGTGTCTCAGCTTCCCGAGTAGCTGAGACTACAGGCGTGCACAACCATGCCTGGCTAATTTTTGTATTTTTAGTAGAGATGGGGTTTTGCCATGTTGGCCAGGCTGATTTTGAACTCCTGGCCTCAAGTGATTTTGAACTGCCCACCTCTGCCTCCCAAAGTGCTGAGATTACAGGTGTGAGCCCCCCACCCAGCTGACCCTATTTTAAATATTAGCAAATGATGTATCTTTATATATTAAAATAAAATGTTTAGATTATGAAAGCTATTTTTTGTTCCCTTAATTTAATCATCACTCTGATTTATTTATCAACTACTATTCCTTTTCCTCATCTGTAAATTGAGGGGATTTGCATAGAAATACTAGATAATCTTTTAAATTTTTTCTTAAAGCTTAAACATGTTATAAAACTGATGATTCATTTTTTTTCCACATTCTAAGATTAATACTGTTAGATTTTATTATAAATTAATAAAGTTCCTCTTTTAACATGTAAAATAATGCCTGACATTTCTTTTAGGTAGTTCTGATTTTTTATTATGAGTGTAGCCTTAACTGTAGTGCCTTTGAAGCTGAATTCTCCCCATTTGTGACCCCAGTATTCCTTTTTTGTTTAGTGAACCTAGGGGAAATGATATTTCTCTCCAAAAAATACCTGAAAATATTTGGTTAGACACGTGCTGGGACAAAAAGTGAAGTATCCACAGTAATACCATTGCTATGTTCTTGTGATATAACCAGATTATAATTACTAAATGATACAATTTACTTTCTTTTTTTAATTCTGGTAAAAAAAAAATACACAATATAAAATTTAGACCATTTTAACTATTTTTAAGTGTACAAATCAGTGGCATTAAGTACATTTGCAATGTTGTACAGCCATCACCACTATTCCTCTCCAGAACTTTTTTTTTTTTTAATCAACCCAAGCAGAAGCTCTGTACCCATTAAACAATAACTCACTATTTCCTGTTTCCTCCTTCCTCCTCACCCTTGGTAACTGTTTTACTGTCTATCTATGAATTTGCCTATTTTAGGTACCTCATACAAGTAGGATCATACAAAAGTTGTCTGACTTAATTTCACTTAGCATAATCTTTTTAAACTTCATCCATGTTATAGCATGTTATCAGAATTTCATCTTTTTTAAGGCTGAATAATATTTCATTGTATGTGTGAAATTTTGTTTTTTGCTTCATTTTGTTGATAGACATTTAATTTGTTTCCACCTTTGATTATTATGAACAATGCTACTGTGAATGTTAATGAACAAGTATCTGTTTGAGTTCCTGCTTTTAACTCTTTTGGATATATACCTAGATGTGGAACTGTTGGATCCACAACAGGTACACCATTTTACATTCCTACCATCAATACACAAGGGTTCCAATTTCTCCACCTCCTCACCAACACTTATTTTGCATTTAAAAAATAATAGCCATCCTGCTGGGCACGAGGTGGCATCTCACTTTGGTTTTGATTTGTGTGGTTTACTTTCAGCCAAGGTTCAGAAATACATAGTGACAAATTTCTGTTTCTTTAATTTAAAATCTTTGGTAACCTGTTACATTGCATTTTGTACTTTTAAATTACACATCTGAATTGATTGGTTATCCTTGTTAAAGTAGTTCCAAAATTACTGTAGTTTAAAAACTCTTTAAATATTACATTGTAGTTTTAATTTGTTTCTGACATCTTCAAAGTTTGAAATTTTCCCTTCAGCAACAACCATTTGTTAGCTACATTCACACGAAAGCAGCTTAATAAAGGACATTCTACACAAAGGTAATTATAATCCATTGATGCCCCTTAATGCAAGCTGCTTTGTAGTCATTATCTAGCAGTAGATGACTAAAGAACTTGATTATTCTTGTTTTTCATTTTTATTAAATTAAGAAGGTTTTTTTAAATTATGTCATTTTGCAAATGGTTCTTAGGAGTAATGCCTTTCAAGGCTCCATAATCACTAGATAATTAACCTGCAAGGATTAAGTACACTCAACTTTGCCTCAGGATGCTTAACTCTCAAATACAGTCAATTATCTCATGATAATAACTGCTTTGTCAAGAGTTACCACTTAACTCCACAGTGAAAAGTCAAATCACCCATACCATGCACTTTAAGATAGTTTCAATAATAAAATAACAGTTTGAAATGGGGCAGAAGAATTCAGTTAAATTTTTTCATAGGGATAAGAATGATATGCTTTAGATAAAGCTCCCCCTCATATCTAGTATTTTGAATTTCACAAATGACTTCAATTTATAAAGATAATATAGGCCAGGTGCAGTGGCTCATGCCTGTAATCCCAGCACTTTGGGAGACCAAGGTGGGCAGATCACCTGAGGTCAGGAGTTCCAGAACAGCCTGGCCAACATGGTGAAACCCCATCTCTAATAAACACAAAAATTAGCTGGGTGTGGTGGCACGCGCCTATAGTCCCAGCTGCTCAGGAGGCTGAGGCAGGAGAATCCTGAGAACCCTGGAGGCGGAGGTTGCAGCTAGCCAAGATCACACCACTGCCCTCCAGCCTGGCAACAGAGCGAGACTCCGTCTCACAAAAAAAAAAAAAAAGGTAATGTATTGCTCTGCTTCATCAGTCCTTTTGCTGGCAGTGTTCCTGCATTGCAAATTTTCTTATAGGAAAGCCATTTTGTCTGTTAACCTCACAGAGGATTCAATATATTAAAAATCTCTAATATACACCAAGAAAATGGAAATTACTTTCTTTACATATTGATTTAACTTTTAAAAAATCTCGTTTATCAACAAACGAATTACAAAACAGTGAGCAAAATTCTGCAGTTTGTTGTGGTTGTTTTTTGTTGTTGAGTAGCTTCACTCATATTTGGACAGGATATGCCAAAAACAGAAAGACTGCTAGATAGATCAGGACATTTTGAAAGAAAATATAAAAATGTCTTTAGGTTTGTTATCCATGTCCTCTAAGCCTGAATGATGCTTGTATCTCTTTATAAGTAAACTATCATTATCTTTTTACTAAACCAGATGGGATACATTGGCTTTTTCTTCTGTTATATATTTTACTGCCATGGGGATGGGAAGAGACTTTATTGATATTTTGTTTACACTTTTAAACCCTTTTTAATGTTTCTAATAGTTAATTAATAATTTGAAACCATCAATTCTTTAAATTGTAAATAACTTTGATACAGGTTATCTTATTTTTCAGTTTCTATACTTCTGTAAAATAGAAGTCATTTGCTCTTTTAAGATAAAAAATCTGTGTGAATCTATGTGTAATTATGTACACCAAATAGTGCTATACATGCATACAACTTCTTTCAGATATTCTTCTTTTGGTTAAGAGCCTTTTTTTCTTTGTAAAGGTATTATTTTAATTTTTAGAACTATTTTTCTGTGCACTGGAGCACATGTTTGGGAGGAAAAAAGAAACTTTCTGTCAAGTCCCTATACACAGAGAATTCTTGTTTGAATTTTTAAAAAATTTTGTCAAGTCTAGTTCTTTTATTTATTTATTTATTATCAGTTAGAGACAGGGTCTCACTGTGTTGTCCAGGCTGTTCTCAAACTCCTGGCCTCAAGCAGTCTTCCCGCCTTGGCCTCCCTAAGGTTCTGGGATTACAGGCATGAGCGACCAAGCCTGGCCAAGTCTAATTCTTTAAAGGATGTGATTTCCAAGTATTTCCAGGAATTCAAGACTGTTACCTAGATCCGTATTCTGACAAAAGAGATGATCTTTTCTTTCTTCATATCAGAATATTTCCCCCATGAATTGAGGGAAATGGGGCTGTATCTAAAAATGGTAACTCTGCCCTTTAAAGTATACAGAAGTGCCCTGTTTCTTCCTAAGAGAGGTGGAAGTCCCCTTTCTGAGACTGTGCATATAGATCTCTTTATTCCCCTTTTTCTGCTATAAGTGATAAGAGGGGCTATGTAGACAAAATGTAAGGTTGTTATAAAATCATCAAGGAATTGGGAAAGAAACTTTATCGGAGGATATACATAACCCCTTCAGAAAAAAAAACAAAAACTTATGGTGCTTTTTGGAAGAAATTCTGACATAGTTGTATTTTCTGAGAAGGATAATGAAATTTCAGTTAACATGGAACTGTAACTTCGTAAAATTGCTGCTCAGCTCCTAGATTTAACTTTCTCCCTAGGGTTTTTCTAATATATTTACTCATCTGAAAAAAGTGAGATTGACTGTAGCACAAGGGAGACTTCTGATGTCAGTGGCATGTTGTAAAGATGTGCTATGGGAAAGATTCAGAAAATGCAAAGGCTATTTAACTATATGCTCTGCATCTCTCTTCCTTTCTACATAGCTCTCTCCTTTCTTTCTTACTCCTTCGTCTCCCTCTTTACGCCAACTACATTGCCTCTCTGAAGATGAAATGCTTTTAAATCATCCCCAATCTAACATCCATCACTGGTAAAAAGCCATCTAATTATTATGTGTTGATTTTTAAAAATTAAAAAAAATTATTAGAAAATTAAGAAGAGCATTTAAATGTTTTTAATTGCAAGGAGAAAATAAATACACTCAAGTAAAGAAAAACACTGTGTAATTTGAAATAGTTTGAATTACTACGGAGATAATCATATTTTATGCAGTAATGCCTTTCTATTTTATTCACTATTTCTATTAATCTTTATTTGTTTCAGTTACTGTACTATAAATTTGTAAGTGATTATTTTGGTATTATTTGTATAGTATGCCATAATATAAAAATAATGAAAAATATTAAATATATATTTAATGTTCTTATTTAATGCCTTTAATTTTTTTTTTCTTTGAGACAAGGTCTCACTCTGTTACCCAGGCTGGAGTACAGTGATGCAATCTCGGCTCACTGCAAACTCCACCTCCCAGGTTCAAGCGATTCTCAAGTCTCAGCTTTCCACATAGCTGGGATTACAGGAATGCGCCATCACACTCAGCTAATGTTTGTATTTTTAGTAGAGATGGGGTTTTGCCATGTTGGCCAGGCTGATCTTGAACTCCAGGCCTCAAGTGATCCACCTGCCTCGGCCTCCCATGTGCTGGGGTTACAGGAGTGAGACACCTCACCCAGCCAAAAATTATTGTTTATTAAAAATCATTTAATGACATTGACATCCTTATAAATAAAAACTGTAAATTTATATCACAGTAGAAAAAGTGCTAGACCTAAATTTAGAAAACCTGTCTTTTATCCTAGCTCTTGAGTTTTTCACAGAGAAAATAGGAGTCAAGAAGCCAAAATTCTGACATGAGGGAAATAATTAGCAAAATTTAAATAGGTGCCATTGATTAGTCAATGGTATTTTATCAACATTAATTTTTATTTTATTATTTATTTATTTATTTTGATATGGAGTCTTGCTCTGTTGCCCAGACTGGAGTGCAGTGGCATCATCTCGGCTCACTGCAACCTCCACCTTCCGGGTTCAAGCAATTCTCCTGCCTCAGCCTCCTGAGTAGCTGGGGTTACAAGTTCCTGCCACCATGCCTGGCTAATTTTTGTATTACTAGTAGAGACGGGGTTTCGCCATGTTGGCCATGCTGGTCTCGAACTCCTGACCTCAGGTGATTGGCCTGCCTTGGCCTCGCAAAGTGCTGGGATTACAGGCATGAGTCACCGCACCCAGCTTAACATTAATTTTTTTAGTTTTGGTAATTTTAATATGGCTATATAGAATGTTTACATTTGGAAAAATCCTAATATCCTTTTTGACTGATCCAGATCCAGTCCAGGTTGCTCACATTGCATTTAGTTACCACATTTCCTTCGTCTCTTTAATCTAGAATGGTTCTTCAGTCTTTGTCTTTATGACCATGACAATTTTGAAGAGTCCTGACTGGTTTTTTGTAGAATGCCCTTCAGTGTGGAGTTTCCTCATGATTAATACATTTTTTATAGGAATACCATAGAAACAGCCTGGGCAACATAGCAAGATGCTGTCTCTACAAAAAGTAAAATTCACCAGGCATGATGGCACATTCCTGTAGTCCCAACTACTTGGGAGGCTGAGGCAGGAGGATTGCTTGAGCCCAGGAGTTTGAGGCTGCATTGAGCCATGATTGCCACCCTGGACTCCAGCCTGGGTTACAGAACGAGAACCCCCACACACCCCCCCCCCCTAAAAAAAAACAACACAACACAGAAATGCTATTGTGTCTTTTTTCATGCGTTATACTAAGATTTTAGTGTGTTTCGTTACTGGTAATACTAACTTTGATCACATGGTTAAGAAAATGTTGGCCCAGTTTATTCACTTCAAAGTTACTATTTCTGGCCAGGCATAGTGGCTTACGCCTGTAATCCCAGCACTCTGGGGAGCCAAGGAGGACAGATCGCTTGGGCTTAGGAGTTCAAGACCAGCCTGGGCAACATGGTATAACCCTATCTGTACTAAAAATATAAAAATTAGCTGGGCATAGTGGCATGCACCTGTAGTCCCAGCTACTTGGGAGGCTGAGGTAAGAGGATCGCTTGAGCCCAGGAGGTCACATGGTGACCTTGGAAGCAAATGCTCCCTCAAACACGAGATGACTGCAGCCCTGGTCTACATCTCAGTTGCAGTCTTGTGAAATCTTGAGTCAGAGGCACTCAGCTAAGCCATGCCTGGATTCCTTTTCCTGGAAACTATGGAGATAATAAGTGTTTGTTATTTTAAGTCACTAAGTTTTGGAGCAATTTGTTACACAATAATAACTAATATGCTGTGAAAAACAAATTTACTAAGAGCTCAATATCTGTGTACAATTTTTTTTGTCTTTAGCCTTTTGTGTATATTGTCAAAACACAGGCTTTTAGTTAAAGTTAGTTCCTTTCCCCTTCAAGTATTTTAATTTTTTTTAAATATGTGAAACATTTATATGGTTCTTAACATCAGAACTATATGAAAAGGTTTACTCAGTAGTGTCGCTCCTCCCTTATCCCTCATCTTCCTCATTCCCCATTCTGTCTCTATTCCTACCCTGTTTCTTCCTACCTACCCTCTATAAATAATCTCATTAGTTTCTGGCTCACATTTCTAAATTTCTTTTAGCACAAATTAGCAGCTAAATGCATATTTTACTGTATCTTCTTTGTTACATGAAAGGTAGCACACTATAGATAGATCCTCTTTGAACTTAGCTTTTTTTCAATCAAGTGCATCTTAGAAATCATTCCATAAAAGCTCATAGAGATCCTTCTCATTTTTAATTTTATTTTAGTTATTTATTTATTTATTTATTTATTTTTTTAATGAGATGGAGTCTCGCTCTGTCACCCAGGCTGGAGTGCAGTGGTGCGATCTCGGCTCACAGCAACTTCCACTTCCCGGGTTCAAGGGATTCTCCTGCCTCAGCCTCCCAAGTAGCTGGGACTACAGGTGCCTGCCACCACCCACGGTTAATTTTTTGTATTTTTAGTAAAGACGGGGTTTCACCATGTTAGCCAGGCTGGTCTTGATCTCCTGTCCTCGTGATCCTCCCGCCTTGGCCTCCCAAAGTGCTGGGATTACAGGCGTGAGCCACAGCGCCTGGCCTATTTCATTTAAAAAAAAAAAAAAAACTGAGACAGGGTCTCACTGTGTTGCCCAGGCTGGTCTTGAACTCCTGGGCTCAAGCAATCCTCCTGCAATCCTTCTGCCTTGACCTCCCAAAGTGCTGGTATTACAGACATCCAGCCACAATAATCCTCATTTTTTTAGTTGGATTTTCCCCATTGTGTGAATGTACCATATTTTACCCAGTCACTCTCTTATGTATGGACATTAAGACTGTTTCCAGAGTCTTGCACTTAAAAACAATCTTTCAATGAATAATCTTGTTCATACATATTTCTTGGGTTGCTAGAGGTATTTCTTCAGAGTAAATTCCTTGAAATGGAATTGTTGGGTCAAAGGATAAGTGCATATAACGTTTTGTTAGATGTTGCTAAA
Organism: Homo sapiens; assembly: GCF_000001405.40. Lineage (NCBI taxonomy): Eukaryota > Metazoa > Chordata > Mammalia > Primates > Hominidae > Homo > Homo sapiens. Next base: position 74,543,596 of record NC_000010.11, read on the forward strand.
TTCCTCTCCAAAATAATTAGAAATGTTTTCATTCTCAGCAGTAGTGTAGGTGAATGCCTGTTTTTAATGGGGTTATTTTAATATTTGGTTATCAATTATTAAGCATTGCTATCAAATGGAATTCACTAGAAGCATGTAAAATTCTAGCTTTATTTCAAATACTTAGTTGAACCAGCCAATTCATTTTAGCACAGTAAAAGTAATCCAAGAACTAAAAAGTGATCATTCTTTAAGGTACAGATTTTAAAGACTCTTTTATCTTTTTTTTTTCTTTTTTTTGCTATTTTATCAGACACATTAGAGGAATATGAATTAATCCCCATTATACACTCTTTAGTTTCATTTTCTGGCCCTGTATTTTCATCTTATACTTCTCTCCTACAAGCACCTCTTCCTTTCTCCTGTACTGCCTAACTATTCATGTTTTCTTATCATCAATACTCATTTCATATATTCCCTACCTCACATTCTCCCCTTCTTTCCCTCCCTTCTCCACTCCCATTCAGTTGGTTATTTTATAAATGTGATTCTGTGATCTTGTGTATATAATTACAATGCTTACATGTTTCTTTTACACTAGAATGTGTTCCTTTACAGCAGTGACTTTCATTCTTCACTACATTCTGGCCACTTGATTGGTGATCACTTTCTGACCGGAAGTTCCAATTATTTAATCACAAAGTTGGACTTTCTGGTGACCACTTCCCATCCTGGGGCTGACAGTGAGTCGCCCCATCAGCATAACAAAGGCACTTTTAACAATCAGGAAATTCTGAGGGTTTTTGAAGCTCTGTGCTAGGAATCCAGACAAGGACTTGATATATTTTTTACTATACCAGTTTAAGGGTTAATGATACCATGTAACAACTTTATTAATAGATTACTATTTATAGAAACTTGATAAATGTGGTGGGAGGTGGTGCAGAATCATGTGATATAATCAATTATAAATGAAAGCACAGATAAAATTTGAAATAATAAGAGAGAAATAAGAATGAAGGTTGGCCACGGTGGCTCACACTTGTAATCCCAGCATTTTGGGGGGCTGAGGCGGGCAGATCACGAGGTCAGGAGATCGAGACCATCCTGGCCAACATGGTGAAACCCCTTCTCCACTAAAAATACAAACATTAGCTGGGCGTGGTGATGCATGCTACTCGGGAGGCTGAGGCAGGAGAATCACTTGAACCCGGGAGGTGGAGGTTGCGGTGAGCTGAGATGGTACCACTGCACTCCAGCCTGGGGACAGAGTGAGATTCTGTCTCAAAAAATAATGAAAACCGAGGAGTTTTTTCTTTCTTTCTTTTTTTTTTTTTGAGACGGAATCTTGCCATGTCGCCAGGTTAAAATAAACTTTCAATTCTCTTCTCTTGAATATCTCTCACCCAACAATGTTTTTTTCATGTTGATCACTTTACTAAAGCGAACAATTGGGGTTTTACCAAAATTGTGAAGGATTTTATTCTTCCATACTTATGTCTGTGTTCAGGGTCATACAGATTCTACTTTTTCCTTTTAGTTTAAGGTATTCTCTTGGAGATTTAATGTACTTAAATTTGACCACAATTTATTGAGAGCATATTCTGTGTCAGACATTGCACTCTGCACTAGATATTCAGGAATTTCTAAAAAGAATGTTAACATTGCTGTTACATAGTCAGTTACTGATCACATTCTTTTCCTCTCAACTTTTTTCAAAATAGGAATCTGCGGTATGTTTTCACGTATGGAGTTCAGGTCAGGCTTAGGGGTCCCTGACAATGTGAATAGTTTTAAGCTGGGCCTCAATTCGTGGTACCCTTATACTAATTTAACAAGCCGTGGACTCTAGGTTCCACCAAAAATATTTTGTTCCATCCTCTCTGGTTTCAGTCCATGGTGTACAGAAAGAAAACTAAGGAACTTCAGCCCCAAATTGTCAAATTTTGCTACTTAAGAAACAGAAGATTTAAATCTATCATTTTGTCTTATATTCCAGAGTTGACTGGTTCCTCCTGTCTTTAACTTCTTGTCCTTGAAGGGTATTCTAATTTTCATTCAGAAATATGACTTCTCATAGGGTTTGTGTTAGATATTTTCAGGGCCAGATGGATATGATGTTCCCATTTCTGTTTTATTGTTAAACTACTATTCCTTTTGAGCTGTAATGAACAATTCATTCTGAGAGGCAATATATGTTTTCAGTAATTGACTTGAATAAAAGTAAATGTTAAACATGGAGTTACTAAGTTAATACAGTGGGTATTAGTACTAATTTGTTCAAATTAAGATAGAATTCTTAATTTGATAAATAGAATTCTTATATTACAGCATCAGTCCAATTGGATTGATAGTTTGTAGAAAGGTAATTTCTTACATGAGGAAAGACAGGTTTTCTTTCTCTTAGCAAGGTATTAATGCAAAAATGACCTCTTCATTTCCTACCAGCTTCCAGAAGGGAAATGCTGGTTAGGAGGTAAATTCAATTTACTCTACAAGCAAACTTCACATCTGTTATGCTGAAGTCAGAGTTTATCTTTCTTGTTATGTGGAACCTAGAAATATACCATGAGGAATACTGAAAAATAAACTAGCAGAAATTTTGCGTGATGCTGAGGATTTTTAGATGGCTGCAAAATGGGTGAAAGTAATATAAACTTAACAAAGAATGTTGTCACAACTCTCTGGAACTTAGTACTGTTTTTCAACTAACAAATGGAAGATTTGTGAGACTAGGTCGACTTAATGTGATTTCAATGCAGTAATTACTGTGTGGCATGGGCATGGTAAGAGATAGGCCTTTTCTAGAAATATTCTCATCTCTGTTTTTTTTAGTTGCTCTTACTTAGATTTATATTAACTCAGCTTCACATTTTCATTTCTTTTTATTTTATTTTAAACAATGAGAAAAATACTCCACGATGTCACTGATTTAGTTATCAGATTTGCTTTATTTCTGTATATAATAGGTAATGTGAGTACAGGAAATATATCTGAAAAGGTTACTTGTACCTAAATTTTAAGTTAGATCATTTAAAAATTACTTATAAGTCTCTTGAGTGTTTTATATAGTAGGGCAGATGGAAAAACTTATTTGATATTCATTTTTGGTACCTCTTAGGAAAATAATTGGGAATGTATTCAGTTGGAAAAAATGTTGAGAAGAGTGTTTTATATAATGATTATTTAGTAAAACATTAAAAATAATTTCTTATTCTGGAGGTTTATAGACATCAAAATTGACAAAGATTCATGGATTATACATTTCATCAAGGTACCTTTAAGCGATTTTTTAAAAAAAATTCTGACTCTAACAATGCATGCTCATTGTAGAGCGTTAAAAATACAAAAACATGCAAAAGAAAAAATTAAAATTAACATGTGTCATATCACCCAGCATTAACTACTCTATAATTTTTCCTGTGTTTCCTTGTAGGGTTTTTCCCACACATTTTTATTTGTTTTTATCATATTTATTTTTATTCCACACACTTTTTATTTTGAAATGATTTACAATCTAGGAAAGAATTATAAGAAGAGTACAGAGTTCTCTCCTACTACACTTTTGAGCATTCTTGCTTTTTCTCTCTTTCTGTCTCTCTAAATATATGTGCTTAACCATAGTACATATTCAGATTTTTCTAGCTGTCCCAAGAATGTTCTTTCTAGTGATTTTGTTTTCCAGGATCATGGATCATGCATTGCCTTAACTTGTCATGTTTCTTTGGTTTCCTTAATCTGGAGTTCCTTGATCTTTCTCCTTCATGCCATTGCATTTATAAAGAGTGTTGTCAACTGTTCTGTGTATGTAAATTCTTAACCAATTGAAATAGATTTTACATCATTTTTCCCACTTTATATATATATATATATTTATTTATTTATTTATTTATTTATTTTTATTTTATTATTTTTTTTTTTTTTTGGAGACAGAGCCTTGCTCTGTCACCAGGCTGGAGTGCAGTGGTGCAATCTCGGCTCACTGCAACCTCCACCTCCTGGATTGAAGTGATTCTCCTGCCTCAGCCTCCCAAGTAGCTGGGAATACAGGCGCGCACCACCATGCCCAGCTAATTTTTTGTTTTGTTTTGTTTTGTTTTGAGACAGAGTTTTGCTCTTGTTACCCAGGCTAAGAGTGCAATAGCGCCATCTTGGCCCACCACAACCTCCACCTCCTGGATTGAAGCAATTCTCCTGCCTCAGCCTCCCGAATAGCTGGGATTACAGGCATGTGCCACAACATCCGGCTAATTTTGTATTTTTGGTAGAGACAGGGTTTCTCCATGTTAGTCAGGCTGGTCTTGAACTCCCAACCTCAGGTGATCTCCCTGCCTCAGCCTCCCAAAGTGCTGGGATTACAGGCGTGAGCCACCGCGCCCGGCCTAATTTTTGTATTTTTAGCAGAGACTGGGTTTCATCATGTTGGCCATGACGGTCTCGATCTCCTGACCTTGTGATCCACCTGCCTTGGCCTCCCAAAGTGCTGGGATTACAGGCGTGAGTCACCACACCTGGCCACTTAATATATTTTCAACATTTTCCAATGTCTTTAATTATGTCAATTATAATTTTGGATTGCTGTATAATATAATTTATTTTCATTAGTCTTCTAGTGTTGGAAATTTTTACTGTTTGTTTTCTTTTCAGTATTGCAAATACAATTGGGAAATAAACTTTGTAAATAAATCTTTGTTGTAATTTTAATTTCTGAATCTATCAAGTATTTGTTAAAACATAAAGCAACAAAACAAAAATCCTACAGAAGAGGATAATTAAATGTTAATCTTTTTGATTCTGAATACAATTAGAATGGAAATTTGGAAAAGGGGAAAATTGCCAGATAAAGAGGTTGCCAGATTTAGCAAATAAAAATACAGGATGCCCATTTAAATTTGAATTTCAGAAGGGACACACGATATCTGGGACATACTTATACTAAAAAATTATTCATTGCATATCTGAAACTTAAATATGACTGAGCATCATGTATTTTATCTGGCAACCCTACCAGTGGTTTGAGTATTCGGGAAGACTTCATGGTAGAGATAAAGAGAGGGAATAAAGAAGATGTTTTACACAAAAGGAATGGTTGAGATTACCTCCAAAACAAGAGTGAACATAGTTTATGTGAAATAGTCTCCATAAAGATAAAGACTTTGTGTCTCATTCACTGCTGTATCCCCGATCCCTTAAACAATCTGTACACTGTAGTCACTCAATAAATATTTGTTGAACGAGTAAATGAATTTGCACTATAAATAAAGCCAGGCAACTTGGGACAAAGATTACCTGTTGTAACTAAGTAGATAAAGATAAAATTTCCATGAAAGTGGAAAACCTGGCAGAAGAATTTGGACTTCCTGCCTTCCCTTATTTATTTTATAATGATTCATTAAGTGACTGTTATGTGCCACATGCACAGGATACTTTGGAGAACAAAAACAGACATGGCTTCTACCCTCATGGATTTTATAGTCTGTATTAGAGGCAGACATTCAATTTATAATTCAATTATTCATTTAATAGTCAATAAATTTCAATTCAATTATAGCGTACAACTTATAAAATTGAATTTTTAATCATTCAATTTATAAATATGAGTACTGTAAGGGAAAAGTATATAATACTTACATTCTGAAATCACACACAGTGAGGGGGTATTCTTGAAAGAACCTGATCAAGATAAATGTACATGGTGTTGTGTCTTAGGGATAGATCCAATCTTTTCTTTGAAATCTTCATTCATTCACTAATTTTCCCTCGAATTTATAGAACACTCTTTGGACTATTACACTTATACATCTTTTAAAATCTTTTTATATGTGCAATTTAGTTTACTTACTAGATTGTAAATTAATTAATTTATTTATTTATTTAGAGACAGGGTCTCACTCACATCACCCAGGCTGGAGTACAGTGGCACAATCACCACTCAGTGGCAGTCTCAACTTCCCAGGCTCAGGTGATCCTCCCACCTTAACCTCCTGAGTGGCTTGGACTACAGGTGCACATCACCACTCCTGTCTTATTTTTCATATCTTGTGTAGAGATGGGGTTTTGCCATGTTGCCCAGGCTGGTTTCAAACTCCTGGGCTCAAGTGATCCGCCTACCTCGGCCTCCCAAGATCCTGGGATTACAGGCATAAGCCCTGCACCTGGCCTAGATCGTAAATTCTTTAGTGAGCTGGGGGTATTTCAATTTGCTTTTATCCCCTATTGTTTCATGTATGTAAAATATACACAGGCGTTAATTATTGACATGTTGATTCATTGAAATTATAATGGGGCTTTTAATAGCTATAGATATGCCATGAGCACATAAAAGACGATTTCCTGATTCTTTGACCCTCTTAAAGAAGTTTATGATGCCTACTTGTCATTCTTGGGTCCTTAGACCTTCTGTGGCAATATTAGGTCGGGGATAGATGTCTAATGATTTGCAGTCAGGGAGCTTTGATAACCATTGTCACATGTTAGCATAAATCAGAACCCAATCACTTTTTTTTTTTTTTTTGAGATGGAGTCTCATTCTGTCGCCCAGGCTGCAGTGCAGTGGCGTGATCTTGGCTCACTGCAACCTCTGCCTCCCGGGTTCAAGTGATTCTTCTGCCTCAGCCTCCCAAGTAGCTGGGATCACAGGCATCCACCACCATGCCCAGCTAATTTTTGTATTCTTAGTAGAGACAGGGTTTCACTGTGTTGGCCAGGCTGGTCTCGAACTCCTGACCTCAGGCGATCCTCCCGCCTCAGCCTCCCAAAGTACTGGGATTACAGGTACGAGCCACCACGTCCAGCCGAGAACCCAATCACTTTTGACTCTGCCTTCAATATATATTGCAAATCTAACTACCTTTTACTACCTCTACTTCTTCCCTTCTAGTTCATGATGCCATTATCACTTGCCCAGATTATTACAGTAGTCTCATAATTGCTCTCCCTGCCTCTGGTTTTGCCTCTCCCCTCCAGCAGTGATAGGAAATAATGGAAGTTTTTAAGTAAGCATGGTAGTATCACTGGATCTGTTCTTTGACACAGCTGGCTAGTAGTGTTTGGTAGATTGGAATAGGGGCATAGTAAATGTGGGTTGACATGGTATAGTAGGTAGTCAAGACAGTCCAACAATCAATCTTAAAGACATTTCATTTTCTTGGTAGTTAAAGAATATAGGCCTACCAGTACTTGTAATTTTAATTTTAATTGATTTATATCATTTTACTTATTAATATTCATTTGAATCTTAGTTTATAATATCTATAATCATATGCTATGCTCAAATGTAATTGAGTTACTTTTTAGAGACAAGGTCTCGCTATGTTGCAGGTTTCACCATGTTGTCCAGGGTGGTCTTGAACTCCTGCGTTCAAGCAATCCTCCTGCTTCAGCCTCCCAAGTAGTTGGATCTACAGGGATGGCATGCACCATCATACCCAGCTCTGAACTATTTTTTAAGTAAAATTTTTTTTAGATGAAGACAAGCTTGTATACAAGAGTAGTTAAGACAGTGTGGTACTGACTCAAGGATGTACTAATAGACAAAGGATAGAAAACAGACCCACACACATACAGTCATACAGTTACAGCAAAGATGCCACTGGGATATAGAGGAGAAAGGATAGTATTGGGATCAGTGGATATTCATATGGAAAAAATTAACTCCTACCTTATACCACACACCAAAATTAATTCTATATGATTGTACATAAATGTAAAATAGAACAATAACACCTCTAGAAGAAATCGTATGAAAATATCATGGTCTTGGTTAGGCAAAGCTTTCTTACAAAGAATTTAAAAATGTTAACAATAAAGAAAATATAGTCTGGTCCAAATGCAGTGGTATTTACAACTAATTGATCACAGCCAGTTACAGATTTCTTTGTTCCTTCTCCACTTCCACTGCTTTACTTGACTAGCCTTAGGAAAAAACAATTTTTCAGGAAAAATAAGTTGGATGTGTCAAAATTGAGGACCTTTCCCCAGAAGACATTGTGAAAGTGAAAAGGCAAAATATAAAGTGGGCTTAAGAATTATGAGAAGTTCAGCACAGAGGACTAGTGGAAGAAAATATGTTTGTACATAATTTCTTTCCCTATAACCAATACTAAGAATAGAGAACCCTATATTTAACTGAAGGCAGAAAATATTTTGAGGCCATATTTGTTCTCATTTTATGCCATTTACTTAGTAAATGTACATACCTTATAGATTCATGCATATAATATACAGTCCTCCCTTGGTATCTTCAGGGGATTGGTTTCAGGACCCCTCTCACACATACACAGGATACCAGTATTCAAGTCCCTTGCATAAAATGGTGAAGTATTTGCATATAACCTATGCATATACTCCCATGTACTTTAAATATTAATCTCTAGATTCTTTATAATACCTGATACAATGTAAATGCCATGTAAATAGTTGCTATACCATGGTTTTTTGTATTATTATTATTATTTTTTATTGTTGGATTTTTTTCATATTTTCAGTTCATAGTTGGTTGAATGTGGATGCAGATACAGTGGGCCAACTGTATACATATTTTGGGATCATTTTAGTGGGTAGTAAAACTTGGTTTTCCCCAACTGTTTCTGTTAATTCACAGCCAGTTATGAAATATGCCACATTTGTCCTGATTAAATAGTGAAATGTCTTAGCCCTTTCCACTGATTATATTGATAGAAAAGATTAAAAAGTGGTGGATAAACCTAACCAAAAAAAAAATGTTTTCATAAGCCACTGCTGTCAGCACTTATTTGAGATTTTAAAACATTTTGTAGTTCTTTATTTTTAAATGACCTTACATTTTCAAAAGGGTTTGTTAATTCAAAAGGTCTCCTATGGTTAAGGCAGTTCAAATAGTAGACTGAGGGTAGAAGAGGGATTGACTGTAAATAGGCATGGAGGTATCTTTTGGGGGTGATGTAAATGTTCTAAAACTGGATTGTGGTGATGTTTGCACAAAATTTGCACAAAAGCATTGAATTATACACTGAAAGCATATTTTATAGTGTGTAAATGAATGCCTTAATAAAGCTTTTTTTTTTTTTTAAGGATACCATTAAGATAATGAATTGTCCAGCCACAGATTAGGAGAAAACATTTACAATTCATGTATCTGACAAATGATTGTATCCAGAAATCAATAATAAGACAAATCAATAGACAAATAGCATAATTTTTAAAAATTGGGCAAAAGACTTGGACACTTCATAGAGGGAAATAATCTAATGGCCAAATAAGCACACTAAAAGAGGATGAACATTATTAATCATTAGGAAACACAAATTAACATCACAGTGAGATACTGACCCATCACTCATCCACTTGAATGGTTAAAATCAAAAGGACTACTAATTGTTGACAAGGATGCAGAACAACTGGAACTCTCATTCTTTGCTGGTGAGACCATGCAGTGGGACCACACATTTGAAAAACTGTATGGTAGTTTTTTATTTTTTTTTTCCTGGTAAAAATTAACCGTACATCTACCCTATGATCCAGCAAGTCATTTACCTGAGAAGAACAAAAACATATATCCACAAAAAGAGTTGTGCAAGAAGATTCATAGCAGCAAACAGGCATGTTCATTAACAAGACAATTTTTCAGCACATTGTGTTTTTTTTTTTTTTTTTTTTTTTTTTTTTGAGACAGAGTCTCACTCTGTCACCAGGCTGGAGTGCAGTGGTGCAATCTCTGCTCACTGCAACCTCCACCTCCCAGGTTCAAGCGATTCTCCTGCCTCAGCCTCCCAAGTAGCTGGGACTAGAGGCACGCACCACGACACCCAGCTAATTTTTGTATTTGTAGTAGAGATGGGGTTTCACCATGTTGGCCAGGATGGTCTCGATCTCTTGACCTCATGATCTGCCCTCCTCGGCCTCCCAAAGTGCTGGGATTACAGGCATGAGCCACCGCGCCTGGCCTATGTATTCATTTAACAGTACACTACTGGGCAATAAAAATAAATGAACTACTACTACCCCCAACTACATGGATAAATCTCAGGAACATTATGTTGAACAAGAAGAGTCAGATGCAAAACAGTATTTGTGTTCTACATTATACCATTCAAACAAACAAAAACAGTCTATAATAGAAATCAGAAAGTAGTTTCCTTTTTGTTAGGGGGTATAGGGATTGACTGGTAAGAGACAGTAGAAAACTTTCTGGGATTATAGAAATGTTCTATGTCTTGTTTTGGATAACCATTTAAGATCCGTACATCGTATTTTATGTGATCATACCTCAGTAATAAGAATGCAAAATGCTACAAAAGCAAGTCAACCCAACATCTCTACTAATAAATCTCACCATTTTAAAAAGAACAGTAAATCCTACATCTCTATTTTGAGAAAAAATAATTATAATTTTATTTAATGCTATTTAACATATGCTTATATATGACATATAAATTGTGAAAAGATTATTTAAACAAATTGGCTAAAGAAACTTCATGAAGAAGGTGAATCTTTTGCCTTATTGCATATGCTTTTATATTGAGTAAAACCAAAGTGATTTCCCATGGTAGCTTCTTATACTCTGTTCTCATACTCTTTCTTGTGATAAAATGGAAACTGATGTTCTTCCCATGAAAGGGTAATTATACATTAATGTACTCTTTTTCCCTCCTGTCCTTTTTTTATTATGAAATATTTCATATATCAAAGAATATGTCTAACATATGTGTATTACAAAGTATATCCTCTGCCTCCCTCCTCATTTGAAGATCCTGCCAATCCTCTGCAGAGCTAATGCTTATTCTGACTTTGGGGTTTTCATTTCCTTTCATATATCCCTTATATATGTAGTCCTAGTAGGTGTATACATATGTATATCATGAATAGTTATATATATAATAATTGCAAATACATCCTGTTTATTTAATGGGTTATGTTTCTTTAAGTTCCAATACAATATTTTCTAAATTAGAAAGGTATTACAATTTTAAAAAATGTGCCAGGACAAAATTAATACCAAATTACAAGAATGGTAAAGCTTAGAACATTGTCATTGACTATAAATAATAGCTGCAATTCTATTGTTGGTTTCTTTTTTCACTAGTCCATTTTGATAATATTTCTTGTTGTGGCCAGGCACAATGGCTCATGCCTGAAATCCTAGCACTTTGGGAGGCCACGGCAGATGGATCGCTTGAGCTCAGGAGTTTGAGACCAGCCTGGACAACATGGCAAGACCTTGTCTCTATTTAAAAAAAAAAAAAAAATTGTTGTAGTGAAGCAGTGTTTTCTTTCCCACAGAATATCGTTCTTCATTTATTTATAAAAATATGATTTGGTATATATGCAAATGTAGCTTATTTTATATATAACCATACTGTAATAGTCTTTGTGGTAAGCAATTCAGTTAATATGACTACAGGTTTAAGATATAATGTGAAATTTGGAATAGATTTTAACTTTTAAAAAATAATTTATGTTAGGCTGGGCACGGTGGCTCACGCCTGTAATCCCATCACTTTGGGAGGCCAAGGCAGGAAGATCACTTGAGCCCAGGAGTTCAAGACCAGCCTGGGCAACATAGGGAGACCCCGTCTCTACAAAAAAAAGAAAATTAGCCCTGCATGGCCCATGCCTGTAGTCTCAGATCTCCAGAGGTTGAGGCTGCAGTGAGCCATCACCATGCCACTGTGCTCCCACTTGAGCAACAGAGCAAGACCTTGTCTCAATAATAATAACAATAATAATATAACTTATGTTAAGGGCTGGTCTTTCTTTTTCTATATTTAACTGATTAAACTGATTAACTGTTTGTTGTTTTTTTTTATGTCATAGGTGTCAGATCCAGCTAGCAGTGCCATAAGCCAGAATTATAGATGGAAGTGGGGGAGAGAGAGAATTGTCAGAAAAACTTACTAAGATTTCTATCCTGGCCAGGTATAGTGGCTTATGCCTATAATTCCAGCATTTTGGAAGGCCAAGGTGGAAGGATCCCTGGAACCCAGGAGTTCGAAGCTGCAGTGATCTATGATCATCCCATTGCACTCTAGCCTGGGATACAGAGCAAGACCTTGTCTCGAAAAAAAAAAAAAAAATCTAAGTGGCTTCATACAGAAAGTTTAAAGTTAAATGTATACTGTTATGAATATCTTATTAAAATGCAAGACAATCAGAGACTGATCTAAAAGTAATCAAGGATGATCATGTCTTGGGAGTATCCTGTTTCTCAGTTGCTCTGGACAGAAAGCACCTAGAAGGTTGAGATAATTCAATGCAAAATCAGAGATTTCCCCCCATGTAATCAACCTCAGAACTTGAGTTGGTCCTAACAGTAGACTCAACCCCTTGGAAAAGACTAGGCAGAGCAATTTTCCTATTGACTACATCTGAGACGCCATTCATTCTTGTGTCACATGAGACATAGCATATACTTTTTAGGTCTCTAATAATAGCAGTTCTCTAAGAAGCAAACTGGGATGAAAGACACTATTCACTTATTTTCTTAAATGGGGAAGGCATTAAAAGGAGTGAAGGTTTATTAATGCCACTTTTAAAGATATAAATAGTAGATTTTTATTCTAATAAGTCATACATCAATAAAATTTGTTATTGCAGCTCCGGGGCAGCAATTACTTATATATTGACAACTTATACATGTTTTACATGCCCATTTGCTCTCCTTTTCACTACTGAAATGTAGTTACCATAGCAATGAACACATCACATGGTTCCTGTGCTAGTTCTAAAATAGAGAACAGCAATATGCCATATGAGCTCTGCTTATTTTCTACGTAAGGACTGCATATACAACTTGAGGCTATTCCATAACCTTCTCAGTGCAGATAGCTTATCATTGATTTAGAAAGCTTTCAAAGTAAAAAGCAATTGGCAGTAATATATTTCAAGTCTCTAGCTTCTCTTGTACTGTTATTTGCCACTGAGCTAAAAGAACAGTTTCACTAGCTTTGACCACCAGGGACTCTGCTGTTGTATATTTAGCCATAGATTGTCTATGGAATAGCAGTGCCACTTAGAAGATTGGTGGGAGAGGCATATATAGCATTCATGGACACATTTTCTAAGTCTTACTGAGCAATTCTTAACCAATCTTAGCTTTTCTCCTACTGTCTCCCTTAATGTTTCAAGTTTTTAAAAATATAGGACTCTGTTTTAGAATTTGAGGAAAGGAAGATGCCAGGCACAACTGGAGGCATGCTATTAGTTCCTTTTATGTCCATTATTGTTGTGTAAGGTTTTAAAATGCATTGGTTATATAGCAGTTTATCTATAGAAAAGGACTTCAGATTTCAGTGCCTGGTGGTATCAGGCCGTATTTATGCCTTACTATCACATTTAGAGTGTGTTGTAGGCTGTCAGACCTCCAGAAATAAAGTAGGAACATACCCCTCTTACTGTGACTCTTACCAGATACTTATTTGAAACAGTCCAAGCACTGGCATATTAGGGAATGGTGCTAACTCTTTCTAACCATTAATAAGCAAAATAAATTTCAATGTGAGCTTTTGGCTATACTATACCTATGGTCAAGTGGCACTACAAATTCAAAATTTTAAATATTCTTTATTGAAACTACTAGGAACAACTGTTTTATATATAGTAGAGGAAACCAGGGCTTTATTCTCTTGACTGAAACGTGTAAGAAGTGATTCATAGGTCTTCAAACACAAATTAGTAAATTTAGGAAGCTAAAAAGGCATATATATTTGACTACTGATGGGGGCAATATGTTGATTGTGTAATATTTTTATCTACCCTTTCATCTCAGTTATAATTTAAAAACCATTTATATACTACATAAACTATGTAATATTGGATACTTCTGTGTCTATATAATTTGCAACAAAGTAGAATAAATGGCCAGAGATGTTATTGTAATCTTATGGTTGAATGTTATTTCTTTTTTCTAGGTCATTGTTTAAAATCTGGACATCATAGAAACAGATAATGCAGAGAGAAAATTCTTTCATAATTCCACCACATCTCAATCTTTGTTATTAGTTTTAAAATATGTCCTTCTAGACATATTTTATTGTAAAAAGTATTTAAAATACTCATTTTATTTTATTGCCGCAAGAGAGAGAAGGGCATTTATTGTAGGGCACCAAGCAAGGAAGATGGGCAGCTCATGCTTAAGACCCAACCTCCCTGCTGGCTTACAAGCATGGGTTTTTAAAGGCAGGGGTACATTTCAGGAAAGTAGAAGTTACAGGCAAAATTGTTAATCAATACATAGAGGTTATACATGGGTTGGCTCAAAAAGGAGTAAGGTTTTGAGTGGGGGCTTACAGGTCATCAATGGATTAGGAGATTCTTTGATTTGCAGTTGGTTAAGGAAGAAAGGCTTTGTCTAAAAACTTGGGGTCAGCAGAAAGGAGTGTTGAGGTTTGGCCTTAACATAGGTTAGTTAGGATAAGGAAACCTGTTAATCATTATGGGGTGCTATGTCAGGGTCAAGGTATGAGAGCAAGCCACGATGCACTGGGTCAGAGTGACCAGTTTAGGAAATTGATAGCCCACAGGTGTGACTCTCTCCAGGCCCCTCAGGAAGCAATTTAGAACAAAGAGCAGCAGTCAGAGTTCAGTCTTCAGTTTCCCTTTATCAAAGGTCTATGTGACAGCAGTTGACATTTTCTTTTTTCTGTTTTCTTAAATTTATTTATTAAAAGAAGTGTCTCATTCTGTTGCCCAGGCTGGAGTGCAGTGGCACGTTCATAGCTCACTGCAGTCTCGAACTCCTGGCCTCAGGCAATCCTCCTGCCTCAACCTCCTGAGTAGCTAGGACTACAGGCACATGCCACTGTGCCCAGCTCATCATTTTCTATCTGGTGGGTATGCTGGCATGTTGGAGGAAGGACCTGGCGAGAGGTGCTTGGATCATGGGGGCAGTTTTCCCCATGCTGTTCTCATGACAGGAGTAAATTCTCTCAAGATCTGATAGTTTAAAAGTGTGTGGCAGTTTCCTGCTCGTGCTCTCTGTCTCTCCTACCACTGTGTAAGATGCACCTTGCTTCTCCTTCACCTTCAGCCATGATTATAAGTTTCCTGAGGCCTCCCCAGTCATGTGGAACTATGAGTCAACTAAACCTCTTTTCTTTTTAAGTTACCCAGTCTCCGGTAGTTATTTATGGCAGTGTGAAAACAGGCTAATACACTTGGTTTCTGAAAAGTAATTTGGCTGGCTTTGAAGTGGGGATGGGCCATGAGCCAAAGGATGCAGGCACTTCTGGAAGCTAGAAAGGCAAGAAAAGATTATCCCTTGGAGCTTCAAAAGAAATCAACCCTGCATGCACCTTGATTTTACCCTAGTGAGGCCGGGCTGGACTTCTGATGCTTCAGAGACAAGGGTTCCTCCCTCATCTGTCTCAGGAAGACTTAGGACTAACTTTAGGCTTTGAAGTAAACAGAAGCTGAAACATTTGAATGTTTGATTTTCATGATCCAGAACTCAAGCCTCATAGGTCCCATGCATTCCCTGAACCCAATAGGATGTCACAGTCTGCATACCTTCACACCATGGCAGTCTGGCTTCTTCCCTCTCAGGCCTGCAGCCTCATGCTCTGGGCTTCCCTGGAAGCTGGTGTTGTGGGGGCCTGCAGTTGCCACCCTGCTGTGTGTCAGCACTGCTCCCTGACGCTGTTCATCCACTGACCTCCATTCCTTGGCCCAGCTGCCCAGGCATGGCAGACTACACGCAACCTGGGTTGTGGGGACCAGGCGGAGCCAGCAGCACTAGGACCTGATGGCCAAAACACTCATTTTAATGAAATCATACTTTAATTCTGTTTTGTATCTTCTCACATAAAATAGCTAGATCTCTTTTCCTAGTAGTACAAACTTATCTATCTGCCTTATTTTGTATAAGAGTGGTATTATATGAATACATCATTGTTTATTCTTCTATTGAAAGCTTTTATGTTGTTTTCTGGGTTTTTGTTATTATAGTTCTGTAGTAATATGTCTTATGTACTTTTGTGTAAATAGTTCTATAGGCTCAATCTCCAGAATTGAACTGCCAATTCTTAGTAAAGGAAAATTTAACTTTTGATACATTTTACCAAACTGCCCCTTCAGGGGATTCTACCAAATCATATTCTCTGTTTAAATGTCTTTTTAAGCTTTGCCAAACTGATATATTTAAAATGGTATTTTATTGTTTCAATTTGCAGTTTTAGAGGTAATGTTGTAATTCTATATCTTTTCATATTATAGTGCATTTATATTTTCCTCTTCTCTTAACTCCTTGTTTGCCTAGCTTTCTTTTTCTTTTGGTTGGTTCAATTTTTCCAACTAAGTTTTTTCATGTTGTTTTTTTTTTTCTTTTTCCTTTGTATTTGGGAAATAAATCCTTACTTGTAAATACTTCTTGCAGTTTGTCCATTGACTTTTTTTTTGAGACAGGATCTTGCTTTGTCGTGCAGGCTGGAGTGCAATGGCATGATCACAGCTCACTGTAGCCTCAACCTTGCAGCCCTCTGGCCACAGGCTCCTGAGTAGCTGGGACTACAAGTGCGCACCACCATGCCCAGATAATTTTTTTAAAAAATTTTTTTGTAGAAAAAGGACCTATGTTGCCCAGACTAGTCTCAATCTCCTGAGCTCAAGTGATCCTCCCTCCTTGGCCTCCCAAAGTTCTGGGATTGCAGGCATGAGCCACCATACCCAGCCTGTCTGTTGATTTTATTTTCGGTGCTTTTTTTGTATATGGAACTTTTTCTATTAGTATTTAGTCATATTTGTTAGTCTTGTCCTTTATCCCTTCTAGCCTTTACCTTATTTAGTAATATCAGATGATGTGTTTCATATGGGTCTAATTTATGCATTCATTCACTTACAGAAGCTAATCATTTGAGTCCTAGTGTACCAAGTATCTTAGATGATGGGTCATTGCTGACTGTACAATCTAAGAAGAATCTTATTTGCAACAATGATGCTTTAGCGTAGCAGCAGACCAAATTCTCTAGGATGATTAGCAGCTAATTCTGAATATTGCTGTAAAGTCATAGTAGCATGTAACATGTACAGCAATAGTAAAAACATGTAACAGTTTGTTCCTTCCTAAAATTTTGTTAATTTAGTCTTTTATGTGTCCTTATATTTATAAATATTAGTTTTGTGGCTAAAATGTGTACATTTTTCCAAGTTATAGTATTGAGAAGCATAGCTAGTAGCATTTCACCCAACAGAAAAAATTCCTTTAGATAAAAGCCAAATCACAGTTGGCCTCATTCTACATACTGTTCTACAAATTACAAAATCAGTAAATGTTTATTGGGTACCTGTTTTTATTGCTAAGCTCTTGCAAGAGAAAGAGAGAGGTGGTAGGATTTTTTTAAGGTGCGAGCTATTATCCTATTTTTAAAGAGCTCATAATCTAGTTTGGAATGTTTGGCATAAGTACATCCAAAGGTAAATAAT
Organism: Homo sapiens; assembly: GCF_000001405.40. NCBI lineage: Eukaryota > Metazoa > Chordata > Mammalia > Primates > Hominidae > Homo > Homo sapiens. The sequence continues at coordinate 74,560,969 of NC_000010.11, forward strand.
AAAACAAATGATAATTGCTCAACAATATGTAAAGACCCCCCTCTCCAAACCAAAACAAAACAGAACAACAAAATTGTCAGTCTCTTCTGTGAGCAGTATTATCTGCTGAGGACATGTTACTGGTCGAAGAGCTTTGGCTGCAGTCATTCCTAGAATGCAAAATGAAATCATCCAAAAAACTGAGAGTGGCCAGTTTTACTAGTCAAATGGAGTAAGTGGTCATCTGTGAGTTTGTGAATCTGTCTGCCAGAATATATTTATTTTCTTGCTTATTCCACCAGTTACTCCTTCTTGTTAAAGCTTTCACCGTTATTAAAGAGAAGTACCTCCTGGAAATTTTAGCCTGCTAGATGTTGTCAAACCTGATAGCACAGTGTGATAGGCTAAGATTCTTTGTTCATTTGTTTTGGATAGGGAAGGAAAGACACAATGAAAAGACTAGGAGTCTGAGGTGAGGGAAGATGATGAAGAATATGAATCAAGGGATCAGGCATCAAGATAACCGTTCATTTATTTAAATGTAGACTTTATCTGTCTTGATCAGGCATCAATATAACCTACATTTATTTAAAAGTAAACTTTATTTGTCTAATGTATGTGTTCCTAATCCCTGAATCTATTCATTTCATTGAAATTGATGAGTACTTTCAATACAAATAGTTACAATATTTTAAGATGTTCACTGTTTATAACATCATTATATGAGTCCATGTTAAACCAGAGAAGCAGAACCAGTAGACAATATAGATTTAGAGATTTGTTACAAGGAATTGGATGATGGAAGTATGGAGGCTGGCTAAGCGAGTCCAAAGCCCAGTCAAGAGGAAAGCAGGCTAGAAACCCATGGGCATAAGCTGTTTAGAGTCCCTCAGCTCAGGGAAAGCCTAAGCTCTCTTTCAAAGGGCTCACCTAACTTTGCCTTGTAATTTTCTATAATGGATTCCTAGAGTTTACCAACTAATATGACGGTCTAGAGTTACATTTAAGTGAAATTTGATTGTGAGATTGTATTCTTAACTGTCTATATCTGGTGCTCTTGAGCACGTATACAACCTTCTCGCCTTCTCTAGGTCCCTAAAAGTCATTTCTTAATTCAAAAAATATTTAAATGCCTGCTATGTACCAAGCACTTCTCTTGATAGAGTGGTGAGCATGACAATCTAGTAGAAAAGTGAGACAGGGAAACACCAACATTACTGTGGAAAACATAGTTACAGGGGAAGTAGAAGGACATTAGTCATGTTTTTTTCTTCATGACCCACTGCCTAACACATAGTAGATGCTTAATAAATGCCTTTTAAATAAATAAGACCACATGGCATTTTTAAAGGAGTAAGGACCTCTTTAAAAATAAGTATATATGGGGAAGGAAAGAGATGATGAGAAGACTAGGAGTCTGAGTCTTGCTACAGAACTAGGGTAACTGGAGCTAGTAGAAAAGCAAAGAAGCTTCTGATTTGGGGATGGATTCAAGAGTATATTGGGATGGGTGCAAACACTTTCACTGATTAGCAGTTTACATATTTCCTTCAAGGATAGTCTTACTCTCCTTGTCCTAACTTTTAACCTTTGCTTCAAATTAGTTTAGCAGTTTGTACTAAGAGGAATTGCCAGTGACCAAGTGAATATGATATACATATAAAAGAACAGAGAAAATCAAGTCTTTACTATGTTGCTGTATCACTAATTCAGGCTTCCAGCTAAATGCCAGAACATAAATTAGGTCCCTTATCAAATCTGGCACAAAAATATTTAGGATCCTTTTTAATATAGTACATGTGCTTTCAATAAATGCCTGCTTTGGCAAAAAATAAAACCAGTGTTTTTTGTGTCAAGTACAAGCTGTTGTACTCTGTAACTTTTAAACTGTCCTTGTGAACCAGGTTGAGGGTAAAATTAAATTTGGATTTTGTATTCAGTTTTACAATCAACAAATACCATTTTTTTTCTTTGTGTTGTGTTGTCTTATGGGTGTTTGTTTTATTTTGGTTTGGTTTTGGTTTGGTTTTCACTTAGAACAAAATTCAAAATCTACTAAATACTCCCTAGCCACACTGGCCTGTTTTCAGTTTGAGATTTTTTTATTTTTAATTTTTTTTAAAGATGACATCCCACTGTGTTGTCCAGGCTGGAGTGCGGTGGCTATTCTCAGGCATGATTATAGCACAACTACATCCTTGAATTCCTGGGCTAAAGAGGTCCTCCTGCCTCAGCCACTCAAGTAGCTGGGACTATAGGCTTGCACCTCCACACCTGACTTCTTTCTGTTTTTAAGACAGTTGAGCTCTTTCACCTGTCCCCTCAAACTGTTTGTACATGCTCTTCCCTCTGCCTTGACCTATTTTTACATCATGTTCAGTGTTACTCACCCATCTTACTCTCACTAATTTATTAAGTCTCAAATATTTTCTCAGAGATTCTTTCTTCACCCATGCCTCCATATCTCAGTTAGATCTCCCTTAAAAATCTCTTCTGTGTTACTAGTTCCTAGCATATAGTGGATGTGTGATAAGTGAAAGGATGGACTGAAACATAGAGCACATACAATAGGTATATTCTAGTCATTATAAAATGTCCTCAAGGAACTTTCTTAAATCTGAGTTCCAAAGGGCCATGTTATTTTGTAAATAATATTCTTACTTTTACTTTAGGGAACAAAATCAGCATTTTTAAATGAAATAGATTTAAAAATATAGGCATGTACATTGTATAAATGCATGTATACATATGTCTAAATATGGCAAGTTGCAAAGTAACATGAATACCATGATTGCTGTCATAAACCTTGAAAGCCACTGTGTTAGTGGATACTGTTGTATAATAATCTCCAAATAAGCACGTCTAGAAAACAACCTGTTTTACTTATCAATTTCCCCAAACATCTCTCTGGTGACTGCGTCTTTGGCTTCTTTTTTATTTATTTATTTATTTTTTATTATTATACTTTAAGTTTTAGGGTACATGTGCACAATGTGCAGGTTAGTTACCTATGTATACATGTGCCATGCTGGTGCGCTGCACCCACTAACTCGTCATCTAGCATTAGGTATATCTCCCAATGCTATCCCTCCCCCCTCCCCCAACCCCACAACAGTCCCCAGAGTGTGATGTTCCCCTTCCTGTGTCCATGTGTTCTCATTGTTCAATTCCCACCTATGAGTGAGAATATGCGGTGTTTGGTTTTTTGTTCTTGGGATAGTTTACTGAGAATGATGCGTCTTTGGCTTCTAAGAGTTCTTTGCTGAGAGTAAAGAGCCAGAATCTCAGAAATCCCCCAGAAAGACGATTTAAGTTAAATGCACCCATCAAGCTTTGAAGGAAGGCGGCTTAAAAAAAGAAAAACACTATATTACATTCTACTTTTAATTTTCAAAACCTGAAAACCTTCTCAAATCCAGGAAAACTAATGGTATTTCCATCTATTCTCTTTGATAGCCCACAATTCCTATGATTTTCTTAGCATCCCATAATACATTTTGCTTTTATCCTTTTACTGTTTTTCTTCCTAGAATTTTCTTTCAAGGTCCAACACAGAAATCCTTTTTCTCAACAAACCTTTCCTGACTAACCCTGTTTCCTTTTTTAAAATTCTTTGCATTTTCTCAACAGTTTTTGATATTTATTTTTTAACGTTTGTATACAATACTATAATACAGTCAGTTATTTATAACTTTATTTTGTGTTAGAAGTAGGTTTTTTGTGTGTTTGCATTCTTCCTAATTTTACATGTGCAAAAAGTTACTTTAATCTTATTTTTCTTAAATGAAATAATCCAATTTTAAATCCCTTTCCTGGAGAATTAAATATAAGTCATTTTGGGGGTGCTTTCCTTCACCTCCCCCAGAATCTCACACAAAATAAAACATTCAGAGAATTAATCGCCCCTGCCCCACCCCACCCTAATCTTCTGTCCATGTTGGCTGTCCTGAGTTGTCCACTGTTAAACCACATAATCCCTTATAGTTCAGTGGCTCTGTTGCTTCTTAGGACATGAACATCTTGGCCAAGGCTTCAATAGCTTTCTGTGTTGGATATTTTCTCCTGGCATCTCCAGATAGACTTTTTACTCTTTTCTTTCCCTATTCTGTGCCCAAAGGCCCTGAGAAAATTGCTAAGTATTAGTAACATGGAGAAAAAAGGGATATAGTTTCTGGGACTGTAAATTATTCAAAGGATAGTTTTAAAGCTCTGGGAAAGTTTGGTGAAAGTTAAAAACGTGTTCAGAGAGGAGGAGTTGGAGCCTAGTCAAGTCACAAATCTTCTAATTCAGCCAAGCTCTAGTAGCACTCCTGAAACATTACTACTATATCCTTAACATGTGCTTTTTTAGTTCATGAAACAATATTGGCATAACTGTTCCCCTAACAACTTAATGAGAAAGTTAAAGATTTTAACAACTCAAGATTGCTGCCTATGATACTTATGATTTTTAAACAAGTTGTCATATCAATAATAATAATAAAAAAACCATAAACCTAGCTGGGCATGGTGGCTGACGCCTGTAATCCCAGCACTTTGGGAGGCTGAGGCGGGCAGATCACCTGAGGTTGGGAGTTCGACACCATCCTGACCAACATGGAGAAACTCCATCTCTACTAAAAATACAAAATTAGCTGGGCATGGTGGCGCATGCCTGTAATCCCAGCTACTGGGGAGGCTGAGGCAGGAGAATCGCTTGAACCCAGGAGGCAGAGGTTGCAGTGAGCCGAGATCATGCCATTGCACTCCAGCCTGGGCAACAAGAGCGAAACTCCGTCTCAAAAAAAAAAAAAAAAAAAAAACCATGAACCTTCCTTTAGGAAATAGAGCAATGTAGTATAACCCCACTTGCAATTTTATTTTTCAGATTAATGAATATGATTAAAATTAAGATGGAATAAAAATTAAAACAATTAAATAAAATACAAATTGGTTGTATAATAAAGACAAAATTGTTATCTTGAGACACATGTTGCATCTTTCCATATGTTCTAAAATTCCTTAGGAACTTGGCACAAGTGCTGCTGAAATAATTTCTGACTGATAAGTGGCAGATGCCTTATCTTTTATTGTGGTATTAATTCTAAATCCCATCAAATAAGACAATGCATGATACAAAGGATAAATTTATAAGCATTTGCCTCCCAATTTAGACACAGAATCATTATCATAGTACATTCACTTTCAACTTGTTTCTATGTTCTTTCTCTCCTTCACATCTGGCCTCTTCATGTTTTTATTTTCTCTCTCTCTCTTTTTTTTTTTTTTTTTTTTTTGTGGAGACAGTCTCACTCTGTCACCCAGGCTAGAGTGCAGTGGCACGATCACAGCTCACTGCAGCCTCCAACTCCTGGGCTCAAGTAATCCTCCCACCTCAGCCTCCTGAGTAGCTGGGACCACAGACATGCACCACCACACCCGGCTATGTTTTTGATGTCTTGTAGAGACAGGGTCTCACTATGTGAGAGGCTGGTCTTGCACTCATGGGCTCAGGCAGTCCTTCCTCAGTCTCCCAACGTGCTGGGATTACATGCGTGAGCCACCATACCTGGGCCTGTTTTCTCTTTCTTTTCATTCTAACCATAATCACTTATCTATTTATGGTTTTTGTTTCTATTTCTGAATACATTTAAATGCCAGTTATAAAATCAGAAATTCTTATTTGTGCTTAAACATAGTAAGATTTAGCAGTAGTTTGAACTTCAACATGATTATTAAATGTGGATTTTAATACTAGTGATGATTCACATTTTCCAACTTTTATACTTTACAATTTGTTTTTCTTGATGAGAGTTTAGGTATCTATGAATGAGGAGAAAAGTTAATTGAATTTTGGCTTCTAGAAACAAGTAATTAATCTTTTCCTGTTACCTTTTAAAAAGATACTTTACTTTTTATAGAAAGATAGCAGTAGAAAAGAACAGGTATTTAAATCTACTCACTGACTTAGACCAATTATTTCATAATGGAATCTCTACTTCTGTGAATATGTGTTTTGCTTAACGAGACCTCCTAAAAACTCATTTTTATGGTCATTGAATTTTAGAGTTAGAAAAGACTTTAGAAAGTGTTATTAGCCTCTCATTTTTTAAAAACAGTTTGTATCTTGCCCAAAGTCACACTAGGGGTAAAGTAAGAGGCAAAGGAAGAACTGGAATTCAAGTTTCTAGATTCCAAGTCCAGGACTCTTTCTTTTTATCTCATTATTTTATGAAACATGGAGAGCAAGCTGATTGTTCATTTAAGTTCATTACACTGTATCTTGGAATTTGTCATTTCTATGCTTCACTATTTAAATTAAAATATTTTATGTTTATCACCTGTTTTTTGATCTGCCATGTAAGAATTTTCACTTATTGTCTTCCCTTTAACATTGAGTCTGCATACTGCTGCTAAATAATCTTTCTACAGTATAGTCCTAATTATGTCCCTCAAAAACCATAATATATCTCACCCCTTCTATCAGCCACATAGTTAAATAAATTAAATCCAATCATTTAACCCATTGCAGACTAAATCTGCCTTTCAAATCTTAGTACTTTCCACTCCTCTGCTCATATTTTATGGGCCAGGCAAATGGACTACTTACTTGCTATTCTCAGGACACACGTCTCATTTTTCATACCACTCTATCCTTTCTTATACATATAACAACTTTGCCTAAAATTGTGCCCATTTGTTGAGACTTTGATCAAATTTCACATTTCCCATTTCTTTTGTTCTCTCTCTCTCTGTTTTTTTTGTTTTTTTTGTTTTTTTTTTTTTTTTTGAGATGGAGTCTCGCTCTGTCGCCCAGGCTGGAGTGCAGTGGCGCGATCTCAGCTCACTGCAACCTCCGCCTCCCAGATTCACGCCATTCTCCTGCCTCAGCCTCCTGAGTAGTTAGGACTACAGGCGCCTGCCACCACGCCCAGCTAATTTTTTTGTATTTTTAGTAGAGGCAGAGTTTCACCGAGTTAGCCAGGATGGTCTCAATCTCCTGACCTCGTAATCCGCCCGCCTCAGCTTCCCAAAGTGCTGGGATTACAGGCCTGAGCCACCGCGCCAGGCCCTATTCTCTCTCTTTTTAATTCCAATTACAGTGTAGTACAAGCTTGTCCAAACTATGACCCATGGGCCACATGCAGCCCTGGATGGCTTTGAATGCAGCCTAACACAAATTCATAAACTTTGTTAAAAGATTATGAGGTGGGTGTTGCTGGGTGTGTGTGTGTGTTTAGCTCATCAGCTGTTGTTAGTGTTTGTACATTTTATGTGTGGCCCAAGACAATTCTTTTTCTTTTAATTGTGACCAAAGGAAGCCAAAAGATTGGACATCCTTTATGTATTATATTCTGACTTTAAATATTGCTTTCCCCTTAATTTTTTTTTCATTGTCATCTCCTCACTTTATTGCAAGTACAGTCAGCATCAATGTTGAGAACTTTTTCTCCTAGGAGGTACAGGATTTGGCTCTGATACGGTGTTGCCTCCACAGTTGCTCAGAATCTAGGCTCCATCTGTTACAGGAAAGGGGTCCTAATCCAGAACCCAAGAGAAAGTTCTTGGATCTTGCACAAGAAAGAATTCAGGGCAAGTCCACAGTGCAAAGCAAAAGCAAGTTTATTAAGAAAGTAAGAGAATAAAAGAATGGCTACTCCATAGACAGAGCAGCCCTGAGGACTGCTGGTTGCCCATTTCTATGGTTATTTCTTTTTTTTTTTTTTACATGTTCTATTTTTTAATAAAAATATTTATTTGGTCTTATGAATACAGAATTATTTTATTTTTATTTCAAATGCCTAGGTATTATAATTCTGTATAATAGTTATTTGTACTTTTTATATTTTTATCTTTTTTTTATTATACTTTAAGTTTTAGGGTACATGTGCACAACGTGCAGGTTAGTTACATATGTATACGTGTGCCATGTTGGTGTGCTGCACCCAGTGACTCGTCATTTAACATTAGGTATATCTCCAAATGCTATCCCTCCCCCCTCCCCCAACCCCACAACAGGCCCCGGTGTGTGATGTTCCCCTTCCTGTGTCCATGTGTTCTCATTGTTCAATTCCCACCTATGAGTGAGAACATGCATTGTTTGGCTTTTTGTCCTTGCAGTAGTTTGCTGAGAATGATGGTCTCCAGCTTCATCCATGTCCCTACAAAAGACATGAACTCATCATTTTTTATGGCTGCATAGTATTCCATGGTGTACATGTGCCACGTTTTCTTAATCCAGTCTATCATTGTTGGACATTTGGGTTGGTTCCAAGTCTTTGCTATTGTGAATAGTGCCGCAATAAACATACGTGTGCATGTGTCTTTATGGCAGCATGATTTATAATCCCTTGGGTATATACCCAGTAGTGGGATTGCTGGGTCAAATGGTATTTCTAGTTCTAGATCCCTGAGGAATCGCCACACTGACTTCCACAATGGTTGAACTAGTTTACAGTCCCACCAACAGTGTGAAAGTGTTTCTATTTCTCCACATCCTCTCCAGCACCTGCTGTTTCCTGACTTTTTAATGATCGCCATTCTAACTGGTGTGAGATGGTATCTCATTGTGGTTTTGATTTGCATTTCTCTGATGGCCAATGATGATGAGCATTTTTTCATGTGTCTTTTGGCTGCAAAAATGTCTTCTTTTGAGAAGTGTCTGTTCATATCCTTCGCCCACTTTTTGATGAGGCTGTTTTTTTCTTGTGAATTTGTTGGAGTTCATTGTAGATTCTGGATATTAGCCCTTTGTCAGATGAGCAGATTGCAAAAATTTTCTCCTATTCTGTAGGTTGCCTGTTCACTCTGATGGTAGTTTCTTTTGCTGTGCAGAAGCTCTTTAGCTTAATCAGATCCCATTTGTCAATTTTGACTTTTGTTGCCATTGCTTTTGGTGTCTTAGATTTGAAGTCCTTGCCCATGCCTATGTCCTGAATGGTATTGCCTAGGTTTTCTTCTAGGGTTTTTATGGTTTTAGGTCTAACATTTAAGTCTTTAATCCATCTTGAATTAATTTTTGTATAAGGTGTAAGGAAGGGATCCAGTTTCAGCTTTCTACTTATGGCTAGCCAGTTTTCCCAGCACCATTTATTAAATAGGGAATCCTTTCCCCATTGCTTGTTTTTGTCAGGTTTGTCAAAGATCAGATAGTTGTAGATATGCGGCGTTATTTCTGAGGGCTCTGTTCTGTTCCATTGATCTATATCTCTGTTTTGGTACCAGTACCATGCTGTTTTGGTTACTATAGCCTTGTAGTATAGTTTGAAGTCAGGTAGCGTGATGCCTCCAGCTTTGTTCTTTTGGCTTAGGATTGACTTGGCGATGCGGGCTCTTTTTTGATTCCATATGAACTTTAAAGTAGTTTTTTCCAATTCTGTGAAGAAAGTCATTGGCAGTTTGATGGGGATGGCATTGAATCTATAAATTACCTTGGGCAATATGGCCATTTTCACAATATTGATTCTTCCTACCCATGAGCATGGAATGTTCTTCCATTTGTTTGTATCCTCTTTTATTTCATTGAGCAGTGGTTTGTAGTTCTCCTTGAAGAGGTCCCTCCTTGAAGAGGTCCTTCACATCCCTTGTAAGTTGGATTCCTAGGTATTTTATTCTCTTTGAAGCAATTGTGAATGGGATTTCACTCATGATTTGGCTCTGTTTGTCTGTTATTGGTGTATAAGAATGCTTGTGATTTTTGCATATTGATTTTGTATCCTGAGACTTTGCTGAAGTTGCTTATCAGCTTAAGGAGATTTTGGGCTGAGACGATGGGGTTTTCTAGATATACAATCATGTCATCTCAAACAGGGACAATTTGACTTCCTCTTTTCCTAATTGAATACCCTTTATTTCCTTCTCCTGCCTGATTGCCCTGGCCAGAACTTCCAACACTATGTTGAATAGGAGTGGTGAGAGAGGGCATCCCTGTCTTGTGCCCATTTTCAAAGGGAATGCTTCCAGTTTTTGCCCATTCAGTATGATACTGGCTATGGGTTTGTCATAGATAGCTGTTATTATTTTGAGATACGTCCCATCAATACCTAATTTATTGAGAGTTTTTAGCATGAAGAGTTGTTGAATTTTATCAAAGGCCTTTTCTGCATCTATTGAGATAATCATGTGGTTTTTGTCTTTGGTTCTGTTTATATGCTGGATTACATTTATTGATTTGCGTATATTGAACCAGCTTTGCATCCCAGGGATGAAGCCCACTTGATCATGGTGGATAAGCTTTTTGATGTGCTGCTGGATTCGGTTTGCCAGTATTTTATTGAGGATTTTTGCATTGATGTTCATCAAGGATATTGGTCTAAAATTCTCTTTTTTTGTTGTGTCTCTGCCAGGCTTTGGTATCAGGATGATGCTGGCCTCATAAAATGAGTTAGGGAGGATTCCCTCTTTTTCTATTGATTGGAATAGTTTCAGAAGGAATGGTACCAGCTCCTCCTTGTACCTCTGGTAGAATTCAGCTGTGAATCCATCTGGTCCTGGACTCTTTTTGGTTGGTAAGCTATTGATTATTGCCACAATTTCAGAGCCTGTTATTCGTCTATTCAGAGAGTCAACTTCTTCCTGGTTTAGTCTTGGGAGGGTGTATGTGTCGAGGGATTTATTCATTTCTTCTAGATTTTCTAGTTTATTTGCGTAGAGGTGTTTATAGTATTCTCTGATGGTAGTTTGTATTTCTGTGGGATCGGTGGTGATATCCCCTTATTTTTTATTGCGTCTATTTGATTCTTCTCTCTTTTTTTCTTTATTAGTCTTGCTAGCGGTCTATCAATTTTGTTGATCCTTTCAAAAAAGCAGCTCCTGGATTCATTAATTTTTTGAAGGGTTTTTTGTGTCTCTATTTCCTTCAGTTCTGCTCTGATTTTAGTTATTTCTTGCCTTCTGCTAGCTTTTGAATGTGTTTGCTCTTGCTTTTCTAGTTCTTTTAATTGTGATGTTAGTTTTGAGCCTATGTGTGTCTCTGCACGTGAGATGGGTTTCCTGAATACAGCACACTGATGGGTCTTGACTCTTTATCCAGTTTGCCAGTCGGTGTCTTTTAATTGGAGCATTTAGCCCATTTACATTTAAGGTTAATATTGTTATGTGTGAATTTGATCCTGTCATTATGATGTTAGCTGGTTATTTTGCTCGTTAGTTGATGCAGTTTCTTCCTAGCCTCGATGGTCTTTACAATTTGGCATGATTTTGCAGTGGCTGGTACCGGTTGTTCCTTTCCATGTTTAGTGCTTCCTTCAGGAGCTCTTTTAGGGCAGGCCTGATGGTGACAAAATCTCTCAGCATTTGCTTGTCTGTAAAGTATTTTATTTCTCCTTCACTTATGAAGCTTAGTTTGGCTGGATATGAAATTCTGTGTTGAAAATTCTTTTCTTTAAGAATGTTGAATATTGGCCCCCACTCTCTTCTGGCTTTTAGAGTTTTTGCCGAGAGATCTGCTGTTAGTCTGATGGGCTTCCCTTTGTGGGTAACCCGACCTTTCTCTCTGGCTGCCCTTAACATTTTTTCCTTCATTTCAACTTTGGTGAATCTGACAGTTATGTGTCTTGGAGTTGCTCTTCTCGAGGAGTATCTTTGTGGCATTCTCTGTGTTTGCTGAATCTGAATGTTGGCTGCCTTGCTAGATTGGGGAAGTTCTCCTGGATAATATCCTGCAGAGTGTTTTCCAACTTGGTTCCATTCTCCCCGTCACTTTCAGGTACACAAATCAGACGTAGATTTGGTCTTTTCACTTAGTCCCATATTTCTTGGAGGCTTTGTTTGTTTCTTTTTATTCTTTTTTCTCTAAACTTCCCTTCTCGCTTCATTTCATTCATTTCATCTTCCATCACTGATACCCTTTCTTCCAGTTGATCGAATCGGCTCCTGAGGCTTCTGCATTCTTCACGTAGTTCTCGAGCCTTGGCTTTCAGCTCCATCAGCTCCTTTAAGCACTTCTCTATATTGGTTATTCTAGTTATATATTCATCTAAATTTTTTTCAAAGTTTTCAACTTCTTTGCCTTTGGTTTGAATTTCCTCCTGTAGCTCGGAGTAGTTTGATCATCTGAAGCCTTCTTCTCTCAACTCGTCAAAGTCATTCTCCATCCAGCTTTGTTCCGTTGCTGCTGAGGAGCTGCGTTCCTTTGGAGGAGGAGAGGCGCTCTGCTTTTTAGAGTTTCCAGTTTTTCTGCTCTGTTTTTTCCCCATCTTTGTGGTTTTATCTACTTTTGGTCTTTGATGATGGTGATGTACAGACGGGTTTTTGGTGTGGATGTCCTTTCTGTTTGTTAGTTTTCCTTCTAACAGACAGGACCCTCAGCTGCAGGTCTGTTGGAGTTTGCTAGAGGTCCACTCCAGACCCTGTTTGCCTGGGTATCAGCAGCGGTGGCTGCAGAACAGCAGATTTTCGTGAACCACAAATGCTGCTGTCTGATTGTTCCTCTGGAATTTTTGTCTCAGAGGAGTGCCCGGCCGTGTGAGGTGTCAGTCTGCCCCTACTGGGGGATGCCTCCCAGTTAGGCTGCTCAGGGGTCAGCGGTCAGGGACCCACTTGAGGAGGCAGTCTGCCCGTTCTCAGATCTCCATCTGCGTGCTGGGAGAACCACTGCTCTCTTCAAAGCTGTCAGATAGGGACATTTAAGTCTGCAGAGGTTACTGCTGTCTTTTTGTTTGTCTGTGCCCTGCCCCCAGAGGTGGAGCCTACAGAGGCAGGCAGGCCTCCTTGAGCTGTGGTGAGCTCCACCCAGTTGGAGCTTCCTGGCTGCTTTGTTTACCCAAGCAAGCCTCGGCAATGGCGGGCGCCCCTCCCCCAGCCTCGCTGCTGCCTTGCAGTTTGATCTCAGACTGCTGTGCTAGCAATCAGCGAGACTCCATGGGCGTAGGACCCTCCGAGCCAGGTGCGGGATATAATCTCCTGGTGCGCCATTTTTTAAGCCTGTTGGAAAAGCGCAGTATTGAGGTGGGAATGACCCGATCTTCCAGGTGCCGTCTGTCACCCCTTTCTTTGACTAGGAAAGGGAACTCCCTGACCCCTTGCGCTTCCCGAGTGAGGCAATGCCTCGCCCTGCTTTGGCTCACGCACAGTGCGCTGCACCCACTGTCCTGCGCCCACTGTCTGGCACTCCCTAGTGAGATGAACCCGGTACCCCAAATGGAAATGCAGAAATCACACGTTTTCTGCGTCGCTCACACTGGGAGCTGTAGACTGGAGCTGTTCCCATTTGGCCATCTTGGCTCCGCTACTTTCTTTCTTTTTTTTTTTTTTTTTTTGAGAAAGATTCTCACTCAGCCACCAGGCTGGAGTACAGTGGTGCGATCTCAGCTCACCGCAACCTCCATCCACCTCCGACATTGAAGCGATTCTCCTGCCTCAGCCTCCCAAGTAGCTGGGACTACAGGCGCATGCCACCACGCCCTGTTAATTTTTGTATTTTTAGTAGAGACGGGGTTTCACCTTGTTGGCCAGGATGGTCTCGCTCTCTTGACCTCGTGATCTGCCTGCCTCAGCCTCCCAAAGTGCTGGGATTACAGGCATGAGCCACTGTGCCTGGCCATTCTTGCTACTTTCATAGCAAAACATTTGGCTTTGGCTTTGCTATTCTGCTTTATTGTACTCTTTGATATCCAGTATCTACCAGTAATGTCTGGACTGCATACATCGTTGAAAATACAACTGTAATTAAAGATTTAAATGCAATATTCTTTCAGGAAAATCTCTTTCCCTGATTTTGTTTGATATTGGAAATGAAACAATACCATAATCCTTCAGGATAACTTCCCACAGCAGGACAACTGCAGGAATGGCACAAAATATGAATTGCATAAATACTCTTATAGAACACATCAGACTAGCACTTTCCCAAGTTTTTAGTCAGATCTTTGCTACCATCCCTGAAACTGTTAATGCATATGAGTAGAAAAATTTTTTACCTTTGTAAGCAAAGATTCTACTACTAGAATAATCAAATTAACTCATTCTAATGCACATTTACTTAATTCATACTATGTGTGAGGCAGTTTTAGGATGTGATAGAAAACTTTGTTTTGAAGAAGCTGATAAACTAGGTGGGGGGGAAACAGAGTACAAATAAATTATAATGCAACATAAGAAATAGCATAATAGAAGAATATTCAGACCACTAAAGTCAGTCAACTCTGATCCCCAAAATTAAGTATGAACCACAAAAAAATCAAGTCAGTGTCAATCTAATGCAGATTTATTTGAGGGCTTCTCTTTTCTTCTTTGCTTAATGTAGGTGAGTGCTTTATCCTTGCTATTTGGTAAATCAGCAAGGATTTATTATCTATTCTTTGCAGAGTAGTATGTTAGATGCTTTGAGGATACTAAATGAAAAAGAGTTTCTGCACCAAGAATGTATAATCTAGTAGAGGAGATAAGCTATCTATACAAATAACTGTGTCTGCAGTCTGCACATAATTGTTATAAAAGAAGCCTTTACAACTTGAGCCAAATTCTTTTACAATGCAGAAAGCCACTCCTGGAGGTAGAGAAAGGAGAGAACATGAACAATTCAAGAAGACTTCTGTTATGCAAAAGATGGCTGAACTAACCCTGGAGGGATGGGTAGGATTTTGACAAGAGTGGTTGAAGGTATTCTAATTCACTTAGTACCTACATGTGCGAGGCAGCATGAAGGCAAAAAAGCCTGGGGCATGTTCAGAGAATAGCAAGTATTCTAGTTTGAGTGGCACCTGGTACGTATATAAGGGAATAGTAAAAGATCTGGCTGGAAAGGAAAAGTAGGGGCAGGTTACGAAGGACCTCTGAAAGTCAGACTGTGGAACTGGAACTTTTATCAGGAAGCAGTAGTTAGTTTTTTCAAGCAAAAGCTAATTAGAGTTGATATTTAGGAGGATGAATCTAACAGTTGTGTGCAAGGATGCCTTCAAACTGAGTGAGACTAGTACTGGAGACTGGTTAAGAGACTACAACAATAACCTGAGTAAGAATTAATACAGGCCTGACCTAGTTTTGAGTGAGTAGGATTGGAAACAAGAGTTTTAGGTATTATAGGATTTATGCATATAAAATGGACTTGACAGAACTTGAAGAAAGAGAAAGTGTCAAAAGGACACAGAAAGTGAGGCAGGATATCTTACAATGTTAAAGGAAAGGAATAATAGAAGTTACCCCCCACCCCAGAGAAAAAAAAGTAAAGAGAAAAGATTGGAAAGTTAAAAACTGAACTTTTAGAGAAAGACTGCATTTAGGGAATGTAGCAAATAAGATAAGCAACAGAAAAGTGAGAGAATGGGAATAAAGATATGCAACAGAAAAGAAGGGAAGAGAGTTCCTAGGAAAGGGTGGGGAAATTCAAATTCTAAAATATCGATGAAGTCTCATTTTTCATGTATTAAATTATCCAGTGGAGTTGGAAGATCCAAAAGAGAGCAATTAAATATGCTAGAGTGCATGGGGAAAATTGACAAAAGACCTAAAAGAAAAATATTTAACCACAAAATGAAAAGTAATAGGAGATGCTAAGAAATTTTGGATGGGAGTTAAAATTAAATCTCTGAAAGAATAAAAGGGAATTAATACTCAATTTATATCTTAAATAAATATTTCTAAATGTTACACTATGCAGAAATCCTTCTTCCCTGGAAAAAATGAGATCAAGTCCTATTCAAAAAGGTCAAGAAGAAAGACTGAGGTTGGTGACCCGTGAGAAAAGTTTCTGAGATAAGTGTAGGTGGAATTTGTAGTATTATTTATCATAAGTCAGATGGCTGTTAACAAAAAGTTAATTTTACATCTCATCTGTTAGCCCAGTCGCTTTATAATGTTCGGTACAACAGAAATGCCACTACTTTGTAACCACCTAAATGCTGTATTACCTTCAATTTCCATTGTGTTGTTGATACCCAAGCAGAACTCATTCTTTGTCATGGAGACTACAGAATACCACAAGCAGGCACTAAGGTTGGATAATGTGTTATCTCACATTCTGAAAGGAGGGTCTACATGGTAGATACATTTCTTGATTCTGTTTTGGGATAATTGGCTCCTAAGATAATTGGCTATTTCATTATTAAATGCAGTATGAACTTTGCAGAAGTATTCAGTATCTCTTAAAACCTGTTTCTTTTCCATATAGCAGTGGTACCTACTTTCAATTTAGTATTTATTCACCATCTACTACATGCTCCACTTAGTGTTTTGTATTATTTCTCTGTGTGTGTGTGTGTGTGTGTGTGTGTGTGTGTGTGTGTGTGTAGTCTAACTTGTACATTTGGCCAATTTCTTTTTCAAGCATGTTAGATTTTTCTCTCTGACTTCTTTGTAGATGTGGGGTAGTTTTGTTTTTTACTTAAGAGACCTGTATTGATTATTTCTATGGCTGTCCTTGCTAATTCCCACTGGCCATTGTGAAAAATCTTGTCTATGGTGTATTTGTTTCTAAGACAGCCACATTACAATACACTCTGTACATAATTACTATGAATCAGCTGGCAAGAAAGAAGAAAATAATACTGGTTATTGGTAATATTTGTTGATTTTATATGTTAGCTTTATTAAAGATTTTTTTTTCTTATCTTTTTTCTTTCAACTATTGCTACCTCTGAAGAGGCTTTTGGTAGTATTTAGATGGGTTGTGCTATCCATAGGTAAAAATTCTGACCTGGGGGATATTACCTTTATTTTTCACTAGATGTAGGAAAGTAGATGCTGCTCTGTTTTTACTCCATTTTGTTACATTAAAAAAAAATTACAATGTAGTCCTATAAGTTTCTTTTTTTATTTTATCCAGTACTATTTTAGACTGTGAATATTACTGGAATTTCTAGTTCTATTCCCTCTTCTCCCTCTAAAAATCAAAAGTGCCAAAGAGTAGTAGACCTTTTGTGATATGTTCTAGTCAAAATAGCTAAAAACTAGCGCTCTCTCTTTAAAGTTCATATTCATCTAGAACATCTCACACCTTACTCTTACCACTTTACTCACAGTAGTTTAAAAAATAAAACTGTACCCTGTATATTTGTTCATTTTTGTGTTTTATGTAGAGTTTCCATTTTGTTTTTACTTTTTTTCAAGAGTGAATTTTGTAAAACTTCCAGAGTAGAGTAAGTTACGGCCATTAGAGTAGCCCTGGAGGATGAGACTTATAGTGGCAATGATTATCACACCTTGACAACTTGGGAAGGGCCATGGGATGTGGATGTGGAAAATATATAAAAGGACATTGGTTCACATTTGAACAAAGTGGAAGGAATTATTAGAAAAGCACTTAACAAGGGTGCTGATCTCTCCCCATCTGAGGTCTTCTTTCTTCTTTTCATCTAATTTTAAGCACTGATCAGTGAATTCTTTCTCATTATTTTACATAAGCAGGTATCTAAACTTATAAAAAATTGATTATTTATCTTGTCTTTTAGTGCCTTTTTATTAATATAAGTTATTTGGTTTTTAAATTGTGTTGCCAATGAATGAAGGAAGTCCTGTCAAAAGATATACATTTTACTTATCTTAAGGCTAACAGCCACCATGTCCAGCCTAGCAAACATTTTTTTTAATGAAAGTCCAAGTAGTATGGTCTCTGTTAAGCTACTCTACTTCAACTCTGTCTGTGGTAGCATAAAAGCAACCATAGATAATATGGAAACAAATAGTCATTTGCTGTATTCCAATAAGACTTTATAAAAACAGGTGGCAGGATGAATTTGTCCTATAGGCTGTAGGTTGCTGATCCTAGCATAATGTATTGATTATACATTATGGTAGAGCCCTCTGTTGGTTGGAAGAGAGGACCAGGGAAAAAAAAGTGAAGATGTATTAGCTATACAGAACTTTCTAGTTGGTAAGACAAAAAGCAAGAAAATTACAGTAATATAGAATATGTAAAATAAAGGAGGATTCAGAACTGAGTAGGTAATTCTTCAGAGCATGTCAAATGTAGATTATGGTAAAGTAGAATGTTTATGGTTTAATACATCAAGAACTATATCCTTCATAAAATAAAATGTAGCTGGACATGGTGGCTACATCTTAGCCACCATATTTTTACATGTACATGTTTGGTACAGGCTTATGGTGGCATGTAATTCCAACATTTTGGGAGGCCGAGGCAGGTGGATCACCTGAGATCAGGAGTTCAAGACCAGCCTGGCCAACATGGCAAAACCCCATCTCTACTGAAAATACAGAAATTAGCCGGGTGTGGTGGCGTGTGTCTGTAGTCCCAGCTTCTAGGGAGACTGAGGCATGAGAATCGCTTGAACCGGGGAGGCAGAGGTTGCAGTGAGCTGAGATCATGCCACTGCACTCCAGCCTGGGCAACAGAGTGAGACCCTGTCTTAAAAAAAAAAAAAAAGTGAAGAACAAGGTAAGACACATTTAATATATCTGATCAAGTGGTCTTGTCCAAAAAATGTCCTGATACATTTTTTTAAACTAATAAATGGAGGATTGCAGACTTACTGAATATGGCAGGATCCTTTAGCATGTAATACTTTAAAATGGATCCACACTGAACTTCTGCTGGATGTACTGGAGTAAGAGTGGCCAGATTTATCCTCCCTCCTCAAACAATGCAAAAACCAGACAAGGTATATAACATAAGAGTTTTTAGACACTAGACAATACTGGGCAGTGATCCCTGAGAGAAAATGAATGAGGCATCCCTACAATTTCCATAGCATTCTGCCTAGATAGCTTCCAGTCTGTAGTCTGCAGGAAGGAGATCCAAAACAGAAAGAACCCAGTGGCCCAACTGAATGGAGACAAAGCCAAGGTGGCTAGAATTTGCATGAGACAGTGCGAGAGAAGACAGAGCTCCACAGAGATAGAGCACACACACTGGATATCTGCAGAGGGCTCCCCTTGATTTTTAAGCCAAGTACTGAACCACATAAGTATGCTAGGAAACTACTTAGGGACAGGGATAAAGCCACTGGAAAGGAATAAGTGGAACATTTCCTGAACTCAGATAAGATTAATAATAGTTTATAGCCCCAATAATCACAGTGGAAAAGCCTCTAATAAATTGGACATCTTTTTTAGTACTCAAAAGAATATTACATCAGTTGGGGACAATATTAGCTCTAGATTAAGAGCTGCTCTCATCTCACCTAGTAAAGCTTCTAAATAAGCTTGTAAAGAATCAAGTTGTTTTTGAGTAACCAACTGAATTTCAGAGTAAAGTTAGGGCCATTAGAGTAGCCCTGAAAATATATAATGAGAAACAAAATATTTGATATGGTTTGGCTGTGTCCCCATCCAAATCTCACCTTGAATTCCCACGTGTTGTGGGACCCAGTGGGAGGTAATTGAATCATGGGAGCAAGTCTTTCCCATCCTATTCTCATGGTAGTGTATAAGTCTCATGAGATCTGATGGTTTTAAAAAGAGGAGTTCCTGGCCAGGCACGGTGGCTCACACCTGTAATCCCAGCATTTTGGGAGTCCAAGGCAGGTGGATCACTTGAGGTCAGGAATTCAAAACCAGCTTGACCAACATGGTGAAACCCCATCTCTATTAAAAATACAAAATTAGCCAGGCATGGTGGCACACGCCTGTAATCCCAGCTACTTGAGAGGCTGAGGCAGGAGAATTGCTTGAACCCAGAAGGCAGAGGTTACAGTGAGCTGAGATCATGCCATTGCACTTCAGCCTGGGCAACAAGAGCAAAACTCCATCTAAAAAAAAAAAAAAAAGGAGTTACCCTGCACAAGCTCTCTCTCTTTGCCTGCTGTCATCCATGTAAGATGTGACGTGCTCCTCCTTGCCTTCTGCCATGATTGTGAGGCTTCCCCAGCCACATGGAACTCTAAGTCCAAATAAACCTCTTTCTTTTGTAAACTGCCCAGTCTTGGGTATGTCTTTATCAGCAGCATGAAAATGGACTAATACAATATTCTACACCTAAAACATAAAATTCATAATGTCTGTTATCCAATCAAAAATTACCTTTCATTACCTGAGAAAGGCATTGTTAAAAAATAAATAAGTAAGCCAGGCACAGTGACAAATGCCTGTAGTTTCTAGCTACTTGAGAGGTGGAAACAAGAAGATAGCTTGAGCCCAGGATTTTGAGGCCAGCCTGTGCAACACAGCAAGACCCTATCTCAGTCAATCAATAATAAATACACACACACACACACACACACACACACACACACGTATATATAACCATTCATGCGAAGAAGCAGGAAAATACAACCCATAATGAGGAGAAATATTAATAGAAATGGATTTAGAAATGATACAGATGTTAGGATTCGTTGACAAAGATGTTAAAACAGCATTTCTAAATATATTATGTATTTCAAGAAGGTAAATAAAAACATAATCCTATTAAAGAGTAATGTGGGAAATGTAAAAAAAGACCTAATTTCTAGAAATAAAAAATACCATGTCTGAGGTGAAAAGTTCACTGGGTAAGATGTGGCACTACAGAAGAAAAGATTAAGGATCTTGAAGACATAGCAATAGCAATTGTTCAAAATGAAACACCTAGAGGGAAAAAAAGACTGGAAAAACAAGCAGTGTCACTGTGAGCTGTGAGACAACTTTAGATGATCAAATATATAAAGACTACGGATGGGGCAGGGAGACAGAAAAAATATTTGAAGACATAAGGGCTGAAATTTTTCCAAATTTGATAATAACTGTAAACCCACAAATCCAAAAAGCTCAACAAACCAAAAGCAGAAGAAACACTGAAAAGCTACACCAAGGAACATAATCAAATTGCATAAGATCAGTAATAAAGAAAAAAAACTTAAAGTAGCTAGGTTTCTAAAAACAACAACAACAACAACAAAAATGCATTACATACAGAGAAACAAAGATAAGAATAGCAGCAGTCTCCTCAACAGAAACAATGCAAGCTAGACCTTGGAACACAGAAGGAAAGAGAATATTAACCCAGAATTCTAGACCCAGTGAAAATACCTTTCAAAAACAAAAGCAGAATACTTTTTCAGACGTATAAAACCTGAAAGAGTTCATCAGCAGGAGACCATTCAGAAAGCCTCAGATCTAAATGCTGCCTGTAACAATTACCTGCTGTATGGCCTTGGACATACTTGAATCTCTCTGAACCTTCAAATTTTCATCTGTAAGATAAAAATAATGCTAATTTTTAGGGGTTTCGTGAGAATCCAATGATAGAAAGGAAAAGAACTGACATTCATTGAATGTCTTCTTTATACCAACCACGTATTATCTCATTAAAAATGGAAATAACCTGCCTGGGCAACATGGCAAAACCCTGTCTCTACAAAAAAATACAAAAATTAGCTGAGCATGGTGGTGCATACCTGTAGTGCCAACTGTTTGGGAGGCTGAGGTGAGCCTGGGAGGTTGAGGCTAAAGTAAGCTGTGATCCTGCCACTGTATTCCATCCTGGGCAACAGAGTGAGACCCAATCTCAAAAAAAAAATAAAAAATAAAAATGGAAATAAAATTCCCAATAATAGGGCTACTATCCTAACATTTTTCTTATGCTAGCCTCTTTCTTCTTGTTCTTTAATACTAAAAACTTGGGTTGTTCTGAAAGAAATTAGTCTAAGTAGCTTGTCTGTCTTACGTTTTGATGAAGCACTTTTTCCTAACTTAATTTGTTCTTTAGTTACCAGATTAAATATGCTTAAAAGTGGGAATGAACAACTCTCCTTGCTAGAATAGACAAGTCAGTTAATCACTTTGTGAAACAGTTAAGTTTCTTGTAAACTGCACTTTATTTTTTTGCCTGTGTTTTGGCTGCTTAATTTTTTTCAGTTATGTTTATTGAGGTATAATTTATATACTGTTTATCTAATTTTTATTATAAACCTATTGGATAGAGGCATGAGTGTCTTTATAGCTGTGCATTGCCCCATAGAGTTTTTGGCACTCAATAAAATGTTAAATAATATTTTTATTCAGCATTCTGTAGACGGGAAGCATATGGTAACAAATGTCAGAGCACAGGTTGAAAATCTCCAAAAAGTTATATGATATATTCTTTGGAAAAGCTAGTAGAGATACTTTTGTGAATGAAATTTCTCTTAAAAGGGGTTCCCAGACTCACATTTTATGCAACAAATTTCTCCAGCCTTCAGTTACTTTATTTACAAATTAAAGTTTTTCCTTATCAGAAATAATGCATAAGTTAAAATAGTATAATACTAACGTGGTATCATAAGAAAGTATATAAATGGTTTGATAGATAACATAAAGTAAAGGTAACTCATAGTTTGAAGGACAGCATGAGAAAATATTTAGAAGCTTTAGCAGTATAAGTCTTTATGTTGTGATATATTGTATGAAAAGAAATACACAGTGGATAGTTCTTTATTGTTAAATTTCAGCATGACTTAGTTATGTCACTGCTACAGCTGTTGCAGACATTCTAGTGGTAGGAGACTTTGACTCAATATTGTTTTTCTCACCTGAGGATTCTAGCACTATTTAATACTCTTATTTTAGTGTCAGAAACAATCATTGCTTCAGAATAACAGAAGACATTGTGAATTAAAACTTCAAATAAATTTCATGCAAAGGATAATATCTCCCGGTTAATCTGTGTTGAAGAAATGGTTGACCATAATCAGGTATACAAAGCCATTTAGATAGCATATATCTAAATTTTCTTTCCAGAATTTGCTTACCCTCTGATTTGCTGACCACACTTGCTTTGAAGTTTTGGTTTTTGTTGTCTTGCTATGTTGCCCAGGCATGTCTCAAATTCCTGGACACAAGCAATCCTCCCACCTCAGCCTCCCAAAATGTTGGGATTACAGGCATGAGCCACTGCACCTGGCCACTTTGAAGTTTTTATTAACATAATTTGAATGTGAAATTACCTGAGTTTTTCTTGTTAACCTCATGTATAAAATGTGGGATAGGGAATCCAGGCACTGCTTACTTAGCTTGGTGCCTCTGGCTCTCATAAGACTTTTAATAAAGGTGTCAACCAGGTTTGTAGTCATCTTGCTGCTCAGCTAGGGGAGGATCTTCTTCCAAGCCCACTCATGTCCGGTCACAGCCCTCAGATCCTCACTGGTTATTGATCATGCACCACTCCATAGTCCTCACAACATTGCAACTTATTTCTCCTAGAGCGAGGGCTCAGAGAGAGAAGGCTTGTGATCAAGAAGATGAACAAAACATACCATCACTTTTGTCATATATTTGTTAAAGCAAGTCACTAGGTCTAGAGCACATTCAAGGGGAGGAGAATGTACAAGGATTTGAATACCAGGTTCAAGGATCATTGAAAACCATTTTGAAGACTGCCTCCTACACATATAATCCACAGATGGGACAGATCATTAAAGTACTCTAGGTGCTCTGACACTCATTTGTTTATCCTGAGATCTTAACAAGAACTTGAATTCAATAGGCAAAATGATTTCAGTTTCACATAAAGTATTTCATTTATTCCTAGCAACAATGCAACGAAATAGGTATGGTTAACCCCAATGTTATTGATGAAGAAATTGATGTACTGAGTGACTGGCTCAAGATTACATAGCAAATAATTTGTAAAACTGGGACCTTAGTGTAGGCCTTTTGATTCTAGACCCTGTACTCTTTCCATTGGCTATAATTGCTTCCTACCAGTACTATGTTGCACTTAAAGCCATTCAAGGAGAATATTATACCTCTAAATTTATATACAATTATATGAATTTTTATTATACAGAGATTTTTATACATATATGTAGAGAAAGACAGACACCCCCCTGTCTTAATCTCTAACCTATACCACTCCGTTTAGGAGTTATAGTATTATTGAGTCAAAGTCTAATATCATTATAAGGCCTGTAACAGCTGTAGCAATGACACACATGTACACAGATGCTAGCAGCCTAAAACTACACTTAGGAGGTAAATGTTTGTTGCATGGAGAGATGAAGAAGCAAAGTAAGAAAACAGACCTGGTCTGGTGGCTCCATTCCCCCTTGGCTTGTCAGTATACAGAAATCATTGTGTTTCTATATAACTAGTAACAAATAATTGGAATTGCAGTGAGTATGGGCAAGTTATGGTTTTAGTTTAATATTGATTATAGATAATTCTACTTTATAAGTAAGAACTTGTGTTATCAGATGAAATATAGAGAAAGTTTTCTCCTCCATAGTTGTCTTTCATATACGCAAACATGCACTTGAGTTTCTTTCCTTTCCTGCATAATCTGAGGATTGTGCTTTTTAATAGTGGCTTGCTGATCCCTTTAAATAGCTCTTAATGTAAGTATTCCATAGTTTTCATTAATCTGATTAACATAGTTTTTCCCTAACCTCCATTCAAAAACTATATTTGGTTGTTGTTTTACCCTGGTTGCTGAAGCAGCAAGCCTACTGCAAAACCTAAGTGGTGTGGTATAGATGAGAGTCTAAGACTTTAATTATATGTCATTTTATTCACAACACTCAATTCCAGGAAGGAAAAAATGGGTCTGTTTTTGTAAAGGACATATTATGTGAGTATCATTCATTGTAAACCAAAAATGATACTGTATTATAGCATAGACAACAATGAGAACTGATTCTGAAAATGTGACCTGACTGAGAAACTGAGTAATAGTGAAAGTTATCAAAATGGAAAAAAAGCGTTAATGTGAAATCCAGCCTTCTCAGAAATACTCTTTCCTGGCCTGTTTAGTTTTGCTTTTGTTGCTTGTCATGCATGAATGAAAGTGCTGTACTCTCAGGGGAGCAGGAAAGCCTCTGTGTCGGTTGTTTATTTCCTTAATCCCTCCTCCTTTGTGATTTTTGATGTCAGATCTAAAATGGAAAGCCTGTAAATATAATGATTATCACACGGATAATCACCTGCATTAGGAACCGCCCTGCTTTTCTATTCTAACCCGAGCTGTTCTCCACATGTCACATCCACTCTGTGGTTGGATTTTAACCTGACTGCTTCATTAGATTTGTGAAACTCAGTACGAGGCGCCCTGGGGCAGCACAGATGGGGACTTGCTTGTTTTCTTTTCTCACTTTTACTGCAAAGGCACACTAAAAAGTCCTTTTCAATTTAGTGCGATCAGTTCACTTGGAATTATCTCTGATATTTGGAACCTGTCTTGCTCTTCTGCCCACCAACTATGCCTATTCTTTCTTCCTTACTTTCTGACCTAATGTCTTTTCTTTCTGCCTCTGCATGTCATGAATCTGACAACTAAAATTCTGCTTACAATTCTTACTGGGTCAAACTGTTCCCCCGTGTTGTTTTGTTTGTTTTGCTGACAGGGAAAAATAAATGTTGTTCCATCATTGTACCTACAAACACCTTCAGATCAGAGGTTAGCTGTGGGAAAGTCTGCAGTGATATGAGCCAGCTGCCTTCTCTAATGGAGTGACTTGGGGCACCAGTCCAAGATCAGAGGAAGGTGGGAGGAAGTCAGAAGATAAGATCATTTTAAGCCACAGAACAACAAGCTTAGCTTTTCTAGTGATAGGGCACAGCTCAGCAAACCTGTGTGAGGGGGCACTAAGACAAAAAATTGAGTTGACTTTTTTTAAGTACATCTTTCCTCAGTCAGAAATATGTTGATGCTTGAAATAGTTTACAGACATGGAAGTGTCCTAGGGCCTGGTTTCCTTAAAAGATAATGATTTGACATTTATATATGTGTCTTCTTGCAGTTAGTCAGCTCCATACCATAACAGATCACAGTTAATTTTTAAAAATAATTTTTTTGGGCTGGGCATAGTAACTCATACCTGTAATCCCAGAACTTTGGAAGGCCAAGGCAGGTGGATCACCTGAGGTCAGGAGTTCGAGACCAGCCTGATCAATATGGTGAAACCCCCATCTCTGCTAAAAATACAAAATTAGCTGGGCATGGTGGCACACACCTGTAGTTCCAGCTACTCGGGAGGCTGAGGCAGGAGAATACCTTTAACCCAGGAGGCGGAGGTTGCAATGAGCTGAGATCGCACCACTGCACTCCAGCCAGGGCTACAAGAGCAAAGCTCTGTCTCAAAAAAAAAAAAAAATATATATGTATATATATACACACACACATATTTATATACACATATATATACATATACACACACATAAATTTTTTACAGTTAATTTCTTATATTTGAGCAAAACTGGACATTAAAAAAATTTTACTGTATGTGAATTTTGAGCATTTATGGCTTAGTGCAATTTTAGTCCTACACATTCTTCCTTTGAACTTTGTCTTACAGTCCCCTGGGGTTCTCTCATGTCTCTGATGAAGTTCCATATAAATAAGTGGTTCTAGTATAGCTTTTTTGTTGTCTTTTTCATATAAGAATTTGCTTGGTTCAGAGTGACAGCTTGGGAAGCACTACATCAATAGCTTTTGAACCTTTTCCTATTCCTTGATATCACCGCCAGCAAATGTTACTGACTATGTGATGTACAAAGTTCTAACCTTGCTTGCACAAATTGACCAGTTGTCAAGATCAATATTTATTTGCTTATTTTTGTCTACATGAACTAAGGGTAACTTGGTCAGGCTTATGTTTCTCTAGTAAATAGCGTAAGGAGTTGTACTTTCAACTTAACACTTCCTGTTGACTTCAGTGTTTAGCTGTAATCATACATTTTGACCTTTCTAAATCCTCAAAATGGTTCTCTAACCTATATGTTATTAGTACATTGGACCATAGGTGCATACATGTATTTTTTTCCCAATGTTTTCCCAAATTTCTGCTGAAGACACTGACTGTACTTTCTGCCTTACATGGCTTGATGCTACAGTCGTTTTAGTTGAGTTGGATCTGCTCACTACTCAGGCTCAAATCCCATCCTTCTATTAATATCTCTTGGCAAAGATAATTTTGGAAGAATGTGAGTTAAGATGTAGAGACTCTTGACAGTTGTCTGCAGTTTTTTTTTTTTTTCATTTTCAAGAGGGAAGTAGAGTTGAAAAGTAATATTGCCTCCCTTTTCTATCTGTCCTAAAATTAAAGTATAAGCACAAAGAGTGAAGAAAGGGAAAGGATTTGATTACACATATGTATTTTTGTCATTTAGTAACCTGTTATAAGAGCCTTAGGGTATATAATAATCATTAGATTGTGTCCTTAAGATATTTAAAATCTAGAAGAACTTTGCATATTAAAATTTTTTAACCATACATATTTTTAATGCTCAACTGTTTTTACCCTGTCATCTTATATTAAAGAGGATTTTTGGACTGTTTATTATAAAAAATTTCAAACAAAAAAGGAGACATTGGACCCCTACATAGCACATACATCTAGATTTAACACTTGTTAACATTTTGCCACTTTTGCTTCATTTTAATTTTTTTCTGCAGTATTCTAAAATAAATTACATATATCATGACATTTCATTTCTAAATACCTCAGGATTCATCTTAAGAATTAAGGACTTTTAAAATCAAACTGATAATTCCTAATATTACCTAATTTTCATTTCAGATTCAAATTTCTCCCCTTGTCCCAAAAATGTCTTTTATAGCTGGTTTGTATAAACCAATTAAGGTTTATACATTGTTCTTGGTCATTTTCCCTTTTCTACTTTACATTACATTGACTTGTTAAAAACATTAAGCTAGTTGTCCTACAGAATGTCCTACCCTATGAATGTTTTCAGTTGCTTTCTCTGTGTATACTTTAACTTGTTCCCCTATCCTCTGTATTTCTTATAGACTGCAAGTTACTGGACTAAAGTTTTGATTAATTCATATTAAAGTATTTAGGTTAGAATACTTTATAGGTGATGGTGTGAACTTCACACTGCATCACAACAGAAGGCAAAGAATATTTGGTGATCCCACTATTAGTGATGATAAGTGATAGCATCGATCACTGGGTTAAAGTGATGACAGCTTGATCCTTCCATTATAAAGTTATGCTTTGCTCCCGTGACCAGCATATAATCTGAGATACTTTGATTCCATGGAAATACCCAGTTCCCTATCATCCTTTTTACCCAATGAGTTTAACATCTACTGAGGATCCTTGCCTGCATAAATTTCGTTATGAGGATTGCAAAAAGATGATTTTTCTGAATTTATACATTTATTAGCAGGCATTCTTCTCTACATAAGAGCTTTTTGAGAGGTATTGTTTTAATTAAAAACACAACCACCAGCATATTCCTTGGATTGTCTTTCTTTGCTGAGGTCAGAACACCTGAACTCACTGTGGCAGCTACAGTAAAAACATGTACTACATCTTCTTTATTCCAACTTGTGAAGTGTGTTGACATTAGGCTGCCTTTTTTTATTATTATTATTCCAAGGGAAAAAAGAAATCTTTATTGCTGTAAGAATAAAAATTGAACTATGTGGGTATATTGAGATAATTGTGTAAAGAAGAAGACTGAATGAGTTTCAAAAAATGGATTATTTCTTCATTACCGAGCACTTTATAATTAACTGTTCTTTTTTTTTTTTATTTCAGGAAGCTGCCACTTTTGCTAGAGAGCAAGGCTTTGAGGTGAGTTAACCCACAATTGCACACTAAACAGATCCTAAAGGTTTTTTCTAGCTGATAATGAAGTTCTTTTGGACAGTGATTGATGTGCTATTATACTCTCAGAGCCTCGCAGCAGTTGCCATGGAAACTTGGCAGTCGTCATGGTTTCTTTGTTCTGCCAGCACAGTGTTATGACGCACTCTGCTAGGTCTGCACCCAACATCGCCTACAGATGTTATTTATTGAATTTTGAAAAGCCTCTTGGGAAGCCAAGAGGTTGGGCACGGTTTCAAGCTGCCTCTGCAGATATGGGGCCTGTCAGTTTGTTCAGTTAAAAAGCTACCTCATTAGCTGCATTACATTTCATAAGGATTCACTGCTAAAGCAGTGGTGGAACAAGACTAAATAATGAAATATAATGTCGTTTAAATAATTTCAGCCCTATCACATGTAGATTATCATTATGCAAATTAATTTCTAAAAGGTTGTACTTAACAGTTGTTAGGAACTGATTAATTTAAATCCTGCTTTTATAAACTTACTCTTTGAACCTATCTTTTCTTCTCTCTCCCTCTTTTTTTCTGGGGAGACGGAGGTAGCATAAAATATACATACATTTTCTGAAATAAAATATCAATAATTGGATTTAATTTCTAGGTCCTAATTCTGTTTTTCTGATATAAGTGTTATCCTGTCAAGATTCAAAACTCCATGTGGTTGTTGTTGGCAAAACTGAGATAACCGTGTTTTTTATCTGTATAATACCCCTCTTCCAACTGATTGTTAGAAAACACTGACTAATATGAACCCAGGTTAACTGACAGAGAATTAACTAAGTTGGAGTTGTTTATGACTATGATATTTATTGAGTGAACTATGTAGAATGCTGTGTTCTTACAGCAACTTAAAGTGTTACAGGGTAGTAATTTTTAAAAATTTAATCTAACCACAGCCGAAATGTAGGAACTTTCTTTTTATTTGCATATTCAGTATTGTCTATCAAACAGGGAAGAGGTGAGTGGTGATTGAATAGTATCAGTAAGGACTAGTAAGCTCACTTTGAACTCTAGAGAAAGATATTATATGAGTTTGTGAAACTCTTTTTAAATGTAGTAAAGGCAGATTATCAAGCAGCAAAGTAATACATGTTCATGTTATTCATGTCATCAGACTTGACAAACGAGACATAGAGCTTCCTCTTCATAGAGGAAAGACAAGGAACATGTGATACAGATATTCTGTTCTGAAGATCCTATAAAAGAACTACTCCAGAGTAGGGAAACTTGCTTCTTTGTACTCAATTATTAGGAGCTGTGATAGTTTCTTACAAGTTTGCTTTTTTATGCTTTACCATATTATAGTAAATCTAGGTTTAAGTCACATTTAGAAAAAGGATTTCCAAGTGGTGGGTTTTTTTCTAATTTAAGTTTCACATTTTAATTTCCCAAACTGGCAATTATATGTAGGACAAAATGTAATCATGGGAATATTCAATTAAAAAGTCAAATGTTTTGATCATGAGAATATAAATAAAAATTTTCAGGAATTTTTTAAAGTTTTACTGATTTTAAGTTTTAATATTACAAAAATTATATTATCTGTTGATACATCAGAATTCTCCATAGAAGAAAACTTTCAGAACATACATTTGTATCCTGTCAGTTTACTGTGTTACCATAAAAAATGTATTTTTGGTTCTATAAAATAACCAATTTTGCAGATACTTAGAAATATAATTTGTTATATAACATGATCATGATCCTGTAGTATCTACATAGCAGTTTTTAAAAAATAGTTTATTAAGCCTGATTAATACTTTTATTTCCCCCTTGAGCTACTTGCTTTTCATGTGCCTGGTTTACATTCAGTCATAGCAACAAACTACTTTTTCTATTTTCCATTAACTAGCACTATATTCACCTTTCCATTAGTTCTTACTTACTGATTCTTGAATTGTTTTTGCCATAAATCTGCCATAATTGATTACAGCATATAAGCAAAATGATAATGATTATAATCACATACCTTATTACCTCCTGACATAGCAAAACTGCTCTGTCAGTGATATTGACAGTGATATGTTAGACTAAATAAAGCACATAGTGTCTTGATGTGTCTCTTCGTAGATTCCCAAAACCATCACAAGCATTGCAGAATATATTTGAACCATGAGTAGGGTACCCTCAAATAGATATTTTTAATCAAATGTAATCCATGTATGGAACACTATCTAGAGAAATTCAATGATTTTATAATGTCACTAAAGTTTCCTAGGTCATTAGACAGAAATGGCAGAGCATAGGTTTGAAACTTGGTATTCTTAAGGAATAAAACAAAAATAAATCACTTTATCTTAATAGTTTTCTGTGTGAAAATGCATTAATACTCTTGGCTAGTGTGACAAACTAGACAAAAATCTGCATTTTATCCCTTCTAACTTTAATTTTGACTCTAAATTTGGAGCATGAATGAGAAGAAAGAAGTGAAAAGATTAAAAGAAAGGAAAGGTGAGTATTTTTTCCTTCCATCAGTGCCGCTGTCCTACCCTCATTTTCTCCTATAAATCCCAATCAGTTCCAAAAGCCACTGAGTATTGCCACTAGTGATCTGGCTGCTGACAGACCAATCCAAGCGCCTCTAAAAATAACCAGTGTTTATTCGTCAGGAAATATTCTCAGTGGCATTTTTTTTTTAATTGATTATTATTCTGGTTAGCTTCTCTGCAAATTTTACTTTTGTAAAAAAAAAAATCTTTAAACTGAATTCGGCAGTTTTCAGTGAGAAGCAGCAGCTTAGGAGAGCACTGGAGAATGAGATAAAAACTGGAGCTGGGCAGAACACAAAGCATAAGAGAGGATTTTTTTATATATATAGGTGATGGAAAATTGCATAGTGCCTGATTTAAATGACAGACCTGCTAAGAATTTAAAATGACAATTCTTGGGGTAAAAAGTTTTATAAGGCCTTTTATTATTCTAGAAAATCAGTTCAGACTGGAGTGTGTTTTTAAATCTAGCTTTTCTTGAGCCGAACTGATTAAATGTTCGTATTTTTAGAACATAAATAAAAATAAGGTGCTCAAAAGCATGTTTCATTATAAAGCCTTTTTTAAACTATTGAAAATTGATTTAAATAAAGTGAAGAAAATACCTCAAAACCTAAATATATATATTCTCTATCTTTTCATTGTCTCTGCAACTGAGTAAATGACAAATGATGAAGAGAATTCATACCTTCTCTATTGGATCATTTATTTCCTTTTACTCCAAGTAATAAAT
Organism: Homo sapiens; assembly: GCF_000001405.40. Lineage (NCBI taxonomy): Eukaryota > Metazoa > Chordata > Mammalia > Primates > Hominidae > Homo > Homo sapiens. The sequence continues at coordinate 74,592,575 of NC_000010.11, forward strand.
TTTAGATTTTTTTTAAATTTTAGATCTCTAAGAATAATACTTCTGCTCATAGGGGAAACAAAGCAATCCTTTTCGCCTTTTTCACTTCCTCCATAGCCCCTGACTACCCAGAAGATCCTAGACTTGTAGTCTTTCTCTGACCAATGAGGATTCTTTCATCTTACACCACTGAAAGAGAAAAGTATGGAATTGTGCTATCCAATACAGCATCTACTAGCCACATGTGGCTATTTAAATTAGGATTAATTAAAATTAAATAAAATTTAAAATTCATCACTTCTTGGCCTTTTGGCTAAGATCAAATGTAAAATTTTAAATTCAGTCCTTCAGTCATACTAGGCACATATTGAGTACTCTATAGACTATGTAGCTAATGACTACTTTATTGGATAATGCAGGATAGAACATATGCATCATCACAGAAAGTTTCATTGATCAGCATGGATAGAAAGTCTACAGAGAATGTATTCAGGCAGTGTTGATTACCAAAGAATTACCTTAGGTGACTTTTAGGTTCCTGTGTTCTTCACAAATATAAATAGTGCAATGAATGATCACTCAGAGTTTCAGAGTTTCTGAAAATAAGACCCTAAATCAGGCCCTGCTGGCTAAGAGAGTGCAGTGTTGTTTTTGTAGGTGCCTGAACCCCAAAAGAGGACAATTTTAGAACAGTTCAGTTAAGGGAAAGCAATAAGCTAGTCTTCTAATTCTCTTCATTTAATCATTTATTTATTCAACAAATATTTACTGAGTTCTTACTATGTACATACCACTTTGATAGACCCCAAGACAAGGTGGAAGTGACCAGAGAGTGTACCATGAAAGAGCATGTGGGAAGGGTTCCCATTTTAGCTATGATGGCTATGGAATGACCCTAAAAATATGAATATCTAGCAATGACAAAAAAAAAGCGACACAAACAGCAAAACAAATTTCAAACAGAGAGAACAGGACTATAAAAGTCTCTGAACGAGAGAGAACTTAATGTACTATGTACTCCAGGAACTGACAGAAGGCCAGTGTGACTGGAATGGAGTTAGTGGGGACAGCATATGAGATCAATCTGGCACTGACACATCATATAAACAGCATAACTATTAAAGGAGTTTCTATTTGGAAAACAAAACAAAATGGTATGGCTAGATGACTCAATGTGTGGAAACACTACAGTTGGTTTTCTACAGAACTAGGTAGACTGTGACAGGATTGCTTAACCTTTGTATAACCAGCTGGTTAAAAATAGAATAAAGATTTTCTTTATCCAGTCTATCATTGATGGGCATTTGGGTTGGTTCCAAGCCTTTGCTATTGTGAATAGTGCTGCAGCAAACATATATGGGCATGTGTCTTTATATCAGAATGATTTATAATCCTATGGGTATATATCCAGTAATGGTATTGCTGGGTCAAATGGTATTTCTTGTTCTAGATCCTTTAGGAATCCAGTTCATGTTCTTTGCATGGACATGGATGAAGCTAGAAACTATCATTCTCAGCAAACTAACACAGGAACAGAAAGCCAAACACTGCATGTTCTCACTCGTAAGTGGGAATTGAACAATGAGAACACATGGACACAGGGAGGGCAACATCATACACCGGGGCCTGTTGTGGGGTGGGGGGTTGGGGAGGGATATCATCAGGAGAAATAACTAATGTAGATGACAGGTTGATGGCTGCAGCAAACCACCATGGCACGCGTATACCTCTGTAACAAAGCTGCATGTTCTGCACAGGTATCCCAGAAATTAAAGTATGATTAAAAAAAATTTCTAGTAATAGTAACACTACTAGTAATTCAAATGAAGTGTGTGTAACAGAAGAAATAAAAAAAAAATTAAAATGCTACATCTGAAAATACCTATTTCATACAAAGCAAGGAGGTAAAGAAGGGATAGAACATATTTTTTTAAAATATGACATATGGAAAACAAATAGCAAATGGCAGATATTAATTCAACTGCATTAATAATAATGTTAATCTGGAGTAAATAATATGATAAAAAGGCAGAAATTCTCAGACTAGATAAAAAAACTGAGGTCTAACTATATGCTGTCTGAAAGAGATGTATCTTCAATTCAAAGATACAAATAGGTAAAAAAAAAAAAAAAGAATGAAGAGAGTATGTTCTTTGATTTGGAAGACAATGTGATCACCAATGACAATAAAACCATATTTCTACATTTATAAAATGCTCACAGTTTATAAAACCTTTCCCAACATATCAGTAATACATTCATACTTGCACAAACCTTGAGAGATAGGTAGGGCATGTATTGCCATATCAGTTCAACAGATTAAAAAAATAGGCTATATGGCCGGGTGTGGTGGCTCCCACGCCTGTAATCCCAGCACTTTGGGAGGCCAAGGTGGGTGGATCACCTGACATCAGGAGTTCGAGACCAGCCTGGCCAACATGGTGAAACCCCATCTCCCCTTAAAATACAAAAAAATAGCCAGGTATGGTGGCAGATGCCTATAATCCCAGCTACTTGGGAGGCTGAGGCAGGAGAATTGCTTGAACCAGGATGTGGAGGTTGCAGTGAGCTGAAATTGCACCATTGCACACCAGCCTGGGCAACAAGAGCCAAACTCCATCTCAAAAAAAAAAAAAAAAAAAAAGGCTCTATGACTTTTTCAAAGTCATATAGCTAATACATTATGTAGCCAGAACCAGAGCTCAGCTCTCTATGTCTGGTGCTCTTTACTATAAAGCACACAGCTTTCTCTCACACATTCTAACATGTTGGAAGAGGAGATTAGATTTCAAAATGACTTTGAGAAATGAAAAATACCTTTTTTTTTTTTTTTTTTTTTGGGGAGGGGGTTTGGCTTTGTCACGCCAGGCTGGAGTGCAGTGGCGTGATCTTTGCTCACTGCAAGCTCCGCCTCCCGGGTTCACTCCATTCTCCTGCCTCAGCCTCCCGAGTAGCTGGGACTACAGGCCCCCGCCACCACATCCGGCTAATTTTTTGTATTTTTAGTAGAGACGGGGTTTCACTGTGTTAACCAGGATGGTCTCGATTTCCTGACCTCATGATCCGCCCGCCTCCGTCTCCCAAAGTGGTGGGATTACAAGCGTGAGCTACCGCGCCCATCGCCATATCAGTTCAACAGATTAAAAAAATAGGCTATATGGCCGGGTGTGGTGGCTCCCACGCCTGTAATCCCAGCACTTTGGGAGGCCAAGGTGGGTGGATCACCTGAGGTCAGGAGTTCGAGACCAGCCTGGCCAACATGGTGAAACCCCGTCTCTACTAAAAATACAAAAATTAGTTGGGTGTGGTGGCGGGCACCTGTAATCCCAGCTACTCAGAAGCCTGAGGCAGGAGAATCACTTGAACCCAGGAGGCAGAGGTTGCAGTGAGCCAAGATCGCACCATTGCACTCCAGCCTGGGCAACAAGAGCGAAATTCCATCTCAAAAAAAAAAAAAAAAAAACCACTGAAATTCGCTGGAGTAAAAATATGAGCCAAATTAATTAAGAAAAAATAGCAAACTTAAACACAAGATCAGGAATGACTTGTGAATGTGGTAGGAAAATGGTTTAGGATGAACATGCTATAGTTTTGTGATAAAAAAAAACAACAAAAAGCACATTGCTAGCATTTATAGAAGCACTATAATAATGGTTAAGTGTATTATCCTTGGAGTCAGACTGTGGGTGCTAGTCTGTTCTCCACTACTTGTATTTATGACCTTAGGCACATTACTTAACGTCTCTGACTCAGTTTCTTCATCTATAAAATGGCATATTGTATTAGTACCTACTGCCTAGAGTAGTTCAGATTTAATGAGTACTTTATTTTATTGATTGGTTGATTGATTGTTTTGAGACAGCCTCACTCTGTTGCCCTGACTGAAATGCAATGATACGGTCTCAGCTCACTGCAACCTCTGCCTGCTGGGCTCAAGCAATCTGTAGATTCAATGCAATCCCTATCAAAATTCCAATGTCATTCTCTCTCTCTCTCTCTTTTTTTTTTTTGAGACAGGGTCTGGCTCTGTTGCCCACGCTGGAGTGCAGTGGCGTGATCTCAGCTCCCTGAAACCTCTGTCTCCCAGGCTCAAGCCATCCTCCCACCTCAGCCTCCTAAGTAGCTGGGACTATAGGCGCATGCCACCACACCTAGCAAATTTTTGTATTTTTTTGTAGAGATGAAGTTTTACTACGTTGCCCAGGCTAGTCTCAAACTCCTAGGCTCAAGCGATTCACCCGCCTCCGCCTCCCAGTGTGCTGGGATTACAGGCATGAGCCACCACGCCTTACCTTAATGAATACTTTAGAGCTTTATACATGGCTTTTAGTTTCTTCATCTATAAAATAGGGATAATAATAGTACCTACTGACTAGAGAAGTTAAGATTTAATGAGCACTTTAGAGCTATGTACATGGCTCACAGCTCAATTTTATGAGCTTTCAACTCATACTTCTTACTCCTCCCTGTCTTCATCTTCTTCGTTATAGATACTATAATTGAATGTTCCATATTCAAAACTCTTGAAGCCCTTTCTAGCGATTTTGGGGCAACCTAAGTATGTAACCATTTTAGAGAGTATTAAAATGAGAGTAATTAGAGGAAATAAATTAATATTTAAGTTCTTAGCATGTGCTAAAATTGCATTAAGCTATTTCACTTACCTCATCTTCTTTCATCCTCACAATTTTTAACTTTTTATTTTAAAATAACTTTAGTCTTAGAAAAATTACAAAAATAGTACAGAATTCCCACATACCCTTCACCCAGTTTACCCTAATATTAACATCTTACATAACCAAAGTATAATGAATAACAGAAAATTAACATTAAACTACAATAACTGAACTATATACAGGCTTTATTCTGGTTTCAACCGTTTTTTCTCTAGTTTCCTTTTTCTGTTCCAGAATCGAATCCCACATTGCATATTTGTCATGTCTCCTTAGTCTCTTCTAATCTGTGACAGTTCCTCACTCTTGTTGTTCATGAACTTTATACTTTTGAAAATTATTGGTCAGTCATTTTGTAGAATGTCCTTCCATTTGAGTTTGTCTGATGTTTTCTCATGTACATTGAGATTAGGCATTTTTGGCAGGAAAACCACAGAAGTGATGTTCCTTTCTTGGTGCATCATATCAGGGAGGTACACAGTGTCACAGATTCTTATTGCTGGTGATGCTAAACCTTTATCACTAGGTTTAGGTGGTGTTTGCTAGTTTATCCTCTGTAATTCCCATTGTATTTAATAAATATCTTGGAGGAGATACTACTTTGGGGCTATGGAAACATTCTATTTTATCCACTAATTTTAGCATCACTAAACTAATCTATCTGGCTTAAGGTGATGTCTGTCAATTTTCTCTACTATAACATTATGATTTTTCCTTTTGTAATGAATATCTTAGGGGGACATACTTTGAGACTGTAAATATCCTGTTTTCTTTAATTTTTGCCCACTAATCTTAGCATACTTATCCCTCAAAATCTTTTAATGTGAACATTTTCTTAGTTTTGTAGATGAGGAAATGGATCTTAGAGAGGTTTATTAACTTGCCCCAAATCATACAAATAGTAAATCCAAGCCTGTCATATTCTAAAAGTCCTTGTAATTTCATTGTTTGTTAAGATGTGTGAGCTTAAGTGTAAGGGAGAAGAACCTATTGGGGACAGAGGAGAGGAATTACTGTAGAAGGAGAAATAAAGTTTTACATACATCTGGGAAGAATTATGTTTTGTACTTGGAAAGTTTATTTTGTCCTTTAATTGCCATTTTATGAGGTTTAATTTGAGACATAAGAAACATTTCTTTGATTAAATTACCAAAGCTCTCAACAAAATATGTCTTCTCACAGGGTTGGTAGAAAGCAACCATGGAATCTTATTCCTTTTTTTTTTTTTTTTTTTTTTTTTTTGAGATGGCGTCTTGCTCTGTCACCAGGCTGCAGTGCAGTGGCATGATCTCTGCACACTGCAACCTCTGCCTCCTGGGTTCAAGCGATTCTCCTGCCTCAGCCCTCCCAAGTAGCTAGGACTACAGACACGTGCCACCATGCCCAACTAATTTTTGTATTTTTAGTAAAGACGGGATTTCACCATGTTAGCCAGGATGGTCTTCATCTCTCGACCTCGTGATCTGCCCTCCTCGGCCTCCCAAAGTGCTGGGATTACAGGCGTGAGCCACTATAACCAGCCAGAATCTTATTCTTAATTTATTCCTTATATCACCTTGAAGAAAGACTTTCTTTTAAAGAACATCTAGTACATTCATAAGATTCTGCTTTCAAGATGATGAAGTGAATGTGTTTTTCTCTTATCTTTATTAAATATGAGCTGTACTTAATCACAAGCAAAAATCCTATAGTAGTAAAATATATTTGTGCTAAGGAAATTGCCAAAATATACATGAGTCATTTTAATTATATGTGTACACTTATTTAGGTGAGTGAAGACATTGCATGGCATTTTTTGGTCCTTTCAGCTGTTACTAGTCATTTCTAAAAGTCTGTCTCCTGAAACTGAGGGAATTTCTTCTCATCTTATCAGAGTTCAGACTTAGTTCTGTTCTAAAATAAGCAACCGAAAGCGAAATAGTCAGCATGTTTGAAGTCAGCAGCACTGTCCTACTACAAATGGCTATTCTTTTCAGAAACAACTGTCCTCTAGAAGTCATCCTGTTAGGTATATTAGAAGCTTAGCTTCATATATTATCTGGAATTTATTAAATATTGAGTGAACAAACAATATAAAAATATTTCACCACTAATTGTCATCCCTTTAAAAATGCCAGTTTCTGGTGACGTTTGTAACGATTGCAAACCATTGTGACTTGTCTGCTTTGCTTGCCTAAATGTTCTCTCTCATATATTCTATTTGTTCTCTTATATATACTTTATTTATGCCACTCAGCTATATTTCCGCTCTGATAGGTGTTTCTTTCTCTATAACTATTTGAAACTTTGCATAGTGATAGAATAAACTAGTTTTGTTAGCAAAGCCCAAAACTATGGACAGTTTTAAAAGCCCACTGAATACAGACATGGATTTTCAAATTATCCAAAATGGTTGAAAAGATGATTCTAAAACCTCTGCCTTTAGCTCAAGGTTAGGTTTCAAGATTTCAGAAAACTTCAATAAAGATTTCAGTAAAACTTTATGGCCTATGTGGTGTGAAAAACAGCATCAGAGTTTGACAATTAGTTTGTCATTTTTTAAACTTTATCTTTTTTAAAGAAAATTAAGTCTTTGTAGGAAAGGATTAGCATTTCTTTCTCTCAAATCAGTCCTTTGAAAAATTGACATTATAAGAACTGTATTTTTTCCAAAGTCAGCATAATTATGTTCTGTAAACCTCTAAAATAATTAAATTTTCCTCTTTATAAAAACCTCTCTTTAATTGGGAATTTGAAAACTGCCTGGATATTTGCTGATACTTAGTCATTGTTAATAATTTTTGAAGTATGATAATAGTTTTGTGGTTATGTTTATCATTACCTTTCAAAGATATATACTAAAACATTTATAGATGAAATTATGTATAGTTCTTGGAGTTTACTTTAGAATAATTTGAAAAGCAAGTGGATGAGGATATAGGTGAAATAAGATTCATCATACATTTTAAATTTGTGTAGATCATTGATGGGTTCCTTGGAAGTCACTGTGCTATTCTATTTACTTTTGTATATGGTTAAAGAAATTTTTAATGTCTCTTAATAGATATGCAGGTCTCTTATTTTGATCAATAGAAGCTAAATTGTTAATCTACTAATAAAGTTTTGTTTTATTTTATTGGTCATGAGAATTTTTTCCTTCCTTCTATTAATAGACTAAAGACATTAAAGAGATAGCCAAAAAGACACAAGCCCTGCCAAAGATGAACTCAAAGAGGCAGCGAATCGTGATCTTCACCCAAGGGAGAGATGACACTATAATGGCTACAGGTACATGTGGGAAATGTGTGATGAATCTAGTATTATGGAGATTAATCAATTACAAAAAAAAATTCTGTATTCTTTCTATTATAATATATACAATATACATATACAATATATATAAAATGAAATATTTTATTTTAATAAATATTTCTACCCTGTATCTCAGTAGAAAAGATTTCATGTTCAAGAAGATAGTTTATTAACATTTAGTTAAATAAACCACTTTGATATAATTTATTTACTTAGTTATCTTGGGGATTTTGTCAATCAAGAAATATCTTTCCTGAAAAAAAGAATACATTTCATTTATAAAATACCTGCACTAGAGTAAAATAAATTTACTCAATTATGAACAAATAAAATCCAGAACTAAGTTACATTTTCCATTTTTCCTTCAAGAAGAAAATCTCATTTTTTGTTTTATTTCACCATCTATTTTATAGCACTCATAAAACAGGAATTTCATCTAGTAAGCAAACATGTTATTGATTAAAATGATTAATAGTGTTAATATGGAGCTACCCACTATTAAAAATATAAATGTTTTAATTCTGTCTGTACCATTCAGATTAAAACCAATCAGTTGATTAGTTATTGTAAACTGGAGCAATTTAGTATTACCTATGTGTTTGTTCAGTACTCTGCTGAACACTGAAATATAAAATAGGAACCTTAAAGATCTAACTGGGAATTAATATTCATAAAATATAAGTACAAAGTAAAATATAATTATAGTTCTTATCTATTGGTGCTAACTATATGGATTGTATTGACTCAGGAGATCAGTAAATCTTGAAAAAAGATGTTATAGTGAATATGAAGTACATTTGTGTTGAATTAAATATAAAGCCTGAAATAGGCCAAAGATGAAATTACTGTCAAGATATTTTCTTTCTTTTTTAAAATAAATTTTATTCTTTATATTTGAGGTTTATAACATGATGTTATAGGATACATAGATATATATAGATCAACTTTCTTATTTCAGAATGGTCAAAAGCAAGATTCAGAGATTTGTTTCAAAAAATATTTGCTTCAAAGTAGTTCAGTGAGTGGTAGATAAAGTGAGGGTATAAATGAAATGAGACTGGTAATGAATTAATTGTTGAAGCTAGACAGTGGATATATGGGGGCATCATTATGCTATTATCTCCACTTGTGGATATGTTTTAAATTATCCATAATTAAAACTTTAAAAAAAGAAAGAAAAGTTTTTTTTTTTAAATTTCAAACAAGATTCAGAGATGTTGAGTGGCTTTCCCAAGATACATTGATATCCTTGCTAATCCTTAAATTCTAGGAAGGATTAAAAGAAAGGAGGACAAGTGGGCACAGTGGCTCACACCTGTAACCCTAGCACCTTGGGAAGTCAAGGTGGGAGGATTGCTTGATCCCAGGAGTTGGAGACCAGCCTTGGTAACAGCAAGACTTCATCTCTACAAAAAAAAATGGAAAAAAAAAAAAAATTAGCTGAGAGAGTAGTGGCACATGCCCATAGTCCTGGCTACTTGGGAGGCTGATGCAAGAAGATCACTTGAGCCCAGAAGTTCGAGGCTGTGTTGAGCTATGATCTCTCCACTGCACCCCAGCATGGATGACAGACCAAGACCCTGTCTCCAAAAAAAAAAAAAAAAAAAAAAAAGAACGGAGGGCAATGGAGTCAAAGAGGATCAAGTAAGCAAAGGCACAAGTACTAGCAATCTTTTATTGTGATGGCAAGAAGAACCACCTTGTTAATTTGTACAAGAGAGAAAAGAAACCATGAAAAGATATCCCTGCACTGATACAAACTATCTGAATTGCTTTCTTCCTATAGTATAAGGATTATTCCTGTCTTAGCAGTGGACAGTTTAGAAAAGTGAAAAACATACAGGCTTCTTATAGGAATTGTAGTACTACCTTCAGATTTACAAAATATTCTTTGGTTGCTCTTTGTGGAGACATTCATTTTAAGTCTTTGTATATTCTAGATATACATACTGTACAAGTGTCTTCCTTATTGTGAATTTGCAGTTTTCCCAAAATTGAAAATTAACCTCCCCATTCTGTGACTGTATTTCCTTGTGAACTCATTTTATTCTTTATTAAATCTATTAAGCCATTCTTAGGAATGCTTACAAGCTGGAATTTATTTGAGGAAAGACACTGGCTAATCTTTGCTGTTCCTACCATATGAAAATGAACTTAAATCAAAGGATGCACTATATCTGCAATGCATGATAAATACAAGATGGATAGAGAATCTGTTCAGTGGTGTCAGCTACAAAAGCAAACATGATAAATGTTAATGCAGTTTTGAGCCCTGGGATAAGCTATTCAGTGCACAAGTGTAGCTGAATCTCTTTGCTATGTTGTTATTCATTGCAGCCAAATAAATGTCAATAATAAAAGAGAATTAAAGATTTTCATTTCCCAGAGGCAGTCCTCTAATACGGCTTGATCTTTCATTTCATTTGTAATTCGTTCTCATGTCAGGATGCAATCATTCGCCAGGCTCTGGGTGTCATGTTAAGCCATTTAATAATGATTAAGAACATAAAAATGCTTGGCCTGTGGGGCAATTCACAAAAGAGATGCCAATTTGTTATTGTTTTCCCTCCTTTCCTCTTGAATATGGATCAGCTTTTTCCCACCTCCTAGCATTAAAATACTAATGGAAGATAGGGAGGGAAAGTGTCCCTTAATTTACCATAAGTGACATTCCAGAATGGCACAAGGCAGTGCTAACACACATATTAAAAGACTAATTAGGAATCATTGTGCCTTAAACCTATTTTTTTTTAATGATACTTTAAGTTCTGGGATACATGTCCAGAATGTGCATGTTTGTTACATAGTTATACACATGCCATGGTGGTTTCCTGCACCTATCAACCCATCATCTACATTAGGCATTTCTCCTAATGCTATCCCTCCCTGAGCTCCCCCACCCCCCGACAGGCCCTGGTGTGTGATGTTGCCCTCCTTGTGTCCGTGTGTTCTCATTGTTCAATTCCCACTTATGAGTGAGAACATGCAGTGTTTGGTTTTCTGTTCCTGTGTTAGTTTGCTGAGAATGATGGTTTCCAGCTTCATCCATGTCCCTGCAAAGGACGTGAATTCATCCTTGTTATGGCTGCATAGTATTCCATGGTGTATATGTGCCACATTTTCTTTAGCCAGTCTATCATTGATGGGCATTTGGGTTGACTTTGCTATTGTGAATAGTGCTGCAATAAACATATGTGTGTATGTGTCTTTATAGTAGAATGATTTATAATCCTTTGGGTATATACCCAGTAATGAGATTGCTGGATCAAATGGTATTTCCTGTTCTAGATCCTTGAGGAATCGCCACACTGTTTTCCACAATGGTTGAACTAATTTACACTTCCACCAACAGTGTAAAAGCATTCCTGTTCCTCCACATCCTCACCAGCATTTGTTGTTTTATGACTTTTTAATGATCACCATTCTAACTGACATGAGATGGTATCTCATTGTGGTTTTGATTTGCATTTCTCTAATGACCAGGGATGATGAGCTTTTTTTCATGTGTTTGTTGGCCGCATAAATATCTCCTTTTGAGAAGTGTCTGTTCATATCCTTTGCCCACTTTTTGATGTGGTTGTTTGTTCGTTTTTTGTAAATTTGTTTAAGTTCTTTGTAGATTCTGGATATTAGCCCTTTGTCAGATGGACAGATTGCAAAAATTTTCTCCCATTCTGTAGGTTGCCCGTTCACTCTGATGATAGTTTCATTTGCTGTGCAGAAGCTCTTTAGTTTAATTGGATCCCATTTGTCAGTTTTGACTTTTGTTCCCATTACTTTTGGTGTTTTAGTCATGAAGTCTTTGCCCATGCCTATGTCCTGAATGGTATTACCTAGGTTTTCTTCTAGGGTTTTTATGGTTTTATGTTTTATGTTTTAAGTCTTTAATCCATCTTGAGTTAATTTTTGTATAAGGTGTAAGGAAGGGGTCCAGTTTCAGTTTTCTCTATATGGCTAGTCAGTTTTCCCAGCACCATTTATTAAATAGGGATTCTTTTCCCCCATTGCTTGTTTTTTGTCAGATTTGTCAAAGATCAGATCGTTGTAGATGTGTGGCATTATTTCTGAGGCCTCTGTTCTGTTCCATTGATCTATATATCTGTTTTCATACCAGTACCATGCTGTTTTGGTTACTGTAGGCTTATAGTATAGTTTGAAGTCAGGTTAGCATGATGCCTCCAGCTTTGTTCTTTTTGCTTAGGATTGTCTTGGCTATACGGGCTCTTTTTTGGTTCCATATGAAATTTAATTTTCTCTAATTCTGTGAAGAAAGTCAATGGTAGCTTGATGGGGAAAGCATTGAATCTGTAAATTACTTTGGGTAGTATGACCATTTTCACGATATTCTTCCTATCCGTGAGCATGGAATGGTTTTCCATTTGTTTGTGTCCTCTCTTATTTCCTTGAGCAATGGTTTGTAGTTCTTGAAGAGGTCCTTCACATCCCTTGTAAGTTGTATTCCTAGGTATTTTATTCTCTTTGTAGCAATTGTGAATGAGAGTTCACTCATGATTTGGCTCTCTGTTTGTCTATTATTGGTGTATAGGAATGCTTGTGATTTTTGCACATTGATTTTGTATCCTGAGACTTTGCTGAAGTTGCTTATCAGCTTAAGGAGATTTTGGGCTGAGATGCTGGGGTTTTCTAAATATACAGTCATGTCATCTGCAGACAGAGACAATTTGACTTCCTCTCTTCCTATTTGAATACCCTTTATTTCTTTCTCTTGCCTGATTGCCCTGGTCAGAACTTCCAATACCATGTTGAATAGGAGTGGCGAGAGAGTGCATCCTTGTCTTGTGCCGGTTTTCAAAGGCAATCCTTCCAGCTTTTGCCCATTCAGCGTGATATTGGCTGTGGGTTTGTCATAAATAGTTCGTATTATTTTAAGATATGTTCCATCAATACCTAGTTTTTTGAGAGTTTTTAGCATGACGGAGTGTTGAATTTTATCGAAGGCCTTTTCTGCATCTATTGAGGTAATCATGTGGCTTTTGTTATTGGTTCTGTTTATGTGATGGATTACGTTTCTTAATTTGCGTATGTTGAACCAGCCTTGCATCCCAGGGATGAAGCCGACTTGATCATGATAGATAAGCTTTTTGATGTGCTTCTGGATTCAGTTTGCCAGAATTTTATTGAGGACTTTTGCATCAATGTTCATCAGGGATATTGGCCTGAAATTTTCTTTTTTTGTTGTCTCTGCCAGGTTTTGCTGTCAGGATGATGCTGGCCTCATAAAATAAATTAGAGAGGAGTCCCTCTTTTTCTATTGTTTGGAATAGTTTCAGAAGGAATAGTACCAGCTCCTCTTTGTACCTCTGATAGAATTCAGTTGTGAATCCGTCTGCTCCTGGGCTTTTTTTGGTTGATAGGCTATTAATTACTGCCTCAATTTCAGAACTTGTTATTGGTCTATTTAGGGATTCAACTTCTTCCTGGTTTAGTCTTGGGAGGGTGTATGTGTCCAGTAATGTATCCATTTCTTCTAGATTTTCTAGTTTATTTGTGTAGAGATGTTTATAATATCCACTGATGGTAGTTTATATTTCTGTGGGATCAGTGGTGATCTCCCCTTTATCATTTTTTATTGTGTCTATTTGATTCTTCTCTCTTTTCTTCTTTATTAGTCTAGCTAGCAGTCTATCTATTTTGTTAATCTTTGCAAAAAACCAGCTCCTGGATTCATTGATTTTTGGAAGGGTTTTTTGTGTCTAACTCCTTCACCTCTGCTCTGATCTTAGTTATTTCTTGCCTTCTGCTAGCTTTTGAATGTGTTTGCTCTTGCTTCTCTAGTTCTTTTAATTGTGATGTTAGGATGTCGATTTTAGATCTTTCCCGCTTTCTCCTGTGGGCATTTAGTGCTATAAATGTCCTTCTTAACACTGCTTTAGCTGTGTCCCAGAGATTCGTTGGGTCTCTGTTCTCATTGGTTTTAAAGAACTTATTTATTTCTGCCTTAATTTCATTATTTACCCAGTAGTCATTCAGGAGCAGATTGTTCAGTTTCCATGCAGTTGTGTGGTTCTGAGTGAGTTTCTTAGTCCTGAGTTCTAATGTGATTGCACTGTGGTCTGAGAGACTGTTTGTTATGATTTCCATTATTTTGCATGTGCTGAGGAGTGTTTTACTTCCAATTATGTGGTCAATTTTAGAATAAGCGTGATGTGGTGCTGAGAAGAATGTATATTCTGTTGATTTGGGGTGGAGAGTTCTGTAGATGTCTATTAGGTCTGCTTGGCCAGAGCTGAGTTCAAGTCCTGAATATCGTTGTTAATTTTTGGTCTCGTTGATCTAATATTGACAGTGGGGTGTTAAAATCTCCCACTATTATTGTGTGGGAGTCTAGGTCTCTTTGTAGGTCTCTAAGAACTTGCTTTATGAATCTGGGTGCTCCTGTATTGGGTGCATATATATTTAGGATAGTTAGCTCTTCTTGTTGAATTGATCCCTTTACCATTATGTAATGCCCTTGTTTGTCTTTTTTGATCTTTGTTGGTTTAAAGTCTGTTTTATCGGAGACTAGGATTACAACCCCTGCTTTTTTTTTGCTTTCCACTTGCTTTGTAAATATTCCTCCATCCCTTTATTTTGAACCTACGTGTGTCTTTGCACATGAGATGAGTCTCCTGAATATAGCACACCAATGGGCCTTGACTCTTTATCCAATTCCCCAGTCTGTGTTTTTCAATTGGGGCATTTAGCCCATTTACATTTAAGGTTAATATATTATGCATGAATTTGATCCTGTCATTATGATGCTAGCTGGTTATTTTGCCCGTTAGTTGATGTGGTTTCTTCATAGTCTTGATGGTCTTTACAATTTGGTATGTTTTTGCAGTGGCTGGTACCAGTTTTTCCTTTCCATATTTAGTGCTTCCTTCAGGAGCTCTTGTAAGGCAGGCCTGGTGGTGACAAAATCTCTCAGCATTTGCTTGTCTTTAAAGGATTTTATTTCTCCTTTGCTTATGAAGCTTAGTGTGGCTGGATATGAAATTCTGGGTTCAAAATTCTTTTCTTTAAGAATGTTGAATGTTGGTCCTCACTCTCTTCTGGCTTATAGGGTTTCTGCAGAGAGATCAGCTGTTAGTCTGATGGGCTTCCCTTTGTGGGTAACCCAACCTTTCTCTCTGGCTGCCCTTAATACTTTTTCCTTCATTTCAACCTTGGTGAATCTGACAATTATGTGTTTTGGGGTTGCTCTTCTCAAGGAGTATCTTTGTGGTGTTCTCTGTATTTCCTGAATTTGAATGTTGGCCTGTCTTGCTAGATTGGGGAAGCTTTCTTGGATAATATTCTGAAGAGTGTTTTCCAACTTGGTTCCATTCTCCCCATCACTTTCAGGTACACCAATCAAATGTAGGTTTGGTCTTTTCATATAGTCCCATATTTCTTGGAGGTTTGTTAGTTCCTTTCCATTCTTTTTTCTCTAATCTTGTCATGATGCTTTATTTCATTAAGTTGATCTTCAATCTCTGATATCCTTTCTTCTGCTTGATCAATTTGGTTATTATATTTGTGTATGCTTCACGAAGTGTTCGTTCTGTGTTTTTCAGCTCTATCAGGTCATTTATGTTCTTCTCTAAACTGGTTATTCTAGTTAGCAATTCCTCTAACCTTTTTTCAAGGTTCTTAGCTTCCTTGCATTGGGTTAGAACATGGTCCTTTAGCTCGGCGGAATTTGTTATTACCCACCTTCTGAAGCCTACTTCTGTCAATTTGTCAAACTAGTTCTCTGTGCAGTTTTGTTCCCTTGCTGGTGAGGAGTTGTGATCCTTTGGAGGAGAAGAGGCATTCTGGTTTCTGGAATTTTCAGCCTTTTTGCACTGGTTTTTCCTTATCTTCGTGGATTTATCTACCTTTGGTCTTTGATGCTGGTGACCTTCGGATGGGGTTTTTGTGTGGACATCCTTTTTGTTGATGTTGGTGCTATTCCTTTCTGTTTGTTAGTTTTCCTTCTAACAGATGCCTCTGCTGCAGGTCTGCTGGAGTTTTCTGGAGGTCCACTCCAGACCCTGTTTGCCTGGGTATCACCAGCAGAGGCTGCAGAACAGCAAAGATTACTGCCTGTTCCTTCCTCTGGAAGCTTTGTCCCAGAGGGGCACCCGCCAGATGCCAGCTGGAGCTCTCCTGTATGAGGGGTCTGTCGACCCTTGCTGGGAGGCATCTCCCAGTCAGGAGGCATGGGGGTCAGGGACCCAGAGGCAATCTGTCTGTTAGGAGAGCTCGAGCACTGTGCTGGGAGATTTGCTGCTCTCTTCAGAGCTGGTAGGCAGGAAAGTTTAAGTGCCGAAGCTGTGCCCACAGCTGTTCCTTCCCCCAGGTGCTCTGTCCCAGAGAGATGGGAGTTTTATCTATAAGCCCCTGACTGGGGCTGCTGCCTTTCTTTCATAGATGCCCTGCCCAGAGAGGAGGAATCTAGAGAGGCGGTCTGGCTACAGTGGCTTTTCCAAGCTGCAGTGGGCTCCACCCAGTTCAAACTTTTTTTGCGAACTTTGTTTGCATCTTTGTTTACACTGTTAGGGGAAAACCGCCTACTCAAGCCTCGGTAATGGCAGTCGCCCCTTCCCCCACCAAGCTTGAGCATCCCAGGTCGACTTCAGACTGCTGTGCTGGCAGCGAGAATTTCAAGCCAGTGGATCTTAGCTTGCTGGGCTCCGTCGGGGCAGGATCCGCTGAGCTAGACCACTTGGCTCCCTGGCTTTATCCCCCTTTCCAGGGGAGTGAACAGTTCTGTCTCGCTGGCGTTCCACACGCCACTGTGGTATGAACAAAAACTCCTGCAGCTAGCTTGGTGTCTGCCCAAACAGCAGCCCAGTTTTGTGCTTGAAACCCAGGGCCCTGGTGGTGTAGGTACCCGAAGAAATCTCCTGGTCTGCGAGTTGTGAAGACCATGGGAAAAGTGTAGTTATCTGGGCTGGAGTGCACCATTTCTCATGGCACAGTCCCTCATGGCTTCCCTTGACTAGGGGAGGGAGTTCTCGACCCCTTGCACTTCCCCGGTAAGGTGACGCCCCACCCTGCTTCCGCTCGCCCTTTGTGGGCTGCACCCACTGTCTAATCAGTCCCAATGAGATGAGCCAGGACTCTCAGTTGGAAATGTAGAAATTACCCGCCTTCTGCGTTGATCTCGCTGGGAGGTGCAGACCGGAGCTGTTCCTATTCAGCCATCTTGCCAGCCACCCAAACCTATTTTTAAATGATCACACTGTTAAGTTTGCAGTACTTAGCAATAATGTATCAAAATGTTTCCTTGGAGTTTTATTCTACAGACCTATCTCCTTTTGAGATATGATATACATAAACTACTTTGTCTTATTTTATAAATTTAATTCTTTAAATTGCCTGTAAATCTAAAGTATTTTCCGCTCACCCTGTTTTATGGGTCATACCTCTTTCAGATTGAGTTTCCATCTACCCTAGAGGTTCTGTCACATACCAATCATTGTTTCAGTCCTTGCAGGTTAATTGAGTTTCAAAAAAATTTTCAAGGGAGTGCTGGGCACTGAAGAATATTAAGAGTAACAGGCTGGGCAATTCCACAGCAGAGTATATGTCCAAAATAATTGAAGCAGGAACCTAAACAGATATATGCCCACCCATCTTCATAGCAGCATTATTCACAATAACCAAAAGGTAGAAGCAATCAAAGTGTCCATCAGCAGATGAACAGATAAATAAAATGTGATATATACATACAAAGGAATATTATTCAGCTTTAAAAAAGAAGGAAATCCTAACATGCACTACAACATGGATGAACCTTGAAGACATTATGCTAAGTGAAATAAGCCAGTCACAATGGGATAATTACTGTGTGATTCCATTTATGTGACATACCTAGAGTAGTTAGCTTTATAGACAAAGTAGAATGATGTTAGCCAGGGGCTGGGGGAGGGCTGAATGGAAAGTTATTGTTTAATTGGTAAAAAGTTTCAGTTTTGCAGGATGAAAAAGTTGTAAAGATGGGTAGTGATAATTGCACAATAATATGAATGTACAATGGCACTGAGCTGTATATTCAACAATGCTTAAAATGTTACATTTTATGTATATTTTTATTTTTTAAGCATATTTTTCAATTTAAAAAAAATTAAACATAACCTAAAGAGTAAGATGCTGGGGGTGAAGGCAGAAAAGATGACTGTCCATTTTGATCCTCTTTATAAATGTTGAATGAATCTGTTGAATAACATGGCAGTAAGGTGAAGGAAATCATTTCTGTGTTTATAAACTGGAAAAACTAACAGTGTTCTTTACCTGTTGGAGAGCAACTACTAATGAGATCTTCATACAATAAAACCTTATTATATTAAGCATGGTAGTAAAAAAGTAAATATATATATGTATGTAAATACATATATAGTGCTTTATAGAAAGTTTAAACTTCCCCAAGTTTCTATACTAAATAAATCACCAAAAATTGGAGAAAGCAATACAACTTTTGTTCTGAATTGGAAATAATGTGTTTCCAATTAAATAGGTCCACTGAAAAATAAACTGTAGATTTTTCTGTTTCGTTTGTTTTAAGACCAGGCCTCGCTCTGTCACCCAAGCTGGAGTACAATGACACAATCATGGCTCACTGCAACCTCAACCGGGCTCAAGCGATCCTCCCTTCCCAGCCTCCTAAGTAGCCGGGACTACAGGTGCCTACCACCCTGCCCAGCTAATTTTTTTGTATTTTTTCTTTGGTGGAGACTGGATTTTGCCATATTGCCCATGCTAGTCTCAAACTCCTGAGCTCAAGTAATCTGCCTTCCTAGGCCTCCCTCCTAAAATGCTAGGATTACGGGTGTGAGCCACCACACCTGGCCTAAATTGTAGACTTTTCTGAACACTCAGAATTCTTATTTGAATTGTAATTTTTCACAAAGGGAGAAAATATATTAAGTCAGATGTTTTCAACTGGAAGACTGGTGCTATCACATCAAAATCACCTAGTGAGTTTTTGGTAAATACAGTCCTACCTTTTTTTTTTTTTTTTAATTTTAGAATTGGGGGAGGGTGTGATACTTTTTCAGGGTTGTTACATGGATATATTACATAAGGCTGGGGTTTGGGCTTCTATTGAACCCATCACCCAAACAGTGAATATAATACCCAATAGGTAGTTTTTCAACTCACCCCCACCCACTTCCTGCCTCCCCCTTTATGTCCATGTATACCCATTGTTTACCTCCCACTTATAAGTGAGATTGTGGAGCATATGGTTTTCTGTTTCTGGGTTAATTCACTTTGGATAATGTCCTCTGGCTGCATCTATGCTGCTGCAAAGGACATTATTTCCTTCTTTGTTATGGCTGCATAGTATTACATGGTGTATATGTACCACACTTTCTTTATCCAATCCGCTGTTGATGGACACTTAGGTTGATTCCATGACTTTGCCATTATGAATAGTGCTGTAATAAACATAAGAATGCAGGTATCTTTTTGATAGAACAATTTCTTTTACTTTGGGTAGATACCCAGTAGTGGGGTTGTTGGATTGAATGGTAATCCTGTTTTTAGTTCTTTGAGAAAGTTCCAAACTGCTTTCCACAGGGGCCAAACTAACTTACATTCCCACCAACAGTATGTGTTTCCTTTTCTCTGTATCCTCGCCAATGTGTAATTTTTTTACTTTTTAATAATAGCTGTGCTAACTAGTATTATGATATCTCATTGTGGTTTTAATTTGCATTTCTCTGATTATTAGTGATGTGGAACATTTTTCATATGTTTGTTGGCTGCTTGTATGTTCCCATTTTTAAAAATTGTATTGATTTATTTGTATTTTATAGAGAAAGTGTCTTGCTATGTTGCTCAGGCTGGTCTCATACTTCCTGAGGCTCAAGCAGTTCTCCTGCCTCAGCCTTCCAAAGTGCTGAGATTACAGACATGAGTCACCATGCCTAGCTGTATGTCTTATTTTGAGAAGCATTTGTTCATGTCCCTTGCCTACTTTTTAATGGAGTAATTTGGGTTTTTCTTGTTAATTTGTTTAGGTTCCTTATAGATTCTGGATATTAGTCCTTTATTGGTTGCATAGTTAGCAAATATTTTCTCCTAATCTGTAGGCTGTCTGTTTATTTTGTTGATAGTTACTTTTGTTGTGCAGAAACTCTTTAGTTAAGTTACAATGGTCAATTTTTATTTTTGTTGCATTTGCTTTTGAGGTCTTAGTCATAAATTCTTTGCCTAGGCCTATGTGCAGAATAGTTTCTCCTAGGTTTTTTCTAGGATTTTTATAGTTTGAGGTTTTATGTGTAAGTCTTTAATCTATCTTGAGTTAATTTTTGTATATGGTGAGAGGTAGGGGTCCAATTTCATTATTCTGCATATGGCTAGCCAGTTTTCCCAATATCATTTATTGAATTGAGTGTCCTTTCATCACTATTTATTTTTGTTGACTTTGTTTAAGATCAGTTGGTTGTAGGTTTGTGGGTTTACTTCTGGGTTCTCTATTTTGTTCCATTGATCTATGTGTCTATTTTTGTGCCAATACCATTGCTATTTTGGTTACTATACCCTAGTAGTATAGTTTGAAGTCAGGTAATGTGATGCTTCTGGCTTCGTTTTTTGCTTAGGATTGCTTTGGCTATTCAGCTACCCTGCCTTCTTAAAAGCACCTTTCTTTCAATCTGATACAACCCTGTGAGGAGTATTAGAAAATACAACTTCAAGGAGATGTTTGAGAATGCGGGCAGTACAGTCTGGGGCAAGGGGAGTGTAGGATTATGTATGGTTGAAAATGTTCCCTTTGGTGATATAGCAATGCTGTCTATCCTCCACCTGTCACTTTGAGAATCACTGGATTAGGTGATTTAATAATGCTGCAAGTTCCGTAATCTGCTGGAAAAACGAAAACAGAACTTTTTAACAGCTAAGGGTCTAGTTCTTCAATAACTCAGGCCTTGGGAAATGCTTCTTTTTTCGATCCTTCAAAATCCATCCACACTTACAGGCAATCTACAGTTTACTTTAAATAGTCTCCTACTTTTGAGGTGCTTATAATTTAACATAGTTACATCCCAATGCCCTTTGTCATTTTATTTTAAGTAAATGGGGTTATTGACGTTACTTGTCTTCATGTTCCTGAGTCCTTAAAGAAACGTGTTACCTCATCTGCTAGTTAAGTTTTCATGTTCTATGAAAACACTCAATGCTGCCCATTACTCTGTAAGAAAAGGTCAGTGTGATTTGCAATTCTGGTAGACGTAAAGTTCAGAAAATGTGCGTTAGAAAATGCAAACTCTAAAGGAAAACAATCTCAGCATTGGAAGAATAATGTCAGCACATGATCCCAACTCAAAATATTAATATAAATCATTTTGAAAATGTCTCTACTACAGCCAAATCAATTTTAAATGATAACCTTGTTGGCTTAGATTGGTGATGGTAAAGATAGAATAAACTAAGTGGCATTCTTTTAAAATGTCTTGTATGGCATTCATAGAAAAAAGTTCTTACCAGGTAAGATCTTAGAGAAAATATATTTCTCACCTATGAATGTAAGTTACTAAGTTATTAGCTCATGGTCCATTTTTAGATTATTGTAATCACAAAAGATAAACTCCTTTAATTAATTGGTCAAAAATAATTTAGAATAACATGTGGACCTGTCACATTTTTGACAAAGTAGTATCTTTGGGATGTGGTTCATTTAGTTCAGTGATCTCAAGCCTGAAGAAATGAGACTTCTTTCAACTCCCACCTTTTTATTGAAAAGGATCCTGCTAGAAGGCAAAATAAGAGGCAACCTATCCTAAGCAGATATAAGCCCTATTATAGCACTGATTTCTGGAGGGATGTTTAAGTCAGATTTGTTGAGATATAGATTACATATAGTAAAATCCACAAATATGTTACTAAATAACATGTAACAACCACCACAGACTATAGACCACCTTGTACAGTTTGTATTGAAGTATAATGTGCATACAAAATTGATACAACTTTTCATTAAGTGGATGGACCTGTGTAGCTATAACCAGATCAGGAAATACAATACTTATAGCACTTAAGAAGCTTCTCCTTGTGCCCCCTCCTAATCTTTATCCCCACTGAAGGTAACCATTGTCTTAGCTTCTACTACTGACAGTTAGCTTTGCCTGTTTTTGAAATGGAACCACTCAGTATGTAGACTTTTGTCTGCTCTATCTCCATCCATTTTTGTGCACTTTCTTACTTTTTGACAACATAAGATCCCCCGGGCTCACGTTGTATTTTCTCCACTTCAGTCCTATAATCAACTATTTCTCCAAGGAACCCTGGTTCCCTTTATTGAAGAATGGTTTTTAGAAACCTGTAACTGTGCTCTAGATATGCTCTTTGTTCCTTGAGTGTCTTTGCTTCTAGGCCCTCTTAGCAAACAGAACTTGGCAATATATGTATGTATAATAACCTATGTATACTCACTCATCTATATTTATTTCTGTATCTATATGTTTATATATTTTTAAAACATGAAGTCATACTGATAAATTTTATTTCAGTCCAGCAGCACAAGGCTCATTCTAGCCTTCATTCTTCCTTTTGTACAACTTCTTCCTTTGACATTGAAAATTCTGGCTCTCATTATCTAAAATGTATTTACTTATTTGTTTTATCCTAAAGTAGTTTTGAATTGCTTGCCCATACCCTTGTATGAGAAAGAGATTTACCCTTTAGAGTATAATATTTGCTTACAGTTCTTTTTTTCTGTAGCCCAATAGTGTCCAGTCAATATATAGTTATCCAAAGTAAATTAGCTCTTTTATTTCATCCACTCATTATGGTTACATTATTCATTTGTAATACAGGTAGGGTCACTTGTTAAGAGTATTCCATTTTGGTTTCTTTTCACATCCTGATTGGGGTTTTATTTTCTCAATAAAATTCACTTTTTGTAGTGTCAAGTTCTGTGGGTTTTGACAAACACATAAGATCATGTAACCACCACCATAGTTATGATACCAAAGAGTTACATTTTTCAGCTCCGGATTTGCAAGGATGGTACCAATATAAACTCCCCCAATTTTATGAGACGGCACTAATTGTTCCACATCTCTACCAATATTTGCTACTATCCATCTTTTTAATTTTAGCCATTCTGGTGAGTATGTAATAGACCTCATAATGATTTTGATTGGAATTTTTCTGATGTGTAGTGAGATGGAGCTCCTTTTCATCTGCTTACTGGTATTTGTTTTTTTGTGTGTAGTTTTGTTTTGTTTTGTTTTTTTGAGATGGAGCCTCACTCTGTCGCCCAGGCTGGAGTGCAGTGGCGGGATCTCGGCTCACTGCAATCTCCACCTCCTGGGTTCAAGCGATTCCCTTGCCTCAGCCTCCCTAGTAGTTGGGACTACAGGTGCCCACCATCACGCCTGGCTCATTTTTTTATTTTTAGTAGTGACGGGGTTTCACCATGTTGGCCAGGCTGGTCTTGAACTCCTGACCTCAAGTGATCCACCTGCCTCGGCCTCCCAAAGTGCTGGGGTTACAGGCGTGAGCCATCGTGCCTGGCCTTGCTTACTGGCATTTGGATATCATCTTTGATTGTATTGTTGTTGGGTTCTTTTGCCCATATTGAGTTGTCTTATTGATTTAGAAATCTTTTTACAGCCTGTATGCCAGTCTTTTGTTAGATAAATGTATTGTAGATATCTCCTGCTACTCTGTGGCTTGCCTTTTCACTCTCTTCATGGTATCTTTTGATAAACAAAAGTTCTTGATTTTAATATAGGGCAATTCATAATGTTTTCCCCTTATGATTAATGCTTCTTATATTCCATTAAAGAAAATCATGGCAGATCTCAAACTTGTGAAGATACTCTTCTGTTGTTTTTTTCTAAAACTTCTATTCTTTTACTTTTTTCAACTAGCACAATTCATCTAAGATTAATTTATATATATATATAAGGTGTAGGATAGGGAGAATGATTCATTTATTTTGCCCATATGAATAACCAATTGACCTGGCATCATTCATTGACAGGAATATCCTTTCCCTAACTGCATTACATTGACACCTTTGTCATGTTTCAGATGACCTTATATGGGTGAGTCTTTTTTTAGGCTATTTCATTGTCCTCATTCTCTATCCTTTACCAATTGCACACTCTCATGATAACTTAGGTTTATAATCAGTCTTTTTATCTGGCAATGTCAGTCTTCTGAGTTTGTTCTTCAAGATTATCCTGGCTTTTCTTGGCTCTTTGCATTTCTACTTAAATTCTAGAACTGGCCTGTTAATTGTCACCAAAGGAATTTTTTAAAAATTCCTTACTAGAGTTTTTTCAGATTATATTGAATCTGCAAGTCAATTTGGAGAAAACTTATTTCTTTACAGTATTTTGTCTTCCAATCCATATTTTCCTCTATTTATGCAGTCTTTAATTTTTCTCAGGATGTTTTTTTCTTTTCAGTGTAAAGGTCTTGTATATGTATCTTTTGTAAGATTCTTAGGTTTTCGATGCTATCTATTTTTAAATGGCATCCTTTTAGGTTTCTGTTTCTATTTGTTTTTTACTGGTATATAGATTTCTAAATAATGATCTTTTTCACATATTAACTGCAATAACATATCAGATAATTATTTTGGATTTTCTATGCATATAATTATACCATCTGTGAATAAAAATAATTTGCATTTCTGCTTTTCCAATTCTCATACAGTACTTTTTTTCTTACTACACTAGTTAGCACGGTAAGACATGTAGAATACAAGTAAATTGAAATGGTTATAGTGAGCACCTTTGTCTTATTCCCGATATCAGTTGAAAAACCATCAATATTTTATCAAAAAGGATAATGTTTGCTATAGTCTCTTTGTAGATACTCTATCAGATAAAGGAAATTTCTTTCCATTAATAGTTTGCTAAGAGTTTTTGTTTTGTTCTTAAGAGATTTTTTAAAAATCATGAATAGTTGTTGTATTTCATCAGATAATGTTTTTGCATGTAAAATTACTATATGATTTTTTCCCTTTTTTCTTTTAATGTGTGAATTACAGATTGATTATGGAAAGATATTTCACCTTTGCATTCTTGGAATAATGCCAACATTGACATATCTTTTTAATGTCTTATTGGATTTGATGTGATGTTATTTTGTTTTCTGTTTGTTTTTTTGAGAGAGGGTCTCGTCTTGTCACCCAGGCTGGAGTGCAGTGGTGCTCTCCAGGCTCACTGCAGCCTCCACCTCCTGGGCTCAAGCAGTCCTCCCACTTCAGCCTCCCAAGTAGCTAGGATTACAGGCACGTACCACCACGCTAATTTTTTAAATTTTTTGAAGAGACGAGGTCTCACTGTCTTGCCCAGACTGATCTTGAACTCCTGGGCTCAAGCAATTCACCCACCTTGGGCTCCCATAGTGCGGGGATTACAGGTGTGAGCCACCATGCCAGCCTTGCTTTATGTATTTTAAAGCTATCTTAACTAAGTGTATATAAATTTATAATTCTCACGTCTTCCTGATGCATTGAACCTTTTACCTTATGAAATGTCCTTCTTAATCTCTAATGATGCATCTTGCCTTAATATCTATGCCAGCTTTCTATTGGTTAGTGTTTACATGATATCTTTTTTCATTCCTTTATTTTCAACCTTTCTGTGTTCTTATATGACTTTTGTTGTTTTTTAATTAATTCTGACAATCTTCATATTTTAATCAGCCTGTTTATATTTAATATAAGTTACTAATGTATTTGTGTTCATATCTTACATCTTACTCTTTTTGTTCTGTCTTACATGTGTATCTTCTTTTTTCTCTCCTTTCCTGCTGTTTTTGGATTGATCAAGTATTTTTTTCTTTTTCTTCTCATTTAGCTTCTCGGTCTTGCCCTGTTGCCCAGACTGGAGTGCAGTGGTGTGATCTCAGCTCACTGCAGCCTCCACCTTCCAGTTTCAAGTAATTCTCATGCCTCAGCCTCCTGAGTAGCTGGGATTACAGGCATGCGCCATCATACCCAGCTAGTTTTTGTGTTTTTATTAGAGACAGTTTTGCCATGTTGGCCAGGCTGGTCACTAACTCCTGACTTCAAGTGATCCGCCCGCCTCGGCCTCCCAAAGTGCTGGGATTACAGGAGTGAGCCATCGTGCCCAGCCTGAATTCTCAGTTTTTGTTTGTCTGAAAGTTTCCTTTTGCCTTTCAATGTGTATAGTTCTCTATGTTGGGAGTTATACTTTTTGAGTTCTTTATAAATGGCTTTCCATTATCTTTTGGATTCTCTTATTTTTGTTGAGAAGTCAGCTGTTACTCTTATTCTGCTCTTTTATATATAATATTTTTATTTTCTCTAGCTGCTTTTTAGAATTTGTCAAACTTTAACTTTATCCTTAGTTCTGGTTTTCCTTTTATTTATCCTGCTGGGATTTTTAGTGCTTCTTGAATCTGTGATTGATGACTTTCATCAGATTTGGAAAATTCTCAGCCATTATCTCTTTAGATACTAGAACTGTTTATACTTGGGAATCTAGTTATACATATACTAGGTCTTTTCATTGTATCCCATATGCCTTTTATGCTCTTTGTGTGTGTGTGTGTGTGTGTGTGTGTGTGTGTGTGTGTGTGTGTGTTTTACCCCTTTTCCTCCCCGAGCTTCAGGCTGTATATTTTGCACTGACCTGGCATTTAGTTCCCTGATTCTCTCTTCTGCTTTGTCCCATCTGCATTTCAAAACATCCAGTGAGGCTGGGTCCAGTGGCTCATGCCTGTAATCCCAGCACTTTGGGAGGCCAAGGCAGGCAGATCACTTGAGGCCAGGAGTTCAAGACCAGCCTGGCCAACATGGTGAAACCCTGACTCTACCAAAAATAGAAAAATTACCTGGGCATGGTGGCAGGTGCCTGTACTCCCAGCTACTTGGGAGACTGAGGCAGGAGAATTGCTTGAACCCAGGAGGCAGAGGTTGCAGTGAGCCAAGATCGCACCACTGCACACGAGCCTGGGAGACAGAGCAAGTCTCTGTCTCAAAAAAAAAAAAAATCTAGTGGATGCTTTATTTCAATAGTCCCTTTTTTATTTTCTAAAGTATCTGATTATTTCTTATTCATCCTAGTTCTGTAGTATAATCCTCTACCTTGTCATCTATTTTTTTCTAACATATTAATCATAGTAGTAATAAATTCTGTGTCTGAAAACTACAATATCTCAGTCATTTGTAGGTCTGGTTTTTAAAGATTTTTTTTAATTTCCACATAATAATTGCAAATATTTATGGGGTACATAGTGATGGGTTTGGTGTTTTAAGAGAGGGTCTTGCTCTGTCACCGAGGCCAGAAGGCCAGAGTGCAGTGGCGTGATCACAGCTCACTGCAACCCGTATCTTGCAGGCTCAAGAGATTTTCCCAACTCGGCCTCCTGAGTAGCTGGGACTACAGGCACATGCCACCACACCTGGCTAATTTTTTTTATTTTTATTAGAGATGAGGTCTCGCTGTGTTGCCCAGGCTGGTCTCAAACTCCTGAGCTTAAACGATCCTCTCACCTTGGCCTCTCAAATTGCTGGGATTATGGGCGTGAGCCACAACACCCTGCCCATCGTGATGTTTTGATACATATAATGTATGGTGATCAGAGCAGAGCAATTAGCATATCCATCATCTCAAACATTTATCATTTCTTTGTATTGTGAACATTCAATATCCTCCTTCTCACTATTTGAAACTATGTAATATATTATTGTTAACTGTAGTTATCCTACATTGCTGTAGAACACTAGAATTTATTCCTCCTATCTAGCTCTAATTTTGTATACTTTTAAAAATCTCTCCCTATTGCCTCCTCCTTCTTACCCTTCCCAGCCTCTAATATCCTCTGTTCTACTTTTTACTTCTGTGAGATCAACTTTTTTTAGCTTCCACGTACGAGTGAGAATACATAGTGTTTAACTTTGTGTTCCTGGCTTATTTCATGTAACATAATGTCTTACAGTTCCATCCATGTTATGGTGAATGACAGGATTTCATTCTTCTTTATAGATAAGTAGTATTCGATCATGTATATATACCACACTTTCTTTATCCATTTATCTGTTGTTGGACATTTGGGTTGATTTCATGTCTTGGCTATAGTGAATAATGCTGTAGTAAACATGGGGGTGCAAATGTCTCTTTAACGTACTAATTTCCTTTCCTTTGGAGAAATACCCAATAGTGGGATTGCTGGATCATATGGTAGTTCTGTTTGTTTCTTTTCTCTGCATCCTCACCAGCATCTGCTTTTTTTTTCTCTTTTTAATGATAGCCATTCTTACTGGAGTGAGATGATACCTCACTGGTTTTGATTTGCATTTTCCTGATGATTAGTGATAATGAGCTTTTTTCCCATTTTTTTGGCCATTTATATATCTTCTTTTGAGAAATGCCTGTTCAGGTCATTTGCCCTTTTTTAAAACAGAGTAGAGTTTTTTGTTTTTATTTGTTTGTTTGTTTTTTTACTGTTGAGATGTTTAAGTTCCTTGTATATTCTGGATATTAATTCCCTATCTGATTAGATGAGTAAGTTGTATGTATTTTTTTCTATTCCATAGGTTATCTTTTCACTCTGTTGATTGTTTCCTTTGCTATACAGAAGCTTTTCAGTTTGACATAATCCCATTTGTTTATTTTTGCTTTTGTTGCCTGTGCTTATAAAAGGTTGTACTCATAAAACATTTTCCCAGACCAATGTCTTGAAGTGTTTCCCTTATGTTTCCTTCTAGTAGTTTTATTGTTTTGGGTCTTACATTTAATCCATTTTGAGTTGATTTTTACAGAGGGTGAGAGCTAGGAGTCTAGTTCCATTCTTATGCATATGACTAGATGCATATTTAGTTTTCCCAGCATCATTTATTGAAGAAACTGTGCTTTCTCCAGTGACTATTCTTGGTGCTTTTGTCAAAAATCAGTTGACTGTAGATACGTGGATTAATTTCTGAGTTCTCTATTCTGTTCCATTGGTCTTTGTGTCTGTTTTTATGCCAATAACATGCTGTTTTGGTTACTATAGCTTTGTCATATATTTTGAAGTCTGATAGTATGATACCTCCAGCTTTGTTCTTCTTGCTCAGGATGTTTTTTACCATTTAGGGTCTTTTCTGATTCCACAGAAATTTTAGAATATTTTTTCTATTTCTGTGAAGAATGTCATTCGTATTTTGATAAGGGTTGTATTGAATTGGCGGATCACTTTGGGTAGTATATAGGTCTGTTTTTTTGTTTTTGTTCGGTTTGGTTTCTATTTCCTTTTGGGGCTTGTTTCTTGGTTTGCCTGATAATTTTTTATCAAATGTTAAACATTGTCCATAATAAATTATAGAGCTTCTGTTAGTGTAGAGTCCAATTAGATCTAGGACTAAGCCACCTCAAGGTTGGGTTATAGTTTTTGTAAGACCCAGTCTACCTCTCATTTGCTTCCACTTCTATACCATGGCCCTCCTGGAATCTCAGCTGAAATCCTGGTGTTTTTATGAGATCCCTACTCATTAATGGGTTCTGAACTCCAAATTTTATCTGTTTTGTGTACCATACAACTAGCACAATCACCACTCTGCCTTATGGATGCCTTATACTTGGTGTCTTGGCCTCTTGTCCTGCTTCCTGACAAGTGTGGCAAATACCTTGAGTAGAGTATTTCCTCTCCTGAGTTTCAGGCCTACTTTATTGTTTTCCCCTCCTCTTCAGGATCATGACCCTCAGTTCTGTCTGTCTTGACAGTCCCAAACTCGAATTTTTGTCTTACCACCCACTAGAGATTGCAAAAAGTTATGTTGGCTTCTCTGCCTCTTAGTAGTAGTCCATTGCCCAGATTCTCAGCCTCTTACCCGACACAGGAATTTGCAAATACCCTAGGGAGAAAACGACTTTTTGAATGTCAGTTTAGCTCTTTAAGATCCTCTTCTCTCTGAGACCTTCTCTTGTCAAATTTTGACTACCTTGTCAGCTCTCTCATCCCTTCTTTATTTAAAAAAAAAAATTAAGCTTTTCTGCCTTTTTATGGTCTGGGAATTGGTTTACTACAAGCTATGGCATTAGAGCCTAACCAATAGGTCCCTTATTGAATACATTTTTTTATTATTAAATAGAAAAATACATAGCCCGAGAAAGTTAAGTGGGCTTATCTGTGTATTAAGGAATACTGTTTTTAGGAATGTGACTTAGGAATACTGTTCTTCATACCGCACTTTGGGAACTGCTGGATTAGGTCACTTTCCCAAGGTCTCAGAATTAGAAACAAAAGCAGCTAGATTAGAACCCAGCCTCGGCCTGGTGCGGTGGCTCATGCCTGTAATCCTAGCACTTTGGGAGGCCAAGGCGGGAGGGTCACCTAAGGTCGGGAATTCAAGACCAGCCTGACCAACCTGGAGAAACCCTGTCTCTACTAAAAATACAAAATAAGCCAGGTGTGGTGGTGCATGCCTGTAATCCCAGCTACTCGGGAGGCTGAGGCAGGAGAATCGTTAGAACCCGGGAGGCGGAGGTTGCGGTGAGCCGAGATCACACTATTGCACTCTAGCCTGGACAACAAGAGTGAAACTCCGTCTCAAAAACAAAAAACAAAAAACAAAAAAAGAACCCGGCTTCTTGAATCCCAGACTAGTCCAATCTGTTCCATACCATGTTAACTCATTGGCTTACATCTGTGGTTTTCAACCAGAAACAACTTTCCCCCTTCCTTTCAGTTATGACAACTGGCTGGTATGGAAGAGTTGGGTCTTCCACTGGCATTTTGTGGGTAAAAGCCAGGGATGCTGCTATATATACTATAATGCACAAGACAGCCAATCCACAATAAAGAATTATCTGGCCCAAATTATTAATTGCCTCAAGATTAGAAAAGCCCTGTCTTACAGTATCCCTCAAAATTTATATATTTAAAGGATCACTGGCTGATTCCTCTTTACACTTAATCATAAGGTCAACACCAATAGGCTTTAGTAGGATAAAGCATCTTTATCCTACTAAACTACATCCAGAGGCCCTTTGACCCAAGAAAATGTCCATATATGATCTAGTCCGTACTTGCTTAACTGTGTTTCTCAAAGCTTTTGCCAAATATGCTCCAATTCTAAGACTTCTCTTTAGTTAGAATTTGTTAGAGCTGGAAAACTTTCTGGTGTAGAATTGTGCGTGCATATCTTGTAAATGCATTTTGTATGCATGAATGGATATCTAGATGATAGTGACATTTACCTACACATTTATAGATTTTATTTATATATATACACATATATACATAATATATATGTATTCTAGGCATATATATATATATACACACACATTAGTCTAAATGGTTCTTAGAAAATTTATTCATTTTGGTTTATAACTCTAATCAATTTCTATAATCAAAAGCTCTTGAAAATGTAATACAAATAGATATTTAATTAAAGAGGTATATTACCAAATGTTTTTCAGAATAATTATTGTTTGTACCAGTGAGTATTTCTTTCAGAAATTCAATTAGACTCTAAAATTCATTTTTCAGAGCATTACAACTTGGCGGCAAAATTTTCTTTTGGCTGAAACACTGCATGCAAGCTTTTGGCTCAGAAAAAAATCTTTGGAAGTATAGCTGAAAAGTCTGATTCAGATAACTGAATGGCTAAAATTTTCCTTGTTTAAAAGGAATAAACTGGTTACACGTGAAATATTAAAAACTGTATTTAAATGGATAGTTAACTATTGCCTTATTTCTTTTAAGTCTTAACCAAGCTGGCTTATCCTATTTCAACTGCTCTAGAACTCACATCATTTTTGATTCATTGATTTTTTTTTTTTTTTTAGTATCCCAATAGAAGCCATCATTTCTAAGGTTCCACCCCAACTTTGCTGAGCCTTGGCCCAGAAAATTTGTTTAGCTTTTCTCTGCTGTTGTTAAGCTATTTTAAATTTTAAATTTTTGTGTTTTTAAACCTTTCTGTGTTTTTAAAGCCTTTCTGGTTTAATAAACAATTCTAAAATCTCAAGAAAATATCCAAATTCTTTTGTTAATAATTTGGCACTTAGCCATCTATTCAATTTATTTATCATGGTAAATTTTGCTTATACTTAATTATTTCCTCTAGTCCTAGAACTCCACCCCTTACCATAATAAAGGGGCAGTTTATAAAACAGGTGTTTTTGTAAGTAATTTACATGGTTTAGTATGCAAAAAGTACAATAATAGAGCTGTTTAGCTGTCAGTACTTGTGAGGAAGTAAGCAGTTTTTTCGTTATTAGGATGACCATATAACTTATTAGAAAAACTCAGATGCTTTTGAGAGTGAAAGAGTGGGGTGCTATTAATAATACTAGGACAGTTCTGGGCAAACCAGCCCATATGGTCACACTAATCATTATAGATATTTAAACAAAAATATTTGGTAAAATGAATTTGTGTATTGGTTGAGGTTTTTGGCTGTGTTTATTTCTAACATTTCTTCCAGTGAAAAGATTCTTGATCATGTGCTAAGTATATGCCAGGTAATATAGAACTTAAAAAAAACATGAGAACCTCTAATCTCAAGCAGGACAAGTTGGAGAGGCAAGATACTTATAGATAATGCAGTAATGTAACAGCACAAATAAATTCAATTCATTATGGTTTTATTGAGTGCCTACTGTATGTCAAGAATTGTGGTTATAAAGATGAACAAAACAAAAACTCCTTTTCTTGAAATCTAGAAGAGACATACTTAAATAATATGATGTGAAAAATGATATTATTTTCATGAACTAATTTTTATAGAACAAATGGAACAAGAAGTTGGGGAAAGCTTTTCAAAGCAAGTGATGTATGAACTAGGCCTTGAGGAATCCTTACAATTTTGGCAAGTTGAGATTACAAAGGTATTCAAAGTTAATGAGGTAATAAAAGCAAAAGGCAGAGTCCTTCATATGATTTGTTACAAGAAATGGCAGAAGGGAGATATGGGGCAACCATCTCTGAAATGGTAATTGTGATGGGATTTAAATGCTATGCTGGGCAATACATTATTAAGTGCTTAAAGTATATATATATATAGAGAAGACATCCTTTGGACTGAGAAACATTTTGTGATCAGTTTACCGTAATTCCATAAAAGAAAGGAATCACACTTCCATTTGTTTATAAAGCCCTGTTTCAGAGGGATCAACAAATACTAAAGATGAAAATCCTTTTTTTAATTAAATGCTAAAGAATAAAAGCTGCAATAATCCCTCTAAAAAGTATTAGTGATGAACAATCCCATGGGGTTATAGTGAGACAAATGTGATAGGGTTAGAAAAATTGTAGAGAAAAATTATGGTAAAAGCACTAGGGAAATGCCTTAGAAAATTAATAAAGATTGGCTTGGTTTAAAGACGGTAAATAAAGACTAATGCAAAAGGCTAATGAATTCAGTCATGGAGAAAGTTTATACTATAGTGTTTGCTAAAAGAATTACCACTAGATGGGATTTTATTAAGCATTTTTTTATTCAAAGAAAAAGGGTAACTCATTAATAAAATGTGTAGTTGATACTAAATAAATAAATCAACTAGTGTAGTTGATACTAAATTAGGAGATAGTGTAGTTGATACTAAATAAATAAATCAACTAGTGTAGTTGATAATAAATTAGGAAGATACTGTAGCTGATACTAAATTCTAGAAATTCTGGTAATAGACTCTAGAAATAGATGTTTGAAATAGGTGTTTAAAATAATATTTTAAAGAAAATCATATTCACCCCATTTTAAATCCACATAGAAGCAGCAGTTAACATTAAAAACTTGTGTCCACTTCCAGGAGATAGTCATGGTTTAAGGGTCCAGAAATCAATGGTAGAATCACCTGAAATTTAGAACAGTAGAAATATGTCTTCACTAAAGAGTCTAAATTTTTTTTTTTTTTTTTTGGAGGAGTCTTGCTCTGTCCCCAGGCTGGAGTGCAATGGCACGATCTCAGCCCACTGCAACCTCCACCTCCTGAGTTCAAGCGATTCTCCTGCCTCAGCCTCTTCCAAGTAGCTGGAACTACAGGTGTGTGTCACCATGCCTGGCTAATTTTTTGTATTTTTAGTAGAGATGGGGTTTTACCATGTTTACTAAGCTGGTCTTCAACTCTTGACCTCAAGTGATCCACCTGCCTCAGCCTCCCAAAGTGCTGGGATTACAGGCATGAGCCACTGCGCCTGGCCCAAGAGTCTAAATTTATAGGATGTATATGATTAAAAGTGACTTTTGTGAACATTTAAATAAATATTTGTGACTGAATTTTCTATGGAACATTTTTCCTTCAGTGGCTTGCATTTTAATGAAGGAATTATTTTAAAATTACCTTATTCCCTCCCAATGTTGTTTAAATATCTAGAGGGTATCTAGGGCTTAAGGAAGATTGGATGTGGAACAATGAGTGGAGGCCTAGAGAACAAGGGTAGTTTCCTGCAACAGTTATATGGATCCCTAGCAAGGTTCATATTTCTGTCTATACTGCTGGTTAATCTGAATATTCCCATAAATTGTGGAACATAATCCATGGCCTTGGTTTTCTGTTTCTTGTAGTAAGATTTATCATTTTATTTCTACCATAAATTAGAGATCATTACATGATTACTATGAAGGATCTACATTGCTATTTGTTATGATCAAATAAACAGTATTTTTGCAGTTGACTATTCAGGGATCTGTTAAAGCATTTAGACCTTAGGCCCTCATAGCATATATATATAAGCTTTTTGGAGACTTGGCTCTCACTACTTTGAGAATTTGGCACACAGGGTAATCAAAAAAAAAAGCTTTCTTGGCTCTTGCCTGTAATCCCAGCATTTTGGGAGGCTAAGGCAGAAGGATCCCTTGAGCTCAGGAGTTCAAGACCAGCCTGAGAAACATAGCGAGACCTCATCTCTACTAAAAAATAAATAGTAAAAAATTATCCCAGCACAGTGATGCGCACCTGTAGTCCCAGCTAATCAGGAGGCTGAGGTGGGAGGATCACTTGATCCAGGGAGTTTGAGGCTGCAGTGAGCTATGATTGTGCACACTCCAGCCTGGGTGACAGAGTGAGACCCTGTCTAAAGAAAAAAAGCTTTCTTTCGAAATGGCCTCAGGTTTATCGATTTTTAATTTAACATTGCTCTACAGATTTATTTTGTTGAGTTTTTTTTTTTTTAAGTACTAAGAGTGTTTTGGGCAGGGGAAAGAAATTCACAGTGTTTTTTTGTTGTTGTATTTTGTTTTGTTTTCTGAGACGGAGTCTCGCTCTGTCACCCAGGCTGGAGTGTGCAGTGGCACGATCTCGGCTCACTGCAACCTCCGCCCCCTGGGTTAAAGCAATCCTCCCACCTCAACCTCCCCAGAAGCTAGGATTACAGGTATACATCACCTCACCTGGCTAATTTTTTTTGGTATTGTTAGCAGAGATGGGGTTTCACCGTGTTGGCCAGGCTGATCCCAAACTCCTGACCTCAAGTGATCCACCTGCCTTGGCCTACCAAAGTGCTCGGATTATAGGTGTGAGCCACCACACCTGGCCTACCACAATGTTTTTTAACTGAACAGTTGGCTGCAGTAAGCTTTTAGAAGCCTACACGTTGGTATTTGAGCATACGAGGTGGATCATAATGGGGATCATTAGGTTTCTTTGACAGGTGATATTAAGAACCCAACCCAGCATGCCACTTGTAAACCATCTATACATAGAGACATTTGTCACCATTGACAGTTGTGACATTTAATCTGGGATCTATTTGCAACTCAGCTTCCTATGTATTACTATGTATTTAACAGTCTCAATTCAGGCTCAAAGCATCAGCTTTTTTCTTCTAGTTTTTCTAGGTTTTACTTAACAAAGGAAAATAGAAATATCTGTTTACTATTGAGGTGATCATTTCTCCTCAGATGAGTCATGCCAGTCACGATTCTTGGATGTTGACCTCTTGTGCTGTTTTTGTAGTTCACAAGCCAAAGCTGCACTAAATAGGATTATGGAAATTAGATTAATGGTCCAGGAATGAGGCATAGTGCTTTGGTTGAATAGGAAAGTCTGTAAAGTGGAGCCAGTAGTACCTGAAAAAAACTTAATCCAGGTGAGGCAGATGTTCTGAAGAATCTCACTCGTCTCACCTGGATTAAGTTTTTTTCAGGTCCTGCTGGCTCCACTTTACTGACTGCTATTCAACCAAACCACTATGCATCCTTTTTGGAGCACTAATCTAACTCCAAAGGGGTACAACAACCTCATCACTTCTAATATGAATACAACCAAGATATTGTGTGAGCTGAGAGTGGCAGAAGAAAACTGGAAAAAGCTCTCTCTTAGATAGCCAGTGTCACTTGGAGAAGTCTATTCTTATGTAAAAGGAGTTATATTGGTCTTCTAAGAAGAAAGGTTGTCAGGAACTGGCAAGCACTAAAATGCCTAACCAACACCTTGGAGTTAGAGCAGTCTAGTTTTAGAAGGCAGAGACTAGGAGGGATAATCAGTCATAGCTAAAGATAGGGAATCTAGACCAAAGCTCATTCCAGTTCCTAGGATTAGTGCAGAATACAATTTATTAAGCTAGAACAGAAGCTTTGCAGTCACAATTAGATCATCACAACGTACATCTGGATGTCAGAAATAATTCTGCACCCTACTCTTTTTTTTTTAAGTTAAAGAGACTGTCTCCCAGGCTGGAGTAGAGTGGAGTGATCTTAGCTCACTTCATCCTGGAACACTTGGGCTCAAACAATCCTCCTGCCTCAGCCTCCCATATAGCTGGGACTACAGGCACACGCCACCATGCTGGCTAATTTTTTTCTATTCTTTTAGAGACAGGGTCTTGCTGTGTTGTCCAGGCTGATTTCAAATTCCTGGCCTCAAGTGATTCTCCTGCTTTGGCCTCCTGAGTCACTGGGATTGCAGGGCACCCTATTCTTGATTTTTATTCTTCCCTTGTCAGGACTAGCTTAGAACTGTTACCCCAACTGTATAAGTAAGTGCATCCTTAACTATCAAGACCCAAGAAAGATATGAGCAGAGCAAAATGAGGAGCTCACGCAAGCAAAATTAAGACTTGAAATGTCAGCAGATAAGGTATCTGAACATGTCTATGACAGGAAGCCAGTTGCAACTTAACTACTGCAGTGCTAAATTAAACCACTGCTATGTATACCATATTTGAAGTAATAATTGGATACAAAGGTATATGGCCCTTACTTCAAAGAGCTTATACTTGTGAAGTGTACACTAGAAGACAGTATGTAGAAATTTTACCAAATTTTTATCAATTTACAGTATGAATTTTACCAAAAAATTCACTATAGAAATAATGCATGACTTCACATCACACTGGTGATCAGAGAAACAATGTATTTTAAAAGTGACATATGAACTGGTTTGTGAAATACAAATGAAATTTTGATGCAAAATATAACTAGAAATGACCTTAGATATCAGCTGGTACATCTTAGAAATTCGAGAAAAATTAAGACCCACTACTAGTGGGATAAATGTTGGTGTACAGTTTTTCTTGGTGACAGCTTGAGAATACATATCAAAAGCCTTAAAATATGCATATCCTTTGACTCAGTAACTTTACTTACAAATTAATCCTATGGAATAATTTAACATATGCACAGATTTACATGCAAGAATGTTCTTCATAGCATTGGTCTTAAATTTTTTAATTTTTTTAACTTCTCATTTTGCAGCAAAAAAAAAGTTGTAAAAATAGTAGATATTTTCCATATATCCTTCATCCAGCTTTCCCAAACATTAGCATTTTATATAACCAGAGTACATATATCAAAACCAAGGAGTTAATAAATAGGTAGAATTTTTGTCAAATAAATAAATAAAATTTTAAAACCAGCAAACTACTATAGATGTGATACTATTATTGAAGCTACAGACCTTTTTCAGATGTTCCCAATTATCCCACTTTTTTTTTTTTTTGGTCCAGGATACAATCTAGGATTCTACTCTGTGCTTAATAGGTAATCATATTCTTTTATTCTGTTACTATCTGGCATAATTCTTCAGTCTTTTTTTCTCCTCCTTAACATTAACACTTTTGAAGAGTACTGGCCAGTTATTTTATAGAATGTCTCTCAATTTTTGTTTGACTGATGTTTCCCTGTGATAAAATTCAGATTATGCATTTTTGGCAAGAATACCACAGAAATAATATTATGCTCTTCTCAGTGAATCATATTCAAAGACGTGATACTAATTAGCCTCGATAGTAGTGATGTTGACTCTGATTCACTTTACTTGGTTAAAGTGGTGCCTGCCAGTTCTCTCCATTGTAAAGTTAGTATTTTTTCTTTCTTATTGAATAAATATCTCATGGGGAGGTACTTCAAGATACGTCTTCCATACATACATGGATTAATCTTGCCTGAAATAATTATTACTGTGGTATTAGCCAAAGAATTATATTTTATTTTTATTATTCCTTATAAACTTCTCAATTCAAAATTATACACTTATTAATAGAGAAGAGCTTTCCCCTTTTTTTGTTTATTAATTTACTTATGTCATATGGACTCATGAATATTTTATTCTATTATTTAAAATATATTACTATCACTATTTATTGTGTTTCTCAAATTGTCGTAGATTTGACCATTGGAAGTGCCCTCAAGTTGGTTCTTATGAACTTCCAATGTACTACAGTTATTTTCTGACTTCCTTACATTCTGCGACCACAAGATCTCCAGGTTCAGCTTGTGTTTTCCTTGCCCCAGCCATGAAATAGGAATTTCTCCAAGAAGCCCTGGTTTCTTTTATTGTACACTAAGAATTTATACACACATCTATATCTGTGTCTATATTTAACCTGTGTGCGTGTGTGTGTGTGTGTATGTGTGTGATATATATATGATTTATTTATTTTTTTTTTTTTGAGAAGGAGTTTCACTCTTGTTGCCCAGGCTGGAGTGCAATGGCGCAACCTCAGCTCACTGCAACCTCTGCCTGCTGGGTCCAAGCAATTCTCCTGCCTCAGCCTCCCATGCCCAGCTAATTTTTTGTTTTGTTTTTTTTTTTTTAGTAGAGATGGGGTTTCTCCATGTTGGTCAGGAATGGTCTCAAACTCCTGACCTCAGGTGATCCACCCGCCTCAGCCTCCTAAAGTGCTGGGATTACAGACGTGAGCCACTGTGCCTGGCCCTGTGTATATATTTTTAAAACATGAGTACACAGTAGTATCACCTATTGCAATCCAATACCACAGAGTTCAGGACTGGCTTAGAGCTGTTACCCCAGCTCTGTAAGTGCAGCCTGAACCATCAAGACCAGGGAAACATATAAGCAGAGCAAAATGAGGAGCTCACACAACCACACATCCTGGTTAATTTTAATTAAGTTTTTTAAATATATAGAAAATTACCATGGTTCTAAAAGTCAAGAACTATTCACAAAGATAGAGTAAAAGAAGTGTCACTTCCCTGACATTACTTTTTCGCCATTCTTGTTTTAGCGTTCTTCCCACCCTGTTCCCACCTACCTCTTGTAGGTAACCAATCTCAGTTTTTTACTTATCTTTTCTGTATTTCTTCTTTTTTTTTCTAACAGCTTCACTCAGATATAATTCACACACCATACAATTTCCTTATTTAAAGTATACAATTCTTTTTTTTTGTATATTCATAGGTTGTGCAACCGTGACCACGATCAATTTTAGAACATTTTCATCATCCCAGAAACTGTCTCTCTCCAGCTTCACCCATCTTCTCCCAACCTTAAGCAACGATTAATCTACTTTCTGCCTCTATGCATTTGCCTTTTCTGGAAATTGCATATAAATGGACTCTTACAATATGTGGTTTTCTGTGTTAGGCTTCTTTCACTTAACATAATGTTTTCAAGGTTCATCCACATTATAGCATGTGTCAGTTTTTTACTTCTTTTTATTGCCATGTAACATTCTATTGCATGGTTTATTCATTTCCTAGGGCTGCCATAACAAATTACCACAAAGTGAGTGGCTTAAAAGAACAAAAATTTATTATTTCACAGTTCTGAAGGCTAGAAGTCCAAAATAAAAGGTATCAGCAGGGCCTTGTACCCTCTGAAAACTCTAGGAAATTGTTCCTTGTCTCTTCCTAGCTACTGGGCTCCTGGAAATCAATTCTTGGCATTCCTTGGCTTGTAGCTATATCACTTCAGTATTTGCCTCTGTCTTCGCATGGCCTTCTTCCCTGTGTATATCTTTCTGTGCCCACTCCTTTTATTTTAAAGACACCAATAATTGGATATAAGGCCTAATCTAATCTAGTGTGACCTCATCTTAACTAATTAATCTGCAAAGACTTTATTTCCAAACAAGGTCACATTCTAAGGTTCCAGATGGACATGAATTCAGGGGCAACACTATTTAGCTTTCTACATATAGAGATACAACATTTTATTTACCTATTCTTCAGTTAATGGAATTTCATTCCTGTATTTATTTATGCCCAGATGAGCAGATACATGAGCATTTTCTTATTTCTCCTTCCTTTTTATTTGAAAAGTGGCATACTGTTGATATGTTTGTTTTTTCCTTTTTTCAGTTTATAATATATTCTGGAAGTTTTTTCATATCACTTCACAGAGCTCTAGCTCATTCTAATCTAAATATTCAGCCATAGAGAATTTATTAATATATACATAAGATGGAAATTGATTTAGTATTTTAATTTTTATGAACATGGAATGATGTATACAATATATTGGGGATGTTTTCTTCTATAGGTTTTTTAATCTGTGTTTTCAAGGTATTATATTCACACAGTATGAAATTCCTCCTTCTAGATGTTACCCATCTAATCAGCCCTTTCCCAGAGTGAACCAATGCTTCCACTGAATGTCAGCTATACACATTGTTCCACACCTTGCCTTTTTGCTTAATATATCTTAGAGATTGTTCCATTTTTTTATAGCTGTATAATATTTCATTTTCTTGTCACATCATACTTTATTTTACTAATCCTCTTTTGGTACACATCTTGGTATTTCTAGTCTTTTGCTACAACAAATATAACAGCACTATTTGCAATGACCAAAATAATTGGAAACAACCCCAAAGGTCCATAAAGAGTAAACTGAATATATTATATATTTATGTGATAGCATACATAATGAAGAGAGAATGAATGGATTACCACTCAACTCAACAATATCAATGAATATAACAAACATAATGTGGAACAAAGTCAGACCCAAAAGAGTGTATACAGAATTCCAAACTAAATAGGGTAGGAATAGCTCATGTCAGAACAGCCCTTCTTCAGGTAGCAATTATAACTCTTAACAAAATATTACAAAACCAACTACCTGGAGACACTGGAGAAGAATGAAAATCAGGCAGAAACTGAAGGAGAGTCTATACTTGGAGGAGGAGAATGGCCTTGAGTACATTTCCTATTTTTATGACTCTTTCTCTAGGGCCAGCCCAAGTTGGCACCAAGTAGCATGCCTAAAAGTTGGTAGAAAACACGCAGTCTTACTGGCTTGAAGATCCAGAGGAAGAGTTTAGGTAAAAAGTGAGTGAGGAAATTTCAGAAAGGAGAAAAACCATACAGAGGTAGCCCTAAATTCTACATACAGACCTTATCCAAATCTCTGGATGACCCCTCAATTACGCATATGCAGAGTGGATTCCTAGCAGCCCAGCTAAGGCTAAAAGAACTTAATAAAGATGTCTCATTGTCCATTGCTGGGGTGCAGAGTTTGGAATTTCATTCTAGCCAAGTTTACTTGTCTCCTTAAAAAAACAATAATAATCCCCTCCTTAGAAACATTTGAGTAGACTGTACAACAGAGGTCAGCATTTTTATTTATTTTTTTTTTTTGAGACGAGTCTCGCCCTGCCTTCCAGGCTGGAGTGCAGTGGAGTGCAGTGGCGCGATCTCGGCTCACTACAAGCTCCGCCTCCCCAGTTCACGCCATTCTCCCGCCTCAGCCTCCCAAGTAGCTGGGACTACAGGCTCCCGCCACCATGCCCAGCTAATTTTGTTTTTCTATTTTTAGTGGAGACGGGGTTTCACCGTGTTAGCCAGGATGGTCTCGATCTCCTGACCTCGGGATCCGCCCGGCCTCCCAAAGTGCTGGGATTACAGGCGTGAGCCACCATGCCCGGCTGGCATTTTTTTCTTAAAGGACCAGAGAGTAAATATTTTAGGTTCACAGGGTACTCTTTCAGTAATTTAAATATGACAAGGAGCAAACTTGAATATAGGTATGTAGAAATTATCAAGTGTGGAAAATGAAGAGAAAAAAAACAATGAACATGGCCGGGTGCAGTGGCTCACACCTGTAATCCCAGCACTTTTGGAAGCCAGGGTGGGTGGATTTCCTGAAGTCAGGAGTTCGAGACCAGTCTGGCCAACATGGTGAAACCCCGTCTCTACTAAAAATACAAAAATTAGCTGGGTGCAGTGGCACACGCCTATAGTCCCAGCTACTTGGTAGGGTGAGGCAGGAGAATCACTAGAACCTGGGAGGTAGAGGTTGCAATGAGCCGAGATAATGCCACTGCACTCCAGCCCAAGTGGACAGAGCAAGACTCCATCTCAGAAAAAAAACCCACAAAAACAGAGAACAGAGCTTCCTTGACCTTTAGGACAACAGCAAAAGGCCTAAAATGTTCATAATTGGAGTCTCAAAAGGAAAGGAGCTAGAGAATGAGGCAAGATAAATATTTGATGAATAATGGCTGTAAGGTTTCCCACTTCTGGTGAAAGACATGAACTTACAGATTTGGGAAGCCCTGTGAACCACAGGCAGAATAAATACAAAGAAAACCACACCTAAACATTTAATTAGACTACTACTGAAACCAAAAGATGAAGAGAAGATATTGAAGAGCAAAGTAGCACATTGCATAGAATGGGAAATTATATGAACAACTACAGATTCCTTACAGTGGAGATCAAAAGAAAGTGGAACATCTTTGAAGTGCTGAAACAAAACTGTCAACCCAGAATTCTATCTCCAGCAATATTTTCCTTCAGTGATGAAGGTGATATTAAAACATTGTTATATAAACATAAGAGTATATACTATGTGATTCCATTTGTATAAAGTCAATGGAAACAGGCCTCAAGTTACTTTTGATGGGGATTAGTAATTGCAAGGAGGGGAGGGAATTTTTCACCATAATGAACCACTCCATAAATTAGTAACATAAAAAACAGCAGTTTTATTTTCTCATGATTCTCCAGTCAAGGCTAGGCTCAGCCGAGTAGTTCTACTTGTCTTGACAGTGGTCACTTGTTGGCTACATTAAGGTAGTACGTTGGCTGCAGGCTAGACTCATTAGGGATGTTCAGAACTCTCTATTTAGTCTAAAGGCCAACATTTCCAGAGTCAGACTTCCAATTTGTACTCTTCTCTGTATGTGTCATACCTCAATTAAAAGCCCACTTTCAGACTAGGTGCAGTGGCTCACACCTGTAATCCCAATACTTTGGGTGGCCAAGGTAGAAGAATTGTATGAGGCCAGGGATTGGAGACCAACCTGGGCAACACAGCAAGACCCCATCTCTACCAAAAAAAAAAAAAAAAATTAGCTGGGCGCAGTGGCACATGCCTGTAGTCCTAGCTACTCAGAAGGCTGAGGCAAGGAGGTTCGTGGAGCCCAGGAGTTCAAGGCAGCAACAGTCAGCCGTGATCACACCATTACACTCCAGCCTTGGCAACAGAGTGAGACCCTATCTCAAAAAAAAAAAGTCTACTTTCAAAGGGCAATAGATAATTATTTTTTTAATTACAATCTAACAAAAATAGAATAATCTAATATAAATAGAAACTACAAAATGTTCCAGAAAATGTAAGTATTCCTGTGTGACTAGTGTAGAATTAATATAAGAAACATTAATAGGTGATAAAGTAAAAAAGATAACTTAGGGTTAGATTACACTGAGATTTGAGTGCTTGGCTACAGAGCTGGGTCTTATTTGAAGGGAAGTGGGAAACTATTGAAGGGTTTTGAGCAGAGGAATGATATGTTCAAAACAGTGGTTTAGGAATATAATCCCATGCTAGTGTACAAATTAGACTAGAGGAGGGAGAGACTATTATCAAACGGATCAATTTGGAAACAATTTAGATAAGCACCAATAGGAATTGAATTAAAATAATAGCAAGCTAATGAAAAAAAGGGAATAAAATGTATTAATTCTACATCTACACAGATTGAGAGCCTACTATGTTCTATGTACTTGGTAAAGGACTGTATATATTTTTGTCTTTATAGTCAAGGAATTCACAACATATGAAATGTAGAAGTATGAAAAAATAACAATTTGTTGTAATAAGAACTATAATAGATGAATATTTAAGGTGTTAAGGACACAAGAAGAGGAAGCAGCCAATAATACAGAGGAGTCTAAGACATGCTTTAGATAAGATTTAACCTTACATGAGTAGTTACAGTTTACCAAACAAAGAAGGCAAAGAACAACATTCTAGCCAGAAGAAACAGCACATAAAAAGTCACAGGCAAAGAAGAGTAGAGCATGGTGAATTGGGGGACATAGTTCACTATATCTACATGTGCAAGCT
Source organism: Homo sapiens (assembly GCF_000001405.40). Taxonomy (NCBI): domain Eukaryota; kingdom Metazoa; phylum Chordata; class Mammalia; order Primates; family Hominidae; genus Homo; species Homo sapiens. The sequence goes on from NC_000010.11 coordinate 74,636,937, forward strand.
AAGCATAGGTACAGAAGCTAGAAAGATAAGGATCACATCACTAAGGGCAAAAGACATGAAAAATTTGGTGACTATATGAGATGAAACAAGATTTAGTGACTTTATAAGAAGACAAGGATGACCTTAATATTTTGAATTTAAGTGACTAGAAGGATAATGATAAACCCAATAGTAAGAATTGTATAACTTATAGACACTTTTCATCTGAGTGGACATTAAATACCTAGGAGTTCTTTTTATATGTGTGTGAAGAATAGCACTAGATGTGTTTCATCAATGAAATTCTGAATATAAAATAATCATCATAGGTTCTTAAAGCCAGTCAACAACCAAGAATTGATACTGACCACTGGCACAGTTTTTTTCAAAAATGACAAACTTTAAAAGAAAAAAAAATGCCTTGAATGAATGTTTTTCTTAACTCAGAAGAAAAGAAAAATCTTTAACTACATATAGCTTACCTGAAGAAAAAACAGAATTGCAGAATTGCTGTGAATGTTCTAAAGACCTGGTTCTATATAATCAAGTTAATTCCTCTTTCATGTGTTTTAAAATATTGTTGATCCAAGAACCAACCATCAGCTATGCTGGAAGTCTATAATTATGCATTGATATATGAGAAGGCTATCATTCTCTACAGACGACTGGTACCATCCTTAGCAGAATACTTGAGGCTGCTTTTGGTTTAGGGAATCTGTAGCTCAGAGATTTTCCTAGAAAGTAACCTCTGTTGTTCAAATTAGATAGCCATTTGTGGAGACAAAACCCACTGGGTATAGGTAGTATTACCTGAATCACTAAAAGATAATTGATTAGAAATCCAAATCAAACCTTGAGACTGCTGAGTCTAGATGAGTGGCTGCCTAGGGATAGAGGGCAGGAAGGGGTGGGACCTTACAAAGACACATGAAGAAACTTTTAGAATTGATATGTTTGTTGTTTTGATTGTGGTGATGGCTTCATGAGTAATACCTATTCAAACTTTTCCAGTTGTACACTTAAATAGTGCAGTTTATTGTATGTCAATCATGCTTCGATAAAGATGTTAGCAAAGGAAATGACTTTCATCTTAGAATGGTCAGATAAACTGTTTTAAGTGCTACACCATTATCCATATAAAGAAGAGATGGCCATTTAAAAATATTTATACAAGACTTGAAGCAATGTAGGTAACCTGAGGTATAATAAATTGAGTGTCTTGATATTTAGAGTCCTGATGTAATACACTTTATTAAGATATAGATTTGTAAATTTATGCTAATTCTGGATGATTATTTTTCTTGAGTTGGTTTCTATGGACTGAATGTTAAAGTGGGTTTTAAGCAGGTTTTATATAATATATCAATACCACATTAGCTTGATTTTTTTTATTGCGAGAGATGCAGAAAGATCAATATCTTACATGCTCTATATCACCATAAATACTTTCAATAAAGCTTTTTTGGCCTGGTAGGGTGACTCACACCTGTAACCTCAACACTTTGAGAGGCTAAGGCTGGAGAATCACTTGAGGCCAGGAGTTCAAGACCAGCCTGGGAACATAGTGAGACCCTGCAAAAAAAATATGGAAATTAGCCAGGCATGGTGGCACACGCCTGTAGTCTTGGCTACCCAGGAGGCTGAGGCAGGTGATCACATGAGCTGAGGAGCTCGAGGTTACAGTGAGCTATGATCATACCACTTGCAATGTAGCCTGGGCAATAGAGTGAAACCATGTCTCATTCAATCAAACTTATTTGAACCTTCGTACATTTTTGCTTTTATTAATGAGCTTTTCTTTTAAAATCAGACTTTTAATGGCTTTCTGGCAGTGTCATCCTGGTTGTGGTTGAGACTAATATGAGCTCTAGTTTGTGTTTTTTGTTATTGTTTTTGTTTGTTTTTTTGAGACAGGGTCTCTCTCTGTTGCCAAGGCTGGAGTACAGTGGCACAATTACAGCTCACTGCAACCCCTTCTTCCTCCCAGACTCAAGTGATCCTCCCACCTCAGCCTTCCGAGTAGCTGGGACTATAGGTGCACACCACCACACCTGGCCAATTTTTAAATTTTTTTGTAGAGACAGGGTTTCATCATATTGCCCAGGCTGGTCTTGAACTACTGGACTCAGGTGATCCACCCACCTCAACTTCCCAAAGTGCTGGGATTATAAGCATGAACCACCATGCTCAGCTGAGCTCTAATTACTGAAGATTAATTCTATAGGTTGAACCTGGATATGTTAGAAGACATAGGGGACTTTCATAAAGAAGTTCAAATTAGAATATGTGAGATAGGAGAATTTTTTAAAAGAATTGTTATTTGATACTTAGGGTGTAGTCATATACTCTTAATATTGCTAGAGTGTAAATTGGTAAAAGTTTTCATATCCTTTTATACAGCAATTTCAGCTCTTGGAATTTAAATAATCAAAAGTCTGGGAGCATCTACATGTGAAGACATTCATGTCACTTTTATGTATAATAGTGTAGCAACTTGAAACTATATATATTATGTTACATGAAAAATAAACTAACACAGTGGGTTCATTCACTTTGTGAAACTTCATCACTTATTTGAGGACTTTGAGTATAAACAAATCAGAATATAAAATTACCTGCTATTACGAAGTAGCAAGAGAGGCTGGGCACAGTGGTTCACACCTGTAATCCCAACACTTTGGGAGGCCGAGGGGGGCAGATCACTTGAGGTCAGGAGTTCCAGACCAGCCTGGCCAACACAATAAAACCCATCTCCACTAAAATTACAAAAATTAGCCGGGCGTGGTGGCATGTACCTGTAATCCCAGCTACATGGCAGACTGAGGCAGGAGAATCGCTTGATCCCAGGAGGCAGAGGTTGCGGTGAGCCGAGATCTCGCTACTGCACTCCAGCCTGGGTGACAGAGCGAGCAAGAGCAGGCGAGCAAGCGAGACTCCATCTCAAAACAAAAAACAAAACAAAAACAAAGTAGCAAGAGTGAGTATGCCAGTGTGCTGGGGGTAAGATGATTTAGATACTCTGTATTTTCCATGTCTTATTTTCATACTTTAAAAAACATATCAGTTGTTTCTAAAAGAACATATTCCTTTTAGTTACAAACATATACATTCAGCAACCCTAAAGTAGCATAGACTACTACTGGCTGAAGCTCTGGGGTTTTATTAGTACAGTGATGACTTAATTAACAAATCCTCTTTGAACAAAGCCTCTTCACTCAAGACTGGCCTTGGTGCAGTAGGCATGAGAGAAGGACCAGTTTTCTCTGAGCTAGATCGGTAGCAGCAGGGACTAATGAGGCAGGGCCTTGAAAGTGGCTCTCTCTCAGATCTAACTCCTCAGGGACTGGCTAAAGCTGAAGCTGAGGGTACTGGTGCACTCCTGGGACCTACACAGCCTGGTTACCCAGGTGTTGAAAAAACAGTTTCTGTGCCAACACCATATGTGGCTTTTAAGAGACTCGGCAGGACTCTTGCTTTAGGCAGAGCATTCCTTGTGTGGAATGAGTAAGCTGGAAAATAACAAAGAGGGAATCCCATGTGCTAGGAAGCTTCCTCTTGTCTTCTGTGTGCTCCGTGTACTGCTTTTTCAATTCTCTGGGCCTTATTTTGTTCAACTATAAAGTAAAAGGAGTAGCTAAAAAATCTCTAATATATCTTTCAGTTCTAATAGACTACATGTTTAAATCAGGAATCGGCAAACTTTTTATAAAGGGTCAAATAGTAATTATTTTCTGCTTTGCAGGGCATACTACCTCCATTGCAAGTGCTCAACTCTCCCTCTGTAGCGTGAAAACAGCTGTATATAAACAAATGGGTGTGGCTGTATTCCAATAAAACTCTATTTATAAAAATAGGCAGCTAGCCAGATTTGGCCCACAGGCCATATTTTAACAAGCCCAGGTCTAGATGTTAATGTAATGGGAATGTCATATTAAGAGAATTATTTGATGAATAGGATATAATTCTTATTTCATAGAGACCATTCTCTCAGACTTTTTATTTTTAAAGCGTAGGCAAATATAAAATATTATTTCACTGTCAGGATGTAATACCATGGGAAAAAGATTAAAAATACTCTGGCACCAAACTGTTGTAGTAAATTATCTGAAATAGAGCCTTTGACTTCCCAATTAAGGAAGAAAATGGTGTCTGCAACACCTGTGACTGGGTTATTTTAAGTCTTCAAAAGTTAGGGGCCTAGTAGAAGAGAGTCTCAAGGGCTTGTTCATTTTCTTTCTCATCAAATGGGCCAAATCATGCTTTTCATAGTAGAAGGTAGGCTGTGGACCCTTTACTATTTTATTTTTAAATATTTCTCTTGGCTAGGCATAATGGCCCATGCCTAAAATCCCAGGCTGAGGCAGAAGGATCCCTTGAGCCCAGGAGTTTGAGACCACCCTGGGCAACATAGCAAGACCCCGTCTCTACTAAAAAAAATAACTTTTTAAAAATTAAAAATAAATAAATAATTTTTTGGTGGTCCAGAAAGGGGCAGCTGCCATGCTTTGCAGGTTTCAGATCCCCATCTATCTTGGGTTGGGTTTCTATCTTGGTCTTAAGTTATCAGTATTCTAATATGGAGATAAGTCTGCCTTCACTTTGGAGACCTTTGTTAGTTCTTCCATGTCAGGCTTCAGCTAGTATAGTTTGTCTAATGCATTTATATAAAACTTGTTTCCAACAATGAAAAAGCAATTACAGGTTGGGATATGTAATTCAGGCCCATTACTACATAAAAGGATCAGCACAGTGGTACTTTATCTGACTAGGGAAGTCTAAAATATTCTTGTTGGCCAGCTTGCTTTCACATAAGCACTGTTCGGGATCTTTTCTAAGTTGCAGAACATGAATTCCTTATTGGCCTATCCCACTAGCCACAGCTGTGAGCACAACAGAACTGACACATACCTGGTAATTATACCTTATCTAAAGTGAACAGGGCCACCTTCCCAGCATAGTGACAGCTATAGCCCTTAATCTAATGCAGTGGTTCTCAAAGTATAGACTCACTGGGGGTGCCCTTTCTGAGGCTCTTTCAAGGAATCTCTTCTATGAAATCAAAACTACTTCACAGTAATTCAAATATATTATTTGCCTTTTTGACTCTCAATGACAGTAGAGTTTTCCAGAGACTACATAATGTATGATATCACAACAGATTGAATACTGAAGCAAATGTTAAGAATCCAGCTGACTTCTGTTAACCAGATATTAAAGAGATTAGCAAAAACTTAAATGTCATACTCTCTACTAATATTTTTGTTTGGAATATATAGTTATTCTTATGAAAATATGTTAAAATGTAGGTTTATTCAGAAATTTTCTGAGATCATTTTATTTTCTAATACAGTAAATATTAATAAATATGACTCACACAAAATCTATTTGGAGTCCTCAATTTTTTTTTCTTTTTTTTCCTGGCTTACATTTTTTGATGCACTCAATTTTTTTTTTTTTTTTTTTAATTTAAAAAGAGACAGGGTCTCACTATGTTGCCCAGGCTGGTTTCAAACTTCTGGGCTCAAGCAATCCTCCTGCCTTGGCTTCCCAAAGTACTGGTATTACAGGTATGAGCCAGTGCACCTGACCTCAATAATTTTTTAAGAGAAAAAGTTTGAGAACCCCTCCTCTAATGTAATACCCTTAGTTGCAATACTCTGATCTCATGGTTACTGATATCATCTTTACCATATTCCCTCTTATAAAATATTTACTAAAATTATCCCCAGAGATAACCCTTGTTAACAATTTAGTGATTACTTCTAGACATCTTTCTACTGAGTGCTTGCATTCACACATAATATATATACTTTTACATTTATTGGATCATACTGTGGTCTTTCAAAACTTATTCTCCTGAGTTTAATTTTTCTACCTGATCACTCTCTGAATTCTTATAAAATCTTAAGTTCTTTTTTTTTTTTTTTTTTTTTTTTAAGACAGGGTCTCACTCAGTCACTATCACCCAGGCTGGAGTGCAGTAGCATGATCATAGCTCACTGTAGCCTCAAACTCCTGGGTTCAAAGGATCCTCTTACCTCAGCCTCCTAAGTAGCTAGGACTACAGGTGTGTGCCACCATATCTGGCTAACTTTTTTTATTTTTAGTGGAGACAGGCATCTCACTATGTTGCTCAGGCTGGTCTCAAATTCCTGGCCTCAAGCAATCCACCCACCTCAGCCTCCTAAAGTGCTGGGATTACAGGCATGACTCACCATGCTTAGCCTAAATCCTAAGGTCTTAAAATTGAAAGGGACAGAGGGGTCATCTTATCTCATTCCCAACTCAAGTCAGAAACCCTCTCTAAAACATTCACAACCTGAGAGGTCCATTTAATTTGGTTTTATAAACCCTAAATTGTTAGAAACTTTTTCCTTCTCTTGGACATAAATTTGCCTTCTTGATCACTTTTACCCATAGGTTCTAGTTCTACTTTGGGAAACTATATAGAATGCATCTTATCTGTCTTCACTGGGCTTCATTGTGGGTATTTTCTTCTGTTCTATCTTCCAGTTCACTAATTCTTTTTTAAGTTGTGTCTAAGCTTCTATTAAAACTATCCACTAAATTTTTACTTTCAATTTCCATTTAAACCTGTTGTATTCTAGTCCTCTGTTAAAATTCTCGATTTTATCTTTAACTCTTGCTATTTCAAAGTTTCTGTTTGTTAAGTTCAATATCTGGAACTGCTTTATTAAGCTGTAATTTCTGCTGGTTTTAATTTCCTGCTTGCCTCTTTGTATTACTGTTTATTTTTTATTGTGGGTGATATGTTGTATTTGCAAAATTGCTTATAGAAATAATTTGAAGTATAGGATGATTCATGTTTGCTTTTGGCAGGCATGGGGACATTGGCACACTATATTTATCTTCATCTAAGTTTAAAGATTTAGATGATTAGAGGCTAAGCTACAATCCCTTGTCTAGGTCTTTCTACTGCCTGTTCACACACCCTTAATCCTTTTGATTCCCACCCTGAGATAAGGAGATTTTAACTAGGCCCATTACTCTTGACAGACTGGGTTCCAGACTTTGTCCTCCTAGCATCAAACACCAGACTCACTTCTCTGGGTTTCTATCATCCTCTGTATTATAGCCTGGTAATTCTTCATTCTTTTGTTAGGACTTCAATGCCTTCAAACAGATTTTTTAAAAATATGTCCAGATGTTCTAATTCTTGATAAGACAGTTGGTCTGAATTACCTAGGCTGCCATTAGTACCTGCAACCTACTTTAATCCGTATTAATATTTTTCTGTCCTTCTGGATTGCTTGGGAAACTGTTAAAGAGCAGGAATAACCCTGACCAGGCATCTGTACCACATTCAACCAGATGCTCTGTAAGAGCTCCTCTTGAAGGTTTAATCTGATATTAATCAGATAGGAAGTACAGTTCTTATGAACAGATTCAGTCTTCCCACAGGGATGAGTTCAGTTAAGAGGGGCAATGGATACGGTGTACAGTGGCCCCATTTTCCTTTATGTTTATATTCTAGTCTTGTAATAAAACTAATGCTCAGAATGAAAGGTCTCAATTTAGGATTTAAACCAAGTATAAACAAAAAGTTAAAACAAGCTATTGTTCAAACTTTGACTTAAGTGAAAGAATTGGTTTTTTTATTTGTTTGTTTATTTTTGAGGCAGGGTCTTGCTCTGCCACCCAGGCTGGAGTTCAGGGATGCAATCATAGATCACTGTAACCTCGAACTCCTGGGCTGGAGCAGTGCTCCCGCCTCAGGCTCCTGAGTAGCTAGGAGAACAAGTGACACCACACCCAGCTAATTTTTTAATTTTTTTGTAGAGATGGGGCTTTGTATGTTGCCCAAGCTGGTCTTACCTTCTGGCCTCAAGTGATCCTCTTGCCTTGGCCTCCCAAAAGTGCTGGAATTGCAGACATGAGCCACCATACCCGGCCTGGTTTTATTTTAAAAAACACTTTTGCTGCCCTTCTGTAAAATGTTAATTATATGTATGCACATTTTCTTTTATCTGGTGCTTCTCTAAATTCCTTTAGCCCACGTCTTATCCAACTAGTCATGTGGGAATTTCCTCTTTGGGGAATTAAATATTTAATATTAACTTCTAGGTAGTACAGAGCAGCCCACTGTGTTTCACTTTTGTATTATTCCTTTGTTAGCACTAAGTTTTCTGTATCAGCTTGTCTAGAATTTTTGTTTCAAAATTGTATTCTTCTAATTTATTTGCAGTTTTTCTCTTCTAATTGTTTAATTGTCCATCCCCTACCCCCTGCCCCAAGGCAAATGTACTGTCTTTTATCCATATGTGCCCATAAATTCTAAACTCAAAGATTTCTGGTTCTCCCTTATATTTATGGTATTTTTCTACTTCTCTGTTCAGTATATTTTTGCAAGTGTTTCAGTTTTCTTCAGTGTTTGAGGTTCTCTAGTGTGTCATTTCATTTTCATGCATCAGAGTAATTCCTACCATTCTTATATGGAGTCTCTTACCTGATGATTTTTTAATTAGTAAAGTGCAATATTGAACAACATTGAAGATTTTATTTCTTAATCTAAAACATAATATTTATTTAATAATGAAATGGAAATATAGGTTTTGTGAAAGGGAGAAAGGTGTTTCTCTAAATATTATACCTGTGTCAAAAAGCTGCAAGTGCTACTACCACTGTTTTGTGACCCCTGAATGATTTCTGCTTTCTTTATATTAATACTTACTCTAATAGTAATTGAACTCCCAAAAAGATCACAAAGTCCCCAATTGCTAGCTTTATAAATACATTGATGTGTACCTTGTTTGATGAGATAAAAGCTTCAGTAAGTGATATCCCCACCTGTGTGGTTAATTTCAAAATATTGTTTGTCTAATACATTGTTGTCAGTGACAACTGAACAAGAACTTTTAGAAGCAGTTGGCTGTCCATTAATGGCAGATTTCAAGGCTATGCAAATTGTGCCAGTTCAGCCCTGCATTTTTTCGATATTATCATATCAATTGAGTCAGTTCAGAGTAGACAAAGCAAGGTTATGGGAACCACCTAGAGCATCATGCACCATTTAACATCAATGCAGCATACATGAACATCTGCAACTTCGATCTTATTAACAGAGGATAGAATGGAAGGCAGTAAACAGCTTTCTTCATCACTTAATTGCAAAATAGTATTTCCTAATGTTTGCATTGTTTATCAACACGAACTTCATCAATAATTGTATAATTATGGTTGCCTAGATCACAGTGCCCTCATGCATCTTGTCACTTATTATAGAGTGGTCTGAGTTTAATTTGAATTTGAACACATGATACAAGGATAATAATACAAGTTCCTTGAAATGTGAGTTGCATAATACAAAAATTTTGTGTAGTAGGAGAATGGCAAGTTATGATTCTTCAGTCACTTTGGGGATTAACACAAGGAAAAACAGGACTGAAAGGCAGTGAAAGATGAGGGGAAGCCACTAGTTAGATTCAAACATAGACCCATTGGACATGAGAGTAGGTTATGTTCCTTAGAATTAATCATGAGTAATTCGATGTTTGCTTTAGGCCCAAATTGAGCTGAATTAAAACAGGATTATTATGCTTAGGTCTTCCCTTCAGTCTCTGTAGTTAAAGAGAGAAAATGGCAGAAAACTACAAATATAGTGAGGAAAAAGCTATGGTGGCCAAAGTTAAAAATACCACATGCTGAGGAAAGCCTTGACATAGCTGCTCAGCCTTCATTGCTGTTGCTTTTGAAGCCTGATAATGCCACACTACTCCTAATTAGCAAATGTTAGTATTACAGTAAGCAATCAAGTGCAGTCTTCAGGCTTTGTGGCAGCAGTTTCGCAGTGCAAAATATTGAAGAAAAAATGAAGGAAAACAATATAAGCTCAGCCACAGTTATTGGTGTGGTCAGTGGGAGTTGTCTCACAAGAGAGCAGGAAAAGGAAAATGTGAAAAACAGTGGGTGCATTTAAAGCATGTAAGACAAGAGCTGGCTAGTCTGAAAAGTTTGTCTATTTTAATCATGAAAATCTCACATTTTTACTTAAATCCATTTTATATTTAAGGAAAAATCTAAGGCTTGTTCATGAAATTACACTTGAAATATTTTAATTTGTGGTTAGAGTCTCCTCCCCATCTCAAATTAAAAGGTATTAAATTGTATATTGAGTGAGCTCCGTTTGTACTCAGCTCTTCCCAATTAATAAACATAGTCATTTCCTTAAAAAAAAAAAACTCTAGAGTTAGAATGTTTTCTCTCACTAATTAGTCTGTATTTATGCCTTTAATAATTATCTGTTCATTTTCTAGCAGCAAATGTTTGTTCTCAGATTAAATTGGAGAAGGAAGGAAAAAAAAGATAGCTACCCACAGTATAGTATCCACAGACGATATAGAGTTATGTCCCTCTTTGTGTGGTTCTTGAGTATAATAGACATAACAGAAGCTTTCTTAATATGATAGTTAATCTATTATTTTCTGTATTTGGGGGATGCTAAGAACTGGTTTACTAGAGGTAATAGTTTGATCTGTAGTTATTTATGTTAAAATACTTTTTTAAAAGGTAATTACAGCTTCTACTATAAACTTGAAAAAGTTGGTCTAACTCTGTGCCGAATGAGCGGGGAGATATTACTATATACATACATATAAGTGTATATGCCTCTTACCTGAATACCTCAGGGAGCACACTTTTCTGAACCAGGGTTTTGTAATAAATGTGTGTACTACTAATTCTGACACATGTATAGTTCTCCTTTAAATAACTTGTATGCAAACGTTATTCAGAAACGTCTTCTAGGAGCTATTTATCAAAACTGCTATAATAATAACTTTGTCCTAATGAGTTTCAGTCTCTGTTTAGGGAGTAATCGATAAACTACAAATTAATGTTCCATAATTCACATTATAATGCACATATAATTATTTTGAGATGAGGCAAACCCTATGCATTTAATTTACAGCTATAATTAAGTAAGCTCATTTGATACTAATTAAGTAAGTCTAAAAGGATCATAGGTTTGTGTATTTAATTATCAAGGTACAATCAGCAACTAATTCCTTGAAAAGCTTTCCTATCTTCAGTTCAACACTGATCTCAGCCCACACTACAATTTATCTTCTTGCATCTTCAATAGATTAAAATGCATTGTGAATTGTGGAGAATCTACTTGGTAAGTTAGCTTCTTTATTTAAAAAGTATATATATGTATATATATATACACATACATAGGCTTAAGAATACAGAAATTCTATAATCTGGCAAAACTGTCCTTAAGAAGTGAAGGAGAAATTAAGACATTTCCAGATAAAAGATAAAGAGGTTTATTGCCAATAGACCTGTCCTACAAGAAATGCTAAAAGGGAATGCTTCAGGATTAAATGAAAGAATGCTAGACAGTAACTGAAAGCCATATGAAGAAATAAAGAACTCCTGTAAAGGTATCTATATAAGTAAATATAAAAACCAGTATTGCTGGTTTGTAACTCTTCTTTCATTCATGAAAGGAAAATGCCTAGGCCGGGCGCCGTGGCTCACACCTGTAATCCCAGCACTTTGGGAGGCCAAGGCAGGCAGATCATGAGGTCAGGAGATCAAGACCATCCTGGCCAAAATGGTGAAACCCCATCTCTACTAAAAATACAAAAATTCGCTGGGCGTGGTGGCACACGCCTGTAGTCCCTGCTACTCGGGAGGCTGAGGCAGGAGAATCGCTTGAACCTGGGAGGCGGAGGTTGCAGTGAGCCGAGATCACACCACCGCACTTCAGCCTGGTGACAAAGCGAGACTCCATCTCAAAAAAAAAGAAGAAAAGTGCCTAAAACAATAATTATATGTTAATGGAAAGACATGTAAAATATGTAATTTATAACAACAACATAAAGAGGGAAACAGAGCTGTATAAGAGCAAGGTTTTTTATACTGTCCAGGCTAAGTTGGTAACAATTCAAACTAGATTGTTATGAATTTAGGATTTTAATTGTAATTGCCATAGTAACCACTAAGAAAATAAGAAATAGGTCAGGGCGCAGTGGCTCACACCTATAATCCCAGTGCTTTGGGAGGCCAAGGCAGGCGGATTACGACGTCAGGAGATCAAGACCATCCTGGCCAACATGGTGAAACCCTGTCTCTACTAAAAATACAAAAATTAGCTGGGCGTGGTGGCACGCAGCCTGTAGTCCCAGCTACTTGGGAGGCTGAGGCAGGAGAATCACTTGAACCCCGGAGGTAGGGGCAGGAGAATCACTTGAACCTGGGAGGCGGAGTTTGCAGTGAGTCAAGATCGCACTACTGCACTCCAGCCTGGATGACAGACCGAGACTCCATCTCAAAAAACAAAAAAAGAAATAAAATAAGAAATAATGAAGTTTTCTCTAGTTTTGTTAAAGTAGTATATAAAAATTAGATTATTAGAAAATACACTTAATTGCTAGCTTAGAAGTCTTTTAAATTCTACTGTCAGCCGGGCACAGTGTCTCACCCCTGTATTTCCAACACTTTAGGAGGCCAAGGTGGGAGGATCACTTGGGCCCAGGAGTTCAAGACCAGCCTCTGTAACATAGGGAGACCCTGTCTACAAAAAATTAAAACAATTAGCCAGGTATGATGGCAAGCACCTGTCATCCTAGGTACTCAGGAGGCTGAGGTGGGAGGACCACTTGAGACTGAAAGATTGAGGCTGCAGTGAGTCTTGATTGCACCACTGTACTCCAACCTGGGCGACAGAGTGAGACTCTATATCAAAAAAAAAAAAACAAATTCTGTCAGTCAATCAACTAATATTCAAGTATTTAATATAGTAGGCTTCCTGCTAAGTTTCAACAATTGTCTCCATTTCTTCCCACTAAATTTTTTAATGTATAGTCAAGAAGGAAGAGCTATCTGATGTCTAGAGTGACATTCTAGTGTTGGGAAATGCTAGATAAGATGTTCACATTTTCAGATTTCCCAGCCACATTTAAGCTCAAAAAATATGAATACTTGTCCCCATGACTTTCCTGAAGGTCTAAAAGATATTTCTGTCTCCATCCCTTCAAAACCAAGATACCTGATTGTGAGGAGTAGAAGACCCCTATATGGTCCAGTGTATGTTCTCTTCAATCTCAAAGCGTGTTTAGAGTATTGCCATTGCTATCAGAAATGTGAACTTTCCCCTCAGATCCTAGATTTTCAGATTAAGCTAATCTTAGAACATGGGCTTTCCTCCTTCCTTATCAGAGGCCACTGTGGTAAAATATTATAGAAAGTAATTGTTGGCCAGTCGCAGTGGCTTATGCCTGTAGTCCCAACACTCTGGGAGGCTGAGGCGGGCAGATCATTTGAGGTCTGGAGTTTGAGACCACCCTGGCCAACATGGTGAAACCCTGTCTCTACTAAAAATACAAAAATTAGCCGGGTGTCATGGCCGGCGTTTGTGGTCCCAGCTACTCGGGAAGCTGAGGCAGGAGAATCACTTGAACCCAGGAGGTGGAGGCTGCCAAGATCTCGCCACTGCACTCCAGCTTGCGTGACAGAGTGAGACTCTGTCTCAAAAAAAGTAATAATAATAATTGCTAATACCTAATGTTGCGCTTTACAGCTCACATAGAACATTTACTTATATTATCTAAAATGAGGTATTAAAATAGATGAACAAACTGATATCTGGGCTGGGAGGGAGTTGTTGCTTCTTTTATTTCTTTGGGGTACTACTAGCACAGCCTGTCAGTACATTAAAAATAGAGACTTTTTGGCATTACTTTGTTTTTTCCAAGATTAACTAGCACAACACAAATTTCTTGTGCCTAGGTGTAACCAGTGTTGAGACTTCACATACCACACACAATTAATGACATCAACCTTGCAGTACTGACAGCGATATCATGCCCAGTTTGTATATGGTGTCTGGGTCATCTGAGGAAGTTAAAATAGTATTGTGATCTGTGAACAGGCCAAGTCTAGCAGGTGCCATTTGCATAGACTAGAATATAAATAGTATCCTCTAAAGCTATATGATGTAATGTCCCTAAAATGAATTATCTCCCATCTTCTTTCATTCTCAGAAACAAAAATACTGATTCTTGTATTGTTTGATGGAAAACTATTAGTTGTTCAACATAACCAGCAAAGTATAAAGACTTGACACCTAATGGCTTCTGTTTTCTCTGAGAGTTAGAATTAGTATGTAGCTTAAGAAGAGCTGTAGGCATTTAGAATGATATTTGGGGTGGTGGTGGGGAAATGGAGGCATCAGCTAGGGATAGTTTAGAACCAGTTCTAAATTGAGTGGAATTGCCAAAATTCGGTATGGTATTGGATAACAAATATGGCCTATTTTGACACAGGGTCTTAATTTTTTTTTTAATAGGCTTGTGCCATTCTTCTTAATCTAATAGGCATTGGCAATCCCTAATTACGGAGAACTGGTTTGTCTAGTGACATCCCAAACATAGGAAGAATGTTTCCTTCTTTAAAATTTTTTGATAGACACTTGAGTCAAATGAAGAAATCCCAGATGAAAAATTTTAGAAAGGACATTCTACTCTCCTGTAGAATGGGAAAATTGTCCCATTCAGCTAGTTGTAAGCCAAAGGAGAAAACTTAAGGGGTTGTATTATGCAGCTACATTTTTGAACTGATAACAGTTACCCTTCCCTGTCCTTTCCTGCCTAAACAGATCCTGATGCTGCAAACCAACATTTCTTTCTTTTTTTTTATCACTGTTGATGAAGGTTATTTAAAACAGAATCAGTGATATGTTAGCAAATATTTTATGACTGGCTTTCAGGAAAAAAGAACATAGATTCATAGCAATTGTGTCATGGTTTAAATACTCCCACCATCAATGTGAGGTCACTGAATGTAGATTTGAGAAGAGCTTTGTATATGCAGAATTAATTCTCATTAGCCAATCTGAGCAGGCTCCAGCACACCACTGACAGTTAAAAGAGGTGGATGACTGATGTGAGTAACCACATGAATGAATGTCAAAAACATTATGCTAAAAAAAATGTGCTGAGGTAAGAAGCCAGATATAAAAGAACATATACTGTATGATTACATTTATTTGAATTTAGAACAGGCACTATTAATTTACAGTGATAGAAATCAGATCAGTAGCTTTTTGGTTTTTGTTTTATTGAGAAGGAATTTGGCTATGAAGGGATATGAAGGAACTTTCTTTCTTTCTTTTTTTTTTTTTTTGAGACAGAGTATAGATCTTGTCACTATGCTAGTAGCGCCATCTTGGCTCAACTGCAACCTCTGCCTCCTCAGTTCAAGCAATTCTCCTGCCTCAGCCTCCCGAGTACCTGGGATTACAGGTGCCCACCACCACGCCCAACTAATATTTTTGTATTTTTAGTGGAGACAGGGTTCCACCATGTTGGCCAGGCTGGTCTCGAACTCTTGACCTCAGGTGATCCACCCACCTTGGCCTCCCAAAGTGCTGAGATAACAGGTATGAGCCAGCACACCTGGCCAGGAACTTTCTTAGATGAAAATATTCATAGCAGCATTACCCAATAGAACTTTCTACAGAACTATCAACATAACAATTGTATTTTCAATCTCTGCTTAGGAAAAATAACCAAACAGCAATTTAAAGATAGCCTGTAGGCCAGGTGTGGTGGCTCATACCTGTAATCCCAGCATTTTGGGAGGCCAAGGTGGGCAGATCACTTGAGGTCTGGAGTTCAAGACCAGCCTGGCCAACATGGTGAAACTCCGTCTCTGCTCAAAATCAAAAATTAGCCGGCTGTAGTGGTGGGCGCCTATAATCCAAGCTACTTGGGAGGCTGAGGCAGGAGAATCACTTGAACCTGGGAGGCAGAGGTTGCAGTGAACTGAGATCGCACCACTGCACTCCAGCCTGGGCGATACGGCGAGACTTAGTATCAAAAAGAAAAAAAAAAAGCCTAATAGTAAGATGGAACCCAGTATGCTAGTATATATTTAACAGTCAGCTCATAGCAAACCAAGCCCTAGTTTGTTGTGTTTTCTAATTTCTATGGTGTAAATACTCTCACCATGACTCACCATTCAAACTACCAAGATGAAGGCATTGAATGGTGAGTTGGAAAGAGAAATGTACGATCAATTCATAAGCTGGTGTGAACTCAGTTTCTGAACTGCTTCTACCCGTCACTATTATTGACGGACTGAATTTTCTTGGTTTTAGTTTAGTTCTTTAGATTATTCAATCTTTCCCAGAGCTGTGTCTTTGCCCAGAGACTTTATTGAACCTCAGAGATGTCTGGCTAGGCTGTAGCTCAACTTTAGATCCTTTAACAGAAGGAAGAACACGAGGGCTGAGTGCGGTGGCTCAGGCCTGTAATCCTAGCACTTTGGGAGGCTGAGGTGGGCAGATCACTTGAGGTCAGGAGTTCAAGACCAGCCTGGCCAACATGATGAAACCCTATATCTACTAAAAATACAAAAACTAGTTGGGCTTGGTGGTGGGCACTTTTAATCCCAGCTACACGGGAGGGTAAGGCAGGAGAATTGCTTGAACCCAGGAGGCAGAGGTTGCAGTGAGCCGAGATCATGCCATTGCTGTCCAGCCTGGGTGACAGAGCAAGACTCCATCTCAAAAATAATAATAATAAGGAATAACATGCGTATGATCCTTAAAATATTTCTGCAACTTTTTTTTTCCCCTGGTGCTGCAGCTTCTATTCGTAAAGAATGGTGAGGAACACAACCAAGCTTTAAAATCAGTGTACTTGAGAGGTTTTGTTGTTGTTGTTTTTACAGGTAATTAACCATATGTTACACATTTTAATCTGCTTTTAAGTGCAAGAGAGATTGGCAAATGACTTAATAAAGAAATGACTTCTGCTTAAATTGGATAAAATGGTTGTTTACTGGTGTTTATTGCTGTATTCCAAGTAGACAAGTAATCTGTGAATCCAGTTTAGTTTATTGGACAATAAATGGTACTCAGAACTTTTATCAGTGTTTGATTGTCAGGATGCCCATTGAAATTGACTTCATACTTAGGGAACTTTAATTTTATTGTACAGTATGCACTGTTAAAAAAAATATCCTTGTCTTTCAGTATAAACCTATGACATTGCCTTGTGGCATTATCATCCCTGAGATGCTTTCTTGCTCTAAGATTTCTTCTATGTCATAAAGAAAAAAGGAACTTTTGGTTCCTTCATATCTAATGCAGTTTTTTCTTTTGTAAACTCTAAATATTTTCCATTGCCACCATCAACAATTCAAATAACAATCTTACTGATGGAAAGTCCATGATTAGAAATAGCTGCTTCTTCAAAAATAAAGAACTTTGTATGTACCTATCCATTTTGAAAATCTTAACCATTGTGCTCAGAAGGAGAGATATGATTTTAAGAAGGGTCACATTTAGAATACCAATAATGTCCTACTCCTGAAATAATTGGGACCAGGCCGCTAAAAAGAAAGCACCTGATGTTTGGCCTTTCAGTATTTTCTATAACTATGACGCCTTGGTCCAAATTATCTAATAAATGCTTCTTCCTATTCTCCCGCCCTAAGAGTCCATGGTCTCTTTATAAAGAAGAATCATATACATACAGATATTACTTGAATTTATATGGCATCCTCATGAGGTGAATCCCACCTATGTCACTTAGGATTCATTTGATTGCCCTGGTTTGATCCAATTCAAGTATTAATTCAGGCCAGGTGCAATGGCACATGCCTATAATCCCAGCACTTTGGGAGGCCGAGGTGGGCAGATCACTTCAGTTCAGGAGTTCGAGGCTAGCCTGGCCAACATGGGGAAACCCCCGTCTCTACTAAAGATACAAAAATTAGCCGGGTGTGGTGGCAGGCACCTGTAGTTCCAGCAACTTGGGAGGCTGAGGCAGGAGGATTGCTTGAACCCGGGAGGCAGAGGTTGCAGTGAGTAAGCCAAGATTGTGCCACTGCACTCCAGCCTGGGTGACAAGAGTGAGACCCTGTCTCAATAGAAAAAAAAAAAAAAGGCCAATATGGGCCCAGGGCCTGCCATTCAGACTTCCGCTTGTGGCAGAGACCAAGGGATGGCAGCAGGTTAGTCGCAGGTGAAGTCATAACAAGCGGTGTGGAGCCGCACCTGGGCAACATGTCGGAAGGAAATGCAGTGAGCGAACCCAGCACTCTGCAAGGGCCCCGACCCCTCCTGACTGGGGCCCAGGAGCTCAGCAGGCAGCGACTGGCACCCCTTCACCCCGGGCCGCCTTCCCTTCATCCGCTCTGGGAACCTTACCCTGGGGGTTGAGGTTGGGGGTCAAGAAGAAAACCTTCACCCCAAATATCATCAGTCAGAAGAACCCAAGGAAGAAGTAACCGTCAAGAAGGAGAAACATGAAAGGGACAGAGATGGACAGAGACAGGTGCATGGACAGGGATGAGGCCACCCAGAAGTGATCCAGTCTCACTCCATCTTTGAGAAGGGCCCAGCTGAAATGATGAAGAAAAAAGGAACTGGAATAAGAAAGTGAATGTGTCAGACATGGGACCTTCTCATATCGTCCACATCAAAAAAGAGAAGAAAGAGTTGGACGAAGACACGAAACATCTCACCATGCTGTAGAAGGACGATTTCATTGATGACCCTGGGCTGAGGAATGACACTCGCAACATGCCTGTGCAGCTGCCACTGGCTCACTCAGGGTGGCTTTTTAAGGAAGAAAACAATGAACCAGATGTTAAACCTTGGCTGGCTGGCCCCAAGAAAGAGGTGGGGGTACCTACTGTGAAACTGAAAGAGGAGCTACAAGATGAGGAGGAGGCCAAGATAAAGGCTCCTTCCAGAGCAGCCAGGAAGACCCCCGGGCCTCCCGAAGGACATATCCGTGGCAGAGCTGCCCAGGGAGCTGAGCCTCACCAAGGAGGAGGAATTGCTGTTCCTCCAGTTGCCAGACACCCTCCCTGGCCACCCACCTATCCAGGACATCAAGCCCATCAAGGCAGAGGTACAGGGCAAGGACAGAGAGGTGGTACTCATCAAGCAGGAGAACGACCAGGAAGCCAGGCTGGCAAAGAATGCTTCTACCCTAGCTGACCTGACAGAGGGTCAGGTTGGCAAGCTGCCCATCTGCAAGTCCGAAAGGGTGCAACTCCTCCTGGGCAAGGTGACTCTGGACGTGACCATGGGAACCGCCTGCTCTTTCCTGCAGGAGCTGGTGTCTGTGGGCCTTGGAGAGAGTAGGACTGGGGAGATGATAGACCTGGGACATGTGAAGCACAAACTTCTGTGTTCCCCCGATTTTGAATCCCTCTTGGATCACAAACACTGGTAAAATGATCAGATGGAGGAGGATGGCGGCTGCTGTCTGCTCCAGACATTTTGTTCTCGAATCTCTGCAACCCAGGAGAGGCCAGTTGAGCCCACCCACTCCAGCCTTTGGCAGCCATTGTCCCAGTTTCCCCCAGGGCCCACAGGGCTTCCTCCCACAGCAGCTGTGAATGGCACAGTTACCTTCCCACAGTGTGAAGATGGTACATCCTTGCTGCTGGGGACTTGTCCATGCTATTTGTTTTTGTATTTATATTTTGTATTTTGTCTTAATCTCTTCAACTGACTGCATCCTCCCAAGGGAGGAGGGAGGATCTGTGGGAAGGTGCAGGCTTTTGGTGGCTGTTGGGCCGTCAGGCAGCAAGTGTGAGGACTGCAGCTTTTGCTGGTGCTCCCTTCTTCCTCCCAGAGGCAGTATAGGAGAGAGAGCAAGGATTGAGTCTGAGACTTAAGCATGGGGTCCCAACTCATCAGTTCCTGGTTCTGTATCCTTGCGCAAACTACCTAACCTTTCTGAGCCTCCTGTTCCTCATCTGACAAAAATGGGGATGATACCTACTTCACAGGGTTGACGTGAGGATTACATGGGATATTATAGATGAAAACTCCTTGCACAAGGCCAGAACCAGTAGCCACTCAATAAATGTTAATTTCCTTTTAAGTAAATAAATAAATAATCAAATGTTAATTCAAAGTCCCACATGAGAGCGTTCTGTGTTTTGTGGTGTTTGTTTTGTTTTGTTTTAGAGACAGGGTCTCATTCTTTCACCTAGGCTGGGGTGCGGTGGCACAATCACAGCTCACTGCATCCTCGAATTCCTGGACTCAAAGGATCCTCCTGCCTCAGCCTCCTGAGTAGCTGGAACTATAGACATGTGCTACCATACCTAGCTAGTTTTTTTTTTTTTTTAATCTGTAGACTGCCTCTGTGGACAGTTTTTCAAATTTTTTGTAGAAACAGGGCCATGCTTTGTTGCCCAGACTGGTCTTGAGCTCCTGGCCTCGAGTGTTCCTCCCACCTTGGCTGAGACGACAGGTGTGAGCCACTGCACGTGGTCAGCCTTCTATCTTTAAACAGGATCTGAATCTAGATTCATCAACTCATAAATATGTTCTCATTTTTAAATGATGGAATGATGGAAAGTGAAAGCACCAATCAAATCATATTTTCATTATTTCCAGAATGTGTTCAGCACAGTTAGGTCTGGAAAGGTTTTTGGGAAAGGTTGTGCAAGGTTGAATTTATTCACTGTTGAAATAGCACCTCTAAATTTCAAGCAATTGTATGATTTACTTTTATACAAGTGTCAGAAATGCTAAATTATTAAATCCCAATGGCAGGATCACTGACAACTAGAAACTTGAGTTTATTTGCTTCCGTGGTTTACTAAACTAAGCTAGAGAAATATAGTACAGTTATTTACTACTTAAGATCAGCCAGAAAATGTATAGTGAGTTCATACTGTACTAGATTCTGGGAGATAATCAAATGTAAAACATATACCAGTCTCAAGGAAGTTAAAATCTAGTAGGAATAATCACTATATTCAGCAATAATTGTTAATTGAGCACCTACTCTGTACTAGATACAGTACTAAGAGCTGGGAATAAGATTAAGTCATAATTCCTACCTATAAGGAGTTCAAAGTTTAGTTGAGAAGACATTTGTAAAGAAGTAATTGTAACTATGATAGATACCTTCCTGGAAGTATGTGAAGGTTATAAGTGATGGCATAAAAGAGAATAATCAGTTCTGCTTGGAGGCCAAGGACTATAGCCAAGAAGACATGCCTTATTTGGAACTAAGAGTGAAAGACAATTTGAAATGTAGACTTGATACATACACAAGAATAAAAGATCATGGCACATTTGGGACATCATGAGTATGACCAAAGAGTAACTGACTAAAGTTACTCTTTTGGTCAGGGAAAGATAAAGTTTGAACAATAGGCTGGATTCATATCCTAGAGTTAAGAGTTCATTCAATAGAGAACCATTGAAGAGTTTTTAACAGGGGAATAACATCAGATTTGTATTCATGAAAAAGTACTCTGTTTATTCATCATATATTTATTGAGCCCCTATAATATACCAGGCATAGTTCTGGATGCTAGCAATCATCAGAAAAAAATATTGCCTTTTCTATAGCTCCTCTTACCTAGGCAGCCAAGTTTTGTGCCCTGAGCCCT
Source organism: Homo sapiens (assembly GCF_000001405.40). Lineage (NCBI taxonomy): Eukaryota > Metazoa > Chordata > Mammalia > Primates > Hominidae > Homo > Homo sapiens. The sequence goes on from NC_000010.11 coordinate 74,658,321, forward strand.
AGCTCCTTTCCTGTGCTCAGCTGAGTGAATCAGGGTTAGGAACATAACCAAAGGTAGACAGTCCATAGATGGTCAGTGAGCTATGAGCTAAAACAGCAGAGGAAATCAGTTTTTTGTCTGTCTGTTTTTGATGTAGGATCTCCCTCTGTCACCCAGGCTGGAGTGCAGTGGTGCTATCATGGCTCACTACAGCCCCAACCTCCTGGGCTCAAGCAATCCACCCACCTTAGTTAGCCTCCCAAGTAACTGGGACTACAGGCACGCACCCCCATGCCCGGCTGGCTTTTAATTTTTTTTGTAGAGACAGCTTGTTGTGCAGGCTGGTCTCAAACTCCTGGGCTCAAGCGATTCTCCTGTCTCAGCCTCCCAAGGCTCTGGGATTACAGGCATAAATCACCATGCCTGGCTGGAAACCAGTTCTTCAGATAAGAGAGTGCAGCATGTAACATTTAAAGAAGTAGAGACCAGGTTGACATGAACAGCTTTATAGTAAGATTAAAGTGATATGCTTCATTTAGTGAACCTATTAAAGATAACAGAAACCTCGTTAATTCATTATACACACACACACACACACATATATACACGTGCATATATATATGTGTATATATATAGTCAGGTGCAGTGGCCCACACTTGTAATCCCAGTACTTCGGGAAGCCAAGGTGGGAGGATCACTTGAGCCTAGAAGTTTGAAACCAGCCTAGGCAACATAGGGAGGCCCATCTCTATAAAAAAAATAAAAATAAATTAGCTGGGCATGGTGGCGCATGCCTGTGGTCCCAGCTACTTGGAAGGCTGAGGCAGGAAGATCACTTCAGCCCAGAGCTCAAGGCTGCAGTGAGCTGTGATGGCACCACTGCACCCCAGCCTGGGTGACAGAGAGAGATCCTGTCTCTAAAAAATTTCTTAAATGCAGTCACACACACTAAACAAAGGGGAAATAAGGTTTTAGAGCAGTAATTCCATCTATCATTGTTTTCTTGGTCATTTTTCCATGGAAAACTATTTTTGTATTCAAAGTCAACACTCATTCTCTTATATGTTTACATTCAGAACTGAAGACCTTAACTGGAATTAACTTAAAACATTTGTAGAAAATCAGATGCAAACATGAACAAACTAAGAGATTTTACCACAAACAATGATGTAGAGGCAGGTAGTCTGCAAGGTCAGAACCATGCCTTCAGAAGCAGCAATTTTAAGTGAGACCTGAATCTCCTATACTCAAAGGTCTTGCATTAGTCAGGATTCTCTAGAGGGATAGAACTAATAGGATAGATATGTATCTATATAAATGGGAGTTTATTAAGTAGTATTAACTCACACAATCACAAGGTCCCACAATAGACCACCTACAAGCTAGGAGCAAGGAAGACAGTCCGAGTCTCAAAGCTGAAGAAAGTCTGACGTTCCAGGGCAGGAAGCATCCAGCGCAGGAGAAAGTTGTAGGCTGGGAGGGTAAGCCAGTCTGGCCTTCTCATGTTTTTCTGCCTGCTTTATATTCTCTGGCAGCTGATTAGATGGTGCCCACCAAGATTAAGGGTGGGTCTGCCTTCCCCAGCCCACTGACTTTGGCAACACCCTCACAGACACACCCAGGATCAATACTTTGCATCCTTCAATCCAATCAAGTTGACCCTCAGTATTAACCATCACAAGTTTCATTTCAAGATTAATAATATCCTTGTCCATTTAATCATAAAAAGGAATGCTTATTATGTGCCAACTTTTCCAAGTGCTTTATATGTATTAACTAATTTACTCCTCAGAAAAATCCTGTAAGTACCTGCAAATGCTATTATTGTTCCTTTTTTCTTTCTTTCTGAGACAACATCTGGCTCTATCACCCAGGCTGGAGTGCAGCAGCACTATCTCGGCTCACTGCAATTTCCGCCTCCTGGACTCAAACCATCCTCCCACCTCAGCCTCCCGAATAGCTGGGGCTACAGGAATGCACCACCACACCTGGCTAGTTTTTTTGTATTTTTTTGTAGAGATGGAGTTTCGCCATGCTACCCAGGCTGGTCTCGAACTTATTAGCTGAAACAATCTGCCCATCTCAGCCTCCCAAAATGCTGGGGTTACAGACACGAGCCACCGTGTCTAGCCTCCTATTTTAAATATGAGAAAATTGGCCTGGCACAGTGGCTCATGCCTGTAATCCCAACACTTTGGGAGGCCAAGTTGGGAGGATTACTTGAGCCTAGGAGTTTGAGACCAGCCTGGGCAACATGACGAAAACTCTTCTCTACAAAGAATCAGCTGGGCATGGTGGCATGCGCCTGTAATCCCAGCTACCTGGGAGTCTGAGATAGGAGGATCACTTGAGCCAGGGAAGTTGAGGTTGCAGTGAGCCGAGATTGCACCACTGCACTCCAGCCAGGGTGACAAAGTGAGACCCTGTCTCAAAAAAAAAAAAAAAAAAAAGAGGCCAGGCGCAGTGGCTCATGCCTGTAATCCCAGCACTTTGGGAGGCCAAGGCAGGTGGATCATGAGGTCAGGGGTTCGAGACCAGCCTGGCCAATATGGTGAAACCCCATCCCTACTAAAAATACAAAAATTAGCTGGGCGTGGTGGCACGCACCTGCTGTCCCAGCTACTCAGGAGGCTGAGGCAGAAGAATCGCTTGAACTCAGGAGGCGGAGGTTGCAGTGAGCTGAGATTGTGTAACTGCACTCCAGCCTGGGTGACAGAGCAAGACTCTGTCTCAAAGAAAAAAAAAAGGAAAAAGGAGAATTTAATCTGATTACCAGATTGTAAATGGCAAATCTGGAATGTGAACCCAAGCAGTCTGACTTATGCACTTAACCACAGTTATACTCCCTCTACTCTCTATGGAGAATTTATCAACTTAATTTAGTCAAATTTGGTTATCAGTACCAGGCTTAAGGGAATTTAAATGTCAGTTAACTGCTGTGTAACAATGAATCAAAATCTATTTATTCCATCATCACCTTTTTTTCAGGAAAATAGTAGCAACATTACTTGAATGACAACTTTGGGATCATATTTTACTACTTCTCTTTCATTCATTTGTCCCAAATTCCTGCCTTTGCCATGGGACTCTAGGCAGTTGACAAACTCTGTGAGCCTCAGAGTCATCATTTATAAAATAAGGTTAGTGATACCTTACTCATGTGAGAATTAGATGAGATAAAGTATACAAAGCATTTGATGCAGTGCTTTTTCACTCAGATAACTACCGTTGCATTCCATTGCCTGATGTATCAAATCCAAACTTTTGCGTGGCTTTCAAAGTCTCCCTAGAAATGGCTAGATCCCACCCATCTTGATTTATTTCTTGCCTTACTTGATATATAAACTTTCTTCTGTCTCTATTCCTCTTGGGACATACACACCTTTCTTTTCCTCTCTTTTTCATTATCCACATGTTTAAGACCTAGTTTAAGTTCAGTCTTCTCCGTGAAAGCATCTCCAGTTAAACTATATTGTTCTTTCCCTTTTTTGAACTCCTGTTGCAGTTATAATAGATGTTACATTGTGTGATATTTCACAAATTCTTTGATATATGCTAGGTTTCTCTTTCCATCTAGATTCTAAGCTCCTTGAGAAGATAGATCATGTCTTAATATTTTTCCTGTATCTCCCCCAGAGGATCTAACAGAGTATCATAACTATTGTTCTATGAGATCTAATGAGCTCACAGCTATTGTTCAACAAATACTTATTACCTGATTGAAGAAAATAAGCTCCTAAAAATACCTGATAATATTATATAGGTCTTTATATTGTCAGGGTGTTTTTATAACACTGTTAATACTTAATCCATATAATAGTCACAGAAAATAGGTAGAACAGATATTATCTTCATTTTTTAGGTAATAACACTGAGTTTAAATTACATTGTGGCTTGCCCAAGGATTCTTGGTAAGTAGCGTTATTGACCCCACCCTCAACCCCTGCCATTCCAGTCCATTGTCCGTTCTCTATCAGGCTGCCAAAATAATTTTCTTTTGAGACAGGGTGTTGCTCTGTCATGCAGGCTGGAGAGCAGTGGCACAATCATAGCTCACTGCATCCTCAACCACCTGGGCTCAAGCGATCCTCCCACCTCAGCCTACTGAGTAGCTGGGAATATAGATGTGCACCACCACATCCAGCTAATTTTTCCATTTTGGGTAGAGATGAAGTTTTGCCATGTCTCCCAGTCTGGTCTCAAACTCCTGGGCTCAACCAGTCCTCCCGCCTCAGCCTCCCAAAGTGCTGGGATTATAGACATGAGCCACTGTGCCCAGCAATATTTTCATATCAAAGATGAGATTGCATCACTCCCTTATTTAAAACTTTCCAACAGTTTCCCATTTTACATAGAATGAAATCCTGCAAAACCCCCACATTCAGTATACTCCAGGTACAGTGGCCTTCTTTAGCTTCAGCAGTCTTAGTTTGCCAAGCTTGTTGCTAGTCTGGGGCCTCTGCACTTGAATGTTCTACCCCTGGAACTTCACATGGCTTGTTCCTTCTTACCCTTGAAATCTCAACTCAAATATCACCTCCTCAGTGAGGAAGTAATACCTATGTAAATTAACTCCCCTCCCTTGTCACACTTCATCATATCATCCTGTTTTATTTTCTGTATGGCACCTATTAATATCTCAAATTAGGCCGGGCATGGTAGCGCATGCCTGTAATCCCAGCACTTTGGGAGGCCAAGGTGGGTGGATCATGGATCACTTGAGCTCACGATTTCAAGGCAAGCCTGGCCGACATGATGAAACCCTATCTCTACTAAAAGTACAAAAAGTTAGCTGGGCATAGTGGTGCACGCCTGTAATCCCAGCTAAGAGTAGCTGAGGCACAAGAATAGCCTGAACCCAGGAGGTGGAGGTTGAAGTGAGCCAAGACCACACCACTGTACCCCAGCCTATGCAACAGAGCAAGATGCTATCTCAAAAAAAAAAAATAATATATATATATATATATATGTATCTCAAATTAGCTTGTTTATATATTTGTTACTTGTGTATTGTCTATCCCCACTAGAATGTTGGCCTCATAAAAGCAGAGTTTTTATCCTATTCACATCTGTATTCCCAGTCCCTAATAAAGTACCTGACACATGGTAGAGTCTTAATAAATATTTATTAAATAAAATAGCTAAGCCCGAACTAGACTAAAACTATGGCTTTTTTGCTCCTAATCAAGTGTACTTCCCATGAACATTTAATTTTTCCTACTTTTTGTGGAAGCACTTATACCTTTGGAACTACAGTAAGAATTGATGTTCAGAATAATGACATTAAGATGTGCTGTAGGATTCTCTATTATCAAAGAAAAATTTTATTCAGTTCAATAAACTAAACTAATTAAAGCAGGGATGTCATGGCATATTATTATATTAACACATTTAGAAAGATTTCCAAATAAAAAGACTTTCTGCTTTTTCTTTAGTTAACTAGAAAATTAAATTAACTCAGAGCTCTTTATGCCTCAAAAGTCCTTGTTAATTAGGATTGTTCTATAAATCTCTATTATTAGCAGAGTTCATCATCTTTTTTATTGCCCTGTTTATTAGGGCAGTCTAAGCAGGGTGTCTTTGCTCATATCCTGATATGTGTGTCCTAGTGAAAAGAAAAGCATTTCCGGATTCTCATTTTTTCCCTATTCCTTGATATAGGCATATTTCATGCTGTTAGTATAACAATTTAGTTTCCTTCTATCAGTTCTCTCCATAAAGCTGGAATGATATTATTGACCTATGAAGCAAAATAATTAAATTTAAGGTCTGTTTAAAAGCATTAATGCTTTGTGACGTTGTTTATGATAATAGAAGATTGAAAATAGCCTAAAAGTCCATCAGTAAAGGATTGGTTAAATAAATTATACTATATCCATGTAGTGGACTATTATGCAGCAATAAAAAATAATGAGGACATTCTCTGTTTACCAATATAGAAAGATATCCAAGATTTTAAAATATGATCCAGAGTAGCCTAGATAGTATGATACCTTTTTTTGTGTGGGTGAGGGGAGGAAAAAATTAAGAATGTAGTTTATTGTATATGCATAGAAAAATTCTAGAAGGATATATAAGAAAGCAATAACAGTGATAACCAGATTGGGAAGTAGAAGGAGCAGAAACCAGCTGAAGGGCAGAGATGAGGAGAGGGAGATTTTATAGCATAGCTTTTCATATGTTTTATATTTTTGAATCATACGAATACATTACCTACTCAAAAAGTTAAATTAAAAACAAGCACAACTAAAAGTAATATGTGGCCAGGCATGGTGCCTCACGCCTGTAATCCCAGCACTTTGGGAGGCCAAGGTGGATGGATCACTTGAGGTCAGGAGTTCAAGACCAGTCTGGCCAACATGATGAAACTCCGTCTCTACTAAAAATACAAAAATTAGCCGGGCATGGTGGTACACACCTGTAGTCCCAGCTACTCAGGAGGCTGAGGAAGGATATCGCTTGAACCTGGGAGGTGAAGGTTGCAGTGAGCCAGGATCGCACCACTGCACTCCAGCCTGGGCGACGCAGCGAAACTCCATCTCAAAGAAAAAAAAGTAATATGTGATTCTGGACTGAATTCTATACCAGATGAAAAATATTGCTATAAAATACATTAGGACAATTAAGAAAATTGAACTGTGGACTATAGATTAGATTAAAATGTTGTTTTCTGTGTTTATCAACTATAACCTGGCTAACAGAATATCATCACTCTTAGGAAATACACACTGAAGTATTAAGGGGTAAAAGGCATAATATATACCACAAATGCTAAATAAAACTTTGAAAGAATAAATAATGTTATATATATGGGAGGAATGATCAACTAAATGTGGCAAAATGTTAAAAAATGGTAAATCTGGATAAATGTTGCATAGAAATTGTCTGTATTTTTCTGGGAACTTTTCTGTTAATTTAAAATTATTTCTAAATAGTTTTTTAAAAGAAACAAACAAAAACATTTTAATACTATGGATATTACCTTATTATAAGCAATGGCATAAGAATGTGAAGGGTTCTGGTTTTTACGTAGTCATACTTTTCACTTTCTGGAGAAGTTTTTACCATCACTTTTCTGTTTCTTCCATGCCTATTGATGCTGGGTCAGAGGCAGTGGCAGGGGTAGTGACTGAATTTTACCTTGAGGTTGAAAAACACCAGGCCAAGTGTGGTGACTCATGCCTGGTGTTTAGGAGGCTGAGGCAGGAGGATCACTTGAAGCCAAGGGCTCAAGACCAGTCTGGAGAACACAGCAAGACCCTGTCTCTACAAAAAAAATTTAAAAATTAGCCAGGCATGTTGGCTTGCACCTGTAGTCCTAGCTGCTCAGGAGGCTGAGGCAGGAGGATCCTTTTAGCCCAGGAGTTTGAGGCTACAGTGAACCATGATCACACCACTGCACTCCAGCCTGGGAGGCAGAGTGAGACCTTAGCTCTTGAGAGAGAGAGAGAGAGAGAGAGAGAGAGAGAGAGAGAGAGAGAGACAGACAGACAGAAGGAAAATGAAGAAAGGAAGGAAAAGGAAGAGAGAGAGAAAAGAAAGAAAGAAAAACACCTGCCTACCTGCCTTTCAACCTGCTGGATCACCTTCACTTGTATCTTCTCAACAGTTTAGGACATCAACAAAACAGTAACAATGTGGCATTTTAAAAATTCTTTGAACAAAATTTTCTAAGGATATCGTGAGGTTGTGTGTATCTAGTGCTAAAATATATAGTTAATTTAGTGGAGGTAAACCTGCAGAAACATTTAATTGTTTGGCATTGAGTAACTGGATTTGTATTATTGTTCAATTAGATATTGTGGCAATTGTAGAAACTTAACCATCTCTAATATAATTGACTTTCATTATTGATGCATGAAGATGTTTTTATTCTAATTAGATTGGCCTCTTAAGTGATTAGGTAGTGAAGCTTGTCTCATATTTAAGTGAAGAGTAAATTATTTGTATGAAGTGTCTAGAGGATGCCTAAAATTGATTATTTTGTATTCTAGGTAAGCTAAATTTTATTGTTTTGAATGAAGGCACTCTGCAAGTCTTATCTAATAAATGACACAAAACAAATCTGTTATCAACTGAATTGTTAGTGTTTGTTTCCTGTCTGCTTGGGGAAGCTTATGATTTAGTGGTTTTTTAGAAATCCAGAAAGTAGGAATAATAATTATTCCCAACCCTTTTCCTTCTCACTTTACAAAAAGTTTGTGAAGAATTGAGAAATAAATGCTACGAATAATCTTAAGCTCTTAGGTAGAAGTACTTGATCAAAACTAACCAGGTCATTTTTCTACAATTAGTGCAGAAAGCTAGTTTTTACTAATTGTTCCCACAGCTACTCCAGGCCCATTTCATGCCTAAGAAAACTAGGTCCCAGTGAGAGTCATGTGAGTGTTGTAGGCTTCATTGGTTGAATAACGTCCTTACCTGTAAGTGTATATTCAGATTTAGTGAATGTACTTCATGTGTTCATATAATAAATTTCCTAGAATAGCTATGGAGTAGGTCATGCCGGTAAAAACTGTTAGTTTTGTGACTTTTTTTTTTTTTTTTTTTTGAGACTGAGTCTCACTGTTGCCCAGGCTGAAGTGCAGTGACATGATCTCTGCTCACTGCAACCTCCGCCTCCCAGATTCAAGTGATTCTCGTGCCTCAGCCTCCCAGGTAGCTAGGATTACAGGCACATGCCACCATGCCCAACTAATTCTTGTATTTTTAATAGAGACAGGGTTTTACCATGTTGGCGAGTCTGGTCTCAAACTCCTGACCTCAAGTGATCCACCCGCCTCAGCCTCCCAAAGTGCTGGGATTACAGGCATGAGCCACTGTGCCCGGCCATGACTTTTTATAATAGATCTGTAAACCAGCTTAAGTCATTTGAAAATCAGAGCATACTGAAAATGTAATAAAACATAAATATTATTGAAGATTTTTCAGAGTCATCATTTTGAAAGGAGTTCTTGTAGTTCTTTAGATAATAGAAAATAATGAAAACTGAGTTTATGACGCATCTTTTGCATATATGATATTCTTATATACTTATCTGTACTGATAAGTATAAAAAGGTAGAAAATAATTCTACTTTGTATTTCAGGAAATTGAGCTTCATATGAAAACTAAGGATAAAGTATCTCAATGATGTGTGTGTGTGTATATATATATATATATCTCCAGAAAAAATCATTATAAAGCTGCATTTATGTAGAATTTTCAGCAATTTAGATAAATAAGTCATGATTTTTTTTTTTTTTTCCTCCGAGAGGGAGTCTCACTCTGTCGCCCAGGCTGGAGTGTAGTGGTGCGATCTTGGCTCGCTGCAACCTCCACTTCCTGGGTTTAAGCAATTCTCCTGCCTCAGCCTCCAGAGTAGCTGGGATTTCAGGCATGTGCCACCATGCCTGACAAATTTTTTTTTGTATTTTTAGTGGAGCCGGGATTTTACCATGTTGCCCAGGCTGGCTGAACTCCTGACCTCGTGATCTGCCCACCTCCACCTCCCAAAGTGCTAGGATTACAGATGTGAGCCACCATGCCTGACCAGAAGTCATGATTCTTAAGAATAAAATTCAAAATAATCTCTTCCGTTGTCGATTAGGTTCTGTTCATAAATAAATATTTATGCAGTCAAAAATGAATAATTGTTTTCAAACGAGGAGCTCAAGGAATTCTATGTAATTTTGGTTTACTTACTATTTATATATAATTATTTTCCAATCTGTAAGTCTAGTGATTAATTCTTATATTACCTAAAATGTTTTATAGACATGTTAGATTATTACATAATGTAAATGTATTGTAAATAGTAATGGTTTCATTAACTTGAGCTCATTTTACTTATTTAGTACCTGTTTGGTTTTAGTTTATAGTTGTTATTTCCCTGTATAGTGTAGCTTGTACTTGGAAGTAGTAAAACCAGATTTCTTTATAAGTATTTATGGTACAGACCTTTTCCTAAATCAGACTGCAGACCTTTCCTGAGTATTTCTAATAAAGTCTGCTTACATTTTTTTTTTGGCCTGCATAGTAGTTTGTGCTATATATACTCTCTAGAAAATGTAATTCTGGATATTTGTGCCATAACTTTCAATTAATCAAAATCTTGTCAACTGCCATATAGGCCCTCATGTTACAAAATGTGGAAAGTTCAGTTACTTAAAGAGTTTGGCTGGGCATTGTGGCTCACACCTAATCCCAGCACTTTGGGAGGCTGAGGCAGTCAGATCACTTGAGGTCAGGAGTTCAAGACGAGCCTGGCCAACATGGCAAAACCTATCTCTACTAAAAATACAAAAATTAGCTGGGCGTGATGGCACATGACTGTAATCCCAGCTACTTGGGAGGCTGAGGCAGGAGAATTACTTGAACCAGGAGGCGGAGGTTGCAGTGAGCTGAGATCACGCCACTGCACTCCAGCCTGGGCAATAGAATGAGACTCCGTCTCAAAGAAAAAAAGTTTAAGCCAGATGCAGTGGCTCATGCCTGTAATCCTAGCACTTTGGGAGACCAAGGCAGGAGGATTGCTCGAGCACAGGAGTTTGAAACCAGCTTGGGCAACAAAGTGAGACCCTGTCTCTACCCACCCGCCCCCCAAAAAAAAGCAAAAAATTGACCAGCTGTGGTGCTGCGTGTCTGTGGTCCCAACTACACAGGAGGCAGAGAGAATCCCTTGAGCCCAGGAGGTCAAGGTTGGAGTGTGTTATGATTATACAACTGCACTCCAGCCTGGATGACAGAGCAAGACCTAAAAAAAAAAAAAAGATTTTAAAAAAGATTGACTAAGTGAATGAGTCCTCTTCTTGAATATCAGTCATTCCAGGAGAGTATTTTCATTAACATATTTATGTCTCTTGTTGAAAGTATCCATTAAGAGCAGGTAGCAAAAGCTAGACAGAATATGCTTTTGAAGATTCTCTATGCTCTTTATTAATACCTTTCTTAAGTTTCTCAAGATCTCCTTTTGCCTCCCTCTTGATCTTAAACGAGACTGAAGTTTAAGAGTCTTTAGCCACTCTGTCCCCATAGGGATGCAAATTTATGATTTCAGAAGTTCCAGCCCCCAATAAGAAGCACTGTCCAATCGTTTGCAGATGTATCTTGTAAGCCAGATTTCATGACAGATAAGTCCATTCCACTGTCATGTGCCATGTTTAAAGTACTAAATTAGGTTACTCTGTAGTCAAAACAAGTAAGCCCTGGTCCAGACTACTCTAGGGCAAAATCCCGTTGCACTGTCCCTTTTGTTCTGCCCATGCATTCAGTTGTAGCTTTCCCTTTTGCCAGTTGACAGATAGTGACTTCTTTGCAAAACATAACCAGATTAGGTTATTTTTAGTAAACCAACTAAAATAAAAAATTCTTGACATTGGGAAGAAGTATTTTAACAGAATAATAGTAATGTTTTTATTGTGCCATTGTGATTTTCTATAAAGAAACACCCAATATTCATTATTTATATTTTTTTAAATTTACAACTCTTTAACTGTATCCAACATTTCACTGCCAGGAATATAGTCAGGCTCGAAGCTTTTTTAGAAACCCATGATCCAATCCATACCAACACTTCCTTTAGTTTATGGCTTCTGTTCATTTGCACTGTCCAGAAAGGTACTGCTACCATTTGTAGTCACTCCAAAAAAAAGTGTGAACTACCTAGGTATAACTCTCATAAGACGTATACAGCAGCATCTGTATGCTGAAAGTTACCAAAAAAGTATTACTTGCAGATGATTTTGCACCTTAGTTCCCAAGTGCCCCTGTACAGAATATGGAGCTTATGTCCTGTCTCTCTTTGAATGATGAGTGATGAAGGAGCTTCAGATGTTACTGGGTGAGCTTGTATTGAGTGTTACAAAGAGAAGTCATTCTGCCTTTCTTTGGCTCTAATTGCAGAAAGTGAAGTCACTGCTTTTGCTGTCTTGGATCAAGACCAGAAAGAAATTATTGATACCAATGGAGCTGGAGATGCATTTGTTGGAGGTACAGACTAATTTATTTCATTCTTACTTACAAGTAAAACATTTTAACCCTTGTTTCTACCATATAACCAAGATTTATTCATTTAGTAACTTCTAATTTCTTCTTTTAAATAATTAACTTCTGAAGTTCTTTCCATATACTTCTATCATTGTCAGTATTAGAGGGTTTTACCAGAGGAAAAATATGTGTTTGGAAAAGATAATTTGCTACTATGCTGTACCCCAGTCATTTTCACAAGATTAATTGTATCTGTCAGAAAATTGCATAAACAAACTGCATCAAGTACAGTATATAGTATATTCATAGCCCTTCAGGCTTAAATGTTAACACATTTTTGTTCTTTAAAACAAGTTGTGATGAATATTAAACAGTATGCTAATAACTAAGGATGATGTCTTTTGATGATAATCCTTTGGTTAAAACATCTGTTTCAAACACAATAGTGGTTGTTTGTTATACTAAAAAGGGTTAAATTTTTGCCTATTTTTGGCTCAATAAGAACTGGCAAATTTTATGTGAACTAATGATTTTGGTAATGAATACTCAAAAATAAAATCAAAACAATAGAAGACTTGGCTTGATGACTTAGATTGATCTAAAATCTGATTCAAAAATTCTTTTGATAAGTCTAAATTCCTTCTAGTTAAGTGTAGTTAATTAAGCTAGTTTATAGTCTCTAGAAAGCTTTCGCTTCCTCACAGATACCCCAAAGGGGTCTTTCCTGGTCTCTGTTTCTTTCTCTTAACATCAAGCCAGACCAGGTTAATTTAAAAAAAAAAAAAAAAAAGCAAGCAAGTGGAGCTGATGATTGTCCCTTTTTCTCTGGAGGATAATTTGAATCATGGGAAACTTATTTAAGTTTGTGTGATGGTTTTAACTTAATATTTTATTTTAATAGTCTTTTGCCAACATAAATTTTTATTTTTCTTTCTCTAAAACTATTCATGCCCAGTCTTTTTTTTTTTTCTCCCAGGCTGGTGTGCAGTGGTGCAATCTCAGCTCACTGCAACCTCCACCTCCCGGGTTCAAATGATTCTCCTGCCTCAGCCTCCCAAGCAGCTGGGACCACAGGTGCATGCCTCCACACCTGGCTGATTTTTGTACTTTTAGTGGCGACGGGGTTTCGCCATGTTGGGCAGGCTGGTCATGCCCAGTCTTAAATGAACTATTAACCATTAGGATGCCCCATGCCCTTGTTCTTTGGAAAGAGTCTGTACCACAGACAACATTCTACTTCACTGTTATGATTGTGTTTTTTATTTCCTTGCTCGGAAAGTCTTCATTATTGATAATATTAGAGTACTTAGCAGCCAATTTTCCTATTTTTTACTTTTTAGAGCTATAGATGTATGTAGGCTAAAATATTTTATTCTGAATTTAACCATATTCTGTAATACATTAAGAAAACCCTAGTGATTTCTTGGTTAGAAATTGGTCAAACCAGGAATCTTAGTCTAGAAACTTTTAAACTTATACACTGTATGTACATTACTTAAGTACTTTAAAATCTTTAAAACATGAAGTATTCTATTTCTTTGACATTCAGTGGGACACATAATGAGGCCATCATAGATTTGATGGTGACCTAAATAGCCACTACCTCTGGCCTTGGGTTACTTGGCTTCCTGGCCCGGCAACAACAGATTCTGTTACAGACACCTAACTATCTGTAATGCTACCGATACTAGGTGAGAACATGTAGACTTTTTGAGGGAGGGAGAGGCCATTCTTAGGATACTGAGGTAGGAACAGCTAGCTACCATTTGTATTGTGGTTACAACGATAAATAAACTACTTCATCAAAGCAATTGGGATTTTTTTGTTAGAGGATTTTTCAGCCTCTTTTTATCCTACTTCATTATATTTATTGTTGGGGTATAGTTAGGTAAGCAAAAAAGAAAAAGAGTATAGAACAGGGATCCACAGTCGTCTTTTTTAAAGGCCAAATAGTGACTATTTTAGGCTTTGCAAGTCATATACAGGCTGTATTGCATATCTTCTTGTTTTGTTTGCTTCCTTGTGTTTTGTTTTTTTACAGCACTTTTAATACGTAAAAACCTTTCCTAGCTCTCCAGCTGTACAAAAACATACCATAGGCCAGAGTTGGCCTACAGACTATAGTTTGCCAAACCCTCTTTAAATCATGGGCAGCTTCCTCACTTTATTCATTTCTAGCATTTCAAAGCTCCAGACACTGGATTTCACTATACATTGTTGAAATCAGAATAGAGAAAGTAGAAAGCAGGTAGAAACTAGGCAGGACTTTACTGGTAATACAATTAGATAGCCATTTTTCTCACTTTGAACCTACTCAGTTCCCAGGGTAATCAGATCCCAAAACACTGGGTCATGCAATGAGATGAACATCCTAATGTCAGTTTATTAATAGAATACTTATGTTGCCATCTTTAGCACATTCTGTCAAATGTGAATCAAGCTACAAAGTAATAGCAATAGATAACTTTTATACAGTACCTACTAACCAACCAATATCTTAAACACTTTATATATATATTAACTAATTTAGTGTTCACAAAAACTTCTTGGGGTAGATTATTTTTACCCCTATTTTACTGATGAAAAAAACAGAGACAAAGAAAGGTGAGATAATGTGCCCATAGTCTCATGGCTAGAGAGTAGCAGAGCCAGGATTCAAACCCAGAAAGTCTGGCTCCAAAGTCAGTGCTTTTACTCACCACACTAATACTGCTTCTCTAAACATTTATGTAAATCTCACCATTAGAACTGAGAACCACAGACCAGCCTTCCTGACAAAAGCTGGTTTTGCCAGAGAATCTTCCTGTTATCTGAGTAGATGACTTACTTTATTGAAAAGGATCTGTTGTAATCTGACAGGGTTCTGGGGACTCTAAGGTAAGATTGTTGAGGAAAAGAAAGAAAAACTGAAAGGGAAGAGAATCCAAGAACTGTAGTCCCTGGTGAGTTTCAACCAAGAGCTTTTTGCTAAGCAGTAGAATCGATTGCACTACAGAGATACAGAAAGCCAGATGATAAACTTGCTTGGTTAGCATGGGCTCCAAATAAGAGAGTTATATGAATCAGCTGTTTAATAGTGAAGCAGGATATTTCCCTAAGCCCTTCTCAGGCAGAAATTGCAGTGTGTGGGCGCAGGAACTAGCCAGCCACTTTGGTGCCAGCAGGAGCGAACTTCACTCACTCGCTTCTCCACTGCTCACAGGAGGGTGAGCACACGTGAGCAGGTGCAGGAGCTGGGCTGAGCGCTTTTGGGCACTGGTAAGAGCGAACTCCATACCAGACCAGTGGCAGCATCTAAGGGAAGCTGCCCGTGACCCCTGGATCCCCAGAGGAAGCGTTACAGTGCCCTTTTAGCTTTGCTGTCTGTAGACAGCTTAAGCATTAACAGCTCAGTTGAGTGACCCTCCATTGTCACCAATGTGACAGCCCTTTGCACCCACACTCATGGCACCCGAGTTCTTGTCCGGCATCCAGGATAAATGAGGTCACACAAACGAGTTGGAGATGGTAAATGCAGGGGATTTTATTGCCGATGAAAGTGGCTCTCAACAGGAAGGGGAGCTGAAAGGGGGATGAAGCAGGAAGATAATCCCCTGGAGTCCGGTCATCCCCAGCCAGACTCCTCTCCAAAGCTATGCCATCAAGCTGTCCCTCTGAAGTCAAGCCGCTTCTCTCCGATGTCCAACCGTGGTCTACAACATCCAGCTGCTTCTCCTCTTCTTTCTCTGTTGGCTGAGCCTGGGGTTTTTATGGGCACAGGATTGTGGGTGGGGTGGGCCATGGGTGATTTTGGAAAAGGCAACATTTGAGCAGGAAAACAAGGATGTAAGTTCTCACTTTGGGCCATGGTATTAGGCTTTTTGGCTTTAGGATGGGGCGCTCACCAGAGACCTACCCTCTTCTGCCCAGAAATTTGCCTGCCTCCTGTCCCTATCAATAGCACCCATCTAACAACTGATGCATCTATCTTACAACAGAAATGGTCTTGTTAGTTGGAAATACTAAAAGATCCATTGGTTAAAACCCCCTGCTCCCTCTCCACACCAGCAGGAGCCTTTCTACTGGGATTGGAAATAACAGCTGTTGGCTTGACACAGTGGCTCACACCTGAAATCCTAGCACTTTGAGAGGCCAAGGCAGGCGGATCACTTGAGGCCAGGAATTTGAGACCAGCCTGACCAACATGGCGAAACTCTGTCTCTACTAAAAATACAGAAAATTAGCTGGTCATGGTAACATGCACTTGTAGTCCCAGCTACTCAGGAGGCTGAGGCCCTGCCCGTATGGAAAAATTAACAAAATGGATCAAAGACTTAAATGTAAGTACTAAATCAGCCAGGTGTGGTGGCTCATGCCTGTAATCCCAGCACTTTGGGAGGCCGAAGCATGTGGATCACTTGAGGCCAGGAGTTTGAGACCAGCCTGGCCAACATGGTGAAACCCCATCTCTACTAAAAATAGAAAAATTAGCCGGGCATGGCGTTGCATGCCTGAAGTCCCAGCAACTTGGGTGGCTGAGGCAGGAGATTCACTTGAACCCAGGAGGCAGAGGTTGCAGTGAGTCAAGATCTTGCTACTGCACTCCAGCCTGGGTGACAGAGTGAGACCCTGTCTCAAAAAAATTAATTAATTAATTAATAAAATAATTGTCGTTGACTCCTTCCACCTTGGGAATGAATCTCAGGCAGTGGCAACTTTTACATTTACTATGTAGTTTATTTTTCTTCGCTTCATTGCCCAATTAACATATCTTCTTTCTGATTGACACATTCTATATTTGGATGGTTAATATATTCATCCTGTAACTTTCAAGTTTTGCTGGCCTAAGAGTATTTCTGTCTTTTGTGACTTTGCATATCTATATTTTAGTCCACTTTGTGGTAATTTAACTCTCTGAAGGACAATAATTTTCTTTGCATAAATTTCAAGTTTTGGATAAAGTATCACTCCAGCTACCATGTGCTAATTATCTATATCAGTACCAGAGTGCCATGTGTTCCTTTAGCCAGCTAAAAAGATATATGACTACATCATGGATTTTCATGTATAATTTAAAAATGAGTAACCCAAATGTACATAAATTAAATTAAATTAAATTCGTAGTTCCATCTCACGGGTTTAGTGACAGTAACAAATCCCTCCAGCCTCTACAAGCATCGCTCCTTGTTCTATTTGGAGGTCTTAAGCACTTTGTGATATTTGTTCTTTATTTGTCACTGCCCAGCCCTGATAGAACTAATCTTTTCACATTCTTCCTCAAAAGCCCAAGTGCTAGGATTGTACTCTTGGAAATGGATACAATTCTATAATCTCTAAGTATGATTTCCTAATTTCCTAGGTCAGGAAAAAATTTCTTCCTGTTGTCCTGCTGTGCTTTGTCACAGCAGGTCTACCTTTTCATTTGGAACCCTCTTTGTCACTGCCATAGTAACAAATGGAAACATTGAGAACATTTTGTGACAGGCACTGTCATTGTTCCCAGTGAAATCTCTTCCCCTGTGTCTTCCCAGTAAATGAAACTGAGAAGAAAAATCATAACAAATAACATGAAAGAGGACCTAATCAATATGTTCCCACTGGGCTGTCAATACCAGCCTGTGTTAATCTAATATGATTTAGTCATATGTTTTATGGCAGCTGTGGGAATATGGACAGGACCTACAAATCATCTTTAGACTGAAAGTGAGTACACCTTTGACAGATTATGTGTAGGCACTTATATACAACTCTCAGATAAAAGACTAGAGACTTCACCCAAGAACCAACATTCTTAGAATTAAAAAAAAAAAAAAACACCTTCATTAAGTATGGTTAAAAGCCACGTATAGATTAGAAGATTTTACTTTGTTGGTTTTTTTTGTTTTGTTTTCGTTTTTGTTTTGAGATGGAGTCTTGCTCTGTCGCCCAGGCTGGAGTGCAGTGACAGAATCTCGGCTCACTACAACCTCTGCCTTTCAGGTTCAAGTGATTCTCCTGCCTCAGCCTCCCAAATAGCTAGAATTACAGGCATCCGCCATCACGCCTGGCTAATTTTTGTATTTTTAGTAGAGATGGAGTTTTGCCATGTTGGCCAGGCTGGTCTCGAACTCCTGACCTCAGGTGATCCACCTGCCTCAGCCTCCCAAAGTGCTGGATTTACAGGTATGAGCCACTGCACCTGGCCAGAATATTTTATTTGGAATGATAATAAAGTAACTGTGCTGACTCATAATACTTTTTTTGGAGGGGGAGATGGGGTCTCACTCTGTCACCTAGGCTGGAGTGCAACAGCACAATCATAGCTCACTGCAGCCTCAAACTCCTGGGCTCAAGCCATCCTCCCACCTCAGTCTCCCGAGTAGCTGGGACTACAGGGTTTTTAAAAAATGTTTTTGTAGAGACAGAGTCTCACTCTGTTACCCAGTCTGGTCTTAAACTCTTGGCCTCAAGCAGTCCTCCTGCCTAGGACTCCCAAAGTGCTGGATTACAATTGATTAAAATGACAATTCATTTGGGATTACAGACATGAGCCACCACCCCCAGCCAGAATACTCTTTATTTTAAAAATCCTCACAACAGCTTCAGCAGAGAAAATGTATTACCCTTAAAAATATTACCTATAATATGCAAATGACTCTGAAAACCACTCAGCAATCACAATGCAAATAATTCTCCTATTTCCCATCTAATAAAAAGGAACACTAATTACATTCTCTAGGCTGGGAGCAGTGGCTCACACCTGTAATCCCAGCACTTTGGGAGGCCAAGGCAGGTGGACAGCTTGAGCTCGGCAGTTCAAGACCAGCCTGGACAACGTGGCAAAACCCCATTTCTACCAAAAATAAAAAAATTAGCTGGGCATGGTGGCATAAGCCTGTGGTTCCAGCTACTCCGGAGGCTGAGGTGGGAGGATTGCTGGAGCCTGGGAGGTCGAAGCTGCAGTGAGCTGTGATTGCACCCCTGCACTCCAGGCTGGGTGACAGAGCAAGACCCTGTCTCAAAAACAAACAAAAAACAATTTCATTCTCTAATTCATGTTTAGAAAAGAACATTGGTTTACAAAAAATTTTTAAAGAGTTTTTTCAGAACAAGGATGCCACTTCCTCTTCATGTGGCACCTATCTATACTTCTGAGAACCATGAAGACTCTCTAATTATCTTCATATTTTCTATCCTCACCTTGTTTCTTTGGTCCCAAACATTTATAGCTTCCTTCCCCATTCTTCTTAATTGCTGCTTCATTGTGCTATGCATAGAAGTGGTGCAGAATTCTTGGGATTTGTTTTTTCTACACTACCCCCTTCCTTTGCTCTCCATCTCAGAAGACTAGAAGACAACTTGGTAAGTGTTGAATATATTGTTTCTCAGACTTCTTCACTCAAAAACCAAAACCTTCATATGACCCACATCTGCTGAGGATTTACTTGATGGTGACCAAGATGACAGCTGCCCACTGCTAAACAACCCAATGTCAACAACTCTTTTTCTTGTCTTTCTGCTCTAATGGGACATCTTCTCTGTTTTATTTCTTGAACAGAAATTTTTCTTAAAACCATCAAATGAACAGTGAAATTGGCTTGGTCATTAGGAATATGAAACAGACCAGGCATGGTGGCTCACACCTGTAATCCCAACACTTTGGGAGGCAGAGGCAGGAGGATCACATGAGGCCGGGATTTCAAGACCAGCCTGCACAGCACAGTGAGACCCCAGTCTCTACAAAAAAAAAAAAAAAAAAAAAAAAAAATAGCCAGGCAGGGTGGCATGTGCCTGTAGTCCCAACTACTCAAGAAGCTGAGGTGGGAGGATAGCTTGAGCCCAAAAGGTTGAGGCTGCAGTGAGCTGAGGTCACGCCACTGCACTACAGTCTGGGCAACAGGGGGAGACCCTGTCTCTACAAAAAAAAAAAAAAAAAGGATATGAAACATTCACCACAGATAGTAGTTCAGGTTCATGCAACAGAAAGCAAGAGAGAGCTATACCCTTGCACAGTGATAGGATGCTTTATTACATGCCACACTAGTGTTATACATCCAGAGTCTTAGTCAAGCTGAAGCTAGACCAGCACCAAATTTCATAAACACTGTCTATGATTATTTGAGCCTTCGTTAGTTAAAAAAATGTAAAGATTATCCTCTCCAGCCATGATTTAAAAAAAGAGAGAGAGAAATCACTTTGTTCATGTGAAATACAGGATGATTTTAGAGTGAAGCCTGTAATTTCTCATCAACGCAAATGTTCCCTCAAAGACCTAATATCCTGAATGGCCTTCATCTAGAAGCAATTGTAAATAGATAATGGAATTGAAAGGAGTTTATCTTCTGGGAATGTGGATAAGACACAGACAGTCTGAACCATGTAGGCTATCAGACTCCAAAGCTCAGATGTGAAACTTAGGTTTCTTATATTTGATGATTATTGAGAAATATTTATTCTAAGAAAATGATGTTGATATGGAAATTTTTATTTAGTTGCAGAGGTCCACAGGAAATGTAGTAAGTAAAATTTCTGAAGTTCATTTTCTTAAACAGAATTGTGACATAACAAAATATATGTGTGTTAGTTCCCTGACCTAGAATATTGGTGAGCCAATTGGAAGTAATTTGAATCCTAAAATTCTCTCAGCTGCTATTAAATGAATCTGGTCAATTTTACCTGTCTGATACATCCAACATGTATCAGTTAGCTTTTACTGCATAACTAACCACTTTCAAAACCTAGTTACCTAAAATAACAACTCATTTATTTAGCTCCACAAATCTGTGGGTTGACAGCTGGGCCTGTGCTTACCTGGACAGTTCCTCTGGCCTTAGAGTGTTGAGAGATTAAGTAATTTGCCCAAGGTCATATTGAAAGCTAAGATTCAAACTCAAAATTTGGCCTCAAAGTTCTTAGCCCTAGCCATTTTGCTATACTCCCTTTTATTACTACAACATCTTAGCTTCCTCTCTAAAGGAGGAGAAATAGCCAAAGTGGTTTTATAAACACTGGTCTGTCGACTGGTACCAGTCTATGACATAAGAGTTTTCATCAGTCAGTATCAAAATGTAAAAAGGCAGGGGCAAGAAAGTAAATTTCCATAAAACTAAATGTATTCAGTTTTAAATCTTGCCCTTCCTACTTTGAGGGAGTTCAGTTTTCTTTCTTTATGAATAATGTTGGTAATAGTGGATTTTTTAAAAATGTTCTTATCTAGCAGAATTAAAGTTTGCCAGCTCTGTGTTTATCCCTAAAATCTTTTGGGCAAGTTTCAATGTTCTGTGAAATCCCAAAGTCTGGGATTCACTGATCAACCATATTTTTTCATAAATTCTACAAAATTATTTGGCCTTTTTTTTTTAATGCCAGTAAAAAATTACTGATGACGTGAATGCCATTCATGTTGGGCTTTTCTAATATCTGGCCCACTTCTTCATATAAAGAAGATGAGTATAGGCCAGGCGCAGGGGCTCACACCTGTAATCCCAGCACTTTGGGAGGCTGAGACAGGTGGATCACTTGAGGTCAGGAGTTCGAGACCAGCCTGACCAACATGATGAAACCCTATCTCTACTAAAATACAAAAATTAGCAAGGTGTGGTGGTGGGTGCCTATAATCCCAGCTACTCAGGCTGAGGCTGGAGAATCGCTTGAACCCAGGAGGCGGAGGTTGCAGTGAGCTGGGATGGCACCACCACACTCTAGCCTGGGCGACACAGCAAGACTCCATCCCAAAAAACAAAATAAAAAGTAAAGAAGACAAGTATAGAACTGTAAGTTCTATACTTACTGTAAACAGATGAGTACAGGCCGGGCACGGTGGCTCACGCCTGTAATCCCAGCACTTTGGGAGGCCAAGACGGGCAGATCACGAGGTCAGGAGATCGAGACCATCCTGGCTAACAAGGTGAAACCCCGTCTCTACTAAAAATACAAAAAAATTAGCTGAGTGTGGTGGCAGACGCCTGTAGTCCCAGCTACTCGGGAGGCTGAGGCAGGAGAATGGCGTGAACCTGGGAGGCAGAGCTTGCAGTGAGCCGAGATCGCACCACTGCACTCCAGCCTGGGCGACAGAGCAAGACTCCATCTCAAGAAAAAAAAAAAAAAAATGATGAGTACAGAGCAATAAGTATAATATGATGTGATTTGTATTTTGTTAAAAATGGTCTTATGTGTGTATGTTGTAGGTATACTTATAAAAGCATATAAAAGTTCCAGGAAGAAACACTCCAA
The DNA here is from genome assembly GCF_000001405.40 of Homo sapiens. Taxonomy (NCBI): domain Eukaryota; kingdom Metazoa; phylum Chordata; class Mammalia; order Primates; family Hominidae; genus Homo; species Homo sapiens. Next base: position 74,680,458 of record NC_000010.11, read on the forward strand.
ACAGCTAACAGTGGATGTACTGGGAGGTGGCTGAATGAAATAATCACTTTCTACTCTGTATGTCTGAATTTTTTTTTTTTTACAATGTGCCCTTATTGGCTTTGTAATTAGTGTAATCTTTAAATAAATAAAATCACATGTGTGTAGCACTGATGCAGAGCCTAGCCAACCTTAGTACCTAGCAGAAATCTTCACTGTGGTAAATAAGTCATCAGACACAGCATTTCAAACTATACGATAATTTACATAAAACATAACCTCTGATGTTTTAAGGCTACTTATCAGCAAAGGTCTGAATAAAACAAAATTAGCAGCATGATTGTCAAATTAACAGCTACTCTCTCTTCAGATATATAAGTTCTGAAACCAGGGGTATAAACACAGGCTTTTAATTTATTTTTCATTTAATTATCCAATTAACGTTGACATTTTATAGAATTTAGATATATTTCTAGCCCACAAAGTAAATGGCAAATTAAAAACTGATTTCTGTCATCAAATGCTCTTAAAATTTTAGAACCATCATGCTATGAGAAATTTTCAGTTGATCAAATGTAGGTTTTTGAATTGAGTTAAATAATAACAAAATGATCCTTCTTATGAATTAGGGCATAAGCACAGCTTCACATAAACAATGTTACCATCATCTTATCCCAGCAGCTATTACTTTGCCCCATTGAATCTTTTGTTTTTAACTATATCATTTAGAGTGTTTGTGCTGAAAGGAAAATTTTAAAAAATCATATTTTCTGGTTTTCAGTTTCCAGTAGTGAAACTCTTTTCAAATGAGATCTTATCTGAATCAGAATGAAATGAACCCACAAAAATTAAAAATTAAAAATGTTTTTAAGAAAGAATGAAATGAGATTAAACAAACTCCCATTTGTCCCTATCCACATTTTATTTGGTGGCTCATGATGTCACGTAGGAAAACCATGACCTATTCAAAAGCCCCTATTTGATGAATGAAGAAAGTAAGGCCCAAAGAAAGGTAAGATGAGTTGTCCAAGGGAGTTAATTGCAAATACGAGACAAGAAGCCAGATTACTGAATTCATGAAGCAGCAGTTACTTGTGTTCATAATCCAAATGAAAGTTGTCAGTTAAGGCTGAGCGCAGCAGCTCATGCCTGTAATCTCAGCACTTTAAGAGGCCGAGGTGGACAAATCACTTGAGGTCAGGAGTTCGAGACCACCGGCCAACACAACATGGTGAAACCCCGCCTCTACTAAAAACACAAAAAATTAGCCAAGCCTGATGGCGGGCACCTGTAATCCCAGCTACTTGAGAGGCTGAGGCAGGACAATTGCTTGAACCTGGGAGGCAGAGGTTGCAGTAACCCAAGATCACGCCACTGCACTCCAGCCTGGGCGACAGAGTGAGACTCCATCTCAAAAAAAAAAAAAAAAAAAAGTTGTCAGTTAAGCTGTCTGTTATTTAGTCCTCTTGGAAACATATAGGTCAAGAGTCAATATCCCAAATGCACAGAAGGAGGGGTTTTTTGTTTTGTTTTGTTTTTGTCTTGATGTTTGACTTTAACAATAAACAGAAGCATACGCTAAACTTTTATTTTGGGAACCACATCAAAAGATCACACATTAGCTTTAAAATCAAATACTGACTCAGTGTTGTACATCTATGCTCCATGAAGAAGAATGACTTTTAAAGCAGTGTTTTGAAAGGGATTAGGGTGAAAGGGCATCTTATCTATATGAGTGCAAAATACTGCTTAGCAGTACTCTTCAAGAGCTTTCTTCCGAAATTAAGATCATTTTTAAATTGATGGGCTTTTGGTTTTGTTTTTAATTCAAATACAATGTCCCATACCATGTTAACAGAACTTAGTAAGCTTCCATTTTTAGCCACCACAAAGAAGGAATAAGAAGTTATTCTCAAAGCTGTAGCTATAGGACAATAAAGTTATTCTTTCTTATAGCTACAGTACTGACCACTTGCCTGTATATTACACATTGCTTCTCAGTTGCTCACTTTATGTGGGAGGGTGTGTTGTGCTGAACTATCTTAAAGCAACCTTTGCTCTAAATTGACTTCCTGTACATGTCAACAATTAACACCATCTGACACCAATTAAGCTTTAGTTTTCTTTTCTTTTCTTTTCTTTTTTTTTTTTTTTTGAGACGGAGTCTAGCTGTGTCGCCCAGAATGGACTGCAGTGGTGTGATCTCAGCTCACTGCAACCTCTGCCTCCCAGGTTTGAGTGATTCTCCAGCCTCAGCCTCCCAAGTAGCTGGGACTACAGGTGTGCACCACCACTCCTGGCCAACTTTTGTATTTTTAGTAGAGACAGGGTTTCATCATATTGGCCAGAATGGTCTCTAACTCCTGACCTCAGATGATCCACCCGCCTTGGCCTCCCAAAGTGCTGGGATTACAGGCATGAGCCACTGCTCCCAGCCTGGTTTTCATTATGCAAATACCTGCTAGGTCAGACCTTACCCTGGCAGGCACAGTAGCTTTTTCAGTTATTTCAAAATTTAATATTTATTATTTTCCCTGAAAAATCAGTTTTCTAAAATTTGGGTCACAAGTTGTTATTTGAGTTCATGACTAATTGGTAGTCAATATGAAGTCAAAACAAAATTTTACTAACTAGACTACATAGAAAATACAAAAAGTTTACATCTGAGCACTTTTCAGCAGGGGGAAACCATTACTTTGTCACATCTGGATATTCTAAGCTAGCCAAATTGAAGTGGGAATTTCCTGCCAGATGTTAGTTCTTTGAGCAACCTGTGAACATCTAAGTAAGTGAGGGGTTATGAGTCCTTGTTTGGTAGAGCTATACCCACTCTGGAGGCTTGCTCCTAACAGGCAGCAGACATTTTATATGTACTACCACCAGTCAGGAGGTTGTGCAACCTATTTGAAGTCAATATGATGTGCTCTTGTTAAATGTCAAAACATCCAAGGCCTCATTTTGAATGTACAACATCAGTCTTACAGATATTATATCCAGGGTGAACATTGCATTGAAATGTCCTCCCAAATGTAGATGACAAAAATTTTGTTTCATTAATAGAAAGAAGGTAAGACTGAAACACCACAGGTATTCCAGATAACTTGGATAGGGCCATTTTGTAAAGTCAGTGTAGACCAAAATATGTCTCTAAATATGAGGGAAATAAAGAATCTGAAATGACATGAAAAATACCAAGTATTTATATCAACCTCCTGTTCTAGACGCACATGGGAATTAGGAAGTGAAAATTTCATTCAGAAGAGCTGTGCACAAAAAGTGGAAATGCATTATTCAATTGAAACAAGTAACATTTTTAAGGGGGATAAAATACTTTCTACATGATCTCACTGGTTTTGTCGTCCTCCGTAAGGGAAAATATTGACATTTACCAGACTGTTTGCTCCAGCTTTCTGATCTCCTGCAGTTTATTTTTATAACAACCTTATCGATGGGCCTCTTACCCAGCTCTCTAGGTTTAACTGAGTTGAGTCGATTTGTTACCACAGCTTCAAGTAGCTGTTACAGAACAAGCAAGACATCCTAATAAAGCTGTAAACGTGTTTACTCAAACAGAGTATTGATTTTACTTGGAGGGGAAGAAGCCGGTTCTTAGCACAGTGTCAGGGTGGATGAATTTCACTGCAGTTTTTCATTGTCATCTGTCAGGGTTGTGAAACACTAAGTAAAGCCATCAGAGGATAATTAGAAGTACCAGAAGTTTAGCCCCTAAAATCAGTTAACCACTTGGGAGTTTTGTAGCTTAATTAGCTTTTATTAAAACTTTCCCTAGTATTAATAGCCAAGCACTTTTAATGGTATTTCCAAGTAGATCAAGATATCAAGATTGTGACTTGTTAAATATATGAATTTAATGGCTAAGGGTTTTTCAGACCTTTTCTCACTCTAAATTAGGCTACCACTAGAACATAATTAGAACCAAAACCAATGTAAAGATACAGTGATCTGTACTTATACTAGCAGAATAAATGCATGATTTTTTTTTCTGAAAAATCAACTTAAAAGAAGTAGTAAAACAATTATAAAATAATTTAAGCCAGGCGCAGTGGCTCATACCTGTAATCTCAGCACTTTGGGAGGCCAAGGCAGGAAGATTACTTGAGCCTAGGAGTTCAAAATGAGCCTGGGCAACATAGTGAGACTCCCATGTCTACAAAAAATTAATAAATTAGCCGGGCATGGTGGTGCACACCTATAGTTCCAGCTACTCAGGAGGCCAAAGTGGGAGGATCGCTTGAGCTCAGGAGGTCAAGGCTGCAGTGAGCCGTGATCACACCACTGCATTCCAGTCTGTGTGACAAAACAAAGCCCTGTTTCAAAAAACAAAAATAAAACATGTCTTTGTAGAAAAATCCAGTTTGCGTCTTTATTACACTTAAATGTTTTTGTAACACAATGTGATCTAAACACATAAAACTGTCAATGCCACCCTTATTTTTAAATACCTTGATTAAAGCAGATTCTAAAATATTCTAGCTTACTTTAAGTTAGTCATTGTCTTAACAATAAAAGCTGATGCACGTTGTGCAAAAGGTAAGCATCAGAGTAAGGAGTTGCTTACCTTCTGTAGAAACTGCATTAGCTACTGAGCTTCATGAAAAGCATTCATGTGAACACTACCTGACCTCTTCCAAATGTCTAGAAAAACAAATCACAGTTGAAAAAAATCACCCACCTAGAAAATGAACAAAAAAACTGGAAATTTATTAAAAATAAGTTTGACCTTCTCTCATGATGCTGCAGTCAAGCAAAAATGAAAAATAAGTTTGACCATTATATTTAAAGTACATCTTCCCATATCTAAATAATTCATTTAGTGCTTTATGGTAAACTTTTTATGTCTTCTTGCACTACTGCCTCGGCCTGTCTAAATGACTAATAAAAATTATGATATCTCTGGGATGACCAGTTCTAAAGCCTAAGGGTAACAGACTCTGTCAGAAAGAACAGCAAAAGATGTTGGGTTTTCTTTGTCTTTGAAATGCTTTGTCACGTGTTTATCTGTGCATATAGTTCTAAGCCAAATTCTACCCTGAATTGCTTTAAGCCACAAAGTAGCAGGTTGTAAAATATTGTTGCATAAGAGGGCACCTCTAGAGCTTGCTCTTCTAATTTTTCTAAAGGTAGAAGAAATTGACTTTTCACAATTGTATTTAGATCATTCTTCCATATTAAGGTATTCAAAAACAGAAAACATAAAGGATATGGATTTATGATTATATCATTTTTATGTGCATTTCAAAAGGCCCACAATACAGTAATTTATTTTATTCTATGCAATTTTCTTGAGAATGACAGCATGTGAGAGAGCTCGTTGGATGGGGAGGGGCAGTATATAGTAGGGTAGCCATATTTGAGCTTCAAGGCACTGTTTACTCTGACTCCTTCAGTCAAAAGGAGCATAAACCCATTTCACCTAGTTCAGGTTAAGGAATTTTTTTTTTGTAAGGAAGATATTATAACAGTGGTTAAGACACTGGGTCAAAATATGTGGGGTTTTTTGTTTGTTTGTTTTGGTTTTTTTTGAGGTGGTGTCTCGCTCTGTTGCTTAGGCTGGAGTGCAGTGGCGCAATCCCGACTCGCTGCAAGCTCCGCCTCCCGGGTTCACGCTATTCTCCTTCCTCAGCCTCCCGAGTAGCTGGGACTGCAGGTGCCCACCACCACGCCTGGCTAATTTTTTGTATTTTTTAGTAGAGACGAGGTTTCACCATGTTAGCCAGGATGGTCTCAATCTCCTGCCTCCTGATCTGCCCGCCTAGGCCTCCCAAAGTGCTGGGATTACAGGTGTGAACCACTGCACCTGGCCCCAAAAGATGTGGTTTTAAGTCCTGGTACCACATTAACTAGTTGTGGGACTGCTGTGGTTTGAATGTGTCCCCTCTAAAATTCTAGCATTGTCAATGTGATAGTATTAAGAGGTGGGGACTTTAAGAGGTGATTAGGCCTTGATGGCTCCTCTCTCATTAATGGGATTAAGGCCCTTATAAAAGAGGCTTCATGCAGCATTTGGCTAGCTTGCTCTTCCACTCTGGCTTACCCTTCCACCCTCACAAGACACCAAATGCCAACAGCTTGATCTTGAACTTCAAAGCTGCCATAATTGTGAGACAATAAATTTCTGTTCTTTATGTATTACCCAGTCTCAAGTATTCTGTTGTAGCAGCACAGACTATGAGAGAGACTATGGAAAAGTTAATTCTCTTTTTTGTTTGTTTGTTTTTTGTTTTTTGTGTTTCTTTTTTAGATGGAGTCTTGCTCTGTCACCAGGCTGGAGTGCAGTGGCATGATCTCGGCTCACTGCAACCTCTGCCTCTCGGGTTCAAGCGATTACCCTGCCTCAGCCTCCCAAGTAGCTGGCGACTACAGGTGTGCGCCACCACGCCCGGCTAATTTTTTGTATTTTAGTAGAGACAGGGTTTCACCATGTTGGCCAGGATGGTCTCTATATCCTCACCTCGTGATCCACCCGCCTCAACCTCCCAAAGTGCTGGGATTACAGGAGTCAGCCACAGTGCCTGGCCGTTACTTAACATCTCTAAGCCTCCGTTTCCTCATTTATAAAAATGAAGATAATGAGTACCTATCTCATTTGGGTTATTATGAAAGTTAAATGAAGTAATGTTTATAAAGCACAACACCTGATACATAGTAAGGATTCATTAAGTGTTACATATTATAAGAGGGGTCTCAAAGAAGTCTCAGACAAGAGCCAGAATGACAAGTTTTCACTGAAAGTATAGCCAGATGGTGATTGTAGGTTCAAGTCAGTTCTGGAGACCTCAGCAGCAGATACTGGATCTTCACTCCAGTTCTTCACTAATTAATCCTACTCAGCTGCATTACGTGTCTGCGTCTTACTGTCTCACAGTCAGCTTCCCAGCCTGTCTTTGTTTTCCATTCTGGCTCCTAAAAGAGAACACTGGGTTATTAGCTCAATTCACTTTTTATACAATGTCATCAGTAGGACACTAGGAGAACCATAAGTTGTTTGCCCTTGAACGAGATGCCTACCCTTTGTTCCATTTAATAGTAAAGGTTGAATTTACGTGCACAAAACATTCTGCAGTGCTGGAAGTGATTTTTCTTAAAAGGGTAATACGTGGATGGGCTCTATAAACATTGTGTTTGCATGCCTTGTCCACTACCTTCTTCCCATATTTATAGTTCTGAAAATGTTCCCTACAACGTGATCCATCTATCATACAATACATGGAACATCAAACAGCTTGTATCTCAAGCTAGAAACCTAGACGCCCTTCCTGAGTCCTTCCATTCCCTCTCTCCAAACCGTCAGTGAGTTCTTTTGATTCCGCTTTAAGGATGTATCTCAAATTTGTCCACTTCTATTTCTCTGTCATGACTTTAGCTTAGGCCTGTTTTCCACTTACTGTAGTAGTTTCCTAACTGATGTCTATGCCTTCACTCTTTCTGGAACTTTATTCCATTTTCTGTATAATAGCCAAAATAATCACTTTAGGAAGAAGTTGAATTATTTCATTCCCCTGCTTACAACCTTTCCGTTGCTTCTCACTGCACTTAGCCTAAAAATCCAAGCTCCTGTGGTGATTTAAAAAAATCTATATGATCTGCTATGTTTGTATCTTTATTTCATTCCATTTTCACCTTTGCCTGCATGATGTAGCTATACTGTCAGTCTTCTTTCAGGCCTTAGACACTTTGTACAGTGGAGTTTACTTTGCCTAGAATGTTCCTCCCCTACTCTTTAAAAGTCAACTCTTCTGTAATCATCCTATCTAAAATGGGTCCCTTGACTAATATTCTCTCCTGTTACTCAGTTCTTTTTCATAGTAGCACTTAACACTCTGGAATTGTCTTATTTACTTATTTGTTTACTTGTTTTTGTCTATTTCCCCCATTACAATGTAAGTTTCAGAAGAACAGGAACTGTAAGTGTCTTATTTACCAGCGTATCCCCGGGACCCAGCACAGTGCCTAGCATAGAAGACTCAGTAAATATTAGTTAAATAAATGAATATATCAATCATATGCACAGCTGCAAACCGATTTGCCCCTACCATCAAGTAAAGACCATTTAGTCGGTATTTCTAGGAATTTGGTTATTGAGGTATATCATAAGAAGGGGTTAGAATAAGTCAGGAAACAGAGTAGGCCATACTTTAGGATCAGGTCAACTTGGTTTAAGAGTAACCCACGCTAGGCCAGGTGCAGTGGCTTACGCGTGTAATCCCAGCACTTTAAGAGGCTGAGGTGAGACAATAAACTGAGCCCAGGAGTTCAAGACCAACCAGAGCAATATCGTGAGACCCCCATTGGTATCAAAAATTAAAAAATTAGCCAGACCTGGTGGCAAACACCTGTAGTCCCAGTTACTCAGGATGGTGAGATAGGAGGATCTGTTGAGCCCAGGAGGTCAAGGAAACAATGAGCCATAATCATGCCACTGCACTCCAGCCTGAGTGTGTATGTGACTAATCCAGAAACAGAGAGACTGATCATACTACCTTTAGTATCACTTAAAATAAAGGATGCTGGGCTGGGGGGCATGGTGGCTCACGCCTGTAATCCCAGCACTTTGGGAGGCCGAGACCGGATCATGAGGTCAGGAGATCGAGACCATCCTGGCTAACATGGTGAAACCCCATCTCTACTAAAAATACAAAAAATTAGCTGGGCGTGGTGGCGGGCGCCTGTAGTCCCAGCTACTCGGGAGGCTGAGGCAGGAGAATGGCATGAACCTGGGAGGTGGAGCTTGCAGTGAGCCAAGATCATGCCACTGCACTCCAGCCTGGGTGGCAGAGCAAGACTCTATCTCAAAATAAATAAATAAATAAATAAATAATAAAATAAATAATAAAGGATGCTATGGAGAGAATACATGTGTTAGGAAAGAAGGTAGTATTTAATAATAATTGTACTAAGTAGTTATAGTACAGATACAAAAAATTTATTCTCAAGATCATAATCCTGAACATCAGTTCCTGCTGTAATAGGCAGTAACATACAGGTCAGAGACTCCAGTCAAGATTTCATAAAATATATTAAAGTTATCCAGTAGATCTCCAAGTTGATTCCTGACATCACTCTCAAGTCCCCTAATACACACATCACACTCTCAAACTTACAAATTTGGTTTGCCAAAATGTCCAGTGGGAAGGGTTTAATTCAGCAGATAATAGAACCTTGCCCTGTCCTACCTAGGATCTTTGCTGCCATTCCTTCGTTTATAGGTGTGAGTGGGGTAAAAAGTAGCTCATCCATAAAGGAGGCAGTGAAAATCTCTAGTGAAGAGCACTGAGCCTGGGACATAACCTGTTTCATTTTCCACAGCTTCTTTACCTCAAGCCACAGAATTGTTCTTAGCTCTTTAACTTTTGTCAGCACCCACATCAAATCAACAAACTTGTTTATTTTTCTTCTTTCCTTACTATCTATCACCCAGAATAGTGGTTCTCAAACTTGAGCGTGCATCAGAATCATCTGAACACTTGTTAAAAGATCTGTTGCTGGACCCTCTCCCAGGGCTTCTGATTTAGTAGGTCCGTGATGGGGCTTAAGTGATACTGAAGCAGCTGGTTCAGGGAACACGCTTTGTGAACCATTTCTGGAAAGAATTTTACAGTAGATTCCCATTTGATCTCTCTGCAAGCAGTCTCTTTCCTAGTAAGTTCATATTCCACACTTCTGCCAGAGTTAGCTGCCCAAAAGCAATGTAATATGCCTCCCCTGTATCAGAGTTTGGTTGGCTCTCTATTTATTATAGTATAAAATCCAAATCAGGCTGGGTGTGGTGGCTCACACCTGTAATCCCAGCAATTTGGGAAGCTGAGATGGGTGGATCGCTTGAACTCAGGAGTTTGTTACCAGCCTGGGAAACATGGGGAAACCCCATCTCTACCAAGAATACAAAAAATTAGTCAGGCATGGTGGCACACACCTGTGGTCCGAGCTACTCAGGAGGCTGAGGTGGGAGGATTGCTTGAGCCTGGAAGGCAGAGGTTGCAGTGAGCTGAGATCACACCACTGTTCTCCAACCTGGGTGATAGAATGAGACCCCGTCTCAAAAAAAGTCCATATCACATCATACAAGATCCTTGACGATATGTCCCCATTTTGTCTTTCCCGCTGTGTCCCCAACTCAGCTGACCTTTGACTATATTGCAAAATAAGCTTTGTCCTGTCAACAGCATGGCTTTTTTTCCTGCTTATAATGTCTATCTCTGCAAAATGTTATTCATTCAACACCCAGCTCATGTCACCTTCTCCAAGATGCATTTCTAAATGTCCCCCAATTGAGGTGTTATGTTATTTTTAAAGTGCATACGTGGCTTTCTCTCCTAAAGCTATAAAACCCTCAAGGACAAACACTGTGTTTTATCCATCTTTGACTCCTTTGGTGCACCCAAAGCCCAGTACCTAGACATTCAATAGCTGTTGGTTGATGGAATGAATCCAGGTACTTCTGACAGATTCCAGATTTTCACTTTCTTTTGTTTCTTATAATAAAAATGTAGTATAGAAGCAGTCATGGCATGAGTCTAGTAAACTGAGGATTCAGATCAGTCAAAGTTATAATTTATCTTATTCCCTTTCCTAAAGCAGCTAGAGATAATGAAAATAAAACCTTTAAAAAGAATGTAACACCTTTAAGTTGACTGCCTCGTGTACACTGTGGCAGCATATATCTGGTAATCATTGGTATAGGAGGTAAGTTTAACAGGCCAGTTTAAGACAGCATATAAATCATCACTAAAGGACAGATAGCTAAGAAAGATGGAAAATAAACAAATAATTGAAAAACCAGATTGACCCAGAAATGACTAAGAACAAAGTTTGTGCAGGGAGACAGGGAGAATTGAGTTTAGTACTGTTAGTTGCTGTAAAATATATCAGGTTTGCTTTAATTACATGGTAATGCTTCTAAGAACAAAGGTAATTACATGATAACTTATGTTACTACTCCCATATTATCTCTAAATAACTATGTAATTAGCTTGTCACTACTATACAGTGTGAAGTTTGATATTACTCATGGATAAAGAACATTGGTAACTTAAGTGAGTGAGCAAGGGTGGGGTGAGGGATGGAGGCAGCAGGGAAATCATAGAATTATTACAATCAGGAATGCAAATGGTTAATTAGATCATTGCACCCAGTCCTTAAGGATCTGAGCCAGAGCCATGGAGAATACCAAACGAGTCTGAGGTAAATTCTCCATGGCTTGTCACAGTGTCTTCTGAAGACCATAAACATACAACAAAGTAAGTTGACAAAGCACGCAACAGATCAATGAGTTTGGGATATAATGCATGTAATTTTAAACAGTTCCTTTTATTTGGGGAGGTTTTTCTTTTAAGTAAATACTAAGAATTTTTTTTAATTGAAAAATATTTCACTCATCTCATTTTCCAACATCCTGAGGTTATATGTGTGGCCTATGGGGTGAGGATGTGTAGCACTGGGAACTCTCATTTATTGCTGGTAAAAAATGCAAAATGGTAAACAACCACTTTGGAAGACAATTTGGCAATCTCTTACAAAACTAAACATACTTTTACCATATGATCTAGCGATCAGGCTCCTTCGTTGCCCAAATGATTTAAAAACTTACGTCTTCACAAAAACCTGCATGCATATGTTTATAGCAGTTTTATTCATAATTGACAAAACTTGGAAGTAGCTACATATCTTTCACTAGGTGAATGGATAAACATTATCGATACAATAAAATATGATTCAGCCAACAAAAAGTAATGAGCTATCAGCTGGGCATGGTGGCTCACACCCGTAATCCCAGCATTTTGAGAGGCAAAGGCGGGCAGATCACTTGAGGCCAGGAGTTCAAGACCAGCCTGGCCAACATGGTGAAACCCTGTCTCTACTAAAAATACAAAAATTAGCTGGGCATGGTGGCAGGCGCCTATAATCCCAGCTACTTGGGAGACTGAGGCAGGAGAATTGCTTAAACCCAGGAGGCGAAGGTTGCAGTGAGCTGAGATCGTGCCATTGCTCTCCAGCCTGGGCAACAAGAGCAAAACTCTGTCTCAAAAATAAAAAAAAGAAAGAAGGAAAGAAATGAGCTATTAAGCCAAGAAAAGACATGAGGGAACCTTAAATGCATGTTGCTAAATGAAAGAAGGCAGTCTTAAAGGCTACATACTGTGTGATTCTAACTACAGTCATGCACCACATAACATTTTGGTCATTGACAGACCACATATATGGCAGTGGTCTCATAAGATTATAAAACCTTATTTTTACTGTACCTTTTCTATGTTTAGATATGTATAGATACATAGGTACTTAACATTTTGTTACAATTACCTAAAATTCAATAGAATAACAGGCTATACAGGATTGTAGCCTGGGAACAATAGGCTATACCATCTAGGTTTCTGTAAGTACACTCTGATGTTTTCACAATGACACAATCACCTAGTGATCCATTTCTCAGAATATATCCCCGTTGTTAAGCAACTCAAGACTGTATATCACATTCTAGAAAAGGCAAAACTATGGAGACTGTAAAAAAGTCAGTAGCTACCATGGGCTGGAGCTGTGGCGCAAGGAGAGAGGGATGAATAGGTAGAGAGCACTGAGGATTTTTAGAGCAGCAAAACTGTTTTGTGTGATACTTTAATGGTGTATATTATTATATTTGTCAAATCCCACAGAATATACAACACAAAGTGTAAGCCCTAATGTAAACTATAGATATTATTTAATGATAATATGTCAATAATGGCTCATCGATTGTAACAAATACACCCACTAACTAATGTAACAGGTTAATCATAGGTGGAACTGGGGAGTAAGGGGATGAGGGAAGATTTGGGAACTCTCTGTATTTTCTGCTTCATTGTTTTGTAAACCTAAAACTGCCCAAAAATATAAAGTCTAATTTTTTTAAACCCAAGTGGGAAAACCTTTCTTCGATCCATCTTATTCTACTGACATCTTGGGTGTGTATGATGGTCTGTGTTTCCCAGTGTCATCAATTTCACTGCCTTAAGGTGCTATGGCTTAGACTTGTGTCCTGTGGCCAGTGACCTCACAGTTTTTACCAAAATACTTGTTTTCATTGCTATCACGTGATAGCTACTCTAAGTATGATTATCCTTCTTAATTCTGTTAGGAATCCCCCCGGCATTCCCTGTGAGGGAAGTATTAGTCCTTGAATTTCCGTTTCAAAAGATGCGTACTGATTTACTTGGTATATAGCTTCTGTAAGAGGAAGTTTCATTTGGGAAAGAAAGGTTGTGCTAAGGTTCCCTCAGAAACTTTCTAAATTGCCTTCTCTAAAATTGCCTGTGTTTCCCTAAGCCTAAGAGTAAAATACAGGAAATAGTGATGATTTTTATGTGCTTGAGGAATCTTCTAAGAAGAGTGACCAATTTTATTCTACTTATACTGATACTTGTACTGATTTACCTTGTGGAAAATTCATCCAGTGGCTACAATTACTAACTCACTCCAAAGGCATGAGTGGGAAACTATTAAAATAACACATCACTTAGCTGAAACTCTTGAATGGTTGCTCTTAATAACCATTTTTCTGAATAATTTAAAGTTCCCATGTTTTTTAAAAAGGTTTATTGACTTAGATCTGATTTGAAAAGTGTAATGTAGCTTATTATAGAATATTTAAAACATAAGAAAAACAAACAGGAAAAAAGTCATCCCAACTCTAGAAACTTAACTTTTTTCAAACACATTTTTTTTTTTTTTTTTTTTTTTTACTATTTTGACTAAACATGTTTCTAAATGTACTTCTTGGATCTGACTAAAGACTAAAAATGGAAGGAAACACAAGTAGAAATTATAAAGTCAGGATCAGGCCAGTGTGGTAGCTCATGCCTGTAATCTGAAAACCTTGGGAGGCTGAGGTGGGAGGATCACTTGAGGCCAGAAGTTGGAGACCAGCCTGGGCAACCTAGTGAGGCCCCATCTCTACCCCAAAAAAAAAAGAAAAAGAAACTTATTTATTTAATTTCCTCTCTTTAAAGGTATCATATGCAAAACAGAAGGTTTGGGGGTTTTGGGGTTTTTTGTTTGTTTGTTTTTTGAGACAGGGTCTCCCTCTGTAGTCCAGGCTAGAGTACAGTGGCACAATCATAGCTCACTGCAGCCTCAAACTCCTGGGCTCAAGCAGTCCCCACTACCTTAGCCTCCCGAGTAGCTAGGACTAAAGGTTTACACCACCATGCCCAGCTAATTTTTCTATTTTTTGTAGATACAGGGTCTTGCTGTGTTGCCAGGGTTGGTCTCAAACTCCTGGGCTCAAGCAATTCTCCTGCCTCAACCTCACAAAGTGCTGGGATTACAGGCATGAGCTGCTGTGCCCAGCCAGAAGTTTTCATTTTAGCACAGTTTAATCTTTCACTTTCTGGTTTCTGCTTTTTGTGTGTCTTATTTAAGAAATATTTTCTACCTCTAGGACATAAAGATATTTTTTATTTTCTTCTAAAAGTCTTACTATTTTTCCATTTACATTTAACTCATTGATAGACCTGGAATTCTTTTTTTTTTTAATATAGAGTGAGGTAATGTTATTTTTCCAAATTGAAAACTAGTTGCCTAAACACTACTTTTCTAAGAAGCCATCTTTTCCCCATGAATTTGCAATGGCAACTCTGTTGTAGCTCAAGTTTCCACCTTTTCTCTATTTATTTATAGCTATGCCAACAAACACTGCATTTATTATTATAGATTTTTAGAAGTATTTAATCTGGTAAGACTAGTCTCTCCTATCATTTTTACTTCAGTAAGTGTATATGCCTGTTCTTGATCCTTTGCTTTTTCATATAAATTTTAGAATCAACTTATCAGGTTCCCAAAAACATTGTTGAGACTGTGATTGAATTTGTATTGAATGTTATCTTCTTCTCCAATAACCCAGCATATCTCTCCATTTAGGTCCTTTGTAATATCTTTCCATAAAGTTCTATAGTTTTCTTTATTAGAGGCTGGCATAACTTGCATCGCTTTTGTATTTTTACCAAATTACATTTTTAAAACTGTTGCTCTTGTATATATATATGTGTGTGTGTGTGTGTGTGTGTGTATGTGTGTATGTGTGTATATATGTATATGTATATATGTATGTATATTCTATATACAAAGCTGCTCTCAATGAAAATATTGACAAATTTATTTCTTCTTTTACAATTCCTGTGTATGTGTGGGGTGTGTGTGTGTGTGTGTGTGTGTGTGTGTGTGTGTGTGAAGATCTCGCACTGTTGCCCAGGATAGAATGAGTACAGTGGCATGTTCACAGCTCACTACAGCCTCATCCTTCTGGGCTCAAGCAATCCTCCCACCTCAGCCTCCCAAGTAGCTGGGACTACAGTCATGTGCCACCATGCCCAGATAATTTCTGTATTTTTTGTAGAGCCGAGGTTTCAATTTCTTACCCAGGCTGGTCTTGAACTCTTGGGCTTAAGCGACCTGCCCACCTTAGCCTCCCAAAGTGCTGGAATTACAGGCACAAACTACTGCACCCAGCCTCCCTTTACAATTCTTAAATTTTTTTTAGTCTTGTTACTCTTGTTAGGGCTTCCCCACTATGTTAAATAGTATTGATTTTTTATTTTATTTTATTTTTTGATACAGAGTCTTACTCTGTTACCCAGGCTGGAATACAGTGGCACAATCTCAGCTCAACACAACCTCCACCTCCCGGATTCAAGCAATTCTCATCCCTTAGCCAACCGAATAGCTAGGATTGCAGGCACACACCACCACACCTGGCTAATTTTTGTATTTTTAGTAGAGATGGGGTTTCACCATGTTGGCCAGGCTGGTCTCGAACTCCTGACCTCAAGTGATCCACCAGCCTCGGCCTCCCAAAGTGCTGGGATTACAGGTGCAAGCCATTACGCCTGGCCTGATTATTATTATTTTATTTTTATTTTTTATTTATTTATTTTTGTTTTTGTTTTTGTTTTTTTTTGAAACGAACTCGTTCTGTCACCCAGGCTGGAGTTCAGTGGCCCGATCTCGGCTCACTGCAAGCTCCACCTCCCGAGTTCATGCCATTCTCCTGCCTCAGCCTCCCGAGTAGCTGGGACTACAGGCACCCGCCACCACCCCCAGCTAATTTTTTTTTTTGTATTTTTAGTAGAGACAGGTTTTCACCATGTTAGCCAGGATGGTCTCGATCTCCTGACCTTGTGATCTGCCCGCCTCGGCCTCCCAAAGCACTGGGATTACAGGCATGAGTCACCATGCCCAGCCCTCATTATTATTTTTAATGGGACTGTGTATGTTTTCTATTTATTTGTAATTTTACTGTTTCCCTTTTTCCACATTTTCTGCAGTTATTGGGTATGACTTTTATAATCAGAAAAACAATATTTTCACTTGCTTTCTTAAAAATAAATAATCTCTTAGTGAAGGCCTGAGGGGTCCTTATAGGTGTAATATGGATGGCCATGGAGCTGCTATGGCTTCAGGCTTTATATATATGAGGTATTGCTGTCTATTCACAGTATTCTCTGACCTTTAAATTTATGTGGCTTAAAATCTATTTTCAATGCATAAACATTTGTATATTTTTCCAGGTGAACAATGTACTACCTAGATGTATAATAATTTAAATTTAGTGTAAAATGAGATTTTTTACAACAAATTATATATTTCCAAAAACTTTAAAATGTTTAAACTCTACATAGGCATATGGTGGTCTACTATATATAAAAGGTTTCTGGGAACTATTTAAGAAGATAAAAATAGAGCCACTGACATGTATTTGTACTGTATCTTTGGGAAAACAATTTCAGCGTAATATATACTTGTAAAAAGTGAATTAGTAAAACTATTCTGGCCGGGCACAGTGGCTCACACCTGTAATCCCAGCACTTTGGGAGGCTGAAGTAGAAGGATTGCTTGAGCCCAGGGGTTCAGACCAGCTGGGCCACATGGTGAGACTCCATTTCTACAAAAAATAGAAAAGTTAGTCAGGCATAGTGGCACACACCTGTAGTTCTAGCTACTCAGGAGGCTGAAGTGGGAGGATTGCTTGAGCCCAGGAGTACAAACAAAAACAAAAAAAACTTTATTCCTCCAAGTTTAAAAAGTGCAGCTTGCTTACTTGTTGACAAGCTGCTGAATATAGAATGAACAGTAATAGAGTCTACTGGGTTTTAGGTTCCAGCTACCATGAAAAACTATTAAGGAACTATAAATAGAAAAGAAAAAATGGACTCATAAAGACTTTGTTCATTTCCTTCTAAAATATCCCTAGCTTATTAAGTGTCTCCATTAAGGCTTCCGTACCCACTGACAATATTTCTTGATTCTCTGTAAATGACACTAAGAAAATTCTAGATGCTATAGCTCTTCTATAGTAACTACATGGAATAGACAGCTTAAGTTAGGAAATTACATTGCCTTTTGAGCACACCAGCAATCCTACCTCTGTGTGCTTTGAGGAAACTAGTGTAGCACCTCCTCTTTTTGTACAACTTTAACATATGTTTCAGGTCTCATGTCAAATACCAGATACAATTTGTCAATTTATTGATCACATTTTGTAACATCAGTAAAAGTCTAAATAAAATCAACCAGAAGATAATAGGCTACACCAATTGTTAATGAACAGAGGTTTATTTGGAAAGATTGTTCCAGGATTCAGAGCCAGCTAACAATAGCTCTAGGAACCCAATTTATTGTCGATGAGAGATTCTCACCTTATGCCTCGTCAGCTAGAGGACCTAAAGTCTATAACGTCTCCTAAAGCTGGGAAAAGCCTGAGAGGCCCAGGTTGATACGCCTATGTGTAACAGGATAGAGAGAAGGAACCAAAGTAAAAAGGCAACAACAACTGCCTCAGCATATGAGTTCTTGATTTGGAAAAACCTGCACTGATGGTTCTTGTTCTCTGGTGTAATGCCTCCTATGCCTGCTCTCTTGGCTGTGTTGAAAAGCATACATACAGAGCTGTGCTCTTCATTTTCAAGATGATGTACTGATAAGGACCACAAGCCAGTGGCACTGGGAAAAAGGGATCCTAAGAGACTTTTTCTTATTAAACATACATTCAAAGTCAGTTATTTAATATTTTGCTTTTTGGACTCTTGGTAAGCCCAAATCTTGTTCTAAAAAGAGCAGACTTTTTTGTTTTGTTTTGTTTTGTTTGAGATAGTGTCTCACTCTCTCTCCCATTCTGGAGTGCAGTGGAGCGATATGGCTCACTGCAGCCACAACCTCCCAGGCTTGGGTGATCCTCCCACCTCAGCCTCCTGAGTAAGTAGCTGAGACTACATGTATGTACCACCACGCCTGGCTAAATTTTTGAATTTTTTTGTAGGGACGGAATTTTGCCATGTTGCCCAGGCTGGTCTCAAACTTCTGGGCTCAAATGATCTGGGTGCCTCAGCCTCCCTAAGTACTGGGATTACAGGCATGAGCCACCAGGCCTGACTTGTTTTTGTTTTTTTGTTGTTGTTGTTGCCCAAACTAGAGTACAGTAGGCTCAATCACAGCTCACTGCAGCCTCAACCTCCCACCTCAAGCAGTCCTTCCACCTCAGCCTCCCAAGTAGCTGGGATTGCAGGTGCATGCCACCACGCCCAGCTAATTTTTTTTTTTTTTTTATGTAGAGACGAGTCTCCCTGTGTTGCCCAGGCTGGTTTCCTGGGCTCAAATGATTCTCCCATCTCAGCCTCCCAAAGTGCTCAGATTAGAGGTGAGGCATGAGCCACCCAACCTAGCCTTTTTTTTTTTTTTTTTTTTAATACCTGCAAGCCACATTTATCTGCTATAGTGTTTACCAACCACACTCTGGGGCCTGAGGCTGTGTTTCAGTGAATGAAATATTAAAAAGTACTTTGTTTACTTGCTGACACAGTACAGTATTTGTATCTATTAATAGCATATTGTTATTGTTGGTTTTTTTTTTCGAAAAACACTTTATTGGAATAATATACTTAAAATGCAGGGAACTTTTAAAA
Source organism: Homo sapiens (assembly GCF_000001405.40). NCBI lineage: Eukaryota > Metazoa > Chordata > Mammalia > Primates > Hominidae > Homo > Homo sapiens. Next base: position 74,699,387 of record NC_000010.11, read on the forward strand.
ATAGAGTGAGGCCAGGCATGGTGGCTCACACCTATAATCCCAGCACTTTGGGAGGCCGAGGCAGGCGGATCACCTGCAGTCAGGAGTTCAAGACCAGCCTGGCCAACATGGTGAAACCCGTCTCTACTGAAAATACAAAAACTAGCTGGGTATAGTGGTGCATACCTGTAATCTCAGCTACTCAGGAGGCTGAAGCAGGAGAATCACTTGAACGCTGGAGGCGGAGGTTGCAGTGAGCCAAGATCACACCAGTACTCCAGCCTGGATGACAGAGGAGACTCTCAAAAACGATAATAATAATTATAAAATAGAGGGTGAAAGACCAAACATCCTATAGAAAAATAAGCAAAAGATAAAAATTAATTCACAGAGAGATTTGTTCTTTAAAGATATATAAAAAGATGTTCAGCTTCACTTAATAAGAGAAATCCAGATTAAAATTATACTGAAATATTTCTAACCCATCGGACTGGCAAAAATTCAAAAGCTGGACAGTGTACTATATTGGTGAAGTTGTGGGGAAATGGGCACTCTTACATTACTAGTAGAAATAGAAAATCCTTAAACCTCTATGAAGGAGAATCACTAATAAAACTATGTATGCATATAGTTACTCATTAACCTAGCAGTTCTACTTCTAGAATTTATCCTGAAGATACGCCCCTAATAACACAAAAATACATATGTAAAATTTTATTCATTGTAGCATTGTTTATATTTCCAAAACATTGGAAACTATGTAAATGCCCACACATAGGAGATAGATTAAACTACAGTGTATTTATACATGGAGATACTATGTAGCTGTAAAAAAGAATGAAGAAAATCTCTACCAATTGATGTATAATGATTACCAGGAGATTTTGGTCTCTGACTACAGGAGTCTCGCTCTGTCACCCAGGTTGGAGTGCAGTGGCGTGATCTCGGCTCACTGCAACCTCTGCCTCCTGGGTTCAAGCGATTCTTCTGCCTCAGCCTCCCAAGTGGCTGGGATTACAGGCACCCGCCACCACACCCGGCTAATTTTTGTATTTTTAGTAGAGACAGGATTTCACCACGTTGGCCAGGCAGGTCTCAAACTCCCGACCTCAGGTGATCCACCCGCCTCAGCCTCCCAAAGTGCTGGGATTACAGGCGTGAGCCATGGCACCCAGCCTCCAAGAGATACTTTTAAGTGGAAAAAAAGCAAAGTGTAAGAGAGCATATATAGTGTATTACCTCCTTTTGTGTTAAAACAAAAAAAAAAAGAAAAGAAAAAGAAAGAAAAGGAAGAAAATGTACATACATCTGCTTACCTTTACTAAAAGAATACAGGAAGATAAACCAGAAAACAGTGAAAGTGGTTGCTTAAAGGGATGGTGAGGAGGACATGGTAAAGAGAGTCACTCTTCTTTGAGCATATCTTTTATAGAATTTTTACTTTTAGAAACATGTTAATGTTCTACATATTTTTTAAATATTAAATCAATAAGGATAGAATGTAAGAAATGGGACTAAAACTGAAAGCAAACTGAAAAACATGAACCCAACTATTTCCAATCTTTTCTTAAGTAAAATGAGCTCCCCAAAGGGGGTAAAAAAGAGAACCAATCTAAGTTACATGCTGAACACAGTATTTGACTACACCAGAGAACAGAAAATTAACCCTAAACTCTTTTTAGTAGATTTGGATTTTTTTCTTTTAAAGTTAGGGATGAAGTGACTTGGAAACTATTTTAGATGTATTACAAAAGTGAGTAAACAAATAAATTTGTTGATATTTTTGGGAGCTAGGTTCTCACTATAAAAGAAGGAACATACAAATAATGGGATGAGGAAAGGCAAGAAAGAACCCTGTGGAGATGGACTAGAATTGGAAGTACTGGTGTCAGCTCAATTTCTAAAATAGGTCTCTGTACACATGTATACGTATACAGTTATGGATGTAAGTGTGTGTGTGTGCATGACTATGTATACATGCATACTTCCCAGCTCTGTTCATTAACATGGTCTAGAAGCAAAGAGCACAGCTGCCACCCAGATCTTGGTCTCTAATACCATTCTGTGCTAAAAAGAACCAGTTATCCTCAGATAAATGGCTGATTCCAGGGCATAGTAGAGCCCAGAACATTATGCCAGAACATAAAGAAGGGATCAAAAATAATGTGATGGCATATCCAATGACACGGGAGCCACCAGCCTGAACGGCTCCCACTGGCAAAAACTGGAATATTTTAAGGACCAAATTAATTAAGGGCTGTAAGGGATTATAAACCATTGATTTAAAAAGAATTGTGGGCCAAGCATGGTGTCTCACACCTGTAATCCCAGCACTTTGGGAGGCTGAGGTGGGCGGATCACCTTAGGTTGGGAGTCTGAGACCAGCCCGTCCAACATGGTGAAACCCTATCTCTACTCAAAATACAAAAATTAGCCAGGCATGGTGGCTCATGTAGTCCCAGCTGCTACTTGGGAGACTGAGGCAGGAGAGTCACTTGAACTGGGGAGGTGGAGGTTGCAGTGAGCTGAGATCGTACCACTGCACTCCAGCCTCGGTGACAGAGCAAGACTCCACCACACAAATAAAATAAAAATAATTGTGCATTCTTATTGATAATAAATAGATTTTAAAATAATAAATGGGAGAAGAGGTAGGCTCTTGTTTATGGTAGAATGGTGAGGGCTGACTGGTAAATGTGAAAATCATTTCACAGCTGCAGTTGGAAAATCATCACAGTATGAGTTGCTTCAGTTAAAAATTATGAGTGGATACTCAATCTGGGAGGGGGTTGGGACTTTTGATAAAGAACAGAATATTTATGTGATTTTTTTTTTTTTTTGAGATGGAGTCTCTGTCGCCTCGGCTGGAGTGCAGTGGCGTGATCTCAGCTCACTGCAACCTCTGCATCCCGGATTCAAGCGATTCTCCTGCCTCAGTTTCCCAAGTAGCTGGGACTACAGGCACCCGCCACCATGCCCAGCTAATTTTTGTATTTTTAGTAGAGACAGGGTTTCATCATATTGACCAGGCTGGTCTTGAACTCCTGACCTTGTGATCCGCCCCCCTCGGCCTCCCAAAGTGCTGAGATTACAGGCAGGAGCCACCATGGCCAGCCTAATTTGATTTGAGGATTTGCTCAGTCTGTCTTCCTTCCTTCTTTCCTTCCTTCCTTCCTTCCTTCCTTCCTTCCTTCCTTCCTTCCTTCCTCTCTCTCTCTCTGGTCTCTTTCTTTCTTTTTTCTTTTTTTTTGAGATGGAGTTTTACTCTTGTTGCCCAGGCTGGAGTGCAGTGACATGATCTCGGCTCACTGTGACCTCTGCCTCCTGAGTTCAAGCAGTTCTCCTGCCTCAGCCTCCCAAGTAGCTGGGATTACAAGCAAGTGCCATAACACCTGGCAAATTTTTGTATTTTTAGTAGAGACGAGGTTTCACCATGTTGGCCAGGCTGGTCTCAAACTCCTGACCTCATGATCTGCCTGCCTCGGACTCCCAAAGTGTTGGGATTACACGTGTGAGCCACCGTGCCTGGCCTATGTGATCTTAAATTGTCTATTCACAAACTGCTTGTTAGATGCAAGGGAAAAAATAGGTACTATACAATGGAGAAGTAGGACAACACCTTGATCAGGTGGTCAGAATTCCTATCACCAGTGCACAGCAGATGGACATGATGTGCCTCTAAATGTGACACTTTGAGAAGGATCCATCATAATGTGTGTAGTAGTCTGCCTGGGTGTGCATAGTCTGAACTTAATCATGAGAAAATATTAGACAAATCCAAAATTAGAATCAGTCTATTAAAAATGGGAAAATAAATAAGTAATGGGATAAGCGCGTCAGACACAGTGGCTCACACCTGTAATCCCAGCACTTTAGGAGGCTGAGGCGGGTGGATTGCTTGAGTCCAGGAGTTCGAGACCAGCCTGGGCAACATGACAAAACCCCATCTACTAAAAGTACAAAAAAATTAGCCAGGCGTTGTGGTGTGCACCTGTGGTCCCAGCTACCCGGGAGGCAGAGGTAGGAGAATCACCTGAGCCTAGGGAGTTGAGGCTGCAGTGAGCCAAAAAAAATTATGCCACTGCACTCCAGCCTGGGCAATCAGAGTAAGACCCTGTCTCAAATAAATAACAAATAAATTAAAAATGAGGTGAGGTAAGTTATGACTATATTCTTCAAAAATGTCCGTATCTCAAAAGTCAAAATCTGAGGAAATGTTCCAGATTTTTAAAAACTATAAAGATACCACAGTTAAATCCTGAACTAGACTCTGTTCCAGAGGAGAAAATTTCCATAAAGGATATTATTGGGTAATTGACTAAATTGAAATATGGACAGTAGATTAGATAACAGTGTTACTGAAGTTGATGTTGATGTCCACACTGTAGCTATGTAAGAGAATATCCTTATTCTCAGAAAAGATACACTGAAGTTTTCAGAAGTAAAAAGACATTGTAAATGTAACTTCCTCTCAAATAGTTCAGGGAAATAAAATTGTATGCAGAGAAAGAGTACATGCAAATGGTGCAAAATGTTAACAATATTGTGCACCTGGGTAGATGATATGCAGATGCTTTTTGTACTATTTTTATTCCTGCAACTTTTTTCTGAATTTGGAATCCTTTTCAAATAAAATACATTTTAAGCAGGCTAATAATTAAAAATCTAAACTAAGATTATATTGGGAAACATTATGCTAAGTGAAATAAGCTAGACACAAAAAGACAAATATTGTATGATCTCACTTATATGAGGTACCTAGAATAGGCAAATTTATAGAGACAAAAGTAGAGTAGCAGTTACCAGGGGCTAGAAGTAAAGAGGAGTGGGGAGTTATTGTTTAATGGGTACAGAGTTTCTTTTGGGGTGATGAAAAACTTCTAAAAATGCATAGAGGTAGTAGTTGCACATTGTGAATGTACTTAATGTCACTGAATTGTGCATTTAAAATTTGTTAAAATAGTAAATTTTATGTTACGTATATTTTTCAAAATAAAAAAGTATCTTGGGGATGTTTACTTCCATTATAAAAGGATTCCCTACAATTATTTAAATATAAGCTCCCTTTGTTTATTTAAACAATTTTATACAGCTTTCAAGATTCACATCAGATACTTTTTGAAGATTCCACTTATAACTGATTATGTAGTATCTGTATTTCATTTTAGTTGGTTTTTAAAAATAGATTATTGAAAAACTGACATTCACCTTGGGCAAAGGTCTTAGCTTTTTTCAGCATCCAGGTTCTCCACTTGTCAAAGCAAAAGATTCTTCAGAATACTTCATTCATCATCTAGTTCTCTTAGAAAAAGGATGCTGGTGGTTTTGCTTCACAAAAATATTTCATAAACATGAGCTTTTTCTTTTTCTCACAATGATCATACCAGGCGGAATGAAGAAAACAGATGTTGCTTATAAGGCGTCTAATAGACATGTTTGCATTGTAAGCTGATCTGACTCTGAATTTGGCATCTGCTCCATTCACTGTGTGGACTGAGCATTTTCGCCTCACAGTTTGGCAGAAAAGTTAATATTGACTTTTGACTGTTACCTGAAAACTTGGTGATAAAATACTCTTACTAAACCTCTTGAGAGAGTGATTTTACAGTCTCAGCAAATGTCTTTAAAATACATCATTCTATTAACCATTTTAATTTTATTCTTTGGTTGGGAATACTTATTTGTTTCATCTAATACAGAGCATTCCCCAAATCTGACTGGGAAAAGTCTGTGTGGTCAGAATGGTAGAAGAAGGAGGACATAAATCACTTATAATGTTCTCTACAGGTCATTATACCACAGCTTCTCAATTAACCTTCATCCCCCTCAGGCTGCCCAGGGCCTCAGGGAAGGCCCAGAAGCCTAGCTGCAGCACAGTTTCTCATTATTATCTGCTCTTCTGAGTATTTGAGTGTTAACTGCAGCAGCTCAGCAGCTCAGGTTTCCCCTAAGGGGAAGGTAGCCCAGATTCTTCTGCTCTTGACCTGTCTTATTTGCAATTATCCTTTTTTTCTTTTTTCACAGTTTTATTGTGGCATAATAGACATACAATAAACGGTATGAATCTAAAGTTTACAATTGTATAACTTTGGACATATGTGTACACCCATGAAACCATCACTATGGACATATCCACTGCTCCCATGGCCTTTTCTAATCATGCCTTCCTGCTCCTTCTCATCCCCTTTTGGATTGTTTCCAGTTTGGGGCTATTACAAATAAAGCTGCTGTGAACATTCATTTACAAGTCTTTGTGTGGATATGTGCTTTCACCTACCTTGGGTAAATACCTAGAAATAGAACGGATCATATGATATGCACATGTTTAGCTTTTTAAGACTGACAGATGGTTTGGGAAAGTGGTCTTAGCATTTTACATTCCCACAATTAGTGTGTGAGAGTTCCAGTTGATCACACCCTTGCCAACACTTGTTATAGTCAGTCTTTTCAGTTTTAGCCATTCTGCGAGTGTGCAGTGGTATCTAATTGTGATTTTAATTTGCATTTCTTTAATGAATAATGATATTGAACATTTTTTCATTTGCTTATTTGGCATCTATCTTCTTTGCTAAAATGTTAAATACTTTTGCCTACTTTGTGTTGAGTTGTTTCTTGTTATTGAGGTACCAAGTATTTAATTGTGACAAAGTTCAGATTATTTTTTCTTCTATAAAAGTTGCATTCTTAGCCAAGTGTGGTAACTTATACATGTAATCCCAGTGCTTTGGGAGGCCAAGGCGGGCAGATTACTTGAGCCCAAGAGTTCAAGACCAACCTGAGCATCTCTACAAAAAAATGCAAGAATTAGAGGAAAGCTGAGGTGGGAGAAGAGCTTCAGCCCAGAAGGTCGAGGCTGCAGTGAGCCATGAGTGTGCCACTGCACTCCAGCCTGGGTGATAGTGAGACACTGTCTCAAAAATAAATAAATTTTTAAAAAAGAAAAGTTCATACTTTTTACCTCTTACTAAGTGATCTTTAGCAAACCCAAGATCACTAAGATTTTCTTCTATGTTTTCTCCTCAAGAGTTTTAGGATTTTATTCCTTACATTTATGTCTGTGATTCATTTCAAGTGAATTTTTGTAGATAGTGTAAGGTAAAGGTTGAAATGCTTTTTTTTCACACAATTTGTTAAAGTGTCCTTTCTTGATGGGATTGTTTGGGCACCTGTGTCAAAAATCAGTTGGCTATACAGAAGTAGGTTTATTTCTGGACTCTGTTCAGTTCCATTGATCTATTTGTCTATATGCTAATACCATAGTGTCTTGGTTATTATCATTCTATAATAAATTTTGAAATCAGGTAGTATAAATCCTCTGGCTTTGTTCTTCTTTTTCAAAGTTGAGTTTTTGCTAACCTAGGTCCTTTGAATTTCCATATAAATTTTAGAAGCAGCTTGTCAGTTTCTATAAGAAAAATCTGCTAGAATTTTTATTAGTATTCCAATGAATTAATAGAAAAATTCCTGCAGAACTGATAATATTGAATCTTCTGACCTTTGAACACTTTATGTCTATTTATTTAGGCTTCTTTTATATTTCTCAGCATTGTTTTGTCATTTTCAATGTGCAGGCCCTACACAACTTCTGTCAGATTTATTCTAAGGTACTTCAAATATTTGAAGTATGTGAAGTACCTTAGAATAAATATGGATAAATATTCTTAACTTTTTAATCAATTTTTGTTTTTGAGACAGGGTCCTACTCTGTTACCCAGGTTGGGGTGCAGTGATATGATCATAGCTAACCACAGCCGCAACCTTCCAGGCTTAAGCAATCCTCTCACCTCAGCCTCCTGAGTAGCTAGGTCTACAGGCATGCACCAACATGCATGGCTAATTTTTGTATTTTTTGTAGAGACAGGATTTCGCCATGTTGCTCATGCTGGTCTCAAACTCCTGAGCTCAAGCAATTCACCCATCTTGGCCTCTCAGAGTGCTGGGATTATAGGCATGAGCCACGATGCCTGGCTTATTCTTAGTAACTTCTAATTGTTCATTGCTCGTATGTATAATTATATATACACATTACCAGTATAGATAATTTACTTTTGTATTTTTAGTAGAGACGGTGTTTCACCATGTTGATTTTGAGACCCTATCAACATATGCTTCCCTGGCTGGGTGTGGTGGCTCACGCCTGTAATCCCAGCACTTTGGGAGGCCAAGGCAGGCGGATCACCTGAGGTCAGGAGTTTGAGAACAGCCTGGCCAACATGGTGAAACCCCATCTCTACTAAAAATACAAAAATTAGCTGGGCGTGATGGAAGGCACCTGTAATCCCAGCTACTCGGGAGCCTGAGGCAGAAGAATGGCTTGAACCTGGGAGGCAGAGATTGCAGTGGGCCAGGATCATGCCATTGCACTCCAGCCTGGGCAACAAGAGTGGAACTCCACCTCAAAAAAAAAAAAAAAAAGGAAGACCAGATTGACTTGATGGCAAGTTGTTGTGTCTCAACTTGAGCTCTTTAGAATAAATATTAGGGGAAGCTCATGATGTTTGGGAAAAGATCTCCCGACCGGGCACAGTGGCTCAACACCTGTAATCCCAGGCCAAGGCAGGCAGATCACGAGGTCAGGAGTTTAAGACCAGCCTGGCCAGCATGGTGAAACCCCATCTCTACTGAAACTACAAGAATTAGCTAGGCATGGTGGTGCATGCCTGTAGTCCCAGCTATTCAGGAGGCTGAGGCAGGAGAATTGCTTGAACCTGGGAGGCGGAGGTTGCAGTGGCCAAGATGATGCCACTGTACTCCAGCCTGCGTGACAGGGCAAGACTCCATCTCGGGGAAAAAAAAAAAAAAAAAGACCTCCCTAACGGTAACGCACAAGACTTTCTCTTACTGTCAAGGCTGAAGAATGAGACAGGTGCTTAGATCATATATTGGTCTGACCCAATATGACATTTCTGCTGCTGTTATACAATACTCATGTGTTTTTTTTTGCCTGTGTTCTAGGTTTTCTGTCTCAACTGGTCTCTGACAAGCCTCTGACTGAATGTATCCGTGCTGGCCACTATGCAGCAAGCATCATAATTAGACGGACTGGCTGCACCTTTCCTGAGAAGCCAGACTTCCACTGATGGAAGAGCTGAAAACACAAGCCCAGGAGTGCAGACACTGCCCTAATTGCTTCCTGAGAATTCCCATATTAATAAAGAAGAAAATTATCTGCCATTTTTTCCTACTATAATAATGCTGAATCTTAATTTAGAGGGTACAAGGGTATGGTAATGCTTGTAGAATCTTTATTATCTCAACAATCTAAAAAATGATGTTTATTTCCATAGTTTGATAGTGCCACTTAAATGCCAATTAAACAAGAATATAACATTTCAATAGAAATTTTTATTTCATTTTCAATTACTTTGTAAATTCGTGTGTATTTAGTACACTGATTTGTTTTTTTACATTTCTGCTTTGAATGCAGATGCAATTTAATATAATAGATTTTTTAATGAATTAATCTTAACATAGTAATCTTTAGCTTTTTATACAAATATATTTAATTTAGGAGTATATGTGTGTCTATACACACACATACATAAATATACCACATATACACCTGATAGTCAAATAAGGTACAGAAATTTTATCTTGTCAATTATGCCAAATAATCTCTTTAATGTGCACTCAAACATGTAATAAACTTTGGATAATTAAATAATGTGCCAAATTTAAGTTGTACCACAATATTCAAATCATAGTCTTATGGAACTCTGTAATTGGACACAAACAAAAACTTGTCATATAGGAATTTTTTTCTGTCTTTTCCCTGTGTACAGCAAACTGAGGAAGAAAGATCATTATTTAATACTGGGCCCTGAAATGACACCCAATTTGTTAATGGAATTATGAAGAACAGCAATATAATACACTGAAGAATAACTTAGTATCAGAGACCAATAAATCACTTTTTTAAGGATGACAAAATGGTATAATTGGACTTCTGGAGTCAGACTTTATATGACCTTAGGTAAATCTTCGAACCTCAGTTTCCTTTTTGTAAAATGAGATAATAACCCTTACATAGAAGGTCATTGAGATGATTTGAGCGAGATTACCAAGTATAAGATATTTGTTATAATGCCTTGTAAATGCTTTATAAGTAGCTGCTGTTATTATCATTATGATTATTTTCTTTTTGAAGAAAAAAAGATAATGTTTGTAAAACTGAATTCAAATCATAGGAAAGGATTTGGCCAGGCGCTGCAGCTCATGCTTGTAATCCCAACACTTTGGGAGGCCAAGGTGGGAGGATCACTTGAGCCCAGGAGTTCAAGACCAGCCTGGGTAACAAAGTGAGGCCCCACCTCTACAAAAAAATTTTTAAATTATCCAGCCACAGGCTGGGCACAGTGGCTTACACCTGTAATTCCACCACTTTGGGATGAGGCAGGTATCACTAGAGGTCAAGAGTTCAAGACCAGCCTGGCCGCCATGTTGGTGAAACTCCATCTCTATTAAAAATACAAAAATTAGCCAGGCATGGTGGTGGATACCTGTAATTCCAGCTACTTGGGAGGCTGACACAGGAGAATTGCTTGAACCCAGGAGGCGGAGGTTGCAGTGAGGCAAGATCACACCACTGCACTCCACCCTGAGCAATAGAGTGAGACTCCATCTCAAAAAAAAAAAAAAATTACCTGTGGTGGTTTGCACTTATAGCTACTCGGGAGGCTGAGTTGGGAGGATCACTTGAGCCCAGGAGTCTGAGGCTACAGTGAGCCATGATCACACCCATGTACTCCAGCCTGGGCAACAGAGCAAGACCTTGTCTCAAATAAATAAATATATAAAGTCAAAAACTTGTATGTTGAACTATAGAAAGTTGAGTACTATCTGTAGTGCAATTAATTTAAATATAAAGTAATTTGATATTTTACAGTGGTGCCAAAGTGATCCAATGGGGAAAGGAAAATCTTTTCAACAGATGATGCTATAAAAACTTGATATTCATAAGGAAAAAAATGAATCTTTGACCCTGATCTCATACCATACAAAAAATTAGAGATAAAACATGGTCACAACATAACAGCTAAAACTATTAGACTTAAAGAAGAAAACAGGGGAATATTTTCACAAGTTGGGGTAAGCAAAAGTCCTTGGAAAGAACCATGAGAGCATGAGAGCACTAACCATATAACAAAAATATTGATAAATTAGATTTCAAAAAATTAGAACTTTATGTTCATCAAAAGATACCATTAAGATACCCCATAGGCCAGGATACAATAATCACAACACATATATCTGAACTTATATTCAGAATGTATCTTAATACTCTTACAACTCAAAAATACAGATACTTTACAAAAGAAGATATATGAATCACTAAGAAGTACATGATAAAGTATTCAACATTGTTATCATGGGAGAAATGAATGTTAAGACCTCATTGAGAATACTACTACACTAGAATGACTAAAATTAAAATGACAACACCAAATGTTGGAGAGGACATGGAGCAACATTGCCGATGGACTGAACAACCACTGAACATTGCTGATGTAAACTGAACAACCACTTTGGGAAAAGGCCCTCAAGTTTTTCATAAAAAAGTAAACATACACCTATTCGTTCATCCAGTTGTTTCACTTCTGTGTATTTACCCAACGGAAGTGAAAGTATATGTCCGCCAAAGGACTTGCAGCAGTTTTATTCATCATTGCCAAAAACTGGAAAGGGATAGTTGTCCATCAACAGGAGAGCAGATAAACTGATATATTCAAACAGTGGAATAATACTTAGCAAAAGATGACCGAGTGTGATGGCCCATGCCTGTAATCCCAGCAATTTGGGAGCCTGATGTGGGAGGATCACTTGAGCCCAGGAGTTAAGACCAGCCTGGACAATATAGTGAGGACCCCATCTCTACAGAGAAAAAGCAAAATTATCTGGGCATGGTGATGCACACCTGTATTAGCTACCCAGGAGGCTGAGGTAGGAGAATTGCTTGAGCCCAGAAGGTCAAGACTGCAGTGAGCCATGACTGGGTCACTGCACTCTAACCTGGGTGACAGACGGAGACCCTGTCCCAAAAAGAAAAAATAGCAAAAGGAAGAAATTAACTGCTGATAAAACAACATGAATCAGTTCAACAATAAAAAAAACCTTACTGAGTTAAACCAGATACAAAAGCATACAAACTGCGAGATTCTATGTATTTGAAAGTCTAGAACAAGCAAAACCAACCTATAGTGAAAAAGAGCAGTGGTTGCCTTTGTAGGGGAGGAGGAAAGTGGAAACTGACTAGAAAGGGTCGTGAGGGGACTTTCTGAACTGATGATGATATGCCGCATCGTAATAGGATTACACAGTTACATGCATTTGTCAATGCTCAGGAAATAGCCCACTTAAGTTGTGATTTCATTATATTTAGGTTTTACGTCACACACACAAAAAGAATTATAGGCTGGCCATGGTGGCTCACACCTGTAACCCCAGAACTTTGGGAGGCCAAGGTGGGTGGATCACTTTAGCCCAGGAGTTCGAGACCAGCTGGGCAACATGATGAAACGCCATCTCTACAAAAAAAAAAAAATACAAAAATTAGCTGGGCATGGTTGTGCATGCCTGTGATCCCAGATACTCAGGAGGCTGAGATGGGAGGATCACTTGATCCCCGGAGGTTGAGGGTGCAGTGAGCCTTGATTGCACAATTGTATTCCAACCTGAGGGAAAGCCTGCCTCAAAAAAAAAAAAAAAAAGAATTATACGCAAATAATGAATTCTAGTTAAATAAAATACATACTGATAGAGATAAAGTGTACTGAGGTTTTCAACCTATGGTAAAGTGCATCAAGAAATAAACACAAAGAGGGAGATGAGTAGATGAAAGCTAAGGTAAATATAACAAAATTTTTTGAGACAGGGACTTAATCTGTTGCCCAGGCTGGAGTGCCGTGGCACCGTCTCGGCTCACTACACAACCTCCGCCTCCTGGGCTCAAGCAATTCTCATGCCTCAGCCACCCTAGTAGCTGGAATTATAGGCATGTGTCACCACACCTGTCTAATTTTTGTATTTTTAGTAGAGATGGGGTTTTGCCATGCTGGCCAGGCTGGTCTCACTCCTGGCCTCAAGCGATCCTCCCACCTCAGCCTCCCAAAGTGCTGGGATTAAAGGTGAGAGCCACTGCACTCAGCCAATTTCCTATTTTTTAAAAGGCTGAATAGTATTCAATTGTGTATATAGATTACATTCTAAAAATTAATTTATCCATTGATGGGCACTTTGGTTGTTTCCATGTCTTGGCTATTGTGAATAATGCTGCTGGGAGCATGAAAGAACAGACATATCTGTGACATACTGATTCCAGTTCCTTTGGGTATATGCCCAAGAAGTGGGATCGTTGGATCATGTGGTAATTATATTTTTAGTTTTTTAGGAACCTCCATGCTGTTTTCCAAAATGACTGTACTAATTTACAATATCACCAACAGTATGCAAGTCTTCCCTTTTCTCCACATCACCAGCATTTCTTATCTTTTGTGTTTTTGATAATAGCCAGTCTAACAGGTGAGAGGTGATACCTCATTGTGGTTTTAATTTGCATTTCTCTGATGACTAGAGATCTTGAGCATTTTTTCACGTATTTGTTGGCCATTCATATGTTTTCTTTTGCAAAATGTCTATTCGTGTCTTTTTCACATTTTAAATAGGGTTATTTGTTTTCTTATTACTGAGTAGTTTTGAGTTCCTTATATATTTTGAATATTAGCCCCTTACGTGATGTATCATTTACAAATATTTTCTTCCAATCCGAGGGGTGTATTTTCACTTTATTAATTCTTTACTATGCTGAAGCTTTTTAGTTTGATGTAATCCTATTTTTCTACTTTTGTTTTCATTGCCTGTGCTTGTGGAGTCATATTCAGAAAACTGCTCTCCAGATCAATGTCATTAAGTTTTTCTCCTCTTTTCTTCTAGTAGTTTTATAGTTTCAGATGTTACATTTAACTCTTTACACTCTGTTGCCCAGGTTGAAGTGCAATAGTGCAATCACGGCTCACTGCAGCCCCAACCTCCCAAGCTCAAACAATCCTCCCACCTCAGCCTCCCAAGTAGCTGAGACCACAAGCATGCACTGCCACACCCAGCTAATTTACTTTTATTTGTTGTATAGATGGGGTCTCCCTATGTTTCCCAGGCTGGTCCCAAACTCCTGGGCTCAAGTGATCCTCCCACCTCAGCTCCCCAAAGTGCTGGCATTACACAGCACCTGGCAAAGTTGTTCATTGTATGAGGTGAGATAAGGAGCTATTTTCATTCTTCCATTTATGGATATCCACATATGGAAGAATGGAAGTTTTCTCAGCACCATTTATTGAAAAGACTGTCCTTTCCCCATTGTGTGTTCTTGGCACCTTGTCATAAATCAATTGACCATAGATGTATGGATTTATTTCTGGAATCTCTGTCCTATTCTGTTGGTCAATATGTCTGTTTTTAATGCTAGTACCATACAGTTTGGTTACTATAGCTTTCTAATAGATTTTGAAATCCAGTAGTGTGATGCCTCCTCCTTTGTTCTTTTTAGTCAAGATTGCTGTGGTTATTCAGGTCTTAGGTGCTTCTATATAAATTTTAGGATTTTTTTTCCTCTTTCTGTGAAGAATAGTATTGGAGGCCAGGTGTAGTGATTCATGCCTGTAATCTCAGCACTTTGGGAAGCTGGGGCAGGCAGATTGCTTGAGCTCAGGAGTTTGAGACCAGCCTGGGCAACAAAGTAAGACCCCATGTCTACAAAACATACAAAAATTAGCCAGATGTAGTGGCATGCACCTATAGTCCCAGCTACTCAGGAGGCAGAGGTGGGAGGATGGCTTGAGCTTGGGAGGCAGAAGTTGCAGTGAGCACTCCTGCCTGGGCAATAGAGCAACACCCTGTCTCAAAAAAAAAAAATAAATAAAATAAAAAGAATGACACTGGAATTTTGATAGGGATTGCATCACTTTGGGTAGTATGGACATTTTTTAAATATTAATTATTCCGATGCATGAACAAAGGATATCTTTCCACTTATTTATGTCTTTAGTTTCTCTTTTAACATATTTAATGTTTCCAACTGATTCTTAAATTTCTTTCATCAATGTTTATAGTTTTTAGTATATAGATCTTTCACTTCCTTGGTTAAATTTACTCCAAAGTAATTTATTCTTTTGTTGCTATTGTAAATGGGATTGTTTTCTTATTTTTTTTCAGATAGATCATTGTTAGTATATGAAAGTGCTACTCTTTTGTATGTTGATTTTGTATCCTGCAACTTTACTTCATTCATTTATCAGTTCTAATATTTTTTGGGTGGAATCTTTTGGATTTGGTATATATAAAATTCTATCATCTACACAGACAATTTCACTTTTTCCTTTCCTATTTGGATGCCTTTTCTTTTCTTTTCTTTTCTTGCCTAATTACTCTGGCTAGCACTTGTAGTACCATTTTGAGCCAAAGTGGTGGGAATGGGCATCTTTGTCTTGTTCTTGATCTTAGAGGAAAATCCTTCAACTTTTTATCACTGAGTATAATATTAGCTGTGGCCCGGTCATATATGGCCTTAACTGTATTGAGGAACATTCTTTCTATACCTAACTTGCTGAGAGTTTTTATCATAAATAGATCTTGAATTTTGTCAAATGTTTTTTCTGCATCTATTGAGATGATCACATGGTTTTTGTCTTTCATTCTGTTAATATGATGAATCACATTTATTGATTTGAATATGTTTAATCAGCCTTACATCCCAGGGATAAATCCCATTTGATCATGGTAAATGATCCTTGAATATACTATTGAATATGCTTTGCTAGTATTTTGTTGAGGATTTTTTACATTTATGTTCATCATTGATATTGGCTGGTAGTTTTATTTACTTGTAGTGTCTTTGTCTGGCATTGGTATTAGGTTAATGATGAACTTGTTTAGAAGTATTCCCTCCTCTTCAATTTGGTGGAAAAATTTGAGAAGGATTGGTATTAGTTCTTCTGTAAATGGTAAAATTCAGCCATGAAGTCATCTGATCCTGGGCTTTTTTTTTTTTTTTTTTTTTATGGGAGACTTAATTACAGACTGAATCTACTTACTCATTATTGGTCTGTTCAGACTTCCAATTTCTTCATGATTCAGTCTTGGTAGGTTATATGTTTCCAGGAATGTACCATTTCTTCCAGATTGTTCAATTTTTTTGGTGTTCATAGTACTTTTTTATGATCTTTTGTATTTCTGTGTGTGTTATCAATTGTAATGTCTCCTCTTCCACTTTTATTTTCTTTTTTGTCACCCAGGCTGGAGTGGAGTGATGTGACACAACGCACTGTAACCTCAGACTCCTAGGCTCAAGTGATCCTCTGCCTGCATTAGCCTCCCAGTTGGCTAGGACTACAGGTGCTCACTACCACACCCAGCTCACTTTTTTATTTTTTGTAGAGACAGGGTCCTGCTATGTTTTCCAGGCTGGGCTCAAACTCATCTTCCCACCTTGACCTCCCAAACTGCTGTAATAACAGGTATGAGCCACCGTGCCTGGCCCCATTTTGTTTATTTGAGTCTTCTCTCTTTTCTTTTTTTGTTTTTGTTTTTGTTTTTGAGACAGAGTTTCACTCTTGTTGCCCAGGCTGGAGTACAATGGCGCGATCTCGGCTCACCGCAACCTCCGCCTCCCAGGTTCAAGCGATTCTCCTGCCTCAGCCTCCCTAGTAGCTGGGATTACAGGCATGTGCCACCACGCCCGGCTAATTTTGTATTTTTAGTAGAGACGAGGTTTATCCACGTTGGTCAGGCTGGTCTCAAATTCCTGACCTCAGGTGATCTGCCCGCCTCGGCCTCCCAAAGTGCTGGGATTACAGACATGAGCCACCGTGCCCAGCCCTCTTTTATTTCTTATTCTAGCCAAGAGTCCATTTCATGGCTGGGTGTGGTGGCTCACACCTGTAATCCCAGCACTTTGGGAGGCCAAGATGTGTGGATCACCTGAGGTCAGGAGTTTGAGACCAGCCTGGCCAACATGGTGAAACCCCATCTCTACTAAAAATACAAAAATTAGCCAGGCATAGTGGCGGGCACTGTAATCCCAGCCACTTGGGAGGCTGAGGCAGGAGAATGGCTTAAGCCTGGGAGGCAGAGGTTGCAGTGAGCTGAGATCGTGCCATTGCACTCCAGCCTGGGTGACAGCGTGAGAATCCATCTCAAAAGAAAAAAAAAGAGTCCATTTCATTTAGCTTTTCAAAAACCAATTTTGTTGGTCTTTTCTATTTATTGTCTAGTCTCTAATCATTTATTTCTGCTCTGATCTTTGTTATTTCCTTCCTTCTGCTAGCTTTGGGCTTAGTTTGTTCTTCTTCTAGTTCTTTGAGGTGTTACATTTGTTTTTTTGATAACTTTTTTCATTTTGAAGGTAGACATTTTTTGCTATAAACTTTACTCTTAGAACTACTTTCACTGTATTGCATAAGTTTTGGTATGTTTTGTTTTCATTTTTGTCTCAAGACTTTTTAAAATTTCCCCTTTAATTTATTATTTGACTTAAAGAATAGGTAGAATGTTCTTTATATGTCAGTTAGGTTTATTTGGTCTGAAGTAGAGTTCAAGTACAATGCTTCCTTATTGATTATCTGTCTGAATGATCTGTCTGTTGTTGGAATTGAGATATTAAAATCCCCTACTATTATAGCGTTCCTCCAGTCTATGTGTTCCTTCAGATCTCTTAATGTTTGCTTTATATATTTAGGCGCTATGATGTTGGGTGTATATGTATTTACAATTATAATATTCTCTTGATTAACAGACCCCTTTATCACCATATATGACCCTCTTTGTCTCTATTTACAGTTTTTTTCTAAAGTCTATTTTATCAGGGCTGGGCACGGTGGCTCACGTCTATAATCCCAGCACTTTGGGAGGCCAAGGCAGGCCAATCATCTGAGTCAGGAATTCGAGACCAACCTAGCCAACATAGTAAAACCCCATCTCTACTAAAATACAAAAATTAGCCAGGCATGGTGGTGCATGCCTGTAGTCCCAGCTACTCGGGAGGCTGAGGCAGGAGAATTGCCTGAACCTGGGAGATGGAGGTTGTAGTGAGCCAAGATCATGCCAGTACACTCCAGCCTGGATGACAGAGCGAGACTCCATCTCAAAAAAACAAAACAAAAAAAAGGTATATTTTATCTGAAATAAGTGTAGCTACCCCTGCTTTCTTTTGGTTTCCATTTGCATAGAATATTTTTCCCATGTCTTCACTTTCCATCTATGAATGTCCTTTAAGGTGATATGAATCTCTCATAGGCTGCATATAGTTGGGTCTTGGTTTTTTGTTTTTTAAAATCCATTCAGACACTCTATGCCTTTTGATTGGATAATTTAATCCATTTATATTCAACATAACTTTACTAGGTAGGAATTTACCAGCACCATCTTGATCATTGCTTTCTTATTGTTTTGTAGATGCTTTGTTCCTTTCTTCCTCTATTGCTTTCTTCCTTTGTGGTTTGATGGTTTTCTGTAGTGGTATGCTTTGGGTCTTTTCTTTTTATCTCTTTTGTATCTATTGTAAGTTTTTGCTTTGTAGTTACCCTGAAACTTATATAAAACATCATATAAATGGCTACTTTAAGCTACTGACAATTTAACTTTGATTATTTATACAAACTCTACACTTGTACTCCCCCTCCTCCTATATTTTATATTTTTGTCAAAATTTACATCTTTTATTATTTGCATCTTAACAAATTATTGTAGCTCTAGTTGTTCATACTTTTGCTTCTTAACTTTTATACTACAGATATAATTGATTTACCCACTGCCCTTACCATATTAGAGTGTTTTGGATTTCACAACATACTTATTTTTACCAATGACTTTTATGCTTTTATATGTTTTAATGTTACTAAATAGCATCCTCTTCCTTCAGCATGAAGAAGTTCCTTTAGCATTTCTTGTAAGCCAGGTCTAGTGGTGATAAACTCTCTCAGCTTTTATTTGTCTGAGAACATCTTTATCACTCCTTCATTTTTGAAAGATAAGATTGCTGGGTATAGTATCATGGGTTGACAATTTTTTTTCTTTGAGGTTTTTGAATATGTCATACCGCTTCCTTCTAGCCTGCCTTTGCTGCTTCCCAAACTCTCTCTTTGTTTTAACTTTTACCAATTTGATTATGATGTGTCTCAGCATGAGTCTCTTTTGATTCATCCTATTTGGTTTCTTTTGGGCTTCCTGAATCAGGATTTCTATTTTCTTCACCCAGGCTTAGGAAGTTTTCTGCCATTATTACTTTGAAAATGTTTTCTGTCCTTTTATCTCTCCCCTCTCCTTCAGGTATACCAGTAATGCTTATGCTGTTACATTTGATGGTGTCCCATAAGTCTTTTAAGCTATCATTACTCTTTTAAGTTCTTTTTTGTTTTTGTTCCTCAGATTGGATGCTTTCTAATGATCCGTCTTTAAGTTAAATGATCGTTTCTTCTGCTTGATCTAGTCAGCTGTTGAATCCCTCTATTTAATTTTTCAGTTCAGTCATAGTATTATTCAGCGCTATGATTTCTGTTTGGTACTTTGTTTTCTTTTGGTTTTTGTTTTGTTTTGTTTTGTTTTGGAGACAGGGTCTTGCTCTGTTGCCCAGGCTGAAGTGCAGTGGCACAATCATGGCTCACTGGAGCCTTGACCTCTTAGGTTCAAGCAATCTTCCCACCTCAGCCACCTGAGTAGCTGGAAACACAGGCATGCACCACCACACCTAGCTAATTTTTTAATAAAAATTTTTGTGGAGATACATCTCCCTGTGTTGCCCAGGCTGGTCTCAAACTCCTGGGCTCAAGCAATCCTCCCACCTTAGCCTCCAAAAGTGCTGGGATTATAGGCATGAGCCACTGCTCCCACACCCTGATTGGTACTTTTTAATACTCTCTCTTTGTTGAAATTCTCAGTTTGTTCTTACATTGCTCTCCTGACCTCAGTGAGCATCTTTATGACCACTATTTTCTATTCCCTGTTGGGTAAATTGCATCTCCACTTCACATCAGTTCTAGAGATTTATCTTGTTCTTTGTTTTGGAAATATACTCTCCTATTTTTTCAGTTACCTTTCCTTTTTGTTGGTTTCTATACATTAGATAGGAACTGCCTCTCCTAGTCTTGTCAGACTGGCCTCATATAGGGAATCTCACCAATCCATCTGGCCAGAGACTTTAAATTTTCTCTCAAACCTTTATGTTCATCCAAACTGCTGTTTCTGGTTTTGGTGGCCCTTGGAGATTAGAATGTGCCATGTCCTGGCCAGGCACAGTAGCTTATGCCTGTAATCCCAGTGCTTTGGGAGGCCAAGACAGGAGGATCACTCGGGCCCAAGAGTTTGAGACCAGCCTGGACAACATAATAAGGCCCTATCTCTATATTAATATATTAAATAAAAATAAAGAGAGAAAAAAAGAATATGCTATGTCCTCTCCATACCCCAAGATTGGTAAGGTAGAAGCAGACTCTTTTGATACAGTTGGAAAGGTTGAGGTGTTGCATATGTATTCCAGTTCCTTCTATCTTCACAGTGAAGCTGAGCACAAGCATTTTCTCCCACCCTCTCTGCACAAAGCTGGGGAGAGAATCTGTGGCAAATGTCTGTCTTCACATTCAGGCAGCACCCCTCTGTTCCTGGGGAAATAGCTGCTGGAAGTGGACCCATTGTATATCTGCCTCTTTGTTTTTTGTGGTCTAGGCCACTCAGGAATGCAAAGTCCCATCAATTCCTAGAGTAAGGGGATTTTTTGTTGTTGTTGTTTTGTTTTTTTGGAGACAGAGTTTCACTCTTGCTGCCCAGGCTGGAGTGCAATGGTGCCATCTCAGCTCACTGCAACCTCCACCTCCCAGGTTCAAGTGATTCTCCTGCCTCAGTCTCCCAAGTAGCTGGGATTACACGCACCCACCACCATGCCCGGCTAATTTTTGGATTTTTAGTAGAGACAGGTTTTCACCATGTTGGCCAGACCGGTCTCGAACTCCTGACCTCAGGTGATCCACCCGCCTCAGCCTCCCAAAGTGCTGGGATTACAGCCGTGAGCCACTGCACCCGGCCTAGAGTGAGGTTCTTAAGGAGACAGTTCCTTTGGTAGGAGATGTAGAATTTGTGGCACTCAGTGCATGTAAAAACTCCTTCCCAAGAAGAATGGATAGGCCTGGATTTATCATTGGGGTGAGCCAAAGGAATGGCTCAGGAAGTGCCAAGCCCTGGCTCAGGTTGCTGTAGAGCTACTGTTTGTCTGCCCCATTAACTCCCCATGCAAGTTCATTAGAAGCCAGGCCATCAAGTAGCCACTGGAATTGTGTGCCATAAACCTCATCTGGAAAGAAAATGGAAGCTGTACATTCCAACCCATTTTGTGCACTACTGCAAGGGGGTCTAACCCCTGGAAGTGTTTGTGCACTTGTTTAAAACCATCTCTTTGTTCTGTGATCTACGGAGACTCACATATGACTAGTCCCTTCTGCTCCCAGGTCTAAGAGGTTTAGGATGGAATCCTTTGGGAGATAACTGTAAAAAACTGAAGCACTTGATGCTTGGCATAAGCCTCTTCTGGGGAGAAACAAGGAGCTGCATTTCTATAGCCCCTTCTCTGCACTGCTTCCAGGGGATAAAGCCCCTGGTAATGCTTGCATATGAAACCACTACTTTTTTCTGTGGACTAGAGAGACTCAAATATGCTTAGATCCCCTCTGTTACTAGAGCTAGAAGATTTAGGATGCAGTTCCTCAGATGGAAACTGTAAACATTGGGGTGCTTGTGTGGACAGTCTCCTTCCAGAAGGGATTAATAGACCTGGAGTTATTGCTGGAGTGAACCAGGAAAGAAGGCTTGGGAAGTGCCAATCTGCTTATCAGGCTGCCGGCAGGCTTCTATTTTGTCTGCCTCTTTAACTCCCTGATGCAAGTTAGTTAAAAGCAAGGCTGTCAAGTAGCCACTGAAAGAGCGTGTCATAAACCCCTTCTGGGGAGAAAGAGGGATGCATTTTTTAAGCCCCTTCTCTGCGTTCTTCCCGGGAGATGCAGCCTCTAGCAGTGCTTGTGCATCTATAAAACTGCCAGTTTTCTCCTGTGGTCTAGAGAGACTTGTGTATGCCTGATTCCCTCTACTCTCAGATTTGGTGGATTAAGAAACCAACCGTAGAGAAGTTACATGTTGGAGATTCCTTTCCCAGTTTTATAGCACAGTGCCCAGAATGCTATCCATGCCTGAGTGTGGCTTGGCTTCTCCTACCCACTCAATGTGGATGTTTTCTCAGTTGCCCAGTGGGTGTCTCTCGACTGGTCCCTGATTTTCTCTCAAAGGGAATTGATCTGTAAATAGATGTTGATTTCATGTATCTGTGAGTGGAGGAGAGTCTGGAAATTCCTATTCCACCCTGTTGCTGACATCATTCCTTCCTGTATATCTAATTGATCACCAAGTTCGGTCAGCAGTACCCCTCTTAAATCTCTTCCTCATGTCTCCATCTCCTTTGGTGTAATTTGGAGCATTATCATATATATTTCCCCAACTCTGGTTCTTCCCCATCACCAGTAAGTCCTCCCTCACCATGGGGACACCTTGTTAAAGAGGAAACTCAGTCACATTCCCTGGTCTGTTTAAATCCCTTGAGCATCCACCCCTTAGCCACTTCAACAGCTTTCCTACTGCCATCCCTCCTTATAACCCCCACTTCAGCCTAAACATACCTTATAACTACACTCATGCTTCTAACTGGATTACCACTTTCCCTCTACAACTACTCATATTTAAAGATGCTGTTCAAAAGTCAGGTCATCTGTAATGTTTTATTCTGTAATACCCAGGCAATTAGTTGCTGCTTCATCCGTTTTTCTCTCATAGTACATTGCATATTTCCTTATCATAGTTTATGCAATTGTATTGTATCATATAACTGTTTATTAATGTATATGTCTTCTTCTAAGGCAGAATTATCTACTGCCACATAGTAGATGCTAAATAAATGTTTGCTCAATGAAGACCTTTCTCACTTCTCCAGATTTCTGTAGTGAGTTAGAGACTTAGGAAAGGCAGAGTCACCAGGGATTTTGGCTGCCAGAAAAACTAGCTCTTCATATTATCTGGCTTTACTTCTGCTCCCATCCTCTGTACTAAAACTCTTCCTTCTTCTCGATGTAGCTTCATTCTTAGAAGTCTGTCCCTTGGCCAGGTGCAGTGGCATTGTGGCATTTAACCTGCCCTAGTTCCATGCCCCACATTCCAAGAAATGCAAGAAACAAGAAAGTATAGCCTATATGTGGGGGGAAAATATCAACAAAAAATCGTCCCTGGGGTAGCTCAGACATTAGACTTACTAGACAAAGACGTTAAATCAGCTATTTTAAGTATGTTCAAACAGCTAAATAAAACATGTCTAAAGAACAACAACTAAAGGGCCGGGCATGGTGGCTCATGCCTGTAATCCCAGCAGTTTGGGAGGCTGAGGTGGGCAGATCACCTGAGGTCAGGAGTTCGAGACCAGCCTGGCCAACATGGTGAAACTCTGTATCTACTAAATATACAAAAATTAGCCATGCATGGTGGTGCGCACCTGTAGTACCAGCTGCTCGGGAGGCTGAAGCAGGAGAATTTCTTGAACCTGGGAGGCAGAGGTTGCAGTGAGCAAAGATGGTGCCATTGCACTCCAGCCTGGGCAACAGAGCGAGATTCCATCTCAAAATAAATAAATAAAATAAAATAAAATAAAGAACAACAACAACCAAAAAAGCTTGATGTCTCACCAAATAGAGAATATTAATGAGGAGATAGAAAATATTAAAAAGGAACCAAATGGAAATTCTGGAATTTAAAATTATACTCAGGCCAGGTACAGTGGCTCATGACTATAATCCTGGCACTTTGGGAGGCCGAGGTGGGCGGATCACTTGAGGTCAGAAGTTCAAGACCAGCCTGGGGAGGTGAAACCTCATCTCTACTAAAAATATAAAAATTAGCAGGGCTTAGTGGCCAGCACCTGTAATCCCAGCTACTTGGGAGGCTGAGGCTCGAGAATCTCTTGAACCCAGGAAGCTGAGATCACACCACTGCACTCCAGCCTGGGCACAGAGTGAGACTCTGACTCAAAAAATATATAATTATAATAGCTCAAATGAAAATTTCACAAGAGGGGCTTAACAGCAGATTTGAACAAGCGAAAGAATCGGTGGCCTTGAAGATTGAGATTATCCAATCTGAGGAAGAGAAAAAATATGAATGGAGACAAATGGGCAGACTAACATATAAGCAACATAACACTTATCACACACAATGAAAATCCCAGAAGGAGAGAAAAGAGAGAAAGGGGCAAAAAGAATATTTGAATAAATAATGGCTGAGAACTCCTAAACTTGATGGCAAATATTAATTGACACATCACATAAGATCAACAAATTCCAACTAGGATAAACTTAAAGAGATCTACATTGAAGCACATTAAATCAAACTGCCAAAAACAAAGAATCCCGAAAGTAGCAAAAGAGAAGCAACTCATCATAAACAAGAGACCCACAATAAGATTAACAATTGACTTCTGATTAGAAATCATGGAAGCCAACAGGCAGTGTGGATCAAGAGAATGAGAAAACAAGCCACAGACTGGGAGAAAATATCTGCGAAAGATGTATTTGACAAAGGACTGTTATCCTTAATACACAAAGAATTCGTAAAACTCAACAATAAGAAAAGGAACAACCTGACTTAAAAATGGGCCAAAGAGTTGAACAGACACATCACCAAAGAAATTATACCAATGACAAGCATATGAGGCCAGCCACAGTGGCTCACGCCTGTAATCCCAGCA
This sequence comes from Homo sapiens, assembly GCF_000001405.40. Classification (NCBI taxonomy): domain Eukaryota; kingdom Metazoa; phylum Chordata; class Mammalia; order Primates; family Hominidae; genus Homo; species Homo sapiens. The sequence continues at coordinate 74,724,177 of NC_000010.11, forward strand.
CTCTGGGAGGCCGAGGCAGGTGAATCACATGAGGCCAGGAGTTCAAGACCAGCCTGGTCAATATGGTGAAACTCCATCTCTACTAAAAATACAAAAATTAGCCAGGTGTGGCAGTGTGCACCTGTAGTCCCAGATACTTTAGAGACTGAGGCATAAGAATCATTTGAACCCGGGACATGGAGGTTGCAATGAGCCAAGATTGCACCACTGCACTCCAGCCTGGACAACAGAGCGAGACTCTGTCTCAAAAAAAAAAAGGCATATGGAAAGATGCTCAACCTCATATGTCATTAGGGAACTGCAAATTAAAACAATGAGATAAAAAATTAAAAAACAATGAGATACCATTACACACTTATTAGAATGGCCATAATTTAGAATACTAACAAACATCAAATACCAGAACAACAGGAACCCTCATTCATTGCTGGTGGGAATCCAAAATGGTACAGCCACTCTGAAAGACAGTTTGGTGGTTTCTTACAAAACTAAACATACTCCTACCATATTTATATTCTTTGGTATTTATCCAAAGGAGTTGAAACTTACATTCACACAAAAACCTGCACATGGAGGTTTACTGCAGCTTAGCCACTTTATTCATAATTGCCAAAACTTGTCCTTCAGTAGGTTAATGGATAAGTAAACTGTGGTACATCAGTTAATGGAATATTATTAAACACTAAAAAGAAACACACTACTGGCGAGGCATGGTGACTCACACCTGTAATCCCAGCACTTTGGGAGGCTGAGGCAGGAAGATTGCTTGAGGCCAGAAGTTTGAGATAGCCTGGGCAACATGGTGAAACCCCATCCTTATTTTTTAAGATAAAAAAAAAAAAGAAAGAAACAAGCTATCAAGCTATGAAAAGACACGCAGGGATCTTAAATGCATATTATGAAGCAAAAGGACCCAATCTGAAAAGGCTACATACTATACGATTTCAACTATTTGACATTCTGGAAAATGCAAAACTATAGAGACAGTAAAAATATCAGTGGTTGCCAGGGACTGGGGAGAGGGAGGGATGATGAGGTAGAGCACAGAGGATACTTGGGGCAATGATACTTCCCTGTTGATGTTATAGTTGTAGATACATGTCATTATACATTAGTCAAAACCTAGAGAATACACAATACCAAGAGTGGACCCTAATGTAAACCATAGATTTGGAGGGATAATGATGTGTCATTGTAGGTTCACTGACTGTAACAAATATACCACTTTTGTGCAGGACGTTGGTAGTAGAGGAGACGTAGTAGAGGAGGCTGTGCCCGTTGGGAGTCCAGAGGTATATGGGAACTCCTGAAATTTTCTGCTCAATTTTGCTGTGAAAATTGTAAAACTGCTCTAAAAAATCAAGTCTATTTTAAAAGAAGGCTGTGGGGTGTCATATTTAAATCTCTGACAGAAAAAAATTAACCAAGAATCCAACAAAAATATCCTTCAAAAATGAAGAAATTGAGATATTCCTAGATAAACAAAAGCTGAGGGAGTTTATTGAAGAAACTTCTCTAAAAGATATGCTAAGTGGCATCCTCTGGGCTGAAATGAAGGGACACTAGACAATAATTCAAATCCACACAGAGAAATAAAGAACACTCGTCAGGCGGGGCGCGATGGCTCATGCCTGTAATCCTAGCACTTTGGGAGGCCGAGGCGGCCTGATCACCTGAGGCCACAAGTTTGAGATGAGCCTGGCCAATGTGGTGAAACCCCATCTCTACTAAAAATACAAAAATCAGCCGGGCGTGGTGGTGCATGCCTGTAATCCCAGCTACTCAGGAGGCTGAGGCAGGAGAATTGCTTGAATCCGGGGAACAGAGGTTGCAGCGAGCTGAGATCACGCCACTGCACTCCAGCCTGGGCGAAAGAGCAAAACTCTGTCTCAAAAAAAGAATAGAAAAGAAAAGAACACTAGTCAGGGTAACCACATAAGTAAATATAGAAGACAATGTTTACATATTATTATTGTAATTCTTCTTTCTTATCTGGTTTAAAAGGCAACTGCATAAAGCAATAATTATAAATATTTGCATATAACCTATAAAGATATAATTTGTGACAATAAAAGCATAAAGAGGGAGGTGAAGCAATATAGGAGCAAATATTTTATATACTATTGGAACTAAGTTGGTATTAATCTGAATCACAGAGAAAAAGCAGATGAGTGATTACCAGGAACTGGGAGAATGGGAGAAATGAGGAGTGACTATTAATGGTTATGGAGTTTCTTCTTGGTGGGTTGATGGTAGTGAAATATTCTGGAATTAGTGGTGGTGGTTTTACAACCTGAATATATTAAAAATAACTAAATTGTACACTTTAAAAGTTGAGTTTTATGGTATATTAATTATATCTCAATAACAATTACTTAGAAACAAACAAAAAGATGGCAGGAGTTGCTCTGTATATCTTAAAGAAATTGAATTTGTAAAGTTGAAAGCATTCCTACAAAAATACCTTCAGGCCCATATGGCTTTACTCATGAAGTCTACCAAACATTTAAGGAAGAAAGAATCCAATTCTACGTATACTCTTCCAAAATAAATTAAAGAAAACATAATTCTTTCCAACTCATTATTTGAGGCTAGAACCAAAACCAGATTAACACATTAGAAGAAAATACTCTGGAATCCCTGTCTCAAAAAAAAAAAAAAAAAAAAAAAAAAAAGTTAACATATCATGATCAAGTGGAGTTTATCCCAGGAATACAGGGCTAGTTTAATCTTCAAAATCGGGCCAGATGTGGCAGCTCTCACTTGTAATCCCAACGCTGGGAGCATATCTTGAGGCTGAGAGTTTAAGACCAGTCTGAGCAATGTAGCAAGACTCCATTTCTAAGTAAATAAAATATTCAAAATCAATAATTGAGCAAGTTGCAGTCGTTTATGCCTGTAGTCCAAGCTACTCAGGAGGCTAAGGTGGGAGGATCATTTGAGCCCAGGAGTTCAAGGCCAGCCTGGGCAACAACAACAAAAGATACCATCTCTAAAAGAAAAATCATTCATTATAATTCACCATATTAACAAAGTAAAAAAGAAAACCATATGATTATCTTGATAGACACAGAAAAGCGTTTGACAAAATCCAATATTCATTCCTAATAAAAACTAAATAAATCTGGAATAGAAAGGGATATCCTCAACATAATTATGGACATCTACAAAAACCCCACAGCTACTATCACACTTAGTGGTGAAAGACTGAATAGTTTTCCCTAAGACTAGGAACAAGACACCTTCTCTCCCCTTTTCTATTCAACGTTGTGCTGGAAGTCCTGGCCATTCCATCAGGCAGAAAAAAAAAGAAAAAAAACCAGCTAAATTGAAGAAGTAAAATTGTCTCAATTTTCACACAACGTGACTGTCTATGTAGAAATCTAAAGGAACCCAGAAAAAAGCAACTAGAACTAATAGGCAAGTTTAGCAAGGTTGAAGGATACAAGATAATACACAAAAATTAATTATATTTCTATATGCTAACAGTGAAAATTCATACATTTATTAATTTATCAAATTAGTAAAATGCCATTTGTAATAGCATCAAAAATATAAAATACGTAAAATACAAAATACAAAATACGTAGAAGTCCTCTAACTGGAAACCATAAAATATTGCTGAAAGAAATTAAATAATATCTAAATAAATAAATAGTCTGGGCACAGTGGCTCACGCCTGTAATCCCAACACCTTAGGAGGCTGAGGTGGGCAGATCTCTTGAGCCCAGGAGTTCAAGACCAGCCTGGGCAACATGGCAAACCCCGTCTCTACAAAAAAAAAAAAAAATATATATATATATATATATATATATTTAGCCAGGTATGGTGACACACGCCTGTAGCCCCAGCTACTTGGGAGGCTGAGATGGGAGGATCACCTGAGCCCATCTTAGCCTCCCAAGTAGCTGGGACTACAGGCATGTGGGAGGTCGAGACTGCAGTGAGCCATGATCAAGCCACTGCACTCCAGCTTGGGTGACAGAGTGAAACCCTGTATAAAAAAAAAACTAGATATGCCTTGTTCATGGGTCAGAAGACTCAACAATGTTAAGATATCAATTGTCCCCAAATTGATCTATAGATGCTGATGTGGTTTGGATATTTATTCCCTCTGAATCTCATGTTGAAATGTGATCTCCAGTGTTGGAGGTGGGGCCTAGTGAAAGGTGTTTGGGTCACAGGGGTGGATCCCTCCTGAGTGGCTTGGTGCCCTTCTGCGGTAATGAGTGAGTTTTTGCTGTATTAGGTCACACAAGAGCTGATTGTTTAAAAGAGCTTGGCATCTCTCTCTTGCTCTCTCTGTCACTATGTGACACACCTACTCCCTCTTTTCTTTTCTTCCTGCCATGAGTAAAATCTTTCTGAGGCTGGCCAGGCATGGTGGCTCACACCTTTAATCCCAGCACTTTGGGAGGCCACAGTGGGCAGATCACTTGAGGTCAGGAGTTCGACACCAGCCTGGCCAACATGGTGAAACCCTGTCTCTACTAAAAATACGAAAATTAGCTAGGCATTGTGGCATGCATGGGTAGTCTCAGCTACTTGAGTGGCTAAGGCAGGAGAATCTCTTGAACCCAGGAGGCAGAGGTTGCAGTGAGCCAAGATTGTGCCACTGCACTCCAGCCTGGGTGACAGAGCGAGACTCTGTTTCAAAAAAAAAAAAAAAAAAAAAACTTTCCAGAGGCTTCACCATAAGCTGAGCAGATGACGGTGCCATGTTTGTACAGCCTACAGAACCGTGAGCCAAATAAACTTCTTTTCTTTATAAGTTACCCAGTCTTTGATAATTATAAATTACCCAGTCTTTTTTTTTTTTTTTTGAGATGGAGTCTCACTCTGTCGCTCAGGCTGGAGTGCAGTGGCACGATCTCCGCACCACTGCACTCAGCAGGTTCAAGCAATTCTCCTGCCTCTCAGCCTCTCGAGTAGTTGGGACTACAGGCGTGAGCCACCACACCTACCTAATTTTTGTATTTTTAGTAGAGACAGAGTTTCGCCATATTGGCCAGGGTGGCCTCAAACTCCTGACCTCAAGTGATCCACCCACCTCAGCCTCCCAGAGTGCTGGGATTACAGGCATGAGCCACCGCACCTGGCCAAATTACCCAGTCTTTATAAATTTATAATAAAGGCCTTTATTCAAGGCTCCCTTTATTATAATTTTATTATAAATATAAATATTTATTATTTATAAATAATAAATATTATAAATATTATTAGGTGCTAATATTCAAGACAATAGGGAAAAGACCCAGAAGGCATTTCTTCCCTAGCAATGCAAAACAGACTAACACAGAACATTGATACCAGGAGTGTGATGTTGCTATAAAGATACCTGAGGATGTGGAAGTGGCTTTGGAACTGTGTAATGAGCAGAGGTTGGAAGAGTTTGGAGGGCTCAGAAGAAGACAGGAAGACAAGGGGAAGTTTGGAACTTATCAGAGATTGGTTAAATGATTGTGTCCAAAATGCTGATAGAAATGTGGACTGTGAAGGCCAGGCTGAGGAGGTATCAGATAGAAATGAAGAACTTGGCTGGGAGCAGTGGCTTACGCCTATAATCCCAGCACTTTGGGAGGCCAAGGTGGGCAGATCACCTGAGGTCAGGAGTTCAAGACCAGCCTGGCCAACATGGTGAAACCCCGTCTCTACTAAAAATACAAAAATTAGCCAGGCATGGTGATGGGTGCCTGTAATCCCAGCTACTTGGGAGGCTGAGGCAGGAGAATTGCTTGAACCTGGGAGGCAGAGGTTGCAGTGAGCTGAGATCGCACCACTGCACTCCAGCCTGGGTGACAGGGTGAGACTCTGTCTCAAAAAAAAAAAAAAAAAAGAAGAAAGAAATGAAGAATTTAGTGAGAACTGGAGTAAAAGTCACCCTTGTTACACCTTAGCAAAGAACTTGGCTGCATTGTGTCCATGTCCTAGAGCTTTGTGGAAGGCTGAACTTGAGAGTGATGACTTAGGGTAACTGGCAGAAGAAATTTCTAAGCAGCAAAGCATTCAAGAAGTGCCATGGCTGCTTTTAACAGCCTATGATCAGATATGGGAGCAGAGGAATGACCTAAGGTTGGAACTTATCATTAAAAGGGAAGCACAGCATAAAAGTTTGGATAATCCACAGCCTGGCCATGTGGTAGAGAAGGAAAGGGAGTTTCCAGGAGGGGAATCCAAGCAGGCTGCGGTTGGGAGCAAACCTTGCTAGAGCAATTAGCACGTCTAAAAGGGAGCCAGGTGCTAATATTCAAGACAATGGGGAAAAGGCTCAGAAGGCATTTCAGAAATCTTCCAGGACACTCCTCCCATCACAGCCCTGGAGGCCTAGACAGACAGACTTGTTTTAGAGATCAGGCTGGGTCACTGCTGCCCTGTACTTCTTCAGGACGCTACTCTCCCAACGCTGGCCACTCCAGCTCCAGCATTGGCTCAAAGGGGTTCAGGTACAGCCTGGGCTGCAGCTCCAGAGGGCACAAGCTGTAAGCCTTGGCAACTTCCACATGGTGTTAAGTCTGCAGGCACACAGAATGCAAGAGTGAAGTAGGCTTGGCAGCTTCCACCTAGATTTCAGAAGATATATAGGAAAGCCTGGGTGCGGAAGCCTGCCACAGGGGCAGAGCCCCCACAGAGAGCCACAACTAGGGCAGTGCTGAGGGAAAATGTGGGGTTGGAGCCCCTGTGTAGAGTCCCCAGTGAGGCACTGCATAGTAGAGCTGTGGGAATGGAACTACCACCCTCCAGGCCCAAGAATGGTAGAGTCACTGGCAGCTTGCACCCTCAGCCTGGAAAAGCTGCAAACACTCAACTCCAACCTGTGAGAGCAGCCACTTGGGCTGCGCCCAGCAAAGCCACAGGGCCAGGGCCACCTGAGGCCTTGGGAGTGCATTCTTCACACAAGTGTGCCCAGGATATGGGACATGGAGTCAAAGGAGATTATTTTGGAGCTTTAAGATTTAACGTTTGCCCTGCTGGGTTTCAGACCCGCATGAGGCCTGTTGCCCACTTCTTTTGGGTAATTTCTCCCTTTTGGAATGGGAATGTTTACCTAATGCCTGTACCATCATTGCATCTTGGAAGTAAATAACGTGTTATTGGTCTTACAGGCTCATAGGCGGAAGGGACTTGCCTTGAGTCTCAGATGAGACTTTGGACTTTGGACTTTTGAGTTGATGCTAGAATGACTTAAGACTTTGGGGGACTATTAAGGAGGGGTGATTATATTTTGCAGCATGAGAAGGACATGAGATCTGGGGGGCCAGGGTGGAATTATATGGTTTGGATATCTGTCCCCTCCAAATCTCATGTCGAAATGTGATTTCCACTGTTGGAGGTGGGGCCTAGTAAGAGGTGTTTGGGTCATGGGGCAGACCCTTCATGAATGCCTTGGTGTCCTCCTATGGCAATGAGTGAGTTATCATTCATAAGAGAGCTGGTTGTTTACAGGAGTCTGGCATCTCTCATTTGCTTCCTTTTCTTGCCATGTAACACACCTGCTCCCCCTTTACCTTCCATCATGAATGAAAGCTTCCTGAGGCCTCACCAGAAGCCAAGTGGATGCTGGTGCCATGCTTGGACAGCCTGCAGAACCGTGAGCCAAATAAACCTCTTCTGTCTGTAAATTACCCAGCCTTGGATATTCCTTTGTAGCAACACAAAATGGACTAATACAGATGCTATGCAATCACAATCAAAATTCTAGCTGGCATTTTTGTGAAAACTGACAAGCTACTGATTCTCAAATTCATATGAAAATACATAGGACCTAGAATAACCAAAACAGCTTTGAAAAAGAAGAGCAAAGTCAGAGGATTTACATTACTTGATTCAAGACATATAAAGCCACAGTAATCAAAACAGTGTGGCATTAGCATAAAGTTAGAAACAGATAAGTGGAACAGAATAGAGAGTTCAGAAATAGACCCACATAAACATGCACAAGTGACTCTTCAAGAGCTTTATGAGATATAACTTACAAACCAAACTATTCACCCATTTAAAATGTACACTTTTTACATTTTTAATTTTATTTAATTTATTTTTTTCTTAGAGTTAGGGTCTCACTCTGTTGCCCAGAATGGAGTGCAGTGGCATGATCATAGTTTGCTGTAACCTCAAACTCCTGGGCTTAAGGGATCCTCTTGCTTCAGCCTCCCATGTGCACCACCATGCCCAGCTAGTTTTTAAATTTTTCTGTAGAGACAGGGTCTCACTATGTTGCCCAGGCTGGTCTCCAACTCTTGACTTGTAGTGATCCTCCCTCCTCAGCCTCCCATAGTGCTGGGATTCCAGTAGCATGAGCCACCTCACCCAGCCTAAGTCAAATGTTTTAAGTAAGTTCCCTGGGTTGGACAACCATCACCACAATCTATAGAAAATTTTTGTCCACCCAGAAAGAAACCTTGTACTTATTAGCAATAACTCCTCATTTCCCCTACTGTCTCCTCCTCAGCCCTAAGCAACAGCTAATCTTTCTGTCTTTACAGATTTGGTTCTTACCAATATTCTATAAAATGAAAGCATCCAATATTTAGTCTTCTGTAACTGGCTTCTTTCTCTTAGCATAATTTGTTCAAGGTTCATCTATGTTGTAGTGTGTATCAGTACTTCATTCCTTTCACTTGCCAAATAATATTCCTTTGTAAGGATATATCACATTTTGTTTATTCATTCATTGGTTGATAAATACTGGAGTTATTTCCACTTTGGTTCTATTACAATAATGCTGCTAGGGACATTTGTGTACAAGTTTTTGTGTGAGCATATGTTTTCATTTCTCTTGGGTTGATAAGTAGGAGTGGAATTGCTGGATTGTATGAAAATGATATGTTTAACTTTTTAAGAAACTGCAAAACTGTTTTTCAAAACAGCTACAAAAGGCTACATTCCCACCAGAAGTTCACTAAGGTTTCAATTTCTCCATATCCTTGCCAACACTCATTATTGCCTGTCTTTTTTTATTATAGCCATGCTAGTGAACATGAAATGGTATCTCATTATGCATTTGTCTGTTTGCTTATTGTGGTAAAATAAATGTAACATAAAATATGTCATTTTAACGCCCCCCCCCTTTTTTTTTTGAGACGGAGTCTCGCTCTGTTGTCCAGGCTGGAGTGCAGTGGAGCGATCTCGGCTTACTGCAAGCTCCGCCTCCCGGGTTCACGCCATTCTCCTGCCTCAGCTGCCCAGCTAAATTTTTGTATTTTTAGTAGAGACGGGGTTTCACCGTGTTAGTCAGGATGGTCTCGATCTCCTGACCTCGTGATTTGCCCGCCTTGGCCTCCCAAAGTGCTGGGATTACAGGCACGAGCCACCACGCCCGACCGTCATTTTAACCATTTTAAGAGCACAATTTAGTGGCACTAATTACATTCACAATGTTTTGCAATCATCCCCACTATTTCTATTTCCAAGACTTTTCCAGCACCCCAAACAGAAACTCTGCACCTGTTAACTACCCATCTCTCCTCACTCCCAACCCCTGGTAACCTATTATTTACTTTCTGTTGCTATAAATTTGCCTATTATAAATATTATAAGTGGAATAATACAATATTTGTCTAGCTTATTTCACTTAGTATAATGTTTTCAAGATTCACCCATGATGTAGCATGTATCAGAATGTCATTCCTTTTTTGTGGCTGAATACTATTCCACTGTATGTGTGCAGTACATTTTGTTTATCAGTTGATGGACACTGGGTTGTTTCCACTGTTTGGCTATTGTGAACAGTGCTACAATGACCATTAGCATACAAATATCTGCTTGAGTCTCTGTTTTCAATTCTTTTGATTATATGTCTAGGAGTAGAGTTGAAGAGTCGTCTTGTAATTTTATGTTTAACTTTTTGAGGAACCACCAAATGGTTTTCCACGGTGACTGCACCATTTTACATTCCCAGCAATGTACAAGGTTTCCAGTTTCTCCACATCCTCATTAACGAACACTTGTAATTTTCTGTGTTTTAAAAATTATTATAGCCATCATAGTGGATACGAAGTGGTAATTCATTGTGGTTATGATTTGCATTTCCCTAATGACTAATGGTGTTGAGCATCATTTCATGTGTTATTCACCATTTATATAACTTCTTCAGATGTACTTTCAAATCCTTTGCTCATTTTTAAATTGGGGTTTTTTTGTCTTTTAATTGTTGAATTGTATTTTTGTATGTTCTAGATGCAATTCCTTCATATGATCTGCAGATGTTTTCTCCAATTCTGTAAGTTGTCTTTTCAGTTTTTTGATGGTATCATCTGTAGCACAAAAGTTTCTAACTTAGCTATAGATTTTTTTTTCTTTTGTTATTTGTGCTTTTGTTATATCTAAGAAACCATTGCCTAGCCCAAAGTCACAAATATTCTGCATTTTCTTCTACGTGTTTTATAGTTTTAGCTCTTAAATTTAGATCTATAAGTAATTTTGAGTTAGTTTTTGTGTATGGTGTGAGTTAGAGGTCCACATTCCTTTCATATGTGAATATCCAATTTTTCATCATTATTTGTTGAAAAGGCTATTTCTTGGCACCCTGGTTGAAAAAAAACAATTGATCATAAATCTATGGGTTTCTGAAATTTTAATTATGTGGCAATTGATTGTTAAAAATCTAAAACTAAAAAACTACAGAAACAAAAACTGGAGAAAATTTTGGTCGTCCATTAGGCAAAAAAAAATTTAGATATGATACCAAAACACAATCCTAAAAAGGACAAATTGATATTTTGGACTTCATAAAAATTGAAAATCTCTGCTATTCAAAAGAAACTATTAAGAATATGAAAAGGTAAGCCACAGAATAGGAGAATATTTTTGCAAAGCTCATATTTGATAAAAGACTTCTATCAATAATGTATAACACCCAGCACTTTGGGAGGCCAAGGTGGGTAGGTCACTTGAGGTCAGGAGTTCAAGACCAGCCTGGCCAACATGGTGAGACCCTGTCTCTTCTAAAAATACAAAAAATTAGCCGGCATAGTGGCACGCCGGTAATCCCAGCTACTCAGGAGGCTTAGGCAGGAGAATTGCTTGAACCTGGGAGGTGGAGTTTGCAGTGAGCTGAGATCGCACCACTACACTACAGCCTGGGCAACAGAGAGAGACTCTGTCTCAAAAATATGTATATACATATATATACACATACATGTATATAGTTTTATATATAACATATATTTTGTTTTATATATAAGTATATTTTTATATATATAACATATATTTTGTTTTATATATAAGTATATTTTATATAGATAACATATGTATTGTTATATACATATTTTTAAAAAACTCTCAAAACCAAAGTTTAAAAAAATCCAATTTTATAAATAGGCAAAGATTTGAACACATATTTCACCAAATAAGTACATGAAAAGACACTTGACCTCATGAAGTGCAAATTAAACCCACAGAGAGGTACCTCTTCACACCTATTAGAATCAATAGAATTAAAAATACTGGGCTGGGTGCAGTGGCTCATGCTTGTAATCCCAGCACTTTGGGAGGCTGAGGTGGCAGATCACTTGAGGCCAGGAGTTCGAGAATAGCCTGGCCATCATGGTGAAACCCCGTTGCTACTAAAAATACAAAAATTAGTCGAGCATGGTGGCAGGCGCCTGTAATCCCAGCTACTTGGGAGGCTGAGGCAGGAGAATCTCTTGAACCCGGGAGGCAGAGGTTGCAGTGAGCCGAGATCATGCCATTGCAATCCAGCCTGGGCAACAAGAGCGAAGCTCCGTCTCAAAAAAAAAAAAAAAAAAAAAGAGACTGGCCGTACGAAGTATTGGTGAGGATGTGAAGGAATTAGAATTCCCATTCACTGCGGGTGAGGATATATAATGGCACAGCCATTTCAAAAGCAGTTTGGAAGTTTCTTAAATGCTTAATATTAATATAGCTATCACGTAACAGAAACATTCCACTCAGATATTTACCCAAGAAAAATGAAATATATGTCTGCAAAAGACTTGTGCATGAGCGTTCATAGCAGCTTCATTTGGAATAGCCCTAGATTGGAAACAACCCAAATGTCCACCAACAGGGGAATGAGTAAGCAAATTGTGGTATATACATTCAATGGAATATTACCCATCAATAAAAAGGAATGGATTATTGAGACAGTCAACATCTTAGGTGAATCTTAAAATAATTACACTCAGTGGAAAAAGCCAGACAAAGAGGAAACACACAGCTAGACCAAAAAAAATACTATAGGATTGCATTTATTTAAAACTTTAGAAAATGCATACTAAACCATAATGACAGAAAGAACAGTGATTACTTGGAAATAATGGAATGATGGAGTGGGGAGAGATGGTCCATTTGGAGACAATTTTTTGTATATGAGATAGACATGATACAGATTGTGAGACCTGAGTTTAAGTATTTGCTGTTGTTGTCATTTTGCATAGGACTATCCAAATGGTGCTGGTACAATTGTTTTCCTATGCAAAACAACAACAGTAACAACAAATACTCAAATTCAGGTCTCACAATTGTATCATGAGATATGGGAAGAATGAATTTCAGAGGGGTACAAGGAAAATTTTTGGAGTGATAGATGACTTTGAAGTGATTGTGGTGATGGTTTTATGAGTGTATTCATAAGCCAAAACTTACCAAATCATACACTTAATATATGTGCATTTTATTGTATGTCAATCACATGTTAATGAAGCCATTTTTAAAATTACGTATGTGTTGATCATGTAAAATGGTGCAGCCACTTTGGCAAACAGTTGAGCGGTTCCTCAGAAAGCTAAATGTGGAGTTGCCATCTAACCCAGAAATTCCACCTTTCCATATCGGCTCAGAAGAAATAAAAACATATGTGCATACTCAGAAATAAACTCGTGCATGAATCTCCATAATAGCCTTTTTTTTTTTTGAGACGGAGTCTCACTCTGTCACCCAGGCTAGAGTGAAATGGTGCAATCTCGGCTCACTGCAACCTCCGTCTCCTGGGTTCAAGCAATTCTCCTGCCTCAGTCTCCTGAGTAGCTGGGATTACAGGCATGTGCCACCACACCAGGCTACTTTTGCATTTTTAGTAGAGATGGGGTTTCTCCATGTTGGTCAGGCTGGTCTCGAACTTCTGACCTCAGATGATCCACCCGCTTCAGCCTCCCAAAGTGCTGGGATTACAGGCATGAGCCACCATGTCCGGCCTGAATATTTGCTCATTTTAAACATAGGACAAATGTGGTGGCCAGGCATGGTGGCTCACACCTGTAATCACAGCACTGTGGGAGGCCGAGACAGGTGAATTGCTTGAGCCCAGGAGTTCAAGACCAGCCCAGGCAACATGGTGAAACACTGTCTCTACAAAAAATACAAAAATTAGCCAGATGTGGTGGCATGCGCCTGTAGTCCCAGCTACTCAGGAGGCTGAAGTGGGAGGATCACCTGAGCCCAGGAGGTTGAGGCTGCAGTGAGCTGTGATTGCACCAGTACCCTCCAGACTGGGCAACAGATCAAGACTCTGTCTCAAAAAAAAAAAAAAAAAAATACACACACACACACACACACACACACACACACACACACACACACACAGTGATTTTTTTGATGCCATGCTTTTTTTTTTTTTTTTTTTTTTGAGACGGAGTTTCGCTCTTGTTGCCCAGGCTAGAGATCTCAGCTAACTGCAACCTCTGCCTTCCGGGTTCAAGCAATTGTCCTGCCTCAGCCTCCCTAGTAGCTGGGATTACACGCACCTGCCACCATGCCCAGCTAATTTTTTGTATGTTTAGTAGAGACGGGGTTCACCATGTTGGCCAAGCTGGTCTCGATCTCCTGACCTCGGGCAATCGATCCGCCTCAGCCTCCCAAAGTTCTGGGATTACAGGTGTGAGCCACCATGCCCAGCTGATGCCATGCTTTCTTAAAATATCATGTGTAAAAGCTTTTAAATAGTCTATTTACAGTTGCTAAGTAATATTTAAGTTCTCTAAAGTCAACTTGAATGTACAAATTACTTTCAAGTCTTGGACAGTTTTTGCCTGTGAGGACTTCCCCATAATCACTAAGAACCTCAGCCCTACTCTGCCCTTGACCTCAGAGTTTCCTTGCCCTCTTGTCGGATTGCTGCCTTGAGAAAGTTCAGACAGAAGCAAGCTTTCTAATCAAGTGCCACCTAATGGTGTGTCAAAATTTGGCTGCCTCAAGTCTTAAATGCACAAATGAATTTTACTGAGTTTGAGGCCAGAATCAAGGACTTATGGTTAGAGGCTGAATGCATGATGGCTGTGTGAATTTGGGGCCTGATGGTGTCTGGCAGTTCATTTTTTCCAAAAGGATGGAGCTGTCTTCTATTTCCTCTTAAATGGAAAAAATTGGCCAGGCAAGTTGGCTCATGCCAGTAATCCCAACACTTTGGCTGGAGGATTGCTTGAGCCCAGGAATTCAAGACTAGCCTGGGCAACATAGGGAGACCCCATCTCTACAAAAAATACAAAAATTAGCCAGGCGTGGTGGCATGTGCCTGTATTAGTCCTAGCTCCTTGGGAGGCTGAGGTGGGAGGGTCTCTTGAGCTTGGAAGGAAGAGGTTGCAGTGAGCCGTGATAAGGAAGAGGTTGCAGTGAGCCGTGATTGCACCACTGCACTCCAGATGGGTGACAGAGGGAAATCCTGTCTCAAAAATAAAATAAAAACATAAAGGGAAAAAAATTATCCTAAAATATTCTATATGGAAAACAAAGAGATAAAAGCTCTGACAGGCATAATGGTCCCACAAAGATCCATGTCCCAATCCCTGCAACCTGTAAGTACATTATGTAACATGCAAAAGGGCCATTGCAGATGTAATTAAGGTGACAGTTCTTAAAATACAGAGATTATTCTGGGTGATCCAGTGAGCCCAGTCTAATCATGTGAGCCTTTAAAAGCAGAGAACTTTCTCCTGCAGGAGGCAGGAGAGATAAGGCAGAAGTCAGAGAGATTCAACGCTTGAGAAGGAGTTAGTGAGCCTTTGCTGGCTTTGAAGGTGAAGGGGCAACGTGACCAGGCGCACAGGAAACCTCAAGAGGCTCAAGGCCAACAGAAAGGAAACGGGACCTCAGCCCTAGCACCACAAGGAGCTGAATTTGACCAACAGCCTGAATAAGCTTGTTAGCAGTTTCCTTCCCAGAGCCTCCAGGAAGTAACAAAGCCCTGCTGCCACCTTGATTTCAGCATTTAGAGACCCTAAGGACAGTACCTTGCCAAGCCCACCCACCAGACTTCTGACTACAGAACTGTGAGAGGCCAGGCGCGGTGGCTCACGTCTGTAACCCCCACATTTTGGGAGGACAAAGCGGGGGAGTAACTTGAGGTCAGGAGTTTGAAACCAGCCTGGGCAACCTGTCTCTATTTATAAAAATCGTTTGTGCGTGTAGAACTGTGAGATAATAAATGGGTGCTGTTTTAAGCTACTAAGTTTGTGGCAATCTGTTACACAGCAATAGAAAACTAATATATGAGCTGCTTGCAAGTAGAGACCCCATGTACTTAAAAGGTTCTCAGATAAGTAAGAGGAATGATTCTTAAATTTTAAAGTTGGGGCTGGGCACGGTGGCTCACATCTGTAATTCCAGCACTTTGGAAGGCTGAGGGAGACAGATCACTTGAGCCCAGAGGTTCAAGACCAGCCTGGCCAACATGGCTAAACCCCGTCTCTGCAAAAAATACAAAAATTAGCCAGGCGTGGTGGTGTACACCTGTAACCTCAGCTACTCTGGGGGCTGAGGCAGGAGGATTGGTTGAACCCCAGAGGCAGAGGTCGCAGTGAGCCAAGATTGCACCACTGCACTCCAGCCTGGGCGACAGAGTGAGAACTGGTCTTGAAAAAAAAAAAATTGGAAGACACATTTAGGGATATAAATAAAAACATGATGGGAGGTATTATATTAGATCACAGAATCAGGACTTTGGGGCTCACATGTTGGCCCTGATGTTGCACTCTGCCGTGGACATGGAACTGGCCTGACAGATTCAGCTATAGTTATAGAAATTCAGAAAGACACAAAGGCTGAAGACAAGTGGGAGATATGGAGCTCTTATTTGTGTCGGCTATCTGCAGGTTCTGTGAGACGGGAACAGTAATGGTGCTGTGTTTTGCCCTCAGCTTGCTGTCACTGGAGTTTTCTACCTACCTTGTACAAAGCCAATCCGTTATCCCCTGCCTCGCAGCATCAGTCCAGTCCTGCACTCGCCAGGAGTATCAAACAGCTGGAAGATGAGGGCACACTTTTCCTCCCTGGGAAAAAAGTCAGTCCTTTCAAGAAGTGAACATACAAGGCCGCTGGTCCCCTTTGAGGGGACAGGACCAAAACAAGAAAGTCATGTCTTGTCATCTGGTGTCTTGTTGTGTAAACCTCCATTCTATCCCATTTCCATAAATTCTTTCAAAGGTTTGAGATGTAGGACAACTGGGGCCTTTTCTCAGTTCGAGTCTTCTAGTTTGAACATTATAATTTAATGTGATTGTTAAGGAGTAAGAATGAAACAATTCCAATGCTACATAAAATAGAGAAATAACGGAAAGTTTCCAGTTTACTTCACAAGCTAACATAACCCTTCCACCAAAACCAGATACATGCACACGTGCGCAAACACACACACACACACACACACACACACCTCAAGCCAGACAGCTTAGTCTCACTTAGGCTATTTATATGGAATTTATAAACACACATCCTAAATGGAATACTAGCAAATTTAATTCATTAGTACAATATACTAAAATAATATTTCATACCCAAGCAGAACCTGTTCCAGAAATGCAAGGATGATCAATATTTTAGAAATGATCAATAGTATATATAGACCGTGTCTGTTTTGTACACTAGTATGGTCCTTGTGTCTGGCACAGTGCCTGGCACACAGTAGCATATAAGTATTTGTTGAGTGACTGAATATTACTATTAATAAGCAGTTCGAAAATAAAATAAGAAGAAAAAGATCTGATGCAAGTACAAATTATAGCAAATATACACGTGTTTGTGTGTTATGTATGTATACACACATCATACATATTCCATACATATACATCTATGTATACATGTATATATGTGTATATGTGTATATATGTATGCATATATACATAAATACATATACATGTGTATATGCATACATATGTGTATATACACATGTGTGCATGCATACGTGTATGTATGTGTATATATGCATATGCACATACATGTGTGCATATGTGTGTATATACATATGTACATGCACATATACATGCATGCACACGCATGTATATGTGTGTATATGCACACACACATATTTCACCCAAGAATAAACTTTTAAAAATGTATATAAGATCTGAATGAAGAATAGAGCAAAAGTTTGCCAAGGTACATAACAGAAGATAAATAAATGCGCAACATGTCACATACCTGTGTGAGAAAAGGCAATAATAAAAGATGTCAGTTCTTTTCAAACTAATTAATAAATGAAATGCAGTGTCCATTAAAATCTCAAAGAGATTTTGGGAGAGACGAGTCAGTAAATTGTTGCAGAAGAAAAGAAATATGAGGGGATTTTGCATAATTATTAAAATCTGTCATAAAACCACAGTAATTAAAACAGATTTGGCATAGAATAGACAGATCAGTAAAATAAAATTTAAAACCTGGAAACAGACTCACATATACACCAGTATTTTGCATATGATAAAGTTAGCATTTAAAATCAGAGAAGGGAAATATTATGCAAGCAAATCATGCTGGAATATTGGTTTCTGTTGGGGAAAATTAAGCTGGAGTCCCCACTGCATGCCAATCATCAAGGTAAAGTTCCAAATAGATCAGTTATTTTTTTAAATACTATAAACAGAATAATGAGAAAATATAGAAAGTGTTTCTATAATCTTGAGTGGTAAAGATTTTTCAAAGCATAATACCTAAAGAAAAATATAAGAGATGCATAGATTTGCCTACATAAAAATTTAAAACTTAAATTTGATTTTTTAAAAAATAACAAGGCAAACCACAAACAGGGACAAGATGTTGGCAGCGTAAAAGATTGACAAAATATTAATAGCCTTAATTTTATTTTATTTTTTATTTTTTTGAGTCGGAGTTTTGTTCCTGTCGCCCAGGCTGGAGTGCAGTGGCACCATCTCGGCTCACTGCAACTTCTGCCTCCAAGGTTCAAGCGATTCTCCTGCCTCGGCCTCCCGAGTAGCCGGGATTACAGGCATGCACCACCACGCCTGGCTAATTTTTGTATTTTTAGTAGAGACTGGGTTTCCCCATGTTGGCCAGGCTGGTTTTGAACTCCTGACCTCCGGTGATCCACCTATCTTGGCCTCCCAAAATTGTGGGATTATAGGTGTGAGCCACCACGCCTGGCCTAATATCCTTAATTTAGAAAACACCCTTGCAAAGCAGAAGGAAAAAGGCATACATTCCATTTGGAAAATGGAAAAAAGGCAATTCACAAAAGAAGAATATGAATAAAAAAGAAATGTTTCTTTTTTTTTTTTTTTTTTCTGAGACAGGGTCTCACTCTGTTGCCCAGACTAGAGTACAGTGGCTCCATCTTGGCTCGCTGCAACCTCTGCCTCCCAGGCTCAAGCAATTCTCCTGCCTCAGCCGCCCAAGTAGATTACACCGTGTGCCACCACACCCGGCTAATTTTTGTATTTTTGGTAGAGACGGGGTTTCACCATGTTTGCCAGGCTGGTCTTGAACTCCTGACCTAAATGTTCCACCCACCTCAGCCTCCCAAAGTTCTGGGATTATAGGCATGAGCCACCACACCCTGCTGAAAGGTTTACTTTCAATAATAAACACAGAAATGCAGATAAAGTAGAAAAAAAATAAATACCTTTTAATATCTCCTGGGTTACCAACAATTTACTTTTTTGTGTGTCTTTTTTTTTTTTTTTCCTTTTTGTGGAGAATTGGGGTCTCACCATGTTGCCCAGGTAGGTCTCAAATTCCTGGACTCAAACTAGCCTCCTGCCTCTGCCTCCCTAAGTGCTGGGATTACAGGCGAGAGCCACTGTGCCTGGTCAGATTATCAACAATTTAAATAATGATAACATAAGCACTGTAAACAAAGACTTCATATATGTAGAAGACAGTCAAGGCTTTAAAAATATGACCTGGAAATACTGTGTGTAGAATTGTTTCTTTTTTCTTTTTTTCAATAACTGGTTTTTGCTTTATTCTGTAGTTCACATAGGACAATCCCAAATTCCACACTTGGTTTCTCTCTTCCGTCTTTGTTATTCTTTCAATGTCTATGTCAACAGAGACTGTTTCTCCCAATAGCATATGCAGCCTCATCCAGGACACACAGGCCCTCAAAGATCCTAGCCCTCTAGCACTGCCACCTGGGCCTCCCAGGTGACCGCACCCATGCCTGTGCTGGGGCTCTGCCCTGGTCCTGTCACCCTGAGGTGTCCTTAGGGCGGGAATGCCAAACAGGCTCCATGTGATGTACCAACTCTGAGTAAATACAAGAGGCTGCCTGGGGCTGAGGGTTGAGAGACAGTCTGTGTCCGGCTTCCATTACAAAGAATGCTGTGATCCATGAGCAATGCCTGCCATGACAATACCCGTTAGAGGTACCTGGAAGGGTGTGGGGTTTGGAGGGAATGGGCTCAGAAAGGGACAAGGTGTGTAGCCCATCCTTGCCTTAGGTAGTTGTTCTGCTACCCAGGCTGTGCCGTCCCACCGGCCAGGTGGCTGAGGAGGAAGTCAAGCCCGCAAAGTTGCAAGTGGCTTCCCCGGGGCCTGCAGGGAACAGCATAAGCTCCAAGCTGGATGGAGTTTCGAAGGGTGCACACGCTAGGCCTCGTGGGGGTCTGCACACTGCAGGCCACGCTGGCATTAGCTCCAATCCTCTGGGGTCCGTCTCATCCAAGCAAAGACAGCTGGTTGGCCTCAGAGCGTTATTATAGATGCCACTAGCAGGTAAAATATTTTTACATGGCCCGGACGCAGAAACGGGCTGTACCTCTGGATAAACTTTTAGAAACTTTCCATCCAAACCAAAAGGATATATCTTCTAGGTGTTACCAAGAAACCTAAACTGAGTAAAAGGACAGGCTTACTTTAATGAAGTTCCAGAATGGGGTGCATGGCTTTGAAAAGCACTTTGTAGCAGAAGATGTAGGGGTGTGTGTAAAGCAAAGTTTCTAGAATACACCAGAGGAAACAGACGCAACCCGACTTGGCCTTTGCTTCCCCTGGATGCTGCTCTGTCCCGGCAGTGGGTGGTTACTGGGTCCAGCTGACTTTGGGGGTGTCGCGATGCTCCGTGTGTGCGTCCAGGTGTCTGCTGAAGTCCTCCTCTCTCTGCCTGTGGGTCTGGGATGCTTTCTTCAGGATCCTTTCCATGTGTCGCTTCTCCTGCACTTTCTCCTGGGCTAGGGTCAGCTTGAACAGGCCGCACCACTTCTCCTCATTCTTTTTGCTTGTTCCCATCTCTTCCTGAGTTGTGCCTTGTCTTTGTGCTTCTTTTTCTTCTTCTGCTTGGTCACTCCAAGCTCTGTGATGCCTTTCGGCTTCAGGGGTCCCTTCTGGACCTGCTTGTAGGCCCCCAGGTCACTAGCCTGCAGTTCGGTAGGTAGCAGAATTTTTTCTGGAGAAAAGATCAAGCAACATATGTGGAGATTTACGTCCAAGGATGTGCATCATAGAATTCCTGAAAATATATATAGAGAGAGAGAGAGGCAGAATCTCAATATGTTGCCCAGGCTGGAGTGCAGGCCCAAGCTCCTGGGCTCAAGCAATTCTCTTGCTTCAGCCTCCTAAGTAGATGAGAGTATAGGTGTGTACTACCATCCCCGGCCAATTTTTTAATTTTTTTTGTAGAGATAAGGCCTTGCTATGTTAGCCAGGCTGATCTCAAACTCCTGGCCTCATGCGATCACCCTGCTTTGGCCTCCCAAAGCTCTGGAATTACAGGCATGAGCCACAGCACCTGGCCCTTAAAATATATTTTTTAATTTTTATGTTTTTTATTACATGTATCTGCTGATTTTTTTTTTACTTAAAATATTTTTAATGGAAATATTTAAATGTTCTCCAACATTGCGAAACCCCGTCTCTCCTAAAAATACTAAAATTAGCCGGGCATGGTGGCATATGCCTGTAATCCTAGCTACTTGGGAGGCTGAGGCATGAGAATCCCTTTAACCCTGAAGGTGGAGGTTGCTGTGAGTCCAGATTGCACCACTGAGCTCCAGCCTAGGTGACAGAGCAAGACTCTGTCTCAAAAAATACATATATATATATATAAATATTCAGCAATAGAAGACTACTTTGGTAGGTTATAGTCTATATGTAATCCCAGCACTTTTGGAGGCCGAGGTTGGGAGGATGGCTTGAGCCCAGGAGTTCAAGACCAGCCTGGGCAATATAGTGAGATCCCATCTCTACAAAAAACGGAAAATTAGAAAATTAGCCAGGAATGATGGCATGCACTTGTAGTCCCAGCTACTCAGGAGGCCGAGGTGGGAGGACCACTGGACCCCAGGAGGTCGAGGCTGCAGTGAGCCATGATTGTGCCACTGCACTCCAGCCTGGGAAACATGCCAAGACCCTGTCTCTAAAGAAAAAAAAAGTGTGTTCTGACTTGGTAAATATTAGAATACTTAAGCTATTAGGCTATGAAGTCAGAGCTGGATTTAAACCCATCTCTTTCTAGCTGTGTATTGTGAGACAATTTGCTTAACCTCTCTAAGCCTCAGTTTCCATACCTATCTATTTTATTTATTTTTTTCAGAGGCAAGGTTTGCTACATTGCCCTTGGCGGTTCTCCACCTCAGCCTTCTGAGTAGCTGGGACCACAAGCTCCTACCACCTTGCCCAGCTACCTTTTAAAGTTGTGGGATTAAATAAATCAGTTTCTATGATGTGCTTATAACACAGTGCCTGGCGTTCAATAAACATTCACTGCATATATATATCATGATTGAATACTAAATCTTGAAGTCAGTGATGCTGGCATGCAAAAGACATTTAATAAACATCTTTGAAAAAATAAAATACGATGAATATGATAGGAGATTAGGCTGAGAAAATTGTGTTTAGGTCAAAAAGAAAATTTGACCGCAAAGTAAAGAGACTTTGATTTTCTATGACTAATTAATGAACTCAGGAGGGAATGCCAAAGGATATCTTTTAAAAATGTTTTGAACAGTAGCAGCATACTGAAATAAACATATGTAGCCTCACAAGGTGAATTATTTGGAAGACAAAACGCATTTAGATGTAACCGTTCTATTAGTATGTATGTTGTTTTCTTTTTTTTTTTTTTAGACGGAGTCTCACTCTGTCACCCAGGCTGGAGTGCAATGGCGCGATCTCGGCTCACTGCAACCTGTGCCTCACAGGTTCAAGCAGTTCTCCTGCCTCAGCTTCCCGAGTAGCTGGGATTACAGGCACCCGCCACCAGGCCCAGCTATTTATTTTTATTTTTTTATTTTTAGTAAAGACGGGGTTTCGCCACGTTGGCCAGGCTGGTCTTGAACTCCTGACCTCAGGTGATCCACCCACCTCAGCCTCCCAAAGTGCTGGGATTACAGGCATGAGCCACCATGCCCAGCCAAAATGTATGTTGTTTTCTATGTGGTAACTTTATAGCCATTCTCTACATGGCCCACTTCAAAACAGCCCTGGGAGCAGCCTTTTCTTTATTCAGCAAAGGCTCTCTGAGCCCCTAGGATGGGCTAAGCACTGCCACGGGCCCGAGGTCTTTGCCTTCATGGAGCTGGGCTGTGGACTGTGCTGGGTTGTGATGGGGGACAGTGACGCAGTCTCGCCTCCTGTGGACGACTTGGGAGGTTCCTAGTGGTCTGGAAACACCCAGGACAGCCCTGAGCTCAGCTCCCGGAAAAGGAGGCGTCTTCGGGCTCTGTACCGCATACCCAATTGTGAAGCCTGGGCAGCTACACTGAGGTTCTGGGCGTCAACTCTCCATCTACGAAATGAGAGCATTACACAGATGACTTCAGGGTTTCGTTTGTTTGTTTCTTAATCCTATGACCAGAAAGAAATTCACTGTGACCAAACACACACACACACACGAATACACGCACATGGACACAACTGGAAAACATGCTTACGAATGCCAAGGCCACTCCCACTCTGAAACATGTGGGGGATTGTGGTTGTTTTGTGTTTCTTTTTTTTTTTTTTTTTTTTTGAGACAAGTTCTTGCCCTGTCACCCACGCTGGAGTACAGTGGCTCAATCAATCACGGCTCACTGCAGCCTTGATCTCTTAGGATCAAGAATTCTCCCATCCCAGCCTCCCAAATAGCTGGGACCACAGGTACAGGACACTATGCTGTCAGCTAACTTTTGATTTCTTTGAAGTAGAGACGAGGTCTTGCCATGTTGCCCAGGCTGGTCTCAAACTCCTGGGCTCAAGTGATGCTCCTGCCGCAGCCTCCCAAAGTGCTGGGCTTACAGGGGTGAGCCACTGCGCCTGGCCTGAAACACCTGTTTTTCTAGTGGAAAAGGTCTGGCAAGGAAGCAAAGTCCCTGGTTGTTGGTGGCTGCCAGCCTTATGGGATCTCAGGCAAATTGTGTCATCTCTTTAGACCCTTTGCTGTAATGTAAGGTGTCTGGCCTAATGATGTCTGAAGTCCCTCCATTGCTAAAATTCTGTTTTATAATCATTCCATTCCATTCAATGGTCCTATATTGAGCACTTGTGCCAGGCACTTTCTAGGCCCAGGGGCTGCAAAGGGGAATGACTTGTAGACCCCACCATTGAAGGACCCACCACCTTACTGGGTGAGCCAGCACGGGAAGCACAGAGATGGAGATGGGTATGTGTGGGCTTGTTCCAGAGCTGGACGTGCCTAAAGACCCTTTACTGAGGCCATGATCTCCACCTGGCTCTCATTTGGGCCTACGCCATTTCTGTAGACTTTAAATGGGCAATGAATATACTAGGTGTCACCAAACACATATTTCCACCACATTTCCACCCCACCCCAGAGGATTTTGTTTCAAGGGGAAGCGTCTAGTCATCCTATGTGGCCAGACTCTGCGTAGGGCAAGCTCTGGCAATAGGGCCAAACAATGCACGTGACAAAGGACAAATACAGGATACAAAATATAGCTATTTGCTGTGTTAATTATCTTACTCAAGTCTAAATGTTTTTCAGCCCTCGCTCTCCACCCCTGTGAGTTATCAGTTAAATTTTTAAAAATTGATGACATGCAAAACATAATTATATTCCTAGTATTCCAATTCCTCATTTTAGACCCATGGCCATATCCACTTGGTCACTTTCCATCACAAGATACCGTTTGAATTGTCAGCTCAAAAGCTCCCACTGCCCAACAAGGCCAAATGCCAACATGAAAAAAACCCCACAAGCCAATGGAGTTTATTTCTAATGCCAGACACAGCTTTGAAATACAGGTTTAGACAGCATGAGAACTGGCCGGTGAATAATTGCTTCAACAGCATCAGCCCTTTAAGGGCCCAAAGAGTAAACATGATCTTCCATGTGAGTAAAATGCAATGGCTGTGCAGAGAGGAGACATACGAAAGGTTTACCTTGGGCAGCACAGTCAAGAGCGGACTGTTTCCTTGCTCGAGTGTGAAAGCCCATCTATAAACAGCTTTCACAGCTCTGTGGTGCCAGACAATTGCACCATTGAAAGACGGGACTGGTAAGTGCTCCCCACTTCCAGGGATTATTCTGTGTGTCTCAGTAGAAGTAGGGTGCTTTGTCCTACTTCCCCTTTGTGTGAGTAAATGTCTTTTTATTCTAGGAGCCTCCGTTCCTGCTCTCGGTCTCTTGCTGTTATTGTTTAACCTTCTCGGCACAAGGGAAGCCAGAGGCAGAGGGAGTCAGCCACAAAACCTGCCCGTCTCAGTGCCTGGTGAGGAGGCATTACCTCTCTAGAAGTTGTCCACTCACCACAGACCCATTCCTCAGAATGAACTCAGGATGTTTGGGATGTAGTTTTCCTGGGAAGCAGTAAAGCCATCCAGGAAGGCATAGCGAACCACACGATCCAAAAATGTTTATTGAGACGCACCACACACCAGCACGTTCTAAGCCCTGGGGAAAGAGCTTTGCTTATAGCCAAGTCCCTGCTCCCCTGGAGCTCGCTGTCCAAGAGCCATGATGATAACATGCAGATAAATACCTGGAATGTCAGGTGGCATGGAGGGCAAGGAGGAAGGAGTGATCAGGGCAGGGAGAGACGCTATTCTAGACGGACCCCTCAGGACAGTTCCTCCGATGAGGCCATATTTGAATGAAGAAAGAGATTGAGTCACGCAAATGTCTGAGGCAGGAGGGCTTCAGGCAGGAGAAACAGCAATGCAAAGGCCCTGGTTTGGGGTGTGCCTGGCATCTTGAAGGACCCCCAGGTGGCATTTTAAGGAGCTGGCGACAGCAATTCCTCCCAAAGAGCCTCTTCCAGGAGACACTGAGTGAGATGGCAAATGAGAGGCTTTTCTAGTAAAACTGCTAGTGAAGGCCGCACATGGTGGTGGCTCATGCCTGTAATCCCAGCACTTTGGGAGGCCAACTGGGAGGCTCGCTTGAGCCCAGGAGTTCGAGATTGCAGTGAGCTGTGATCATACCACTGCACTCCAGCCTGGACAGTAGAATGAAACCCTGTCTCAAAAACAAACAAACAAACAAACAAACAAACAAACAAAACAAAACAAACCTGCTAGGGATGATCATTCCATGTGAACAACTTGTTGATCCTGCCCATAATTAGAGCTCAAGTCTTCTAAGCCCTCCCCCCAGTCTGCTCACATGTGTTTTCTTAGAGGCCAAAGCTGCTGAAATCCAAGCAGCCCCACAGGCAAAGCCACAACAGGATGAAAGAAAGAAATGGGCTGGGAGCGGTGGCTCACACCTGTAATCCCAGCACTTTGGGAGGCTGAGCCTGGCGAATCACCTGCAGTCAGGAGTTCGAGACCAGCCTGACCAACATGGAGAAACCCCATCTCTACTAAAAATACAAAATTAGCCGGGTGTGGTGGTGCATGCCTGTAATCCCAGCTACTTGGGAGGCTGAGGCAGGAGAATCGCTTGAACCTGGGAGGCAGAGGTTGTGGTGAGCCAAGGTCACGCCATTGTACTCCAGCCTGGGCAACAAGAGTGAAACTCCGTTTAAAAAAAAGAAAGAAAGAAAGAAAGAAATGTCTGAGCCAGGCGCAGCGGTGCGCACCTGTAGTCCCAGCTACTCGGGAAGCTGAGGAGGGAGGATCACTTCAGCCTGGAGTTCAAGGCCATCCTGGGCAATGTAAAAATTTTTTTTTATAAAAGGGTCCGGTCTTAAAAATATTTGTGAAGAAAACTAGGTCTTTGATTGCTTTCTGTCAATCACCTACTATTATAAACAATTCATGTATATTAGCTTTTATGTAGATGTGATTATCCTCATTTTACACAGGAGTCACCTGAGCCTCAAAGAGAGGAAGCAAATGGCTCTAGACCACACAGTGCTAAGAATCCGTGAATCACCCCAGCTACTTGGGGAACTGAGGCAGGAGGATTGCTTGAGCCCAGGAGGTTGAGTCTGCAGCGAGCCGAGATCATGCCACTGCACTCCAGCCTGGGTGACAAAGTGAGAGAGAACCTGTCTCAAGAAAAAAAAAAAAAAAGCAGTGAATTGGGATTTGAACCCAGGCTGCCTGCTTCTGGAGCCTGTATTCTTTCTACGGCAGAGCGTCGCCCCTGTGCGTCACGATGATATGCATCCAGTACCATGGAACCATTGCTAACCCAGCTTACAGAGTCCTGTCTGGGAGCAGACTACCAGCCTTGGTTTGTGGCTGCATGGGGACTCCCCATAGCTGGCAATTTGTTTATACAGAGTGGCTGTCACTTAATTCGGTAAAGCCTACATTTCCATGTCTCTCAAGTTTGGCAGAACCACAAACCTAGGGGGTGGCTCGCTGCCCCACCCTCAGCCCTCTCCACATCTGAAATGCCATAGTGGGTGCTCAGACGGTGAGACCGAGGGGGGCCCCCCAGCTTTCGGAGATACCCCCATGTGCTTTCACAGTCAACCAATGCTTTCTCTCCAGAGGCTTCACTTCTGCACTAATGCTGCAGGTGTAGCTCTCACACCTGAAACGACACACAGAGGTTATCACTTTCCTTTCCCCAAAGAGACTTCTAGCACATGGAATCATGGAAAGTGAGGGTCAAAATGGACATGAAGTTCTTTGAGCCCAATCGTCTTCCAGTGATTCCCTCACTACTCCATCTTTCTGCCAAGCAGCCATCCTGTTCGAGCCTGAACACTCCAGTTTCCCGGGAACACACCGGCTCCCGCCAGGTATTCTTTCTGCTATTTCATCTGGGCACCTCCGAGCAGCTTCTCTACCCTGTGCCAAAGTCTGTCTTCCCTTCGTCTCTACTCTGTGCAATTAACGGATACTCTTCCTGGGAGCTACATAGCACACCTTGAATACCGTCTATGTGGAAGCCAAACAATTGCTTTATAATTCTATTGATATAGCCTGCAGTCACAGCTTTTTTTTTTTTTTTTTTTTTGAGATGGAGTCTTACTCTGTTGCCCAGGCTGGAGTACAGTGGTGCCATCTTGGCTCACTGCAACCTCTGCCTCCCGGGTTCAGGTGATTCTCCTGCCTCAGCCTCTTGAGTAGCTGGGACTACAGTCACGCGCCACCATGCCTGGCTAATTTTTGTATTTTTAGTAGAGACAGGGTTTCACCATGTTGGCCGGGCTGGCCTCGAACTCCTGACCTCATGTGTCCTCCCACCTCGGCCTCCCAAAGTGCCAGTCACAGCTTTTTTTTGATATTCATATAACACTGTTGATTCATATTGAGATTTTCATCAACCAAAAGTTAAGTGTTTGTTTCCTTTTCTTTTTTCTTTTTTTTTTTTGGCATCACATTAGTATTAAGCCGTACCCCTGTGTCCACACTAGTACAGTGTGGTGATTTCATGGACCATTACAAGATTTTGCATTATTCCTATTAAACTTTCACTAGATGCTCATCAATTGACCGGATCTTCCTGGGTCTTGTTGCTGTGATCCATCTGCTTTATCCCTCCCACCTTCACTTCACCTGTGAGTAGTCAGGGAAGCATGTGTTTTGCTTTATTTTTGTTTTGAGACAGAGTCTCGCTCTGTCACCCAGGCTGAAGTGCAATGGTGCAATCTCAGCCCACTGCAACCTCCGTCTCCAGGCTCAAGCAATTCTCCTGCCACAGCCTCCCAAGTAGCTGGGATTACAGGCACCTGCCACAATGCCCGGCTAATTTTTGTAGTTTTAGTAGAGATGGGGTTTCACTATGTTGGCCAGGCTGATCTCGAACTTCTGACCTCAGGTGATCTGCCTGCCTCAGCCTCCCAGCATGCTGGGGTTACAGGCGTGAGCCACCGTGCCTGGCCAGGGAAGCATGTGTTGATAGGGTCTCAACATCAAATACCTGTAGAAGCCAAGGAAGTAACGTAAGTGGAACCCCAGGGCTGGGTGGACAAGCCCAAGGGCTTCTTCAGCACCCTCTGGACACAGTCCTCCAACCCCTTACTAAACCACCTCCCCAGGTTGACATCCAGCCTCCCACTGCCCATCCTGCCCAGATACACTGGAGAGTGCTTTCTAGAGGAAGTGCTGCATCTCAGAAAGGGCTATAGTGGAGGGGAACAGAGCTCAGGCTCTGGAGTCAGACAATGCTGGGTTGTTGCCTTCCCTTTTCCATTCCCTGGCTGTGTGACATTGCACAAGTGCACTTACTTCTCTGTGCTTTGGTTTTTCTCATCTGTAAAATGGGGAAAATAATAATGTCTACTTCATAGGGTTGACGTAAGTATTTTACACAATCATTCATGTGGTGTATTTAGCTCAGGGCCTAGCACATAGAGATTACTTAATACAATTCACCTATACTGATTATTTTTGTGGTTACTATTATCATTGCTACAATGATTATTAGGAATCACACTGTTATCTCTGACATCTCCTACAGATGGTGGCAGCAGGACAATGGAAACAACCCGGTGAGTACAAAAGAGATGCTCTTGAACACACACCCAACCCTCTTCCTTCATTCACACCCCCCGGCCTGATATCGGCAGCACATCGCTATGCTCCTCTTGGAGAAAACTCCTCTCGCGTTGAGAGTGGAAACACCAGCTTGCCTTCGTGTGACATGGAGCGGGTCATGCCACTCCTCTCCTCAAAAACTTTCAGTGAGGTCCCTTGTATCTTACAGAACAAAGTCCAAACTCTATCCTGTCATTGAAGAGTCCTCTCCCAGGTGGCCGTGCCACATCTCCAGCTTGTCTCTCAGGAGACCTTCTCCAGGGCCCTGCCTGTCCACACATAGGACTCACCACTCCCTGGGCGAGCCTGGGCCCTTCCCCACCCATCCTGTGCTTTGATTCCCCAGGGGCGGTGCCCTTGCCGGACTCTTCATGGACTAAATCCCACTCGTCCTGCAAAACCTGGCAAAATTCAAGGCCACTGGAGGAGCTCTTCCTTTGAGACTCTCCAGCAGGACTTGCCGCCTCTGCGCGGGGTGTGTAGCAAGCCCTGCTTGCCATTGCCACTCCGTTGCTGCAGAACGAGTGGGATTTGGTCTCTTTCGTGACTTCCCCAACACACACACCCCACCCCCACCACATAGCACAAGGCTGAGAACACTGGGAACGCTCAATAAAGAAATATTTTTGGCCTGAATGAATGGCCTGAAGGACTGCTCCTTTCAACAATTATGGCCCAATAAATTATACCGACATTGCCTCCTGGAGGGAAAGGCCACACCAAGGCCCCCACAGATGGGGAAACTGCTCTGTCTGCCAAAACCCAGATGCAGGGCAGCCTTGGCCCTGCTTGGCTGTCTACCTGAATCTGGGTTTAACAACTTGGCCTGCAGTTTTACAGCCTGAATCACCAGGCTCAGCACAACAGCATGAGTTCTTTGTCCGCATGCTGCTGCCAGGTGTTGAAGGAACGGGCTGCAGTGACTTACCCGGCTCAAGGAGACCTGCAGGCGGGGCAGACGGGTGCCTGCACCCCAGGCTGGGAGGCCAGGGGACTTGTCTGCAAAAGAAACCCTTGTCTGGACCCTAAACAGAAAAAAAGAGGTGATGAAAGTTTACATGAGGACCCGGCTCTGGGTGCTGCAGGGGGATGCGTGCTAGCTTGGAGGTTGGGGGTAGGGGCTGTGGAACATGGAGTGACCTTCAGGTCACTGAACAAAGCTTAGAGGGCCCAGACTCAGTCAGATTTTATTTCTATAGCTGTAATAGTTGTGTGGTCCTAGGAAGCATGCAGGAAGCCATCAAATTTAAGCTTTTAGAGCTGGGGTTACATATCTTAAGAGCCGAAGAAATGCAGTATCCAAACAAGTGATATAAGGCATGAAGACTCGTGCAAGGAGAGGTTAGAAGGGTCTCTGGCTGTATGAGCGTTCCTTTCTTGGGTTATGAAGTCATTGATTCAGCATCTATAAATAGAGCTCACGGCAATGGCGTGCTGGTTACGGTTTAACCACCAGTTCTTCCAAGAAAAAGCCCTGACTTGAGGCATTTGCAGATTTCTGTGGTGTAAATACACCCACCATGGCCAATTTCAAACTACCCAGAAGGTAGGCCCAGAATGTAGAGCTGGGAAGAGATTGCACAGCCAGCTCCCGTACACACTGATTCCCAGCAGCCTGTCAGCGTCACCAGCAAGAATCCTACCAGTAGCCCACTTCTTCAGTAGTTTTGCAACCTCAAGCAGTGCAAGTCAATGAGGCAACCTCAAAAATAATATGAGACGATAACCCCCAAAATTGTGTGAGATAAGATAATAATTCCCTTACTGGGTAAGCATTTTTCAAACTGGCTATTATTTATTTTATTTTTTATTTTTATGTTTTATAGAGTAGAGGTCTCACTACATTGTCCAAGCTAGTCTCAGACTCCAGGGCTTAAATAATCCTCCTGCCTCAGCCTCCCACAGTGTTGGGATTACAGGCATAAGCCACCATGCCCTATTTATTTATTTATTTTAATTTGTTCAGACAGGGTCTTGCTCTGTGTCCCAGGCTGGAGTGCAGTGATGCAGTCATAGCTCACTGCAGCCTCAAACTCCTGAGCTCAAGGGATTCTACCTCATCAGCCTCTGGAGAAGCAGGGATTACAGGCTTATGCCAACAGGCCCAGCTAGTTTTTTATTTTTTGTGGAGATGTAATCTTACTACATTGACCAGGCTGGTCTTGAACCCCTGGCCTCAATCAATCCTCTCGCCTCGGCCTCTCAGAGTGCTGAGATTATAGGCATGAATCACTGCGCCCGACCCACAGTCCTTTTGCAGATATTCACCAACATGCACAGAGCGGCAAAAAATTTGAGTCAACCGACAAGCACATTTCTAGCAGAGGCTGAACAAGGCAACGCTCTGACTTCCTGTTTCAACTGTCATTTTGTGAAGAAATGTCCTTTTCACAGTCCATTTAGTGCCAGGTTTTTCATATTTTTGTCCTTTTTCTTGGGGATGGTGCTGTGTAAAATGGTCCCCACGTGCACGGCTGAAGTGCTGTCTAGCGATCCTAAGTGCAGAAAGACTGTGATGCACCTTCCGGAGAAAATACATGTGTTAGATGAACTTTGTTCAGGCAAGAGCTATAGTGCGGTTGACTTAATTCAATGTTAATGAATCAACAATATTTATTAATAAGGCATCTTTAAACAGAACTACACAGCTGGGAGCAGTGGCTTATGCCGGTAATGCCAGCACTTTGGGAGGCCAAGGCAAGAGGATTACTGTAGCCCAGGAGTTCGGGACCAGCCTGGGCAACATAAAGACTCCATCGCTACAAAAAAAATTTAAAAATTAGCTGGGTATGGTGGTGCACACCTGTGGTCCCAGCTACTCAGGAGGCTGAGGTGGGAGAATCATTTGAGCCTGGGAGGTTGAGGCAGCAGTGAGCCATAATTGCGCCACCACTGCATTCTAGCCTGGGCAGAGCAAGACCCCACTTCTCCAAAAATAAAACAAAATAAAAGAAAACCCAAAAAATCATAAATGCACGTAAAATAAAGTCATATATTAATCAGTTGACAAAACTCTTGTGACCAGAGACTCTCAGGAAGCTAACCCTGTATCTCCCCTAGGCGCAATGGTTCAGTATTCACTAATTCAGTGTCTGTGGTGACCTTATCAAATGCAGTTGCTATGAGTAATGGAAATCTACTGTATCTGCAGGAGAGTGAGGAACTGCCACGGCCCAGCCCAGAGTGTCAGATCCCAAGCAGGGTAAAGAGGGGAGGAGAGGATCCATGCGGCAGTGGTTCAGAGTACGGAGTCAGAGTGCATACAGGGAAAAGCCAGTGGCAGCTCAGGTGGGAGATTCATCACACACATAGGTGGTGATGAAATAAGTAAACATGGCCCGGTACGGTGGCTCACGCCTGTAACTCCAGCACTTTGGGAAGCCAAGGCGGGCAGGTCACCTGAGGTCAGGAGTTCAAGACCAGCCTGACCAACATGGTGAAACCCCGTCTCTACTAGAAATACAAAAATTAGCCTGGCGTGGTGGGGTGCACCTGTAATCCCAGCTACTCAGGAGGCTAAGGCAGGAGAACTGCTTGAACCCAGGAGGTGGAGGTTGTGGTAAGCCAAGATCACGCCATTGCACTCCAGGGGCAACAACAGCAAAACTCTGTCCCCCGCCAAAAAAAAGAAAAATAAAAGAAAAAGGAAAGAAAAAACGAAATAAGTAAACATATTGAGGGCAATGGAAGCCAGGGTGCTCTCTGTTTCTGTCACTGAGGGGACCCAGGAGCAGCATCACTCCAACAACAATGGGCCCCCTGGAGCACAGGTCTTGGCCTTAAATACTATTTTCCACAGCTCCTTGGAGAAATGGATGCTTCCAGGGTTAAGGCAGGCAAAGTGCAATATAAACCTGAAACATCTTATTTTTCCAGAAAGCACACAATTACTCAAAAACAAAAAAAATTATGGAGGCATGTCAAAAGGAACAAGCCAAGCTGGGTTCGGTGGCTGACACCTGTAATCCCAGCACTTTGAGAGGCTGAGGCGGGCAAATCACTTGAGGTCAGGAGTTGAAGACCAGCCTGGCCAACATGGTGAAACCCCATCTCTACTGAAAATACAAAAATTAGCCCGGCATAGTGGCATGCATCTGTAATGCCAGCTACTCAGGAGGCTGAGGCACGAGAATCGCTTGAACCAGGAGGCAGAGTTTGCAGTGAGCTGAGATCATGTCACTGCACTCCAGCCTGGGTGAGAGAGCAAGACTTTGTCTCAAAAAAAAAGGAACAAGCCAGCTTGATGAGAGACAATATGAGATTCAAAATAATGATAGTAGTAGATTATAACTCAAACATAGATAGATTAATTAATTGAAAGTTTTATTTGCATTTTTAGTAAAAATGGGATATTTGCATAGCTTCAAAATACATCTTTGCAAAATACTGATTAGTTACAAAGAGAATAAAAAGTTAAGTTTACAGCAGAAAGAAATGACAGACACCATCTTAATCAAATGATCTTAGTCAACATCATTAATAATGAGAAAAACCGAAATCATGCACCAGTCGATAAGATGCAATAAAGAATACAGCATCATTTCTGTCATTTTTCTGCCTGACGGATAACCTGAATCTGATCATGAGGATCAGACATACCCAAAGCGAGAAATATTCTGCAAAATAATTGGCCTGTACCTTTCAAAAATATCAAGGACATGAGGCTGAGGAACTATTCCAGACTGAAAGAGAAGGGAGAGACATGACAACTAAATGCTATACGGGATTCTGAGCTGGATCTGCCTGCTGTACAGGGCATTGTTAGGACTAATGGTAAAACTTGGATGTGGTATTAGGATCTAATGATAGTAATGTATCATGTTAATCTCCTGATTTTAATGGTTGT
Source organism: Homo sapiens (assembly GCF_000001405.40). Lineage (NCBI taxonomy): Eukaryota > Metazoa > Chordata > Mammalia > Primates > Hominidae > Homo > Homo sapiens. The sequence goes on from NC_000010.11 coordinate 74,758,027, forward strand.
GTTGTGGTTATACAGGAGAATGTCCTTGTTTCCAGGAAACAGACACTATATATTCACAGGTGATGGAGTATTAGGTTAGCAATCCTCTCAAATGGTTCAGATAAAAAGTTCTTTCTAAGCCAGGCGCAGTGGCTCACACCTGTAATCCCAGCATTTTGGGAGGCCGAGGTGGGAGGATCACTTGAGTCCAGGAGTTCGAGACCAGCCCGGGAAACATGGTGAAACCCCCATCTCTACTAAAAATACAAAAATTAGCTGGGTGTGATGGCCGGCACCTATAATCCTAGCTACTCAGGAGGCTGAGGCAGGAGAATCACTTGAACTTGGGAGGCAGAGGCTGCAATGAACCAAGATGCACTGCCCAGAGTGAGATTCCGTCTCAAAAAAAAAGTTCTTTGTACTGTACTTTCAACTGTTCTATGAGTTTGTATCTGTATCAAAAACGTGTCATCAAGGAATTGATTTGTGGTTTTTAAGTAAAAACCTTACTAAATTTATATACAGTAGTGAAACATTTCAGGGAAATTAGGTTCACTATACCGCTATATGTTTAATTTATTAGATTTATAAAAATTAGGTACTTGGGAGCATTTGTCAGTTAGACAATTGAAGTATGTACTTTTTTTTTTTTTTGAGACGGAGTCTCGCTCTGTCACCCAGGCTGGAGTGCAGTGGCGCAATCTCAGCTCACTGCAACCTCTGAATCCCGGGTTCAAGTGATTCTCCTGTCTCAGCCTCCTGAGTAGCTGGGATTACAGGCGTGCACCACCATGCCCGGCTAATTTTTGTATTGAATTATGTACTTTTAAAAGGAAATTAAATATATTACATTTATAAATTAAGTTTTAAATGATTGAAGGCATTTAACTGAATGAGTAAATGGGACCAAATTATTATTTTAAAACTCCTTAAAAGTAATTGCTAAAATTACCTAGACTTATAAATAGAATACGGTTTTCAACTGAACTTAAAAGTCTACCGAATATTAACATTTTAAAACCAGAGTAAATGCAAAAGTTTTGTGTTTTTTTGTTTTATTTGAGATGGGGTTTTGTTCTTGTTGCCCAGGTCGGAGTGCAGTGGCACCATCTTGGCTCACTGCAACCCCAGCCTCCCGGGTTTAAGTGATTCTCCTGCCTCAGCTTCCTGAGTAGCTGGAATTACAGGCACACACCACCTCGCCCAGCTAATTTTTTGTATTTTTAGTAGAGACGGGGGTTTCATCATGCTGATCAGGCTGGTCTCGAACTCCTGACCTCAGGTGATCCATCCACCTCGGCCTCCCAAAGTGCAGGGATTACAAGTGTGAGCCACCGTGCCTGGCTGCAAATAGATTTTTTCTGGATAATATAGATTCAATAATTCACCAGCACTGCTATAGAACTAACTTTGTGCTTAGAGCTTCTAGGATAAAGAACAAATATAGGCCGGGCATGGTGGCTCATGCCTATAATCCCAGCTCTTTGAGAGGCCGAGGCAGGAGGATTGCTTGAAGCCAGGGGCTAACGAGCAGCCTGGGCAACACAGTGAGGCCCCGTCTCTACAAAAAAAATTAGACGAGTGTGGTGGTGTGCCCCTGTAGTCTAGTCCCAGCTACTCTGGAGGTTGAGGAGGGAGGATCCCTTGAGCCTGAGAGACAGAGGTTGAAGTGAGCTGAGACCACACCACTGCACTCCAGACTGGGCGGCAGATGAGACCCTGTCTCTAAATAAATAAATAAATAAATAGATAAATAAATAAATACAACAACAACAAAGAAATGTAAAATACAGCCAGGCACGGTGGCTCACGCCTATAATCCCAGCACTTTGGGAGGCTGAGGCAGGTGGATCACCTGAGATCGGGAGTTCAAGACCAGCCTGACCAACACGGAGAAAACTTGTCTCTACTAAAAATACAAAATTAGCTGGGCGTGGTGGCGAATGCCTGTAATCCTAGCTACTCGGGAGGCTGAGGCAGGAAAATTGCTTGAACCCAGGAGGCAGAGCTTGCAGTGAACCGAGATCGCGCCATTGCACTCCAGCCTGGGCAACAAGAGCAAAACGCCATCTCAAAAAAGAAAGAAAGAAAGACAGAAGTATAAAACACAATATCTGACCAGCTAAGGATATCATAACTAATCAATGCCACAAGACTAACACATAGAATATAACAGCAAATAAAACAATCTGACAGTAAGACAATGTGGCATATCCTTATGTATAGCCCTAGAGGGCAGAACTCCAATCCAGAGGAAAATAAATGAAGGCATTGCAGCCATAAAAAGGAATGAGATCATGTCCTTTGCAGGGACGTGGATGGAGTTGGAAGACATTATCTGCAGCAAACTGACGCAGGAAGAAAAAACCAAACACCACATGTTCTCACTTATAAGTGGGAGCTGAATGATGAGAACACATGGACACATGAGGGGAACAGCACACACTGGGCACCTATGGGGGTTGGGAAGAAGGAGAGCATCAGGAGGAATAGCTAATGGATGCTGGGCTTAATACCTAGGTGACAGGACGATCTATGCAGCAAACCACCACGGCGCACATTTACCTAGATAACAACCCTGCATATCCTGCACATGTACCCCTGAACTAAAAAGAAAAGTTGAAGAAAAAATAAATAAATAAATAAAACTATATAAACATGAAAAAATAATAATAATAAATGGAGGCACTGATATTCAGCTTTCATAGGATGGGGTAGTCTACACCACAAGAACAAACAGAGCTTGAACTCTCAACAGCTTAACACATAAAAGTTTGTATCTTGCTCATTCAAAGTTCAATGCAGGCCAGGATGCTATTTGCCATGTGGTGACTAAGGGATCCAGGCACCTTTCATCTATTTCTTTTTTTTTTTTTTTTTCTTGAGATACAGTCTCGCTCTGTCACCCAGGCTGAAGTGCAATGGCGTGATCTCTGCTCACTGCAACCTCTGCCTCCTAGGTTCAAGCAATTCTCCTGCCTCAGCCTCCCAAGTGGCTGGGATTACAGGCACCTGCCACCACGCCTGACTAACTTTTTGGTATTTTTGGTAGAGATGGGGTTTCACCATGTTGGCCAGGCTGGTCTCAAACTCCTGACTTCAGGTGATCTGCCCGCCTCAGCCTCCCAAAGCGCTGGGATTACAGCCGTGAGCCACCGCACCCGGCTCACCTTTCATCTTATAACTTCACCATCTCTGATCATTGCTTCCAAACTACCACAACAGGGAAAAAGAGAGAGTAGAAAACTCATACTTGCTTTTAAATGCCTCAGCCTGGAAGTTCCACTCACAGCCCATTGGTTACAAATGGTAGCATAGTCCCAGAAATGGTAGCATAGTCCCACAAGGGCAGTTCCTCCTCTGTGACCACGGAAAAGAAGAGAACCAAATCTGTTCTTTTTTTTTTTTTTTTGAGACGGAGTTTTGCTCTTGTTGCTCAGGCTGGAGTGCAATGGTGTGATCTCGGCTCACCGCAACCTCCGCCACCTCCCAGGTTCAAGCGATTCTCCTGCCTCAGCCTCCCAAGTAGCTGGGATTACAGGCATGCGCCACCGTGCCCAACTAATTTTGAATTTAGTAGACACGGGGTTTCTCCATGTTGGTCAGTCTGGTCTCGAGCTCCTGACCTCAGGTGATCTGCCAGCCTTGGCCTCCCAAAGTGCTGGGATTACAGGTGTGAGCCACCGCGTCTGGCCCCAAATCTGTTCTCTATTGACAACAGCATATCTGGAAAGAGTAGAGCAATTAGGAACACAGATTTTGAAGTCAGAAGACCTGGTCTGAACCTAGATCCTGTGGTTAAAATAACTGTGTGACTTTCAGCAAATAACTTATCTGTGCTTCTCTGAAAAATGGAGTAACAATGACTCCCTCTGATAGTTGTTAAGAGTTAGGAGAAGATCTTACCACAATATAAAGGCTCAGAATATAGTGGTTATTATTGTTGTTATTATTATTATTACCAAGCCATCCACTAATCAAATACATCACTTAGAAAGTAATGAGATTCAGGCTGGGCATGGTGGCTCACACCTGTAATCCCAGCTACTCAGGGAGGCTGAGGCACGAGAACTGCTTGAACCCAGGAGCCAGAGGTTGCAGGTGATCTGAGACCACGCCACTACACTCCAGCCTGGGCAACAGAACAAGACTCTGTCTAAAAAAAAAAAAAATTCTATATATATATATATATATAAACACTGTAACATAATCAGGCAAAAAATTATTAGCAAATGGTACTATTTATTTATTTAGAGACAGGGTCTCACTCTGTCACTCAGGCTGGAGTGCAGTGGTACGATCTCCGCTCACTGAAACCTCTGCCTCCTGGGTTCAAGTGATTCTCTTGCCTCAGCCTCCCGAGTAGCTGGGATTACAGGCGCCCACCATCACGCCTGGCTAATTTTGTATTTTTAGTGTAGATGGGGTTTCACCATGCTGGTCAGGATGGTCTCGAACTCTTGACCTCAGGTGATTTGCTCGCCTCAGCCTCCCAAAGTACTGGGATTACAGGCATGAGCCACTGTGCTCTGCAGCAAATGGTACTCTTTAAATAAAAGAAATTTTAAAATTGAAATTTAGCAAGGAGTCTGTGTGCTTGCCAACAGTGATGTGTCTGTCCTCTCTTGCAAAGGATAAACTGTGTCTCCCTGTTGCTACTCCAAGGTTCAGAACAAGACCACTGCCACCACAGGCATCCGATGCTGCCCTGACAGTCATGGGCAGCCAGGGAGACCTCTGCTCCAGAGATGCAATTAGAGAGAAAAAGTGTCCACAGCTGGGCACGGTGGCTCACACCTGTAATCCCAGCACTTTGGGAAACTGAGGCGGGTGGATCAGGATGTCAGGAGTTCGAAACCAGACTGGCTAAATATGGTGAAACCCCATCTCTACTAAAAATACAAACATTAGCCGAGCGTGGTGGCACGTGCCTGTAGTCCCAGCTACTTGGGAGGCTGAGGCAGGAGAATCACTTGAACCCAGGAGGCGGAGGTTGCAGTGAGACAAGATTGTGCTACTGCACTCTAGCCTGGGCCACAGAGGGAGACTCTGTCTCAAAAAAAAAAAAAAAAGAAAAGAAAAGTGTCCTCCACTTCCAATGCCAAATTTAATAGTCACTAAAAATTGTTTCATATCACCACAATTTGTATTTCTTTTTGATGTGTGTCCATTTAAAACATGAACACATAGAGAGAAGCCCTCAGGGGCTCCCTCCCAAAGACTCCATCTTCTTGCTCTACCAAGGCTGTGGCAGGGATATTGTCCCTTCTTGGCAGGAATAAACCAGAAAATGCCTGGCCACTTAGATCAAATCGAGAAAAGAGCAAGCTCTCTGCACGCTGCAGGTGAACGAGGGACTGTGGGGCACTGGCTCTCCACCCTGCTCTGCTTGGAACCACTTGGGGAGCCCATCAAAATCACCAGTGCGTGGGCTCCACCCTATTTATTCATTCAACAAATATTTATTATTTATTTATTTATTTTGAGATGGAGTATCACTCTTGTTGCCCAGGCTGGAGTGCAATGGCGCGATCTTGGCTCACCACAACCTCTGCCTCCTGGGTTCAAGCAATTCTCCTGCCTCAGCCTCCCCAGCAGCTGGGATTACAGGCACCTGCCACAACACCCAGCTAATTTTTGTATTTTTAGTAGAGATGGGGTTTCCTCATGTTGGCCAGACTGGTCTCGAACTCCTGACCTCAGGTGATCCACCTGCCTCAGCCTCCCAAAGTGCTGGGATTACAAGCATGAGCCACCGTGTGCGGCCTCAACAAATATTTGTTAAGTGTCTCTTTTGTGCCAGGCACTGTTTTGGACAACAACCTGGACAGGCTGTTGGGGTCCAAGACACAAAACCACAAAATTTCCTGCTTTTGTAGTGCTTATGTTCTAGGAAGGAGGGAAAGAAACAATAACCATAATAAATTAGGAAATGATACAGTGTGTGCTCAGGAGACGGTGCTGTGGAGGAGACACAAGGCAGGGGATGCAGAGCCTTAAGCAGAGTGAGGGAGCAGCTGCAATTTTAAATCTGGGGGTCAGGGGAGGCCTCGCTGGGAGAAAGGGCTGCATTTGAGCAAAGCCCTGAGGGTGGGGGAAGCCCAGGCAGCCGGGGCCGCACTCCAGGCTGAGGGGATGAGGCCTGGTCCATGTTAGTATCTGCAAAGACTCTCCTTGCCCAGATTCCAGGCATCTGTCCTCTGCCCCTAAATGATGGCCACACAAATTTCCCTTCCTCCGTTCTGGGTATGTGACCGCAAGGGGCCCTTCTAACTGGAAATTCCAGTGGCACATTGGCACGAGGAAAAGAAAGATGAAAGATCAGAGAGGCGACACCAGTTGAAACAGGCTGCTGAATTATTACAGCGAGTGACCATGGGACGATGGAGCCGGGGGCGGCCACCCCCTGCTGGCTCAGTAGGTCAAGTCAGTGCGGTGTCCCAGCAGAGGCGGCTTGAACTTAAGGCGAACTTAACAATCAATGTGGTCCCTTAAAGAAACCTAACTTATTTATTCATTAAGTATGGAACACACATTGCTTTCACCCAGGTTAGCTTTGTGTAAAATATGCTATCGACGTGCATATATTTTCAACCATTGTTTGAAGAGAAACCTATTGCTTTCGGGCATTTCATTTACAATGTTTATGGAAATGGATATGTCAGCTATTTGCTTATAAAAACTCATGCCTACTTGAAATATAAAAGATGCTAAATAGAGCTTCACTTTGCACGAGTCAGGTGCAAACAGCCCCAACCTCAGTGGTTTATAACAACAAAGGTTTATTTCTCACTCAAGCTCTTTGTGTATCATGGGTTGGCTGGGACCATGGTGTCATGTCTCCTCATTCTGGGACCCAGGCTGGGGAAGCAGCTGTCATCTCAAACGTTGCCATTCGCCATGGAAAAGGGAGTCTTGGAAGGCTCTTGCCTGCAAATTAAATGCCACAGCCCAGGGACACACAGTACTTCCTTCCACGCAGGACTCATTGGCCAGAACAAGTGACACACCCCACCCAACCACAAGAGGGTCCAAAATGCAATTCTACCATGTCCCAGGAGATGCAGGGGGCTGGAAGTACTTGGTGAATAATCTTAACAACTCCCCTAAACTGCCAGAGGCGACTGGCATTCAGACAACAGGGCTCAGCCACAGCACCCTCACGCAATTGTCAGGCCATCTCTGAGAAGTAGGTTACTTCTTGATATAACATGATAGGAACCATTACCTAAGAACAGAGACAAATAGGCCAGGTGTGGTGGCTCAGGCCTATAATCCCAGTGCTTTGGGATGACGAGGTGGGAGGATTACCTGACACCAGGAGTTTGAGACCAGCCTGGGCAATGTAGTGAGATTCCCACCTCCCCCAAAAATTAAAATGTTAGCCAGGTGTAGTGGCATGCACCTGTGATCCCAGCTGCTCAGGAGGCTAAGATGGGAGAATGGCTTGAGCTCATGGGTTGGAGGATACAGTGAGCTATAGTGGCGCCACTGCACTCCAGCCTGGGTGACAGAGCAAGACCCTGTCCCTAAAAACGAAACAAACAAAAAAAGACAGGGACAAATAATCAAACAGCATAGTTACGTTTATCACCAAGGAATGTCTGTGAGTAGAGAGAATATGGCTCAGGTAGACTTTGTACTGGGTTGTGTAAAAAGACAGAAGCCAGCGGCAGTGCCTTCTACCTGATTCCAGACCCAGGCTCCAGAACATAACCACGGTTACCTGAATGTCTCAGGAGCAAGAACTCAGAAGAGAAATGCCACAGTCTGTTTCAGATGTGCTGAATCGTGAGGAAACAGCATAATGTCTGGAGGAAGCTGGATCCAGCCTGCTGTTAGAATGTACCCCTGGCCCTTACAGAAGAAGCCTGGGGCTTAGAGACACAGCGAGAAGTCACCTGCATCGAGGTGAGAGTCCAGCCAGGGAGGAGGACGAGGTCCAGGACAAAACCTTGCCAACGTCATTGACACTGAAAAAGACCAAGAAGAGCAGGAGGGTGAGAGGGGAGAGCAGGAGGTCACAGGACCTCTTGGGGACCAGACTCCAGCTTCCAGGATTCTCAGCCTGGACACTGCCTTCCCTGGAAAGCCTCCTGCCTTCTCCCAGTGGATCTGCAGCCCCTCCCACAGTGGGCCCTGTACTCCCGCCCAGCCCTCCCCTTGCACTGGGGTCTGCTTGGCACCTGGGACAGAGTTTTGTTCACTGGAACCTCCCCAGTGCCTAGACCGGTGCCTGACCCTTGGAAAGCACTCAATACATGTTCCGTGAATGAAGAGATGAATGAATAGAAAGTCCAGAGTGGTGACGATCAAAACTAAGATTCAAATGGGGAAACAATAAGTAAGCAAAAATGGATGCAATTTGGTTTAATTCAACAAATGATAAACTCAGCCCCTTGCGGAGGGATCCAGGACAGAGGTGACACAGGTCTTATTCTCGAGGTGCACACAGCCCAGCGGGTAGATCACAGAGTGAGGGAAGGTGTAGCAGAAACGGGAGGAGGTGGACATTTTGAATCTGAGATTCAAAATCTGAGATTCAAAAACAGGAGGAGATGGGCATTTTGAATCTGAGATTGGCAGTTGAAAACAGGAATGGATTTTTCCAGATGAAACAGAATGAGGAAAGGCACCAGCCCAGGAAACTGCAGCTGCTGCAACACCTAGGACTCCGGCGTCTGGAGTAGGGAGAAGCGGGAATCACCAGGGTGTTAACAATGAGAGGAATTATTCCTACATGAACACGAAAATGACTCAGACCCCAGCAGAGCTGCGGCTGTCCCTTGTCCCTTGTGCAGTCATTGAGCTGCTGTGCCCGAGGAACAAAAATGCTCAAAAGGATAAACAAAAACAAAAGGTGCCCAGGGGCACCTCCCCTTCACACCCACCTGGGAACACCCACACCAGGGAAGCAGAAAACCACTTTATCACGGGCTTCACTGGAGCCCTCAAGAGAAACTTCTGGCTAACATTCGTTGAGAGAGTCTGGATGAAATTCTTAGGCTTTATATTTCAGAATTAGTGACTGTGGTTTTTGTCTTTGTTTTTGTTTTGAGACAGGGTCTCATTCTGTCACCCAGGCTGGAGTGCAGTGGCACAATCATGGCTCACTGCAGCCTCTACCTCCTGGGCTCAAGTGATCCTCCCACCTCAGCCTCCCATGTACTACAGGTGCCTACCACCACACTTGGCTTTTTTTTTTTTTTTTTTTTTTTTTTTTTTTTTTTTGGTAGAGACGGGGGTCTCACTATGTTGCCCAGACTGGTCTCAAACTCCTGAGCTCAAGCGATCCTCCTGCCTCAGCCTCCCAAAGTGCTGGAATTACAGGCGTGAGCCAGCACACCTGGCCTGATGGAGTGTGTTTTATTTACCACAGTCACTGGTCACTTGGGGACACTGGCAGAGTTACTAGCCACTCAGATTGGCCAGAGGATGATGTGTCCCTCTCACAAGGGCCCCTACAATCCTTCTAGCCAAACTCTGCAGAAGTCAAGGACGGAAGATGTGGGAGTCTGGAGGGTGTGTGGCCAAGAGACCCAGGCCTGCTGACATTTCAGACCACCCCATGCTGGTACCGAACTGCAGTGAGCTTGGCCAGGGAGCAGGGAAGAGCCAGAGGCACATCTCAGGCTTCAGCTCTCCCCAGGCAGAGTGCAGGATAGCAGGTTCCCAGCCACCTGTCACCTGGCAGCTCTGCCCTCAGCATCCCAGAGGAGAGGCACCCTCCAGTTTTCAGCAGGGCTTACCCCTGGGAACCAGTTTCTCCTGATAAAATAGCTGTGTATAGTTATGGGAAGTGGCAGGACCAAAAAGCGTCTGTACTCTCTCCAAACACTGATCAAAATCCCTCCTTGATCTAAATAAAGTGACTTAGCAAGTTCTCACTTAATTTAGAGTGTGGATTTGCATCCAATTCCACTCGTACCTGCCAAAAAGACGCTTTATGAAAGCTAAGGCGGAGTTATGAACCTCTCAGCAAACTTGTTTATAATGAAAATTACAAATCAGCAGCAATAATATAATTACGCAGTATACTGTACGAGAAGTCTTTCTAGACTGTTTAGAGATACTTTGTGTTCTATAACATGCAGCATGAATCCTGGGCTAATTGGAAACAATTGCATGGTATATAATAACAAAATGTTTCATTGTGTTTTTCTTTTACAGAAGGGTCTGAGTATTCACCTGAGTCATTATCCTGGTTTTCTGAGTAGTGAAATTTACAAATCATAAAAATTGAATGCTGGCCAGGTGCAGTGGCTCACGTCTGTAATCCCAGCACTTTGGGAGGCCGAGGTGGGCAAATCAGTAGAGGTCAGGAGTTTGAGACCAGCCTGGCCAACATGGTGAAACCCTATCTCTACCAAAAAATACAAAAATTAGCCATGCATGGTGGTGCACACTTGTAATCCCAACTACTCGGGAGGCTGAAGTGGGAGAATTGCTTGAACCTGGGAGGCAGAGGTTGCAGTGAGCCAAGATCAAGCCATTGCACTGGGTGACAGAGGGAGACTCCATCTTAAAAAAAAAAAAAAATTGAATGCCTGTGCTCAGAGGTAGGTTATGGTGGACTCACCCTGGGGTGGGCAGCCACGCAATGCAATGGAATGAGAACAACCACAGGCCCCACCCCAAGAGCAGCCCAGGGCACACCTGGGCACCCAGGGGCTCTGCTGGAGCCTTCTGAGCTGACCCAAGATAAATTCACATTAACCAGGACTGTTAAAAGAAAAAAAACTTCAGCAGAATTAAAGGAGTTTAACTGAGCAATGAACGATTGGTGTATTGGGCAGCCCCCAGAATCACAGCAGATTCAGAGTGACTCCAGGGGTGCCTCATGGTCAGAACAAATTTATAGATAAAAAAAGTAAAGTGACGGGCAGAAATTGGAAATGAGGTGCAGAAACAGCTGGATTGATTACAGCTCAGCGTTTGCCTCATTTGATCACAGTTTGAGCACTCATCAGTGTATGACTGGTTAAAGTATGGCCACTGGGACTGGACAAGATTCAGCGATTGTTACAGGGGCATACTCCTAAGTTAGGTTTTCAATCTTGTCTACCTATTAAATTAGGTTGCAGTTCATCCACAAGGACTTACATATAGAAGTATGGAGTCCTTCTCAGGCCATATTTAGTTTCCTTTAATAGAACTGAAGGAATTTCACTTTCCATAGGACACAGCATCTCAGCCCTTGAGAAGGGGAAGGACAGGGAGAATCAGAAATTCTTGTATGCCAAGCAAATGGCCAGTGTATTAGGTGAAGAAAGTGCTGAATGAGAAGTAATGTTTCCCAAAAGATGGTTCCCAAGATCATACTAAAGGATTCACAAAACAATATTTTTTATTTCGAATATTAATATGCTTAGTTCAATCAATAAAGGCAAGTGACAGTGGTTTTTCTATTTATAATATTGATATAAAATTTCCCTTTTGGGCTGGGCACGGTGGCTCACACCTGTAATCCCAGCATTTTGGGAGGTTGAGGTGGGCAGATCACCTGAGGTCGGGAGTTGGAGACCAGCTTGACCAACATGGGGAAACCTTGTCTCTACTAAAAATACAAGATTAGCCGGGCATAGTGGCACATGCCTGTAATCCCAGCTACTCGGGAGGCTGAAGCAGAAGAATTGCTTGTAACTGGGAGGCAGATGTTGCAGTGAGCTGAGATGGAGCCATTGCCCTCCAGCCTGGGCAACAAGAGTGAAATTCCATCTCAAAAAAAGTAAATAAATAAATAAATAATAAAAATTTCCCTTTTGATTACATTTAAGTAAAACAGCAAGTTTCTTTAAATAATTTTTTTTTTTTAGACAGAGTTTCACTCCTGTTGCCCAGGCTGGAGTGCAATGGCACAATCTCGGCTCACCGCAACCTCCTCCTACTGGGTTCAAGCGATTCTCCTGCCTCAGCCTCCCAAGTAGATGGGATTACAGGCATGCACCACCACACCTGGCTAATTTTTTTTTTGGTATTTTTAGTAAAGACGGGGTTTCTCCATGTTGGTCAGGCTGGTCTCGAACTCCCGACCTCAGATGATCCGCCCACCTCAGCCTCCCAAATTGCTGGGATTACAGGCGTAAGCCACCATGCCCAGCCTAAATAAAATTTTTAATTTTTTAAATTAAATTTAATTTAAAAAACTTCTTTAGAGACAGAGTCTTGCTCTGTTTCCTAGGCTAGAGTACAGTAGCATCATCATAGCTCTTGTTGTAGTCTAGAACTCCTGGGCCCAAGTTATCCTCCTGCCTTAGCCTCCTGAGTAGCTGGGACTATAGCCACATGCCACCATACCTGGCTAATTTTAAAAAATTTTTTTGTAGAGACTATAACTGTCCATGGAGTTCTCCTTGCCCACTGCCTAGACAGAGCCAATTTATCAAGACAGGTTAATTGCAATAGAGAAAGAGTTTAATTCATGCAGAGCCAGCTACATGAAAGATTGGAGTTTTATTATTATTCAAATAAGTGTCCCTGAGAATTCAGGGATTAGAATTTTTAATAATTTGGTGGGTAGGGGACCAGTGAGTTGGGAGCACTGATTGGTTGGCTCAGAGATGAAATCACAGGGAGTCAAAGCTGTCCTCTTATGCTGAGTCAGTTCCTGGGTGGGGTCACAGGACTGATTGGCAGGTCCAGGTGGGACCATCAGGCTGTCAGAAATGCAAAAACCTGAAGAGACATTTTAAAAGGCCAATCCTAGCTTCTACCATGTTATCTTCAAGAGTAATTGGAGAAGTTGCAAATCTTATGATCTCTGGAATAATGGCTAGTATTATTTAGAATTCAAGTCCCTCTCATCCTTACTTGGTGGCCTTTCATTAGTTTTACAAGAACAGTTTAGTTTTAGGGAAAGGCTATTATTTAAACTATAAACTAAATTTCTCCCAAAGTGAGTTTGGCCCATGCCCAGGAATGAGCAGATAGCCAACCCGTGAGGCTAGAAACAAGGTGGAGTTGGTTAGGTCAGATCTCTTTCAACTGTCATAACTTCCTCAGTTATAATTCTTTTGCAAAGGCAGTTTCAAGACAGGGCCTCGCTGTTTTACCCAGGCTGGTCCTGAACTCCTGAGATCAAGCGATCATCCCAAAGTGTTGGGATTATAGGCATGAATCACTGCGTCCAGTCATTTTTTAAAACTATATATATATATATATATTTTAATGAGACAGGGTCTTTCTCTGTTGCCTAGGCAGAGTGCATTAGTGCAATTATGGCTCACTGAAGCCTCTACTGGCAGGCTCAAGAGATCCTCTCGCCTCGGCTTCCTGAGTAGCTGGAACTACAGTCATGCTCCACTACACCCAGCTAATTTTCTTTTTTGGAGTGATGTTGCCCAGGATGGTCTTGAACTCCTGGACACAAGCAATCAAAAAACGCTGGGATTACAAGCATAGGCCACTGCACCTAGCCTTTTTTTTTTTTTTTTTTTCGTTTTTTTGTGTGTGTGTGTGAAGGGGGTTCTCACTCTGTCACTCAGGCTAAAATGCAGTGGTGTGATAATGGCTCACTGCGGCCTCGATCTCCCCAGGCCCAGGCGATCTTCCCACCTCAGCCTGCTGAGTAGCTGGGACCACAGGTGCATGCCACCAGTCCTGGCTAATTTTTGTATTTTCAGTAGAGACCTGACTTTGTTGGCCAGGTTGGTCTTGAACACCCGAGCTCAAGTGATCCACCTGCCCCAGCCTCTCAAGGCTGAAGTGATCCACCTGCCCCATGCTTTGGATTACAGGCATGAGCCACCATGCCTGGCCATTTTTTGTTTTGTTTTGTTTTGTTTTGTTTTTTGAGACTGGGTCTGGCTCAGTTGCCCAGGCTGGATTGCAGTGGTTTGATTATGGCTCACTGCAGCCTCTGCCTCTGGGGCTCAAGCCGTCTTCCCACTTCAGCCTCCTGAGTAACTGGGATTACAGGCATGAACCATCATCACATTCAGTTAATTTTTGTCTGTTTTATAGAGATGGGATTTCACCATGTTGCCGAGGCTGGTCTCAAACTCCTAGCCTCATGTGATCCACCCGCCTCGGCCTGCCAACCAAATGTGTTGGGATTACAGGCATGAGCCACCTTGCCAGGCCTTGAAATTTAGTTTCTAGTTTAAATGATAATTAATAACCCTTCCCAAAAACTAAGCTGCCTTCATAAAACTAGTGAAAGGCCACCAGGTTAGGAGGGTGAGAGGGGCGTGAATTCTGCTAAGATGTAGGTATAAATAATTTTTTTTTTTGAGACAGAATCTTGCTGTGTCGCCCAGGCTGGAGTGCAGTGGCATGATCTCAGCTCACTGCAACCTCCGCCTCCTGGGTTCAAGCGATTCTCCTGCCTCAGCCTCCCAAGTAGCTGAGACTACAGGCACCCGCCCCCACACTGGGCTAATTTTTGTATTTTTAGTAGAGATGGGGTTTCACTATGCTGGCCGGGCTGGTATTGAACTCCTGACCTCGTGATCCACCTGCCTCAGCCTCCGAAAGTGCTGGGATTACAGGCGTGAGTCATCAAGCCTGGCCAATTTTTTGTTTTTTTTTTTTTAGTCAGGATCTCACTCTGCTGCCCAGGCTGGAGTGCAGTGGCTTAATCATGGCTCACTGCGGCCTTGAGCTCCCCAGGCTCAAGCAATTCTCCCACCACAGCCTTCTGAGAAGAGGGACTACAGACACATACCACCACACCTGGCTAACCTTTGTACTTTTTGTAGAGATGGGGTCTTGCTATGTTGCCCAAGCTGGTCTTGAACACCTGAGATAAACCATCTGCCCACCCCCGCAGCTTCCCAAAGTGCTGACATTACAGGTGTGAGACATTGAGCCAGGCCAAATGATTTTATTTTGTTTTTTTTGAGACAGAGTCTTGCTCTGTTGCCCAGGCTGGAGTGCAGTGGCACAATCTCAGCTCATTGCAACCTCTGCCTCCTGAGTTCAAGCGATTTTCCTGCCTCAGCCTCCTGAGTAGCTGGGATTACAGGTCCACCACCACACCTGGCTAATTTTCATATTTTTAATAGAAACAGGGTTTTGCCATGTTGGCCAAGCTGGTCTCGAACTCCTGACCTCAAGTGATCCACGTCCCTCAGCCTTGCAAAGTGCTGGGATTACAGGCGTGATCCACTGCACTCGGCCAAATGATTTTTTATTGTTCCAAAGATCATAAGATTTAGAACTTCCCCAATGACTCTTGTAATTAACATTGGTATTGTAGAATCTTTTGAGATGTCTTTTGCATTTCTGATGACCAGATGGTCCCACCGGACTGCCTGACCAGGGCAAGTGGCCACTTTGGTGGCTACCACTTAGAAGCAGGGTCAGCACAGAATGAACATTTTCCACACCCATATGACTGCATCCCCAACCAATCAGCATGCCCCTACTCCGTAGCCCCCTACCCGCTATCCTTGAAAAACCCTAGCCTTCAAATTTTTGAAGAGATTGCCTTGAGTAGTGTAGTGTGGCTGGCCTTGCCTCAATAAACTCTTTCTTTACTGCAATGCCATGGTCTCAGTGCATTGATTTTGTCTGTGCAGCAGGCGGGAAGAACTCACTGGGCAGTTACATTTTGATATACATATACATAGTGAAATGGCTACTACAGTCAAAAAAATTAACATATCCATCACTGTGATGCTGTGAAATACATATATATTTTGTCTTGTGAACCCCAGAAATCTGAGACAGGTCTATTAATTTAGAAAGTTTATTTTGCCAAGATTGAGGACACGCACCCGTAACACAGCCTCAGGAGGTTCTGATGACATGTGCCCAAGGTGGTTAGAGCACAGTTTGGTTTTATACATTTTAGGGAGACATGAGACATCAATCAACATATGTAAAATGAACATTGGTTCAGTCTGGAAAGGCAGGACAACTCACAGCAAAGGTGAGAGAGGGGGCTTCCAGGTCATAGGTACATAAGAGACAAATGGTTGCATTCTTTTGAGTTTCTGATTAGCTTCTTCAAGGGGGGCAATCAGATATGCATTTATCTCAGTGAGCAGAAGGGTGACTTTGAATAAAATGGGAGGCAGGTTGGCCCTAAGCAGTTCCCAGCTTGACTTTTCCCTTTAGCTTAGTGATTTAGAAGCCCCAAGATTTATTTTTCTTTCACATTTCCCCCCCTTTTCTTTTCAAAAATCTTCTGGAGAAAGCATTTTAGAAGAAAATGAGTCTCTAGTCTCAGGTTTTGTCTGATTTCTCATGGCTAGGATGGTTTATTCCTAGATGGGTAGGTCCCAAGTTAAATGGGTTAAGAAAGCTCATTTTTTAGCAGGTTGTGAAGTCTCATGTCCTATGAAGAGAAAATAGGGAGAGGAAGAGAGAAAAACAACAAAAAACAAAAGAACAATCCTGGAAAATCAATATAGGCCACATTACTCTGAAGCCCATACATCAGTAGGCAGGTACGAAAGTGGCTTATGTATATATATAAAATCGGTTGCTGTTATTTTCTTCTAAAGTTTAAGTTATCCAGCTTCAGTTCACAGGGCTTTACAAAAGCACAGCTTAGTTTCTGGTGACTCCAAATTAGGAAAAATGGGAAAAAAGAAGGAAAAAAAAATTGAAAGCATTATTTTGCAGACTTGTAGCCAAGAAAAAAAAATTAGAATTCAGTCCAAACTGTAGAAAATAATAAAAATTGAAAAACATTAGGCAAGACCAGAATCTAACAACAGGTATACTATAGTTTTTGAAACATAATTTTTCTTTCTCCAGTTTCTCATTTTTACTAAAGATAAATCATGGTAGGACTAATTTGCTTTATTGTACTTGGCCTGATTATTGGTATACAGTGCAACAAGAATAATTATTTTCTTTTATGTAGGCTTTTAAATGGGCTTTGATGGAACTTTGTTCCATAGAAAGAATCTTAGATAAGATTTTAAAAGCCAAGCCCAGCAATGGATTTGTACCATCAAATACCTATGAGTTGGGTGAATTCCTCTCCTCTAGAGGTTCCAAGACAAACTTGGGTCTCCTGGGCCTGTCAGAAAGTGACATTCTTTACTTCGCACAGGTCAGGAACCCTGTACAGCGACTGTGGAGACAAGACATGAGACCAGTTTTCTCAAGGGGCTTTTATTGGCTCCATAAGTCAAGTTTGGTTCCTTAAAGGCAAGCACACCATTCCAGTCAAAGCTTTGGTAAAACAACCAGTTTCTTCAATTGTGTCCTGTTACAAATGAAAACAGATTCTTATGGCACTTATGCAAATAACTGCATTGCTGTAAGTTAAGAATACTCACAAATAGTTTCAAAATTCTGTAGAAATCAGGTAGAGAGAAAAAAATATGCTCCAAATTTTGTTTATAGGAGTATACTAAATTGCTAAAAAGCCATCAATAGCTCCAAAGGAGTTTTCTTGACTCTGAAAAAATTAAGGATTAGCAACATTTTAAGCAAAAAGTCAAAAAATTACTTCAGTTTTCTATTACTTCAGTCCATACAGTTAATTCCTATTCTGCTTGATATTCATGAATATTTCAGCTCTCCATGAGTCCTACAGTTTTTCCTCTATTCTGATGTCACAATCTTCAAAGTTATCAGAAACCTTCATTCAAGAGCACCTGTTTGAGTTTCATAGCTGGTGGTTTTATAAAACCACCATCTAAAAAGGACCAAAACAACAATTGTCCGTGGATGACAAAAGTTTTAAAGATAATAATACTGATTCTTGCAAAATACAGTAATTAAGAAAATTAGCTGGGCACAGTGGCTCATGCCTGTAATCCCAGCACTTTGGGAGGCCGAGGCGGGTAGGTCACAAGGTCAGGAGTTTGAGACCAGTCTGACCAACATGGAGAAACCCCGTCTCTACTAAAAATACAAAAAAATTAGCTGGGCATGGTGACATATGCCTGTAATCTCAGCTACTCAGGAAGCTGAGGCAAGAGAACCACTTGAACCCAGGAGGCAGAGGTTGCAGTGAGCCGAGATCCCGTCACTGCACTAGGGCCTGGGTGACAGAGTGAGACTCCATCTCAAAAAAGAAAAAAGAAAATTAATCCTTTATCACAAACCCTTGTAGCAGAGTACATCTCCCCGTATATACCAGCATTGTACCTAGGGTGGGTGCATTCCTCCTCTTACTTTCAGGAATGTCCTGAAGTCACTATAGCTATGGAGTAGCTGTTCTTTCACCACTTCACTTTCTTAATAAACTTGCTTTTGCTTTGTACGGCGGGCTTGCCCTGAATTCTTTCTTGTATGAGATCCAATAACCCTCTCTTGGGGTCTGGATTGGGACCCCTTTCCTGTAACATATTTCTGGCGACCACACAAGGGACTATAGTGCAGAAACCCTGACCCAATGGCTACCTTTGGGTAAGTGTTGGGGTTCTGTAACATCTTTCTGGTGAACCTGAAGGGACGATACTGAAGAAACCCTCCAATCCAAAGAAATAGACTGCAGCACTGATTGGGTAACTTTGGGTAAGTGGTGGGGTACCTGGGTAAAGAATGGGATTGGGTTAGAGGCCCAACTTAGGGGAGTTAGAGTCTCTCCTAAGACAGAGTGGGTTAGAAACCCTTCTTAATAAAAGGCAAGGATGCTTGACCAACCTCAGGTTAGAGGCCTGACTTAGGAGGGTTAGAGTCCCTTCTATGATTTGGGGGTTAGAGGTCCCTCTCAGTAAAGTCCCTCTTGGCTAAAAATGTGTTTGGCACCGCAGGCTATGCTCTTTGTATTAATCTGCCTTGTCTTCTTTGCTGCATAAATCAATTTCTTAATTGCTGTGTCTGTTTCACTGTCATTTTCAGCAGACTTTATTTAACTAGTTTTAGGAATTTTAACTTACTCTTTTCCTAAGCGCCTCCCAATTTCCATCCGTCTGCTTGTGATCGAGAAGCACTACGATGAAAATCAGGGGAATTTTATCCTTGCTGTTTCGTTTCACACTAAAAAATCTTCTTTCCTTTCTTGGATTTGGGCAAACTGGCTTTGCTTGTCCAATCCACACTGCTGCTATTGCCCAGACCTGTTTGCTCTGGTCATTCCCATCTAAATCCTCTTCATTTCCCTTTCCTTATTTGACATTTTTGTCGAAGTCCATGTTGTGGTTTATCTAAGATTCATGGCTCGGCTCACTTATGTTATCTGGAAAATGTGAATAAGAGAATTCAATTTTCGGCAGGGATCCCCTCATTAATGCAGCTGGCCTTAATAACCTCTCTTTTTAGTGGAACTCTGCCAGTGGCAATACACTCTCGCAGGCTTGGAACTTTTCTTTCAACATCACCTGCCTCCTTCATGGGAACCATGGCATTGATTCCAAAGAACGCACCACTAGGATGCATTATTGAACATTGGGACCAGTTTAAACTGAATGGGCTTAAGAAGAGAAAACTGGTCGGTTTTTTTTTTTTTTTTTTTTTGAGACGGAGTTTTGTTCTTGTTGCCCATGCTGGAGTACAATGGTGCAATCTCAGCTCACCGCAAACTCCACCTCCTGGGTTCAAGCAATTCTCCTGCCTCAGCCTCCTGAATAGCTGGGATTATAGGCATACACCACCACGCCCAGCTAATTTTCGTATTTTTAGTAGAGACAGGGTTTCACCGTGTTGGTTAGGCTGGTCTCGAACTCCTGACCTCAGGTGGTCCACCCTCCTCGGCCTCCCAAAGTGTTGGGATTACAGGTGTGAGGCACCACGCCCAGTGAAAACTGGTGTTTCTGTGTAATACTGTTTAGCCTCAGTATTATTTGGAAAAACAAGAGAAATGGCCTCCTACTGGAACTATGGCCTTTAATACTATACTTCAACTTATTTTTTTTTGTAAACGGGAGGGAAAATGGTATGAAATACCATATGTTCAAGCATTTTTGCAGCTCAGTCAGGATAAAACCCTGCAGCAGGCATGTGCATGTTTGATGAAAGGAAAAGAAGAAAAAGAGGTAGTCATACTAGATGATCCTTTAATGCAAAACCCCCGGGTTCAGCGGGGAGTTTTGGGTGGAGCAGAACTTCCTTCCATCAGCTGTGAAGGTTCAGATGTGTCAGTCCTTTCTCCCTTCAGTCCACCTGAAAGTTCTATTGAGAACCCTTCGTCCTCTCCTCCTTACAAGTCTAGTCCCATTCTATACCCACCACTCCCTGAGGAACTTAGCCCAGTGAGGACTACTCATAGCGGAGCCTCCCATCAACCTCCAAAGGGAAATCTTTGTCCACTTAGAGAGGTGGCAAATGGGGAAGAATGCACTGTGAGAGTACATGTCCCCTTTTCTATGTCTGATTTGGTTCTATGTAAAGAGAAGTTTGGTCATTTCTCTGAAGATCCAGGAAAATTCATAGATGAGTTTAAGAAGTTAACTCTGACCTATAGTTTAACTTGGCAGGATCTTCTTGTTGTGTTGTCTCTGTGTTGTACAGTGAAAGACAATCAACACATTCTGGGGACAGCTAGGACCCATGGAGATGAGGTATTGGCTCACAACCCAAACCATAATATATATCAGGCAGGAGGTATAGCAGTTCCAGATCAAGATCCAGAGTGGAACTACTGTAAGGTACATGGATGTGCTTTGGTCAACAATAGGCTGAGGCGGACATCTGGGCCAAAGTAACTCAGCAAGTTTAGGGTGCAGGCGCATACTCCGCTTGTTATATAACCTGTTTGTGTAAGTTCATACTTGCCTTGGAGCCACTATTGTCTGTGAAAGGTGTAACTGCCCTGTTAACACTGTACAGGCACTCTTGGGCACGACTTGACATGGCTCTCATGCAGGCACGCTGGCACCCAGAGAGAGAGAGAGAAAGAACCAGAGCTGTCTGTCTTGCAGACAGAGGGGAGCCAGGGCACAGCTTGGCATGGCACAGCACGGCTTGTGCTCGTGCCCAAAGAGAGAAAGAGTTAAGCTGCTGACCCTGAAGTCAAGGAAGGGCTGGCCACACAGCTGTGTGTGGGAGCGGCCAGCTCAAGCAGCCGAGACAAGGTGGACAGTGTAAGTAAGCTGCTGAAGTGTAAGAGCTAGTCTGAGAAAGCTGCTCATGAGAGAGCTGCTGAATAAAACTACATTTCACCTGCTTATGGCCCGTCGAATGTTCTTTCAGTTCCCTATCCCCTGTCCACTCACTCCCCTCGGACCTCAGATGGATCTGGAACCTGGCCCTGGGCATGACATTTGGCGTAGTCGTGAACCTAACAACTATCAAAGGGGTAGTGAGGACTTGGGAAGGAGAGATCATATGGTCACTTGTTTGTTGGAAGGGATTAAGAAATGTATGAAAAAGCCGGTTAACTATGAAAAGGTTAAGGAAGTTTCTCAGGGCAAAGAGATAAGAATCCAGCTTTTGTTGAGGCAATCACAAAATATACTAACACTGGTCCTGCCTCAAGGGAAGGATGAACCCTTTTGGGAGTACATTTTATAACCCAGTCTGCCCCTGATATCCACAGGAAACTACAAATAGCAGCTATGGGTCCCCAGACTCCTATGGAACAGCTTTTGGATATGGCATTTTTAGGTTTTAATAACAGCGACAAAGCAGAGGAAGCAGAAAGAGCAAGAAGGACCTCCCACGAGGTGCAGCTCTTGGCTGCAGCCTTAAGCTCACCTCCCACATGGGGCTGCCCTCCTGGCTCTTAGCCTGAACAAGGGAAGCTGGAAGGTGGGAAGCCCAAAGCTGGGCATCTGAGTCAACGTGCCTTGGGCATCAGTCAGTGTGAACACTGTAAGAAAACTGGCCATTGGAAGAGGGATTGTCCAGTGTTCCAAAGGGGGCCATCAGCACCTGAACCAATGATGGCTGAAATAGCCAGGTGAGCCCAAGAGTGACAGGGCCCGAGACCTTCCACCACACTCCCATCGGATGACTAGCTGTATCTCCAGGGGAGCCTCAGGTAAACTATGACATGGCAGGTAAGAATATTAACTTCTGGGCCGGGTGCAGTGACTCACGCCTGTAATCCCAGCACTCTGGGAGGCCGAGGTGGGCGGGTCACAAGGTCAAGAGATCGAGACCATCCTGGCCAACATGGTGAAACCCCGTCTCTACTAAAAATACAAAAAAATTAGCTGGGCGTGGTGGCACGTGCCTGTAATCCCAGCTACTCGGAAGGCTGAGGCAGTAGAATAGCTTGAACCCTGGAGGCAGAGGTTGCAGTGAGCCGAGATCATGCCACTGCACTCCAGACTGGCGACAGAGCAAGACTCCGTCTCAAAAAAAAAAAAAAAAAAAAAAGAATATTAACTTCCTTCTGGAATGCTTACTCCGTTTTGACTCATAATGGGCCTCTGTCACCCCAAAAATGTATGATCAAAGGGACAGATGGACAAGCCCATAGACATTTTACCAATCCTCTAAAAGCTCTTTGGGGACTTTGGTTTCCTCCTGAATGCCCCACCCTTGTTGGGAAGGGATTTGTTAACTCAGCTGCAAACAGTAGTATCATTTGGAAATCACAAGGCAGACAGAAATTGCTCCTTCTCCTTTCCTGTGAATCAGTATCAGGCTTTGTTGCTAAACATCCTGATATAATACTTAAAGTATGGCTGGGCACGGTGGCTCACGCCTGTAATCCCAGCACTTTGGGAGACCAAGGCGGGTGGATCACCTGAGATTAGGAGTTCAAAACCAGCCTTGCCAACATGGTGAAACCCCATCTCTACTAAAAATACAATAATTAGCTGGATGTGATAGCGGGCACCTGTGTAGCTACTTGGGAGGCTGAGGCAGGAGAATTACTTGAACCCAGGAGGCAGAGGTTGCAGTGAG
Source organism: Homo sapiens (assembly GCF_000001405.40). NCBI lineage: Eukaryota > Metazoa > Chordata > Mammalia > Primates > Hominidae > Homo > Homo sapiens. The sequence goes on from NC_000010.11 coordinate 74,780,710, forward strand.
CCGAGATCATGCCATTGCACTCCAGCCTGGGAGACAAGAGTGAAACTCAGTCTCAATAAATAAATAAATAAATAAAAATAAAAAATACTTAAAGTATGCCAAACTTTGAATCCAGCTACCCGTTTGCCTGAACCCACAGGCAACCTAGATTATTCTTGTATCCAAGTTATGGAGCAAGTTTACTCCAGCCGTCTAGATTTAAAGGATGAGCCTCTAGATAATCCTGAGGTAGAATGAATTACAGATGGAAGTAGCTTTGTGCACCAGGGAAGTAGGACAACAAACTGTTACTACCAGGTGCTAATCAGTGGGAAATAGTTAAGCATTTGCATGATTCTGCTCACTGGGGAAGAGATTCCCTGTTTCAATTAATATATTGGCTTTTTTTTTTTTTTATTGGAAAAGGCTTACTTAAAACAGTAAAGCAGGTAACTCAAGCCTGTGAACTATGTGCCTGGAATAACCCAAATAACCAATCTTTACCTCCTCCTCTAGTAAGGCCTGAGCAGCATAGGGGAACGTGCCCTGGTTAATAGATTATACTCAGATGCCCCCATGTAAAGGGTTTAAATATTTATTAGTATTCGTTGACACCTTTACTGGTTGGATTGAGACTTTTCCTACCCAGTCTGAAAAGGCAATTGAAGTTTCTAAACTCCTGCTGAAGGAAATAACTCCTAGATTTGGGTTGCCTAAGAGCTTACAGAGCAATAATGGCCCATCTTTCACAGCGACAATTACCAAAACACATCTTCAACCCTAGGAATTCAGTACCACCTTAACTTGGCATGGAGGCCACAGTCTTCAGGGAAAGTAGAAAGAGCTAATCAAACTCGAAAAAGGACCCTTGCTAAACTATGCCAAGAAACATCAGAAACCTGGCTGTCTTTATTACCTGTAGCCTTATTACGGGTTCAAGTGGCCCCTGAGAGAAATTTGCAGCTCAGCCCTTTTGAAATAATGTGTGGAAGGCCTTTCTTAACTACAGACCTCCTAATAGACATAGATACTTTCAAGCTACAGAATTATGTAATCAGGCTGGACACAGTGGTTCACGCCTGTAATCCCAGCACTTTGGGAGGCTGAGGTGGGTGGATCACCTGAGCTCAGGAGTTCAAGACCAGCCTGGCCAACATGGTGAAACCCTGTCTCTACTAAAAATACAAAAATTAACCAGGCGTGATGGTGGGAACCTGTAATCCCAGCTACGTGGGAGGCTGAGGCAGGAGAATCACTTGAACCTAGGAGATGGAGGTTGCAGTGAGCCGAGATCGCATCATTGCACTCCAGCCTGGGCAGTAAGAGTGAAACTCCATCTGAAAAGAAAAAAAAAAAAAGAATTATGTGATTAACTTGGACAAATGCAAAATGCACTCCTTGAATATGGAAATCTAAGACTCCCTTCCCCTACTAAGGAAGAGAATCTTGTTACAACCCAGCAGGAGACTGGGTCCTGTTAAAAACTTGGAAGTAAGGGTCCCCAGCAGATCAACTTTCCCCCAAATAGAAGGGACCCTATCAAGTTCTCCTTAGTACCCCAACTGCAGTTAAACTTCTGGGAATAAACAGCTGGGTCCACTTATCTCAAATTAAACAGGCCGAAGGAACACAAGAGACTGATCCCGTTTATTCCTGTGAGCCAATCAGTGACCTCTGACTCCTGTTCAGAAGAAATGAAAGGGATAGATATCACCTTTTGTCGGAACTCAGTTATAAACAACCTTCACCATACCAACGTTCTCTGACTGAGCTTCGCTCTACCCTGAATGCAAGAGATCCTAATAGTTAGGAGTATCATCACCCCATTCAACCTGAAGAAGTTACAGAAAACAGATCTTCATTCCTGTGCAACCCTTAGGATTCAAGGTTTTCTTGCAAAGGGAGGGGGAGATATGTCTGAGCCATTTGAACCAGAGCAACTCCATTTTGAGTGAGGGCTAGGAAAATAAGGCTGAGACTTGCTGGGCTGCATTCCCAGAAAATTAGGGCTTCCTAGCCTCTCCATGCTTATGGTTAAGGGAACAAATTAATAATGTTTACTAAACAGACCCAGACTTGGATGTGTCCAGATATCCCAATATCTGGAAAACAAAGGCATTCCTAATTTTGCATAATATTGATTATTGCAAAATATAGTAATTAAGAAAAGTAATCCTTTATCACAAACCCTTGTAGCAGAGCACATCTCCCCACATATACAAGCATTGTACCTGGGGTGGATGCGTTCCTCCTCTTACTTTCAGGAACGTCCTGCTCTGTCTATGGTGTAGCTGTCCTTTCACCACTTCACTTTCTTAATAAACTTGCTTTTGCTTTGCACTGCGGACTCGCCCTCAATTCTTTCTTGCGCGAGATCTAAGAACCTCCTCTTGGGATCTGGATCGGGACCCCTTTCCTGTAACAATAATTTGGAACTTTCCTTCGTATTTGATCAAGTTGGATAGAGTTGGTCAAACCCAATGGGAAAAAGACCCAAACAGCTGGGCGAGGTGGCTCATGTCTGTAATTGCAGCACTTTGGGAGGCCAAAGCAGGTGGATCGCCTGAGGTCAGGAGTTCAAGACCAGTCTGGCCAACACGGTGAAACCCTGTTTCTACTAAAAATACAAAAATTAGCCAGGTGTGGTGGTGGGCACCTATAATCCCAGCTACTTGGGAGGCTGAGGCAGGAGAACTGCTTCAACTCAGGAGGCAGAGGTTGCAGTGAGCTGAGATCGCACCATTGCACTCTAGCCTGGGAGACAGAACAAGACTCCGTCTCAAAAAAAAAAAAGACCGAAACAACAACAAAAAAACAGTTAAGCAAAAGAAACTAATTGCACAACTTATATGATTACTGAGCCCTCTAATGTAAGGAGAAATTAAGATCAGCTGATTGTTAAACTTTACCAAGCCAAAACCCCAATTCAGATATTTACTTAGGGATGGGTCTCAGGCTGAAGACTGCACTCTGCCATCCTAGAAGCAGGAAAAAAAAAAAAAAACCCGAATTCGTCTTCCTTGCTGGGAGCGAGCTCAAACTCCTTAAAGAAGTTACCTGCCTTCCATCGTCATGGAAACAGGAAATCTTGCCTTTCTTGTTGGAAGCAAGTAAAACCAAAAAAAAAAGAGGAGTTGTATAGCAAAATAAACTTTAGATCTTGACCAAATTTTGGGAGATAAGGGAATTTTCTGGAGGGGATGCTCCCACACCTCAGCAAATCGTCCTATTGGTTTGAGCCATAAAATTAGCTCATGCTGGTATCAAGCACCGATAGGAGATTTGTCAAAAGTCAGGGACATCTCCACTCAGAATACCTTTGTGATTACCAAAATGTGAACGCTGAAAATCTGAGACAGGTCTCAGTTAATTTAGAAAGGTTATTTTCCCAGTGTTGAAGATGTGCGCCCATGATACAGCCTCAGGAGGTTCTGATGACATGTGCCCAAGGTGGTTAGAACACAGTTTGGTTTCATACATTTTAGGGAGATATGAGACATCAATCAAATATATGTAAGATGAATATTGGTTTGGTCTGGAAAGGCGGGACAACTAGAAGCAAAGGTGGGAAGATGTGAAGTAGGGAGGGGAGGGGCTTCTAAGCCATAGGTAGATAAGAGACAAATGGCTGCATTCTTTTGAGTTTCTGATTAGCCTCTGCAAAGGAAGCAATCAGATATGCATTTCTCTCAGTGAGCAGAGGGGTGACTTTGAATAGAATGGGAGGCAGATAGGCCTTAAGCAGTTCCCAGCTTGACTTTTCCCTTTAGTTTAGTAATTTGGGGGCCCCAAGATTTATTTTCCTTTCACAGTCTTCATCCCCATTTCCTGGCATACAACTCCTACAATCCTTGAAATCCCCAAAGTGTTGTCCTTTTTTTTTTTTTTTTAAGATGGGGTCTTACTCTATTGCCCAGGCTGGAGTGCAGGGGTGTGATTATAGCTCACTGCAGCCTCCAATTCCTGGGCTCAAGGGATCGTCTTGCCTTAGCCTCCCTGATAGCTGGGACTGCAAGTGGGAGCCACCATGCTCAGCTATGAAGTGCTGTCTTTCTCTATGCTAATGTTGACTGATTAGTTTCAGGATGGAAGACCAAGGCATAATTAGAGGGCTGGGACTTTCAGCTCTACCCTCAACCTCCAGGAAGAGGAGAGGGGCTGAAAATCAAGTTAATCATCAATGGCCAATGGTTTAATCAGTCATGCCTATGTAATGAAGCCTCTATAAAAACCCAAGAGGACAGGTTTCTGAGAGCTTCTGGATAGCTGAACACATGGAGGTTCCTGGAGAGGGCATGGAGGCTCCAAGCTCCTTCCCTCACACCTCAATGTACACATCTCTTCATCTGTATTCTTTGTAATATAGTATATAATAAACCAGTAAATGTGTTTCCCTGAGTTCTGCCAGCCATTCTAGCAAATTAATTGAACCCAAAGATGGGGTCATGGGAGCCCCAACTCAAAGCCAGTCAGTCAGAAATTGCAGAGGCCTGGACTTGCCACTAGTGTCTGAAGGGGGGGCAGTTTTGAAGACTGAGCCCCCAACCTGTGACATTATGTACACTATCTCCAGGTACGTAATGTCAGAATCGAATTGGAGGACACTCCACTGGTGTTCCCTGCAGAACTGATTGCTCACTTCGTGGTGGGGAGACCCCCCCCATACACATTTGGTCACAAAAGTCTTCTTCCATGTTGATGTTTGTTGTTCTCGTGGTCGTGTGAGAGCAGAGGTAAAGCATAGCTCGAGTTTTTCCAAACAATCACCTTCCATAGTTACTTTCTGTGTGTATATGTGCGTGTGACAACAGCACCTAAAATCTCCTGTCTTTGCAAATATTTAGTATACAACATTATTAACTATAGTCCTCACGCTATACATTACATCTCTTACACTTATTCATCCTACCTAACTGCATATTTTTTAAAAATAATAGCACAGGCCGGGTGCAGTGGCTCACTCCTGTAATCCCAGGACTTTTGGAGACTGAGGCAGGCAGATAACCTGAGGTCAAGAGTTTGTGACCAGCCGGGCCAACACGGTGAAACCCCGTCTCTACTAAAAATACAAAAAAATTAGCCGTGCGTAGTGACGCGGGCCTGTAATCCCAACTACTCGGGAAGCTGAGGCGGGAGAATCGCTTGAACCCGGGAGGCAGAGGTTGTGGTGAGCCGAGATAGCGCCACTGCACTTCAGCCTGGGTGACAGAGTGAGACTCCATCTCAAAATAATAATAATAATAGCACTGTTGGACTTCAGCTAATGGTAAAATAGTGAAGCTGATGCTTTGCCGTGAAGTTGAGGAAACAATAAACAGTGATAGGTGTTCTAAGCCTGCTGGGGCACTTCCTTCTGTCCCAGGATGCGAAGAAGTTCATTCTGTTAGTGGAAAATCCTTGGACAAATTGAATTTAACGAGTTTGATTAACCAAAAAACGATTCACAAATTGGACAGCCCCTGAAAGAAGAATAGGTTCAGAGAGACTCTGGTGCTGCCACATGGTCGAAGATTTAGGAACAGAAAAAGCAAAGTGATGTATAGAAAATGGAAGGAAGAAAGGTGCAGAAATAGCTGGATTGGTTCCAGCTGAGTGTTTGCCTTATTTAAACACAGTTTGACCAGCTGGCCACCTTTGATTGGCTGGAACTGAATGCTTGATAGAAGAGTAAGTTACAGCCTGTTTACACATCCAGTTGAGTTACAGATCGCTATGTAAGAAGAAACCTTTAGGCTGATCTTAAAATATCTAAGGAGGCAGCTTTAAGCTAAACTTAATTTAACCATTAATTCATTTGATTTTTAGCAACTGTTTAATTGCGTCCCTGTCTTATGCAAGACACTGTTCAAGGCCCTAGGGATACAGACAATTCAAGAAACAAGGCAATATACCATGGTAAACGAAGAAAGGATGGAGACATGAAGCAACAGAAGAAATAGATGGCTAAAAACAATAGATGGGTTGGGTGCAGTGGCTCATGCATTTAATCCCAACACTTTGGGAGGCCAAGGCGGGCAGATCACCTGAGGTCAGGAGTTCAAGACCAGCCTGGCCAACACAATGAAACCCATCTCTACTAAAAATACAAAAATTAGCCAGGCATAGTGGCACATGCATGTAGTCCCAACTACTTGGGAGGTTGATGTGGAAGGATGGCTTGAGCCCGGAAGGTGGAGGTTGCAGTGAGCCAAGATTGTGCCACTGCACTCCAGCCTGGGGGACAGAGCGAGACTCTGTCTCAAAAACCAAACAAACAAAACACACCCCCCTCCCCCACCACCCACCCCAACAGGATAGCAAATTATACCCATATTTTTAAAACAAAAACTAATAACATAGTCTGCAGAAATAATGTTGTATAATATCTTTATTAATAATAGTTTTCAATGATGGAGCATTTACCATGTGTTAATCTTTGCTTATGTTATTTCTTGTTATTTCTGTTTTTTTGTTTTTTTGTTTTTTTTTTTTTTGAGGCAGCCGTGCTCTGCCGCCCAGGCTGGAGTGCAGTGGCATGATCTCGGCTCATTGCAACCTCCATCTCCCGGGTTCCAGCAATTCTCCTGCCTCAGCCTCCTGAGTACATCGGACTACAAGCGGGTGTCACCATACCCATCTAATTATTTTTGTATTTTTAGTAGAGACGGGGTTTCACCATGTTGGCCAGGCTGGTCTCAAACTCCTGACCTCAAATGATCCACCAGCCTCGGCCTCCCAAACTGCTGGGATTACAGGTGTGAGCCACCATGCCCGGCCTGTGTATATTATTTCATTTAATCCTCACTACAATACTAAAGCTAATTGTTATTAAATCCATTTTACAAGTGAGCAAACATAAAGACATGCTCAACTGCACATAACAGTTCTGGGATTCAAACTGAGATCTCCTGGTGCCAAGGCCTGAGCATGTTCACTAAGTCACGTTGTGTCACTGAAGCAGATGCGGGAAGAGCAGGGGAGAAAAAGGGAAGTGGAGCGAAAGTGTAAAGAGAAGGGAGAGAGAGGAGGAAAAAGTGAGGGGACACATGAGATTAATAGGGAAGCAGGTGAGGAAGGAGAACAAGGAAGGAAAAAGAAGCCTGTGTCTCTGAGATGGCGTCACAAAGTGGGATAACTGGTTCTGTTTGAGAAGCAGACGGTCTGGGTTTGGTTATTAGGATAACTCTATTCCTTAGAAACCCTTAAATTGAAAACATGGGGTTGGGCATGGTGGCTCACATCTGTAATCCCAGCACTTTGGGAAGCCATGGTGGAAGGATCACTTGAGGCCAGGAGTTCCAGACCAGCCTGGGCAACATAGTGCAACCCCATTTCTGTTAAAAAATGTAAATATTGGCCGGGCACGGTGGCTCTTGCCTGTAATCCTAGCACTTTGCACTTTGGGAGGCGGAGGCAGGCAGATCACGAGGTCAGGAGATCGAGACCATCCTGGCTAACACGGTGAAACCCCATCTCTACTAAAAATACAAAATATTAGCCAGGCTTGGTGGCGGGCGCCTGTAGTCCCAGCTACTCGGGAGGCTGAGGCAGGAGAATGGCGTGAACCCGGGAGGCGGAGCTTGCAGTGAGCCGAGATCGTGCCACTGCATCCAGCCTGCGCGACACAGTGAACCTCTGTCTCAAAAAAAAAAAAAAAAAAAAAAGTAAATATTTAGCCGGGCATGATGCTGTGCACCTGTAGTTCCAGCTACTCTGGAGGCTGAGGCAGGAGAATAACTTGAACCCAGGAGGCTGAGGCTGCAGTGAGCTATGATTGCACCGCTGCACTCCAGCCTGAGTGACAGAGCAAGACCCTGTCTAAAAAAATAAAACATAGAGTGTTCACAATAGAAAAATATAGCAAGAAAGAGAGTAGATTTGTGATTGTCCACAGCTGGGGATTTAGAAGTAAATGTGTAGTGACTGCTAATGGGTACAGGGTTTATTTTTCAGTGATGAAAATATTTTATAATCAAATGTAAGTGTTCCACAACTTTGTGAATATACTAAAAACCACTAAATTGCATAATTGGAGTGGATTAATTGTACATATGTGAATTATATATCAATAAAGTTGTTATTTTAAAAACCAAGAGGATATTGATTGTTCCCAACACAAAGAAATGATAAATGTTTCAGATGATGGATATGCTAATTACCTAATTTGCTCACTATACATTATATGTGTTGTAACATCACTGTGTACCCCATACATATTACAATCATTATGTGTCAATATAAAGTACTTATTTATTTATTTATTTATTATTTTTTGAGACAGAGTCTCACCATGTTGCCCAGGCTGGAGTGCCATAGCTGGCTAATTTTTTTTGTATTTTTAGTAGAGACAAGGTTTTGCCATGTTGGCCAGGCTGGTCTTGAACCCCTGGCCTCAAGTGATCCACCTGCCCTGGCCTCCCAAAGTGCTGGGACTGCATGCCTGCAATTTATGTATGCCCAGACTAGTCTGGGCAACATAGTGAGACCCTATCTCTACAAAAAATTTAAAAATTAGCTGGGCATGGTGGCATGTGCACCCAGTCAAAAAAAAATTTTTTTAATCACTGAATTTGAAGATAGGTCAATTGAGATTATCCAGTCTCTCTTTCCAGAACAAAAAGAAAAAAGGTGAAAATAAGGAACAGAATCTCAGAGACCTGTGGGAAACCTTTAAACATACCAATGATGCATAACAACAAGGGGAGGAGAGAGAGAAAAATAGATAAATAAATTTGAATCCATAATGGCCAAAAATTTCCAAAATTTGCTAAGAGAAACCAATCTACATATCCAGGAAGCTCAAAAACTAACAGTAAGGTAAATTCAAAAGGATACAAAATGTAGACATATAATAATCAAACTGCTGGAAGTCAAAGACAAAAAGAAAATCTGGGCCAGGCATGGTGGCTCATGCCTGTAATCCCAGCACTTTGGGAGGCCAAGGCGGGCGGATCACCTGAGGTCGGGAGTTCGAGACCAGCCTGATCAACATGGAGAAACCCCGTCTCTACTAAAAATACAAAATTACCCGGGCTTGGTGACACATACCTGTAATCCCGGCTACTCGGGAGGCTGAGGCAGGAGAGTCGCTTGAACTCGGGAGGCGGAGGTTGTGGTGAGCTGAGATCATGTCATTGCACTCCAGCCAGGGCAACAAGAGTGAAACTCCGTCTCAAAAAAAAAAAAAAAAAAAAAAAAAAGAAAGAAAGAAAGAAAGAAAAAAGAAAAGAAAATCTGGAAAGCAGCAAGACAGAAGCAACTCATCACATACAAGAGATCTTCAATAAAATTAACAGCTAATTTATCAGAAATCATAGAGGCAGCCAGGTACAGTGCCTCATGCCTGTAATCCCAGCACTTTGGCAGGGCAAGGCAGGAGGATTGCCTGAGTCCAGGAGTTCAAGACCAGCCTGGGCAACATAGTGAGACCTTGTCTCTACAAAAAATAATTTTTAAAAATTAGCATGCACCTTTAGTCCCAGCTACTCAGGAGGCTGAGGTGGGGGGATTGCTTGAGCCCGGGAGGTCAAGGCTCCAGTGAACTGAGATTACACCACTGCACTCCAGCTTGGATGACAGAGCGAGACTCTGTCTCAAAAACAAAACAAAACGAAACAAAACAAGAAAACAGGCCAAACATGGTGGCTCACACCTGTAATCCCAGCACTTTGGGAGGCTGAGATGGGCAGATCACCTGAGGTCAGGAGTTTGAGACCAGCCTGGCCAACATGGTGAAACCCTGTCTCTACTAAAAATACAAAGATTAGCCGGGCATGGTGATGCACGCCTGTAATCCCAGCTACTTGGGAGGCTGAGGTAGGAGAATTGCTTGAACCTGGGAGGCAGAGGTTGCAGTGAGCCAAGATTGTGCCACTGCACTCCAGCCTGGGTGACAGAGTGAGACTCTGTCTCAAAAAAAAAAAAAAAGGAAAAGAAAAGAAATTATAGAGGCTCAAAAGGCAGTGGGGCAAAAACTGGCAACCAAAGTTTCTACATCCAGCAAAGCAATTCTTTAAAAATTAAGGGCCGGAGCCAGGCATGATGGCTCAGGCCTATAAACCCAGCACTTTGGGAGATTTAGGTGGGCAGATTGCTGGAGCTCAGGAGTTGGAGACCAGCCTGGGCAACATGGGTGAAGCCCCGTCTTACTTTATTAAAAAAAAAAAAAATTAAGGGTTAGATGTGGTTGCTGACACCTATAATCCCAGCACTTTGGAAGGCCAAGGCAGGAGGTTTGTTTAAGCCCAGGAGTTCAAGACTAGTCTAGTTAACATAGATGAGACCCTATCTCTACAAACAAGTTAAAAATTAGCTAGGCGTGGTGGCATGCATCTGTAGTCCCAGCATCTTCGTAGGCTGAGGTGGGAAGATATTTGAACCGAAGAGGTTGGGGCTGCAGTGAACCATGATAAGGAGAACTAAACAGAAATTTGCACACCAATAGTCATAGCAGCATTATTTACGATAGCCGAAAGGTGGAAACAACCAGAGTGTCTATCAACAGACAAATGGACCAACAAAATGTGATATATTAATATACTGGAATATTATTCAGCTGTAAAAATGAATGAAATTCTGAGACATGCTACAACATGGATGAACCTTGAGAACATTATGCTAAGGGAAGTAAGCCAGTCACAAAAAGACAAATACTGTCCACTTTATGGGGTACCTAAAGTAGTTAAATTCATAGAGATAGAAAGTAGAATGGGGTTGCCAGGGCTCAGAGGAGAGAGAACTAGGAAGCTAATCTTTAATGGGCATGGGGTTTTTAATTAGAGAAGATGAAAAATTTCTAGAGATGGAAGGCAGTGATGGTAGCACAACAATGTGAACGTACTCAGTGCCCCAGAACTGTACATTTAAAACTGGTTGAAATGAAGCATACAAATATGCACTTAGAAGACACAAGACCTGGCTGGGCCTGGTGGCTCATACCTGTAATCCCAGCACTTTGGGAGGCCGAAGCCAGCAGATCATGAAGTCAGGAGTTCAAGATCAGCCTGGCCAACATGGTGAAACCCTGTCTCTACTAAAAAAAAAATACACACACACGAAGACACAAGACCGCTCAGCGTGATGACCTATGCCTGTAATCCCAGCACTTTAGGAGGTGGAGGCAGGTGGATCACTTGAAGGAGCTCAAGACCAGCCTGACCAACATGGTGAAACCCCATCTCTACTAAAAATACAAAATTAGCCGGGCGTGGTGGCTCACGCCTGTAATCCCAGCACTTTGGGAGGCAGAGGCGGGTGGATCACCTGAGATCGGGAGTTCGAGACCAGCCTGACCAACATAGAGTAACCCGGTCTCTACTAAAAATACAAAATTAGGTGGGCATGGTGGTGCATGCCTGTAATCCCAGCTACTCAGGAGGCTGAGGCAGGAGAATCACTTGAACCCGGGAGGCGGAAGTTGTGGTATGCCAAGATCAAACCATTGCACTCCAGCCTGGGCAATAAGAACGAAACTCGGTCTCAAAAAAAAAAAAAAAAAAAGGCCAGTCACCGTGACTCACACCTGTAATCCCAGCACTTTGAGAGGCCAAGGCAGGGAAATCACTTGAGGCCAGTTCAGTACCAGCCTAGCCAACATGGTGAAACCCCATCTCTACTAAAAATACAAAAAATTAGCCAAGTATGGTGGCATGCACCTGTAGTCCCAGCTACTTAGGAGGCTAAGGCACAAGAATTGGTTGAACCTGGGAGGCAGAGGTTGCAGTGAACCAAGATCATGTCACTGTACTCCAGCCTGAATGACAGAGACTCTGCTCAAAAAAAAAAAGAAAGAAAGAAAGAAAGAAGAAATAGATAAAAACAACAAATGTTTAAAGGTTAAAATGGTAAATTTTCTGTTATGTGTATTTTACCACAACAAGAAAAGATAAAATGTTAAATAAAAAGAGCAACTAAAGAGAATTTAACTCTAGCACATCCATTTTTCAGGCTGAAATGAAAGAACAGGTGACACTAACTCAAATCCACATGAAGTGGAGAGCATTGGAAAAGGTAACTAAATAAAGGCAAATATAAAAGACAGTATAGATGTATGTTTTGTTTGTGACTCTTTTTCTCTCCTGTCTTACTTCAGACAACTGCATAAAGCACTAATATAAAACATGAAATATATATTGAGGGTCATATATTCTATAAACATGCATTTGCTTGGCAATAATAGTACAAAGAAGGTTGAGGGAATGGTCCTTTGTAGGAGCAAGTTTTGTACACTATTGAAATTAAATTGGCATGGTTCCAAATTGTATTGTTTTAAGATGTTAATGGCAACCACTAAGAAAATAACTAAAAATATATAGTAAAAGAATGACAATGCAATAACTATAGTATACTAGAAAATATTTACTTAACAGAAAAGAAGGCAGTAATGGAGTATTAAATAAGACTTAAAATGTATTAAAAATAGCAAAATGGCAGATATATATCCTATGTTATCTGTAATTAAATGTAAATGGACTAAACACTTCAATCAATAGGCAGAGATTTTCAGAATGGATTTTAAAAATAAAACTACATGCTATTTACAAGAGACAAAATTCAGATTCAAAGACACAGATAGAGTTAAAAGAACAGAGATGGTCCAAGTGTGGTGGTTCATGCCTGTAATCCCAGCACTTTGGGAGGCCAAGACAGGCAGATTGCTTGAGCCCAGGAGTTCAAGACCAGCCTGGGCAACATGATGAAACCCTGTCTCTACAAAAAATACAAAAATTGGCCAGGCAAAATGGTGTGTGCCTGTAGTCTTAGTAGTCTTAGTTACGCAAGAGGCTGAGGCAAAAGGATTGATTGAGCCCAGGAGGTGGAGGCTGCAGTGAGCTCTGATCACATCACTGCACTCCAGCCTAGGTAACAGAGGGAGATTCCATCTCTAAAAAAAATAATAATAATTGAAGACAATAGAATCAAACCTTTCAGCTTTGCCAAGTCTCATGATTTTTCATTTGTCTCAGATCAGTTTTTTAAAACAAAACATGCAAAATTTATTGCAATCTATCCCACTCACTCCCAACAGCCAGAGATAATTACTATCCTAAATTTGGTGTTGACCATTCCCTTATGTTTTTATACTTTTACTATATATATAATACATGTATTTTACTATATATAATATATATTTTACTATATATAATATATATTATACTATATATTATATTTGTAATTATACTTTATAATATATTATATATTATACTATAAAATATATTACATTTGTGGGCCGGGTGCGGTGGCTCACGCCTGTAATCCCAGCACTTTGGGAGGCCAAGGCAGGTGGATCACGAAGTCAGGAGTTTAAGACCAGCCTAGCCAACATGGTGAAACCCTGTCTCTACTAAAAATACAAAAATGAGCTGGGCGTGGTGGCAGGTGCCTGCAGTCCCAGCTACTTGAGAGGGTGAGGCAGAGAATTGCTTGGACCCGGGAGGCAGAGGTTGCAGTGAGCCGGGATCGCGCCACTGTACTCCAGCCTGGAGGACAGAGTGAGACTCCATCTCAAGAAAAAAAAATATATATAAAATATTTGTAATTATACTATATAAAATATTATATAGTATATATATTTTAAGTATAGTAAAAGTTTTTTATACTTTACACATAGTAAAAGTATAAAAACATAAGGGGGCCGGGCACAGTGGCTCATGCCTGTAATCCTAGCACTTTAAGAGGCCAAGGCGGGTGGATTACCTGAGGTTAAGAGTTCAAGACCAGCCTGGCCAAAATGGTGAAACCCTGTCTCTACTAAAACTACAAAAATTAGCTGCGCGTGGTGGCATGTGCCTGTAGTCCCAGCTACTCGGGAGGCTGAGGCAGGAGAATAGCTTGAACCCAGGAGGCAGAGGTTGCAGTGAGCTGAGATGGTACCACTGCACTCCAGCTTGGGCAGCAGAGTAAGACTCCATCTCAAAAATAAATAAATAAATAAAAATAAGGCAATGATTATATATATAGTATTGTTTTACATCTTAAAACTTTATGTAGATGATATCATACCATAAACATCCTTCTGCAACATGATTTTCTTGGGTAACATTATGATTTTGAGATTCAGCCATGTTTGTTCACTCTGAGCATCTGGAATGCATCAATAAACAAAGCTGACAAAGATCCCTGCCTTCACAAAAGGAGATCAGGCTAGAAAAAAAGGAAAACAGGACCGGGTAGGTGAGCTAGTGACCATCAAGAGAAGGAGCCTTTGCAACTATAAACAAAGTGTGTGTCAGGTAATGTCAGAAAAATAATTGGGTAGGTGAGGGTGGATTGGGGGATGTTGGCCACAGAGAGGGTTGTAGGCCATTGAGGCCATTGTGAGGATTTTGCTTTCACTGAAATGAAATGAAGAGTTTTGAGCAGAGTAGAGATATGACCTGACTTACATTTTTGAAATGCTGATACATATAGCTCTGGTTCATTAATTTTAACTTTTGCATAGTGGTCTATTGTAGGATCATACATTAAAGTATTGATTCATTCTCCTATTAGTGGTCAATTAAGTTATTTTCATATTCATTATATATAATGCTGCAGTGGACACTTTTGTATTTGTCCTTTAGGGCACTTGCGGGAGAATTTTCCTAAGAAGGAAATCTTTGGATCGGAGGGCATTTGCCTTTTTAATATTATTTGTAATAACTATTATTACTAATTATTAGTAATATTATCAGTAATAACTAATAATTGCCAAACTGCTCTAGAAAGAGGATGTCCCACTTTACACTGGCACCAGCATTTATAGAAGTTTCATTTGCCGCCCAGTCTCACCAGCCCTTTTTTTTTTTTTGAGACAAGGTCTCGCTCTGTCGCCCAGGCTGGAGTGCACTGGCGTGATCTCGGCTCACTGCAACCTCCTACCTCCCAGGTTCAAGCAATTCTCCTGTCTCAGCCTCCCAAGTAGCTGGAATTACAGGCTCACACCATCATGCCCGGCTAATTTTTGTATTTTTAGTAGAGACGGGGTTTCGCCACGTTGGCCAGGCTGGTATCGAACTCATGACCTCAAGTGATTCGAATCCCAGCACTTTGGGAGGCCAAGGTGGGCAGATCACTTGAGGTCAGGAGTTTGAGACCAGCCTAACCAACATGGTGAAACCCCATCTCTACTAAAAATACAAAAAAAAAATTAGCCGGGTGTTGTGGCAGGCACCTGTAATCCCAACTGCTCGGTAGGCTGAGGCAGGAGAATCGCTTGAGCCAGGAGGTGGAGGTTGCAGTGAGTGGAGATCGCGCCGCTGCACTTCAGCTTAGGCGATAAAGAGAGGCTCCTTCTCAATAAGAAACAAACAAAAATAAAAACAAAGTGCTGGGATTACAGGCTTGAGCCACCACCACATGTCTGCCCCTCACCCGCCCTTGAAATAGCTCTTTGTGGTTTTAATTTGCATTTCCCCATCCCTGGTGAAGTTCAGCACCTTTTTCATGTTTATTTGTGGTTTGGTCTTTTCTTCTCTGATTGCCTCTTGATGTTCTTTATCCTTATTCTATGGAGCTATTTCTCCACCACCCCCCTTTTTTTTGAGACAGAGTCCCCTTCTGTCTCGCAGGCTAGAGTGCAGTAGTGTGATCTCTGATCACTGCAACCTCCGCCTCCCAGGTTCAAGCAGTTCTAATGTCTCATCCTCCTTAGTTGGGATTACAAGCCTGCGCTACCACGCCTGACTAAGCCTGGATAATTTTTTGTATTTTTAGTAGAGACAGGGTTTTGCCATGTTGTCCAAGCTGGTCTTGAACTATTTCTCACTTAAAAAAAATTTTTTTTTTTTTGTTTTGAGATGGGCGCTCTGTTGCCCAGGCTGGAGTGCAGTGGCACGATCTCAGCTCACTGCAACCTCCCCTTCCCTGGTTCAAGAAACGATCCTCCCACCTCAACCTCTTGAGTAGCTGGGATTACAAGTGTGCACCATCACGCCTGACTAATTTTTGTATTTTTAGTAGAGACGGATTTCACCAAGTTGGCCAGGCTAGTCTTGAACTCCTGGCCTCAAGTGATCCTCAGCCTCCCAAAGTGCTGGGATTACAGGCATGAGCCACCTCACCCAGCCTAAAAGTTGATTTTTAGATATTCTGTATATATTCTAGATACTGATATTTTGTTAATTATACACAATCCATTGCTGATTATATGTAACACAAACATCTTCTCCCCTTCTCTGTCTTGTCTTTTTTCTTTTCTTTTTTTTTTTTTTTTTTTTTTTTTTTTTTTGAGATGGAGTCTCGCCCTGTCGCCCAGGCTTGAGTGCAATGGCACCATCTCGGCTTACTGCAACCTGTGCCTCCCGGGTTCAAGCAATTCTGTCTCAGCCTCCTGAGTAGCTGGGATTACAGACATGCATCACCACGCCTGGCTAATTTTTGTATTTTTAGCAGAGATAGGGTTTCACCATGTTGGCCAGGCTGGTCTTGAACTCCTGGCCTCAAGTGATCCACCCGTCTTGGCCTCCCAAAGCGCTGGGATTGCAAGCTTGAGCCACTGCGCCCGGCCGTCTTCATTTTTTAAAACTGACATCTTTTGTTGCACAGAACCCTTTCATTTTTTTATGCAGTTGAATATTTGAATCTTTTTCTTTCAAGGCTTGTGATTTTTGTGTTTTGTTTAAGAAATGTTCCTCTACACCAAGGTCATAACATTTTCTCATATTCATTCCTCCTTTAAATTTGTTAATACGATCAATCTGGATTATGTCGAGAGGGAAGGGGAAGTCTGATCTGTCCCTTTAGAGGTGACTTTGCATATCTCACCA
The DNA here is from genome assembly GCF_000001405.40 of Homo sapiens. NCBI lineage: Eukaryota > Metazoa > Chordata > Mammalia > Primates > Hominidae > Homo > Homo sapiens. The sequence goes on from NC_000010.11 coordinate 74,797,413, forward strand.
GGATTCTTTGGTGTTGACTTCATGGCTTAACTCTGTAGATAGTCCTGTTCTCCTTATTTACAGGTTGCAAGGAAAGCTTTATTGAAATGTCCAAATCTTAGGCAGATTTTTATTTAATGGACCTGTGGCAGGGCCCAAGAACCTGCATTTTTATTTGCAACCCAGGTGATTTTGATGAAAGAGGTTTCCTTTTAAATTATTGATAGTGCTGAAGCCATCTTCTCAGGTGTCCAGCAACTTGGAAATGAACCTACTCTTTGTTGGCTGGTGATTGAGCCTTGCTCTGCCTTGGTTCCTCTTTGGTAAAAGTGGATGGCCAAAGTCCCTCCTGGGAGATGGGGAGTCCCATGATGAGTGGGATGACTCTCACATATAAAAGTTTAGCCCGCCTTGCATTTGTCAGACACTCAGTAAACAGTGGACCTTCCTTAACTCCTGAGGTCCCAAGCTCAGGGTTGAGCCTGCCCTGCCTCCCTTCTAGACCATCTCCCACCATGCACCCAACTTGGGCAAGTCCCATAACCCCTCACAGCCTCAATGCCATCATCTGTAAATTCATTAATTTGCTGGCTGGGCACAGTGGCTCACATCTATAAACCTAGCACTTTGGGAGTCTGAGGCTGGAGGATTGCTTGAGCCCAAGGGTTTGAGACCAGCCTGGGCAACATAGTGAGACGCTATCTCTACAAAAAACTTTTAAAAATTAGCAAAGTGTGGTGATACACATCTGTAGTCCCAGCTACCGCAGAGGGTGAAGTGGGAGGATCACTTGAACCCAGGAGGTCAAGACTGCAATAAGCCATGACTGCGCCACTGCAGTCCAGCCTGGGTGACAGAGTGAGACCCTTTCTCAAAACAAACAAACGAACAAACAATAGTCTTTGCGTTACAAGGTTGTTGTAAGGATTGGAGTGGCATATAAACACCCAGGACAGTGCCAGAATGCAGTATCACTACAAGAGACTGTGGAAGCTGAGCAGTTGTGTTTTTAATCCTGGAGAATCTGAAAGATTCCTGGAGCATCTCCCATGTTGCTTCCCAATGCCTAGAACAATATCGGACATTCTGTAAAGATTTGGTAAATTCATGTTCTTTCCATTGCAGGACACAATTCTCACATTCCATCAGTGTCTCCAAAGAACCTACAAAACTGGAAAAATATATTCGATCATTTTATTTAACAGGTGTTTATATAGGGCTTGCAGTACATCAGGCCCTGCTGTAAGTGCTTTATAATAATTAACTCATTTAATCTTCATAACAACTCTATGAGGGAGATACTATTATTATTATCATTTTGCAGATGAGGAACTGAGATGAGGAGCAGCCCTGGACTGAGTGAATTGAACCCTCTGGGTGTGTTACATTCAGGATGGTGGAACAAGACCCCTGGGAAGAAGGTAATTCAAACCCTGGTTCTTCTGGATGCTTTCTGTTTCAGATGAGGGAAGCCTTTGGAATTGAAAATCAATTCAAACTGAGCAATATTAGTTGTAATTTTTGTATTTTAAAACCATCCTACCACGGCATCCCCATTTGGATGGTTACTATCAAAAAATAAAAACAGGGCTGGGCGTGGTGGCTCATGACTGTAATCCCAGCACTTTGGGAGGCCGAGGCAGGCGGATCACAAGGCCAGTAGTTCGAGACCAGCCTGGCCAATATGGTGAAACCCCATCTCTATTAAAAACACAAAAATTAGCCGGGTGTGGTGGCGGGTGCCTATAGTCCCAGCTACACAGGAGGCTGAGGCAGGAAAATCACTTGAACCTGGGAGGCGGAGGTTGCAGTGAACCGAGATTACGCCACTGCACTCCAGCCTGGGTGACAGAGAGAGAGAGACTCTGTCTCAAAAAATAAATAAATAAATAAATAAATAAAAATAAAAATAGGCCGGGCGCAGTGGCTCATGCCTGTAATCCCAGCACTTTGGGAGGCCGAGGCAGGTGGATCATGAGGTCAGGAATTCAAGACCAGCCTGGCCAAGATGGTGAAACCCCATCTCTACTAAAAATACAAAAATTAGCCAGGCGTGGTGGCAGGCGCCTGTAATCCCAGCTACTCGGGAGGCTGAGGCAGGAGAATCGCTTGAACCCGGGGGGCGGAGGTTGCAGTGAGCCGAGATCGTGACACTGCACTTCAGCTTGGGCAACAGAGTGAGACTCTATCTCAAATAATAATAATAATAATAATAATAAAAACAAAACAGAAAATAACAAGTGTTGGCAAGGATGTGAAGAAACTGAAAACTTGTGCACTGCTGGTGGGAATATAAAATGGTATAGCCTCTTGGAAGACAGTATGGCAGTTCCTCAAAAAATTAAAAATAGAATTAGCACATGACCCAGCAATTCTACTTCTGTGTATATACCCAAAAACACTTGAAAGCAGGGATTGGAGGATATACTTGTATTCCTATGTGTACAGCAGCATTATTCATAATAGTCAAAAGTGGAAACAACCCAAGTGTCCATTGGTGGATGAATAGATAAAGAAAACATGGTATATTCACACAATGGAAATGACTCATCCTTAAAAGGAAGGAAATTCTGACACACGGTATAACATAGATGAATGTTGAGGACGCTGTGCCAAGTGAAATAAGCCAGTCACAAAGATAAACACTGTACGATTCCACTTACGTGAGGCACCTAGAGTAGTCAAATTCATAGAGACAGAAAGTAGAATACTGGCTGCCAGAAACAGTGGGCAGGGCTGGAGGGGGAGTTCTTGTTTAATTGGTATAGAGTTTCTGTCTTGCAAGATGAAAAGAGTTCTATGGATGGATGGCAGTAACAGTAGCACGATGTGAATGTACTTAATGCCGCAGAACTGTACTCTTAAAAATGGTTAAGGGCCAGGCATGGTGGCATAAACCTGTCATCCTGGCACTTTGGGAGGCCAAATTGGGAGTATGCCAGTTAGAATGGCTATTATTATTTTTATTTTTTTTTGAGGCACAGTCTTGTTCTGTCACCCAGTCTGGAGATCAGTGGTGCAATCTTGGCTCACTGCAACCCCCGCCTCCCATGTTCAAGCAATTCTCCTGCCTCAGTCCCTCGAGTATGGGACTACAGGCGTGCGCCACCATGCCCAGCTAATTTTTGTAATTTCAGTAGAGACAGGGTTTCACCATGTTGGCTAGGCTGGTCTTGAGTTCCTGACCTCAGCTGATCTGCCCGCCTTGGCCTCCCAAAGTGCTGGGATTACAGGCGTGACCCACCATACCTGGCCAGAATGGCTATTATTAAAAAGACAAAAAACAACAGATGTTGGTGAGGATGCAGGGTAAAGGGAATACTTCCACACTGTTGGTAAGAATGTAAATTAGCATAGACACTATGAAAAACAGTATGGCTGGGCATGATGGCTCACACCTGTAATCCCAGCACTTTGGGAGGATGAGATGGGTGGATTGCTTGAGGCCAGGAGTTCGAAACCAGCCTGGCCAACAAGGTGAAACCCCATCTCTACTAAAAATACAAAAAATTAGTCGGGCTGCTGGGTGTGATGGCTCATGCCTGTAATCCCAGCACTTTGGGAGGCCGAGGTGGGTGGATCACCTGAGGTCAAGAGTTTGAGACCAGCCTGACCAACATGGAGAAACCCCGTCTCTACTAAAAATACAAAATGAGCCGGGTATGGTGGCGTATGCCTGTAATCCCAGCTATTCGGGAGGCTGAGGCAGGAGAATCGCTTGAACCCGGGAGGCAGAGGTTGCGGTGAGCCGAGATCACGCCATTGCACTCCGGCCTGGGCAACAAGAGCGAAACTCCATCTAAAAAAAAAAAAATTAGCTGGGCATGGTGGTGTGTGCCTGTAATCCCAGCTACTCAGGAGGCTGAGGCAGGAGAATTGCTTGAACCCGGGAGGGAGAGGTTGCAGTGAGCCGAGATCACACCACTGTACTCCAGCCTGAGCAACAAGAGCAAAACTCCATCTCAAAAAAAAAAGAAAAAAAGAAAAATAGTATGGAGATTTCCTGAAAAACTAAAAATATTAATAGAACTACCATACAATCCAGTAATTCTACTACTTGTTATTTATCCAAAGGAAAAGAAATCAGTACATCAAAGGGATATCTGCACCCCCATGTTTGTTGTAGCAATATTCACAATAGCAAAGATATGGAATCAACCTAAGTGTCCATCAATGGACTAATAGATAAAGAAAATATGACATATATACACAACGGAATAGTATTCAGCCATAAAAAGGAATGAATGAAATCACATCATTTGCAGCAACATGGGTGGAACTGGAGGTCATTATGTTAAGTGAAATAGGTCAGGCACAGAAAGACAAATATCACATGTTTTCACTCATATGTGGGAGCTAAAAAAAAGTTAACATCATGGAGGCAGAGAGTAGAATAATAGATACTAGAGGCTGCAAAGGATGTGTGGGTGCGAGGAAGGGATGAAGAAAGATTGGTCAATGGGTACAAACATACAGTTGGTTAGAAGGTGTAAGTTCTAGTATTTGACAGTAAAGTGAGATGACTAGTTAGCAACAATGTATTATATATTTCAAAATGGCTAGAAGCAAGGACTTGAAATGCTCCCAACATATAGAAACGATAAATACTCAAGTTGATGGACACCCCTAATACCCTGACTTGATTTTTACCCATTCCATGCATGTGACAAAATATCACATGTACCCCATAACTGTGTAAAATATGAGGTATCAATAAATATTATTATTATTATTTTAGAGACAAGGTCTTGCTCTGTCACCCTGGCTGGAGTGCAGTGGCATGATCTTGGCTCACTGAAGCCTCAAACTTCTGAACTCAAGTGATCCTCCCACCTCAGCTTCCTGAGTAGCTGGGATTACCAGCATGCACCACCATGCCTGACTAATTAAAAAAAAATTTTTTTTTGTAAAGAAGCGGTCTCACCATGTTACCCAGGCTGGTTTCAAATGATCCTGGTCTCAAGTGATCCTCCTCCCTTTGCCTCCCAAAGTGCTGAGATTACAGATGTGAGCCACCATGTCAAACAATTTTTTTTTTTTTTGAGACAGGGTGGAGTGCAGTTGTGTGATCATAGCTCATTGCAGCCTCCAACTCCTGGGCTCAAGCAATCCTCCTGCCTCCACCTCCTAAGTAGCTGAAACTACAGGTGCATGCCATCACACTTGACTAATTTTTACATTGTTTGTAACAACGAGGTCTTGCCATGTTGCGCAGGCTTGTCTCAAATTCCTGGCCTCAAGTGATCCAACTGCCTTGGCCTTCTTAAGTGTTGGGATTACAGGTGTGAGCCACCATGTCCAGCCCCTTTTGCTGCTTTTTTTTTTTTTCTTGAGACAGAGTTTCGCTCTTGTTGCGCAGGCAGGAGTGCAATGGCGCAATCTTGGCTCACCCCAACCTCTGCCTCCCAGGTTCAAGCGATTCTCCTGCCTCAGCCACCCAAGTAGCTGGGATCACAGGCATGCACCATTATGCCGTCTAATTTTGTATTTTTAGTAGAGATGAAGTTTCTCCATGTTGGTCAGGCTGGTCTCGAACTCCCGACCTCAGGTGATCCGCCCGCCTCAGCATCCTAAAGTGCTGAGATTACAGGTGTGAGCCACTGGACCTGGCCTCCTTTTTCTGATTTTTAAGTAATGTTTCTTTTTTTTTTTTTTTTTAAACGGAGTCTCACTCTGTCACTCAGGCTGGAGTGCAGTGGCGTGATCTCGGCTCACTGCAACCTCCGCCTCCGGGTTCAAGCAATTCTCCTGCCTCAGCCTCTCCAGTAGCTGGGTTTACAGGCATGCACCACCATGCCCAGCTAATTTTTGTAGTTTTAGTAGAGACAGGGTTTCACCATCTTGGCCAGGCTGGTCTTGAACTCCTCACCTCAGGTGATCTGCCCACCTCAGCCTCCCAAGGTGCTGGGATTACAGGTGTGAGCCACCACACCCAGCCAGATTTTGAAATAATGTTTCCGATAAAACTTTCAAACATCGCAAATGTTTTGAACAAAGAACGTGAGTGCTTCCCATAACCTCATATTCTCTTTTTTTTTTTTTTTTTTTTTGAGACCTGGCTGGTCTCAAACTCCTAGCCTCAAGCAATCCTTCTGCCTCAGTTGGTTCTTTCAGTGAAAGAAATGTGCTGTGCATTTTTTTTTTTTTTTTGAGATGGAGTCTCACTCTGTCACCCAGGCTAGAGAGCAATGGCGTGGTCTTGGCTCACTGCAACCTCCGCCTCCCAAGTTCAAGCAATTCTCCCACCTCAGCCTCTCAAGTAGCTGGGACTACAGGTGCATGCCACCACACCCGGCTAATTTTTGTATTTTTACTAGAGACAAGGTTTCACTATGTTGGCCAGGCTGGTGTCAAACTCCTGACCTCGTGATCCGCCCACGTCGGCCTCCCCAAGTGCTGGGGTTAAAGGTATAAGCCACCATGCCCAGCTTGTGCATATATTAACCCATAAAGTAATTAATATTTTCACAATATTAATAACCATGTCTAATCTATTTTGACAGCACAGAGCCAGCCTTTTCCTTCATTTCTGGGAGAAGTCCTTCCCCAGGAAAGCCAAGCTTCCACTTTCCACCTTCAAATCAAATGCACCAGTGCTCAAATGGGGTTCCAGGCAAAGATGGTGGGCTTGAGGCTCACTGGAAGATGGAGAAATATTATTAGAAGCAATTTTGCCAGCCTGCACAACATAGGGAGACTACGTTTCTACTAAATAAGTAAATAAATATATAGGCTGGGTGTGGTGGTTCATGCCGTAATCCTAGCACTTTTAGAGGCAGATGCAGGAGAATCGCTTGAGGCCAGGAGTTCAAGATGAGCCTGGGCAACAGGGCCAGGTCCTGTCTCAATTTAAAAATATATAAATATATATATATTTTTTTTTAAAAAAGAAAACATTGAAAAAAAGAATAAAAATTAGCTGGGTGTAGTGGCACATGCCTGTGGTCTCACATACTTGGGAGGCTGAGGTGGGAGGATCACTTGAGGCAGGGATGTTGAGGCTGCTGTGAGCTATGATCATGCCATTGCACTCTAGCACTCCAGCCTGAGTGACAAAGCGAAACCCTGCCTCAAAAAAAAAAAATTTTTTTTTTTTGTAAAAATGTAATACCTGGGCCGGGCGCAGTGGTTCACACCTGTAATCCCAGCATTTTGGGAGGCCAAGGTGGGCAGATCACTTAAGGTCAGGAGTTTGAGACCAGCCTGGCCAACATAGTGAAATCCCGTCTCTACTAAAAATACAAAAATTAGCCAGGCGTGGTGGCGGGCGCCTGTAATCCCAGGTACTTGGGAGGCTGAGGTAGGAGAATCACTTGAACCCGGGTGGCAGAAGTTGCAATAAGCAGAGGTTGCAGTGAGCCGAGATCACGCCACTGTGCTCTCCAGCCCGGCTGACAGAGCAAGACTCTGCCTCAAAAAAATAAATAAATAATGGCCAGGCCTCCCAGGGAGGCAGAGGTGGGTGGATCACCTGAGGTCTGGAGTTCGAGACCAGCCTGACCAACATGGAGAAACCCCTTCTCTACTAAAAATACAAAATTTAGCCAGGTGTGGTGGCACATGCCTGTAATCCCAGTTTACTCAGGAGGCTGAGACAGGAGAATCACGTGAACCAGGGAGGTGGAAGTTGCGGTGAGCCGAGATTGCACCATTGCACTCTGGCCTGGGCAACAAAAGCGAAACTCCGTCTCAAAAAATGAATGAATAAATAAATAAATAAATAAATAAATAATGTGGCCTGGCGCGGTGGCTCACGCCTGTAATCCCAGCACTTTGGGAAGCTGAGGCGGGTGGATCACGAGGTCAGGAGTTCGAGACCAGCCTGACCAACATGGTGAAACCCCGTCTCTACTAAAAATACAAAAATTAGCCAGGCGTGGTGGCACGCCTGTAATCCCAGCTACTCAGGAGGCTGAGGCAGGAGAATCGCTTGAACCCAGAAGGAGGAGGTTGCAGTGAGTCAAGATTGCACCACTGCTCTCCATCCTGGGCGACAGGGCGAGACTCCGTCTCAAAAAAAAAAAAAAAAGTAATACCTGAATTCCTATACTTCTCAGTATGTACAGTGATTAATATTAACCTAAACTATTCCCTGAATAAGACCTCAATTCAGAAAATTCAGGGTGTTTGGATGCTGTATTCATTCATTCAGTCAATCAATTCAGAAATCAATGTTTCCCCAATGCTTCTTAAGCCATGCCAGATTTGTTGCTAGACATAGAATCCCACAGAAAACAAAAAGAGACTTGGTTTGGGGGGAAAACAACTTATTTAATTTCTTATTCTTAGAGACAGTGTATCACTCTATTGCCCAGGCTGGAGTGCGGTGGCGTGATCTTGGCTCACTGCAACATATGCCTCCCAGGCTCAGGAGATCTTCCCACCTCAGCCTCCTGAGTAGCTGGGACTACAGGTGTGCAACACCACGCCCGCCTAGTTTTGGTATTTTTTTTGTAGATACAGGGTTTCACCTTCAAAAAATTTGCTGGGCATAGTGGCGCATGTCTGTAGTCCCAGCTACTCAGGAGGCTGAGGTGGGAGGATCACCTGAACCTGGGAGGTTGAGGCTGCAATGAGCCATAATTGTACCACTGCATTCCAGCCTTCGCAACAGAGGGAGATCCTGTCTCAAAAAAAAAAGTATTTTATCAAAAATGCAGCCGGGCGCTGTGGCTCACGCCTGTAATCTCAGTACTTTGGGAGGCCGAGGCAGGCAGATCACATGAGGTCAGGAGTTAGAGACCAGCCTGGCTAACATGGTGAAACCCTGTCTCTACTAAAACGCAAAATTAGCTAGGCAGGGTGGCGTGCACATGTAATCCCAGCTACTCAGGAGGCTAAAGCACGAGAATTGCTTGAACCTGGGAAGCAGAGTACTGTAGTGAGCCAAAATTGCACCACTGCACTCCAGCCTGGGCAACAGGGTGAGACTCCATCTCCAGAAAAAAAACAAAAGCATGACCAGGTATTGTGTGGCTCATGCTTGTAATCCTAGCACTTTGGGAAGATGAGACAGGTGGATCACTTGAGGCTAGGAGTTTGAGACCACCCTGGCCAACATGGCAAAACCCCATCTCTACTAAAAATACAAAAATTAGCCAGGCATTGTGGTGTATGCCTGTAATCCCAGCTACTTGGGAGGCTGAGGCACGAGAATCACTTGAATCCAGGAGTCAGAGAGTGCAGTGAGCAGAGACCACGCCACTACACTCCAGCCTGGGTGCTGGGTGATAGAGGAAGACTCTGTCTCAAAAAAAAAAAAAAAAAAAAAAGCGTAACCTAAATCAAATCATAAGGAAACATCAGACAAACCCAAACTAAAGGGAATTCTACAAAATGACTTGCCTGAAACCTTTAAAAACATCAAGTTCATGAAGACTAGGAAAGGCTGAGGAACTCTTCCAGATTAAGAAGGAAATTAAGCAAACAGGACAAATAAATGCAACATGTGATCCTGGACTGGCTCCTGGTCTGGAAAAGAGAAAGCTATAAAGGCCTTTAATTGGACAATTAGTGAAATTTGAATATGAATTTCAGCTTAGATAACAGCAATTTAACAATGTTAAATTTTCTGCATTTGATAATTGTACAGTGATTATTTAAGAGGATGTCCTTCATGTTAGCAGTGAAGATGGAAATATTTAAGGGTAAAAATCTATGATTTGCTCTCAAATGTTCATTTAAACTATAATTTTAGGCTGGGCACAGTGGTTCACGCCTGTAATCCCAACACTTTGGGAGGCTGAGGTGGGCGGAACACCTGAGATCAGGAGTTTGAGACCAGCCTAGCCAACATGGTGAAACCCCATCTCTACTAAAAATACAAAAATTAGCCAGGCGTGGTGGCACGCGCCTGTAATCCCAGCTACTCAGGAGGCTGAAGTAGGAGAATAGCTTGAACCTGGGAGGTAGAGGTTGCAGTGAGCCGAGATCCTGCCACTGCCCTCCAGCCTGGGACAGTGCAAGACTGTCTCAAAAAAAAAAAAAAAAAAAAACCCCAAAACTACCCGAACATGGTGGCGGGTACCTGTAAACCCAGCTACTCAGGAGGCTGAGGCAGGAGAATCGCTTGAACCCAGGAGGTGGAGGTTGCAGTGAGCCGAGATCGCGCCATTGCATTCCAGCCTGGGCAACAAGAGTGAGATTTTATTTCGAAAAAAAAGTGAAAAATAAAAAATAATTTGGTAAGCAGGTTGATAAAAAAAAAAATAATAGCGATATATATTGTATACAGAATGCTGAAGTAAATGCAGCAAAAATATGAATTGGTGAACATAGGTGAGGCGTGTATGGGAGTTCCTTAAGGTGTTTTTGCAACTTTTCTGTAAATTTGACATGCTTTTCAAAATAAAAATTTAAAATTAAGAAAGCCTGTTAAGATATGTAAAGGAAGGGTAGGGGTGATTGCTGAAAGGGGCTCCATCGAGGACTAACCCTGCCAATAGAATGGTACTGTATGCCAGAGCACAGCCACACTGATGTCCCTCCAGTGCCACACTGATGTCCCTCACTCCTGGAAAGGGCCTCTGTAGAAGATGATACTGGGCCAGGTGTGGTGGCTCCCGCCTATAATCCCAGCACTTTGGGAGGCTGAGGCAGGTGGATCACCTGAGGTCGGGAGTTCAAGACCAGCCTGACCAACTTGGAGAAACCTTGTTTCTACTAAAAATACAAAATTAGCCAGGCGTGGTGGCGCACGCCTGTAGTCCCAGCTACTTGGGAGGCTGAGACAGAATCGCTTGAACCCGGGAGGTGGAGGTTGCAGTGAACCGAGATTGCCATTGCACTCCAGCCTGGGCAACAGGAGTGAAATTCCGTCTCAAAAAAAAAAAAAAAAAAAAAAAAAGATGATACCAATGGCTGGGCTCCAAAACGAAATCAGTGTGGGGGACAAGGGTTCACCTTGTACTTTGTCCCAAATTTGCCCCTAAACATCAAGCAACATATGAGAACATATGAGACCGTGTCAGCAATGCCTGGTCTGACCCTCCTCTGTTAGAAGCTGGAAGTTATTCTGTACCTTCTTGCTTTACCTTTTCTTTTCTTTTTTTTTTTTTTGGTTTGTTTGTTTCTTGCTGTTGAGGCCAGGAATACTCTAACGTTTCCACAGATGAGTTAACATTTGCATAACAATCTGGGTGACCCTGTTCTTTCCTGTTGGAAAGGGACTTTTCTTGACTCCTGAGAGGATAAGTTGAGGGTCTTTTGAAGCTGCCCAGGCCCTATGGGTGGGGACGTGCCTGTCAGCCCACCAGTGGAGAGCTGGAGCCCAGTGAGTCTCAGGGGTTGGAGGTGTGGCGGGCCAGGAGAGTGTGTTGAATATGGGGGCTAGGAAGTAGGGTTGGGCCCAGCCAAGGTTGGGGGTAAAATTGTCCACACTCACTCATGTCCCCTTGAAACCTATTATATAAGGCTAGGGTAATACTTTGAAAATTCACTACATTTTGTCACCAGTTGAACACGACTGTTTCGTGGCAGAACTTGATAGAATACAAGAATGTTTTCTCCTTGTGTACTATGCAGATTTGCCTAGGAGACCAGAAGTTCTTGGCACTCACTTACAAAATGGAAGTGCAGTCACGAAGTATCTGTTGGGTGTCTGCTGGAGTTCAAATGGTAAACTAGGTTGTCAAGGTTCCTGCCCTCAAGGAGGTAGAGAGCAAGAAAGGTCAATGGATTACCACAATAGAGTCTAAGGACAGAACGAGAAATTACCTAGGCCCTAGACAATAGTATTTTGAGTTAAAATTTTTTTCTTGGCCATGTCTGGTGGCTCATGCCCGTAATTCCAGCACTTTGGGAGGCTGAGGTGGGAGTATTGCTTGAGCCCAGGAGTTCCAGACCAGCCTGGGCAACATAGCAAGACTTCATCTCCACTTAAATAAATAAAAAAATAAAATAAAAAAGAAAAAATATGTATTTTTTTCTTGATTAAAAAAACCTTGGAGGCCGGGCATGGTGGCTCATGCCTGTAATCCCAGCACTTTGGGAGGCCGAGGTGGGCAGATCACCTCAGGTCAGGAGTTCAAGACCAGCCTGGCCAACATGGTGAAACCCCGTCTCTACTAAAAAATACAAAAATTAGCTGGGCATGATGGCGCATGCCTGTAATCCCTCGGAAGTCTGAGGCAGGAGAATTGCTTGAACCAGGAGGCAGAGGTTGCAGTGAGCCGAGATTGCGCCCCTGTGCTCCAGCCTGGGTGAAACAGTAAGACTCTGTCTCAGAAAAAAAAAACAAAAAACCTTAGCAAAAATTGACCAAAAAGTCAAAAGACAAGTGCTCAAGTGGGAAAAAAAAATTGCATATGTGCTAGCTGAAGGGCTAAGTCAATTAAAAATTAGACTCGGCCAGGCGTGGTGGCTCACACCTGTAATCCCAGCACTTTGGGAGGCCAAGGGAGGCAGATCATCTGAGGTCAGGAGTTTGAGACCAGCCCGGCCAACATGGCGAAACCCCATCTCTACTAAAAATACAAAAATTAGCAGGGCATGGTGGCAGGTGCCTGTAATCCCAGCTACTCGGGAGGCTGAGGCAGGAGAATCACTTGAACCTGGGAGGCGGAGGTTGCAGTGAGCCAAAATCGTGCCATTGCACTTCAGCCTGGGCGAGGATAGTGAAAGTCTATCTCAAAAAAAAAAAAAAAGAAAGAAAAATGCAAATTGAAATTTCAACAGGATACTACTTTCACATTGGCCAAGAGCAAAATGTTGATAATGTTTGCGGAAGGCTGGGGAAACAGGCTCTGCCCTATATCTGAGGGAAGTGTGCATTGGGCCAGCCTCCATGCAGGGCAAGTTGGCTACAGCTGTCAAGATCTAAAATGCACATCTTATGACCCAACAACTCCAATGCTAGGAACTTATCCTACAGACACAGTAAAAACTTGCAACATGTCACACTGTTAAGTGAAAAAAGCAAGCTACAAAGCAGTGTATATCATATGCTATCCATTGAATGTATATGTAAAATCCCATGGTTAAGCCATAATTTTCTTAACTTTCTCCTGTTGCTGGGTATGTTGTTTTCGTGTTTTTGTGATTATATTGTAATGCTGTGATAGACATCTTTTGTGCATGAATTTCTGTCTACACCTAAAGCTGTTTACTTGGGACAGTCCAGATTACTGGGCCAAGGAGATAGCAAAATGAATTTACAATAGCAACCATTGCAGCAACCATCACCATCTGTTAAGTGGGCTGTTTTGTTTTGTTTTGTTTCTTCATCTTCTCAACAGTCCTGTGAGGTAGGGAGGAGCACCTCCGTTTTGTAGTTGAGGAAAGGGGTTTAAAGGAGGTGAAGTGACTTGTTCCAGGGCACACAGCTGGAGTGGTGAGAGCAGACCTGGATCTGCTTGGCTCTGTTGATGAAATGGGTCAAATTCCTTAAAATATTTGGATTTATTCTGAGCCAAATATGAGTGACCATGGTCCGTGACACAGCCCTCAGGAGGTCCTGAGAACATGTGCCCAAGGTGATCGGGGCGCAGTTTGGTTTAATACATTTTAGGGAGGCATGAAACATCAATCAAATACATTTAAGAAATATACTGGTTTGGTCCAGAAAGGCCAGACAATTCAAAGCGAGGGGTGGGGGTAGATGGGGTACTTCCAGGCTGTAGGTAAATTTAAACATTTTCTGGTTGACAATTGGTTGAGTTTTTCTGAAGTCCTGGGATCAGGCCGGGTGCAGTGGCTCACACCTGTAATCCCAGCACTTTGGGAGGCCGAGGTGGGCAGATCACCTGAGGTTGGGAGTTCGAGACCACCCTGGCCAATATGATGACACCCCATCCCTACTAAAAATACAAAAATTAGTCGGGCGTGGTAGCAGATGCCTGTGATTCCAGCTACTGGAGAGGCTGAGGCAGGAGAATGGCTTAGATCCGGGAGGTGGAGTTTGCAGTGAGCGGAGATAGCACCATTGCACTCCAGCCCAGGCGACAGAGCGAAACTCTGTCTAAAAGAAAAAAAAAAAAAAAAAAAGGCTGGGCACAGTGGCTCACACCTGTAATCCCAGCACTTTGGGAGGCCGAGGCGGGCAGATCACCTCAGGTCGGAGTTCCAGACCAGCCTGACCAACATGGAGAAATCCCGTCTCTACTAAAAATACAAAATTAGCCTGGCATGGTGGCACACACCTGTAATCCAAGCCACTTGGGAGGGTGAGGCAGGAGAATTGTTTGAATCTAGGAGGCGGAGGTTATGGTGAGCCGAGATCATGCCATTGCACTCCAGCCTGGGCAACAAGAGCGAAACTCCGTCTCAAAAAAAAAAAAATTATTTTTGGTTTACAGCTCCCAAACCCCTGCTTTAGAGGCCCTTCATCTATTCGGGGCTTTCTTTTTTTGAGAGAGAGAGGGTCTGGCTCTGTTGCACAGGTTGGAGTGCAGTGGCGATCATGGCTCACTGCAGCCTCTGTCTCCTGTGCTCAAGTGATCCTGCTACCTGGGCCTCCCAAAGTGCTGGGATTACTGGCATAAGCCACCGCACAGGGCCTACTTGGTGTATTTTTTAAGGGTCTTGGTGGCTGAGCATGGTGGCTCACGCCTGCAATCCCTGCACTTTGGGAGGCTGAGGTGGGTGGACCACCTGGGGTCAAGAGTTCGACAGCAGCCTGGCCAACATCATGAAACCCCGTCTCTACTAAAAATACAAAAAAATTGGGCGGGCACAGTGGCTCACGCCTGTAATCCCAGCACTTTGGGAGGCCGAGGTGGGTGGATCATGAGGTCAGGAGTTCAAGACCAGCCTGGCCAACATAGTGAAACCCTGTCTCTACTTAAAATACAAAAATTAGCCAAGCATGGTGGCATGACTCTGTAGTCCCAGCTACTTGGGAGGTTGAGGCAGCAGAATCGCATCGCTTGAACCTGGGAGGCAGAGGTTGTGGTGAGCCAAAATTGCACCACTGCACTCCAGCCTGGGCAACAGAGCGAGAGACTCTGTCTCAAAAAAAAAAAAAAAGAAAGAAAAAAGAAAACACCGAAAAAATTAGCTGGGCGTAGTGGCACGCACCTGTAATCCCAGCTACTCAGGAGGCTGAGGCAGGAGAATCACTTGAACCCAGGAGGTGGAGGTTGCAGTGAGCCGAGATTGTGTGCGCCACTGCACTCCACCTGGGTAACAAGAGCAAAACTCGGTCTCAAAAAAAAAAAAAAAAAAAAAAAAAAAAGCGGGGGGGCTCTTCATAAACAATGTCAAATTACTCTCCAGAAACCTAGTATCAGTTTATGCTCCTCACACTCCCACTGAGATTGCCAAACTCTCCACACTCAGGTCAGTGTGGAGAATGGCAATATTTTCATTTTGCCAACTGGGAGGGAAAAAAATAGCCTCTCATAGTTTTGATGATCATGTCTTTGGTAACTAATGAATCTGACCATTTTTCATATGTTTATTCGCTGTTTGTACTTTTATTAACTGTTCATGTTGGACTACGTATTTTTAAAATATGCAAAACATTCTGAAAACTGTAACATGTCGATTCTTTTTCTTTTCTTTTCTTTTTTTTTGAGACAGTCTCGCTCTGTCGCCCAGGCTGGAGTGCAGTGGTGCGATCTTGCTCACTGCAGCCTCCGCCTCCCAGGTTCAAGCAGTTATCGTGTCTCAGCCTCCTGAGTAGCTGGGACTGCAGGTGTGCACCACCACACCCAGCTAATTTTTGTATTTTTAGTAGAGACGGGGTTTCACCATGTTGGCCAGGCTGGTCTCGAACTCCTGAGCTCCAGCAATCCTCCTGCCTCGGCCTCCCAAAGTGCTGGGATTACAGGCATGGGCCACCGCGCCAGGTAAACTGTTGATTCTTAATAAATCCCAGTAGAGACGTGCGCTTGCGTGGGCAAAAGCTCCTGCCGAGGCCATCAGACGCGTTGTTGAGGCTCCGGGTCCTTGGCTTTACCCTGGAGACCCAAGTCCAGGGGCCTTGGGTGCACTCAGATGGAGAAAGGTGGCAGCAAGGAGTTGGATGTGCCACTGAGACAAAAACCAACGCTAATACTCACCATCCGTGCATTGCCTTCTGTAAGCGTAACAAATGCCTGGGGCCACGGTCACCGGAAAGCCCCTCTCCTTGTCCGCGCCTGGGGTGGCTTCGGGGCTCGCCGCTGAGACGCGGGGCCAGGAGCGAGTCTGGCAACTTCCAGAGCCCTCCGCCCGCCTCCCCTGCCTCCTGCTTAGGTCGCTGCTCCGGCGGGGTGAGGCCGGGCGGGAGCGGGCAGGCTGGGCATGGCCCGCGAGGCAGGGTAGCCGGCTTGGAGCGCGGGGTCCGGGAGGCAGGCGCGGGGAAGGAGGCCGAGCGCGCCTGCCGGGAGGGCGAGCAGGAGGCGGCGGGCAAAGCCTACTTCGCTTAGTTTTGTGCGCCTGACAGCAGCCCTTCAGCAAGGTGAATTCTTTGAGGAAGGGTCTCATTCACAAGCTGCCAAGACATCCGCGACCTATTCTTGAATTCACACAAAAATTAAAGGAAAAACAACAGCCCAACTAATTTAGCAACTTGCAAGAGGCAGCTGGTGCTCCTTTCCGCGCCCCTGGGGCCCAGTCTTCCCCTCCCCACCGCCTCCCACCCCGCCCCCACCCCCGCCTCGCCTCTGAGAGGTCTCCCCAGAGTTATTTTGTATCCTGCAGCTCCAGGCCTCATTGTGACAGCTGAGTGACTTAGCTGGCACCGTGGGATGCGGAATGACAAAGGCGCAGAGCATCGGAGGCCCGGTGGCAGCAGGGGATGGCAAGGGATGGCGGAGGCTTGCAGCTCTGAGGACCCCCCATCCAGCAGCCGCCTGAGGTGCCCAGTCGCCCATTCCACCTCCCTCTAAAATAATGCTTCTATGAATTAAGTGAGAGGCTTTTGCAGTCCAAAAATTGGTACTTCCAGTGTCCTCGCAGGCTGGAGATGGTGGGGTCTCAGGCTTCTGCATGTCCTGGCCCTGACAGTTCTTTTTCTGTCGCTGCCAGTAGCACCTTCTCTCTATCTCATCCATTAAGTGCCAGGTCTCCTGCCTTCTGTCCCCGAGGCCACTTCGCTCTCCCTGGCTTCCCCATCTTTGTGCCTCCTTGGTGGTGCCAGCTTCCTCTCCAGCCTGGGAGAGGTCATGGGTTCCAAAGGCCTGTCCTGGCAGTGCCGGCCTGGACTCCTGAACCGCCCCCAAGGGCCATCCTTACAGAACAGTGACTTCAGGCCTGGACTCTGAATTCAGACCTCACTGAGGGGCAAGTGGAGTGCAATGATCAGCTGCTCAGTTGGGAATTCTGACCTCCCTGAAACTGCTTAACACCTCAGAGCACAGTTTTCTTGTCTGTAAAATGGGGCATAATAGCAATATTTAAAGAGAATGGTTATGAGGATTACATGAGCCAATTCAGGGAACTCACTTAGGTTGTAAGTGCTCCAAAAGTGTTAGCTATTATTAATAATATTGTTCTACCAAACACTAAAGACATGTTCAGCAAATATGCTCCCTCAGTCCACTTCAGCATCTTGAGTTCCCACACTATCTTCCTCAGAGGTTTTGAGTGGAGCCACAGAATTACACAACACTATCCCCAATATCAGTCCCCAACTCCTTTAATTGGCAGGAATAAAGTGTTCTTTCCCTAGCCACCCTGTAAATCAGCTCATAGGTCATTAACTGTTACTAAGAGCTCCAGACTAGGCTGAGGAAGCTGCAAAGAGGCCACTGAACAGATACTGGGCAGAATTTCTTTCTCTTCAGATACAGCTGTACTCCCAAGCAACATCCTTGTTTCCAAAAAATTCTACTTACACTTATGAGAAAGCTAATTATTTGGAAGCCAATAAGCCAATTTCTGTCTTAGTCCATTTTGTGTTGCTATAAGAAAATATCCAGGACTGGGTAATTTATACAGAACAGAAATTTATTTCTCACAGTTCTGGAGGCTGGGAAGTCCAAGATCAAGGTGCTGGCATCTGGTGAGGACTGCTCTCTGCTTCCAAGATGAAGCCTTGGTCGGGTGAGGTGGCTCATGCCTGTAATCCCAGCACTTTGGCAGGCCGAGGGCAGCGGATCACCTGAGGTGAGGAGTTCGAGATCAGCCTGACCAACATGGTGAAACCCTGTCTCTACTAAAAATACAACAATTAGCTGGGCATGGTGGTGCATGCCCGTAATCCCAGCTACTCGGGAAGCTGAGGCAGGAGTATCACTTCAATCTGGGAGGTGGAGGTTGCTATGAGCCAAGATCACACCACTGCACTCCAGCCTGGGCAACAGAGCAAGACTCCATCTCAAAAATAAAATAAAATAAAATAAAATAAAATAAAATAAAATAAAATAAAATAAAATAAAGATGAAGGCTTGAATGCTGCATCTTCTGCAGGGGAGGAGCACTACGTCCTCACATGGCAGACGGCAGAAGGGCAGAAAGGTATGGCTTTAAGAAAAATATTTGGGTCGGGTGCAGTGGCTCACCCCTGTAATCCCAGCATTTTGGGAGCCGAGGCAAACGGATCACCTGAGGTCAGGAGTTCAAGACCAGCCTGGCCAAACTGGCGAAACCCTGTCTCTACTAAAAATACAAAAAATTAGCCAGGTGTGGTGGAGGGTGCCTGTAATCCCAACTACTTGGGAGGCTGAGGCAGAACAATCACTGGAACCTGGGAGGTGGAGTTGCAGTGAGTCGAGATCACACCACTGCACTCCAGTCTGGGTGACAGAGTGAGACTGCATCTCAAAAAAATGAAAAAGGAAGATATTTGGGTCGTATTGCATTTAGGGAACACAGTGGTTCTCCCTGCCATCCATGGCTTTGCTTTCTGCAGTTTCAGTTACCTGAAGTCAATGTGGTCTAAAAATATTAAATGAAAAATTCCAGAAATAAACAAGTAGCATGATGAAATCTCACACCATCCCTCCATCCTTTCTTCATCACAAGAAGGGTACAATAAGATATTTTGAGAGGGAGACTACATTCCCATAACTTTTAGTACAGTATATTATTATATTTTTTCTGTTTTTAAATTATTAATAATTATTTTGAGATAGAGTCTCACTCTGTCACCCAGGCTGGAGTGCAGTGGCATGATCATGCTCACCACAGCCTCAACCTTCCAGGCTCAAGCTGTCCTCCCAACTCAGCCTGCTAAGTAGCTGGGATTACAGGCATGTGAACAGCTAATTTTTAAATTTTTTGTAGAGATGCTACAATAAATTTTGTTGCCCTGGCTCTATTTTATTATTAATTGTTGTTGCTAATCTTTTACTGTGCCTAATTTATAGATTAAACTTTATCATAGATATGTATATATAGAAAAAAAACCATAGTATATATAGGATTCAGTACTATCTGTGGTTTCAGGCATCCACTGGGAATCTTGGAACATATCCCCTGAACACTACTGTTTGTTAATTTAGGTTAAGCAATACCACCTGCTATAGCAGAAAAACTTCAGCATCTCTTCGGCTTAACACAATAAGGTGTATTTCTCCTGTTACATATCAGAACAAGTGGGAGGAGTCTGCTCCATGCAGTTACTTAGGGGTCCACGCTAATGGCAGCTCTGCTAACTTGTAGCTCATCATCTGGAACACATGGCTTCTGAGATACTACCGAAGGGGAAGAGAGGAATGGAGAATGACTCACTCTGGTTCTTAACTCTTTGAACCAGAAGTAACACATATCATTTCAGCTTCTCATCCATTGGCTGAAACTAGCCACATGGTTCTAACCTAATGGAGGGGAAGGCTATGAAATGCAGGGGTGCACAGGGACTATTTGGTGAACACTAATTTTTCTGCTACAGAGAAAGATATTACAAATTACAAATAAGCTGAACTTAGAGTTATTTCATGTCATCAGTTGCAATTCAGGAAACGAAATCTAGGAATTATTACAGACTGTTTACCACAGGTTATGACTCCATGTGTGGCATTGGAATTGGTAGAAAACAGATCTCAGTCTCGGTAACAGATATGCCAAGTCACATTGGCCATGGAAGTGAGGCACATGGAGCAGATGAATAGGCTGCAAACACCAGAAGGGGCAGCTCAGATAAGAGGTCCTCAAAATATGATACTTGATTTTGGAAAGAGAAAAGGTACAATGGGAACAGTTCCAAGACTATGTATGTACATATATACCACAGAAAAAAATAGCAAATGTAGTACATGTAATAAAAATAGAACACTCCATTGGTCAAATGCTAAGATGCTACGTGTTTAAAGTCACTCTTCAACAAACACACACAGAGTAGAAAAAGTGGTTTTAGACTGGGTAACAGGAAGTACTACTTTACGGTAGTTAGGAAATATATTCATGCAGGCTTCATGTATTTAATGAATGTCTATGATGTGTTTGACATTTACAAGAAATCTGTAAGCATATGAAGTTTACAGTCTAATTTCTGAATTTAGACAGATAGATCTTAGATAAACAGATAACAGATCCTTAACCTTTTATTTTACTTAACATTATTTATTACTACTATGTGCAAGACACTTTGGAGAATATAAAGATGAACCAACCCCAATCCCAACCCTGAAGCAATTTATAGGCAAGGTTGTAGGCTGAGTGCGGTGGCTCACTCCTGTAATCCCAGCACTTTGGGAGGCCAAGGTGGGCGGATCACTTGAGGTCAGGAGTTCAAGACCAGCCTGGCCAGCATGGTGAAACCCCATCTCTACTAAAAACACAAAAATTAGCCGGGTATGGTGGTGCACGCCTGTAGTCCCAGCTACTCAGGAGGCTGAGGCAGAAGAATTGCTTGAGTCTGGGAGGCTGATCTGAGATTGCACCACTGCATTCCAGCCTGAATGACAGAGCAAGACTCTGTCTCAAAAAAAAAAAAAAAAAAAAAAAAAAGGCTCAGGTGTGGTGGCTTACGTCTGTAATCCCAGCACTTTGGGAGGCTGAGGTGGGTGGATCACGAGGTCAGGAGTTCAAGACCAGCCTGGCCAAGATGTTGAAACCCTGTCTCTACTGAAAGTACAAAAATTAGCTGGGTATGGCGGTAGGTGCCTGTAATCCCAGCTATTTGGGAGGCTGAGGCAAAGAATTGCTTGAACCCGGGAGGTGGAGGTTGCAGTGAGCCGAGATCGTGCCACTGCGCTCCAGCCTGGGCAACAGAGCAAGACTCAGTCTCAAAAAAAAAAACAAGGCTGTATGAAGCTGAGCTATGCCCTCTTACAAGCAGTCTCGTTACTGATACCAGTAGGTATCAGAGAGGTATCAAGCTGGTGAAATGGTTCACCAGACTGATCCCCTTGGCCTTCCTTGGGATGCAACTTGAAAGATGAACTTTAACCTGAAGTTCAATAATGAACCTGCCACTTTGGGAGGCCAAAGCGGGAAGTTCGCTTGAGCTCAAGAGTTCAAGACCAGCCTGGATAATATAGTGAGACCTTATCTCATTTTTTTTTTAAGCCGGAGTCTTGCTCTGTCACCCAGTCTGGCATGCAATGGCCTGATCTTGGCTCACTGCAAACTCCGCCTCCCAGGTTCACACCATTCTCCTGCCTCAGCCTCCCAAGTAGCTGGGACTATAGGCACCCGCCACCACGCCCAGCTAATTTTTTTGTATTTTTAGTAGAGACAGGGTTCACCAGGTTAGCCAGGATGGTCTCAATCTCCTGACCTCGTGATCCGCCCGCCTTGGCCTCCCAAAGTGCTGGGATTACAGGAGTGAGCCACCGCGCCCAGCCAACTTTATCTCATTTTTAAAAAATACATTTAAAGAGGAAATAATGAACTTGCCAACTTGAATGACCTGATGCTGTCTGCATTGGTTACCTTATAGCTGGAAAGGCAAATTCAGGGCCCCTGTCTGCAATTATGGTGAAAAATTGGCCAGGCGCAGTGGCTCATGCTTGTAATCCCAGCACTTTGGGAGGCTGAGGCGGGCGGATCACCTGAGGTCAGGAGTTCAAGATCAGCCTGGCCAACATGGCAAAACCCCGTCTCTACTAAAAATACAAAAAAGTTAGCCGAATGTGGTGGCTCACGCCTGTAATCCCAGCACTTTAGGAGGCTGAGGCGGCCGAGGAAGGTGGATCACTTTGAGCTCAGGAGTTTGAGACCAACTTCGGCAACATGGCGAAACCTCATCTCTACTAAGAATACAAAAATTAGCCAGGCATGGTGACATGGGCCTGCAGTCCCAGCTACTTGGGAGGCTGAGGCAGGAGAATCACTTGAACCGAGGAGGCAGAGATTCCAGTGAGCTGAGATCGTACCACTGCACTCCAGCTTGGGCGACAGAGTGAGACTCTGTCTCGAAAAAAAAAAAAAAAAGAATAAGAAAAAAAACCTCTTTCCAGTTAGATGCGCACATTAGGTTGCAAAAACTGGAGAAAATTGTTAGTAGTTAAATTAAACTTGACTTATACTTCCTTACCCCTGTAAATTTATAAAGTAGTCCAGTGATTCTTAAATGTACTCTGGTCAGTTAACCAGATACGAAGATAGTTTCATTGTCTATATTGAAATAGAAAATAAAAAAAGAAGAAAAAAGTGAGAAAATGAACATATTGATATAAAGTTGCCCACTCTTTTTTCATGGGAAGGGCTATCTTTTATTCAGGGAGTATGTTCTTCTTACTATTTTGGGGGATAAAATGTCCTTTATTCTGTGAAATGATGCTGATAGTAGATAGCCATTAGTTCTTTTTAAAAATGTCCTTATTATCAAAATTAAAAGTTGGTGGCCGGGCACGGTGGCTCGCGCCTGTAATCCCAGCACTTTGGGAGGCCAAGGCGGGCAGATCACTTGAGGTCAGGAGTTCAAGATCAGCCTGACTGACATGGAGAAACCCTGTTTCTACTAAAAATACAAAATTAGCCAGGCATGGTGGTGCATGCCTGTAATCCCAGCTACTTGGGAGGCTGAGGCATGAGAATTGCTTGAAACCAGGAGGCAGAGGTTGTGGTGAGCCGAGATTGTGCCATTGTACTCCAGCCTGGGCAACAAGAGCGAAACTCCATCTCAAAAAAAAAAAAAAAGTTGGCAACTCTCAGTTTCCTCAAATTCTTTTTGAAGTGTTACTCTCCTACAAAATCCAAAAGACTGTGAATCGCAAAGTTAAACACTGGGGTGGTTCAAATTTTTGTTTTTTAGAGACAGGGTTCTACTCTGTCACCCAGGCTGGAGTGCAGTGATGGAGTCATAGCTCACTGTAGCCTCCAACTCCTGGGCTCAAGTGATCCTCCCACGTCAGCCTCCCCAGTAGCTGAGACTACAGGTGTGTGTCACCATGTCTGGCTAATATTTAAATTTTTTATAGAGATAGGGGTCTGGCTATCTTGCCTAGGCTGGTGTCAAACTCCTGGCCTCCAGCCATCCTCCCATCTCAGCCTCCCAAAGCATTGGGAATACAGGTGTGAGTCACCATACCCTGTCCAAATTTTCTTTGGTATAGCCTGGTGCTAAAAACTGTCTTTATTAAGACTATTTGGACATCACTAATTGATATGATTAGTGAAAGGCCACCTCACCTTTGAGTCTCAAAACAAAAACCAAAAGATCCCCGACAACTTTGTTCTTCAACAATCTTTAGCTAATTCTACAATCTCTTATCACTCTCCTGTCTTCCTCAGAATCTCTCATTTGAGGCTGAGGCATGTTTCTGGTTTATAGAAATCAATGGTCGGGCTAGTCTTGACCTCCTGGGCTCAAGCGGCCTCCCAAAGTGCTGGGATTACGGGCCCTGTAATTCCAGTACTTTTGGAGGCTGTTTGAACCCAGGAGTTCAAGACCAGCCTGGGCAACATGGTGAAACCCTGTCTCTATTAAAAATACAAAAAATTAGCCGGGTGTGATGGCATACTCCTGTAGTCCCAGCTAACCGGAGGCTGAGGTGGGAGGATCGCCTGAGCCTGGGAAGTTGAGGCTGCAGTGAGGCATGATTGTGCCACTGCACTCCAGCATGGGCAACAGGAACAAGACCCTGTCTTAAGATAAATAAATAAATAAGAAATAAATCAATGGTTGTTCACCCTGACTGCACAGGGTGATTTGGAAAAATGCTGATGAAGGGCCCCTCTCCCCAAATATTCTAATTTAATTGGCCTTACGTGGGACTTAGGCTCTAGGCTGGTTCAAGAGCTCCTCAGGTGATTGCTACGTGTGGCCAGGGAGGCAAACCACAGGTATGAATGGTGTGTCTTCATTAAGTAGCTTTTATGGCACTAGGGCAGTTACACAGATGAACAAACTGGTCCATGCAGTAGAAAAGCTAATTAGGAAAACAGGCAAAATATGACAAGAGAGTAGGGTAAATGCTTTTATTTATTCCATAATTCAACAAATATTAGCTAAGCACTTAACAAGCGCCAGTGCTGGAGTGAAGCCAGGCTCTCAGTCCTGTGGGCTACCTGCAAAAACCAGGAAAACTTCACAGAGGAGGCAGCAGCCAAGCAGGAATTGGGAGGAGTGCTTAGCCAAGGTCTTTATCAGATAAGGCAGGGAGTGAGGGCATCGCAGTGAGGACAGGGTGTGCTGGGCACAGACAAGTGGCAGGCTCGGGAAGCTGGAGATGAGATACTAGTGAGGTGCAGATATGCATACCTTTAGAGGACTAAGGGGTTTAGGCTTGGTCCAGAACGCATTTAAAAGACGTTAAAGGTTTTAAAGCAGGAATGCATAAATTAGATGTGGGTACAGAATACTGGTATTTGAGATAACCCCAGCTGTTCATAAAGGCAGCTGTAGCTAGAATTTCCTAACCAGTTTAATGCTTTGACTGATCATCCCCCATCCCCTCTGCCCTTGACTGAAGTAACCAGACATTGTGACCTTGTGGGGTCAGTTTCTAGTCAATGAAGGGAGAGGATTCCATGTGGCAGTTGGAAGGGAGGTGTAGATCAATGTTTTTTAAGTGACTAATTGAATGTAAATAGAATTCACCATGGGCTGGGCCCTGGACAAATACGTTTAGCGTCCTTGCCTGTGCCTCCTTACCCAATTTCCTTTAGAAGGACTTGGTAGTGCCTCTGTGGATGTGGTACCTCTTATCAGGCTGTTTGTCTGACTTGCTTCAGAGCAAGTAAACAAACCCAAAAGATCAAACCATCTGGGTTCCCAGAGGTTCCTGCAGCTCCTCTGCACTTTATTATTCTTGTTCAGAACTCAAGGACAAATAGGTCAGATCATGAAATCAGCCCAGTACTAGGGACTATAACCTTTTGGCTAAGACACTCACAGAAGAAGTAACTTCCTCGGTTGGGGAAGAAGAAGATTTAGCCTAGGCCAGTGGTTCTCAAATTTAGTGACTGTAAGCTTCAAGACTAGTCATGAGCTAAAAATATATTTTTGGGAGACTCGCTTCAGACTTACTGAATCAGAATCTCTGGGGTTGGGCCAAGGAAACTGTCTTTCAAACACTCATTCCCAGATCATTCTGATTCCAGTGATCTGTAGATTGCATGGAGCAGTATAACTAGTCAGTGGTTCTGGTCTGTGGTGGTGGCTGGCAGCTGTTTTGGGGTTGTGGGGGACAGGTCAGATAAGCTTCTCCATTCATAATCCTCCAGCCCAGTAGGCTTGCAAAATTTGCACCATGCTTGGTTTTCAATTCAGGCTATTTCTAGGTTAATTTCTTAATTGAGCTATTTAGCTCAGCAGAGGACCTGAGATACCACAGATAAGAGAGCGGTTTAGGAGTAAGCATTAAATATCTCTGACTGTGTCTCTTATTATCCTTTCCAGTCCCACTTATCTGAAGAGCCAGATTTCTCAAAGGACAAGTAACCCTAGAGGGGAGTATCAATGGGAAAGCTATGGATTCCTTGCCACATCCCCGTTACAGAACTATGCTTGTTAAGAACAGAATCTCAAGAAAACATATCAAGAGGTTGAATGAAGACATTTCTCTCTTCTGTATTCCTGATCTCCTGGGGTTACAAGAGCACAGGTTTAGGCAAACATAGCCGATTTCTCTCTAAGGTGTCTCTTCACTTCTTGATGCACTGGAGATCCTTGTGGAATAATACATTAGTGATAATGAGTGTTGGGTGCTCACAAATCACCCACAATTCATTGGCTGAAGGCATCTTAAACGTGGACTTTTTGGCTTTTATTGTCTTTAGCTGCTTCTTTTAACATACTTTAGTTTGAGTGTACAGATTTGGGGTTTTCAAACTTGTTTTTAATTAAGGCATGGTTTATTTTTATTGCTTGAGATAAAATGCAGTCTGAGGGTCACAAATGTAATTTACAAAATAAAGTGCATCTGGGCAGACCATAAGAAAAAAAAAGAACAGAAAGCCTAAATAAAGAGTGGGCCAGGATTCTTAAGTTTATTTAGTAACTTCTTGGAGAATAAAAATCCCAGCACCTGCATTATAAAAAAGCACACCTTATAAGTGTCCTTCTCTTCGAAACACCTAAGTGAACTACACTGAATTATGAACTAACTAATGGTTTGTAAAAATTCGCCTTGAGCAAGCTATTGAAGATACTAAATAAACGAGGCTGAGACAGAGTCTGAGGAAACCCAACCTGCTGTTTGTTTTATCAGTAATGTAACTCAAAAGTAGCCAAGCGGATGGCTGGAGTTTTCTCTGTGTTTTGTTTCCCTGGGCTGAGCCTGTGAATGCCAAGATTTAATCTAAAGAGGTTTGTGTTTTAAAAAACTAACAACCAAGTAATAAAACACCTATAAAAACTGTTTATAATGGAACCGGTGACAGTTTGTAGTGTAGTATTACAATTCTTCTGCTCCCCCTCGACCTTTCTCTATCCTTTCATCCAACTCTGTGCCCTTTGTCTAAGTTCCTTTCTCACCTTGCTGCCAAGAAGCTCAGGAGGAGAGGGAGCTCACACCCCAAAGCAGCAGACCATCTTTAAAAAATGAAGTGTGTGTTGTGGTCTGCATTTGAAGACAGGGCTGCGTGTGCTGCTTGTTTTGTCTGAGATAAGGACGAAGATAAGTTGTCCTAACAAAGTACCTACCTAGTTGTACAGTGGTTTCTAATGGGAAGGTGAAGATGCCGCTGCAGTGTCAGTGGCATGAGGCTGCAGGAGTCAACCAGGGCAGGAAGCCTGGGGCCTCCCCTCCCTGGCACCCGGCATAGCCATGCCCAGGCCCAAGATGGCCCTGACTCCAGGGACAGACTTCAGGCAACAGGTGGTTTTCCACCCAGGCCACCATGCCTGAAACTTGGTTCTTTTGCAAAGCCATAGTTCTCCTCCCCCTCTCAAAGAAATGGCGCCTGGGAGGGAAACTTCGTGCTCAAACTCTCTAGGAGCCATTTCTCAGCCCACCTTTCCTATTTTCTGAAGTCTCCCTTGCCAGCATCCCATTCACCTCCGGAAAGAACCAGGGGCGCTCTCTTCAGAGTCCAGAGAGCTCTGGGAGGCATGTGGGCAGCGTCAGAGTGGCCTCGCCTGGGCGGCCAGAGGAGCCCCCAGTCTCCCTCAAGTGGGCCTCAGGAACTCGGGGGGCCCAGGGGAAGCCTGGAAAACCGAACTTCGCCATCAGCCTTCCTTACAGCGCTGGCTAAAAGAGAGGGGGGGAAGGGCCCCCCAGCGGTCTTCCCCGCCCCCCTCCCGCCTCAGCCCCTCTGCCATCCGCCTGCACCGCCCAAGAAAGCACCCAGAACGCGGCTGAGCTCGCCAGCTCCTCGCAGGCAGGGAGAGAGCATCCTGGGGGGCAGCTTCCCCCTCCAGCCCGCGTCTGACATCCCCACTCCCACACAAGGATGCCGCCGCCGTGCCCTGTCCGCAGTCGCTGAATGTCACTGCTCCCTCTTCCTCCCGATCAGGGTAGACACAGCTCCCGAGGCGTCCCCCACCCCAAAACTGCCGCGATCGCCCGAAGGCGCAAAGCCTGGGCGAAGGACGAAGTTTGGGGCCCACAGCGACGGGAGTGGGGACGCGTTGGCGAGGACCGCACCTCAGTCCCAGCCCTGGCGGGCACACTCCCCGCCCCAAACGGCCCAGGCGTCCCCATCCTCCCGCGGACACCAGCGTCTCCGCCCTCCCCCGAGGGCGGCGAGAGGAGCCCCCCGGGGCGGAGGCAGGTACCCCCGGGGCGGAGACTGGGGCGGGCGGGGTCCGGGCTGCGCCCCCGGCCAGGCCGGGCGGGCTGGCGGGCGGCGCGGGGGGAGCGGGGCTGGGCGGCGCTGCCTCGGGCTCTGTGCGCTGCAGCCCGGAGCCGAGGAGGAGGAGGCGGAGGAGGAGAAGGAGGCGGCGGCGGTGGGTCCCGGGCGGGGGGAGCGCGGCGCTGCGGACCCGGGCGGCTGGCAAAGGACGAGGCGGAGGCTGAGGAAGGCAGCGGGGAGACCCAGGCTGCAGCAACAAAGGGCAGCGAGCGATTGGCCGGGCTGCAGGCGAGGTTAGCCGGGGACCCGGGTGGCCGGAGGCAGCGGCGAGCGGTGCACGTGCTTGCAGACACGGGCGAGTGTGGAGCCGGGGGGTGCACGCCCGGTGGGTAGGGGCTTGCTCCCCCGAGGCATGGGATGGCGAGGAGGCTGCAGCGACATCGTTCTGCCTGCACCCGGCCTGGGGCTGGCAGGGTAGGGGTGTGTTGGGGGGGGAAGGATGCGAGCCAGGGGGCGGGCGAGTAGTCGCCCGGGACGGGACGGGACGGGAGAGAGGGTGGAGGAGGGGGCGGGATGGAACGCTCCGGGCGGCGCGCCCGTCCGCACACTCCACCGAAGGAGCTGGCGACTGAGAACCTCGAATTTTAACTTCGCGTGCCCGCCCGCGCGCGCCCGCCCGCGCCCACCCCTAAATCCTGCGGCCGCCGCCAGCGATCAGCTCTCACACAAACTTTAGCTGCGGGCTAGGGGGTTTGGGGTTGAGTGGGGGAGGGGAGAGGGAAAAGGCCTCCTGATTGGCGTCGTCTGCAGCCAATAAGGCTACGCTCCTCTGCTGCGAGTAGACCCAATCCTTTCCTAGAGGTGGAGGGGGCGGGTAGGTGGAAGTAGAGGTGGCGCGGTATCTAGGAGAGAGAAAAAGGGCTGGACCAATAGGTGCCCGGAAGAGGCGGACCCAGCGGTCTGTTGATTGGTATTGGCAGTGGACCCTCCCCCGGGGTGGTGCCGGAGGGGGGGATGATGGGTCGAGGGGTGTGTTTATGTGGAAGCGAGATGACCGGCAGGAACCTGCCCCAATGGGCTGCAGAGTGGTTAGTGAGTGGGTGACAGACAGACCCGTAGGCCAACGGGTGGCCTTAAGTGTCTTTGGTCTCCTCCAATGGA
Source organism: Homo sapiens (assembly GCF_000001405.40). Lineage (NCBI taxonomy): Eukaryota > Metazoa > Chordata > Mammalia > Primates > Hominidae > Homo > Homo sapiens. The sequence goes on from NC_000010.11 coordinate 74,826,543, forward strand.
GCAGCGGCGGGGCGGGACCGCGACTCGGGTTTAATGAGACTCCATTGGGCTGTAATCAGTGTCATGTCGGATTCATGTCAACGACAACAACAGGGGGACACAAAATGGCGGCGGCTTAGCTCCTACCCCTGGCGGCGGCGGCAGCGGTGGCGGAGGCGACGGCACCTCCTCCAGGCGGCAGCCGCAGTTTCTCAGGCAGCGGCAGCGCCCCCGGCAGGCGCGGTGGCGGTGGCGCGCAGCCAGGTCTGTCACCCACCCCGCGCGTTCCCAGGGGGAGGAGACTGGGCGGGAGGGGGGAACAGACGGGGGGGGATTCAGGGGCTTGCGACGCCCCTCCCACAGGCCTCTGCGCGAGGGTCACCGCGGGGCCGCTCGGGGTCAGGCTGCCCCTGAGCGTGACGGTAGGGGGCGGGGGAAAGGGGAGGAGGGACAGGCCCCGCCCCTCGGCAGGGCTCTAGGGCAAGGGGGCGGGGCTCGAGGGCGGAGGGGGGCGGGGCGGGATCGGGTGGGGGCGGGGTTCGGGGAGTCGGAAGGCGGGGGCTGAGAGGGAATTTCTGAGTGGGAGTGAACTGGTAGGAGCGGTGGGGGGCCGGCGAGGGTGTGAGGAAGACTAGTGAGGGTTGGGTGGGAGGAGAAGCTGAAGGTGTAGAAGCAGGTGCAGAGGGAGAGTTAGGGAGGGATGCAATTTGAGAGAAGTGGAAGGCGGACCGAGGGGTGTGTGAGGGCAGGTGAGATGATACCGAAGGCGAGATTGCAGTTGTCTGGGCGCAGAGTAGGTGGGTTTGGGTGTGGTGGATGTGGAGTAGAGTTGAAGCGGTGCAGAGTGTTGGGTTTGGGGAGGCGTTGAGGGGTTTGGGGAGGCATTGAGGCGCATGTGAGGAGCAGGTACGATTGCAGTGATGGGAAAGAGGTATCTGGGTGGATCGCATGTTGGAATAAGAAGGAGGTTTGCTAGCTTTGGGGTATGAAGTATTTTTTAAAAACGTGGAAGGATGGGATGGTTGTGCTTGGGAGAGTTTCTGAAAGATGATGCTAAGACAGCAGAGCAAACTTAAATATGAAGGAAGGGGAGAGAGGCTGCTTAGAACTTGCAAAATCTGTGGCAGAAAATCTCCTGGGGACAAGGGATTGGTAGGGGTGGGACAAGGCGGCAGGTGTGAAGAAAGTGGGTGGAGCTGTACAGTAATTTTCGGTGAATGTGATTTGGTGGACTGTGCCAGGGGTGAGGATGGGGCAGAGAAAGGTGTTAGTTTGGGAGACAAGTTGTTTGATAGGCTGTATTTATTATTTTTTATAAAAATGAGAAAAGGGTCTCACTATGTTGCCCAGGCTGGTCTCGAACTCCTGGCCTCAAGTGATCTGCCCACCTCTGCCTGACTGATGGGATTACAGACGTGAGCTATGGCGACCCGTGATACGCTGGATTCATTATGTTAAACTTGATCTGGAGTCTTCAAGGGAGTGTCCGGCAGCAGGGTATCCCAGGAAGAGACATGCACCATACCTTGGGATAGGACATTTTGCATAGCTTTGAATTTGCTAGTACTTTGCTGTGGGCAGAGTGCAGGGAGTGGTAGGAGATGACCAGGCAAAGGCAGAGGAGGGGTTAGATTACAAATGGTGTCCTATGCCCCATGAAGGAGTTTAAGCCCTGTAATTGGTAGAAGGTGTTGGGACGTGTTAAAGAGAGTGTTAGACAGAAGTTGTGAAGGGGTAGTGATAAAGAATTACAGATGTGGGAAATAGGAAATGAAGACCAACGAACCAAGTATGTTTGGGGTTGGAGGTACCAAGGAAATTCAGGGTAGAGCATATGAGGGCCCCTCCTATATGGACAGAAGGTGGAAATAGCAAATGGAAATTAGTTGTGTTCGAACAGTCTTAGTTCTATGGGGCCCCAAGAAGGTTTTTTGTGTTTTTTTTTTTTTAAAGTGCATTCTTCCTGTCTTACTTGTATACCCTAGATTTTTTGGCATAGCCTTGAAATAAAACACTCCATTTTTTTCTTACTCATAAGTTCTTTTTTTTTTTTTTTTTTTTTTTGAGACGGAGTCTCAGTCTGTCGCCCAGGCTGGAGTGCAGTGGCGCCATCTCGGCTCACTGCAAGCTCCGCCTCCCGGGTTCACGCCATTGTCCTGCCTCAGCCTCCGGAGTAGCTGGGACTACAGGCGCCTGCCACCACGCCCCGCTAATTTTTTGTATATTTAGTAGAGACGGGGTTTCACCGTGTTAGCCAGGATGGTCTCGAACTCTTGACCTTGTGATCTGCCCGCCTCGGCCTCCCAAAGTGCTGGGATTACAGGCGTGAGCCACCGCGCCCGGCCATTCATAAGTTCTTTACACATTTATCAGAATGAATTTGGACAGTATTTTATGTTTTTAAGAAGGAAAGGATAATGCACATGTTTTTTCTTTTCCGAGAACTTCTACTGAGAGTTAAAGGTTGGAGTGGTGAAGTGATGGTTTAAAAAAAAAAAAAAAGAAAAGAAAAGAGAGAGACAGAGGAAGATTTTAACATTAAAAGAGGAATTTAGGGAATGGCTGATGGTCATGACACGGTCGGCAGAGGAAGTTTTGCTTACTAGCCACACTTAGGCTTCTGAGTAGAGTGGATATTATGTCATTGCTATTATAGCATGTGTTTATTTCACACACTGCTTTTGAAGATTGGGTGGAAACTGTCAGATGTGAGGCATAGCATGAATGAAAGGTAAATAGCATGAGTATTAGAAAGTAGATGAGGAAGTTTAATAATTTTAATGTGCTTCATAAGCTCTCATGGACTTTCACGTATCAATTAGTAAAAGACGTAACTAAGTGATCTGGCTTTCAGTCTCCTAGTTCTCTACAGTGTACCCTCAGTTTTCCACGTGCTTACACATGCCTACATTTGTACTGAGAGAAAAGGAAATAGTTTTTTTTTTTTTTTTGAGACAGTCTTGCTCTGTTGCCCAGGCTGGAGTGCAGTGGCACGATCTCGGCTCACTGCAACCTCCACCTCCTGGATTCAGGTGATTCTCCTGCCTCAGCTTCCCGGGTAGCTAGGATTACAGACATGTGCCCAGCTAATTTTTGTATTTTTAGTAGAGGTGGGGTTTCGCCATGTTGGCCAGGCTGGTCTCAAACTCCTGACCTCAGGTGATCCACTCACCTCGGCCTCCCAGAGTGCTGGGATTAAATAAATAGTTTTATGTGGCTGGGTGTGGTGGCTCACGCCTGTAATCCCAGCACTTTGGGAGGCCGAGGTGGATGGATCACGAGGTCAAGAAATCAAGACCATCCTGGCCAACATGGTGAAACCCCATCTCTACTAAAAATACAAAAAATTAGCTGGGCATGGTGGCGGGCGCCTGTAGTCCCAGCTGCTCAGGAGGTTGAGGCAGGCGAATCACTTGAACCTGGGAGGCGGAGGTTGCAGTGAGCTGAGATTGCACCACTGCACTCCAGCCTGGCGACAGAGCGAGACTCTGTCTCAAAAAAAAAAAAACAAAAAAAAAAGAAAAATATTTTATGTAAGTAGGGATGTGTAAGCTGTAGTGATCAGTCTTTGTTGCAGAATGGTAAATGATGCGTGGATGAGAGAAGTGGGGTGATGGGATATTTCTTCCCTTTAATGCCTTAATTTGCATTTCCAAAGCACCTTTAAGCATCTTTTTATAGAACTCCCATGATCTTCTGATACCTGTCTTCTCGCAGACCCCAGAAAGAGAATACACCAATTTTCGTATCATCTATTCCATTGTTGCCGAATATTTGAGTTGTTTCAAGTTTGGGGCAATTGTGAACAAAGCTGCTATGAGCATTCCTATACCTGTCATCTGGTGCCCATGTGCACAAGTTTCTCTAAGGTATACACCTAGGAATGAAATTGCCGGTTTATAGCTAGGGTGACCATTTGTCCTGGTTTTTGCTTATTTTCCCAGCGTAACTGTAACACTTTTAGTTTTCAAAAGTATCTAGGGTTAGATGATGAATTGTATGGTCACCTAGTCATAAGGTATGCTTGTCTTCATCTTTACTAAGTACCAAACTCTTCTAAAGTATTGTACCAGGTTACACTCCCTCCAGCAATATATGAATTCCCTTGCTTCTCGCCCTCTCCAATCTCAGCCTTTTTAGCTTTTATGATTTTAGCCAATATGGTAAATTTTGCGTTTACCTGATTAGTAATCAGATTGCACAGCTCTTCATATATATATATATATATATATATATATATATATATATTTTTTTTTTTTTTTTTTTTTTTTTTTTTTTTTTTTGAGACGGAGTTTTGCTTTTGTCACCCAGGCTGGAGTGCAGTGGCGTGATCTTGGCTCACTGCAACCTCTGCTTCCTGGGTTCAAGCGATTCTCCTGCCTCAGCCTCCTGAGTAGCTGGGATTACAGGTGCCCACTACCACAACCAGCTAATTTTTTGTATTTTTAGTAGAGATGGGGTTTTGCCATGTTGGGCAGGCTTGTTTCAAACTCCTGATCTCAGTTGACCCGCCCGTCTTGGCCTCCCAAAGTGCTGGGATTACAGGCGTGAGCCTCTGCACCCGGCCAGCTCTTCATATACTTTTTTAGCCATTTAGATAGCCTCATTTATAAAGTTCTGTTCAAGTCTTTCCCACCCTGCTTTTAAAAGTTGGGCCTTGTATCTTTTATTGCTATTTAGAAGTTCTTTATTTACTGTGAATACAAGTCCTTTGTCATGTGTGTGTGTTGCAAATACTGTGGCTTGCCTTTTCACTCTCTTTATGGTGTCTTTTAATGAACAGAAGTTCTTAATTTTAATGGAGTCAAATTTATTGGTCTTTACTTTATGGTTAGTGCCTTTTGTGTCTTGTTTTAAGACTTTTCCTACCCTGAGGTCAATAAGATATTCTCCTATGCAGTACTATCTTTTTAAAGCTTTGTTGACCTTAAACAATGTATAACTATGAGTAAAATACACTCTTCTTGACCCCAGCCTCACCATTACAATCTATTTTTGCTTTCCTTCACTTTTTTCTGTTCTCTGTCTTGAATTTTTACTTCTCTGCAGCTATAACTAAGAGCCAGGTGCTGACTTCTCCTGTCTCTTAGGAGAAAATGGTCATATAGACAGAAGTTCAGCCAGATTAGATTTTACAGGTCTCCAGCTGACTGTATTGCCCTTTTTCCTTTTATGAGCTAGCATTTTATTGTGTTCCTGCTATGTGTCTGCCATCATCCTTGCTGCTTTCATATTTGTTATCTCAGTGATTCCTCTTAACGGTTCTGTAAAACAGAGAAGTATTCTCATTTTTACAGAAGAGAAAACAGAGACTTAGATTGATTTAGTAGCATGTCCAATATCCCCTAGCCTAGGTAGCTAGCAGAATGGGGACTGGATCCCTGACTCTGATACTTCCCATCACAGCACACCTACTTGTTGATTAAAATGTCAGAAACCTGTTTTTTGATAACATCCAAAACCAAAAAGAATAACTTTCTTACTCTTGATGTAACATGCCTTAAGTAAAGCACACAAAGCTAACTATTGTGAAACTGGATAAAATACCTCTCTGTATATAGCCAGTGGACCTTAAGTGGTCCATGGCTGGATGACAGAAGGTCTGTTAACCCTTAAAAATGTATACCAGTGTATATGGGTACATGTGCTTATTTTTTAGAGTAGAGCTATAATATTTATGAAACTCTCAAAAGGGAACCTGAATTTTTCAGGGTATCTGGATATCTGGTCTGAAGACATCTGTAATACAGTTAACAAAGAATCCTGTAATAATCTCTCTTTCAAAAGAATCATAAAAAAGTTAAGATGTCAGATTTTTCTCAGCCAGGTGCAGTGGCTCATGCCTGTAATCCCACTACTTTGGGAGGCTACAGTGAAAGGATCCCTTGAGCCCTGGAGTTCAAGACATGCCTGGGCAACATAGGGAGACCCCCGCCTCTATTTTTATTTATTTATTTAGATTTTTTGGTATCTTCATTTTATCTTATTTATTTTGTTGAGATAGAGTTTTGCTCTTGTTGCCCAGGCTGGAGTGCAATGGCGTAATCTTGGCTCACTGCAACCTCCACCTCCTGGGTTCAAGCAATTTTCCTGCCTCAGCCTCCCAAAGAGCTGGGATTACAGGCATGCGCCACCACGCCTGCTAATTTTTTGTATTTAGTAGAGATGGGGTTTCACCATGTTGGCCGGGCTGGTCTCAAACTCCTGACCTCAGGTGATCCACCTGCCTTGGCCTGTCGAAGTGCTGGGATTATAGGCATAAGCCACCAAGCCTGGCCTTGTATCTCTATTTTAAAAAGTTTTTTAAAAATCACATTTTTTGGCCGGGCATGATGGCTCATGCCTGTAATCCCAGCACTTTGGGAGGCTCAGGCAGCTGGATCACAAGGTCAGGAGCTCGAGACCAGCCTGGCCAACATGGTAAAACCCCGTCTCTACTAAAAATAAAAACAACAACAACAAACAAACAATGGCATGGTGGCATGTGCCTGTAATCCCAGCTACTCAGAAGGCTGGGGCAGGAGAGTCGTTTGAACCCGGGAGGCGGAGGTTGCAGTGAGCCGAGATCACGCCATTGCACTCCAGCCTGGGCAACAGGGCAAGACTCTGTCTCAAAAAAAAAAAAAAAAAAAAAAAAATCACATTTTTTCCCTTAATACATTATTCTCGGTCTTTGTCATCAAAAACCAACTAAAGCTAATTTGTAATTAGGGAGAAATCTAGGATTGAATAGGAATTTTTAAATGCCAAAAAAAGACACTCTAAATTTAGTTGATTATTTCTTAAGTGAAAGTGCTTAGTTATAATACATCATTACTAATCAGTGTACCCTGGCTCCAAAGACCTGATGACTTCAAATGACTTTTCATCTTGTCTCTAAATTCCTCTGTTTTACAAGGGATCAAATTTCCTGTGAGGTTCCTAACAGTGTGATTAAATTTTAGAGACTGAAACTATTGAGCACTTAAATGCAGGGATAACTATGCAAACCTAATTCATGGGTTTCACCAGGAGATTTGGGACCTGTCTCTACTAATTTATGATGATGATGTTGAAACTAATCTTTGCTAGGGATTATGGAAACCATAATAGTTTATTGATGGTTCAGTTATTGTTTGTTGAAGCACATTTACACAATTATAGTTTAATGACATAACAAGGATATTGTCAACTAGGAGAGCATGACATGAAAAATTAAACTTGCAATTAATATAATATGTATTAGTTGAAATGATAATTTTTATGGTGATTTAGCCTCTTAGAAATCCTTGGAAAACATTATTAGCTTATGAATTGAAAACTCTCTTTGTTAATGAGTAGTGGGAAAGAACTTAGTGTTACTCTAAAAAGATGGGGAATTAAATATTCAGTTCAACCAGCGTTTTATTGAGTGCCTGCTCTGGGCTTGCTGCTGAGTTAGGCTCATAAATATAAGTTGAACAAGATTGATGTTTGCAGAGATGAAATACTGGTTGCTTTTGTTTTTTCTTTCAATCACCCTTCCCTCCAGAGTAGATGGCTACTATTGCCAGAGTGATTCAAACATTCAACAGGTTTGTGTGTGTATGTGCATGCCCTTCCCTGTGCATTATGGTGTCACCTGCTCCTGCAGTGGCTTCCTATTCATCTGTCACGTTCACACACCACAGCTTGGCTTTTTTCACAGCCAACTTTATTTCTGTTTTTTTTTTTTTTGAGATGGATTCTGGCTCTGTTGCCAGGCTGGAGTGCAGTGGCGCGATCTCGGCTCACTGCATCCACCACCTCCGGGGTTCAAGCAATTCCCCTGCCTCAGCCTTCCGAGTAGCTGGGACCACAGGCATGCACCACCACGCCTGGCTAATTTTTTGTATTTTAGTAGAGATGGAGTTTCACCATGTTGGCCAGGATGGTCTCAATCTCCTGACCTCGTGATCTGCCCGCCTTGGCCTCCCAAAGTGCTAGGATTACAGGTGTGAGCCACTGTGCCTGGCCTATTTCTGTTTTTCATTTTTAAATTATATTTGTCTTTTTTAGAGACAGAGTCTTGCTCTATTGCCTAGGCTGGAGAGCAGTGGCACAATCATAGCCCACTGTGGCCTCAACCTCCTGGGCGGCTCAAGAGATCCTCTTGCCTCGGTCTCCCGAGTAGCTGGGTCTACAGGTGTACACCACCACAGCCACCTAATTTTTTATTTTTGTAGAGGTAGGGTCTTGTTGTGTTGCCTAGGCTTGTCTCGAGCTCCTGGCCTCAAGTAATCCTCCTTCCTTGACCTCCCAAAGTGCTGGGATTAGAGGCATGAGCCATTGTGCCTGGCCCAACTTAATTTCTTTATCCCTTTTGAGCATATACCTGTTCTAGTCAGGCACATGGACTTGGTGTCCCTTTTGTTTGACAGCTCATTCTTAGCTTCTGTTATTTCACTTTGATTTCCTTCATTCATTCCCCGATACATTTATTTAGCAAATAGGCATTGAAACCCTCTTATGATCAAGTTGTGGTCTTGGGAAATCTTAGGGTATACAAAGATGAATCAAGCATGAATCCTGTTTTTAAGAATTTTATAGTCTAGTAGGGGTGACAAGGTTAATACACAAGTAAGCATAATACTAAGTGGGAAATGAATGTCAAAACAGTAAAAAAGCTAAAAGCTTCCTGTTAGACAAAGATGTTTGGGGCTTTTGAGAAGTTGTTTGCACTGGGCCATGAAGGATTTGAATTTGGGCAGAGGGACGGTGGGGCACTTATCCAGGCTCAGCATTATCTTTCAAGGTTCAGTTTCAGTCCCATCCATCCAAGAGATGTTCATCCATCCTCCACGTGGTTTCAGCAAGGTAGTATAGTCACAGTTGTTTCCAGACTTCTTCCTTCTGTAATCAGAGGAACACTTCCTTTAAAGCGAATCTTATGGGGAAGACAAATATATGTAAAACAGTTAAAGTGGAGCTGCACTGTTGGGTTCAAGGTGCTGCAATGGCCCAAAGTTTAACCCACAAGGGGTACCTGAAGGTAATACCCGAAGTAACTCCTTGTCACAGAGATCTAAAGAGCCTAGTTTGAAAACCTCTGGAGAGACAGAAAGAGTTTGGGCTTTGGCATCTGAATTAAAATCCTTCATGACTTAATGGCTCTGAGATCTTGGCTAAGTCAAGCCTGTTTTCCTTTTGTAAAAACAACAATGCTACCTTACAGAGTTGTTTTAAAGTTTACTGATAATCTATGTAAAGTACCTGGACCACAGTAGGTGTCAGGAAATGGTTGGTATTATTATTATTATTATAGTTTAGTGCTTTGTTATTTCTTTTTTTTTAAACAATTTATTGAGGTGAAACTCACATAACATAAAATGAAAAAACCATTAAAAAGTGAACAAATCAGTGGCATTTAGTACATTCAGTGTTGTGTCACCACTGCCACTATCAAGTTCCAAAACATTTTTATTGATCCCAAATAAAACCCCTTACCCATTAAGCAGTTTCTCTAGATATGTCCCTGAGACTCCACCAATCTGTGTTTTGTCTATGGATTTATCTATTCTGGATGTCTCATATGAATGAAATTATATGATGTGTGGCCTTTTGTGTCTGGCTTCTTTCACAGCATAACGTGTTTGAGGTCCATCTACATTGTAGTAGCATGTATCGAAACTTCATTGCTTTTTATAGTTGTATAGTATTCTAGTGTATGGATATACCACAGTTTATCTGTTCATCTGTTGATGGACATTTGGGCTGTTTACACCTTTTGGCTACTGTGAATAGTTTTGTTATGAACATGGGTGTACGTGTACTTATTTGAGTATCTGTTCTCAATTCTTTTGAGTCTATACCTAGAAATGGAATTACAGAACCATATGGTAATTCTGTGTTTAACTTTTTGAGGAACCGCCAAACAGTGCTTTGCTATTTCTTAATTGCTTCTTATATGTTCTGTCTCTAGCTTTGCTTTGTATTCCCCATAGTACCTACCACAGGGCTGCATGCAGGGAGCATCAGCTCGCTAAATATTTGTTGGTTTTTCTTTGATTAGTATTTATAACCTCACCTCCCAGTTCACATGTTTTGGGCCTGAAGCATTGATTTCAGAGGAAATAGATGCATCCAGGATTTGAAAGATAAGAAATATCACCATATGGATGGCGTTTCATGTTGTCAGACAACAGATATTTGTTAACCAAGGACACTATTTTGAGCAACTCTGCCAATAACCTGAGCTGGGTGCTGATAGAAGAAAAATAAGTCAAGGTCCCTTCCCCTAAACAGTTCTGTTCTGTTTCGGAAGATACTGCTTAGATTTGTGGATGCTCACTCAGTTACACAATGGGCTTTGAAAAAATCCAGGTTTTCCAACAGTGATCCCTTTGGGGAAAAAAAAGAAAGAAAAAGCCAGGACTTATGAAAGTAAAATAGTTAAAAATAACTGTTAGCAAGTAAAACTCAGGATGACAAAAGTGTAAACTCTATTATTAATCTTTGTTTTTTTCTACCACTGTTTTTTGCCTCATCCATAATCTCATGACTTGAGTGTTATGACATTGATTTTGAAACAACACACACAGCTTTAGTAAAAGCTTAGAGGAGGCCTCGCATAATACTTATGATCCAGGATATTTTGACTCTTCTTATGCTGACATGAATATTTCTGAATAGTGTTGATGTTTATGTAATACCAGTGAAGCTAAAAGCTCAGTGCTGGACTAAGCATTTCTCTAGATATGTTTAGAATATTTGTAATGAATGATGTAAATAGTGTTATATTATAAGACCGTATGATACAACCATATAATTTACTGATATTTTGTAGTTAAAAATAAAATGATTCACAACCTTAGAAAATAGAATAATTTAATTTGATGTAGCACAAATCCCCAGAATTAATTTAGGATGATTTGCTACCTTTTTGATAGCCTTTTAGTCCAACCTTCAAGTTTTTATAGAAAAAAAATGAAAAGAGAATAATGATTTTAGGGTTTTCGCTTGTGATAGAATGTCCTATCTACATGTGAAGCAAATCCCCATGCTCTGAAAAAGAGAAATAGTGTGGATAATTCCAAATCAGGAAAAAAAAAATCATTTCTATTTGGCTTTTGAATGAATTATGCATTTTTTTTTCCTGTGGATTTGTCTTTCCAGTTAGATACTGCTTAGGCTAAAATGAAATTGGTTTTCAATCTATTCTCTTGCTTATATGAATTTACAGTGGGGCCAGTGGGATGTTGGAAACAAATCAGCCTAAGATTAAAAAATTTGCGGTGGATAATATACAAAGTGGATAATATACATGTGTTTAGTTGAGAATTGGCTACAGATAAGAGACTTCTGATTTTGTTCCTCTCCTAGCTGTGTATTTTTTTTTTTTTTTTGAACACTGTGATTCTGCTTGTAGCAAAGAGCTGCTGAGTTACATCTGCTTCTGCCTAATTAACTCTGTTGGTTGGTGTCAGATGAGAGCTAATTTTGAGATTAAATCGAGGAGTGGGGTGTGTGTCGTGGCTGGGGGAGGGGAGAAGGAGGATCCAAGGTTGCTTGATTGTTTTACGTAAGATCAAAATGCAGTTATTCACAATTGTTCTTTTAAATTTATTTTTTGCTTTTCAAGTAAAAATAATCACTGCTGTCCTAAAATGTGACTTGTGTCAATACATATTTACTATTATGTAAACTGGTACGTTTTTCTTGTAGGTGAGCTTATTGGTCATATCTGGGTAGTCCATTCAGTACCTAGGTGCCTGGTGGCCTTTGGGACAAACAGCGAATGCTGCCCAGGAATGTGAATGCTGACCTTAAAACAACTTTTGACTGTCTTTTTTTCTGATAAATGTTATATCTGTTTGGCTATTTGAGTAGTAGTGGGTTTTTGTTTTTGTTTTGTTTTTCCATGATGAGATTTTTTCTTAGGAATCTATCACAAACCTGATTTTTAAAATTTGAACAGGTCTGGGCTTAGGGATGAAATTTACTTCTATAGGCACTTGGCTGGGTCCTTGGGGCTTCATTTTCTGTCTCAAGTTTCATATTTATAAGAATCCTTCAGTGGTCTAAAAGAATTATTATATCACCAAATGTAGTATAATAACTCATTGGAGCTGTTTGTCTTGAATGGTTGTGGAGATACACGGATGGTTGCTGAATTTAAGGATGTCCTTATGTCCAAATGAACATTTCCTTTTTTCTTTTGGCAGATTTGCCTGAAGACCTGGATAATCTCCATTTTTGTCATGGACTGTTAAAACGTTTGAAGTTCCAATTCTGGTACTTTCCCTTATTTTATTACATTTTTAAGGTATAAAATGACAATCTTATTGAAATGTGTTGGTAATGGATATAAACAATTGTTTTATGGATATAAATGATTGTGGGTAAAGATTTGTGGGCTGGGTGCAGTGGCTCACGCCTGTAATCCCAGCACTTTGGGAGGCCGAAGTGGGCGGATCACGAGATCAGGAGTTTGAGTCCAGCCTGGCCAACATGGCAAAACCCTGTCTCTACTAAAAATTCAAAAATTAGCTGGGCGTGGTGGTGGGCACCTGTAATCCCAGCTACTTGGGAGGCTGAGGCAGGAGAATTGCTTGAATCTGGGCGGTGGAGATTGCAGTGAGCCGAGATCATGCCATTGCACTCCAGCCTGGGCGACAAGAGCAAGACTCTGTGCCCCCCAAAAAAAAAAAAATGATTGTGGTAAAAGCTTGTCATGAAGGTATATTTTAGGTATCTATTAGTTATGAAACACATTTTTTTTTTTTTTTTGAGATGGAGTTTCGCTCTTGTTGCCGAGGCTGGAGTACAATGGCGCAATCTCGACTCACTGCAACCTCTGCCTCCTGGGTTCAAGCGATTCTCCTGCCTTAGCCTCCTGAGTAGCTGGGATTACAGGCGCATGCCACCATGCTTGGCTAATTTTTTGTATTTTTAGTAGAGACGGGGTTTCACCATGTTGGCCAGGCTGGTCTTGAACTCCTGACCTTGGGTGATCCACCCGCCTTGGCCTCCCAAAGTGCTGGGATTACGGGTGTGAGCCACCACGCCCGGCTATGCATTTTGTTTTAATGTACGTTCGTTTGCTTGTGTAACAAAACACCTAAAAGCAACTTGGCAATATTGGGCACTTTTCCTGTGACCTCTTCTACTTTCTGCAGTTGTATTTTGTGCAATCAAATTAAATTAGTTGTGATTCATCCTGAATAAATGATGAAAGATTAAATAATTACTTGGATACAGTGAAATATCTTCTAATGAAATTTTGCCCGAAACCATTTTACTTGGGAAAGATCAATTTCCTGTTCTAAACTAACTGACAGAGAATGATTCTGTGTTCTATCCTGAAAGTGGTTGCACTGTGAAAGCCAGTGATTTCATTCCTAAACACACTGTGTTCCAAGTCTAACATTTTTGTCAAGGGTTTATATAATGAAACAAAAGTGAGTACTTATTAGATTTGTAGATGACATAGATGACAGAATCAAGATTCAAAACAATCTTTAGCAGGTTGGAAGATAGGCTTAAATCAACGAGATGAAATTGAACGGTAATAAACGTTAAATTGCAGCATTTCAATTTGCAGAAGGAAAGGGGTGGAAAGACTCAACTTGACAGCACTTTTTGAAAAAAGATCTGGGATTTTTAGTTGGACTGCATGCTCACCATGACCACTTGTGTGGCAGGGGTATTGAGGAAGTTCCTGTAATTTGGGTTGCATTTATAATTGGATAATGCCTGAACTGTCATATTTTAAGATGGCCAATAGCCAAACTAGTGAGCAACCAAGAGAAAGTGGTGCTTTGAAACAATGTGATATGTGGAAGGGTTAAGAAACTGGGATATGAGTGGTCTAAGTTATGGCTGGAGGTAGCATGGGGTTTTGTCGTTAGTGGTTTTCAAAAGGTACTTGTTTTTGGACATTTGAAGGCCTCTCATACTGAAGAAATACTAAGAATTGTCTTGGGATCCTTCCAGGGAATAGGACTAGTTAGGAATAGGAATAGGGTCGAAGTTATGGGGTGGCAGATTTTTGCTTCTCTGAGCAAGAAATTTAGCTAGAGCTGTGCAACAGTGGGGTGAGCTGCCTCAAAAAGTGACAAATTATCAATCACTGGAAGTATTTTAAAAATGTAAAGACTCATTGCCCATCTATTTGGGATATTGGGCAGGGATCTTTTATTGGATAACTAGAGGTTGGACTGGATGACCTTCAGCCCCAAGTTTCTGAATCTGAGGGGAGAATGAGTAGAGTGAATTTACAGCTTACTGATCACAGGGACAATCTTGTTTAAATTGCCTCCTTTAAGGTGGCATTTTGGGTTGGCATTTAAAACTGTACTGTTTGAACAAGTATAGTTCAATGACCCAGCTGTTTTTCAGCAACATTCCAGGATCTCTGAGAGCAAATACTATATTCTTCAGTATGTCTGGCTAAAGTTTTTAAGGAAAGATATTATTTTCTTCTCTTAGGTATAGTCTGTCTAAATAAATAACCAGAGATAACTTTAATTTTGTATTTTGTTATAAAAATTTCAAAGTATATAGATGTTGCATTTGATGAAAGTGATAACTATATATTGAATATTAGATAATGTGTTTATTTAATCCTCTCAGTAGTCCTGTAAGGGATATACCAGTATTGCCTACAAGTAAAGTGATGGAAGCTTAAGTTATCCAGGGTTCCTCCACTGGACATTGTGGTAGGGCTGGGGTTCAGACCCAGGTTGGTCTCTTTGCAGAGGCAGAACTAGCTAGAGCAGGCAGTTGTGGCTCAGGTGAGAACAGTGATGGACTTAGTTGGATTTTAGAATTGGCTGGGCACAGTGGCTTACACCTATAATCCTAGCACTTTTGAGAGGCCGAGGTGGGCTGAGGTCAGGAGTTTGAGACCAGCCTGGCCAAAATGGCAAAACTCCATCTCTACTAAAAATACAAACATTAGCTGGGTGTGGTGGCACATTCCTGTAATCCCAGCCACTTGGGAGGCTGTGCAGGAGAATCGCTTGAACCCAGAAGGCAGAGATTACAGTGAGCTGAGATTGCGCTATTGCACTCCAGCCTGGGTGACAGAGCGAGACTCTATCTCAAAAAAAAAAAATTAATAAAAAAAATTAATGATGTTCGACCCTTTAATCTGTTATTGACTCTTCCCTTGGGTGAATTCCATCTTCTCCCGAGCCTCAGTTTACCCACAAAGTTCTGCAGTTTAAGTGACAAGTTATATGTGAGCACACTCTGTACAGTTTAAACTATAAAAAGAATTAAGAAGTGGATGTTATCATTGGACACCAAGATTAGAGCTCAGGTTTGGCCCAATTCCCAGGCCAAGGCTCTTTCTCCTTGTAGCCTCTTTGTAGATGTACTCAATACCAGATTGGAGATCTAGGGTGGTTTTTGTATATACCAAGCATCTCTCAGAACAAATGCCACTGTCCACCTGGAATCAGATTTGTATATATCTTCTTTGTACTGAGCTGTTTAATGAGCTAACTGGGTATTAAGATAACTAGAATGCTCTACTACTTAAAGGTGAAGGGTTATGTTACTGTATTATTTTCAGTTTTCCAATTTGTGGGTTAGAGGGTATCATAGACCTCTGTTAAAGGGATGGGGATGTGATTCCATAGAAGTAGCTAGATGGGAAGTTTTTTTACGTATGAGACTTGGGAAATACAATACCTAGCTGAAAGCTGGATTATTTACTCTTTTTTTTAAGTTTAAGATTTTTTGAAATAAGTTTAATGTACTTTCATCAGATTTTTTATATCATAGACTTATTCTTTGATGTGTATTTTATGTTTATGGCAGACATATACCTCAAACCACTTTCATATAATTTTGTTAATTTCAATAAATATAATTAAATGTATAATTTAGATGTGATTATGCCTCATAAATGACTTCATATAGAGAAGTGAAACATTCTAAAAACAATTTCTTCTCAGACTGTGACCCAATTTCTTGTTGAAAAATATAGTCACTGTGGCTGTGTTATGTAATACCTGCCTGTCATTACTTCTTGTGGTCATTCTGTGTCTGAAAAAGTCATGCTAAAGAATCTTTTAGTTTATTTGTGTAAGCTTCATTATTAAGAGACTTTCCCCTCTTTTTATCCTTTAAGGTCTTGATTTCCCAGTTAAAGATGTTCTTCACCCGAATGCAGTCTTTCCTGTTGGTAAAATAAGACAACCATCAACATTGCCTGTTTGTCTGCTTTTGAATCTCTTAAGGATGGATGTTTGTAAGATGTTGCTTAATACAGTCTGGAATACTCTGTCCATTTGTTGAATTGTAAATGACTTTCAAATGTGCAAGTTCTGTTAAATACAAAGAGAACCTCTATGGGTAACTTTTGTGTTGAAGAAGTCATTTGTCAACCATGGTAAAACTTGCAAACCCACTTTATACAGAGTGGATTCTTGAAGCTATACAGAAAATAAAAAAGCAAAAGCAAAGGCCCTCTGAAGAGAGAATCTGCCATGCGGTCAGTACTTCCCATGGGTTGGATAAGAAGACAGTCTCTGAACAGCTGGAACTCAGTGTTCAGGATGGCTCAGTTCTCAAAGTCACCAACAAAGGCCTTGCCTCCTATAAGGACCCAGACAACCCTGGGCGCTTTTCATCAGTTAAACCAGGCACTTTTCCTAAGTCAGCCAAGGGGTCTAGAGGATCATGTAATGATCTCCGCAATGTGGATTGGAATAAACTTTTAAGGAGAGCAATTGAAGGACTTGAGGAGCCGAATGGCTCCTCCCTGAAGAACATAGAGAAGTATCTCAGAAGTCAAAGTGATCTCACAAGCACCACCAACAACCCAGCCTTTCAGCAGCGGCTGCGACTGGGGGCCAAACGCGCTGTGAATAATGGGAGGTTACTGAAAGACGGACCGCAGTACAGGGTCAATTATGGGAGCTTAGATGGCAAAGGGGCACCTCAGTATCCCAGTGCATTCCCATCCTCGCTCCCACCTGTCAGCCTTCTACCCCATGAGAAAGACCAGGTAAGCGAAGGAGTAATGTTCGTGCATTCTCACTACTGTCCTTTTGTCTTTTACGGTTTCACTTAAGTTTTATGTGGACAAAAGTTCTGAATAAAGTTTGATAAAATTGAATGTTTTGCCTTAGAGCAGGCTTTTGTATTTTAAAATGTATATATTGTACTGCATTGTGTGGAGGACTTCCTCACTGGTTGGCCAAGAATTTAATGGAAGAGTCATGTGGTTTGTTTTTAAGCTCTAATTGCTAACTGGTTGGTGTCTGAAGGGACCAGGAAGGATAATATTGATCTTTCTTCATCCAGGCAGGGTCATATATATTTCAGAAATCTACGAAAAGGCCATCGTATATTTTTCTCTTTATTACTATTTTCAAAGAAGAATCTACAGACTTCTTATTTTACTATTATTATTTTTTTGAGACAGAATCTAGCTCTGTCGCCTAGGCTGGAGTGCAGTGGCGCAGTCTTGACTCACTGCAACCTCTGCCTCCCAGGTTTAAGCGATTCTCCTGCCTCAGCCTCCCAAGTAGCTGGGATTACAGGCACCTGCTACCACACCTGGCTAATTTTTGTATTTTTAATAGAGACAGGACTTCACCATCTTGGCCAGGCTGGTCTCAAGCTCCTGACCTCAAGTGATGCGCCCGCCTCGGCCTCCCAAAGCGCTGGGATTAGAGGCGTGAGCCACCATGCCCAGCTAGACTTCTTATTTTAATGGTGATAATCTATGCTTTTTTTTTTGAGATGGAGTTTTGCTCTTGTTGCCCAGGCTGGAGTGCAGTGGCACAATCTCGGCTCACTGCAACCTCTGCCTCCCGGGTTCAAGTGATTCTTCTGCCTCAGCCTACCTAGTAGCTGGGATTACAGGCACATGCCACCATGCCCAGCTAATTTTTGTATTTTTAGTAGAGACCAGGTTTCACCATGTTGGCCGGGCTAGTCTCGAACTCCTGACTTCAGGTGATCCACCCGCTTTGGTCTCCCAAAGTGTTGGGATTACAGGCGTGAGACACCATGCCTGGCTGATAATCTATGCATGTAAGAAGTTATTTTAATACGTCACCTAAATCCCTCATTTCAATAAAAAGTCATTTTTTATTGTCCACTTCTCTGTGTTGTAGGTGAATGTTTATTTTGTCTCATACAGTATCTTTTTAAAATACTCTGATTTCTTGGGCCTTATGTTATTTCTATAGTATTTATAAATATATGGCAGAATTCTCCTTACATTACTGCTACCACTTTAAGTTTTTGGTTGAGTAAGATTTGTCTTTGTTTCAAAGCTACAGTATTTACTTCCCAAACTAAACACAAAGTAGAGCAGCAGAAAGTTATTTATAGTTCATGTCTAGTTTTGGGGTTTATTCTCTGTCTTTTGGGTGAGCAGATATATTGATATCAGTTAATTTTATTAATACATGTTATAAAACATTAATCATTGTTGATAGAAAGGTGGTTTTGGCTGGGCAGGGTGGCTCCTGCCTGTAGTCCCAGCACCTTGGGAGGCCAGGGTGGGAGGATCACTTGAGCCCAGGAGTTCAAGACTAGCCTGGGCAACATAGTAAGACCCCTGTCTCTACAAAAAAATCAAAGAATTAGCCAGGCTTGGTGAAGCACATGTGTAGTCCCAGCTACTTGGGAGGCTGAGGTGGGAGGATCACTTGAGCATGGGAGGTAGAGGCTGCAGTGAGCCTTGATTGTACTCCAGCCTGGGTGATAGAGTGAGATCCTGTCCCAAAGATAAAGAAAGGAAGAAAGAAAAGGTGGTTTTGGCCAGGCACAGTGGCTCATGCCTGTAATCCCAGCACTTTGGGAGGCTGAGGTGGGCCAATTGCCTGAGTTTGAGACCAGCCTGGCCAACATGGTGAAACCCCATCTCTACTAAATATACAAAAAAATTAGGCAGGCGTGGTGGGGGGCACCTGTAGTCCCAGCTATTTGGGAGGCTGAGGCAGGAGAATCCCTTAAACCCGGGAGGCAGACGTTGCAGTGAGCTGAGATTGTGCCACTGCACTCCAGCCTGGGTGACAGAGCGAGACTCTGTCTCAAAAAAAAAAAAAAAAACAAAAAAAAAAAGAAGGAAAGAAATGGTGGTTTTATTCATGGTTTACTGCAGCCTTGACCTTTTGGGATCAAGTGTTCCTCCCAAGTAACTGGGAATACAGGTGTATGCCACCATGCCCAGCTAAGTTTTTAAATTTTTTGTAGAGATGGGGTTTTGCCATGTTGCCTGGGCTAAGTACAGTTTAGAAACAATTGAAACATGCATGTTAGGAAAAGTTATGCTCCTCTTGTTTGGATACCATGAACCCTTGAAATGGAACCTGTTTTCCTCAATGCTTTAGATCAGATCAGCCCATGGAAAGGCAAACCACCTGGTCCTACAAATTGGATAGGACCAGGTGGTTTGCCTTTCCATGGGCTGATCTAAAAGGCTGGAGTGCAGTGGTGTCACCTCGGCTCACTGCAACCTCCACCTCCCGGGTTCAAGTGATGCTCTCACCTCAGCCACCCGAGCAGCTGGGACTACAGGTGCACACCACCACGCCCGGCTAATTTTTGTACTTTTTGTAAAGATGAGGTTTCTCGATGTTGCCCAGGCTGGTCTCGATCTCCTGGGCTCAAGACATCCTTCCGCCTCGGCCTCCCAAGGTGCTGGGATTATAGGCATGAGCCACTGTGCCTGGCCAACATTTATTTGTTAACTATATTTTTATTTTGTTAGTCTTCTGCCACATTTATTTGATCCTTAGGTGGTTGTTGTGTTTGTGTAACCAACCTCTAGTTCTCTGTGGCAGAATGTGGGCATAAAGAAAGAAGTAAAGTTATGAAATTTTCTTCTTAATAACATTTGTTTAAAAGAAAATACAAAAAGCCACTTAAATCCTAATTCATATGTCTGACACAGCCAAATCAGGGACCTCTGTTTTTAATTAAATACATATGTATATATATATTTTTGTTTTGTTTTTTTGTTTTTTTTGAGATGGAGTCTTGCTCTGTCACCAGGCTGGAGTACAGTGGCATGATCTTGGCTCACTGCAGCCTCTGCCTCCCAGGTTCAAGTGATTTCCTTGCCTTAACTTCCCGAGTAGCTGGGACTACAGGAGCGTGCCACCATGCCTGGCCAATTTTTTGTATTTTAGTAGAGACGGGGTTTCACCATGTTGGCCAGGATGGCCTCAATCTCCTGACCTCATGGTCCACCTGCCTTAGCCTCCCAAAATGCTGGGATTACAGGCGTGAGCCACTGTGCCCAGCCTTAATTAAATATTTTTTATAAAAGCTTATACTGTGAAGAAATTCCTTAAGGGACTATAGAGCCATTTCTTGATGGATTTGGATATCTTTGTTTTTAAAAATATGTACACTACCCTAAGGTATGTTAAGGTTTTATAATGAACAGGTACGTGGACTAATTCAGGTAGCTTTAGGCAATTTAATAGTATGTTTCAATAATTTTGTGATCCAGGGGATACTTTTTACTTGTGATGGAAGAGTCAGTACAAATTTTCCACAGTATCTTCTGATCCTTCGCTTTAACCTTGCCCGTCATTTCTTGCCAACCTTATCATATTTTTTTCAGGCAGCATCTGTACAGAAGTATTTTTAGTCTAAAGGAAAATTCATGTCTGAAAGTGTCTAGGATTGAGAGCAGAGTAATTTATTGCTTAGCAGGCAATTGTTACTGCTCTTTTTATGATGCTGATCTTTAAATTGTTTAGTTAGCATCATGCTATAATGAGGAAAGCTGAGAAATGTTTTCTAGAATTTTTACTTGATGAAATTTGGAGACTAATTCTATTAAGTAATCATTTGATTCTTAAAAAACAAAAATAAATAAAAATCAGTTTAAACAAAGTTGGCAACATGTTTGTATTCTTTAATGAAATAGCATTTTTTTCCAGCTGGGTGCAGTGGCTCATGCCTGTAATCCCAGCACTTTGGGAGGCCGAGGTGGGTGGATCACCTGAGGTCAGCAGTTCAAGACCAGCCTGACCAACATGGAGAAACCTCGTCTCTATTAAAAAAATACAAAAGTAGCCGGGCATGGTGGTGCATGCCTGTAATCCCAGCTGCTGGGGAGGCTGAGGCAGGAGAATTGCTTGAACTTGGGAGGCAGAGATTGCAGTGAGCCGAGATTGCGCCATTGCATTCCAGCCTGGGCAACAAAAGCGAAACTCCATCTCAAAAAAAAAAATAAATAAATAAAATAGCATTTTTCCTTAAAAAATGTGAGAAAATTACAACATAATATATTACCCTTTGAAATTAAAAGTGATTTAATAGTTTAAAACCATGTAAACTCGCTAAGTAAATTTAATAGAAATTCTTAGCCCGGGATCCACAAATGAACTTGGGTGGGTATCCCACAAATCCTCTGAAATAGAGTGTGAAGTCATGTGTGTGTATCCATGTTTTTCTTTTTTTTTCTTTTTCTTTTTCTTTTTTTTTTTTTTTGAGACATAGTTTCACTCTTGTCACCCAGGCTGGAGTACAATGGCACAATCATGGCCCACTGCAACCTCTGTCTCCCAGGTTCAAGTGACTCTTCTGCCTCAGCCTCCCTAGTAGCTGGGATTACAGGCGTGCGCCACCATGCCTGGCTAATTTTTGCATTTTCAGTAGAGACGGGGTTTCACCATGTTGGCCAGGCTGGTCTTGAACTCCTGACCTCAGGTGATCCACCCACCTCAGCCTCCCAAAGTGCTGGGATTATAGGCATGAGCCTCTGTGCCTGGCCTCCACATGTTTTTCTATGGCTAGGGTCTATAGCAAGCTTGTCCAACCCATGGCCCATGGGCTAGATGCGGCCCTGAATGGCTTTGAATGCAGCCCAACACAAATTCGTAAACTTTCTTAAAACATAAAGAGATTTTTGGCTTGCGGCGTGGTGGCACACGCCTATAATCCCAGCTACTCAGGAGGCTGAGGCACAAGAATTGTTTGAACCTGGGAGGCGGAGGTTGCAGTTAGCTGAGATTGAGGCACTGCACTCCAGCCTGGGCGACAGAGCAACACTTCGTTTCAACAACAACAACAAGAACAACAACAACAACAACAACATTTTTTTGTGGTTTTTAATTTTTTTTTTTTTAAGCTCACTAGCTATTGTTAGTGTATTTTATATGTGGCCCTAGACAATTCTTCTTCCAGTGTGGCCCAGGGAAGCCAAAAGATTGGACACTCCTGGTCTACATCTTTTGTCAAAGGCACCCAAAATGCCTAGTAGCCATTTTAAAATAGTTTGAGTTTCTTATACTAAATCATAGTATGCTAATTGTCGACCTATGATGATTCTTCCTTTGGCTGCTGAACTTGGATTCATATGTAGATTGATTGTACTATAATTTCCTATATATAAGACTTTTTCTAATATATTTGAAAAGATTATCATTGTTCTTGATGTGCTTGAAGTCATAGGATTTGCCTTGCATTGTGGGAGGAAATTTATGATATAAGTGAAAACAGTTCAGAAATGGAGTGATCTCAATTACAATCTAGTCAACTAATGCCTTTTTTTTGAGACAGAGTGTCACTGTGTCACCCAGTCTGGAGTGCAGTGGCATGATCTTGGCTCCCTGCAACCTCAGCATCCCAGGTTCAAACAATTCTTGTGCCTCAGCCTCCCGAGTAGCTGGGATTACAGGTGTGTGCCACCACACTGGGCTAATTTTTGTATTTTAGTAGAGATGGGGTTTCATTAATGTTGGCCAGGCTGGCCTTGAACTCCTGGCCTCAAGTGATCCGCCTGCCTTGGCCTCCCAAAATGCTGGGATTATAGACGTGAGCTACTATGCCCCATGCCTGGCCTAACTAATGACTTTTTTTTTTTTGAGATGGAATCTCACTCTGTCATCCAGACTGGAGTACGCTGGTGCCATCTCAGCTCACTGCAACCTCCGCCTCCCAGTTCAAGTGATTCTCCTGCATCAGCCTCCCAAGTAGCTGGGATTACAGGCACGCACCACCAAGCCCGGCTAATTTTAGTATTTTTAGTAGAGACAGGGTTTCACCATGTTGACCAGGCTGGTCTCGAACTCGTGATCTCAAGTGATCCGCCTGCCTTGGCATCTCAAAGTGCTAGGTAGGATTACAGGCTTGTGAGCCACCGTGCCTGGCCATGACTTTCAAGAAGCTGTTTATTCTGGTTACTTTTTTGAGCAGTTACATTAAATGTAAAACAAAATAAAAATAGTAAGAATAATAACTAACGTTTTGTAAGTGTTAAATGCTGGCACTATTCCAAGTGCTTTACATTTATTATCTCCTTGACTTGTCACAATAACTGCAAGGGAGGTAGATTATTACCCTTATTTTACAGATGAAAAAATGAGGCTGAAAGCTTAAGTGATTTGCCCAAGGTCACTGATAGAGCTAGTGAGTGGTGAAGCCAAGATTCTGACGAGACAGTCTGACCTCAGAGCTCTTTACCACTGGGCAGTACACTGGTCAACAGTGGTGGCTTTTTTTTTTTTTTTGAGACAGAGTCTCGCTCTGTCGCCCAGGCTGGAGTGCAGTGGCATGATCTCGCCTCACTGCAAGCTCCGCCTTCCGGGTTCACGCCATTCTCCTGCCTCAGCCTCCTGAGTAGCTGGGACTACAGGCGCCCACCACCACGCCCGGCTAATTTTTTGTATTTTTAGTAGAGACGGGGTTTCACCGTGTTAGCCAGGATGGTCTCAATCTCCTGACCTCGTGATCCACCTGCCTCGGCCTGTGGTGGCTTTTTATTAACAGTAAAAGTATCTCTTCCAGTTCTTCAAATGATTAGAAGCAGTTTTGCCCCAACAAATAGATTTCCAGCATTTTAAATTTGGTAGATGCAATGAGCTTATTATAGTTTTTAAAGTAGATACTATTTATAATATTAGCAATATGGAAAGGCAGTAGAGAAAGTAGTAAGTCTGTGTCTAATTAGATTGAACATCATCATCATTCCGATGCATGACTGCTAGGAGGAATACAATGCAAGTTAAAATAGAAGGGCTCCTTCCTTTCTGAAATGTAATTGCACATCTTCTGATAGTCTGGAATTCAAATTGGGTATTACCACACTGGCTTCTTAGCATAAATTCTTTGTATTTATTTAAGAAAGCTCTCTTCGGTGAGGTGATATGGAAATGAATTAAACCACTGAAGATAAAACTTTATCTTTGACTTGGTGAGGGAACTCCTAAAGGATAGTATTAATGTTTCTCATTAAAAGTAGTAAAGCTCAATTAGGTCAGATTATGAGGACTTTGGAAAGTCACATATTCTAAGAGAGACTTCCATTATCACTGCGCACTTTGTAGCATTAAGATTCCATTTGAACATTTGAGCTTTAGCATTTTTATAAAATCAGTTTAGTTCCATTTAAAATAAATTCCATAGTATTTCACTTTAGTGAGAATGTCTTCATAAAATTTATTAAGTGTCAAGTCTTGGTCTGTTTCCAGTGTAGTACATAATGTGGGAATTCTCATTCTAGGTTGGCATCGTAATTGGAAGGTGGGACACTTTCAGTATCAAGTAGGGCTTCTGATGTTTTTTCTGTTGAAGAAATATTTGTATTAGAATCTTACAAAAAGCCTTCAAACATAAACAAAATTACAAAAACAGTGATACTGTCAATAAGAAAAAAATCAAAATGATTTTTTTTTTTTTGGATACAGAGTCTTGCTCTGTTGCCCAGGCCGGAGTGCAGTGGCGCAATCTCGGCTCACTGCAGCTGCCGCCTCTCGGGTTCAAGCGATTCTCCTGCCTCAGCCTCCTGAGTAGTTGGGGATTACAGGCATGTGCCACCATGCCCGGCTAATTTTTGTATTTTTAGTAGAGACAGGGTTTCACCATGTTGGTCAGGCTGATAAGAATGATTTTTTTTTTTTTTTTTTGGAGATGGAGTCTTGCTATGTTGCCAGGCTGGAGTGCAGTGGCGCGATCTCGGCTCACTACAACCTCCGCCTCCCTGGTTCAAGCAATTCTCCTGCCTCAGCCTCTGGAGTAGCTAGACTACAGACGTGCACCACCACGCCCAGCTAATTTTTGTATTTTTAGTAGAAACGGGGTTTCACCATATTGGCCAGGATGGTCTCAATCTCTTGACCTAGTGATCCACCTGCCTCGGCCTCCCAAAGTGCTGGGATTACAGGCATGAGCCACTGTGTCTGGCCACAAAATGATTTTTAAAAGGAGTTCAGATGATCAGAAATGGGGTTGAAAGACAAACGTAGGACCCTTGTTATGTGTGGTCTTGGCTTATTCAGTTGTTTATTCTATTTCTCCTGCCCCTTTTAGAGAGATACGTTGTTAGGGTTTTTGGCACTGTTATTAATATGAAATATTTCTACAAATAGAAGATAAATGTACATCCTACAGCAGTTGCTTGAGTTGTTTACACACATGAATTAGATAAGTTTATTTTTAGATTTTCTTTTCTTCTGTTTTCTCCATTCTGTTTTCTCCTCTTCAGTCCCCTTAACCCTGCCCTAGAGCAGACCCTCCTCATCTGTTCTGGGACTTTTCCAATAGCCTGTACTTTATGAAGGACTATTCATTAGTCCATATTGTTCTTTGATGTGGCAGGCTTCCAGAAGTCTCTCAGCCCTAGGGGAATTGTTCATAGTCTCAGGCAACTCTGGATCTTTTTTGGCAGAAATGTGTATATTTTTTATCTGCTAATTATAGAGCCTGAATGTCCTCCTCTCTGTTGACCTTCTTAGTTTTCCTTTGAATTGGTATCCTTTGTGTTGCAGATGTCATCTTTCTTGAAGAGTGCTTGATTATGTGTATTTAACTGAAAATCGAATAAATCTCTAAATATTGTAAAATATGCTCTTCAAAATAACCTGCATTTTGGAATTGGTATGGATAAAGTCAGTTTTAGAATCACTAAAGTCAGACAGAAACCTATTGTAATGTGAAAGACGAGGTGGATCAAATACTTGCTGTTCCAGGGTCATGGAAGGAAAAAAATTGCAGTTCATGTTCTTCTTATAATTAAGCTTCAGAAGTTCTTCACAATAGCAGTGTCTGAGGACTGCTTTTGTGAGCAGGTAGTACCAGTTGTTGAGACATTGTTGAGAGAGCACATGAATTGTCTCAAACTAGTTAGTTGGGTCAAGGGAAAGATAAAATGAAGGGTGAATGAGTCTTTCTATTGTACTCTGAGGCATGACAGCGTGTTCCACTTTTGAGCTTTTATCAAGATGGGACTTGTCTAGACTTCTAATGAAATGGGCTTCAGGTAAAGTAGAAACATTATGTCAAGAGGATTTTTGGTTGTTCAAATGAATGTTAAACATTCTTTTAACTCTTTGGATCTTAGATAGATTTGATAGTTGTGATACCTTTACTGTATGTAACACATGATCCTGTCCTGAATGATCAGCAGCTTTCAGGAGTTACTCTTGTATTCCCAGCTACATTTGTGATACTTTCAGTGCTAAGAAAATCTATATTCTGTAGCTTTGAAGTTATTTAACAGTTAAGTACTATTTGCTGGTTTATTCTGATTTTGTCTTAAATGACAAATATTTTATTCATCCTTTCTCTTCAAACATTATTTAACAAATGTACGTTTTAATGTTTCTCAAAAATGAAGGTCTATATTCTTTTTATATGTTTTATCTTTGTATGTTATTTCTTTCATCTTTTTTTTTTTTTTTTTTTTTCTGAGACAGGGTCTCACTCTGTTACCCAGGCTGGAGTGCAGTGGTTTGATCATGGCTCACTGCAGCCTCGACCTCCCGGGCTCAAGTGATCCTTGATCCTCCCACCTCAGCCTCCTGAGTAACTGGGACTACAGGTGTGCACCACCTTGTCTGGCTAATTTTTTTTTTTCTTTTTTTTGAGACAGTCTTACTCTGTTGCCCAGGCTGGAGTGCAGCCGTGTAATCATGGTTCACTGCAGCCTTGACCTTCCCAGGCTCAAATGATCCATCCTCCCACCTCAGCCCCCCAAGTAGCTTGGACTACAGGCACACACCACTACACCCAGCTAATTTTTGTATTTTTTGTAGAGATAGGGTTTCGCCACGTTGCCCAGGCTGGTCTTGAACGCCTGAGCTCAAGCAGTTCACACACCTCGGCCTCCCAAAGTACTGGGGTTATAGGCGTGAGCCACCGTGCTCAGCCTTTTATTTTTAATATATAAGAAATGCCTTTTTTTTTTTTTTTTTTTTAATTTGAGATGGAGTCTTGCTGTCTTGCCCAGGCTGGAGTGTAGTGGCATGGTCTCGGCTCACTGCAACCTCCGCCTCCCAGGTTAAAGCAATTCTCCTGTCTTGGCCTCCCGAGTAGCTGGGATTACAGGCATGTGCCACCACTCCTGGCTAATTTTTTTGTATTTTTAGTAGAGACGGGGGTTTCACCATATTGGCCAGGCTGGTCTCGAACTCCTGACCTTGTGATCTGCCCACCTCGGCCTCCCAAAGTGCTGGGATTAGAGGCATGCCCCACCACGCCCAGCCCATTGTTTTATCATGACAGTAGCAATGTGTTTTAATTGTAAAATTCTTGACTTTTTGTTTTGTTTATAAACTTCCTTTTCTTGGCCCTGTGCCTTAAACTACAGTAGATTAGGTGAAACTGTTCTCTGATCACACTAGCATTTAAAATATGAACCTGAATCTTCTCAGGTACTTTGATCTCTCCAATCTATTAATGTTTCTGAGTACATAAACATCAATTAGCTCACCAAATTAAAGTTAGCAAATGCGTCAGCCATGTAATTTGCATGTGACATTTTGAGTTAGCAGGGCCAAGAGGGAAGTATGTTTTTGTGAGTGGGTGTGCTTATCTCTCTGTCTTCAGGTGGTGATGGAAAGTTGTACATGTAAGAGAAGGAGTTGTGGCAGTGGATATGTGAAATGCTAACTGTACATATGCCTCTGCTTGGGGCAGAAGCACTTTACCAGAGAAGTCTCCAACAGTTGCAAACTACATATTCTTTTTCCTTATATAAGTGAATCTTTTAATTAGTGTAATATTATGTAGAGTGTATGTTTTTTCTGTTTTTTTTTAATGAAAGGTGATATTTTGATAAATCTGCAAAATGAGCAATATAGACAACATTTTAGAGTGAATGATACTAGATTTAAACTATGAGGCTGGTCTCTGCAAAGATACAAAGTAAATACTAATCACTGGTCTAAGCAAAATCCAGGAAGGATTTTTGTTAATTTGACAAGTGGGTTTAGAATTCTTTAGCCACTATTTTTTAGAAACCAGCTTTGTTCATACATCCTTTCTCTAATTTGCCTCACTTTTGATCTGTGATAAACCAGCTGCAATTTGGTTTCATTAACAAACTTAACTGGTCAACAGATGTTTTGGCTCTATTTTGTCCTTTCTATTAGAAACAGCATAGGCGTACACAGAAACCATGCTGGGCCTTTTCCTGTCTGTAGCTCGACAGGCGTTACAGAAGAGCAACCTAACTTTACTTACAAGTTCAATTTTTCTTCCTCAGTATTTTTATTATAGGTATACAAACATTGTAGTTTTGTCTCCCCCATCAAGTCGGTCTTTTGTTGTTAATCTTCCATCTGTTAGTCCAGTATACACTTCTCACCCTGCTTTTTAGCATTGCAAAATCTTAGCATGCAGGGAAAAAGGTACTATTGCAGGAGAGGTAATTGAGATATCAGCGACTCTTCCACAATTCAAGGGAAGGAGTGGAACTAGCCTGGTGAATTTAGATAATTTCTTCCGTCTTCTTTGATGTCAGTGAGCTGCCATATGGAGAGCAGTGAGGCCTGCAGGAAGGAGGTGAGCCTTGGTCTGGGCTGCCTAGGGTGTTCAGAGTGACATGGGCTGAGAGCCAGAGGCAGAGCTTGACTGTTTCTGTTAGTAGTTTCTGATGTGACCAGCCCTGCTTTTTGTCCAAGGTTTCCCTGTCATGCTTGCCACCCTATGGGTATGATGAAGTTTAAGAAACAGATCATAAACATTATCTTGGGAAAGAGAAACATAAGAACATATTAAAATCTAGTAATAAGGCCATTAAAAGATGACTCCCATTTGATATTTGACCAACTTGTTTTCAAAATTAGTATTGTAAACACTTCTGTCTTATAACAAAACCCAGCTTTAGCTGTTGAGCCTTGAGTTGTGAGTAAAGCAGCAGAAAACAGGATCTGCTAGTGGAAGAGTATTGGCTGTTTGAAGAACATCAGCTGTTCCAGGTAGACTCCTGGCAGTGTGTGAGCAGACCTGGGAAAGGCAGGCATGGAGGGAGCTAGGAAAATACTTCTCTCCTAACCTTTATAATTTATAAAATTAGAGTATTTCATAAATATTAAAAGAGTAGTACAGTAAACACTCTATTTCTTTCACATAGATTCACCAATTTTAACATTTTGCCACATTCTTTCTCTTCCTATATGTGTGTATATGTATATGTTTTTATACATGGGTGTGCGTATATATACAGCACATTTATATATTCACAATTTTGACTAAACTGTTGGAAACTAAATTACAAATATTATATTTCACCCCTAAATACTTAATAATATATCAAAAATGTTCTCTTATATACTATACTATTACGCAAAAAATTCGGCAGTGGAATGAGTGTTAACTGACAGTCCATATTTCCCCAAATGGCCCCAAAATCTCATTTATAACTTTTGACTTTTTTTGAGATGGAGTCTCGCTCTGTTGCCCAGGCTGGGGTGCAGTGGTATGATCTTAGCTCACTGCAACCTCCACCTCCCAGGTTCAAGCAATTCTCTTGCCTCAGCCTCCCGAGCAGCTGGGACTACAGGTGCGTGCCACCATGCCCGGCTAACTTTTTTTATTTTTAGTAGTGATGGGGTTTCGCCAGGTTGGCCAGGCTGGTCTTGAACTCCTGACATCAGGTGATCTACCCGCCTAGGCCTCCCAAAGTGCTGGGATTAAAGGTGTGAGCCACTGCGCCTGGCCAACTTTTGACTTTTCATCCAGGATCCAACCAAAGATCATATATTGCATTTGGCTGTCATGTCACCTTTAATAGAGAACAGTTTTCCCTCCTTTTTGCTTCTGAAGACATTGACATTTTTGAAGAGTCTAGGGTAGTTGTCTTGTAGGATGTCCCACAATTAGTATTTGTCTGACTGTATCCTCATGATTAGATTCAGAGTAAACATTTTTGACAAGAATAGCGTGTGGGGGTCTGGGAGTGGTGGCTCACACCTATAATCCCAGCACTTTGGGAGGCTAAGATGGGTGGACTGATTGAGCTCAGAAGTTTGAGACCAGCCTGGGAAACATGGTGAAACCCCGTTTCTACAGAAAATACAAAAAAATCAGCTGGGCGTGGTGGCATGTGCCTGTAGTCCCAGCTACTTGGGAGACTGAGGTAGAAGGATTGCTTGAATCCAGGAGATGGAGGTTGCAGTAAGCCAAGGTCACACCACTGCGCTCCAGCCTGGGTGACAGAGTGAGACTCTGTCTCAAAAAGAAAAAAGAAAAGAAAAAATACTGTATGGGGGATGTTGTATATTTCTTCTTGTGAGATACCAGGAGATAAATAATTTCAGCTTGTCTCATTACTGGTGGTGCTTAGTTTATCAGTTGGTTAAGGTGGCATCTGCTAGATCTTCGTTTATAAAGGCGCCTTTTCCCTTTTGTAATTAACAAGTAATCTGTGCAATGATACTTTGAAAGCATGTGAGTAACCTTTCACCCAGTGTGTATTAGTTTTCTATTGCTGCTGTAACAAATTACAGCAACTTAATGGTTTAACACAACACAAATGTATTGTCTTACAGTTCGGTAGGTCAGAAGTCCAACATGGGTTTCTTAGGTTAAAATGAAGGTGAGGGCAAGGTAATGTTCTTTTCTGGAGGCTCTAGGAGAGAATCTTTTCCCTTGCTTTTTTGAGCTTCTAGAGGCTGCGCATATTCCTTGACTCATGATCCCTTCCTCCATCTTCAAAGCCAGCAATGTTGCATCTCTCTGACTGTTCTTTCACAGTCACATCTGCCTCTTACCACAGCCTGGACAGTTTTTCAGCTTTTAAAGGATGCATATTATTAGATTGAGCCCATTTGGATAATCCAGATAATGCCCTTATCTCACAGTCCTTAACTTTATCATATCTGCAAGGTTATTTTGCCAGGTAAGGTTCTGGGCATTAGGAAGTAGACATTTTTGGGGGAGCCCATTATTTTGCCTGCCACACAGGGTTTAGTATTGTCACCTAAATCAAATTTTGCATTGGGGGTTGCAAATCATTGAAGGTTTTGGGCTATGGTGAACCATGATCAAGTCTGTTTAGAAAGGAAAGAGGGCCAGGTGCAGGTAGCTCACATCTATAATCCCAATGCTTTGGGAGGCCAAGGCAGGTGGATCACTTGAGGCCAGGAGTTTGAGATCAGCCTGGACAACATAGTGAGATCCCATCTCTAGAAAAAATTTTTAAAAATTATCCAAGTGTGATGGCACAGAACTGTAGTCCTAACTACTTGGGAGGCTGAGGTGGGAGGATTGCCTGAGTCCAGAAGTTTGAGGCTGTAAGTGAGCTATGATCGTGCCACTGCACTCTAGCCTGGGCGACTGAGCAGGACTCTATTTCTTAATTAAAAAAAAAAAGGAAAAAATAACCAGAAAGGAATTAATCACAGTTTATGGGAGTAATGCTAGCTGAAGGCCGGGGGTCAAGAGGCCTGAGTTTTGAGTCTCATGGTACATCCTGAGTCATTTCCAGGAGAGCAGGAACGGGGGCGTGCACTCTTGCCTCCACTTCATGTCCCTTTACTCACTAGTTGAAGAACTGAAGAATGGATTTGGCACTAATAGCTTCAGAGTTTTTAACAATAGAAGTTTGGATGGGCAATTTTTTTTTTTTTTTTTTTGAGACAGGGTCTCACTTTGTTGCCCAGGCTGGAATGCAGCGGTGTGATCATGGCTCACTGCAGCCTTGACCTCCTAGGCTCAAGCACTCCTCCCACCTCAGGGTCCTGGAACTACAGGGGCGTGTGCCACCATGCCCAGCTAATTTTTGTATATTTGATAGGCATGGGTTTTGCCATTTTGCCCGGGCTGGTCTCGAACTCCTTGGCTCAAGCAATCTACCCACCTTGGCCTCCCAAAGTTCTGGGATTACAAGTGAGAGCCGCTATGCCTGGCCCAAAATGATTTTTGAGAAGTACATTTAAAGTTGTAGAGAAGGGTCTTTCATTTAAATGCCCACAGGGTGCATGAAAAATACAAGGTGATTTATCAAGATAGGCTCTTTGGCTCATGCCTGTAATCCCAGCATTTTGGGAGGCCGAGGTGCATGGATCACTTGAGGTCCAGAGTTCGAGACCAGCCTGGGCAACATGGCGAAACCCCATCTCTACTAAAAATGTAAAAATTAGCTGGGCATGGTGGCTCACGCCTGTAGTCCCAGCTACTCAGGAGGCTGAGGCAGGAGAATCGCTTGAACCTTGGAGGTGGAGATTGCGGTGAGCCAATATTGTGCCACTATACTCCAGCCTGGGCAACAGAGCAAGACTCCATCTCTGGAACTCCTGATCTCAAGTGATCTACCCACCTTGGCCTCCCAGAGTGCTGGGATTATAGGCATAAGCCAGTGTGCCCTGCCTTTGATGATATTTCAAAGACTAAGTAACATCTGAAGAATTTTATGTCTTTTATTTATTTATTTAGACAACGTCTTGCTCTGTTGCTCAGGCTGGAGTGCAGTGGCACGATCTTGGCTCACTACAGCCTCCACCTCCCAGGTTCAAGCAATTCTCATGCCTCAGCCTCCTGAGTAGCTGGAATTACAGGTGCCTGCTACCATGCCCAGCTAATTTTGTATTTTTTTTTTAGTAGAGATGGGGTTTCACTGTGTTGATCAGGCTGGTTTTGAACCCCTGGCCTCAAGAGATCCAGCCACCTCAGCCTCCCAAAGTGCTGGGATTATAGGCGTGAGCCACTGTGCCCAGCATATATCTATAATTTAAATTAGAACCCTCAATCAGAGAAGTCTAAATAGGCTGAAAAAGAAACTCATTTATTTAAAAAAGAAAAATGACATGCAGATGGATGTATATTATATTCTTTTAGTTTTTAGTAAAAATTCAGAAAAATAAACATGAACTTGAGGTAACGAGCCTCTAGAATTCTTCATTTTATTTCATTTCACAATGTTTCAGCAGTCTTCTGCAGTTAGTTGGAAGGTTTTGGAAATTCTGACTAATCCAGTTGTTGAAGAATAACTAGTTAGCTTAATAAATATGTTTTCTAGAGCTGATAAAAAAGATGATTTTTTCATCTGATGAGCTCTGACCCTCTATAAACCTTCTAACTTAACTCATTTTCCACCAGCTACAGAAATGTAACAAGATGCCAACAATTACATCCTCATGGAGCATGTATACTAGCTTATAAAATCACCCCTTTGTTGGAAAATTGTGTAATATCTTGATTTCAATTTAGCATGGCATGTTGGTTAGCAGTAAATCTTGCTAGTGTATGAACACAAGCCTGCAGGCAGTTTGGAGAACATTGATCAGGTGTAAATTGTATGTATTTTTCTCGCTTCTAAAAATTTTATAGCAGAATGAAATAAAGAGCTAGCATTGAGAACACTTTTTCAGTTGTTTTTTATTTTTTATTTTTATTTATTTTTATTATACTTTAAGTTCTAGGGAACATGTGCACAAGTGCAAGTTTGTTACATATATATACATGTGCCATGCTGGTTTGTAGGTTGTTTTTTATTTTGACATGTATCTTGTGGAAAGTGCCTTCTCTCTCCTGAAATCCATGATTTGTGTCTCTGACCACTTAGGTTCCCCATTTAGTATGTGACACATAGCAAAAGCAAACAAGCATAGTTAAAACGTGTATTTGTGCCTTGTGAAATGTGCATTATAAGCAGTTAATACTAGATTTGAAGGCTGTACAAAAAACATGCAAAAAGATATTAATATTAAATACTTAGTGCTTATTGTGTATATTAAGCATTTAATATATACAATATAATTTTGCATGAACTCTGAAAGATAAGTACTGTTATTAACTGAATTTTACAGATGAAGAAACAGGCCAAATAAGGTGACTTGCCCAAGAGTACACAGGAAGTATTGGAGCTGGTGTTTCAATCCTGGTGCACAGGCAGAGTGTAGTGTAGTCACTTTATCACCTTCTGCCTCTCATTTCTTCGGGCGAAATCAACACATACCTAGTGAATTCTTGCAATATATAAAACACTGTATTAGGCACATAATATGGAAGTTACCACATATCTAAATGGTAATAAAAGTGATCAGTTGAGGCTAGGCATGGTGGCTCACGCCTGTAACCCCAGCACTTTGGGAGGCCAAGGCAGGAGGATCACTTGAGGCCAGGAGTTCGAGACCAGCCTGGGAAACATGACAAAACCCCATCTGTACCAAAAATACAAAAATTAGCTGGGCCAGGCGCAGTGGCTCACACCTGTAATCCTAGCACTTTGGGAGGCTGAGGCGAGTGGATCACCTGAGGTCAGGAGTTCGAGACCAGCCTGACCAACATGGAGAAACCCCGTCTCTACTAAAAATGCAAAATTAGCCGGGCGTGGTGGCACATGCCTGTAATCCCAGCTACTCGGGAGGCTGAGGCGGGAGAATCACTTGAACCCGGGAGGTGGAGGTTGCGGGAGCTGAGATCGTGCCATTGCACTCCATCCTGGGCAACAAGAGTGAACCTCCGTCTCAAAAAAAAAAAAAACATTAGCCGGGTGTGGTGACACACACCTGTAATCCCAACTCCTCAGGAGGCTGAGGCAGGAGAATCACTTGAATGCCGGAGGCCGAAGGTGCAGTGAGCAGAGATCACACCACTGCATTCCAGCTTGGGTGACAGAGCGAGACTCTGTCTCAAAGGTAAAAAAAAAGAAACATGCTAATACATACAGCTGTTATTCCTTTTCAAACGATCATTGGAGTGATCATCACTTTTAGAGCAATTGAAATTTTAAGAATGAATAATAACAACCAACATTTATAAAATGCTTTACTATGAGGCAGGCACTACTTCAAGTGCTTTGTGTATAACCTGTTTGTAAGGTAGGACTATTCATTCTTCGTTTACAAAGGAAGAAGCTGAGGCATGTCAGGTGAAAGGACTTGCCCAAGATTACCTAGCTATTAATGTGGTAGAGCTGGAGCCAGGATTTAGACCCAGGCATCCAAGCTCCTTGATCTGTACATGTAACCATTATACTACATTACCTCTCATTTTCCTGATGAAGAAAACTTCTTTTAATGAGAAGGTATTGAAAATAGTTTCATATTAGGTTCTTATAAACATGAGCCTTTAAGTGCCTTTTTACTGTTTATAATAGACGTCACTGAGAAGATTGTTAAAATTTATAATATGATATCATTAAAGTAGCTTTTCCCAAATGATGTTCTGAGGAAGAAGGAAGTACTCTACAAGAAATTAATGATGCTAATAATAGTCTGAGATTTACAGTACCTGAGTAGTTCTAAAATTTACCTTGCCTAACCCAAGATGATTTGACGATGGGCCTCTCTCCTCTTTGTCTTCATAGCAGCCATTCACTTGTCTAGAAATCTTTGCATTTGGTTAAGCAGTTTGGATAGTGCTGATGTAAGGTTATAGTGCTAATTCCTTTGCTTATTTCTTCTAAATACACATCCCAAGGGAAACCATTGATTAATTAAACTTGGAGTTTGTCCTTCAGAATAGAAAACCAAAAATCATCAAATTCACCCCTTGTCTCTATTAATGTATTGATTTAGTAATATTTATGTAATTCTTTAAATGTAGTATAAAACTTTAGAGTTGCAGGAGATCTTTGAGATCACCAAGTCCAGGGTTTTAAGGCTAAGGTTCAAGGAGCCCTTTTTTCTGGGGTTTGTAGACCTCTGAAATTATATGCAAAAAGAGTATTTTTCTGGAGCTTCTTGCCCCTCCTCTCCTTCAGCAGGTCATTTGACCTAGGCCAGTGGTTCCCAAACTTTGCTGCACATTAGAATTACTGGAGGAGCTTTTAAACGTTAGATGCCCAGATCACACCTCCATGCTGCTTAAATAAAAATGTTGGAGTGGGAGTCAGGCATTAGAACTTTTTGAAGTTTCCTTGTGATGCCAGCATGCATCACATGCTTTCTTCTTTAATAGATGAACAAGTAGGATCTACTTATGTGGCTGAGGAAGCAATCTAGAGATGTTAATTGGTCAGGGCTCTGCTTCCTGCTAAAAGAGATTTTAGAGATCGTTCTGAAGGAGTCTTGTGGGGAAGTGGCTCTGGAGCTAGAATGCTTAGGTTCAAATCCCAAGTTTTCCTCAGCTGACTAATAGGGATGATAATATAGCACTGACCACACTGGGATAGTCGCTGCCTGAGCTACAGAGGTGGTGAGCTTGTCCTCAGCCTCAACAGAAAGGTCAGCTGAACAGACTCCAAGGCAGTGGAGGGACGGCAGCCCCCAGCACTCCACTCTGCCATACTGTTTGGGAAGGAAAAGCTGTAAACCGATGTCCTCATTACCTTCTAACGAAGACCTCCTCTCCTCTTGCTCTCTTACGCCAAGAATGGCTAGAATCCGTTTCTCTTTGTGGCTCCTTCCACCCCACCTCATGTTATTTAAGTAATCAGAAAAGGAGTCTATTATTTTCAGAGTAACACATGCTCCTTGTACAGACTTTGAAAAACAGAAAGATTTGGAGATGATACATTATCACTGCAAATTTGACTATAAAGATAACTACTGTTGAAAGTGTGTATTTTCTTCCAGTCTTTTTTCCTTTTTTCCTACATGTAAATATGTATGCTATATTTAAATAAAAAGAAGACTGTGTGAGCTATATAATTTTGTATCTTCCTTTCTAAATTTAAAATCTGTTGTGAGCCTTTTCCCATATTCTTGATTATTCTTTGAAGCTGACTAAATAGCTGCATAGTATTTATGTCTTTATCCTTCAAAATTTAAGGTGCTCCTAAATCTTCTGCTATTACAAATAATACCGCTACTAAAAATTTGTGCATGTGTGGATAATTATTTCCCATAGAATAGATTACTAAAGGAGGTAATACTGAGGCATGACTATGAATTCTTTTTCTAAAGCTTTGGAAGCATATTATCAAAAACTGTTCCAAAAAGATAGTACCAATTTATACTTATGGGCAGAGTATAAGGGAGTGTGGGCATCTAATTGATTCTTAATGCTTACCTTTTGTCATGTTAATGTAGTAGAGGGAAGAATGGATCCTTAGGAGTTACTTTGCATTTCTTTGATTACTAATGACTTGGACATTTTAAAATGATTAATGGCCATTGCTAAATAACAGTGTTGTGGTTATTTCCCCATCCTTATTCCTATGCCCTGCAGATAAGCATCTTCAACTCTTTCAACCACATTTAGTCTGGCTTCTTAGGGAAGTTGGAGGTCTGTAATATTCTTACGCTGTTGTTTCTTATTTTTAAATTGTAGACATTATCTGTTGACTTCTTGCGAGTGTAGATAAGGATAAAGGTCCCTCATACACATACACTTTTCTCTTTCCCTTTGCCCCTCTTATCTCAATATACACTACTTTTATGTAGGTAAGTATATGTATTCAGTGCTTATATTTTTATGAGTTTGTAAATATTATTCACACTTGAGCCATCAAAATTTTTTGTTGTTGTTTTTTTGAGACAGGGTCTCTCTCTTTCAGCCAGGCTGGAGTGCAGTGGCGCGATCTCAGCCCACTGCAACCTCCACCTCCTGGGTTCAAGTGATTCTCTTGCCTCAGCCTCCAAAGTAGCTAGGACTACAGGTGCACACCACCATGCCCAGCTAATTTTTGTATTTTTTGTATTTTTTTGAGATGGAGTCTCACTGTCGCCTAGGTTGGAGTGCAGTGGCGCGATCTCGGCTCACTGCAACGCTCCATCTCCCAGGTTCAGGCGATTCTCCTGCCTCAGCCTCCTGAATAGCTGGGATTACAGGCGTGCTCCACTACGCCCGGCTAATTTTGTGTTTTTTAGTAGAGACGGGGTTTCACCATGTTGGCCAGGCTGGTCTCGAACTCCTGACCTCAAGTCTGTATAAAAAAGCCTGTATATGTTCTGTAAAGACGCAACCATCCACTTTTTTCCCCTCAGGTATTTTATTTATATATTTGGAGACAGGGTCTTTCTCTGTTGCCCAGGCTGGTGTGCAGTAGTGTGATTTCAGCTCACTGCAACTTCCGCCTCCTGGGTTCAAGTGATTCTTCCCCCTCAGCCTCCTGAGTAGCTGGGATTATAGGCATGGGCACCACCCCAACCCTCGACTACCCCAGGTGTTTTGAATTGAGGTTAGTTGACTCCACACATACAGAGGTCCAACTGTATATAAAGTAAAGAGTAAAAGTTTTACCTCATTGGCCCTGTGTGTTCTTCTCTGAAAACAGCTTTCCAAAGGCAGCCACACTTGGTGGTTTGTATGTATTCTTACAGGGCTTTTTAAAGCACTTGTAAGCTAATATTATACCTACGTTTATGTATTTCTTGTAACAGAAATTGGGATCGGACTTTGGTATTTTTTCTTTTGAAAAGTTTTTAGATATATAAGACATATATGAGTACATTCTTCTTGAAAAAGTTCTAATAGCAGAAAGAAAGTGTCACACAAACTCCCTGAGTCTCACTTACCTTATCTGTAAAATGGGAAGGATTATATATTCTTCATAGGGTTGTTAATTAGAATTTAATGAAATTATGCATTTAGGTGGCCTAACACAGTGCCTATTCAATAACAAAAATGAGCTAGTTATTTTGAACATGTATCAGCTTTGGAATTTTTAATGAAGAGCATTTTGGCATATTACTGTATAGTTTGACAGTGGTCTTTTGATTTGCTCAGTCCTTTTTCAGGGTCTTACAGAAGAAAAGGAGAGTCTTACATGTTTTCCTTCATAGCTTTGTATGCTGTAAATATGAGTTTAGTTTAATAGCAGAGTTTTTCTTTCTTTTTTGAATTAATTATTTGGATTGCTTCCTCTCTACTGCCTTCAAGCCAAAAGCTCAGAGTTTCCCAAACCAAAGTGTGCCTCAATCACAATTTTTACCAGTTTTATACAATCTGTATTAATTATTTTATCTTTTTTTTTTTTTTGAGATGGAGTCTTACTCTGTCACCCAGGCTGGAGTGCAGTGGCACAATCTCAGCTTACTGTAATCTCCACCTCCCAGGCTCAAGCGATTCTCCTGGCTCAGTCTCCCAAGTAGCTGAGATTACAGGCGTGCACCACCACGCCTGGCTAATTTTTATATTTTTAGTAGAGAGGGAGTTTCACTGTGTTGCCCAGGCTGGTCTTGAACTGCTGACCTTAAGTGATCCTCGTGCCTTGGCCTCCCACAAGTGCTGGGTTTACAGGCATGAGCCACTGCACCCAGCCCCTGTATTATTTTCTTAATACTTGCTTTCACATTACCGCACTAAAGAGGCATAATAACCAAATGCCGTGCATGGAAAACAGTACAGTTGACCCTTGAACAACACAGGTTTGTGCTGCGCTGGTCAACTTACGTGCTGATTTTTTTCAACCAAATCTAATACAGTATTCATGGATGCAAAATGCACACATACAGAGGGCTGATTTTTTGTCTCTGTGGGTTCTTCAGGGCCAGCTGCAGGACTTGAGTATGTGTGGATTTTGTTATAGTCTGAGGTCTTGGAACTGATCCCTCATGTATAACAAGGGATGACAATATTAAAAAATTACTTATTTGGGGGATAATTGGATACATTTGAATTTGGATTACATATTAAGGGAACTTAATGGCATTAATGTTATTGTTCTTCAATATGATAATGGCATTTTGATTATCTAGGATGTCTTTATGAGTTGGGAGATGCCTTCGGAAGTATTTAATGGTGAAGTGTCTTGATGTTTGCAGCTTACTTTCAAATGGTTCAGCAAAAATCATACTAAAATATGTATGTATAAATATATGTGTGAATATAGACAGATATAGATAAAGATATGAGGCAAAAGATAGGACCCCTAATTGTTGAATCTAGGTGAAGGGCATACCAGTGTTCATTATGCTACTTCAACTTTTCTGTAGGGCTGAAAGTTTTTCAAAGTGTAAACTTGGAAAAATAAATGTAATTAGAATATTTACTTAAAATTAAATTGCCTCATTTTCTTTATCTTAGTAGATTTACTAAAAAAAAGGAGTCTATATCATTATTGTAAGTGGAAAACAAGCATTCCTTGCCATAAATAGAAGATAACTGTAAAAGTTATTATTTTAAAAAGTTTCAGCTGGATATTGTTGTCTGCCAAGGCTCTGAGCCTGAGGCCTGCTCTCTCAAAAGAAGATTAACAAGCATTAGAGGCGTTAAACACAATATTAGCACCAAAATGAGACTTTCTTCTTGACTTAATGGGAAGGTATGAAAGAAAATTGAAAAGGGAACAAGTTTCTCATTCTGTGTGATTCAGCTCACCTCATAACATCTCAAGTCTCACCTCAAGGCATCTTGAGTACCACTAGTGATAGAATCCCACACTTGGGGAAATACTGTATCAGGTGATTTCAGTGTAATGTGTTAGAATGAAAGTAAATTTTTATATTAAATACTGTTTATAGTGCCCATTATGTCTTTTTTAAACCTTGTATGTTGGTTTATCATCATCATTATTATTATTTGGTAGTCTCGATAACTAGAGCTAGCTGCATGGTTAGCTGCGTGATGTCCTGGCTTAGGGCAGATGTCAGATATTGCAGTCTAAATTATTATTGGGGTATACTTATTCTATTTTATGATATGCAGTGTTGCCTGACTCTCGAAGCATAATAAAGCCAATTGAGATCTTTAAAAAATTAATTATTATTGATTTCTTACTCTGAAGTTGCTCTTGTAGTGGGTTTTTGCTATATATATTTTTTCTTTCCTTCTTTTTTTCTTGCTACATTGTTCCTGCTGTTATTTGGAAGGCACTAGGACATTTTGCCTCTTGAACAATGAAAGGATCCAGATCGTGTCTGTCTCACATTTTGTTATCCCAGTACAAGACTCAATTGAATAAAACATATTACCCATCTGGCCTGGAAATCTCAGTGGCACTCAAAATAACTTACTAACAAGTTGTTGGATCATGATATCTTGAGATTTTCTGAAAGTTCAGCTTCTTTTTAGCTGTTGCTAAGAGAGAAATTTCATTGACATGAGGGACACGAGGACATGTCTGCACACTGCCAGTTGTTTTAGAGGCATTTGGCTCTGCCGCCTTGCAGATGGTTAGACTCTGGGTGGTGGGTGAATGTATGCTGATTATCTTATTGAATTAAGGTAACCTTTTGTCATTCATTGAATTCTGCAGACCAGTTGGTCAGTGAGCAGCTGCTCCATGTGGCTTGGTTTGGGTTTTGAAGTACACAAAAACTATCTTAAAGGGTGGTCAGTCTAATCCAGGTATTCAACAAAGCAATATTGAAAGCCTTCTTCCCCTTTTGACACTGTTTTCTGTTCTGATGGAAGTGAATGAGCAAAAATATTTTTACTTTTTGCTCAATTAACTAAATGATTGAAGCAAAGGTTTATGGAATGGCCGAATAAGAATTTTTTAACCTAGTGCTTTAAGTTGAAGAAAATACACTTTCATAATATTTGGTGTCAGAAACATTCTACTTTTATGGCATGGTCTTATGTTTGAAGATACGTGGTAGAGTTTTTAAAGTTTATTTTTACAAATATCTAGAAACTAAAAAGCATTCTTTTTTATCATGCATGCTTAATAACATCATCTTGACAAATACTAGCTGCATAACTTTTGGTTTGTAGGGTTGTTTTAAGATCAGTTTTTTGTTTGTTTATTATATTTTAAGAGACGGTGTCCCTGTCTTGCCCAGGCTCGTCTTGAACTCCTGAGCTCAAGCAATCCTCCTGCTTCAGCTTCCCAAATAACTGGAATAAATCTGCCATATTTTTTCTATATGGCTTCCATTTCAGTTTCTAGAAACTCTTTCAGGAGGCTTCATTTTAAATAAAGAGGTTCTTAATTGTTTTTAGTAAATTGCTGAAATTGTATGGCTCATTTCTCTTCTCAGAGATTTTTATCTTGAGCTGATCCTTTTGGTTTTACTGAAGGTGCAATATAGGTAACCTCAGAGAAAGTGACTTTAGCCACTAGTTGATTTGCTTATTGTCAGAGAGAAATCATTTAACAGTGATTGATGAGGAACTGTTTAATTTCTCCAGTTTAGTCACCTGTTGGGCCCTAGAGCCTTTCGATTCAGAGCTCACTGTTTCATTTGCATTTATATCCTAGTAACTATCATAATGTCTACCAGTATTTATTAAGCACATATTCTGTGCTGGGTGTCGCCGTTTATATATGCTCTTTCATTTTGTCCTCACCACAACTTTATGAGGCAGGTCTTGTTAGCTCCATGTTAGAGATGATACAGCAGCCTCCCAGGGATGTTCATTCACTTGTCTGGTATCATGCAGATAGTTAATGGCTGGGCCATATTGGAGTCCAGGGCCTTCAGACTCTCAGGCTCATGCTCCCTTCTGCCCTGCTGCTGTTTTAATGAAAATCAGCCTTGTTCTGAACCACAGTTTTACAATGAAGCTTAAGATTAAACTGAAAATGCTCAAGTTCTCTGTTAGGGCTTCAGATTCTATGTCTATACTTGTCTTATTAATGGTAAAAATAATGTAACAACATTAAAGAAAAATTTTGAAGGGTGAAACACTGTTTAGACTCTTGCCACCTTAATACAACCGTTTTGTTTTTGCTTATTTCCTTCCAGATTTGTTTATGCGCGTGTCCTTTCACACAACTATAATCAAAGCATATATACAGCTATGCAGTTTTTTTTTTAAACATAGTGTTATTTTATACATATTTTCTTTTTAAATGTTCTTTTTTGTTTTTGAGATGGAGTCTCACTCTGTTGCCCACCCAGACTGGAGTGCAGCGGTGCGATCTCCCCTCAGTGCAACCTCTGTCTCCTGAGTTCAGGTGATTCTCCTGCTTCAGCCTCCCTTGTAGCTGGGATTGGCCATGCCTGGCTAATTTTTGTATTTTTAGTAGATACAGGGTTTCGCCATGTTGGCCAGGCTGGTCTCGAACTCCTGGCCTCAAGCAATCTGCCTGCCTGGGCCTCCCAAAGTGCTGAGATTACAGGCGTGAGCCACCACGCCTGGCTTTAAATGTTGTTCTTTAAAAAGACTTTTCCCACCTCTTTGAATTTCCCAATCTCAACGAGGTCCCTTTTATAATTCGAACAAAGGACCATATGCTTTTTCTTATTAGCCTTTATTATAGTCTAATTATGTATTTATTTGTCTGGCTATTTTGTAACTTAAGTTGTCCCCTCTAAATGGAAAAGCTTCATGAAGACAGGGACCTTATTTCTGCTGTATGGATGCAAGCAGTTATTTATTAACTAAGATTAAGCTTCTGTTTATCTGTTACCTCATCTGTCAGAAACAGTTGGACAGATTTTCACCAAACTTAGAAGGTTTTTGAAGGGCATCTGTGGTGATCAGGAGACACATGACATATATTTTCTGATCCTGTGTCTGAGATAACATACAGAGATTTCAAACATGAGACCTGGCTGGGTGCAGTGGCTCATGCCTATAATCACAGCAATTTGGGAGGCTGAGGCAGGAGGATCAGTTGAGTCCGGGAGTTTGAGAACAGCTTGGGCAACTTAGCGAGACCCCACCTCTACAAAAATACAAAAATTAGACAGGTGTGATGGCATGCCCCTGTAGTCCCAGCGACTTGGGGGTGCTGAGGCAGGAGGATCAATCACTTGAGCCTGGGAGGTTGAGTCTGTTGAGTCTGCAGTGAGCCATGATCACACCACTGCATTCCAGCCTGGGAGACAGAACAAGACTCTGTCTCAAAAGAC
The DNA here is from genome assembly GCF_000001405.40 of Homo sapiens. Classification (NCBI taxonomy): domain Eukaryota; kingdom Metazoa; phylum Chordata; class Mammalia; order Primates; family Hominidae; genus Homo; species Homo sapiens. The sequence continues at coordinate 74,870,300 of NC_000010.11, forward strand.
AAAAAACCCCACGAAAAACCAAATATGAGACCATGAGACCTATATTGAAGGGCCCAAGGGCAGATTGTCAAGATGGCAGACCTTGGTTTGCACTTTAGAGTTGGGTAGCTTCTTAACTTGGGCTGTTCCACATCTTAATCTAGGATGAGCAGCAACAAGGATGTCTTTATTTAATAATGACCAACAAGTCTCCCAGTCACATACTGACTAATTTCAAATAAATGCATTTGATCTTTTCATTTTCATTTTGCTTGTTTAAATATAAATTGTCTATTGAAAGAGTTTTTTTTTCTTTTTGAGACAGAGTTTTGCTCTTGCTGTCCAGGCTGGAGTGCAATGGTGGATCTTGGCTCATTGCAGCCTCCGCCTCCTGGGTTCAGGCGATTCTCCTGCCTCAGCCTCCTGAGTAGCTGGGATTACAGGCATGCGCCACCACGCCCAGCTAATTTTGTATTTTTAGTAGAGACGGGGTTTTCCATGTTGGTCAGGCTGGCCTCAAACTCCTCACCTCAGGTGATCTGCCTGCCTCGGCCTCCCAAATTGCTGGGATGACAGATGTGAGCCACCATGCCTGGCGTTTTTTTGTTTTTTTTTTTGATATGGAGTCTTACTCTGTCACCCAGGCTGGAGTGCTATGGCACGATCTCGGCTCACTGCAACCTCTGCCTCCCGGGTTCAAGTAATTCTCCTGCCTCAGCCTCCCAAGTAGCTGGGATTACAGGTGCCCAGCACCACGCCCAACTAATTTTTTTGTGTGTTTTTAGTAGAGACGGGGTTCCACCATGTTGGCCGGGCTGGTCTCAAACTCCTGACCTCACGTGATCCACCTGCCTGCCTCAGCCTCCCAAAGTGCTGGGATGACAGGTGTGAGCCACCAAGCCTGGCCTTTTTTTTTTTTTTTTTTTTTTTTTGATATGGAGTCTTACTCTGTCACCCAGGCTGGAGTGCTATGGTGCCATCTCAGCTCACTGCAAGCCCTGCCTTCTGGGTCCAAGTGATTCTCCTGCCTCAACCTCCCAAGTAACTGGGATTACAGGCACACACCGTCATACCCGGCTGATTTTTGTATTTTTAGTAGAGATGGGGTTTCACCATGTTGGCCAGACTGGTCTCGAACTCCTGACCTCAAGTGATCCACCTGCCTTGGCTTCCCAAAGTGTTGGGATTACAGGCGTGAGCCACCATGCCTAGCCCTCATATGGTTTATGAGTACTTAAGACATGTTTGATTCAATTTAAAAAATAATTACAAGCTGGGCATGGTGGCTAATGCCTATAATCCCAGCACTTAGGGAGGCTAAGACAGGAGGATTGCTTGAGCCCAGGAGTTTGAAAGCAGCCTGAGCAATATAGAGATACTCTGTCTCTACAAGAAATTTAAGAATAGGCTGCAACACTCACTCTAAGGGGAGCATTGTGAGGTATACCAAGATGAGTAAGAACAATATGGTTTAGCATGCCAGAACAAGGAAGTTTCAGGTGCTAGAAACACAGACATCCTCAGCTCAAACAGGAACGCCCAGAACAGTATACAAGAAAGCCTGGAGCTGGAGTCAGAAGACTGGCTCCCATGTGTGGTGTCCTAACTCTCTCTAGACCTCAATTTCCTCATATGTTTAATAAGGATAACAACCTACTCTTCAGCCCACCTGAGAGGACAGGATGCTTCAAGAAAGACAGTGAGCAGCAGGTCCTTTAAAAATCAAAGGAAAACAGGCTCCTGGATAGGTGTGAGATAGAAGTGAATTATGGCACATACGAGAGCAACAATAAATTATCCTTTACTAACAGTAACCTAAGGGAAATGCCCGGCATTGTGTCTGGCACAGACTAGATACTCAGTAGTTCCCTTCTCACACTTGCTCAGCCCTGTTTGAACCCAGACAGAGAGCAGCTCAAAATATGCAAGTATTACATACTCACAGAACCTGGAGACAAGAGAAGCGGCTTCTAGGCACATGGGCTCCCATCCTTGCAGCAGCTGGTATAGAGGTTGCATGACAACTTGTGAGGATTCTGCAGTAGCGTGGGCTCAGCTACATGACCTAAATAAAGGTCTCTTTCAACCCTGAGATTCTGTAAGTTTCTTTTTCTTTAGACAGAGTCTCACTCTGTCACCCAGGCTGGAGTGCAGTGACACGATCTCGGCTCAGCGCAACCTCTGCCTCCAAGGCTCAAGTGATCCTTCCACCTCAGCCTCCCGAGTAGGTGGGACTACAGTTGTGTACCACCATGGCTGGCAAAGTTTTAAAGTTTTTTTGTAGTGACAGGGTCTCACTATGTTACCCAGGCTGATTTTGAACTCCTAAGCTCAAGCGATCCTCCCACCTCAGGCTCCTGAGTAGCTGGGACTACAGTCTTGTGCCACCACTCCTGGCTAATTAATTTTTTTTTTTTTTGTAGAGAGGGGGTTCTGCTATGTTGCCCAGGCTGGGTGAACTCCTGGGTTCAAGTGATCCTCCCACTTTGGTCTTCCAAAGTGTTGGGGTTACAGGCATGAGCCACTGTACCTGTCTTAGTTTATGTTTTAAAGTCATCGAGAGACATGAAAACTAAATGGTCCTAGGTTGGAGGAAGAAAACTTACTGTAAAGGACAGTATTGGGGAAAACTGGCAAATTTGGAATATGTACTGACTGTTAGATGATACTCTTATATCAATGTTAAGTGTCCTAAGTCTGATAATACATTATGGAAATGAAGAGAATGACCTTGTTCTTAAGCGGGGTGAATGATCATGGTCTTTACAACTTATTCTCAAATGATTCACAAAAGAGAGATAAAGCAAAAGTGGCCAGTTTTAAAGGGCATATGGGTGTTTATTGAATTATTCCTGCAACTTTTCTATAGGTTTGAAATTTTTTCAAAATAAAACTTTTTTGCCCAGGCATGGTGGCTCACGGCTATAATTTCAGTGCTTTGGGAGGCTGAGGTGGAAGTATCGCTTGAGGCCAGGAATTGGAGACCAGCCTGGGCAACATAGAGAGATCCCATCTCTACAAAAAATGAAAAAAAAAAAAAGCCAGATGTGATGGCATGTGCCTGTGGTTCCAGCTGCTCAGGAGGCTGAGGCAGGAGGATCGCTTGAGCCCAGGAATACAAGGCTGCAGTGAGCTATGATCATGCCACTGCACTTTAGTCTGAGCAGCAGCAAAATAAATAAATAAATAAATAAATAAATAAAATAAAACTTTTTAAAGGTCACCGAGGCTGCTGTGTGGCCAGGGGAGCTATAGAGGAGCAAGGGTAGAGGAGGGCAAGCCTGGGAGGAGGCCTTTGTGAGGATGGAGGCATAGACTGGGGTTTTGACAGTGGGGATGGAGAGATGAGGACAGATCTGAAATATGTTTTGAAGAACATATTTAACAGAACTTGCTCATGGATTGGAAGAGATTTTAGGGGAGAGAGAGGGAGGTAGATGTTCCCCACTTGGTGCACCCTGATGGTTGCAGACTGAATTCCAATAGAATCTTCTCCCCAAGGTCTTTTTATTCCCTCTCTCTTTTCCTCAATTCAGCCACTCTATGAGTAGTTAATACAGGTATTTATTTCACAGATGAGGTGAGACTCAGGGAGATGAAATGACTCATTTAGAGTTATCAGGTGCAGACAGAAATTTTACTCTACCCAGAAAACCAAAATATAGGCATGAAATCAGTGTTCTTCAAACTGAATTGTCTCTCATTAATTGATTGTGAAATCAACATAATGAGTTCCTATCAGCATTAAAGAAAAAAAAAAGAGAAACAGAATAAAAATATAGCATGCCTTGTGTAAAAGGGTAAGTAATGTTTCATGAAACTTCTATTTTAGTTTAATATTCACATATGTGTATAGTAGGTCATGATGTGAACGTATTTCTTACTTGAAGTTATGAAAAATTGGAAAGGCACATACAGGATCATTGTAGAAGGAACTTATGTTATCACAGAGGTCCTGTAGTCCCCATGGGAATAAGAAAGCAAAAGACAAATTCACTTGGGTGGTTACTGTAGGTTGTCATATGTTGTTTATTTCTTCAGTGACTGATAGGCTGTAAGTCTGTCAGTTTCTTAGTTGTTTTCTTAGTTGATTTTTCTTTTCTTTTCTTTTCTTTTTCCGAGACAGAGTCTTGCTCTGTCGCTCAGGCTGGAGTGCAGTGGCGCAATCTCGGCACACTGCAACCTCTGCCTCCTAGTTCAAGGGATTCTCCTGCCTCAGTCTCCCGAGTAGCCAGGATTACAGCCATGCGCCACCACACCCAGCTAATTTTTTGTAGTTTTAGTAGAGACAGGGTTTCTACCATGTTGGCCAGGCTGGTCTCAAACTCCTGACCTCAAGTGATCCACCTGCCTCGGCCTCCCAAAGTGCTGGGATTATAAGCGTGAGCCACCATGCCCAGCCTTTCTTAGTTGATTTCATAGTCATCCTGTACTTCCAGTCTTGCCATTAGCAAATATTGAGTACTTGCTGTGTGCAGGGTTAGAAGTTACTTCTTTGTGTGAGATCTATGTTTTGTGTGTGGGTGGTGTGTGTGGGGTGTGTGTGTGTGTGTATGTGTGTGTGTGTTTGTGTGTTTAAAAGTAGACTTTTTTTTGAAGAGCAATTTTAGATTTACAGCAAAATTGAGTGGAAGGGGCAGAGATTTCTCATGTACTCCCTACCCCTACACATGCACAATTTTCCCCATTATCAACCTCCCCCACCAGAATGGTTGTTACATCTGATGACACATTGTAATTGCACAGCCTTATCACCCAAAGCCCATAGTTTACATTAGGGTTTACTCCTGGTGTTGTATATTCTATGGGTGTGAGATACATGTTTAAAAATATTTTGTATTAGATAAATTGGGGATAATAGTCATTTCAAGAACAAAATGTTGGATAAATTAAATTAGCTAATAAACACAGAGTGCTTTAAACATTCCTAGTGCAAAATAAGATCTTGTTGTTTGTGGTGGTGGTGGCTATTCAGGCTTAAGGTCTAGATTCCACTTAGTATGTAAGTAAATAATAGCAATCCTGGCTGTCATCTGTATGTGTAATGTAGTAATCAGTTTTGTTTAGCTAGTTCTTATGTGTAGCACATTAAAGCAATCTTGAATAGTGAGGGGACCTCATTACTAGATTACCATTAAATGGTAATGTTAAGTGACCCTGAAACCAAAGTAATGGAAAATTGTCTTCCTTTTTTTCTTTTTTTTTTTTTTTCCCTTGAGATGGAGTCTTGCACTGTCACCCAGGCTGGAGTGCAGTGGCTCATGGCAACCTCCACTTCTTGGGTTCACGAGATTCTCCTGCCTCAGCCACCCAAGTAGCTGGGATTACAGATGTACGCCACCACACCCGGCTAATTTTTGTATTTTTAGTAGAGATGAGGTTTCACCATGCCGGCCAGGCTGATCTCGAACTCCTGAGCTCAAGTGACCTGCCCACCTCAGCCTCCCAGAGTGCTGGGATTACAGGCATGAGCCACTGTGCCCAGCCTGTCTTCCTTTTTCTCAAACATTTAATTTGCTGTTTCTTGATCACATATCATCCTTCTTTCCTTTCAAGGTCAGGGGAGATAATTTTTTACTGTATGTACTGCTGCATCTTCACACAAATTATCATCTGAAAAGCCTTCTCAGATTTGACAAATGAAGTCTCTTTTCATTCCCAGGAGGAACTTGTTAAACCAATGAAGTTCAAAATTCTAATTCCTGTTCCTTTCTAGTGTGCACCACTTTATTCATCTTGAATAAACATACAACCTCAAGCATCCTACAAGGCAAATAGATTCCTTTTTAATTAGTGGCTCTATACACAGAGTTTTATCATCATGAAATTTATAAACCAGGAAGGGAACAAATATTTACACTTGCAACTTCATGTCAACATTGCCTACTATTTGAAGAGCTCTGAAATTGTAAATGTATCACCCCCTCCTTCTTCCCCCACTCCCCACCCCTGCCGGCTTTTAAACTATGGCAGTAGAAAAATAGGTTTCAACTTTCTAGGAGCACATCTCTCCTATGTGGGGAATGTGGCAGATTCTTTATATAAGTGCTCTTTCTTTGTGACTGGCATTACTTTTTTTTCTCACAAAGATTTGTTTCAGAAGCTAATCTTCATTTTTTTGGTTGTTGCTTTTTGTAGTACTATTTCTAAGGCATCTCCAAGTAGAAAGGCAAAATTTTATTTTGAGAAGTTACTGCTTTCATAGTTACACAGAATTATTTCTCAATTTAAGTAGGCCTTTTATTCCAGGACAAAATTAAGCCAGTCAGAAGGTTTCTGGGAGAAAAATAATGAAGAGCTGAGGTTTTGTATGTTAATGTGGGCAGTCTAATGCTTGATAAAAGAAAACTTTTGGCTGGGTGTGGTGGCTCATGCCTGTAATCCCAGCACTTTGGGAGGCCGAGGTGGTCGGATCACCTGAGGTCAGGAGTTTGACACCAGCCTGGCCAACATGGTGAAACTCCATCTCTACTAAAAATACAAAATTAGCTGGGCATGGTGGCGCATGCGTGTAGTCTCAGCTACTCGGGAGGCTGAGGCAGGAGAATCGCTTGAACCTGGGAGACTGAGGCTGCAGTGAGCTCAGATCGCACCATTGCACTCCAGCCTGAGTGACAGAGTGAGACTCCATCTCAAAAATAAAATAAATAAAATAAAGAAAACTTTTTTTTTGTTTGTTTGGCCCTTGTCAGGGACAGATTCCGTCTCAGAAAAGTCTCGCTCTGTTGCTCAGGCTGGAGCGCAATGGTGCAATCTCGGCTCACTGCAACCTCTACCTGCCGGTTCAAGCGATTCTCCTGCCTCAGCCTTCCCAGTAGCTGGGATTACAGGCATGCGCCACCACGCCTGGCTAATTTTTGTATTTTTAGTGGAGACAGGGTTTCACCATGTTGGCCAGGCTGGTGTCAAACTCCTGACCTCAGATAATCTGCCCACCTCCGTCTCCCAAAGTGCTGGGATTACAGGCATGAGCCACCACACCCAGCCAAGAAAACTTTTAAAGATGTGTAAATATGCAGTGATTTAAAAATCTCAGTTGAAGCTTGTTAAAATGTATCAAAATAATTTAGGAAAAGGGGGGCTGATTTTGCCAAAATTTGGGAGATGCATACTTTTTTTCAAGGCTTTACTGCAGTTTTAAAAAATATTTTATTGTTTTGTAGGCAGCTTCTGAACCAGAGTAGGCTCAGAGACTCCCTTTATTGCAGTTTTGATGCTGCAGAAAGTGACTGCTTAATTTCAGCTGTTGAGGATGTTGGTTATACTATGCCTGGATCAAAAAAATGATTTTACATTGCTTAGTTTGTTAAAATATGTTTAATAGGTTAATCTTTTTTTCAAAGCATCAAAAATAATTAAGATGAAATATCAGATAAACCCTATGTCTAGAATGAATAATTTAGTTCTAAACATCCTGGATGCTAAGGAGAAAAGAACAAGATGTTGGTTTATAAAATTCTTATTGTCAAATAAAGAAGCATAGAAGTTTGAAGAAAGATAATTTTTTTGTTTTTATTTTTTCTCTCTGAATTTAGGAGTAATTTATGTTTGGGTTCTAATCCTATGTTATCATCAAAGAGTAATAACATTGGCAATCTTCCCTCCCATTCTGCTTCATCCTCCCCACTAAAGGGAAATACCAGATTGTAAAAGAAAAAAAAAAAGCATGCTGGTTGTATAAAAAGAAACATTTTAAACAAATAAGAAATATATATATTGAAATGCAGTCTCCCTGAATGATGCTAAACCCCTGTCCAAGTAGGCATTTCTCAGCCCACAGAAAGGGATGGCATTAAATCACAGCTCAATGGAGACATTTTTATGAGGAGCTGTGATGGTTTGTGTTTAGCAAACATGTATTGGGCATCTCAGATTTGCCTGTTAGGGATGCAACAGTGAGTGAGATACTATTTGTTCCCTTAAGAAACTCAAAGAGGAAAGGGGTTGACTTGTTCAGTCAGTGACTTATGAAATATTTCATACTCATTCATTTACAGAGTACTTTTTGTAGGTATAGTACAGCGTGGTCAGCCAGGGAGACTATAGTGGGTGCATTAGTAACTAACCATACAACTAATGCTAATGTTGCGGGCTGACTGGGTTTGGGGTGAACAAATGACCCCTAAAGCTCAGGAGTTCTAGACCAGCCTGGGCAACACAGTGAAACCCTGTCTCTACTAAAATACAAAAAATTAGCCGGGTATGGTAGCATGTGCCTGTAATCCCAGCTACTCGGGAGGCTGAGGCAGGAGAATCACTTGAACCCGGGAGGTGGAGGTTGCAGTGAGCCAAGATGGTGCCGCTGCACTCCAGTCTGGGTGACAGAGCAAGACTCCATCTCAAAAAAAAAAAAAAAAAAAAGACATTTGTTTTGGCTGGGGAAGGCTTTGCAGAGGGAGGTAACTTCTAGATTGAGATTTGAAGTCAGAGTCCATCCAGAAAGTAGGGAAGACATTTTATGTAGAGAAGTAACAAGCTACAGGGATCAGAGGTATGAACCAGGGTGCATGTTTGGGTTATGGTGAGTGGTGTCTGGCCAAACTGTGTGGCTCAGGGTCTTTCTGCTTCACCATCTTTAGCATAGAAGCCTTCCTTGTGCTCACTTGCTCATCTCATTCTCACAAAATAGCTGCTTCATATCTAGGCACCATCTCTCTATTCCCACAGGGGAAAGAGGGAAAGTGCCAAGGGTAACAGCGGAAACGTCTTCCTTTTTATTCAGGAAATGAGGGACTCCCCAAGGCTTCTGCTTATATTTCATTGGCTTGAGCTGAGCCGTACAACCATCACTAGTGGCAGGTAGTCTGGGATGTCAAGAAAGTAGCTTCCCAGTCTCTTTGGTTAGAAGGCAAAGGAGAAGATGGTGGGAATCGGTTTGCATCAGTCACTCTACACATTATCTGCTTTGTTAGGGCAGCATTATCTTAGTATTGTTACCAAGTTCAGGGTCTTTTCTGGGGTGATCAAGCATCCTGGGTCGCCTGGGACCAAGTGGTTTTCTGGGTTGTAGGACTTTGAGTGCTATAGCCTGGAAAGCCCTAGGAAAACCAGGATGGTTGGCCATCCTAGTCTTTCCCCATATCCTCTGTTGTCCAAAAATATGGAAGCAGGTCATTTCTTGACATAGGAGCTGCCTTGACTGGGCTTAAAAAGGCCTGAAAGGCAGCTTAATAATTTACAATGAGAAATAAATGATATTGGATCAGGGGAGGATACTGGAAGAAGAGCTCCATGGGATTTGCTTGGTGCTCGTGAGATTTTGACTGACAAGAGATCTTAGGGCTACTATATTACCCAAATTCAGGGGACTCTGTTCACTTTGCCAGCAGCCTGGGATTAATTCTGTAGTGCTAATGCCATTCTGAGAAGCCTTTCAATGAATCTGAGCTCAGGGTTCTTAGTCCCCCTGTTACTGAAGCTTCTCCCCAGACAGTGTCGTTTTTGTTTTTTCCTTCCTTTCTAAGCTTCTGGTGCTGACTAGTCTCCCCTTCTAATGGACAGTGTTTAGATACGTTATTGTCTAAAGGTAGATCTGGCCAGGCATGGTGGCTCACACCTGTAATCCCAGCACTTTGGGAGGCCAAAGCTGGCAGATCACCTGAGGTCAGGAGTTTGAGACCAGCCTGGCCAACACGGTGAAACCCCGTCTCTACTAAAAATACAAAAATTAGCTGGACATGGTGACAGGCACCTATAGCTGAGATCCATTGTGAGTGCCATTGCACTCTAGCCTGGGCGACAGAGTGAGACTCCATCTCAAAAAATAATAATAAAAATAAAGGTAGATTAAAAAAAAAGAGACATAATTTGCGTTATCGTAAAATTTACTTTTTTAAAGTGTGTAATTCAGTGGTTTTTAGTATGTTCACAAAGTCATTCACCACTGTCTAATTCCAGAACATTTTTCTTACCCCAAAATGAAATCCTATACCCATTAGCATCACTGCCCATTTCCTGCTTCCTTTAGACTGTGGCAACCACTCATCTATTTTCTGTCTCTATAACTTTGCGTATTTTAGACATGTCATATAAATGGAATCCTATGGTATGTGGCCTTTTTTAAAAATCACTGGCTTCTTTCACTGAGCATAATTTTTCAAGTTCTTTTAAGCTGTAGTATGTATCAGTACTTCATTCTTTATAACTGCCAAATAATAGTTCTTTGTATGGATATACCACATTTTATTTCATTCATTCATTAGACATTGATGGTTCTACTTTCTGGCTATTATGAGTAGTAGTACTATGAACATTTGTGTACATATTTTTGTGTGGACACGTTTTTACTTCTCTTGGCTGTATACCTAGCAGTGGAATTGCTGGTCTTCAGGTGTGTCTTACTGATGTTTTTTTTTGAGATGGAGTTTTGGTCTGTCGCCTGGGCTGAAGTGCAGTGGCGCAATCTCGGCTCACTGCAACCTCCACCTCCCAGGCTCAAGCAATTCTCCTGCCTCAGCCTCCCAAGTAACTGGGATTACAGGCGCACGCCACCATGCCCAGCTAATTGTTGTATTTTTAGTAGAGACGGGGTTTCACCATGTTGGCCAGGCTGGTCTCGAACTCCTGGGCTCAAGCAATCCTCCTGCCTTGGCCTCCCAAAGTGTTGGGATTACAGGCGTGAGCCACTGTTCCTGGCCTTATCTTACTCTCTCTTTTTTTTTTTGAGACGGACTCTCACTCTGTCTTCCATGCTGGAGTGCAGTGGTGCAGTCTTGGCTCACTGCAACCTCCACCTCCCAGGTTCAAGCCATTATCCTACCTCAGCCTCTGGAGTAGCTGGGACTACAGGTGCAGCTAATTTTTGTCATTTTAGTAGAGATGGGGTTTCACCATATTGGTCAGGCTGGTCTCCATCTCCTGACCTCAGGGGATCCGCCTGCCTCGGCCTCCCAAAGTGCTGGGATTATAGGTGTGAGCCACTGTGCCCAACCATCTTTAAGCCTCCTTAAGGAGGCTGTGTCTCTAACATGCCCTGTTGGTTTTATAGTTGGACTCTCACTGGACAGCCTCGTTTTTCTAAGATTTGGGGGTTATAAGGATCAGAGTTGTCCCCAGTTGGCTCCTTTCACCTCGTCCATAAGGTTGTTGTGAGGCTTCACTGAGGTAATCTGTATAAAGTAAGGTGCTGGCCTGTACCCTGTACATCACTCAGTAGTGGTGATTTCACTGCCCTTTGCCTCCTGCCTTTGGCTTCTGGCTATCTCCAAACACCCCATGCCTTCTGTGCTCCACCCTCTGTTGAAACACAGGAATCTAAAACCATTCATTGATACTTTTTGAGTGATTATACTGAAAACAATTGCATGTTGTCTCATGCAGAATTTTCGTGTTAAACCCTGTGTTGCAAGGATGCCATTAACCAGCACACAGATGGCGGTGGAGATTGATTGATTGAGATGGGGTTTCGCTGTGTTGCCCAGGCTGGAGTGCAGTGGTGTAATCGTAGTTCACTGTAACTTTGAACTCCTGGACTCCAGTGATCCTCCTGTGTCAGTTTTCCAAGTAACTGGGACTACAGTCTCATGTCACTGTGCCTGGCTAATTTTTAAAATTATTTTATAGAGCTGGGGTCTCGCTATGTTGCCTAGGCTCTTCTCAAACTCCTGGCCTCAAAGCGATCCTCCTGCCTCAGCCTCCCAAAGTGTTGGGATTACCAGCGTGAACCACCACACTTGGCTGGGGATGGAGTTTTAGACACCAGAGGCTTCCTTCCGAGGTTGACCTAGAAAGCACCCTTGGTGGGTGCCATGGGATGGGGGAATACAGTCAAAAGGAACCTGCTCTTCCCGCTGCGCCTCCACCTGAGGTGGATGTGTCTGCTGGGGCTGCTGGAGTCTCCATCTTCCACTTTAACTTCACTTAAGAGCTGAAAGCTCTGCCCCTTCTTCAAGATTTTCCCTGCTGTCTCCCCTTCCCTGCTCAACCAGAGATTCCTCTTATTCTTCCTCTTGCTATTAGTATTAATCTGGCTCACTGACTCTTTTCCTTAACCTCATCCTAAAACTGTCTGATGCATATTTTATATTTTCTTGCATGTTTGACTTTTAGTTAGTATTTTACAGTAATTTCGTTCTGCAGCCATCCTCTTATCTGATACCCTGGAACTCATTCCTGTGCCTATCAGTTCTCACCTCTGGTAATTAAACTTTGTAAAAAAGAAATGTGACATTTGGACATATTCTCTTATTAGTAAAGGTATTATTGTGTATGAGACTAATGCTGTGCATCTATAATAAGTTGTTTCACCTTGTGAATACTAATGTAATTTGGAAATAAACCTTTCTTTGTTAAAGACTTTTTCTACATGGGCCACGTTTTTCCAGACCTATTTCCTAATAATTTGTGGTTTTTAAAGGTATGTCAATAGAGATGCTGTAGCCAGCATGGCTGGATTCTGTTAGATAAACATTTTGTGAGATTGCTTACCTTAAACAATTGTCTTTAAAAGTTAATTTCTTCCCTAATGTGTCAGTAAGGAAATTCTATAGTATTTAAGAAGCCTGATAAAGTCCAGTTAAAACATTTTGCATTGCTCTTTAAACATCTTTTCTGAGGGTTGATGTGTTCGTGTTTGTTTGGTTCACATAGTTTCTTCTGAATTTTAAGAAAGCTTTGTCAGAATCAGTAACTTGCCTATAGTGTATTTTTCATGACCATATGGCTTTCTTCATCAAAAACAGCTAAGTAAAAATTTCAGTGAATAATAGTATATATATATGGGAATGTATTCCTCATCATTTGTATGCTCTTGAGAGAGTGACTCATGTACTGTTTTCTATTGAGTTCCCGAAAGTTTATAAAGAGATGACAAACAATTGGCTATGGGATTGAAATAATGCACATGTAAAATGGAAGGGAAAACATGGAAACAGTTTCTTCCTTTGTTCTTCCCTTACCTTGATGAAATTTTTACCACTTAACGTTTTTCAGTAAAGTCAAGGTCAGTATCAGAGCCTAGTACGGTTCTGCTTGCCGCTGTCTGAGGATTACCTGTCTTATTACAGAATGTACATGCTCCCAGAGGAGAAGATACAGTTTGATTTCAGGATGACAAACAGCTCTTCTGGGACAATAGTGTCAAGTATAAAAGGATTATAAAGGTTTTAGGACCATGGGATGGTTTGAAGGGGAAAGGGTGAAATGACAGTTAAGGTTGGCATCACCGAGGTCCCAGTTGTTGGCTGCCCCCTACTTCTCCTGTTCCCCTCTGGCAGTATTTTACAGATGTATTTCCTTTGACCTTTCCTTTAGTAGGAAGTTGTAGGCTTTAAGATCCAGCAGAAAAAAATTATGAGCCATTTGTGACCCTCTTGAGCAGTCCTTCAGGTAGAACACATTTCATAAGAGCTAGTGAATGGTCTTGGGTAATTAAAGCTCACTTTATGATTATACAGTGTGGTGGCCAGCCCAGAGGGAACATCACAAATACACATTATGAATGTATAGAATTGAGACTTTATACCTGGAGACTGTTGGATGACCTGGTCCTCTGCCCCCAGGCCTACCCTTCTGCCCATCCTCATCCAATTCTGTTTTGATTTTTAAAAAGTATGTGCTTCTTAGCCCTCTCATTGCTTCACTGTGAGGGGAAAAACTTTTCTATTGAGGTGCTGAAGCTGTGCTTTCCAGGACTCATACTTATGTGCTGTTGAATGAGTCTCAGTGCTCCTAGGAGTCTATAAAAGGAATAGAAGACTTCTTTTCTCTAACTCCCTTATGGTTTGTATTTTATCTGCTAAGAGACACTGGCATTTCATGGAGATGGGAGAGAAAAAGACACAGCCTACTTAGACAGTTCCTTTATTCCAACATATATACTCACTTCACATATTCATAGACACCTTCCACCTAGCATCAAATTCTGAACTCATAGAAGACTTAGGTGTTTTTGGTTTTGTATGCATAGCTTTTGAAATCCCTGGGTTGAAAATTTTCTAGGTGTTGTTTGTATGCTCTAGTCAAGCCCAGGACATAAAGGGTTATGTTAAAATTACTTTCCTTAGTGACTATTAACCAGAAATTTTATCTGTCAGGAGAAAGGATTCATGCAACTCTAAGAATGCATTGCCCTCTGCATAGGCTATTAGCTTTGGCAACCGAAGATAGATGAGACTTAGGCTGTGTTTAAATTTTTCATTGTGATGAGACAAATCTATTATTATAAAAGCCCTACTTTATCAGTGAGAGTGTTTCCTTATGTTGTTTTAATTAAAGGAGCAGTGTGTTTTTAAATTTAATTATGGTACCTTGAAGATCTGATACTAGCTGTAAGCTAAGGATTCTTTGGGTTTTCAAGATTTTTTTTTTGGAGACGGAGTTTCACTCTGTTGCCCAGGCTGGAGTGCAGTGGCGTGATCTGGGCTCACTGCAACACCTGCTTCCTGGTTTCAAGTGATTCTTCTGCCTCAGCCTCCCAGGTAGCTGGGATTACAGGTGCGGGCCACCATGCCCGGCTGATTTTTTGTATTTTTAGTAGAGACAGGTTTCACCATGTTGGTCAGGCTGGTCTCGAATTCCTGACCTCAAATGATCTGCCATCTTCAGCCTCCCAAAATGCTGGGATTACAGGCGTGAGCTACAGTGCCCAGCCAGTTTTCAAGATTTTTAATGCATTTGGAGCAGCGCTATCCTAAAGAACCTTCTTTGATGATGGAAATTTTCTCTATCTGCACCATCCAATATGGTCTGGTAACCACCAGCCACATGTGGCTATTGAGCACTTAAAATGTGGCTGAGACTGAGAAACTAAAATTTTAATTTTCTTGAAAATGTAAATTAATTAATTAATTAATTTATTTATTTATTTAGAGACAAGGTCTTGCTCTGTTACCCAGGCCGGAGTGCAGTGGTGCAATCATAGTTCACTGCAGCCTCGACCTCCTGGGCTCAAGTGATTCTCCTGCCTTAGCCTTCTGAGTAGCTGGGATTACAGGCATGTACCACCATACCTGGCTAATTAAAAAAAAAAAATTTTGTAGATATGGGGTCTCTCTATGTTGCCCAAGCTGGTCTGGACTCCAGGCCTCAGCCTCCCAAAGGAGAAAATGTAAATTTATATAGTCGCATGTGATTAGTGGTTATTGTGTTGGACAGCACAGATTTAGAATCTGAGGAAACTCTCCATTTAGTATAATGCCATCTGAAGCTCTTAACCAGTTGAGGCTGGTTAAATCTGAAGTTGATATTGGATAATATTGCTATTAGGCCAATGAGAGATTTCTTTAATAAAGATGCAAGTTTATCAAACTTAAATATGCTAGATATGAACTTTGGGAAGGCAAAAATTAATTCCAGAAATAATTCCAATATAATTAATTGAACAAATATTTAGAAAATGTTATCTAGGATAAAGAAGTGTAGTAAATATTGTGGAGGACTCAGAGGTGAGTGGGACTTAGGTGAGGCTGCCTATTTTGAGTCCTGCTGGGGAGGCCTTGAAAGGTCAAGGAGAAGTTCTTTTTTTTTTTTTTTTGAGATGGAGTCTTGCTCTGTCACCAGGCTGGAGTGCAGTGGCACGATCTCAGCTCACTGCAACCTCTGCCTCCCAGGTTCAAGCGATTCTACTGCCTCAGCCTCCCGAGTAGCTGGGACTACAGGTGCACGCCACCACATCCAGCTAATTTTTTGTATTTTTAGTGGAGACAGGGTTTCACCATGTTGGCCAGGATGGTCTTGATCTCTTGACCTTGTGATCCTCCCACCTTGGCCTCCCAATGTCCTGGGATTACAGGTGTGAGCCACTGCGCCCGGCCAGGGGAAGCTCTTTCTAAGGGAGTAGCTTAGAGCACAGAATGCCAACTGGGTTATCATCAGGCTGTAAACAGTAGGATTTCAGTTTGTGCAAGCACGATGGTTGGGGCTGTAACAGGAGAAGGGGGAGCTGTTTACATCAGGGGAACATTAGGTTACATTTGGCTCTGACAGGCAAGATTAATTTTGTCTGAGAGAAGGTTGAGGTGGGATTGGAATTTTCCCAGGTATGCCCTGCGATGTTCTGCTGAGTTTCATGTGTGTTGGAGCAGGCCTCTCAGGCCATCACAGTTCTGGGAGATGGACTTTCCAAAGATTGGGAAGCTGGAGGCAGGGACACCTGGACACAGAGCCTTCTTCACCCCCACCTGCATCCCAGGTGAGGAGGAATTCTTGAAAATGCCGAGTTTGACTCACCAACCAGGAGTATCTAATGTATATAAATATTCCTTTAAACGTAAGTATAGTGATGAGTAGATAAGCCAGAGTATTTAAAAGCCACAGCAAAGATTCAGCTTCCTCTCCGCTCCCCCGTGCCCCACATCTGGGAGGACCCCACCTGAGCTTGGTGTTATAGTTGGCTGATGCTCTTAGGTGGAAACCCAGGGGCAAAGGACAAGCCACAGAAACATAGGCTGCATCTGCTCCTACTCTGTACTTCCACCTTACCTGCCCATTAAGTGCTATGTTCTTGACTAAATAATTCATGTATCGCAGAGAGGGAAGGTATGTGTTCCCACCAACCTCTGACCCATCCATAACCCAGTGTATTACACTGACCCAGGAACCAGAGCTCACTTCACCCTGCTTGGAGTCAGGGAACTCGGAACCTAACTGTCCTGGGCCCTCTTTCTGGTAGTTGGGTGAGTCCTGAGGGCCTGATACGTGAGGTTTGGACAGGCTGGGCAGTAGGTTATGGCATATCTTGTAAGGGAGACCATGTCAGCAGTGGGGAGCAGAATGCAGAGGAATCAAAGACCTGATCTCATAGTGCAGGTGTGAAGGGAGAAGAGCCAGCCTTTCTCCACCGTCTCTCTGGGGACAGGGGACTGTCTCGCAGGGACTACACCTTGGCATTTGGGCATGTCAGACCAGGATCTAGTCATCAGAGTTACCCAATGCCCTGGGGTTGGTTTCTACCAGGTCAGGGATGCAGTTCTGCAGGCAGTATGTTACATCTGAGACTACAGGAGAGAGGGGTGGGGTGACAGTCTTTCCATAGGGTGTCCAGACACTCCTGGCCCAGGGACTGAGCCATGGATAGTGGGATGCTTGCCTCTCTGTGTGGCAGGGCTTTCGTCTCTGTTTTTTGTTTTTGAGATGGAGTCTTGCTCTGTTGCTCAGGCTGGAGTGTAGTGGCGCAATCTTGGCTCACTGCAACCTCTGCCTCCTGGGTTCAAGCAATTCTGCCTCAGCCTCCTGAGTAGCTGAGATTACAGGCACATGCCACCATGCCCAGCTAATTTTTGTATTTTTAGTAGAGATGGGGTTTTACCATGTTGGCCAGGCTGGTCCTGAACTCCTGACCTCAGGTGATCCACCTGCCTCAGCCTCCCAAAGTGCTGAGATTACAAGTGTGAGCCACCATGCCCAGCCTGGTCTCTGGTTTTGAGCCATGATGTCAGGCTGACCAGGCTGGCACATTTAGCCTGGAATGGGTTAGGCTTCTGGCTTTGATGTTAAGAAAGGAAACTAGTGCCAAGTGCAGTGGCTCCTGCCCATAATCTCAAGACTTTGGGAGGCTAAGCCAGGAGGATTGCTTGAGCCTAGGAGTTTGAGACCAGCCTGGGCAACATAGCAAGACCCCACCTCAAAAAAAAAAAAGGTAGTTTGGTGTGGGGCATGCGCCTATAATTCCAGTGCTTTGGGCTGAGGCACTTTGGGGAGATTGAGACTGCAGTAAGCTATGATTGTGCCACTGCAGCCCAGCCTGGTTGACAGAGTGAGATCCTGTCTGGAAAAAAAAAGAGAACTGGCTGGTCCTTCCTGAAATAGTGCCCACAGGCTGGCAGAGCACTGACTGACACCTGCCTCTTTCAGAGGTGGGGTCAGGATAGCTGTATGGAAATTCTCCAATGTGTGGGTTGTAGGAGTGTATCTCATATCCCTTCAAGCACTGCCAGGCCAGAACCCAGTGGAGTTTGCAAAGAATGGGTTTCTTGTTAGAAGAAAGTATTACGTACATGTAAGTAATCTTGGGTATAGCTGGGAAGTGATGAATAAATTTGACCATTAAAAGATTGTAATGTCTGTATCACCAAAGACAAAATCACAAATATAATTAAAAAACAAATAACAGACTAGGAGAAAATAGACCATGTGCAATACACAAAGGATAAATACAGAGTATATAAAGAAGCTTCTGCATATTAATAAGAAAACACTAGAATAAATGGGCAAAAGATATAAAAAGGCATTGACAGAAAGGGAACAAATGGCCAATAAATACAAAGAGATGCTTAACTTCATTAATAATTAGTGAATTACACATTAAAGCAACTAGATATGATTTTATCCCATCAGATTGGCAGAAATTAAAGAGAATAATATTCTTTGGCGGCAATGAGAAAAAATGGGTGTACTTTCATATTCTGAGCATATAAATTGTTCAGACCTTTTTGGAGAAGGTAGTTTGGCTGTATCTTTGAAAATAAAATCACATACTTTTAATTTGGTAATTTTGTGTCTAGTGAAATACACCTGAACACATGCTCATTCCAGCACTGGAATGGTGAAATATTGGAATGATTAAATGTACAGTGGTACAGCCAGCATATAGAATGCGATACCTAAAAAGTGTGTAAGAGTGTGGTATAGATCTTTATGCAGCTGATGTGGGAGGCTCTCTCAGATACGTTTTTAGTGAGAAAAAATATAAAATTATTACATTTATATTTGTAAACCTCAAAATTTATATGTATTTGTAAATTCTAAAACATGCTTTTCAGATTTTTTAACATTTCTGAAATCAGCGTATCTAACAATTGGTGACATAGTTTACTAATTTAAACTCTTGGTGAAGCATAGTGCACATTACAAGTGATAAGATCTTAGATTTGATGAAGGATGATATGTAAATACGTGGATAAAGGACTCTAAGACAGACATGGGACGAGATTGAGGAAGTGTCAGTGGAGACTTTGTCTGTGTCATCTATGTTGTCAAATTTTTTTTACAGTGAAATTATATTCCATTATTGTGTAACGAAAAATTTTAAAAATACATATTTATATTTTTTAGACAAGATATAATTTTAGACAAGATAAGGTTGCCTGGATGTCTCTGATGTCTGATCCATTTCTCTACTTGGGTGATTATGCTTGATATTCAGCTTTGAGAACTTTAAGGCCTGGATGGTTGATAGAGCGTTCAGCTTCATTAAGAAGTTAAGTAGCTGTGAAGATTCAGTGGGAGAGAATTGAGAACTGAGGTCCAAGAGAAGGGAGGAGCCGAACTCCAGAATTCAGGGCCAGTTGCCTCATGGGGACCTTTGCATCTGTGTAAAGAGGTTGAAATTCTCTCCCCACAAGGTGGTGCCAGGCTTTTTATACTGGACTGGGCATACCCTGGAGCAAGGCTCAGTGGATGGGAGGCAGAAAATAGATCAAATCAAGGAGCCTTATCCAATGTCATTGAAAGGAAAATTCATTGTTTTGGGAGAGAGCTAAGCCCTAGTGGGAAAGAGCCAAAGGAATAAATGGGCTTTTAAATCTGAGGAATTTACACAAGGCAGGCAGGAGATGACCTGCCATAGGTTGGAGGCAGGCTCTGCTTGGATCCTGTGTAAACAGGGCATAGTGTGAGTGTCTCCCCATAAGTAAAAGCTGTGTTGTGAAGATGAACTCACAGTTTAGTAGTGACTTTTTGACCAAAGATGACTCTTCAAGAAGGGATAAGGTGTATGGAGTATAGCTCATTGCCAGGACTGTGGGAGGCAGAGGAAGGAGAGGACACTTGGCCAAGATGCCATTTGAGCTGGTCACTGTAGGAAAGGGAGAATTTGGACATGTAATTTTTTTTTTTTTTTTAAGACAGAGTCTCACTCTGTCACCCAGGCTGGAGTGCAGTGGTGTAGTCTTGGCTCACCACAACCTCTGCCTCCTGAGTTCAAGTGATTCTCCTGCCTCAGCCTCCCCAGTAGCTGGGACTACAGGCACATGCCAGCTGCCTGGCTCATTTTGTATTTTTAGTAGAGATGGGGTTTCGCCATGTTGCCCAGGCTAGTCTTGAACTCCTGACCTCAAGTGATCTGGCCTGGACATGTAATTTTTAAGGAGATATTCAGAAGAAAAGGGAGGTGAGCCCACCATTTACAAATGCACACAGGAGGCCGGGTGTGGTGGCTCACACTTGTAATCCCATTACTTTGGGAGGCTGAGGCAGGCAGATTGCTTGAGGCTAGGAGTTTGAGACCAGCCTGGCCAACAATGCAAAATCCCGTCCGTACTAATAATATAAAAAATTAGCCGGGCCACTGCACTCCAGCCTGAGTGACAGAGCAAGACTCCGTCTCAAAACAAACAAACAAACAAACAAAAATACACACAGGAGAATGTGAGGAGCTGAGTAGTACAGTTTTCTCGGAGTACACGTCTATTAAAGGGAAGCAGTAGGAAGTAAAATAGAAAAAGGTAGGCTAGGGCCGGACCATGAAGAGCTGAGAATGCCAAGTTTAGAAATTTGACCTTGAGTCAGTGAACTCATGTTTTACATTTAATCTTTTGGTTACCAATTTTTTTTTGTACCATCATTGGTTTGATTTTTAAAATACAGTCACTTTGTTTTCTAAGGATTTTATGATATATGTTCAAATCTTGAGTTAAAGGTAAATAGAACACAGTTTGGGTTTTTTTTTGGCATATAAATGGTTGAATTTCAAAATTATATTTGTGTTACAAACTTTGTTTTTACTCTCTGCCTTCCAGCATTTGCAAATAACCATTTCTCTTTCAAAGGAAATTCTAGTATGTATTCCCATTCAATAAAAGCAAAGAGCTGAGCTCTATATGAATAAGAGGTAAAATTGAACATGAAAATTACTGAGCAAGATTAGTGGGGGATGAAATGGATGAACATTGGGGAAAGCTGTGATCCTTGTTACCTTTGCTATAGTGCAATTTGGAATGGCTTCTTTATTCCTGGCAATTCCTGACAGCATTTCTTTTAAACCTGGCCACCTTTCCATTGCCAGCTCGACCTTGATGTTAGCTGGTGCTGCTACTGCAAGGGCTGCCTTTGGCAGGAAGCCTTCAGTCAACTTTCTGGGCTCTGGTTTTGGCTCTGCACATGCCTTGCTGAGAAGACCTTAAGAATCTGAAATGTGGAGGGTCATTTTGGGGTAGGGAAATGTGGTGGCAACTCTTGAGTTTTCTGCCACGATGTAACTTAACAGATCCTCTTGTTTTTCCTTAAATGGTACAAGGGTTTGCACCGAAATGGTAATTCATCTGTGTCTGTGATGCTTTAAAAAATAACAGTTTCACTAATGTGTCACAACATGTATTATTTATCATTTTAGTAAATGGATATTTTAACAAGCAACAATTTGCAAATTTAAGCATGGCAGTTAACATGATCTGACATTAAAAAATTAAATAATCTCCTGCCATCTTTGTTATCAGCCTTGCATTAAGGATTTTAGCCCTTCTGGGAGCTTTTATTTTTTTGTTGACTCTGACTGATGATGGCAGATTGTGGTAGTGATCAGAGCTATGCTTTTATAAATTATTTTTTAGTTGGAACAATATTGGCATGTAACGTGGACTGGCAGAATTAACATTGTTTATCATTACCAGTGTTGTTTTGACAGATATTCTCAGTTCTTTAAGGAAGCAGATAGGGAATGTCTGTAATGGACATCTGCTGTCCACTATAGGTTGCCCAATAATGAGTCCTGGTAGGTTCTACCTTCTGCTGTGGAAGCCAGCAGAGTTCAAATGGGCATTTTCTGTTCTTGCCTCCTAGGAACTGCAGGGGTGGACATGCTTCTTAGGCTTAGCCTGTTGACTGCTTCCACCTGGAGTTTGAATCTGAACAGTGTTAGAAAATGCAGGGACAGGCTGAGTGTGGTGGCTCACGCCTGTAATCCCAGCACTTTGGGAGGACAAGGAAGGAGGATCACTTGAGCCCAGGAGTTCGAGACCAGCCTGGGCAAAAAAGCAAGACCCAGTCTCTACACAAAGTAAACAAATTAGCCAGGCATGGTGGTGTGCACCTGTAGTCCCAGCTACTTGGGAGGCTGTGGTGGGAAGATCCTTTGAGCCTAGAAGTTTGGGGTTGCAATGAGCTATATTTGCCCCACTGCACTGCAGCCTGGGGGACAAAGAGAGACCCTGTCTCCTATAAAGGCAGCGACAGTTAGTAGTGGCACTAGAGTTACTAAAATTATCAAGATTTTCTTCCTGGATAGTCCTGGTTGCACACATCAGTGTTACTATAGGTGGACTTAGCCTTTACTTTTGTACATTTCGCACTGATACCTCTAACCACCTTTTGTGCACATAGCAGCTATTATACCCCCCATAGCATAACCAACCTGTGTAAGAGAAGAGTATAAGTCAGTTGCTTGCAAGGAACTCTTAGGGGTAGGGAGCTCTTGCCTGGGGGAGGTGGGGGTTTCTCCTCTTTCTGTCCTCCCCTAGTCATTAGAGAAAGGCCTCAAGAGAATAACTCAGAGATTACGGTTGAATTCAAGAGGGTAGATTGACATCTCATTGAGCTGCACAGAGGTACCAGCCAGGTGCTGCTGTGGGATTAGAATGGACTCCTGAGAAAGCGTTCTTGAGTGAGTGTGGTGTGGCTTTCCTGGAGTTTGGGGATGTCTGTGAATACAGAGGCAAGTATCTTCCTCTCATCTGAAAGCCCCCCATGTGGCTGGAGCTGCCCCTGGGGACAGTGTATGGAGAGAGGACAGCAAAAACGCTTGACATTTCCTGTGGGCCTGGTGGTCTACATGGAGGACAGCTGGCCTGAGTCTTTTTGAAAGACTTGTCCTGCCTGCGAAGGCTGCCTGCCAGGGCTAGGCCCGCAGCAGAAAGAGGTTGTGGGTGAACCACAGAGGCAGGAGCTGAGAGGAGACTGAGAGCTGAGTCAAAGGGCACCCGTTGCCTGCATCAGGCAGCATGGAGGTCCCAGCAAAGGGGTCTCACTAGAGAGAGCTGGCATGTGGACTCCTGCAAATGGTGGAAGATATTTTACAGGCTGCAGGACTGGACCACAGAAAAGTGGGCAGACCTTTCCCTTTCCTCACACTTGCCGCCTTTCATTCCTTGGACCCCTCTCTTTTTCCTCACTGCTGTTCTTAGGGGAAAAGCTTGACATTGGATAAAATGAATTTGGATTTAGACTAAATAGACTTTTTAATAACTGAAAGTTTGGCTTTATTTAAGATAATATTTTCTTTTTAAAACACTGTCTAGAAATCAGTGGGTTTTTTTTTTTGTTTTTTGTTTTTTTTTAAAGACAGAGTTTCGTTCTTGTTGCCTAGGCTGGAGTGTGATGACGCAATCTCAGCTCACTGCAACCTCCATCTCTGGGGTTCAAGCGATTCTCCTGGCTCAGCCTCCCGAGTAGCTGGGATTACAGGCATGCACCACCACGCCCAGCTAATTTTTGTATTTTTAATAGAGATGGGGTTTCACCATATTGGCCAGGCTAGTCTTGAACTCCCGATCTCAGGTGATCTGCCCACCTCAGCCTCCCAAAGTGCTGGGATTATAGGCATGAGCCACCACGCCCAGCCAAAATTAGTGGTTTTAATGTTACTAAATCCTGAAATAGCTTTCCATGATGACAAAATCAATCAACAATCTCAACCCCAGTAGACTGGAGTGGATTTTAGAATTTAGCACACTTTCCCTTATTTATACTCTGCAGGTTTCAAGCATACAACTTGCCAGCAATTACTGTGTTGGCTGAGAAATTTGAAATTTTACTAGCTTGAACACTAAATTTGTTGATGTAACATACAGCTAATAATAAAGGTCACGTCCCCATATTGGCATGAGGGACCCCTTATGAATTAGCCTGAAACTTTGCAGCCTTTAATCATATTTTTCTCTCTTTTTTCCCTTGAGACGGAGTCTCCCTCTGTCGCCCAGGCTGGAGTGCAATGGCACGATCTCGGCTCGCTGCAACTTCGCTTGCCGGGTTCAAGCCATTCTCCTGCCTCAGCCTCCCAAGTAGCTGGAACTATAGGCATGAGCCACCACGCCCAGCTAATTTTCGTACTTTTAGTAGAGACGGGGTTTCACCATGTTCACCAGGCTGGTCTCGAACTCCTGACCTCAAGTGATCCACCCACCTCGGCCTCCCCAAGTGCTAGGATTATAGGCATGAGCCACCGTGCTCGGCCATGTTGTTATTTTTGGTTTGTTTGTTGATTATGGTTTAAAAAAACCACATAACATTAAATTTACCATCTTTGCCATTTTTAAGTGTGTAGTATGGTAGTGTTAACTGTATGCAACAGTTAGTGCAACAGATCTTTAGAGTTTTTTTATCTTGTAAAACCGAAACTCTGTACCCAGGAAGCAATTCCTGATTCCCTGCTTCTGCCAGCCTCTACCAACCACCATTCTACTTTTTGTTGCTAAGAGTTTGATTACTTTCGATAACTCACATCAGTGGAATAATGCAGTATTTGTTTTTTTCTTACTGGTTTATTTCACTTAGCTTAATGTCCTCAAGGTTCATCCATGTTGTAGCATGTGACAAGATTTCCTTCTTTTTAAGGATGAATAATATTCCATTGTATGGATAGACCACATTTGCTTTATCTAGTTGTCTGTTGGTGAACATTTAGGGTACTTCTACCTTTCGGCTCCTGTGAACACTACTGCAGTGAACATGGGTAAGCAAAAATCTCTTTGAGATCCTTTTGGCTATATACCCAGAAGGGGATTGCTGGATCATCATTCTGTTTTTAATTCTTTGAGGAGCCGCCAAACTGTTCTTTATAGCAGCTACGCCATTTTACATTCCCACCAGCAGTGCACAGAGATTACCATTGCTTCATATCCTTATCAACACTTGGTTTTTTTTTTTTTGCCATTTTAATGGGTCTGAGGTGATATTTCATTATGGTTTTGATTTGCATTTCTCTAATGATTAGTGATGTTGAACATCTTTTTATATGCTTCTTGCCCATTTGTATATCTTCTTTGGAGAAATGTCTTTTGAAGTGCTTTGCCCATTTTTTAATTGCATTAGTTTGTTGTTTTTTTGATTTGTAGGAGTTATTTATATATTCCGGGTATTAATGCCTTATCAGATATTTGGTTGAAAATATTTTCTCCCATTCATAAGTTGCCTTTTCACTTTGCCCTTTAATCATATTATTATTATTATTATTATTATGGTTAAAACATTAATTGTGTAATACTGAAAAGTTTAGGAAATAATATGACAGATTTTGATCAGGTCTTAAATATCTTCCCAATAGGCCCTATGAGTAAGGCATAAAAAGCTTGAATTAATTCCATAGTTTCACCAAAACGCTCTTCTTCTTAATCTTATTCCTTATTTTTTTGAGGCAGAGTCTTTCTGGCCCAGGCAGCCTGGAGTGCAGTGGTGCAATCTCAGCTCACTACAACCTTCACTTCCCGGGTTCAAGCGATTCTCGTGCCCCAGCCACCTGCGTAGCTGGGACTACAGGTGTGAGCTACCATGCCTAGCTAATTTTTGTATTTTTAATAAAGATGAAGTTTCACCGTGTTGGCCAGGCTGGTCTCGAACTCTTGGGATTCGAGTGCTGGGATTATAGGCATGAGCCACCATGCCTGGCCCTTAATCTTGTTCCTATCAATCTTTCCAGCTTTACCTTCCCCAGCATGACTTCCTCTTATCCCCTTCCTATGTCCAAAGATTCCCTAAAAATATTCTAGCTCTGTACCATTCCACACACTGCTTTTTTGTTGTTGTTGTTGTTGTTGTTTTTTTTTGCCTGAAATATGGGATATGTACCTTTCCCTCTTGTTTAACCTTGTTTTTCAGACTCCTTCTTTTTCTTTTCCTTTAAAGACTCAGCCCAGATGTGAAAATGTTCCAGTCAGCCAGTCAGCTGCTTTTCTCTCCTATAGCCTCTTAGGTACAGCCCAGGTTAGCACACTTGTCTGAAAGTATTGTGAGGACTTTTATAAACCCCCTCTCTCCAGGACCATATGCTGCTAGATCACCTAGCTTAGCTTTGCCTTTTTATTCCTCTTTGTCATGGGCCTACCATAATATCTAGTCCATAATATTTGTGTACTTTAGTTTTTTATTTATTTATTTATTTTTGAGATGGTGGTCTTACTCCATCACCCAGGCTGGAGTACAGTGGCACGGGATCTCGGCTCACTGCAACCCCCGCCTCCTGGGTTCAAGCTATTCTCCTGCCTTAGCCTCTGAGTAGCCGGGACTACAGGACACGCCACCACGCCCAGCTAATTTTTGTATTTTTAGTAGAGATGGGGTTTCACTATTTTGGCCAGGCTGGTCTCAAACTCCTGACCTCAAGTGATCCACCTGCCTTGGCCTCCCAAAGTGCTGGGATTACAGGCATGAGCCACAACACCCGGCCTATTTGTGTACTTTAAACGATTATGGGTAGAAAGAAAGAGCAAATGCCTTTTTAGAAATAAGATAACAGAACTTTTTACCAATTGTGCTTCCAAATATGCTTTCTCTTCTAATTTTATCTGCTAAGATTTTGGCAGCTAATTGTAGATTTTATGAACTTACATTGGGTTGCCTTTGTCTTCTGTTATAAAAGCAATAATTAGAGGAAATGATCCTTTTGAGAGGTTGTTTAATGAATTCTGCTTGTTTTAAATGTGCTGCTTTAAATCTTATTTCACGTAAACTGTACTAATGCCCAAATTATCTCACCCTAGATCAGCATTGAACCAAAGTATTATGATGATTAATTTCCTTCTGTTAAATCCCTTATAGTCTTTTCTTTGGTGTGTGTGTGGGGTCAACAATCAAAGAAAGAATTTATTGACTTTACATTTAATATGGTTTACTCTACTTGATTATATTGTTCAAGTGTGAATTTGTGTATGGTATAAGATTATGCCATACTGGGATTCTATTTTCTGTTAAACAAATAGCTTTGTGTTTTATTAACTGCCAGTGTTTAAATTTAATGGTTTAAGATTTCAGAGAGCCCTTTTTGTAAGTATTTGAAAGTTTTTATTATAATCCTGAGCCTAACCTTCTTCTGGTTTCACTGCATCCTTCTCCAGCCTTGAAACAAGCCCTGGCACAGACGCAAATCCTGGCGTGCACCACCTCTTCCTCTCCCCCGCTCCCCACTCTAACATGACAAGAAGTGTCTGTCCCAGAAGTAATCTGATTGTGCACCTAGAGTACCTGTTTTCTGCCTGGGGAAGAATGCACACTGCTGGACCTAGAGCGGTGGCAAAAGTGCCCTCTCCACTGTGGGGGCCACAGTGGTAGGCACAACCCTTATCCCTCAGCCCCATTAGTTAATTAAGTCATTTTACCTGCATTAAACTTTACGGGCAGAGAAAATTCAGTAAGTCACCACTACCAGGTGACTTTCTTTTTTATGTTACCCCCTAGCAAGGCATGTAGTTTGCATCCTACAGAATATAAAAGATGGGGCCAGCATCTATTCTGTGTCTTAGCAGTGAACTTCATCCAATAGATACTTGATTTTTAAATACTTTCACCTTGTGTCATGATTAAATCACTAAACAGGAAGTTTCAGCTTTTCTTTAAAGAAGTACATCCTATTAAAAATTTAAATGTCTTCATAACTGCTTACGCTCAGTAAATGAACACTAGGAATCTATAAACAGGAATCTATGGCTCTAAAAATTGAAATTTTGGGGGCTGTTTCATTCTTTAGAACTTGAAAACGCCATAGGCAATTAGCTATAATTC
Organism: Homo sapiens; assembly: GCF_000001405.40. Lineage (NCBI taxonomy): Eukaryota > Metazoa > Chordata > Mammalia > Primates > Hominidae > Homo > Homo sapiens. The sequence goes on from NC_000010.11 coordinate 74,897,921, forward strand.
ATTTGCAGATTATTTTTGCCATGTTAAATTAGGAATTTTAGCCATAGCAAGCATAACAGACAAGCACACTTTTAAATTATTTTGTTCAGCAAAACACCATAGGCCCTTATATGTGTTTGCTGGAATTTTTCTTTGTCAACAATAAATCTATATGTTTCTTTAGTTAAAAAAAAAACAGCAACAAAGTGTTTATTGTAGAATGTTTACTTTTTAAACAAACGTGAAAGGCATTGGTACAAAAAGGGAAAAGCACCTAGGATTTGGATCCTCAGTGGGTCCAGGAGTACAGCTTCCTTGTTCTGCAGTTACTGGAGGCAGTGTGGTGAGGGGAAGGATGTGGGCTTTGGACTGAGCTGCTGCTTCTACCTGTGCTATGACTTTGCACAAGTTAGGAGTAGCCTTTTTGAGCTTTGTTTTCTCCTTAGAAGATGACTAAGATCATGTTTGCACATAGCACATGACACAAACTCATGATACTGGTTTTGTTTTTTCTAACATTGTCTCAGTGGGTCTTCACTGCCTTCTTTCTACAATTTTTTTTTTTTAAGGGAATAGGGTCTTACTCTGTTGCTCAAGGCTGGAGCGCAGTGGCTGATCATTGCTCACCATAGCCTCAAATTCCTATTCACTGCCCTCTTATATAGTGGATAATGTGGGCGTTAGTCTCATGCAGTTAAGAGAACAGGTTCAAAAGAAGTTTTGAACTGTCTGTTTTATTTTCACAAGGCCAGTCAGTGACAGAGAAAGAACTTCCACTTGGGTGTCCTGGCTCTGTGTCCCATGGTTTTCCTACTGAAATACTATTACTGTGCTATAGCAGAAGAAAGAAGGCTAAGACAGTTCTGTGCTTACAGTCACCTTCAGTTTCAAATGTAATCATATCCTGGGGGAGGGGAAATGAAACTTTGAGTTTCATCTCCCAAATCATTCCTTTATTTAGAATCAACCGGCTGGGCACGGTGGCTCATTCCTGTAATCCTAGCACTCTGGGAGGCTGAGGTGGGTGGATCACTTGAGGTCAGGAGTTCAAAACCAGCCTGGCCAACATGGTGAAACCCCCGTCTGTACTAAAAATACAAAAAAAAAAAAAAATAGCCGAGCATGGTGGCAGGCACCTGTAATCTCAGCTACTTGGGAGGCTGAGGCAAGAAAGTTGCTTGAACCCAAGAGGCGGAGGTTGCAGTGAGCTGAGATTGCGCCACTGCACTCCAGCCTGGGTGACAGAGCAGTACTCCATCTCAAAAAAAAAAAATAGTATCAATGAATTCAAAGAAATAAAATGTTTTTCATGTACTCATGGAAACAACTATTTCTAAAATTCTAAATGAATTATTATTATTATTATTATTATTATTATTATTATTATTATTTGAGACGGAGTTTCTTTCTTGTCAGTCAGGCTAGAATGCAATGGCGCGATCTCGGCTCATGCAACTTCTGCCTCTTGGGTTCAAGGGATTCTCCTGCCTCACCCTCCCCAGTAGCTGGGATTACAGGCGCCTGCCACCATGCCTGGCTAATTTTGTATATTTTTAGTAGAGATGGGGTTTCACCACGTTGGCCAGGCTGGTCTCGAACTCCTGACCTCTGGTGATCCACCCACCTTAGCCTGTCAAAGTGCTGGGATTACAGGCATGAGCCACCGCGCCCGACCTCTAAATGAATTTTTAAAACTCCAGCATCTCACAAATGGTTCTTGAATAATTTTTCCTTAGCCTGCAGTGTTTAAGTTGGGTTTTGAAGGTTTTGTTACTCAATAGTCACCCTTTTTTGGGTGTAAGTTTGTCCTCTACTCCTGAGTAAGTAAGTGACCTTAGGGCAGTATTACCATGAAACAGATCTCACAAATAACATTGATACCAACATCATTATTTTTGGTCAAATGTTAAATAGTTAAAATTTGTCATCCTAGTCTATATTGAACTAATTTGAAATACCTTATATTTAAGCAAACTTTATTGTTTTTAACATAGCAAAACAATTAATAAAACTTTAAATCAATTACACATGAAACAGTAAGAAAGCAGTGCAAGATTAAAATCTCTAGGTAAGTGTTCTATAGTGTATAAGTAAGTTCTGTAGAACTTCAGAAAAAAGAGAGGTCAGTAGGATTCTTAGAGCAAAGTGTGATTTTATCTGTACTTTGGGTCAGAATAACTTTTCTGATTTTTTTTATTACTAACATACCTAAACACAGATAATGTTAACATTAATTAAGTGACCTTAGGGCAGTATCACAATGAAACATCTCACAAGTAACATTGATACTAACACAATTATTTTTAGTCAAATGTTAAATATTTAAAATTTGTCATCCTTGTCTATATTGAACTAATTTAAAATATCTTATTGAAATATATTATTAATTAATTCATATCAGACTTAGCTAGAGACACCTAATGTTCAAAACAGAAAGTAGAGGTGGATTGGGCCCAGTTGGCTCCAGTTGCTCAGAGGATGTGGTCAGTGCTGTTTTTGTACATCTTGAGCTCTGCTCACTCTGTCTGCGAGTAGGTTTTGCGTTTTGCTTGTTGGCTGTCTTGTTGGGGGTGGGAAAATGGCTGCCCATACCTTCTGCCAGGTGGGCAACCCCAAAGACTTTTCTTTTCCAGCGCACGTGTAGGAGCAGCCTGTTGGAGGCATGTGCCCATGCTTTAGACTGTCACCCAGGTCATGAGGACTGTGGTTTGAAGAGTGTGCTCACTCAACTGGCTAGGGGGTGAGGGCACTGTGTTTGACAACTGTCAAGGACTAGCGAGGTTCCCAGATGAAAGGGGGTGATATACCAGAAGAAGAGGCATGGGTGGGAAATGTGCATAGCAGTCCCAGCCAATAGCTATCACTGCCTACCACATAGTGCTACAAAACAGCGTAAGAATTATTCATTGAGTGCAAATGTTGGGGGAGTGGGGGTTAAACAGAGACCTATTCTAAGTGATTCTTGACTGTTTGTCCAGGTGTCATTCCTTGTTATAGGAGTTTTAAAAGCAGAAAATTCTCAACTGCTCATTCACCTAATACTCCATGAAAGTATATATTCTTGAGTGTCCTAAGTGTGTGTCCTTTGAAATGTTTATATATATAAAAGATATTTTAAGTATAAAATCTTAAATATCTTTTACACTTAAAATATCTTTTATATTTTATATTTGTGCTTTTATAAGTTAAAAAATGTGATCACCATGACCCTCTACTTGGATGTGACAACCCTCCATTTTATAAAATAATTACCGTTGAATCAAAATTTTTGCTCAACGTATGCTATCCAGTTACCTGTCAAAGCCAACTGAATGAATGATGAAAAGGTTCAGATCAAAAGCAACTGGCTTAACTTCACGGAGGTTTTCATGCTTTAATTTAAAATGTGTCTATGTCTAACTGATTATCTCTCACATTTTATAAAGAAATATTGACGTTCTGTAAAGTATGTAGTGACCTCACTTCTGGCTGTGTGGGCAGGTTTCACTGCAGGCCTCTGAAGCATTGATATTCCTGTAACCTTTGAGGCAAGATGTGTGTGTAGTGTATTAATGAGCTGATTGAAGTGATGTACAGTAATTTCATCCTTGGGTAAAAACAGATGTGAAAGATTCTGTTTTAATATTTAATCAGCCTCCAAGCCTCTGTTGGCTTGTTTAAGTTGACCTGACAGCATTATACCTGGAAACACTTTGAATTAAACTCTGAGTGCTTGACCTTGTTCAAACAGTTGTAATTTAATAAGGCTGCTGTCTTGGTGGAGATAGTGTCGCTAATAGGCAAATCCTCTTCTGACTGGGATTGTTCTGTTTGTGAGTGCTGGGGTTGGAGAGATTCAGAGATTCTCATCAGTTTGTGGGGAGGAACTGGGATTTGAAGAAGTAAAAACAAATCTAAATTAAGAAAGTGTCTTTTAGAAGATCTTTAAAAACTTTTATTTTAATTTTTAGACATATAGAAGTAATGTTTTTAATGTCATTTTGATTAGGCTCATTTTGGTTGAAAGGAATGGAAAATCATTTGTTAAAAAGAGAGCTGGAAACTTGTCAGAAATCAAAGAAGTGCTAGGAGGACTGCATACTCACTCTGGCTCTCCTTGTCCTCCTGTCCACCCATCCCTCCACCCACCCATCCGTCCCTGCTTTTCTCTGTCTCTGTCTTGGGCGTCCTCTGCACGATAGCCTGTCTGCTCTCTCCTTTCTTCTGTTGGCTCCCTCAATCTCTGTTTCGTGTACTTCTCTCTAGCCCATAGCTCCTCTTTACTAATCATTTCTGTTCTCTCATGCCATCAGTTTGCAGGGGCTCTTGGTAGTTTCAGCTCTCTTGTATCCTTTCAGCTCTAAGTCTTGCTGTCAACAAGTTTGTTTCCTTGTTCACGTTCCAGTTAGCTGGGTCTGAATGGCTCTCCTGATCTTTTTTGTGCCATATCCAAATTGCCCATGCTTTCCAAAGCAGGGGGAGCTGTGGACAAGACAGTTTTTGGCTTGAAGGAAAGATTAGTTGGGGCAAATACCATGATTTGCCCAATATAAATGCGTGTAGATATATATTTTCTGGTTCTAAGAGTACCATATGCTTACTGGGGAAAAATGAGAAAATTTAAAAAACTAATAAAAATACAGTTAAAATCTCCTGTAAACCGACTATTCAAATAGCTAAACTACTTTGGTGTATTTCCTCTGATTTTTTTTGCTTGTTTATACATAAACATAATATACACAGTAAACATCCCAAAATTTTAGAATCATAGTGGTAACATTTTAAAGATCTTCATATCTACTTGTTACCAGTGGCATCTGTAGGAATACTCTGGCTGTCAGGCCTACGTTAAAAACTGTGGTAATTTGGTGTGAATCTTTTATTAATTCTTTCCTTTTGACTAATATTAAGTGTGGCATCATTAATCATGTTATATTATCTTCACTTTGGCTTGCATTACTTATCAACTCCTTTGAGAAGAGTTAATATTATTTTCATATTTCACAGTACTTGACATATTGTCTCATACTTAGTAGATGTTCAGTATTTGGTCTATAGTTTCTGCTTAATTTTTATGAAACTTGATTTCTGTGAGTGGGCAAAATACATTCATAAGGTTCCAGCTCAGAAGAAGGAAAAAGTAACAATGTATAGCACTAAGAATATTGGAAAACAACGGGGAAATATGCTAATTGCTTTTAAACGAACAGGGATTTTGGCAGTATTGTGGTATATGAAGGGTCTCCTGTAGGAAGCTGACTGGCTCTTCTCTTTTAGGAGCCCTCCCAGGGTGGCATTCATTACCTTGTCGGATTGCCATGGTCCAGTGTGGGTAGCAGAATCCTGAGAGACCCCCAGTGACCCTGCCCTTTGTATTATATCTTCCCCTTTGAGTATAGGTGGAACCTATGCATGTTTGAGATATCACCCATGATTCTACTACCTTGCTTGGCAGAGGGAGACTATCCAGGTGGGCTGATCTAATCACACAAGCCCCTTAGAAACCATATTCTCCAGCAGGTGGGAAGAAAGAGTGATCTGAAGCATGAATAGGATTTGATGTTGACTGCGAAGATGAAAGGGACCATGTGCCAAGCAATGTGGGTAGCTTCTAGAAACTGAGCATGGTCCCCAGCTGGCAGCCAGCAAAGAAACAGGGACCTCAGTCCTACAACCGCTAGGAACCGAATTATTCTAACAACCTAAACGAGCTTGGAGGTGAATTTTTCCTAAGAGCTCATGGATAAGAGCAGAGTCTGGCTGACACCTTGATTTTGGCTCTGTGAGACCCTAAGCAGAGAACCCAGCTGAGCCTGACTGGATTTCTGACCCACTCAGCTGTGAGCTCATGAATGGGTGTTGTTTTAAGCCACTGTTTGTGGCAGTAAGACTAATATAGTCCAGGGTCTGGCTAATTCTTAGCTTTGTCAGATTTTAACTTGATTTTCTGTGGATATCAAGGGTGGAGCTGTCTCTCAGGGGTAGACTTACAGGAGCCTAGCTGAAGAAACTGGTGTATGGAATCAGGAGGCCAGCATATTTATTTGTTTATTTACCTGAAAAGTAAATGTTCCAGGGACTGAGATACTCCATGTGGATGGTCAGTACATTATCTCCCTTAAGGCAGACCTGTGTAGGAGGCCAGGTGTGTATTAGTGAGCATGGCATCCAAACCATGAGTTAGATGAGCACAGTTTCCATGGCATCAAACACCTGTCTCACAACAAGGATGGCCTTCTCTATGTCTGGACAATGTTTAGATGGGTACTGCCAGCTTCTCTGGAGACTCACTGTATTAGTTTTCAATTACAGTGTAACACATAACCACAAGTTAGCAGCTTAAAACAATGAAAGTATATTATCTCACAGTTTCTATGAGTCCAGGCACAGGTAACTGGGTCCCCTGCTCAAGGACTCACCAGGCTGAAATCAAAATGTCAGCAGGGATGTGGTCTCATAAGCTCACTGGTTGTTGGTGGAATTCAGTGCCTTATGGTTGTAAGACTGAGGTCCTCTTCTCCCAGAGGCTGCCCTGCCACATGGCCCTCTCTACAATGTAGCATTTTGCTTCTTCAAGGTCAGCTGGAAAATCTCCCACACACTTTTGGTCTTTACAATCTCTGACCCCCTTTAAAAGCCTAGCCCTGTGTATGCTCATAGGGAGAGATTGTACAGGGGCCCAAATCTTGAGGGCATTGTAAAATTCTGCTCCCACACTTGCTTTCCCCTCAGCATCCCTTGATGACTGGCCAGCTTTCTGTTTGACACCTCCTTTCTTTAGCTGTGTTAATATATCCAGTCTTTGGGAGTCCAGGCTTGGTTGGATATTTCACATCTCTGAAGTGACTACATAGTTCTTCTCACATTCAGTATGTATTGATTTTTAAAATTTAAATTTGTGAACTTAATCACACCTTTATTTCTGTGATCCTCCCCCCTTTAGTAACTGGGGAATGGGATGAGGAGGAATTTCTTCATCTTAGTTTCAGAAGTCTTCACAGCAGTGGCCTCTATTTGTAGTTTGATGGTCTAAGGAGTTTAGATTGTTAGAGAACTTCTACCTTCACTAGAATTTTGAAGACGTAACTTAAAATTACACTTACTAGATGTAGAAACTGGGGAGACAAAATGAGTTATTTGCACAGTTAAATTATTAGCTAGTGAAGAAGGGTTTTTATTTCTTATTTATATCCTGCCTTCTCTCAATATGATGATGTCCAGTAAAAGGCATAGATAGTCTAAAAGTGAAGCAATTAAAAATTTTTCTATTATGGGAATTTGACAGTACAAAAAAACACAGATGTCCTTGCCCATTAAAGTGAACACCAAGGAGTCCAAAATATTTTCATGAGGTAGTTTTTTGCCATTGCCTGTCAGTTGTGAGAGATCATTGCCTCAGGCCACAGCGACTAGGTGTGTGGCAGAGTTAACCTGCCTGCTCTCTAGGGAAACCGTCAAGAAATGGGCAATAAATTAATAAGTAGAAAGTGTTCTCTGAGCTCCAGGCAGTTGTTGATTGACTGATGGAAAAGGTAGGCGGTAGGCTAATAGACGATGACATCCAAATTCAGCTGTTGCCTCTCAGCTGAACCCAACCCTGGGCTTCTGCTGCCTTTTGCTCCTTTTCCCTGAGTGGTGGTGGCCTGCAGGTTAAACAGGTGGGCTTGGGAATTGGGCTGCCTAGGGTAAATCCTCATTCCCCCATTTAACTCAGTCTGCCAGACTCTGTTTTCTTGTCTGTAAAATGAGGGTTAAAAGAGAGTCTCTGTAAAGCATTTAATACGTTGTTGGGCACTAGCGGTGGATTAAGGAGAAGAGGGCTGTGATGGGAGCTGTCAGCCCCAGCAGGCAGGAGTTAGAATTGTCTGGAATTGCCGGTGTAGGGTGATAATAAAAAGCAAACTGACTCTTGGTCGGTTTATTACTATTTTTAAATTCCCTACTGACAAGGCCCTCCCTATTGCCTGCACTCTGAGTGGACCACTCCTTCCATCCATGCCTTGCAATGCCACTGTCTTGCACATAAGGGCTCAAAAGTGTATGCTGTTGTTGCCCTTCTCACATTTCGGCTGAGGTGTATATTTTCATTAAAGAGGATTATGTAGAAAAATTGGTTTAATAAAAATGATGAGACTTTTTAATATGGTTTGTACACCATTAAGAGTGAAATATGGCAAAATCTGGTCTGAAAAATAGGAAAAAATATAGCAATAACTGATTAATAGAAAACCATAGGATTGGCTGGGCACAGTATCTCACACCTGAAATCCCAGCACTTTGGGAGGCCGAGGCAGGTGGATCACCTGAGGTCAGGAGTTCGAGACCAGCCTGACCAACATGGTAAAACCCCGTCTCCACTAAAAATACAAAAACTAGCTGGACGTGGTGGTGCACTCCTGTAATCCCAGCTACTCAGGAGGCTGAGGCAGGATAATTGCTTGAACTCAGGAGGCAAAGGTTGTGGTGAGCCAAGATCGTGCCACTGCACTCCAGCCTGGGTGATAGGGACTCCACCTCAAAAAAAAAATCTTTTTTTTCCCTTTTTATATTTTTGTCTGGATCCTAAATATTGGGACATTTGAAAGATGTGCATATTTAGTTTAAGCAAATTCTGGTGGATTTGGTTGGTTCTCTCTGTAGTAAGAGTAGAGAAGAATGGTAGATGTGAAAAGAATATATTCTGAAAAGAATATGGGATAAGAGAAAATCAAGAAGGCAAGAAAATAATCATTTCCACCCTTTTATCTACTTTGAAATCACCACTTTTCTTACTTTGGTCTTCTGTTTCCTCTATAAACTATGCTTAAGAGACCAGAGTGAGCAGACTTCTTCGTGAAAACCTGAGCTTGGGAGTTGGGATGGTTTACAGTCTTGGCTTCAGTCCACTTTTCTGACTTAACACCCAGACCCCTTTCCGGCTAAATTTATTGTCTCCTGTTCCTGCTGGGCCTTTCTGGAGCGTCCGCCTCTGGAGTGCCCTCTGCTCTTGAGGTCCCAAACTGCCCATCCCACACCTACCTGGTCACAGCTTTGCAGTTTAAGTCCCCACATGCCAGTGACTGCTTCCTTTCTGGACCCCTTTACTGCATTTCAGCAGTGCTGTCAATCCTTCCTTTAAATTTATGTCACTGGTTTGTAGGGCTCATTCTTCCAGCCTGCAGACGTCAGTTGAGATTCCACTGTGATCAAAGCAGGATATTTAAGTTCTGCAGCGGGTGGGCTGCAAGTGGTAGAAATAGTTATTTTCTTGCCTTCCTGAATTTCTCTTGTTCCATTCTCTTTTCAGGATACATTCCTTTCACTACAGAGAGTTGTCTGCTCTCACTACAAACAGAACCAGCCAAACCCACCACGATTTGCTTAGACATAATGGGCAAGAACTTTCAGAACATTTGGAACTTTTCAGAACATTGGGTGGTCTTAGAGACTAGCCAGTACAGAAATCTCTTGAGAGGGTGTTACTGTGTTCCTTCTGGACACCTCCAGTTTCTGATTTGGCTGTCCTGTTTGTCAGCAGTACATCCTTCATATTGAGCCCAAAACCTCCATTCATTCTGGTGTTCTTCAGTGCAGTCACACTGCTTCGTGATGGCTTTTCTTCAGTGCAGTCATTTGCTTCATGTGACTTTTCTTTTTTCTTTTTCTTTTTCTTTTTCTTTTTTTCTGAGGCAGAGTTTCACTGTTGTTGCCCAGGCTGGAGTGCAATGGCATGGTCTCGGCTCACTGCAACCTCCTCTGCCTCCTGGGTTCAAGCAATTCTCCTACCTCAGCTTCCCAAGTAGCTGGGATTACAAGTGCCCACCACTATGCCCGCCTAATTTTTGTATTTTTAGTAGAGACAGGGTTTCACAATGTTGGCCAGGCTGGTCTCAAACTCTTGACCTCAGGTGATGCATCTGTCTTGGCCTCCCAAAGTGCTGGGATTACAGGCGTGAGCCACTGCACCCAGCCATGATGGCTTTTCCAATGCAAAACATTGCAATAGTTATTCCTTTGAACCTTATAAAATTACTGATTGTTATGTTTTGAATATTTGTCCCCTCCAAAACTTACATTGAAATGTAATCCCCAATGTGGCAGTATTGAGAGGTGGAGTCTTTAAGAGGTGATTGGATCACCAGGGCTTTGCCTTCATGAATGGACTAATCCATTCATGGATTACTAGATTAATGAGTTAATTCATGAATTAATGGACTGATGGGTTATCATGGGAGTGGACCTGGTGGCTTTATAAGAAGAGTATGAGAGACCTGAACCAGCACATTCAGCTTCTTGCCATGTGATGCCCTGCACTACCATGAGATTCTGCAGATTCTTCCCCACCAGTGGGAAGGTCCCACCAGATGTGAGGCCCCTCGAACTTGGACTTCTCAGTCTTCATAACTATAAGAAATAAGTTCCTGGCCAGGCACAGTGGCTCATGCCTGTAATCGCGGCACTTTGGGAGGCCGAGGCGGGCAGATCACGAGGTCAAGAGATTGAAACCATCCTGGCCAAAGTGGTGAAACTCCATCTCTACTGAAAATGCAAAAATTAGCTGGGCATGGTGCTGCGTGCCTGTAGTCCCAGCTACTCGGGAGGCTGATGCAGAATCGCTTGAACCTGGGAGGCGGAGGTTGCAGTGAGCCGAAATTGCACTCCAGCCTGGGCAACAGAGCCAGACCCCGTCTCAAAAAAAAAAAAAAAAAAGAAAGAGAAATAAACTCCTTTTCTTTATAAGTTGCCTAGTTTCAGGCATTCTGTTATAAGCAATAGAAAATGAACTAAGACACTGATATTCAATTGTTTTAGCCTATAAAAATGGGAATTTTATGTGGGTCAACCTAGTATATTCCCCCTGATTCTCTGCTTTTCCAGCTCATATACTTTTGTAGTTTAGATAACCTCCTGTCAGTTAAATCATGATATAAGTTCTTCGTTCCTTTTTTTTCCTTTATAGTTTAAAAATTATTTTATGTGTATCTTTCCTCTGGTAGCCCCCTGAGACTTGCTTACTGCAAGCCCACATGCTGCCTTGACTCCTTTTCCCTGAATCAACTGTGAATTGTTCCGCAGCTTCTCTCCTTTTTGGTCTCTGAACCAAGGTTTCTTAATTAGAGTATCCACAAGTCTATATGTGAAGAGGTTGAGGGAAAAGTAACCACTGGGGACATGAGAAATCTGAAAAGTAATAGTTAGAAATGGCCATCTTAGCCTTATTAAAATGTAAGTAAGGCCGTGTATGGTGGCTCACACCTGTAATCCCAGCACGAGAGGCCAAGGTGGGCAGATCACCTTAGGTCAGGAGTTCGAGACTAGCCTTGCCACAATGGCGAAACCCCATCTCTACTAAAAATACAAAAATTAGCTGGGCGTGGTGGCATTTGCCTGTAATCCCAGCTACTTGGGAGGCTGAGGCAGGAGACTCGCTTGAACCTGGGAGGTGAAGGTTGCAGTGAGCTGAGATCGCATCATTGTACTCCAGCCTGGGAGACAGAGCAAGACAACATCTCTAAATAAATAAATAAATATAATGTAAGGCAAGGCCTTTTCCCTTATATCTATTTTAGGGTTTACCCTTGTGTATACAGAAAAATTGTTCCCTGTCCAGCTTATTATGGGCTGGATAGCAGGCAGAACTCCTCAGTTTGGGTTAGCATTGCATTAACAGAACTGCCACATCTTTCTGGATAATCTTCCTTTGTGCATAAGCTCCAGGCTCACCTTCTCTGCCTCACAGCTGTGCGCTGGTTTCCCTTAGCTTTCTTGGGTTCTGGATGGATACTGGCCTTCTGGGTGAGAAGGGGGTTCTTTGGCAAAAGGTGTTTTTGACATAATTTAGGACCTTCTTAAGTTCTACAGCAGACCTAAATTTCTTCCCCCAAGTTCTTTGTCTATATAGAGTACTCAGCACTCATTACCCATTCTCAGTTCTGAAGGAAATCTTATGGAGCAGTTGTAGTATTTATAGGGTAAGCAGAGTGCCCAGTTTCCATGCCCCACCCCAAACCATTTAGATTTCAGTCATGTATGTCAAGGGAGGAGTGAGTACATTTTTGTGGTCAGCTGCCTCTTCTTTTCCCTAACATTCTCACTTTTTCATCTTTCCTGCTTTCTTGAGGTCATTTATCTATTGAATAGGATGTCTATTGAAAGGAAAAACCTCCCCTAATCGCCTTTAAACTAATATTTCTTACTGGGCATGGTGGATCACCTGAGGTTGACAGTTTGAGACCAGCCTGGCCAACATGGAGAAGCCCCATCTCTACTAAAAAAAAAAAAAAAAAAATATTAGCCAGGCGTGGTGGCGCATGCCTGTAATCCCAGCTATTTGGGAGGCTAAGGCAGGAGAGTCGCTTGAACCCAGGAGGCGGAGGTTGCGGTGAGCCAAGATCGTGCCATTGCCCTCCAGCCTGGGCAACAAGAGCGAAACTCCATCTCAAAAAATAACTAAACTAATATTTCTCTTTTCTCAATAATAATGGCATGAAAAGAATTTTTTCTGTGCCTTTTCAAAATCCCAATACCCCCTCGTGGCATTTCCTATGTTGAAGTTTTCAACAGCCTTATCAGGAGGAGAAATGAGCTTAATTTTTGAGTTTTAGTGCTTAGGGACTCTGTCTTGGCTTCTAGAGATAACTTCACTGTGGGCACCCACAAATAATATGTTTAATTTTTTTTCTAAACCTTTTGCTGATGGTCATTGCAATATTTTCTTGATTTTAATTTCCTGAGTTTTCTTCTTTCACATTTTTTCTTTTTTTTTTGGTGATATTTTTCCATATTCCATTATCTGCATCCTTCTCACTCTCCCTGATTTTTCAAACATCATGGACTACAGATCTGCAACCTCCCTGGTAATTCCTCTTGGGTTTGAGAGGAAGTTTGTCAAGTACTGGAAACTTGAACTTGTATAAAACAGATGTCACCACTCATTTTAATGGAAGAAGGCATGGAGTAAATACAGATAGCACATAACAGCTATATGCATTCTCTTAAATTTCTTTCCCGATCTTGGGCTTGAGGTATTTTTATCTAATCTAGTCTACCCTTGCCATTTTCAAGATCTTTTTCTTTGATACTTGATAGAGAAGTGTCTTCTGTATTTTTCTTCCTTCTTGGAAGAATATATTTTAAAAAATGTATTTTGAGATTGAGTATTTTGTGAAACATCTTTCCTCTAAAATCCTCAAAGTAACTTTGCCTCTCTTTGATTTCTATGGGTAGTCCAGCGGAGAGTGATACACATAAGGATATTTCATAAACACTGCTTGCATTCCTCTGGGATTTGTGCTCCTAGATGACAGCATATATATGCATGTGATTCTGTGTGTGTAAACATGCTTTAAAAAATTTATTGAACATAGTTTTCAGCTGTCTTCACTCACTTTAAACCTTAGTCTACTTTCTTTTTCTTTTTTTTTTTTTTTTGAGACTAAGTATTGCTCTGTAGCCCAGGCTGGAGTGCAGTGGCGCAGTCTCAACTCACTGCAACCTCCTCCAGGTTCAAACGATTCTCCTGCCTCAGCTTCCTGAGTAGCTGGGATTATAGTTGCCCACCACCATGCCTGGCTAATTTTTTGTATTTTTAGTAGAGACAGGGTTTCACCATGTTGGCCAGGCTGGTCTCAAACTCCTGACCTCAAGTGATCCGCCTGCTTCAGCCTCCCAAAGTGCTGGGATTACAGGTGTGAGCCACTGTGCCCAGCCTTTAGTCTACTTTCTGTTTTTACAATTCCATGCCATGTTTATTGAAAGCATGTTGTTGGTTTCTTTTGATGCCTCCCCTGTCTTTCTTCTCATCATGATTTTAAAAATTAATACTTTGTAATATTTGAGATTTTTATATCTATGTCAAGTTAACTTTTCCTGAAAAATATTTTGATACATTTTCTAGAATGTTAGTGTATTGTGTTTATAACATGGGGGAAAATGTACTGTTTCATTTTTAAATTTATTTTTATTTATTTTTGTTATTATTATTTTTTAAGAAACAGGGTCTTGCTCTGTTGCTCAGGCTGGAGAGCAGTGGCATGATCCTGGACTCAAACAATCTTCCCACCTCAGCTTTCTGAGTAGCTAGGACTACATGCGTATGCCACCATGCCCACCTAATTTTTAATTTTTTTGTAGAGACAGAGTTTTACTATATTGTCCAGACTGGTTTTGACCTCCTGGGCTCAAGGGATCTTCCCACCTTGGCCTCCTAAAGTGTTAGGATTATAGGTGTGAGTTATCACAGCCAGGTGCAATAAGTGTTTATGATTAATTTAAAAGCAGATGCTGTGCTTTTCAAAAATTATGCTCAATTTTTTTTTTAATATTACAAAGGACTTTTAGACTGGCTTCCTCCTAAACATTTCTTCAACTCCTATCAAGTTCAGTCTGCAAATATCCTAATTTCTAGGTTGTTTGGGAATGTTAATTGATTGTCTCATGTATGTATGTATGTATGTATGTATGGATAGACAGATAGATGAAGGTTGAAGGATGGATGGATAGATTAAATGGATGGATGGATAGATAGATAGATAGATAGATAGATAGATAGATAGAAAGATAGATGAAGGTTGAAGGGTAGGGCTGGAGGAGGAATTCCAGCTTTCCAGTAGATTTTCTATCAAGCAGTCATTCATATATATAACTTCCTATATTGTTAGCCAAAGTTCATCCATGTCTCTTGTATTTAGCTCTCTGTCTGTATTGTAGAAAGCTTATTTATTATGTGAGCATTTTGCTTTCTCCTATCCCTCCCTCTTTCTTTAACATCAGTTATAACAGCTGTGAATACAGTTTATAATATGAGCAGCCATATTCAGTTTTTAGGCTTTCAAAATCACAAATACAAAGGAGGATATAATACATAGTCCTATATTTTATACAAATTGGGACACTTTTCTTCATTTCTTATTTCGTGGCATTGCCTAACTATAGTCAAGCTAATGACCCATGTAGATGTAGTGTTGTACCTGGTGTCCGTGTCCCTGTGAATGTGTCATGTTGTGCTGGCCTGATTCCCCAACATCAGCCCCAGGGAGCCAGCAGCTGGAGCAGCTGTCATCTTGTGAAAGCAGAGTGTCCTTGTTGCTATTGATTGGGTTGTTCAGTCAATTGCAAAAAAGTGGATCTAACTGTCAATGGTAGTTATATGATAATCCTGGAGATAAATAAGTGTCAAGTGAAGTATTACTTGAATTTAGGACTTGAAGAGAGAGAAAGGGGTATGAGTAGTTGGAGGGGAAGATTTGCTATGACAAGCTATTATTCAGTGTGGTTATTTTGTATGACAGGTAAGTCTACAGGTATCTTTTGTTAGATAAATCAGAAATTAAGCATTCCCTTTGTAAACTCCAAACAAGATTTTGAAACACCATGGTCCCCCCTTATCCACCTCCAAGATCTCCAGTGGATGTCTGAAACCACTGATAGTACTGAAGTCTCTATATATTATGTTTTTCCCCTGTATGTAATACATACCTGTGATAAAGTTTAATTTATAAATTAGGCACAGGAAGAAATTAACAAAAATAAGTAAGAATAGAACAGTTATAACTATATGTTCTATTAAAAGTTATGTGAATTTGTTTTCTCTCTCTCTCAAAATATCCTGTTGTGCTGTGTGTTCACCCATTTTTGAGCTGCCGTTGACTGTGGATAACAAACCACAGAAAGTGAAACTTCACATAAAGGGGGACTACTGTATTCTCATAATGTTAATTGCTTCTAGAATTCACAAGGATTGAATTCAACTTGAATCTTGCTAAAGAAGTACTTTATTATTCGATGTTAGTCCAGCAACAACTTATAGTGTAGAAATTTGCCCTTTTGAGGGTGAATACACAAAGGGGAAAGAAAACTTGTGTGCCCACGGTCCACTAACAGATAAGCTTCTGGAGGCCAGGAGTAAACCGCCCTGCAGGGGAGCCATCTCCCAGGGTTTCCCCAGCAGAGAGCTGTGCCCAGTGCCGGGGTCTCATGCTTACCTATTTCTCTGTGCCAGTATAGTAGACCTGTTTTCAAGCCTAGCATGAGCCTTAAGTATTACTGGCTGGGAGTGGTGGCTCATGCCTGTAATCCTAGCACTTTGGGAGGGTGAGGCAGGCGGATTGCCTGAGCTCAGGAGTTTGAGACCAGCCTGGGCAACATGGTGAAACCCTGTCTCTACTAAAATACAAAAAATTAGCCGGGCGTGGTGGCGGGCACCTGTAGTCCCAGCTACTTGGGAGGCTGAGGTAGGAGAATTGCTTGAACCCAGGAGGCAGACATTGCAGTGGGCTGAGATCACGCCAGTGCACTCCAGCCTGGGTGACAGAGCGAGACTCTGTCTCCCACAAAAAAAAGAAAAAAAAAAAAAGTATTACTTATTTAGTAAGTCCATAGCATTTTGTTCACACAGTGTATCATTGTGCTTTTCTGTTTCAAAGTGTAATTATTTAATCTAGAAATTTTAAGTCCTGTGACAGAAAACAAATGCTGTTCTCACAAAATATGAGAAATCAAATTCCATCTTATTATTTAAATTAATTCTTTTTTAACTGAAGAATTGTTATGTGGGTAGCTTTCAACATAATTTTTTCAATATTAGATGCTTATAACTAATGTGGATTTAGTTAATTCGATGTTTATCACATTTAATTCTTATTTACTACAAAGGTTAAAGCAATTTTATTTCTTCTGGAAACTTTTAGGATCTTGTGAGTGAGGGACGTCAGCCAAAATTGGCAACTTTTTCAAGCAACTGGCTCAAGAAATTAGGAATTTCTCTAATAATGAGCCATCGTTTTTTGAATTCAACAATTTAAAAGGGCTGCATAGTTAGGATATGATTCCAGTTTCCCCTCAGTGCAAATTGATATTTTTTTCTGTTGACACATTCTACTTTGTTTTCGAAGACTAGTTTATAGTGTTCTTTTAAAAGCAAAGAAAATATCTTTAAAAATCCCAGCTTTTTGGCTGGGTGCGGTGGCTTCATGCCTGTGATCCTAGCACTTTGGGAGGCTGGGGTGGGAGGATCACTGGAGGCCAGGAGTTTGAGACCAGTCTGGGCAACACAGGCACTCCATCTCTTTAAAATAAAAAATAAAAAAATAAAAATAGCCAGGCTTGGTGGCCCACACTTGTAGTCCCAGCTACTCGGGATGCTGAGGCAGGAGGATTGCTGGAGCTCAGGGATTCAAGGTTGTAGTGAGCTATGATTGAGCCACTGCACTTTAGCTTGGGCAATGGAGCAAAACCTTGTTTCCTTTAAAAAAAAAATTTATTAAAACATGCTCTTACTTTGGCAAAAATATATGTTTCTTCATAGTGATGATAATCATAATGATACATTATTACTATATGCAGCTTATAAGAATCAGTTGTCTAATGTATCCGTGTAAGTTTCTCTGTGGTTTTAAGAATCATTCCATAGGCTGATAAATGCATACTCTCTTCACCCCATTGCACATCCAGCATTCTGAATTTTTCTCACTTCCTTGAATATGCCATGTTCCATGCACTTGTAGATCTTCCATCACAGAAGGTGCCTCATCTGTCCAGAACCCCTGCCATACCTCTGCTCCCTTTGTCTAGCTAACGCTCACTCATCCTTTAGATCCCAGTGAAATGTCACTTGCATCTGGGAGGACTTTCTGACTAGGTTCTGAGCTTCCTTTGCATTCTGTTTTTCATTGACATAATGACATCACATTTATTAGTATTGTCTCATTGTAAACCCCAGTAAGGCAGGAACTGTATCTCTCTGTATCCCCAACACTACCACAGTGCCTGGTGCATGTTAAATTGCAGTTAATATTTCTAGAATGAAAGAGTGCTTCCATCCTTCATCATCCGTCTTTCAGATAAAGAAGTATCTAGTTACCTTTGTCTTAAATTAAAACAATTTCAAAAGGTTGCATGTGCTGGTGGACCAGTTGAAATCCACAGCTCCCATATTGCTGCTCATTGCCACTGTTATTGATGCCCTGGAGATGATTTAAAATTCAGTTATGTTGCTTGTGATGGTGGTATTTAAAAATCTATAATTTTGGCTGGGCGTGGTGGCTCATACCTATAATCCCAGCTCTTTGGGAGGCCAAGGCAGGTGGATCACAAGGTCAGGAGTTTGAGAATAGCCTGGCCAACAGAGAAACCCCGCCTCTACTAATAATACAAAAATTAGCCGGTCGTGGTGGTGTGCACCTGCAATCCCAGCTACTCAGGAGGCTGAGGCAGGAGAATTGCTTGAACCCGGAGGCGGAGGTTGCAGTGAGCTGAGATTGTGACACTGCACTCCAGCCTGGGCGATAGAGCAAGACTCTATCTTGAAGAAAATAAAAAATAAATAAATAAAATCTATAATTTTTATACTCATGTGCTATTATAGTGACCCTGTGAGACATCATAATGCCTTAATGATAGCTTGTCTTGTTTTTACTTTCACTTACATCTATAGTTCCAAATGTTTTATTGAATTGTGCTTTATTTGATAATTCATAGTTGTAAACTGACCTCATCCCATATTTGTATTTTTACAATCTCAACAGTTTTATCAGGGACATATTTTTATATTCTGTAGCATAATACAGTGCCTTCTGTAGAGCTTAGTTTCATGTGCAGTGATGTGTCAGAATGAAATATCTGCCCAGTGGTATTGAATTTCATGTATTATGATTTACATATTCTTCTGTGTATCAACTGGTTTTATATTACCCAGAGAATGCTTATGGTGGTGGTTGAGAGTTGTGTATTGCTATTGACTGTACGGGCCATAGACATATTTGTAGGTATATTAAATTTGCTTTGTACTTCTCACACAATTGATTTGGTGGGCATTCTTCTTAATTATACTTGATGGGTGCATACATAAATTCATTCTTGGTTAAAAAAATTCAGATAGTGTAGATATGGCAGTGGTTCCTTTAATCCCTCCAATTATTTATTTACCTTATATATCTGGGAACTTTGTATAAAAACTAAACACTGGCCTGGCACGGTGGCTCATGCCTGTCATCCCAGCTCTTTGGGAGGCCCAGGCGGGTGGATGTCTTGAGCTCAGGAGTTTGAGAACAGCCTGGGCAAAATGTGGCAAAACCCTGTCTCTACAAAAAAATACAAAAGTGACCCAAGTGTGGTGGTGCACACCTGCAGTCCCAGGTACTCGGGAGGCTGAGGTGGGAGGATTGCTTGAGCCTGGGAAGTGGAGGCTGCAGTGAACTGAGATCACACCACTGCCCTTTGGCCTGGGTGACAGGCCGAGACCCTGTCTCAAAAAACCTGAACACTTCTTTGTTATGTTTCTACAATTTGACACAATAATTCAAGTCAGCCAAGCACTTTAAAAATTATTTTGAAATAATTTTAGATTTATAGGAAAGTTGTCAAAATAGGGTAGAGTTAATTATATATAACCTTATGCAGTTTCCCTGATAACCACTTATATAACCATAGCACAGTTATAAAAAAATTATCAGGAAATTCACTGGTATAATACCATTAACTAAACTGTGGCCCTTTTTGACTTTCACCGGTTTTTCACCTCCTGTATTTTTCTCTGTTCCAGGATCCCATCCAGGATCCCACATTACCTTCAGTTGTTGTTTCTCCTTTATTTCCTGCAATCTATTAAAGATTCTAATCCTTTCTTTGTCTTTCATGACTTCAGCAAACAGTTTTAGTTGGATGCTTAGTATATACCAGTCACTGAGATTGGTGCTTGAGGGAAGGGAGATAAATGAATGGATGAGACATGGCCCTTACCTAATGAGGTGAGCCAACACATAGACAAGTAATGCTAAAACAATGTAGTGCCTTTAAAAGGCCTTTGTACTATCTCCCTAGAGAAGAGAGAGTTGCTGACTCACTGAATAACAGTGTTGAGGCAGCATTTTCAGAAGAAATGACATTGATCTGGGTCTTAAAGAATGGGGAAACTTTTCCTTGTGGAGAAATGGAGTGGAAGAGGAGTTCATCATGGACAGGCAGGGGCATTTGGCATGAAAGTGTGAAAGACTGGCTTGTTTGCAGACTGGCAAATCACTTGATAGGAATGGAGCATAGGGTATGTGAAGAACACAGTGAGGCATGAAACTAGAAGAGTAGTTACAAAGCTACCTTTTTTCATTACTTTTTATTAATAAATATATCCTCATATTTGTAGGGTAAGTTTTGGCTTAAATTTTTTTTAAATCTCATTATTCATACTTAATGAGCATTTAATTGTAATCAGTGTTTCTAGTTTTAAACTGCACAACATTAAGATTGTTACTGTACTTTTGGAAAGAAAAAGAGAACAAATAATTATGCTTAGCTGTTGCAATAGCATCTAATAGCATTTAAATTCTGTTAATAAAGAATATGAATTTATTCTGTAATGCCTATTGGGCACCTATTATATGGCAGGCACTGTTTGAGGTGAGAGAGATATAGCAGCAAAGAAAAGAGAAAAACTCCTGCTCTTGTTCTAATATATTCTAGTGGTCCTAGTTGCAATATGTTTGAACTAACATGGTAGTTCAGTCAACAAGTCAAATGTTAACTGCCTAGCATGTTATCTAGATGCTCAGCAGATTTTTAAAAAATGAATAGATATATGACTGGGTCTTGAAGGAGTAAAAGAATTTCAGGCTGGGCACGGTGGCTCATGCCTGTAATCACAGCACTTTGGGAGACCAAGGCAGGCGGATAACCTAAGGTCAGGAGTTCAGGACCAGCCTGGCCCAACATGGTGAAACCTTGTCTTTTCAAAAAATACAAAAATTAGCCAGGTGTGGTGGTGGGCCCTTGTAATCCCAGCTACTTGGGAGGCTGAGGCAGGAAAATTGCTTGAACCCGGGAGGCAGAGGTTGCAGTGAGCTGAGATTGTGCTGTTGCACTCCAACCTGGGTGACAAGAGTGAAACTCCATCTCAAAAAAGAAAAGAATTTCATTGAGTAGAGGTTTGCTGGCATGAGTAATTTTTGTTTATTTCATATGCATTCTTGGAGATTATTCTTAGGTAGTTAGAACACATTGAAGATATTATTTCATTGTCTTTTGACTTCAATTGTCAATCTCAGGTAATTGTCTTTTCCCTGGCTGTCTTTAAAAATATTTTCTCTGGGCCGTGCATGGTGGCTCACGCTTGTAATCCTAGCACTTTGGGAGGCTGAGGCAGGTGGATCACCAGAGGTCAGGAGTTCAAGACCAGCCTGGACAACATAGCAAAACCCCATCTCTACTAAAAATATATTAAAAAAATGGGCCAGGCGTGGTGGCAGGTGCCTGTAATCCCAGCTACTTGGGAGGCTAAAGCAGGAGAATTACCTGAACCTGGGGCATGGAGGTTGCAGTGAGCCAAGATCGCACCACTTCACTCCAGCCTGGGCAAAAGAGCAAAACTCCATATCTATCTATCTATATATATATATTTTTTTCCTCTGGTTCTTATTTTTGAAGTTTTTGTACAATATATCAAGATACAGATTTATTTTTATTTATTCTGCTAGGTATCTGAGGATTGGTATTTTAGTTCAGGAAAATTCGCAGCCATTATTTCTTCACATACTGTTTGTGCTTCATCCTCTTTTTTTGTTTGTTTTTTTGAGATGAAGTCTTGCTCTGTCATCCAGGCTGGAGTGCAGTGGCGTGATCATGGCTCCACTGCAACCTCTGCCTCCTGGGTTCAAGCTATCCTCCCACCTCAGCCTCCCGAGCAGCTGGGATTACAGGTGTGCTCCACCACGCCCTGCTAATTTTTAAATTTTTTTAGTAGAGATGGGATTTCATCATGTTGGCCAGGCTGGTCTTGAACTCCTGATCTCAGGCGATCCGCCCACCTAGGCCTCCCAAAGTGCTGGGATTAACAGGCATGAGCCACCATACCCAGCCTGCTTCATCCTCTTTTAATCTCATTTTCAGTCTCCAATTAAACATATGTTAAAATTTCTCACTGTATGCTCTATGCCTTTACCCTCTTTTGTGTTTTTCTTCTTTTTCTGAGCTGTACTCAGTTTACTGATTCTCTCTTCAACTATATCTAATCTGTCATTAGTTATAGAATTTTTATTTAGTTATCAAATTTGTCATCTTTTATAGTTTATAGTTCCCTGTTAAAACCATTTAGTTTGGTTTTTATCTCTTTGAATATAGTTAATGTCATTGTTTTTAAATCTTTACCTGTATTTTCAATATCTGAAGTTCCTGTGGGTCTTCTTCTGTAGTTTCTTGTTTCTGCTGGTTCTGACTCATGGTGTTTGTTTTTTCCTGTGCCTGATTACATCCTGGATGTTGTTTTTGAAAAAGTATTTATAGAAATAATTTGAGGTTGAGAATTTTCATATGCTTCTGCCTTCTGCCTAGGTTGTACAGTTTAAGGCCTCCTCAAGCCAAGTTCATGATTCAGGTATTGTGAGTTGGGCTGCAAACCTGTGTGCAGGCTGGTTACTTACAGTTCACTTTCCCTCTTTGAAGCCCCATTTACAATAGGGGTTGGTATCCTTGAGACCCCACCTGCTTAGGCTCCAGATGTCACCAGAATTTCACATCAGCTTTATTTCCTGGATTGGTAAATATAACCCCATGATAAAAGTGGCTCTGAGTGTTGGGTTTACCTCTTGGACTTCCTGTCCTCACCAATTTTTGACCGAAAATTCAACCCTATGTTGTTAGCTCTTTGAATTACCTATTCTGTCCTCATTAGAAGAGTGCCTCCAGCATTTATTGCCTAAACATGACAGCTGAGTATTTTTAGTTTGATTTTTTTTTTAACATTTGCTAATAATACGTTTTCAACCAGATCATAAACTTTGTGGATAAGGTCCCTGTCTGCTATTTCTTTACCCTTCTCATATAGCATTTAATACAATGATAGGTGGATAATTGGTTCTCTTGGCCAGTTGACTGATCAAGGGGCAATTCTCCAAACTCTGGTGATTTCTCCTTTTCGTTCGTAAGACTGCTTTTATACCCCAACAAAGAAACTTGTTATAATTTAATAGTGGCTGTGTCCATTTTTCTTTTCTTCTCTGCTGTTCCATCCCAAGGTGGGATGGCCCCAATTAGACTAACCACTGAAACCCTGGGCATAAAATGGTGCCCAGGGAGCTTTTCTTCATATTAATTTGTGTGTACTCTAAAAGGAAAGATTATTTGGCTTGCTCATAAATCCAAAATTTTGGTGATGAAAATATGTTTATAATTATTTCTTTTGAGCTTGATTTGTTGTGGATTTTTTCCTTTATTTTGGTTTAAGATCAAATGGTTTCCTAATGTGTATGGGTCACTGTAGTCTAAATTTTTTTTTTTTTTTTTTTTTTTGAGATGGAGTTTTGCCCTTGTTGCCCAGGCTGGAGTTAAATGGCGAGATCTTGCCTCACTGCAACCTCCACCTCCTGGCTTCAAGTGATTCTCCTGCCTCATCCTCCTGAGTAGCTGGGATTACAGATGCCTGCCACCACGCCCAGCTAATTTTGTATTTTTAGTAGAGACAAGATTTTATCATGTTGGCCAGGCCGGTCTGGAACTCCTGACCTCAGGTGATCCGCCTGCCTTGAACTCCCAAAGTGCTGGGATTATAGGCATGAGCCACCGTGCCTGGCCTCTAAATATTTTTAAAGTATAGATGTTTTTAAACTTGTAGCTCCTGAGTGTGAACTGTCCCTTGCTGTTTTTTGGGCATCTATCAAGGCATTTGTTCTAACCACTGAGTAAGAAGGACATCACTAAGGGGGTTGTAGCTATACCTTTCTTCTTTTTATCTTTAATTAACATGCATTGACTGCCTGGTATGTTAGAAACAGACCTGCCTATTACAGTCTCATTCCCTTCCATACTCATCCTTGCTTGTGTGGCTACCTCCCAAGCTAGGACTGCAAGACCCTTATCACTCCTGCTTACTATTGGTTTTTGTGTCCTTTTGGCAATTTTCTAGTGGCTGCTTGAACTATTGGTTGTCAGATTGACCTGATTTGTTTCACTTGTAAACAAAATGCTTAAGCCACTGTTGATTTTTGTGACAGCTCAGTTGCTTAGAGCAAGGTGTTAATGAGACATCGGTCATAGGTCCAGGCTCTGGGTTGACTGGTAAGCTTTGCTCTGGCCCATGGCCACAGACCCTGACTCCCCCTTGCCAGCTGTCTTGCACATGTAGCTATGGCTCATTATGGGGACACAGCAGGGGGTGGAGATAAGACAAGGCAAATCTGTCATCTCTGCCAGAAAAGACAACTCCTACTGATAGGTCAGTAACCTTTTCATTGGAAGAACAGCACGTTAGTATTAGCTTCTGTAGATGTGTCTAACTGAGTCTTTTTCTTAAAATAACTCATGTGATTGTATGGGTTGTCTGCAGCAAGTTTAGAATACTGCTCACATTTTAAAGCATGTTTGAATATAAGGATGGCTTTTTAGTTTGTGAAGATTATTGTCCTTAATCAGGGATTCTTAATATCATTCTCTAAAGTAGAAAAGTGAGCTTTAGAAGTCAAATTTGATAAAGCTCTAGAAAACAACTGCAAAATTGCTGTTATAAAGAAACCTGTCAAATTTAGGAAGTGCCCTCCAGGAGCCCTTCATCCCAACCAATCCTCTCCTAAAAGAAAGGAAAAAAAGAAGAAAGATGGCTAGGTAGATGGAATAGTGATCAGAAAAAAAGAACTTTTCTAGAAAAGCATACCAGTGTGCTCTTTACCAGAGCATTTTAGCAGGTAATATTTTACAAAGGACCCAGCAGATAATTGGGCAGGTTTTTTCTTTAGGAACTTAGTGTTGATGGCCTGAATTAATCTGACTAGGAATTTAGACATTTCTTCATGATATATTTTGAGTCCATAGATGATCTGATTCTAATGTGACTTCAGTTTTTAACTTACATAGCGTTAAGCAAAAGGATGTGTGTGTATGTATGTGTGTTTGTTTTACATCCTAAAGGTATTACAGGCCCCATGGTAAACTTTTTGGCTCAAGTGAATCCAGAGTTTGGTATATGTAACCTCCAGTGGTGGTTCATGAACAAACACTTCATTTCTGTAGTCATATTTTTTTTTAAAGAATAAAAGTGAGCCAGGTTTAAAACTTGTTAAGAAAATAATAGCACAGGTGATACACAGATGAAGCAAAATTGCCGTGGATGGTCTGGGAATGCCTGAGGATTGAGAAACACTGGCTGAATTATACACTGTGGCAGAAGAAATTATAGGCCCTTAGAAACAGGTAGAGGTTATTGGAAAGATTCAAGCACCTAATGTTTAGTTAGAAGGTAAGTAAGCTGGTTTCTTAAGTTCTTGTTTATTTATTGGGTGTGGGCTCAGGATAAGTTAGTTTGAAATAGATCTTAGAGAAGTAAATGCAAGACAACTTTATCAATGAGTCATGGGCAAACAATTCTATTATTAGAAGTAGTATAGAAAAGGAGTAGGAGAAGTAGAAGGGAGGAAGTCTAGTATTCATTCATTTATTTATTCATTAATTCAGCCACTATTTCTTGAGCACCTGGTGTATGTCAGGCACTGTTGTAGGCACTGGGGACACAGCAGGGAGCAAAACAGACAAGTCTCTGCCCTCATGAAATTCATTTACATCCTAATGGGAAGAGACAAATAATGTAAGTGAGTATATAGCATGTCAGCTGTGAGAAATGCTATGGAGAAAAATAAAGCAGAGTAAGGGAATTAAGGAGTGATGGGATGGGGAGGCATTGCTTTTTTAAATAGTTTGATGAGGAAAGACCTCTCTAAGAAAGTGACATTTAACTTGACTTCTGAGGGAAGTGAGGGAGCATTCCAGGCATGGAGAAGGAGTGTTCTAGATGGAGGGAACAGCAAGTGCAAAGAGCCCTTGACATGTCTGAGAAACAGATAAGAGGCCAGTGTGGCTGGCGTGGAGAGAGAGGGGAGAGTCGTCAAGTAGTAAGAGGTGAGAGCAGATGGGAGGAAGGTCTCAGCACAGGTCAGGCCTCTGGCTTTGCTGAGAGTGATGGATGCCTTTGCAGGGTTTTGAACAGAGGAGGCACATGATTTGACTTAACGTTTTAACAAGCTGTTTCCTGCTGCTGTGTTGAGAATAAGCTGTAGGCGGCACCAAGGTGGCAGCTGGGAGGGTATTGCCACAAAACAAGCAAGAGATATGATGGTTTAGGCCAGTGGTAATGGTGGAGAGTGTGAGAAGAGGACAGATTCTGGATGTATTTTGAAGTAGAGCCCGCAGAATTTGTTGATGAACTTGATGCAGAGTGTTAGAAAAAGAGAAGACTTCAAGGTTATTGGCCTGAATAACTGGAAGGATGGAGTTATCTATCACTGAGATAAACAGAGGTAACAGAAGTAAAGGGGAGAGATGGCCATGGTAGAAGGTGGATTACACCTTTAAATTTTTAAAACATATTTTTATTTAAAATAGCCCTCACTCCCTGGCCCAGTGCACACAAAGGACCTGATTTGCTTTTACCCTGAGTTTGTCACTGTAGATATCCTGGAATACTTCGTTAAAAACTATAAATAAAGTGGCCATAATACGGCTCATTTTGTTCAGATTCTAAAAAAAAATTCCTTCATAAGCAGT
Source organism: Homo sapiens (assembly GCF_000001405.40). Taxonomy (NCBI): domain Eukaryota; kingdom Metazoa; phylum Chordata; class Mammalia; order Primates; family Hominidae; genus Homo; species Homo sapiens. Next base: position 74,924,372 of record NC_000010.11, read on the forward strand.
TGGCTTCCAAATAGCAATGCATGCTGTCAGTTTGGTGACTAATTGGGTTAGAGGTTAATAGCAAGGCAGTCCTATAAACATCAACGGGAGTGGTGTATCCAAATGAAAGCTTGCATTAGGCAACAATTCAAAGAATGAGAATGACTAAATACCATGTTACAAGCCAAGTGAATTATATTAAGAGTTTTAACTTTGAGAGAAAGGGACGTTACCCCTGAAATAACTATCTTAGTTGGATCTTCCCTACTTAATACTCATAGTTGGGTTGTAAAAATGTAAAGGTTACCATCAAAACAGCACTTCTTAACCATGAAATTGACTAACTTTGTAAAATTAGAAATTCTGTTACTTACTTCCTACTATGCTGATTGGACATTCCTTCTTTTGCCAAAAGAACAGAAAGTTGGATTTTGTGCCTTCTAGCCAAGAGAACCACACACCTCTCTCTCTGTAGACCAGCTAAATGCTTCCTACTGCTCGGTGATGAAATCAGATCATGGAATCAGTCAGTTTGCTATACTGAATTTTTTTTTTTTCAGCTGTGTTCTAATTGAACCTTTGGGGAATAAACTAATTCTTAACATCTGAAAGTTTAAAGGTCTGATACTAGAATTTATGGGGTGGTAGAGGAGACCTTTTAGTCTCTGTATCCAAACCAAAATGTAAATTTACTTTTATTTATTTTTTATTTTTTGAGAAGGAGTCTCGCTTAGGCTGGAGTGCAGTGACATGATCTCGGCTCACTGCAACCTCTGCCTCCCGGGTTCAAGCAATTCTCCCTACCTCAGCCTCCCAATTAGCTGGGATTACAGGTGCTCTTCACCACGTCTGGCTAATTTTTGTATTATTTAGTAGAGACAGGGTTTTGCCATGTTGGCCAGGCTGGTCTTGAACTCCTGACCTCACGTGATCCGCCCACCTCAGCCTCCAAAAGTGCTGGGATTACAGGCGTGAGCCACTGAGCCTGGCCAATTTCTTTTTTTATTGTGGGATAATCATTCCATACTTCTCCCTCCTCTCTAGTCCCCACCCCCACCCCCCTTTTTCCCCCCACAAGTGAAGATGATTTCCTGTGCTGGTCTAGGATTAGTTTTGTTACAGTCTGTCTTTATAAGAACATTTCTTTTCCATAATCCAGAAGCATTTTGTAAAACCTATGCCTGGAAATTGAGTCACTTTTTATTGCTTAGATTTTCTTCACAGAAAAACATAGGTTCTGTTGGATGAGTATTTGTTGTGAAAGCAAATTATTAAGGGGTGAAAATTGTCTATACAAGTTGATGTATAGGAGGATATCTGAACTGGATTAGTTGCTCTTTTATCTGTGTTTTCAAAGCTCTTTAATAGTAACTCTTATAACACTTATAACAGTGTTATCACTATTGTTTGGGCATCATTCCATTCTGCTAGACTGGGAATTCTTTTATAATACAGTGCCTGATAGGCATCCATTCATTCCTTGAAATAATGTATTGAGTGCTCATTATGTGCTTGAAATAGAGTGTGTGCAGGAGCCAGAGCAGTCGGCAGAACAGATGCAGCTTGTGTCGCATGTGCGTACAGCCCATGGCAGGGTGGGGGGCAGGGGACCCAGCAAACAAGATACAGATAACTGCGCAGTACAGTGCCAATATGCACAGGAACAGTGACTGTCCCCTACCTACATAAATGCATAGACCTCATATGTGTATTGTGAATCCTCTATAATTGTTGAATTTGACTTTGAAATTAAACACTTGATATTTTAGACTAGTCAAAAATGGGATATGTTATTATTTTAATAAAAACACCATTGTATCCAGCCGGGCACAGTGGCTCACGCCTATAATCCTAGCACTTTGGGAAGCCGAGGCGGGCAGATCACCTGAGGTCAGGAGTTCAAGACCAGCTTGGCCAACATGGCAAAACCCCGTCTCTACTAAAAATACAAAAATTAGCTGGGTGTGGTGGCACACGCCTGTAATCCCAGCTACTTGGGAGGCTGAGGCAGGATAATCACTTGAACCCTGGAGGCCTAGGTTGCAGTGAGTCGAGATTGCACCACTGCACTCCAGCCTGGGCAACAGACTGAGACTCTGTCTCAAAAAACAACAACGACAACAAAAATAACACCACTGTATCCATATTGCCTACAGGAGAAAATGCAGATCACTTATTTTATGTATGTGTTGAATCATTTTAAATAACCTGACGGAGGTCCTTTCTTGGGCCCATGCCTCTGCACATGTTGGGCATGTTGTAGTTGTCGTTACTAGCAAGACACACCTACCCTTTAAGACCAGTCTAAATGCCACCTTGTTCCCTCCATGTAATCTCAGAACTTCTTTAAGGGCAAGGACCAAATTACGTCTGTGAAACCCTAGAGTTTGATCTACCACTTCACGTGGAGGCATGGGACAGAGGTTTTGTTAATGAGTGAATGTATCCATTTAATAAGTTCCTTCTTCAGTACACTCTTGAGACCTATTCTGGCTTTCCCAGGAAACAGCTGAAGGAGTGACCTCCAATCAAGTCAGCTCTGTGTCAATCCTTCATTTTCGGATGTTTTTTCTTCCTTTTCTCACAGGGTCATAAGGATCAAATGTAATAATGATGTAAGAGTTAAGCGTATTCAATAAAGGGAGGCAGTGGAATCATCACAATGTTGATCATCACAATCAACATTATTATTACTGCACCACTATAGTTCCTTGTAATACACAGTCCAGAAATATTATCACAAAATCTCACTGAGGATGTCATTGTTCTGGGTTTGACCTAGATGTTGATGTAATGAACAGTTCTCTATCAGTTAGTGTGTTGGCCTAGCACAGGTGCTTGACAAAGGCCCTATTCAGACTTCTGTGCATTACTTCAAACCCCTCCCTTTGCTCCCATAGTATAGTAATGAATTAGGAGTCATATCTTTTGACTGGCAAGGGACTGCCTAAAGCAGATCCCTGCAGATTGGGGCCTCACTGTTTCTGTGGGTATAAAGAACCTCTCGGGAGAGCCTGAATGATCAGGAGATCTGAACTGGGGAGCCATCGGCCCAGCAGGAGGTGCCTCTGCTTGGCCAACCAGAGCCTGCTGCAAGAAACCTTTTTTTTTTTTTTTTTTTTGGTTCTGACAGGCTTGTTGGGGAAATTGAAAATCTCCTGTTTGAAAGCCAGATAATTTAAAATCCTTTCTGATTCAGAATCTCAGCAAGTAGTGAAGGGCTAGGTTATTGATTGTGGGAAATGGGGCAGCCTCAAAGGGCTCTGGGCTATCTCAGTACCCCATCTCCCTCACCCCTCACGCTTCCTCAGGTTTCTCTCTCATGCTAGCTTGGAATGGATGGTGTATTTCCTACCCAGTTGCCTTTGTTTATAAGCATCCACCACCGCTGCAGTAGGGTCAGGAAACTGGCAATTTCCTCAGTGATCCTTGCCCTTGAACCCTATCTCCTCCAGCCTAGGAAGTATTCAGACCAAGTACTCATGTGTGACTCTCCAGTGCTTCTGGATAGAGAAGACCCTCTGAGCTGCCCTAAACTCGCAAGAGAATACTCCACAGGCTTATGTAAGCCAAACCAGATCATGAGTCAGACATCTGAACTCATCAACAAAAAGTGCTCCAGGAAAAAGAAATGGTCTACCTGGCATATTATTGTTTGAAAATTTATTTTAAGTCAATCCTCTATTTCATTAAGGGTAATAATAATCAGTCTACAATGCAAAACTCAGGGAAAAGTAAATTTCATTTTGTATAGCTGTAATATAACATTTTTTACTCTGCTCAAAATTCTTGAAATTGTTAATCCAACTCTATAAATTAGGATATTTGAGTAAAGTAAGTATCCATTGTTTGACTGTGCCAGAAGCAGGAGTTAACTTTTTCTTTCTCTGGTTAAAATTATCACTTACTTGATAGCTAAGTAATTTTTTGAAAGTCTCTTATATCCTGATGGTACACTAAGGCCCTGAAGAGAGTATAAAGGTGCAAGATTCAGTCCCCTCTCTCAAGAAACTAGCAGTATGATTGGATGGATAAGATTTATGCATGTGAAACAGAGAATGCTAGATATTTTGGGTGGTAATCAAGTGTAATAGTATGTGATTTTAGTTATAAGCGTGATGAGTGCAGGAAGGGAGATGAAAAATAAATAATATTTAGTGAACTCCACTACTACAGAATAAATATTTATAATATTTTCTATTTCATCAGGAAGAACAATTTGAATCACTGGCTTAATCACTGGTGGGGGGCCTGGTTTTTAGTCTGTGTCTTAAAATTCTTAGCTCACTTATGTCATTTGTCATATGAACTTTTTGGAGAAAGAAATATTTAGTTTTTATACGTAGTTTTTAAGACTTTAAAGGTTTTATAACCCTTTTCTTGAAAAATTAAGACATCAAATCAGCAAGTATTTATTGAGCACTGACCTTGGTCTGAGGCATGTACATTTTTTAGTTTTTAGACAACAGTAAAGTAACCCTGAAATAATGCCTACAATGACTTTGATAAGTACAAGATGGTGAGTTGAGGTTTTAGCCAAGAACCTTTGTTTTCTCTTGCTGAATATTTTTCTCTTTGGTTATGTGGTAGAATTTAGAGCTCAAAATGTTCAGACTGTTTCTGTCCAAGTAGCATTCTCACCATGGTCAAGATTTGTTTAGTGATTTATAATTAATTAGATAAAAGTACGCAAAGCTTTTTGGGCTTTGTACTGGGAAGTGCTACATAAGACTGCGTGGTAGTGGTTTGGGCCTCATTGCTTATATCTGACATAGCTTCCAGGATTTATGCCTGTCTCCACCAAGATTCTTTTCCTCTTTAATGAATTTGAAAGTAACTATTTATCTTGAATGAAATTAGTTTTTTCTACCTAGAGCTGGGAGTTTCATTTTCTAATCAGAATGTCTGATTTATTTATGTGCCTGCCAAAAAAATCCCAAAATACTGGCCGCCTGAGTTCTGGCTAATGTTTCCAGGTGCTCTGTTTTGAAAACATTCCGTTTCTACCCTGTATTACAGATGCTCTTGCGTACAGTGAAATCTTGTGATAAATATTTTTCAGTGAACATAAAGTATTTAAAAAATAAACGAATGGCAGTATTAGTCATACATTGACCGAATGCCACCAGTGTATTATTTATCATCATATACAGGACATAGTCCAAGACACAATCCTTATTTAGTGGTTCTGTAGTCTAATTATCTGTAAAATGGTCATGTCAAAAAAAACCAAGGAACCATCAGTTGGGCAAATTGTTTGCAATTATGATTAATAACTTGCTGTGGTTAATTAATGGGAAAATATATATGGCTTCTAACGGGCTGCTAGTTTCACATATATAAGCAGTGTGTATTCAAAAGAATTTATACCAAGTAATTATTTATTACTACATTCTAGGTTTAATTCTTACTTGTGTTTTCAAGCCATTCAAGGAAAGTGAGCACAAGTAGGTGATAGCCACCATTCTTTATGGTAATATTATTTAGGTCTTAAAATCAGTCAGAGGCAAATTATATTATTTGAAAAATGATTGCTTTTCACAGACTAAATTATCCTTATATTATTTTTCCTTTTTTTTTTTTTTTTGAGGCTTAGTCTCAAGCTGTTGCCCAGGCTGGAGTACAGTGGCATAATCTCGGCTCACCTCAACCTCTACCTCCTGGGTTCAAGCGATTCTCCTGCCTCAGCCTCCAGAGTAGCTGGGATTACAGGCACCTGCCGCCATACCTGGCTAATTTTTTTTGTATTTTTAGTAGAGATGGGGTTTCACCATGTTGGTCAGGCTGGTCCCGAACTCCTGGCCTCAGGTAATCCACCCACTTCGGCCTCCCAGAGTGTTGGGATTATAGCTGTGAGCCACTGTGCCCAGCCTCTTTTTTTATTATTTTAACATACTTTGAAAATACTTAATACCTATCTAGACCAGACCTCTTTTGTACCAGATATATTTATTTTGGTCTAGAGAAAATGAAGACAACGTATTAAAGTTGGGTGTACCCAATGCAAATATCTGTTTAAATTCAGTGTTCAGATTGGAGTTTTGTGGGCAAAATATTTAACAAGAATTGTATTTAACTTACCTGTGATTTTGACTCACATAGACTTAGCTGAAATGAAACATAGTAAGTACAGATTTAAATATGTATGTATTTGAGTAGAAATCTTTCCACCTGTATGCAGGTAGTTTTTTGTAATAATGAAAGAAAATGATTTCATTTTAGTTCTTTTATTTGATGTGACAGGAATTGATTGGTTAGTCAAGAAAGTTGGTTAAAAGCAGGGAATAAAAATGTGCATCCACTCTCTGTATGTGTTAAATATTTATTAATATTTTAACTTTTGAAATATATCATGTATGTGTATTTGCCACTTGTTTGATGGAGGTTCCAGGCTTTTCTTTGAGCATGGGTTGGAGTTTCCATCTTTTTTCTCAATAATTTTCAGTCTCAGTTTCTTTAAAGGCATTTGTGAAGAATCTGAATGTAGAGTTCTTCTAGATTGTAATTTCCCCCTCGACCTTTTACAGTTTTTTTCACTGTTAATCAAATCCATCTAAAAGCATTCAGCTACGTGTCCATAGAGACTGCAAGTCTTTTTTTGTGCACATAGCTTATTGGATGTTGGATAACAATATTTAATTAAGGTTCTTGATTATAGTAACAGGCATAACTGACACAAACAGGTTTGAGAACAAGCGCAATTAAGCACAGAACTCAACAGATGGAAGCAGAAGTGCCTGGGTGCCCTAGACAATAGCTTATTTGCCACTAGTGTTGAGGATTTTGTGGGGAAGTAAAGAGCTCTGGGCTGGTGAGGCTGGTAGGGGCGGTCAGTGAAGAGGGCTTTGTTTTCCTTGTCTGAGGCTTGTCTCCAACTGAAAGGCCTCCTTTCCTCTCCTGTCCCTGGGTGAATCTTTGCTCAAGTCCCCTGTATTTTCATCACAGCCATCACCCCTCCCCTTTCCACCCGTGTCTACTGCCTTTTCCTCTGCAGTTTGTTTCTGAACTGACTGAAATCTCTGTCAGTCTCCGTGTTAAAATTCCCTTCAAGACTCACCTCCTTAGAGAAGCCCTGTGGATGGACTATACCCAGCTTTTACCCTTCTATTGATGATTTTTGATCCATCTATATAGCTTTAATGAAATAAAACTTCAAAAACCTGAATTTTAGTATTAAATATGCTGCCACTCATATAATAAGTGTTCAAGTATTTCTTTAGCCATGTGAACTTACATTAGAAAATAATGAAATTCTTGAGATGGTTAATTTTTAAAGCTGTTTACCATACCTTTCTTTTAAAAGGGATGGAAGATCTGGCCTTTTAGAATATGATTTGCCAGCCTTCCATAGAGTATACTATTGAAGAAAGCAAGAAATGTGTGTTTGCGGGATTCTGTTGCTCAGGCTGGAGTGCAGTGGCTCAAGCTTGGCTCACTGCAACCTCCGCCTCCTGGGTTCAAGCGATTCTTCTACCTCAGCCTCCCCGAGTAGCTGGGATTACAGGCGCATGCCACCACGCCTGGCTAATTTTTGTATTTTTAGTAGAGACAGAGTTTTGCCATGTTGGCCAGGCTGGTCTCAAACTCCCGATCTCAAGTAATCCTCCTGTGTTGGCCTCCCAAAGTGCTGGGATTACAGGCGTGAGCCACCACGCCCGGCTGAAAGCATGTTCTTGAATGTATATGTGTGTTCTCTCCCCATGTGATTTGTAAACCCTCCAAGGCTTGGGTCTCACATTCTCATTCTTTGAATCTTTTATGGCATAATGGATAGAGAGTCTGTGCTCTTGTCCAGTTGAAGTAAGTAGTGGGCGCTCAAAAAATGTTGATTGGCCAAAATATCTACATCAAGTACAGTAACGACTCATAGCTGCTAACATCTTTTGAGCAATTAACATGCACCGTACACTGTCTTAAGCACTTTATATATGTCACCTCATGTAATTCCCACAACAACTATAGTTATCCCCATTTCACAGATGTAGAAACTAAAACTTAGAGGAGTCAGATACTTGGCCAAGATCACACGACCAGAAAATGATAGAGCTAGGAAAGTAGAGACAGGAATCAAACTCAGTGAGTCTGATTCCAGATTCTGCAGCCTTGACTCCTTTACCCCATGCCTGGTGGATCAGTAACCTTTCAGAAAATTTTTGTAACAAGTTCTGAAAACATAGATGAAATAGGAATTTTCCCTTAAACTAAATGGAAAACTAAAAAAGTAATCATTAGATGGAGCAGATTTCTGCTAAATGGGAAGTCTTGGGAGGGCCTCATTAGAAAATGAGGGAATGGGGGGCCAAGCATGGTATCATCTGCTACCCAGTGAGAAAAATATCGACTTACGCTGTGAACCCTTTTATTTTATACATGTACCACCTGAATGAGGATGGTATATTTATGAGCTCTCACATCTCATTGCTGGGTGACATCAGGGAGCTCTTTTTTGGGATAGCTGTCCATCTGTTCTCCTCCAGGAACTCCTGGATCCGTGCCACTGCCACTTGGCTGCTGGCTTCAAAAGAGCCTGAATCAGTGAGTTGCTTACACCAGGGAGAACAAACAGGCTCTTCTCCTTAAAGTGTCTGTAATTATATGACCATAATTAGAAATAAAACCTTCTTTATACAATTTGAGCTCACAAGGAAAGACTTTCTGCATACACACCATTTTTTCCTGTGTTGTTTCACATGCTGATCAGGAAACAGGTCACTTGGCCTAATCATCCACCATTGAATAGAGTGGAGAGAGCCAGATTCCCCACAACCCCCTAGGTTGCTGCATGTCCTTGAGGTAGTCTCCTGCCCTCTCTAAACTTTTGTAGCATTATGTATGATGAGGTTAGTATAGCCATGTAGGAAATGTTATGAGAACCTTAGTGCCTGCTATTAGTTCCTTGGAAAAAAGAGATAGCCTAGACATAAGTAACTCATGAGTAGAGACTACCAGTTTTGGTGCAGTTAGGGTTTTGAGTTTGTTATCATTTTAAACAGTAACATTGTTTGGGTGGTTCTGTGGTGTTCGAAGAGATGTAGGTCACCGTTGATTTTTGCCTGATGGGTTTTGAGTTTGAGTAGATGTTGATTAATTCATGAGCCCCAACTGCAAGATAGATGTTCAGTATTGATTAGACACATGCCCCTGGTTGTATGCTGTTAAAAAGGAGTCAGCTGTGAAATACTCCTAAAGCTAAATCAATAAACTACTAAAGTTGTTTTCCCCCAATAAGTGTTTGTATTTTATCCCTTTAAGTGAGAAAGGCTGTTAGGAATTTCTGTGATCTGGCCGTTAAGAAAACTAGCTGTATCTTTGGAACAATATGCTCATATGTTAGCCATTCCAGGTGAGTATAAATTATTCATATATACATCTTCGCTGAGGATAACAATGGCTTAATGGAGGAGAAAACACAACAATTTTCTTTGAAAAATTGTCTTTATTCTGGTGACATAGGTAGACAACTTTGCTGAGAGCACACCTAAGTACTAATAAAAATTTCAAGGGATTGAGACATACATCCTCACAGAGTAAGAGTTTAAAAATGCCTACAATTGGCCGGGTGCGGTGGCTTATGCCTGTAATCCTAGCACTTTGGGAGGCCGAGGCGGGCAGATCGCCTGAGTTGAAGAGTTTGAGACCAGCCTGGCCAGCATGATGAAACCCTGTCTCTACAAAAAATAGAAAAATTAGCTGGGCGTGGTGGCAGGTACCTATAATCCCAGCTACTTGGCAGGCTGAGGCAGGAGAATCGCTTGAACCTGGGAGGCGGAGGTTGCAGTGAGCCGAGATCGCACCATTGCACTCCAGCCTGGGCAACAGGGCAAGACTCCGTCTCCAAAAAAAAAAAAAAAAAAAGCCTACAATCCCTGTTATAATCATGGCCAGTAATTGCTAAGCAATTAGCTGTACTATTAGAATGAGTCACTACCAAGTTTTCTGCCTTGGCAATTTTTTTCTGAAAACTTTATTGAATTTAGAACAATTTCTGGATGACTTTTTTTCTCTCAACATACAGACATTGACCAGTCTTCATAAAATCCACTAAACTCAGCACCTTCTAGGCTTGTCTTTCTCCTTTCCTTGCCTTCTCTTCCAAATTCCTAGAATGGGCCGTGTGAACTTCCTGACTGACCATGCCGGCTGCATCCTTTAAATCTTTACAGTGGCTTCTCATTTCCTTTTGCATCTACTCTGGCTGTTCACGCCACACATCAGAATCGATCACCAGCAGGCTCTGGAGTCTCATTTCCCTCATCTGCTGCGTGGGTCTCCAGTCTTCTCCCTCCATTCATTCATTTTCAGTTCCTCTAGGCAGCACCTTCTTCCTTGAGCCTTTTCTCAAGAGCTATCGTTTTCTTAGACTCTGTTCTCTTTTTTTCCTTCTGTTCCAAGTAACTCTTGAAATCCCGTCTTCCCTAAAAGTCTTTTTGAATTAACTAGAGAGTTGCTGATGGGCTCTTCTTCATTCAGGTCTGACAATAATAGACCTCCCATAGCTTCTTCCTCTAACATCCACCCCAATTATACTCACCTCTGCTTCCCACTTCCAAAATGACCCTTGCTCTTGACTTATATCTACTGACAGAATCCCTTCCCTGTCCTGGTTACTGTTTCTAATTTAGAGATCCACACAGGGGTGAAGAAAGCAGGTTCTGAGATGAACTGCCTGAGTTGGATTCTGAGCTCTGTCACTTGCAGCTATTCTCTTTGGGCCCATTATTGAACAATTTCTGTGCTGCACAATTTCTGTGCCTCAGCAAGACTCGAGCGTAACACTGACCTCACAGGATTGTTGAAATAATTTAAGCACTTAACACAGTACATGGCATGTAGTAAACATGCAATAAACATTTACTGTTATTTATTAATTGGAGAGAATGAAGAGCACACCCGATATTATACATATGTACATACATTTACATACACACACATATATATATATACACACATCTGTGTACTCATATATAGCTACATAATTTGGAAAAGTATTTAGAATTATATCTTTTTTAGAAAATGAAAACAATATATCTTTTTTTTTCATTTTTTTTTTGAGACAGAGTCTCGCTATGATGCCCAGACCAGAGTGCAATGGCATGCGCCACCATGCCTGACTAATTTGTAAAACTTTTTGTTGAGACGAGATCTTGCTATGTTGTTGCTCAGGCTGGTCTTGAACTCCTGGCTTCAAGCAGTCCTCCTGCCTCAGCCTCCCAAACTGCTGGGATTACAGGCATGAGCCACAGAGCCTGGCCAAAAATACATCTTTTTAAATGCAAAACATACCAAGTAAAATTGAACAAAATCCTGGCTGGTGAGGCAAGAGTTTAAACAAGGGAGGAGAAGCACTGTACCAGTTGTTTCTACACACCTATGAAAGATCTGGCATGAATGGCTTGGTCTTTGTTTAAAAGCATAGAGCGCCATGTGTATGTATGGACACTTGCATGCTTTTGAGTGATGATGATTAGGGTGAGAGATTTTCCTTAGGAAAGTTTCAAAAGTAGTCACTTATCTACTCAGTTTTAAGTAAATAGAAAATAATTTTTTTTAAAAGGATAGTGTGAGGAAGTAATTTTGTTTTTAAAAGGATAGTGTGAAGAACACCCTAAAAATGTTTGTAGAAGAGGATTATTCAGATAAATCTGTAGTGAGTTTATGCATACCTCCTTTAAAATCTATCTTTAGTACAGCCATTATTTAGCATGAAGATGATTTGTTGCTTTTGTTTTCCAAGTTTTGTTGCTTGTAAATAATCTGTTAAGAAATTTTGGGCCGGGTGCGGTGGCTCTTCCCTGTAATCCCAGCACTTTGGGAGGCCAAGGCAGGCGAATCATGAGGTCAGGAGTTTGAGACCAGCCTGGCCAACATGGTGAAACCCTGTCTCTACCAAAAATACAAAAAAATTAGCCGGGCATGGTGGCAGGCGCCTGTAATCCCAGCTACTCGGGAGGCTGAGGCAGGAGAATCACTTGAACCCAGGAGGCAGAGGTTGCAGTGAGCCAAGACTGCGCCACTGCACTCCAGCCTGGCAGACAGAGTAAGACTCCATCTCAAAAAAAAAAAAAAAGAAATTTTGTAAAACATGCTGAAGGGAATCCTGGGCCAACAGGTATTTTTAAAAAATAATATACTATTCCCAGGTTTATGTTGATTATTTATATTTGAAAATGTTGATTGTAGATACTGGTAGATTACTTTCAAATTAATCATTTATTCCTAATTGACCAGGGATGAGTGAGATGTTTATTTAGAAAACAAATAATTTTAGATAGGAAAATTGAATCTTTAAAAAATAATGGTGATTTAATATATCAATGTGTGGTTTTTGTGTGTATGTGTGTAATATTGGAGCATCCAGGAGTGTGCGGTGTGTATATGACCTTATTTTTCTACTGTATCTTAGAGGTTGCCACTTCCATGGGTATAAAACTTAATTGGATTTCTCGATTTTTATTTTGTTTATGCACTTTTACAACTTATGTCATTTTAGGTTGTTTATTAATGCCAGTTTTGTATAATAAAATTATTAGAGAAGTTATGAAGGAGGATGGCATGAGAAGGGTGGCCAGAGTTTCACTGTTTCATGTTTGTAACTTTCATTCCTTTTGAAGTGTACATTTATTCCTAGTGATAGAAATTGATGTTTTCTTTGGCAAGCATTAGAAGCAAGTCTATGTGAAATTATGTAATGTCTGAAAAGTTATATTCATGATTAATTGGCCTATCCAAGAATGGTATTTGTGTGTGTGGAATAAGGCGATCATGCTTTTTATTTGGCAGTGAGTTAAAGTGCCCCTGCTCAGATCGGGTTACTCCACAGGGCTTTTTGACTGAGAATTGTATGTTTAGCTTAATCTCTAAAAAGCGTAAAATGTAGCTTCGGAGCCAAATATGCTGGAATTCATATTGTAACCAAAGTTAATCTTAGGATAACTTTAAAAGCAAGCTGTTCCACTCTCACACCTTAGTTAACAAATAAAGCCAAGAGGTTTAAAACAACATCATCATCATAATAGTCTCTGAAAGCACAGCCAGCCTTCATTACCCAAAGCTAGACTGTCTGCACTGTATTGTCAAATATTAATTTAAAATCTTCTTGACCTTGACCTAAACTGATAAGTTATAATGATCTATTTATTTATCCAAGCTGGACTTTACAGGAATGAGAAAAAGAAGGTCTTTAAATAATTGCCTCCTCCTGTGTGTCAGCTTGAGAAATTATGACCTCCATTACTAATATTACAGTGATGGTGAACTTGATAGATAACTAGAGACAGGGTAATGCAATGGTTCTAAAGCCTGACTACCCTGGGAAAGTTAACTTCAGTTTCTCATGTGTAAATGGAGATAATGTTACCTCTCTTCTTGCATTTTAATCATTAACTAAATGCTTACCAGAATATCTGTTCATAGTAAGTGCTCTTAAATGTTTGCTTTTGCTCTTAAATTATTGCTGTCGCTGCTTCTGCTATTACTGCTATGATAACTACTACTAACTACTGCAATTGCTGTCACCAGCAACCACTACAATTACTATTATTCCAGTTCCTCCTCCAGGGCTTTCACTATAGGGTTTAACTCTTTGGTGAATCCTCATATCGAAATGGTAAAACATACCCCAAACATACCCCAGAGTTGAATATGAGTTGTTTTGGCAAGATCATAGCTCACTGTAACTTCAAACTCCTGGGCTCAAGCCATCCTCCCTCCTCAGCCTCCCAGAGTGCTGGAATTATAGACATGAGCCGCCTCACCTGGCTGTTTCGTTGTTGTTGTTGTCGTTGTTGTTTTTAAATGACCTGTATTCTTACCATTCAAAAATGTGGACCGCAGGTCAGCAACATCAATCTAACCTGGGAGCTTGTTTGAAATGCAGGATTTTGGCCCCATCCTAGAACCACTGTATCAGAATCTGCATTTTAACAGGACGTTAAAAGATGTTCTGTTTGCATATTAAAGTTTAAGAAGCACTGATCTACACCATCCTCCCCACCCCCCAGCTATCCCCCAAATCATCTTAATGATTTAGGGATGGCTCCCTACATAGACTACCAGCAGTATCATGTGAACCAGGCCCTCAAAGTAGATAGGGCAGGTAATTGGAAAGAAGAGAAGATGAAGTGGAAAAAGAGAAGAAAGAAGGGAGAGAGGAAGAAAAACCATGCCTGACAATACTGATATTTTACCTGTATAGATGGGTCTATGCTTACTGATTATTCTTTGAGTCTTTAGATTATTCTTTGTTGTGACACTGAATATGGAAAGGAATACTGAAATTTTATGGGCTGGTAAAAAATTTCCATGCCCTTGTAATTTCCAATGATCTGTCAAACATACATGGAGAGTTTCCTGTTAACTCATGGTCTCAGATAAATTATGCACCCTTTATTTTCTCTTTTTTTGTGAGACAGAGTCTCACTCTGTCACACAGGCTGGAGTGCAATGGCACAATCTCGGCTCACTGCAACCTCTGCCTCCTGGGTTCAAGCAATTCTCGTGCCTCAGCCTCCTGAGTAGCTGAGATTACAGGTGCCCGCCTCTATACCTGGCTAATTTTTGTAATTTTAGTAGAGACAGGGTTTCACCATGTTGGCCAGGCTGGTCTCGAACTCCTGACCTCAGGTGATCTGCTCACCTCGACCTCCCAGAGTGTTGGGATTACAGGTGTGAGCTGCCGTGCCCAGCCCCTTTATTTTCTTAACACACACACACACACACACACACACACCAGTCCCCTTGTATTCATGCTTTAGTTATCTTTTTAGTGTGAAGATGGTGTGCTTCCTATGCTGATCCTGCAAGATCACTGGATAGGAGAGCAGAGTTTGGTTTACTACTCTCTGCCTGTTTGGTAGTGCTTCTACTGCTGTTTGAGTTGATTCTTCCAATGTAAAGGCTGTGAGGATGTATGGGAACACTAATCTTTGATATTAACTATGAATTATGGGTGCTTGTGGAGGTACAGCTTTATTTGTATTATCACATACTAGGGGCTAAGGAAAATTACCCCTTTTTGACTTAAAATATGACCTTGGAGTCTGTTTTTTTGTTGTTGTTGTTTATTTGTTTTTTGAGATGGAGTCTCTGTTGCCCAGGCTGGAGTGCAGTGGCACAATCTTGGCTCACTGCAACCTCTGCCTCCTGGGTTCCAATGATTCTTCTGCCTCTGCCTCCCAAGTAGCTGGGACTATAGGTGTGCGCCACCACGACCGGCTAATTTTTGTATTTTTAGTAGAGACGGGGTCTCACCATATTGGCCAGGCTGGTCTCAAACTTCTGACCTTGTGATTCGCCCGCCTCGGCCTCCCAAAGTGCTGGGATTACAGGCGTGAGCCACTGTGCCCAGCTGGAGTCTATTTTTTAAAGTTGATTTGAGAAACAAGTTTATGGTATGATTTTAAACAACTAAATTGGCAAAGGGAAGAAATTTGATAAAATATGTTGGAAGTGTGCAGTGATACAACCTGTCGCAATTTAAAATGCCTGTTTCCGTTACCCAGCAATTTCACTTGTAAGAGTTTATCCTATAGATGTATTTGCACATGGAAGTGTACATGTGTACATTTTTATGTAGAAACAAATGAGTAGTAATAACATCAATATTAATTAGGATGAGACTGGGACTGGGTTGAGAAGTTGAGACTGCTGCAACTTCTTTTTTTAAGGTGTTATTTGTGTGTGTGTGTCGGGGCTATTAATGAAAGTGTCTTAATGAATCTGGTTACAATAACTACCTTTGGAGACAGGATTTGAAGGTGTTAGACCTTCAAATGTGAGGGACACTTACTTTCTATTAAAATGTCTTTGTACTGTGTGGAATTTTTTAAGAAAACCATGTGTATGTATACATTAAAATCAACAAAATAGTGCTCACATTGAGGAGTTTAAAGCTATATGTACTCGTAATTACACTTACATATTTTTCCCCTTTTTTTTTTTTTTTGAGACAGAGTCTCGCTCTGTTGCCCAGGCTGGAGTACAGTGGTGCCATCTCAGCTCACTGCAACCTCCACCTCCTGGGTTCAAGTGATTCGCCTGCCTCAGCCTCCTGAGTAGCTGGGACTACAGGCACGTGCCACCATGCTGGGCTAATTTTTGTATTTTTAGTAGAGATGGGGTTTCACCATGTTGGTCCGCCTGGTCTTGAACTCTTGACCTCGTGATTCGCCCGCCTCAGCCTCCCAGAGTGTTGGGATTACAGGCGTGAGTCACCGTGCCCGGCCTTTGTTTTTTTTTTTTTTCTTTCTTTAAAGAGAAGTTCTTGCTCTGTCGCCCAGGCTGGAGTGCAGTTATGCAGTCAGCTCATTGTAACTTCAAAATTCTGGGCTTCAAGCAATCCTCCCACCTCAGTCTATCCATAGCTAGGACTACAGGTGTGCACCACTGCACCCAGCCTTTCCCCCATTTTTAAAACATGTTTATGTACCTAAGCTCATTTATGCCTTTGAGTCCCTAAATTAGGTGGTAGGCAACAAATTCTTGGTCGCCTCACTGCTCTGTATTTTCTCTCCAACTCCTTAGACTCTTCTTAGCATAAACTGTCCAGTGTTCTGATGATTCAGAGCTGTGATTCCAAAGTTGGGGTACCATCAGAATTCTTGAAGATTGGTTACAAATTAAGATTCCTAAGTTAATCCCAGACCTATTGAGTCAAAGTCTGTGGGTGAGACTTAGGCATGTGCATTTTTTTTAGAAGATCCATGGGTAATTCATCAGAATCAGGTTAAGATTCTTCGCACCTGGTTAAAAAGCACTGTCTGGAGAGCAATTCTTGGTAGGAATCTTCTTCTACTAAAATGCCAGCTGTTATCTGTGCACCCGCACCCCCAGATCCCAGGAGTGATGTGCATGTGGCATATCACCAGGCTGAATGAGCAGATCCTCTACATCCAAGGAAAAGGGAATGTTATTCTGAATAGTCACATGGTTCTCTCTATTGAATTAGAATAATAATGGTAATGACAGAGATGATACCAAATAAGATGTCTATGTTAGAACCAACATTTTCTGCCAATAACATTACAAGTAAATAGGAGAAATCAAGAGTTGGTCCTTTGAAACATCAATAAAATTTAGAAATCTGTAGCTAGACTAATGAAAAAGAAAAAGACAAATTATCAGTAACAGGAATGGGAGAGGAGATAGCATTGAAGACATAATAAGGATAATAAAGGAATATTATGAGCAAGTTTATGCTAAAAAATTGGGTAACTGAGATGAAATCAGAATTTGTGGAAAGCCCAAATTACCACCAACACACAAACACACACACATGCATGCACACATGCACAATCTGAATAGGTCTATAGCGAGCAAAGAAATTCGGTTCATAATTTAAAACTTAGCTACAAAGAAAACTCCAGACTCAGACAACTGACAACATAATAGTGATGAAATCTATCAAATCTTTAACAATACAAATGTTAAATTCTTTCAGAAAATAGAAGAGGAGGGAACACATCCCATTTCACTTTATGAGATTGGCTTTGCTTTCATACTAAAACTAGCCAAAAACTGGCCGGGTGCCACGGCTGTAATCCCAGCACTTTGGGAGGCCGAGGCGGGCAGATCACTTGAGGTCAGGAGTTCAAGAGTTCAAGACCAGCCTGGCCAACATGGCGAAACCCCATCTCTACTAAAAATACAAAAATTAGCCAGGCATGGTGTCAGGTGCCTGTAATCCCAGCTACTCAGGAGGCTGAGGCAAGAGAATCACTTGAACCTGGGAGGCGGAGGTTGCAGTGAGCTGAGACCATGCCAGTGCACTCTGGCCTCGGCGACAGAGTGAGATTTTGTCTCAAGAAATAAAATAAAAACGAAACAAAGACTTTGCAAGAAAAGGAAACTATGGAACATTCCTCATGAACATAAACACAGATTTTTTTAATTAGCAAATTAATCCAGAAATATATAAAAAGGATAATACATTTTGAGTTTTACCTAGAAAAGGGTTTATCCAGAAATACAGTTGATTTAATATTGTGACATGAAGCAAATATATGATCATCTTATTAAGATAAGGAAAAACAATCAACAAAGCTAAAAATCCATTAATGATATAAACTCTTAGCAAACTAGGAATAGAAGAAACTTTTGTCAACCTGATAAAAGACATTTATAAAAAGCCATATCTGGCTGGGCATGGTGGCTCATACTTGTAATCCCAGCACTTTGGGAGGCGGAGGCAAGCAGATCACCTGAGGTCAGGAGTTCGAGACCAGCCTGACCAAAATGGAGAAACCCTATCGCTACTAAAAGTACAAAATTAGCTGGGCATGGTGGCACAAGCCTGTAATCCCAGCTACTCGGGAGGCCGATTCAGGAGAATCGCTTGAACCCGGGAGGTGGAGGTTGCAGTGAGCCGAGATCGTGCCATTGCACTCCAGCCTAGGCAACAAGAGCGAAACTCCATCGCAAAAAAAAAAAAAAAAAAAAAAAAAAAGCCATAGCTAATGTCATTATTAACAGTGAAAGACTAAATACTTTCTTCCTAAGGTCAGAAATAAGACAAGAATATCCCCCTTTCATCATTTCTATTCAGCATTGTACTGGAGTTTCTAGCCAGTGTAACAAGGTATGAAAAAGAAATGAAAGTTTGGGAGGAAGAATAATAATGTCTCTTACAGTATTAAGTATTAATGATAATACTAATACTATGTCTTACAGCATGCAGATTGAGAGGAAGAACTAATAGTGTCTCTAGTTTTAGACCATATGGTCATCTATATCAAAAATCCTAAGGAATCTTTAAGACAGCTGCTAAAACTAGAGAGGATTTAGCAGGGTCCTAGGATACAAAATGATTATTTTTAAAGTTGCATTTCTATATGGTAGCAATGAAGATTCAGAACCTGAAATAACATTTACAATAGCATCAAATACTATGAAAATATATACAGATAAAGTTAGACAAAATATAGGCAAAGCCTGTACCCCAAAAACTGTAAAGCATTATTGAAAGAAATTAAGGCAGCCCTAAGTAAATGGAGAAGTGTCCCATGTTCATAGAAGACTGATAATGTTACAATGTTAGTACTTCCCAAACTGATTTATAGAGTCAAAACAAGCCCAGTAAAGATCCCAAAAAGCTTTTTCCTAAAAATTGGGACGTTGATGAACAAATTTGTGACAAAGGATTTGAAATAGTTTAAAAATTTTTTGAAAAAGAACAACAAAGTTGAAGGACTAGTTCAGTGGGAAGAAGAAAATCTCAACAAATGATCCTGGAATAACTGGTTATACATATGGGAAAAAAAATGAACCTTGACCCTTATCTCACCTCATACACAAAAATATACTAAAAATGGTGTATAGACATATAAAAAACTAAAACTATAAAACTAGAAGAAAATGTAGGATAAAACCATTGCAACTTTGGGATAGATAAAAATTTCTTAGATTGAACACAAAAAGTAGAAAAATCGATAAATGGCACTTTATCAAAATTAGAAACTGAAGTTTTTCCAAAAGAAATTGGTAGGAAAATGGAAAGGCAAGCCACAAACTGGGAGAAAATATTCACAACACTTATATCTTATGTGTTATATACATACATACAAAGGACCTGTATCCAGTATATGTAAGGAACTCTTACAACTGAATAAGACAAACAACCCAATTAAACAATGGGTGTTACAGGTTGTGTTCCTCAGGAAGCAGCTACGGATAAAGCTCAGGTATGGGATATTTAGTAAGGGATGCCCTTGGTATTAAGGCTTTTGAGAAGGAGGGCAACAAAGCAGCACTGGATGGAGGGAGATGTTGAGCAGTGATGCGGCCCAGGAACAGCCTTGGATGACTTCACAGATTGCTCTGAAGCTGGACTGGACCTTCGGAATTTCCCTGAGTTGGGCCCTGATGGTGCCTTTTTATTTCTGCATCACTCAGTAATGTGGGCCTGTATCACTGGATATGGCCCATGCTAGGAAGGATATATCTTGGCCAGTGTGATTCTCTGCAGCTTGAGGCAATCCCTGGAGGGAGTGATAGCTGAATACTGATTTCCCATAGCATTCTTAGCTGAGACAATAGGTTTTTCACTGAAAGAGGATCTGACAATATATTGCAGTGACCATTGTAATGGGCAAAAGATTCTAACAGAAACTGTACAAAAGAAGATATATGAATGGCCATTAAGCACATGAACAACGTCATTAGTCATCAAGGATATGCAAATTAGGCCGGGCGCGGTGGCTCACGCCTGTAATCCAGCACTTTGGGAGGTCAAGGCGGGTGGATCACGAGGTCAAGAGATCGAGACCATCCTGGCTAAAACGGTGAAACCCCGTCTCTACTAAATATACAAAAAATTAGCCGGGCGTAGTGGCAGGCGCCTGTGTTCCCAGCTACTCGGGAAGCTGAGGCAGGAGAATGGCGTGAGCCCAGGGGGCGGAGCTTGCAGTGAGCCGAGATCGCGCCACTGCACTCCAGCCCGGGCGACAGAGCGAGACTCCGTCTCAAAAAAAAAAAAAAAAAAAAAAAAAGGATATGCATATTAAAATCACAATGAGACACTTCCATACACTCGAATGGCCAAAATTAAAAACACTGATAATACCATACCAAGTGCAACTGGAAGTGTAAAATGGCACAAGCACCTTGGAAAACACTTTGCCTGTTTCTTATAAAATAAACCTACACTTAACCGTATGCCTAGCAGTTCCACTCCTAGGTATTTACCCAAGATAAATGAAAACATGTACACAAAAAAGACTTGCATGAATGTTCATATGAAGTTTATTCATAGAGCCCCAAACTGTAAAGAACTCAGATGTCTGTCAACAGGTAAATGGATAAACAAATTTAGATATATTCATAAAATGAGGCACTGAGTAACATTAAACGGAATAATCTACTCACACATGCAACAACATGGATGAATCTCAAAAATATGTCAAGTGTAAGGTTAAGTCATAAAAGAGTACGGATTGTATGATTTCATATATGAAATTTTATAACAGGCGAAACTAATCTGTCGTGACAGAAAGCAGATGAGTGATTGCCTGGGTCTGAAAAGGGAAGAGAATGCAGGAAGGAACATTTTGGGGTGATGAGAGGGATTTATGTCTTAATTGTTAGGATTATTACATGGATGTATCATTTGCCCAAACTTTTGTTTTTTTCTTTTTTTTGAGACGGAGTCTCACTCTGTCATCCAGGCTGGAGTGCAGTGGTGCATCTTGGCTCACTGCAACCTCCGCCTCCTGGGTTCGGGAGATTCTTCTGCCTCACCTGAGTGAGGGATTACAGCCACCACACCCAGCTAATTTTTGTATTTTTAATAGAGACGGGGTCTCACCATGTTTATCAGGCTGGTCTCCAACTCCTGAGCTCAAGTGATCCGCCCGCCTCAGCCTCCCAAAGTGCTGGGATTACAGGCATGAGCCACTGTGCCCGCCGGCCTGCCCAAACTTTAAAAGGTTGCGTGTTTTTGCAAATAAATTACACCTCAATGTAATTATACTTAAGTAAAGGTGAGTTGTTTTTTAAAGTAAAACTTTTCATAATGGAGATTATTTTCATGAAGGATATTGACTGCACTTTTAATTTTCTTTTCTTATAATGTCTTCATCTGATTTTGGTATCAGAATTATGCTGGCTTCATAAAACCAATTGAGAAATATTTCCTCCTCCTCTATTTTCTGAAATAGATCGTGTAAAATTGGCATTGTGTTCTTAAATCTTTGAAATAATTCACCGCTAAAGTCATCTGGGCCTGGTAGTTCTTCTAGGGAGGTTTTAAATAATGAATCATTTTCTGTAGTAGATTTAGGGTTATTCAGATTTTCTGTTTCTTCTTGGGTTAGTTTTGATAATTTTGTCTATCAGTGAAGTCCATTTCTTATCTCTGTTGTCTAATTTATTGGCATAAAGTTGTTAATAATATTTCCCATTATTTTACCGTCTTAATGGTCTGTAGTTATATCTCTACTTTACTTCCTGATATTGGTGATTTGCATTTTCTTTTTCTTAATCAGTCTAGTTAGGGGTTTCTAATGAAGTTAAACATATACCCATCTAATGACCCAGGTGTTCCACTCCTAGGTATTTAATCAAGAGAAATGAAAGCACATATTCTAAAAAATAATGTTCATAGTGATTTTTAAAATTTTAGCCCTGAACTTAAAACAAATGCTAATCAATTATAGAGAGAACAAATAAAATTTTGTATATTTACAGTAAAATACTACTCAGTGATAAAAATTAATGAAATACTGACAGATACAACAATGTATGTGAATCTCAAAAATATTGTGGAGAGTGGAAGAAGCCCTACATAAAAAAATCATAGTGTCTGAGTCCACTTAAATGAAGTTCCAGAACAGACTTAATCAAATCGTGGTGGTAGAAATCAGATTTGTGATTGCTTAGGAAGGGAAGTGGAAAGGTATGAGCAGGGAACTAGCAGGAGAGAACTTTCTGGGTTATGGAGTGGTCTGTATTTTGATAGGGGTGTGGGTTACCAGTGTATGCATTTATTTAAAGCTCATCAAACTGTACATTTCATTGTATGTAAAATATGGCTCAACTTAGTTGTACAACAACGGGAATGTAGTCAGTGCCACTTAACTGTATGCTTAAAGATGGTTAAAATGGTAAATTTTATGTTATTTATATTTTGCCACAATTGAAAAAAAAACTGTTTGTTTGTTATATTTGGTTTTTTTTGAGACGAGTCTTACTGTGTCGCCCAGGCTGGAGTTCAGTGGCACGATCTTGGCTCACTACAACCTCCACCCCCTGAGTTCAAGCAGTTCTGCCTCAGCCTCCCTAGTAGCTGGGATTACAGCCGTGTGCTACCACGCCCAGCTAATTTTTGTATTTTTAATAGAGATGGGGTTTTGCCATGTTGGCCAGGCTGGTCTCGAACTCAAGTGATCTGCCCGCCTTGGCCTCCCAAAAAAGTACTGGAATTATAGGGATGAGCCACCGCTCCCGGCTGAAAAAACAAAAACAAACAAACTAAAAACAACAACTGTAAATGGGAAGATGTGAAGGTTCTAAATGTGCAAACATTT
Source organism: Homo sapiens (assembly GCF_000001405.40). Lineage (NCBI taxonomy): Eukaryota > Metazoa > Chordata > Mammalia > Primates > Hominidae > Homo > Homo sapiens. Next base: position 74,947,369 of record NC_000010.11, read on the forward strand.
AAAATGTGTATTTCCCCCCATAACCGTGTGCTGTTCTATTATTATTTATTTACCATTTATATGCTAAAGTAAGAATGTAATTTAGAAACTGATAAGAAAGTACCAAGTATGAGAAATGTTACATTCGTATATTCAACAGATATTAATCAAACATCTACTGTGTGTATAATTCTTTATTATGTATAGTAATTAAGATAAACCAAACAAGGATCTTCCAAGAGCTCACCATGTACTAAGCTATTTAAGATATGCAAAATTTTACCAATGTCACCAAAATAATGGGCTTTTTCTTCCTTCTTCCTACAGTTTACCCTTAGTAGGCTTTCTACTGTTTACCCTTAGTAGGCTTTCTACTGTTTACCCTAGTAAAGATCTAGGAAATTAAGTTTAAAATCTTCACCCTCAGGGGAAGGCCTTGTCATGCCTGGTATTTCTTCTCCTGGCTTTGCTGCAGCTTGTATTAGTATGCAGGGAGGGGCTTTGGTTTTGTGCAGTTCCAACACACCTTACAGTGAAGCTGTGGTGCCAGGGAGCAGAGTCTGTCCAAGATAATGCTCATGTAAGTGCCCAGGGTGGTGCCTGGCCTAAAGCATAAGGAGATTTAGAAACTCTGCCACAAAGGGGGTCTAAGAATGAGTCTTCTGCTACACAGAATTAACTCCAAAAAACAAGGTCAGAGCTCTTGACCTTCAGGTAGTAATTATCCACATAATCCTCTTTTCCTACTGCTTATGAATACTGCAATTGAAAGGGTCAGAGGTAGTCTGAAAGCAGGGAAAACAAAAGAAGTCAGGAGCATGGAAATTCTGCACACCAGATGGTTTGTGTGCCCAGAGGGCAATTGAGAATTAAGTGTAGTAATGGAATTACACTACTTTTATTGGTTCTATGAGGACAAGCACTTGGAGTACCAATTATATTCTGCGTGGCATACTTTGGGTGCTGAGTAAATATTAGTAACTTATTGAATAGCACATAACATCTCAACTGCCATGTAAATCTCTGTGAGTGCAGGGCATTGTCAGAGGTGGTGGTGATAATATTATTGAGAAAGTGACTAGTGTCTGACTTTTCTAGCTTGTTAATAACCACTTACCTATGTCCCATCTCCTCATTCTACTTTCCTGTTTGGATCTAATTACATTCAGTTGAGTTGCCTGTGTCTCCTGAGCAGTTAGAGCAGGTTTCTCTTGGCAGGATTAATAGTAAGAATGTCTACATTCAGTTCACAGTGTGCCTAGGCAGTGTTTTGTAGCACCATATCTAAATTAAAATGAATGCCTTGGGGCAACTGCAGAAGCTCCTAGCTGCCTCTAGCTGATACACAGCTCTACTAAGTATCAGCTCTTGCTTGTGTTTCTTGTAAATTGTTGTTATGCCTATCCTTTAATCTATGCATTACTATTTTGCTTCTAGCCTCACTTGGAAAACATTCCCAAGTCATAGAGATGAATTACAATACAGAATTTCTACCAATGGCAGTACTTGCATTGTTTTCAGAATCTAGTGCCCAGGTTTTCCTACTGTTTTTCTTGCCGTCTTTAAGACAGAATTTCTATTTACATCCTTGTCGATTTTTGTATCCCTAAATAAATTATAGTCTTGAAGTCTGGACCTGCTCCAGTGAAGGTTCCTACAGCACTGAAGTTGGGAATCACTAGAGAGGCACTTTGTTAATTTTCTTTTTAAAAAGGAATGACTAAAGGTTTGTGACACTTGAATGTAAGTTGATTTTAAAATTCCATTTTTCTAAATCCAGAGTAGGGTTTATATTGCTAATATCATGATATGCTTGCCAAAGAGAATAGTTTGTAAATCCTAAACAGACTTCCTGTAACCATGTGTTGAATTTCCAGCTGTGTTGAATCAGACTTTGGTCCCTCTTCAGAAGATAAATCCAATACCTGCAGTTTCTAATGGCAGAAGTGGAGGAGAGAAGTCCCTGTCCAGATAAGAAACTGAAGGCCCTGGGGCAAGCAATTGTTTCATGAATGTCCTTTCCCCAGCCCCGCGCCCCACCCCTAAGAAATTTGTAGGCTTCATCTACCAGGAAAACAAAACAAAACAAAACAAAAAAAACAAGAAAACACACACCACACAAATGAGATGCTATTGTTAAATGCAGTATGTAGGATTAGATTTGTTTCCTTCCAATAGAATCACTTTCCTTAATCAGCACTTTTATAAATGGCACACCTGCCTGATTAGAACAAGTTCTAGACTACAGGATACAGTGTGAGCATTTCAATTAAGTCCACACAATTAAAAACTGTTGTGGTTGATGTTCTTAGAAAGACTTTCCTTCTCTCGTCTTACTCCGTTATGGCTAAGCTTTATTATTTTATACTTCTGAGTCAGCCTTTGATCATGGGACTTTCCCACTGTGTGGTCATTTATATCTTTTTTTGTTTCTAAATGATTTCTTTAAATGAAAAAAGAAGCGATGTATTTTAGGGATATATGTAGGGATGCTTTTGAATATTTTTATTTTATTAGATTTTCCTGCTTCCTTACTGTCACTTAAAATATGGAGAACCCTCATCCTGTGACAAGGAGGTAAAAATACAGCAGTCACATTCAAGATCTCCATACATTAACAATAATAAATCCTTTTGCCCTGAGTAATACAGATACTTAATCCACAGAGCTCGGGGGGATGATATAGTGCTCCCTCACAGAACCAATTACCCACAGAGAAGTATAATGAGCAGGGGAGGTGATACAATAAAAATCTATATAGGGAGAGTAGAATTATGATGACAGTGTTGCCTGTGTAAAGTCTTATAGTAAGTATATCTCCAATTATCTTTTAGAAAAAAATTGTTTGGTGTCTACTTATGTCCAATTCATGATGAAATTGCAAGAATAGCCATGGAATAAAACAAAAGGGTACAGGAGTATAGAGAAAATGGCGATAGACTTGTCGTAAACAGAGTTCTGTTCTACCCCGAAGGATGTGAAGTAGACCCAGGGCTGCTCTGAGGGAGTGCTGGGCATGAACCTCCCTGCAGAGGAATGGCTGTCCTGACCACAGTTACTGTTACTGCAGATGCAGACGGGAACAAAATAACGCTCTGGAAAAAAAATAAGATGATTTAGATCATCACAGGAAATCCCTACTTTTAGAGTTAGTGTGTTTCCGAAGACCATATCTGAAGCAGATTGCTGTGAGGGAAAATCCTGAGTGTGCATGATCTCTATCCTAATTAGGAGCAAACTTGATCTGTTCCGACAGACATCAGTTGCATAAGTGGGTTAAGTGGCAAGAAATAAAGTCTAGTTCTTTATTAGGTAAGTGTCAAATAGAGTTCTGAAGTAGCAAACAAAAAAACCTTAGTAACAACAGGAAGCAGTTTTCAGCCTTTGTTGCAGTGCCATCAGTTGTGAAGTTTGTGGACAATAATTCATTACCAGTAATAAGGCACCAAAATTTGTAAAATATTTTTCTTTTAAAAATAGACCATAACAGGCCAGACATGGTAGCTCATTCCTGTAATTCCAGCACCAGCCGAGGCAGGTGGATCACTTGAGCCCAGGCGTTCGAGATCAGCCTGGGCAACATGGTGAAACCTCATCTCTACCAAAAATAAAAAAAAAATTAGCCAGTCTCAAAAGCTTGTCTCAAAATAAATTGAATAGATTGAAATGAAAATTAAATTTAAAAAGACTAAACCGATACATAGTCTTGTTATAATTTTGTTACCATTGCAGTGTATTCATTTTACTTGGCTTCCTTCTTTTTCTTTTTTTTTTTTTAATTTTTAATTTTTGTTTCTTTTGAGACAGAATCTTGCTCTGTTGCCCAGGCTGGAGTGCAGTGGCATGATCTTGGCTTGCTGCAACCTCCCTCTCCCGGGTTCAAGTGATTCTACTGCCTCAGCCTCCAGAGTAGCTGGGACTACAGGTGCGCACCACCATGCCCAGCTCATTTTTGTATTTTTTAAGTAGAGACGGGGTTTCACCATGTTGGCCAGGCTGGTCTAGAACTCTTGGCCTCAAATGATCTGCCTGCCTTGTCCTCCCAAAGTGCTGGGATTATAGGTGTGAGCCACCACGCCCAGCGACCCTTTTTTTTTTTCTTTTAATAACCTTGTATTCTTTGTAGAGATGGAAAGAAATAGCGGGACTGGGGAGGGGGAGTGCCACCACAACTAGGTGCTGGCAACTGGTCATGCTCCAAATCTGTCTTATATAGTGACTATTACAACCTATAGTGACTATTACTAAGCAAGCCCTAATAGTGAATACTGGGCAGATAATTTTCCTCCCAACTGATTTTAAAATTTTGGTCCCGTCTTGTCAGTTTATGCCCAGGGAAGTATATAGCAAACATAAATGTCGTTTATTATGTGTGTCAGAGTAAAAAAGGTTTCAGATTAGACAATGGTGGAACCCACCTTGCCATTGATGGTTTCTTTACATGTCGTGTTTGTGGTCATTGAGGATATACATGAAAATAAAAGACAGTTGACAATATTTTGGGACCTGTGAATTGGAGAAACCAGTTCCCAACTTCAGAGCAGTTTATTCATTTGTTTATTCATTTATTCAATAGATACACTTTTGAAGCTGGGGCTACAGCAATGAACAGTCTCTGCCATCATGATGGAACTTATGGTTTAGTAAGGGAAACAGACAAATAAATGATATGCAATATTTCAGATAATGGTCAGTGCAATGAAGAAAAATAAAGCCAAGGTATGGAGCCGAGCACAGTGGCTCACATCTGTAATCCCAGCACTTTGGGAGGCCGAGGTGGGTGGATTGCTTGAGCTTAGGAGTTCGAGATGGCCTGGGAAATGTTGCGAGACCCCCATCTCTATGAAAAGTTAAAAAATTAGCTGGGCGTGGTAGTGCGCCAGTATAGTCCCAGCTACTTGGGAGGCTGAGGCGGGAGGATCACTTGAGCCCCTGGAGATCGAGCTGGAGTGAGCTTTGATCACGCCCCCGCTCTCCATCCTGGGTGACAAAGTGAGTGGTGTCTCCTAAAAAAAAAAGGTATGGAGATTCTGGAGTGGTGCCAGTGGAGTACAGTTTCAGAGAGGGATGGTCAGGGACAGCCTTTCTGCTGAGGTATATCAAGCTCCAAGTGAAAGGAGGGACAAACCATGGGGAAAGCCAGAGAGTGAAGGGCTTGGCATCAGCAGGCTGGAAGTTCCTCCATCTCACTAGTTAGGTGACCTTAGAGAGGTGGCCTTGTAGCATGGCATTCGTATTTGGGACTTGGGAAAAGCATTGTGGTAAACAGCAAAGCATTACCTAAACTTCACATTTCAGTACAGTGTAACAAGGGAGAGCAAACTAAAGAGACACAGAAGAGTCTTTTTTTTTTTTTAAGATGGAGTTTCATTCTTGTTGCCCAGGCTGGAGTATAATGGCGCGGTCTTGGCTCACTGCAACCTCCGCCTCCCGGGTTCAAGTGATTCTTCTGCCTCAGCCTCCTGAGTAGCTGGGATTACAGGCACCATGCCTGGCTAATTTTTTTTTTTTTTTTTTTTTTTTTGTATTTTTAGTAGAGCCGAGGTTTCACCATGTTGGCCAGGCTGGTCTCGAACTCCTGACCTCAGGTGATCTGCCCACCTCGGCCTCCCAAAGTGTGGGGATTACAAGCGTAAGCCACCGTGCCCAGCCAGTATTCATCTTTGCTTGCTTTTGTAGTATTATTCATTTAAGATTTTGTATTTGTTTATGCTTTTCTTTCTCCAACATCTTTTTCTTTTCATTTAGTTTGAGTTTTCCTTTTATTAAATAGTTGCAGGCCTTTTGGCTCTCAGTGGAGGCATTTTCTACTCTGTTCCTGTACTCCCTGATTAATTCATTCTTTAAAAAAATCCTCTAAGATTAATATTCATCATGGGGGCTCAGAAAATGAAAGTCTTTTATAGAGTAATTCTAAACTCCAGAATAATTCATTTGTTCTGATGCTTATTAAGGACTTGAAGTTGTTTGTTTGCTCTTTCTGTTTTTATAGCCAAATAAAATTTTGCAATACTCATAATAATATTTGAGTAGAACTTTGTAGTTTACAAAATACTTTCCACACTCACTCACATTTGAACTTTAACAACCCGAGAGCTAGACAACACAGACACTATTGTGCACTTTTACAGATGAGGAAACCTGAGGCTTAGAGAGCAGCGTTTAAATCTGGGTCTTTCTGTGGTGCAAATATGAACATATGAATGAAAAATGCTGAACTGTTTTGTTTTTAACACTTGGGATTACTAAAATGGTATGTTTTTTTAAGCAGTCTCATGAAAGATGTAGATGACTTAAGAAGTATGGATCTATAGGGGATTATGGAGAGAGAGGGTTATATGTCCCTGATCATTGTGAACAGATACCATGGAAATGGCTTACAAAACCCCTTTTTGTGTCATTGTCAGGAGGAGGATATGAATCTAAATACTCCTGGCTCTGATTTTGTGCAGGAATTTTCATTTATTTTTGTCCAGTTACTTAGACTAAGGCTAACAAATATATAGTTTCCTTCTGGGCAGAAACAGAAGTAATCACAAAGTAAAATAAAGCTTCTTAAAAATGCATTGTCCTAGATTTAAAGAATGTTTCCTTAGAAAATGCTATCTTATTTTGAGATCAAAGGTCTTGAAGACTCTTAAAATTTCTAAAGTATTATAGAATCAATAAAAATTAGAACTGGGAAAGTCCTTAGAGATTAACTCTAGAACCGTTAAAATATTTGATCTGGAAGGAACCTTTGAAGAGTCCCAGATCCCCAAATTGTGTGAGGTGAAATTGTATACTGTTGTGTCCTCAGCATCCTGATGGGGCCCATCCAGTCTCTCCATGGCCTCTTGATTATAGGGGCCTCTTATTGCCTCAAGAATAATCCATTCCACAAATACTGTATGATTTCACTTATATGCGATAGCTAGAATAATCAAATGCATAGAGACAGAAAGTAGAATGGTGTTTTCCTGGGCTGGGGGAAGAGAATATGGGAAATTATTGTTTAATGGATACAGAGTTTCAGTTTTGCAAGTTGAAAAGAGTTCTGGAGATAAATGGTGGTAATGGTTGCACAGTATTGTGAACTTACTTAATGCCATTTGAACCACAATTAAAAAAATAAAAACTAAGCAAATGAAGCGGAAAAAAAAAAGAATCCATTCCATTGCTGGACAGCTGTTGGAAAGGCTCTCTATGATGACTCCTATTGGTGTAAGTTTTGTACTCTGTAACCACAAGAACGAATCTAACCCTTTCACCTGGATGAAGACACCCAGCGAGTCCACCCCAGTCTTTTAAAGCTAAGTAGCCTTTGTTCCTTCACTAGGTCATAATATTTTGTTTTGTTTTGCTTATACTTTGTTTGAATCATGATCAAGATATGGTTCACACATTGTGATTGGCTGATACGCCCTTTAAATGTCTATTAATCTAGCGATTCTTCTGTATCTATTTTTTGCTCGCCTATTCACTTGGTCTCCTGTTTAATTTGTTGAAGAAACTGGGCCATTTTTTCCGTAGTGTTTTGGTACTAGCATCTCCCCGCTCTATAGATTAACATATTCCTCTGTCCTCTGTATTTCCTCTGAGTCGGTAATGGGCTTGAGAGACCTTGATTTATAAATGTTTGTAGTCCAACTACTGTCATCCTTTGGCATCTGTGGGGGATTGGGTACAGGACCCCTCCCTCACCCCTCTACCACCACTGATACCAAATTCCATGGATGCTCAAGTCCCTTATGTAAAATGGTGCAGTATTTGTGTATAACCTATGTACATTCTCCCATATACTTTAAATCATTTCTAGATTACTTACAATAACTAATACAATATAAATGCTATGTGAATCATTCTATTGTCTAGGGGATAATGAGAAGAAAAAAACATATATGTTCAGTACAGACAAAACCATCCTTTTTCTTTTCAAATATTTTGCATTCATGGTTGGTTGAATCCACGGATATTAATCCCGCAGATATAGAGGGCCTACTGAAAATAATGATTCAGTTTAGATCTTTTTTGAGAGTAAAGGGACACAATTTTATCCCCCCCCCCCCAACTTTTTGTTTGGAAAAGTTGTAAAGATGAGGAAAAATTATAGAATGAACACCCATATGCCTTTTACATAGAATAATGTAATGAACACCTATATGCCTTTTACATAGACTCCCCAACTGTTAACATTGTGTCATGTTTACTCTCTCTCTCTGTGCACATTAACATACGAACACCCTTAGGTTTGTTTTTTTCTGAATCATTGGAGAGTAAGTTACTCTCCAATCATAACACTTTACTCCTAAATTTCAACATAAAGACATCATAACACTTTACTCCTATATTTCAACATATATCTGCTAAAAACGAAGATATTCTCCTACATAATCAGAATTATGTTCACTCAAGAAATTTATATTATATCTAGTTTATATATTGCCTAATTCTGAGTATACATTACCCTAATTATCCCAATAATATCCTTCATAGCTGTGGATATTTTGTAAAAGTCCAGAATCCAACCACGGATCACAGATTATATTTATATTTAGTTTTCATGCCTGTTTAGTCACCTTAATTGGTCCTGCCCCCTGCCTCCCTTCTTTTGAGAAACAGGGTCTTGCTCTGCCACCCAGGCTGGAGTGCAGTGGTGCAATCACGACTCATTGCAGCCTCAACTTCCTCAGCTCAAGCCGTCCTCCCACCTCAACTCCCCAAGTAGCTGGGACCACAGGCATGCGCCACCATGCCTGCCTAATTTTTTTATTTTGTAGAGCTGGGGTCTCCCCGTGTTGCCCAGGTTGGTCCTGCCCTTTTTTGGGTATTATATGACATTTTTTCAAGAGTACAGAAAAGTTGTTACAGAGAATATCCCCCAATTTGGATTTGCCTGATTGTTTCTTTATGATTGGACTCAGGATAAATGTTTCTGGCAAGAATACTATATAGGTGGTGCTCAGTCCTTTAGGATAGGCACTTGGAAGGCACATGATGTCACTTTGTCCCATACTTGTTTATAAAGTGTCCACCAGATTTCTCCATTGTAAAGGTACCTTTTCCCCATGGTAATTAATACATAATCCATGGTGTTTAGTGGTTACCTTTTTAATAGTTTTAAAAACCATATGCCATTGGTCATGGGAGAAATTGTATGGAATAGATTATGAACACATTAGTAAAGAGTTATTGCCACTGATGGAAAGATAATTTTAGACATTTGTTATTCTGAGGAATGGAGGGGAGGTAGCAAAGTAAGAAATGGGCTCTCATGAAGACAGACTTGTGTTTGAGTACAGCTCTACACCTGAACCTATGCAACCTTAAAAATGTTACTTAACTTCTTAGATGCTCAATTTCTTTTCTAAAATAGAGATAATACTCATACCGGGCAAGATTGTTAAGATGATTAAATGAGATAGTGCAGGAGCAGCCTGTAGCCTAGCAGCTGCCCCAGGGCCATTGCATGGGAGACAAGGAGATCCTTCCAGAGCACAGTTTGCTGGATGTATTCATCTTTAGACTTATTCATGAGCCTTCCTTCTTGGGATTAGTTTAAAATATTCAGGCATGTTGTTGGGAAAATGTGATCAACAGGTTAGGTGCCTTTGTGAAATTTCAAAGAAAGGAATTAAGAATTTGGAGATTTTTGGTATCATTTTCAGACATCTTAAATATAACTTACCTGTAGTAGATTTGTATAGAATCAAATTGCCATTTACTCAGACCTTTTTCTGACTGGAATCCATTTTACTTTATTATAAGGGATTTTTTTAAACACAGTTTATATGTAGTCTGATTGAGAACAGTGAATCATAATAATCCTGTGACCCATTTACATGCGTTACTGTAAAAGTTTCATTTCGTACAAGTGACAATTTTTAAAAGTTAATTAGACTTGGCTACACGGAGGTTAGCAAAAAGTGCTTTGAATTATCAATAATTCAGCAGGGCAGACATTTCTGTATAATGCAGTGGTTTTATAGAGTATTGTGAGATAGTTATCCTTAAAATAAATGGTTGTGAGCATACATCAGCATGGCGGGGTTCGCTTGAATGTAGCGTGAAGTGATAACATCTATGCTTTCTATTATTGGACAGAGCGCGGGACATCAGTCTTTCTGGCCATGAACTACTAGCAACCTTTGTCCTTTGTGTTACCTTTAGTTAAAAACGAAAAATGAGCATGAATGCTGGCTGATGGCCATGTCTCTCTCACAGCTAAAAATTCATCTGGGAAAGAAAAATGGGTTTGGAGATTTGGATTTGTTTCATTGCATGAATGATATGTGACATTCTGTAAATTATTTATCAGTGCAAGGATGACAGCAGTAGCTTGAACATTGTTATATCAAATGAAAGCAGGAATCCCGTTAGTAAGAGGACCGGGTTTTAGCTCAAATCTATCAGGGGAATGTTGTCACTTTAAAGCCAGATTGTTCTTTTAATTGCTATTTAAAGGAACAAAAGTGTTCCCAAGGTACTGCAGTTGAGCAGTTGCAAGTAATAACTATGGATCCATAATTATGCAGTGCTGATTATCTGGCATTTAAAAAACTGTGGCTACAGTCAGTGACCAATTTGTTATAGCTTGTCTCTTTTCGTTTTTCTAGTACAGAATGTTTTATAATCTACTTTTTAACTGGGGCTACAGAAATACATTTGCATAGCTACCTCAGAACGTAAAGCCTGTGCATATTATAAGAACAAATTAAGCTGAAAGTAAAGGGAAGATAATGAATGCCCTTGTAAGATGAGATTTGCAGTCATATTAAACAATTTGTGAATGTTTGGTCATGAGATGGTTTTTTGTTTTTGATGACATGTTGTCCCAAGGAACTAAGGCATTTGTTGGAATCATTATAACCATTGATTTTTTTTGTTCTTAACTAGCATATATTTCCTTCATGTATTCAGTTAGCAGATATATTTTGAGTGCCTACTATGCACCAGGAAATGCATTAGGCATTTGGGCTAGAGTGGCTGAACAAATGAAGTTTATTCTATGCTGATGTATATTTAGAGAGTTAGACCTAGCAAAATCTTGTTTTTAATTTACATTTAAAAACATTTGTGATTATGTTGGGTGTTCTTGCTCTGAATTTTTGATTCATGAGATTCAAATATAGAGACATCATAGTAACATTCAGATGGCTAGCAGACAACATGTGTGAAGGCTTGGAATATGCGGTAAAATTACAGTTTTCGTAGTTTTGGCTGTTGAAAATAATGTGACCAGATCTGTAGGCACTGTCAGCTATTCCTATGGATGGGAATACTAGCATTGCTGATAGTAGTAAATAACAATGGAAATACTAAAATGTATGTAGATTTATACATTGTTAAAAGCAATTTTCATACGAGAGTTAAAGGGTGCTAGGGGACTAGACAAATGTTTTGTTGTTTCTTATATAAAGTGGGAATGTCAGGCCGGGCTCGGTGGCTCACGCCTGTAATCCCAGCACTTTGGGAGGCTGAGGCGGGCGGATCATGAGGTCAGAAGATCGAGACCATCCTGACCAACATGGTGAAACCCCATCTCTACTAAAAATATAAAAATTAGCCGGGTTTGGTGGCACGCGCCTGTAGTCCCAGCTACTCAGGAGGCCGAGGCAAGAGAATCACTTGAACCTGGGAGGCAGAGGTTGCAGTGAGCCAAGATCACACCATTGCACTCCAGGCTGGCGACAGAGTGAGACTCTGTCTATAAATAAATAAATAAATAAATAAATAAATAAATAAGGTGAGAATGTCAGAGATTCAAGGTTTATCTTTTTTGTTTGGTATGGTGTGGTTTACTTTTGAAGACCTTCGTGGCACAAAAGCCTTGTTAATAATGACCTTTTCAAGTGTCCCACAGAATCCTGCTCATTCTATTATTCTGTCACCTAAAAACATATAGATATTTTATGTCAAATATTTAGTAGGTGAATAATAGCAATCTGCGCTGCAATATTTAATAAAGTCTTAACAGTCTATACATGATATTCATAGACTATAATGCTGAACGAATAATTTATTTTAAGCATATAGATAATAGAAACAATTGAGATGTCCAATGAATCCTTAATTATGTTCATTTCAGGCAAGCTATATAATATATAAAGGTATTAGATTTCACTGGTTTAATAAAAATGACTTCTGAGTCATACATTATACTGAAATGTATTCAGGTAGTACTTTAGTGTCAAATAATTTAAGAGATTTATCCCAGCACTTTGGGAGGCTGAGGCAGGTGGATTATGAGGTCAGGAGATCGAGACCATCCTGGCCAACATGGTGAAACCCCATCTCTACTAAAATACAAAAAATTAGCCAGGCATAGTGGCGCGCATCTGTAATCCCAGATACTCGGGAGGCTGAGGCAGGGGAATCGCTTGAACCCGGGAGGTGGAGGTTGCAATGAGCCGAGATTGTGCCACTGCACTACAACCTGGCGACAGAGCGAGACTTCGTCTCAAAAATAATATAAGAGTTTTTTTACTAGCAGAAAGTGTTTATTTAAATACGTTATTTAGCAGTTTTTCTTTGTTAAAGAAAGAAGAAGCTTTAAGTGAAAAATGTAAAAAGCTTTTGATTTTAATGTTTTTACTTTTGAAATGGAAAAGTGACAGTATTTTTTATTTTAATTTTGTCATAGCCCCGTGCTGATCCCATTCCAATATGTAGCTTCTGTTTGGGGACTAAAGAATCAAATCGTGAAAAGAAACCAGAAGAACTCCTCTCTTGTGCAGATTGTGGCAGTAGTGGTAAGTTGTGTTTTTCCTATGTGTTGTACAATGACTTCCCATTATCATAGCTTCATGCTATTTGTCTCTCTATTAAAACTGTATTGTTATTTAAGGCAGTTATATGGTAATAGCATAGGCTTTAAATTTTAAAAGAAAAAGTAAGGAATAGAGAAAAAAGCGTGAGTATGTTAGTACTGACATATGGATATTATATATGCTTATATAATACTATACATATTTATGATTAAGCTTTTATTTTATACCAGCATTGGTAATTCAGTGTGGAGATGTCTGCATTATAGGTAAATTCCATGTAGAGAATTCTAAGCTTTCAAGCTGAGTACAACCCCATCTTTAAAAATTAATAGCAAAAAATAAGTAAAAATTAAGCTTTTTCTGTTAATCTTCAAATTTTTTCCCCAGACTACCCAAACTTTTTTCTCCAAAGTCTTGTTTTAAAATTCATGACTATTTCTCTAGTTATAGTAATCTCTAAAAAAAAAAAACAAAAACAAAAATCGACAGAACACCATAGCTAATTCTTGTTTGGGAAGTCTTGAGATATACTGGCTAGGAGCAAACTCAAGAGCCAGCCATAGCCCAGTTCCTCTGCCTTGAGTTAGTTACTTGATCATTCTGAGCCCCTGTTTCCTCATTAGAAAATTAGAGATAATGGCAGCACCATCCTCTTGGGTTTTATGGGAATGAAATGTGAGGGCACAAGTAAACACCCTGGCACAAGGTCTGCAGAACTATGGTAAGTGTACTACAAATGTCAGCAGTGTTATGGTTTAGCATGTTTGATATTGTTATCCTTGATTGCTGCACGTAATTTAAAATCTTATCATCACTTATGACAGCTGCTTGATGGTTGGGTAGAAGAAATGTTTCATGCTGAGGAATGACAGTGTTGTGTAATGATTCTTATTCCTTATATGAAGGTTTAACGTGATAGGCCCTTTGTGGTTCAGCAGCTTTCAGGTGCTGACTAGAAGGGAGAGCCTTGGAAATAAGACATTTCAAACCCTGCTTGAAAAATGCATTCTGACAGTCTTTTTGATGGGCTTTACAGATTCATTAAAATTCTTTTACCTGGCCATGGCATCATGGATAGTGACAAAAGGGCATGGAAACATTATCTGTACGTTCAGTTTAATACATTTCAGCCCCACGATATCCCTGTTTTATGCTGGTGAGGTAGTGCCTCACTCATCAGTTCTGACTCTGTCGTTATCTTTTGGGTTTTCTCACGAGGCTCATTCTGAATGAATTATTCTTTTGTGTAACTGCCTGATCAATTTAGTGGTGTTCACTTGTCTAGGGTTTACCCTTTGTGGCTTTTAAGGTGGTACTTTAAAAACACCCTTCCCTGTTTTTATTTCTTTAGGATCTATTTGTCTGGGTGCCTAGACAGATTAAAGATGTACTTAAATGTGGGAAGAAAAGTTCCCTTCATATATTTCCTTACCTCTGGTGATACACTTACTTGAGTTGATAAGAAGTTCGAGATCATTATCTTCTAGATCATAACTTCAAGGCCTCCTTCACAGGGTATAAAGGTGTAATTCTAAACAGGTAGATCTTAGATTTTCTGATGTAATCAATCTCCCTTTGTCTTTCCCGGATTGAAGACCTGCCAGAGGGGAGGTTGATCTCCTTTATGTTTGAGGTCACTGAAAATTTCTTTCCCCTGGTGTTTCTTACTTTTCGCTCAGACTTTTTCAGGGTAAAGCCAGGGGTGTTTAGGTACAGTGTTATGTTTTCTCTGTTCAAAAATATCCTCTTGTTTTCTCTTTTAACAAATGGAGAATAATGACTTGAGGATACTGTCCAGAGGGTTTATGTGGCTGGTGTGGTTTTGTGAGCCAGTCTTCAAGTGGAGAGAGCCAGAGGCTTTGGGGCCAAGGTATGGGTCATGGCAGAAATTCAAGCCCTGGGGTCACCATGTCTCTTTGTTGGGGATAAAGGATGCCTCAGAGTGCTTCTCTGGACTCTGCGATGGGATCCGGCTCTAGTGTTGAAGTTCACTTAATCTTCCCTTGAGTGTGCTGTGCCAGCCTGGATTTGGCTGCTTTAGTCAAAAAAACTATTGTTCCTAACGCAGGGAAATGCTTTGTACATATTTATTCATCTGATAAATCAGAAGAATAGACTTTGTTGTTTTTTCCTCTTTAAATTGAAGGGTCAAAATAAAATATAGTTCATTTTAGGGAGTTTGGGGGTTCTTGTGGTTCTAAGGCTCTGTTTTGACACCTTGGTAATTCTAAGGAAAAAAGAAAACAATAGGCCAGCATACCTCAACAGTGTCCTCAAATAATGGCGGGAGCCCTGTTGTCACAGTTCAGCATTTCAAGTGGGAATTACAGATTAGTTGGGACTCCTAGTTGACCTTATGGAAATGGCTGCCTTCTCACTCTCAGAAGAGTCTATTGGTTCTGGGATTGAATTGAGACCGTTCATAATGTTCAAAGGGATCCCAAAATGTAAGTTGTTTATGTGAAAAAATACCCATAGCAGCATAAAACCAGAAAAAGGAAATATAGATGGCAGCCTGTGGGGAGGATCATTCTTAAATGTGTTTCCCATATGTGCCTGATGCTTTTCAGTCGTCCCTATCTGAAGTACCATTCATATGATGTCACATTTAGACTCCGCTTAGATTTCATAGATGAGAGTAATAAATGTATCCTTCTGCTTACATCATAAAGTAAAGCCAATTAGAAATTTATCTGTTTTTAAAGGGGCTCGATGCTTTAAATGGGCAGTATTTTCTTTAACAGTTTTTTTTTCTACTAAAAATTCTTTAAAAAAAAAAATCATTCAAGTTTATATGTAGTAAAAACGTGAGGTGAGGTATGTAGTGCCCGGAGCTCTGAATGTGGTGTCCCTAGCCTGGGTTCCAGTTCTCTTCCGCCACTTGCTGGGTGTGTAACTTTGGTTTTCCTCATCTGTGGGGTGTAAAGGAGAATGTCTGCACCCTCCATCCACAGAGCTATTGTGGGATCCAGTGAGAAAATGATAGGAAGATGATCAGTAACTGTAAAACATGAGACAAATGTGAAGGATTATTCCAGCCACTAATATGAATGTGGGAATCATCAGATAGTCTAGGTCTGTGGAAGTGTTAGAAATGATTTTACTTGACTTTCATGGATCAGCCTACTTTGAAATTAACACTGTTATATTCTCTTTGCCTCATTAAGACCAAATTATCTTTAATTAGCTTCACATAAGTATTAGATATTATACCAAATGAAATTTTGTGTCTGCTGCTCAGATTGCTGGGTGGTTAAATCTTACTTACAGATGAGTTGTGTGCATGTGTGTTTTCAAATTAGCAAATCTAAGATAAGTGTACAGTTCAAAATTACAGCATCATTCTAAGTGGAAGCTCATTGAAACGGGAGACAGAAGAAAGGCTGCTGTGATGCAGCTGGGTGAGTGAGAGAAATCCCTTTTGTACAATAAAGGGAGCAAGAGCCGTGGAGTAGAATATCAGTGCACCCTCGGGAGACCTGAAGTCTTCCCTGGGTTTGTCTTTATTTGTGTGTTAACCCTGAACAAAATTTGCATGCTCATGGAGGGAACTGGTAGGGGCAGTGTGTGGATATATGGACATATAAAAATATTTTAAAAGACCACTAGTTTCTTAAGGTCACCCCAGGAGTTGGTTGCTTAGTCATCCAGTTTCACATTGACTAGATGCAGATTGAATCATTAGGTTGGAAAGAAGACTCTTGACTAGAAAGAAACCTAAAGATATGATCCAAAGAAGAAAAGAGGCCAGGCGCTGTGGCTCACGCCTGTAGTCCCAGCACTTTGGGAGGCCAAGGCAGGTGGATCACCTGAGGTCAGGAGTTCAAGACTAGCCTGGCCAACATGGTGAAACCCCATCCCTACTAAAAAAAGGAAAAAAAAAAAATTAGCCGGGCATGGTAGCGCATCCTGTAATCCCAGCTACTCGGAAGGCTGAGGCAGGAGAATGGCTTGAAGCCGGGAGGCGGAGGTTGAGGTGAGCCGAGATTGCACCACTGCACTCCAGCCTAGGTGACAAGAGTGAAACTCTGTCTCAAAAAATAAAAATAAAAAAACAAAGCAGAAAAGATTGGGGGTTGGGGGAAAGAAGGTGAGCCCCATCCCTGCAAAAGCCCAAAGCATGATTGACCATCCAAAGAGATGTAACTTCACTAAAACTGTGCTTGTCTGGGTAATAGTGACCTCTTTGTAGCAAAATCTAATGATCATTTTTAAGTGTTTATCAAAATCTAATTGGTATCTTTTAATCCACACCAAATAATTTCTCTTAGTCATATTTGATCTTGTAGAGAATCTTTTTTCTTGAAGTGTTCTTTTCCTTTGGCCCCTGTGACACCATATTATCTGTGTTTTTTCTCTACCACTTCTTTCCACATATTTTTGTTAGCCCCTTGGTCCTCTCTCCATTCCCTAAATGTTTCTTCAGATGTCTGTCGTGGCCCTGTGTTTGTTACTTTGCCTTGTAGCTTCTACTGAGCTTCTGACCCTAGATACAAATAACTATAGAGCTTTTCCAACGAGTCTACCCCCGAGGCACCTCAAAGTTAATATCCAGAACAGCTCATCAACCTTGCACTGCTTCCTCCACCCAAAACAACAGCCACAACAATAACAACAGAAATCCCAGCAAACAAACAGTATCCCACCTCTCCTGGAGGATTTCCTATATTCAGCAAGTGGCACACCGTTCGCTACTCACTCAGTTACACAAACTAGACATTTGGAGCCATCCTCTGTCCTATTCTTTCACACCAAGGAATCACCAAAAACACATTGATTCTAAATCATAATATGTATCTTGAATGCTAAATTTATCGATGCATCCCCACCAGCCAGCCCCACTCAGATCTGCTGTTATAATGACCTCAATCTAGGCTTCACCCTTTTTCCTCCAATCCATTTTCCATACTATAGCCTAAGTTACCTTTTTAAGTTATAAATCTGATCACATAATTTCATAAGTGGCTATCAGTTGCTCTTAGGAGAAATCCATATTCTTTAATATAGCCCCCAAAAACTTCTGGATTGGGCTCTGGTTTAACCCCATCTTACATCACTATTCTGTTCACATTCTGCACATTGGTTACATTGAACAACTTCTCTCTCCTTGGATATACCTCGTTCATCTCTCCCTCTGTTCATGCCATCTTCCCTGCTCTTCCCCTCTTCTGGTCCCATCCAATCACATTCATCTTTTGGGTCTCTTTTTTAGGGAGGCCTTTCTCTAACTTCCTGCTAGATTCTCCCATATCCCTAAGCCACCCCATTGTAAGGCATTAATGCTCATTCTTGTTTAATGTTTGTCTTTCCTGCTGGGCTATGTGATCTGGAAGGGTGGGAACCATGCCTCTCCTTTTCCTCACTGTATCCAGTGCTCATTAAATATTAGTTGAAGGGAGGAGAGATGGACAGATGGATGGTCAGGTAGCCAGTCTGAGGGGCTTAGTGTCTGAGTCGTTATTAGTTTTCCATTGCTACTGGAATAAATTACTACAGACTTAGTGGCTTAAAAACAACACATTTTTAATCTTATAGTTGTAGGTTGGAAGTCCATCATGGGTCTCACCAGATTAAAATCGGGGTATCAGCAGGGCTGGCTCCTCTCTGGAGACTTTAAGTGAGGATCCATGTTCTTTTTTTTTTTTTTGAGATGGAGTCTCACTCTGATGCCCAGGCTGGAGTGCAGTGGCGTGATCTCGGTTCACTGCAAGCTCCGCCTCCCGGGTTCACGCCATTCTTCCACCTCAGCCTCCCGAGTAGCTGGGACTACAGGCGCCCGCCACCACGCCCGGCCAATTTTCTGTATTTTTTTTTTTTTTTAGTAGAGACGGGGTTTCACCATGTTAGCCAGGATGGTCCTGATCTCCTGACCTCGTGATCCACCCGCCTTGGCCTCCCAAAGTTCTGGGAAGGAGAGGATCCATGTTCTTATCCATCTGGGTTATTGGCAGAATTCAATTCCTTGTGTTGACAGGACCGAGATCCTGGTTTTCTTGCTGTCAGGTGAAGGTCATGGCCAGGTTCTACAGGCCACCCACATTCCCCGGCTTGCAGCCCCCTCCCCATCTTGAAAGCCTGTGATAGCAGGTGGAGTCTCTCTCATGCTTTGAACCCTTCCTCCTCCTTTTGCCATTTCATTTCTAACCAAGTCCGTAAAAGGTTCTCTGCTTTTAAGGATTAATGTGATTAGATCAATCATGCCCACTCAGATAATCCAGGATAAACTCCCCATCTCTAGGTCGGTACCCCTAGTCACTTCTGCAGAGTTCTTTTTGCTACAACAGGTATAGTATGTTTACAGGTTATGGGAATTAGAGCACAGATGGCTGGGGCGCTGCTGTTGTTGTGCTTACTACAGAGCCTGTGTTTTTTCTTCCTCAGTACTTTCTCCAAAAAGCTTTTCCACTGGTTTGTAGTTCCATTGGTACTTGTTTAATTTTAAATAGTATTCCTTTGGTTTTGCTAGATAAAACTATTGTAAGCTACTAGTACTTGACAATGTATTTGTGTAAAATTGAATGAGTGAATGAATATGTATTATGGCTCTCAAATCTGATAAATTGCAAAATACAATAGTAAAACAAACTCCAGAAAGACAAAGCACCATGAAACGTGTCAACAGAGAGAACAAGAATTTTAGAGGAAATTAGCTGGACGTGGTGGGGTGTGTCAGTAGTCCCAGCACTTTGGGAGGCCAAGGCTGGTGGATTCTTGAGGCCAGGAATTCAAGACCAGCCTGGCCAACATGGCAAAACCCCATCTCTACCAAAAAAATACAAAACAATTAGCCGGGCTTGGTGATGCGTGCCTGTAGTCCCAGCTACTCGAGAGGCTGAGGTGACAGCACTGCTTGAGTCTGGGAGGCTAAGGTTGCAGTGAGCCGTGATCATGCCACCGCACTCCAGCCTGGGCAACAGAGTAAGACCCTGTCTCAAAAATAAAAAAATAGGCTGGGCGCTGTGGCTCACACCTGTAATCCCAGCACTTTGGGAGGCTGAGGCAGGTGGATCACAAGGTCAGGAGATCAAGACCATCCTGGCTAACACAGTGAAACCCTGTCTGTACTAAAAATACAAAAACAAAATTAGCCA
Source organism: Homo sapiens (assembly GCF_000001405.40). Classification (NCBI taxonomy): domain Eukaryota; kingdom Metazoa; phylum Chordata; class Mammalia; order Primates; family Hominidae; genus Homo; species Homo sapiens. The sequence goes on from NC_000010.11 coordinate 74,967,188, forward strand.
GGCATAGTGGCGGGCGCCTCTAGTCCCAGCTACTAAGGAGGCTGAGGCGGGAGAATGTCGTGAACCTGGGAGGTGGAGCTTGCAGTGAGCCAAGATGACGCCACTGCACTCCAGCCTGGGCAACAGAGCGAGACTCCGTCTCAAAAAAAAAAAAAAAATTAAAGTGTTAGAGGAAATTGTTGAGTTTATGAAATCGCTAAACCAGAGGTAAGGAATTACTTGATCAGTAGCATTGCTTTCCTTTATCTAATTACTATAGATTGTGCAGTAGTATATCAAGACACGTTACGGTCTTTTGTGTTATTTTAAAGTTGGCCATGAGAAAATAAAATGGAAATATTTCTTCATCCCTCAGCATCCTTTACAGAATCATAGAAATTTAGAACTGTAAGGGATCTATGGCCAATTCTCTTGAGCTAAATAAAGGTAAGATTGCTGCCTAAAGGAAAGATAGGCTGAAGATTTTAGAATTTGATAGGGTAGCTTAAATAGTAGTAGTTGAGATACAGTATTGCTTAAAGTGAGAGAAACCATTAAGAGAAAGAATATTCCTTGCCCCTGATTGAAAATGGCTGAAATCCACTAATTTTCAAACTGCATAATTATTAAAAAGTCTGTCTTTCATAAGATACCTGTGAGAATAAATAGTAAGCTGTAATATGATGTGAATTACCTTAGTTACTGAATATTAAGTCACAAAGTACAAAAGCAGATTTGAATGTAGAGAAAAATTCAGTGCGTGAAATTGAGGTCATATGTGCCCATGATATATGCCTTACAGGAAGTAATAAAAAAGAGGGGGGAAGTAAGTGGTATACTTTTAAGCTGATGGGATCCATTTTAAGGGTGGAATTTAAATTGCTGTTCTTTAAAAGTTAAGTTTTTACCCTCCTCACTATATAAGGGGACAGAGGGGAGGGCTCTGATCAAAGTAGACCTCTCCCCTCCCCGCTTCAGTGTGCTTCTTAGAAGTCGACAAGCAAGCTGTCTTTGTTTGCCGTTCCTGAGCAGAAAGAGGAGATTGATACCATTTTTATCTATTCAGACTTTTTCCTTGCATTCATTTGAATGAGAGAAGCCTCATAAAAGAACAGTGTCACAGGTTAAATGCATCTGCCTGGGTGTCTCTCCTGCCTGAGGTCATAATCCTGTGACAATATTTTATTTTCTCAACATCTTAAATACAGATGTTTAGAGTTTTTTTTTTTTAACTCAGGAATAGTGTGCTTTTATTAACGGTATTGGTGATTGATTTTGAATGTTTTTACTTCAAAAAGCCAAATCTCCTGGTGGGTGGAATTTTATGAAGCACCTGTTAAGCTTTAGGGAGGAGGACCTTTTTGGCAGCAATCCAAAATACATATTTAAACAATGAGCCTGCCAAAGTCAGGAAATTATAAAACAGTTTTGAAATTGCAGAATCTGCTTTTTTTTATTACCCCTCAGGTTTCCTTTGCAGCTTGGTTGTAAGTTCTTTCACATGGGATTTACTAATGTTCTTACTATTTAAAGACCAGGTTTAAAAAAATAAAATCAAGTTTGGAGATCTCTTCGGGTTTATGTGATAAAAGACCATTAGATTTTAAACTGTACAGCCTTCCAAAGAATCTAGGCTCACGCTCCGCACACCTCTTGGAGGAATCTATTACACACTGGCTCATGGCTGGCTCCTTTGAATGGCATTGCCCCTCAGGGTCTCCAGTTTTCCTCTGTGAAGTGAGCAGTAAGACCTGGTGTGTGGAGCGCTGCTAGGTGAAAAGTGTGCCCCAAACAGGAAAATGGGGGAACCTGCTGAGGCCACACTTCTTGGTGGGTCCTGTTTAACCTGGATCTCTCAGCTTCTTAACTCTGTCTCTCAAATTCACTGTTTTCTGCTCCTGCTTCCAGAGTTTAAACTCAGTGACCCAGGGGCAAGATGGCAATGGAATATCCTCTGTCTAGCCCAGCAATGGGATGTTCTTTGTGTGCTATTGGATTTGGGTGGGGGAGGGCATCTGTAGTTATGTTAAGCAGCCTCAATTTTTTATTTAGTTATCTGTTGAGTTTTATGATTTCATCACACACAGAGAGCAGGAATTGTTTGAACTTTGGCAACTCCCCTCAGTGTGTGGCAAACCAGGACCCCCTGGGTAGATGGTGGTTGATGAAGACGGCAAGTACAGGTGCAGGAGTAAGAATGCCTGAGCCTGTGTTATCTTCAAGTTCTCAAAGGCTTCAGATTGGAATTGGTATAAATTAAGTTCTCTTAGGGAAAACATTCGTACAGTCATTTTGTTACATACAGGGAAAGAAGGCAAGGGGAAAAGGCAGAAAGGAAAATCTGTAATTCGGATTCTCTGATCTGTTGGCATTTTCAAGTTCCTAAGGTTCATTGGCTAGCCTCATCAGCTATCTATTAAATATTAGGGAATGGGAGTTTAAAAAAGTCAAAGGCACCATTCCCATCAAGCAATTTGCTTTTTATTCTCATAGGACACCCATCCTGTTTGAAATTTTGTCCTGAATTAACAACAAATGTAAAGGCCTTAAGGTGGCAGTGCATCGAATGCAAGACATGCAGTGCCTGTAGAGTCCAAGGCAGAAATGCTGTAAGTATGGCTCCCGTAATCCGCCTCCAGGTAACTCGCTAATTTCCAGTGTTAAGGTGTTTTCATTTTTATAGAGTATGGCTACTTTCTTTCTAAAGCTTTAAATACACATGATGTCAAACTGCAACCAGGATCTTGGTGCACTTTCCTTATATTGTATTAATGTTAATCCAGTAACAAAAGAATTTTTGGCCTTTTACAGTTGGTTTCAGTCTCAATTAGTCTCTAATATGTTATATTACAGGATAATATGCTTTTTTGTGATTCCTGTGATAGAGGATTTCATATGGAATGCTGTGACCCACCACTTTCCAGAATGCCAAAAGGTGAACTTCTAAACTGTACTAAAAATGTATTTTATTACATATTGGTTAGCTTTGTCCTGAGGTCTGACAGCTCAGAGGTATACAGGTTCTTTAAGCATTTTTTTCATCCCTCCCACCTTCCCTATACTTCTGAGTTTAGCACAGGTTGTGAATAGAGGAGTATAAAAGCATAGAAAAAAATACATATATATATGTGTATATATATACATATATATAAAATAAAGGCTCTAATTCAGACCCAGGGATGAAAAGACCATCTCTCTCTCCAAACCATTCCCCTATTAGAATAAGATTAGATTATTAAGGTCAAAAGTTTAGAACACTTTCCATATTATTCAGCACAGTGTTAAGAGCTTAACAAATTTTATATTTTTGAGGATGATAGTGACTCCAAAGTCCTACAACAGGAAGCCATCACCATTTTCTTGGCCATTAGTTGATATTTTGAACACGAGCATCTGAATGATCTTATAGCTGATTGTGTCTGATGGAATGTGGATTTTCTTCTGTTTATTGTGTAAATCAGCTAAGCTCAGCCTTTTCCCCTCATTTTGCAATATATTAAACATTTAAAAATAACTTTGCCTTTTTATTATAAAATCCATAATTTACATTGTGGAAGATTTAAAAAGTACAGATAGACAAAAAAGGAATAAAAATAAAAATGAATTGGAAATTTCCTTCTCTGCCTTCACATACCCTTTGAAGGGAAATGGAACATTCTGTACATGTTTTTGTAATGTACTTTTTCCTCCCTCTTAATAGATTATAAGCATCCCCTACATCATTAAATATTCTCCTAAACATAGTTTTTAATAAGTATGTAGAACTCCATAGTATAGAGCAGGGATTACAAACCTGGCAACTATGGGTCACAGATATGCTTTGTTGGTACAATATTTTTACAAGTTTGAATCTGAGTCCTCTGGGTGGTGCGTGTGTGCTCCAGTTTGCCACAATCTCACTACTCCCTGCTGTCTTACGTTCCAATTTGCTTCAGTCACATACATTATACAATCTAGGTCCTTCCTGGAGGTATTTGATTTTCCAACCCTCTATATAAATGAACTCTAATTTATTTAACCAGTCCCTTAGGGTGGATATTACAAATGTTTCCAATTTTTTCCATCCACAATTATTTCCTTGAAATAAATTCCTAGAGGAGGAACTGTTGGATCAAAGGCTAGATACATGAAAGGCTGTATCAGTTTTCAGGCTGTCCAGCAGTATAGAAGGATACCTATTTTCCTGTATTGTGACCAGTACTCACCGTTACTATATCTCCTTGAGTCTAAGACACATTTTTTTAATGTTTTAATATTTTTGAAGTCAGATGCATCATACAGTATCTTAGATTTGATTAGAGTATTATTATTTTTAAAATTTTACCAGTTTGATAATAGAAATATGTCTGATTATTTCTTTTTAAGTAGTCAGATTGAACATTTCTTGTGTTTTATTCTTGGCTGTTTGTATATCATCTTTTCTAAAGTACCTCTTTTTATCCATTAATCATTTTTCTCTTGGGATTTTTACCTTTTTCTTCCTGATTTGCAGAAGCTCTTTTTTTGTGTGTAGTCATATTCATGAATCTTTTTATTTATGGCTTCAGTTTTAAATGTCAGTCATGCTTAGATTATATAAATATCCACATATCTTTCCTGGTACTTATAACATTTTATTTTTTCATATTACAATATTCATCTGTCTAGAATTTATTCTTGTAAAGGATAGGAAATAATTCCTCTTCCAGATAGATAGCTATTTGTTCTATCATGCTTATTGAATCATTTCATCCTTTCTCCACTGATTTAAAATATGACCTTTTGATATGCTAAACTTTTCTGTAGGCTTTGGTTGTTCTGGTCTTTCCATTCTTATCCATTGACCTATTTCTCTATGCTAGATGTATAGTTTGAATCATTGTAGTTCTGCAGTACTCAAAACTTTTATTTAAATTTTAAAATTATATTTTATACTGATAATTTTTTTTTAGTGTTGGAACTTTCCAGAAAGAGATGATAAGACAATTTTTTTTTCTTCTAGAAATTCCAAAAATGGACTGATTTGAAAATGTCTCCCTCAAATCAAAAGATATAATATCTGACAGGGGCGAGTTTTCATGTGTGTTTATGTGTTGGTGAGAGGCTTAATGACATGTTGGGAACAGCTTCATGGAAGGATTCTGAGAGAGGGGCCACCTCTGCCCTCACCACCTTCACTCCAGGGAAATTGACCTTAGTGATGGCTTCCTAAGGAAAATGACAAAGGGAATGACGCATTTTTTGGAGTAAAGTTCAGCATACAGGCATCCTTGAGCAGCTTATTACAGCTACAACTTATATTTAATATCTTCTCTTAAAATGAAACATTAAAATATTTTTCTCATATATATATTAATTCAGGGATGTGGATTTGCCAAGTCTGCAGACCAAAGAAAAAGGGAAGAAAACTACTTCATGAGAAAGCTGCACAAATAAAACGACGATATGCAAAACCCATTGGACGACCGAAAAATAAATTAAAGCAACGATTGTTGTAGGTTGAGATCTTATCAAAAGAAATCATTTATGTTTTGCTTTAAAATATAGGTGATTGTTATTCTCTCAGATTCCTTTAGGGGTTTTTTGGCATCATTTTTTCAAACTCAAGGGTTGAAAAATACTTTTCCTTTTGCATAAGCTGTGGAAATTTTTTGAAAATAACATTTTTAATTACCATTGGCATTTTGGGGTCTTCTGTTGGCAGTAGCTGTGATACTAAGTGACATTTTTCAAGCAGCAGGATGGAAGCAGAATGTAAGAATTGGAAACAGTCATTCAGCCTACTTTATTACTGGCTGAGCATTAGAGCTTAATTATGTAAATATTTTCATAGGAATTTTAAAACGAGAGGGATTTGTCCATGTCTATAGCAAATCTCTTTTGTCACTCCAGATAACATTTTAGAAAAATACCTCTCTCTTCTGATAGTAATGTAGCATTACCACTTTTTAAGATCTCTTTTATGAAATAGGAGCTTCTGAAAAACCTGCAGATGACCACTTACCTCTGAAGAGTTAGACAGAACTATTTGACAACTGCACTAGTGCAGACATATATATAAAATAATATATTCGCAGTGGCCTGGAAATCTACTATGATAACCCCATTTTCACTATCTTGTTGCTGTATAATTGCCATTAAAGCCCAGTAGAGCATTTAGCAGGAGTTAGTTGGAAAAGCAGAGAAAAGATAAGAGGTGAAATGAATTTATTTTAACCTGTGTAGAGTATAGATTTGACTATCAGCATTAAGGTGTTTACGAATGGGATCAGTAGACTTGCACATCTATAGCAGTTCTACCAACAGACTACCACCATCTTTTCAGGCTTAGTGAAAGGGTCATTGTGATGGAGAAAGAATACATGCTCTGCACACACCTTGAACAGACTCCAAGAATCTCACTCCCTTGCTTACTCCTTTTCCCCTAATTTTATCTGAAGCTGCTCTCACTATCTTATTTGCTCTCAGAAAAATAGTATTCTCCCGCACCTTTATCTCCTAAGAAGAAGTAAGAAATGCAGGCTCCTTTCTAGAGTTTTCTATGAAACTTTGCAAAAACCCTTTAACCAGTAGACATTTTCAATAGATTTTGAAAAAATTTCTAGAGGCAAACATGAAACATTTATGAATAAAATCTTTCATGGTAGTATCATTTGAAGTAGAAATTATATGTTTTTGCATTCATCCTGTGTAAGCATTGTTCCCAACATGGGTCCATATCCTCAGGGCCCAATTAAAAAAACCAAATTAGGATATAAACTTTCTAAACAGAGGACACAGCTGAAAATTGCATCTGGCACCAATCCTAACTTTTTGTTTGTCCAAAATTGTCCTTTGAGCTTAGGAATTTTTAAGACAGTCTAGGGAGTTTTCCTTTTTACATGCTTTATAAGCATATTATCCTTTCTGGGCAATCGATTCCAGATACAATCCAAATGCAGCTTTCTGATGTGAAACATTTTTGCCTGGATGAGTTCCTTGTTGGTAACTCTCACTGTGTCTCTAGTGACACTAGAGATCTCTAGCGTTCACCTGACTTGGCTGAATTGGTGGTGCCAGGCAGAGTCCCTGGCAGTAGAGCCACCTCAGATGAGCCTGGTAGCTGCACCTACCTCCCCTTCAACTAACAGCTGAAATCTGGTCATTAAATCTTTGTATACAAGATGATCACTAAAATATACTCTTGTATTTGTAATTACTTAAGATATTTTTATAATTCAGTATTGTATCTTTTTAAGGCTTTCATTTTGTCATTATTCACCTTTAGCTAAATTGATCATTTTGAAAGTACATTCTTGGGCCCCAGCATTGTCATAATTCATCTGCAAATGTTTCTCTATTGTATAAAACTCTGCTACAAAATGGGTAGCTTCGCAAACCCTAGCCTGAGGTGAAGACAGTCGGCCGCTGTTCATGTAAGCAGCTGTGTTAGCGAGTGACCTCTAGTTTCTAGAACTACTCAACAGTATGGGCAGAACCAGGGTACAAAGATTCTGACGCCAAGTGTCTGATAATGACCATGGTAAATGTGCCGCTTCTTCACCAGACTCTCCATGTCATGTCTGACCCGCTGTAGCTTTTCTTTAATCATTTCTTCAGTTTTTTGCTATTGTTGTCCTTTTTTCAGCAATATTTTATGCTGTAGTTAATTGTCTTCTCTCCTAAGAGAGTATTATTGGTTATCTTACCATCCTAAGCACAAACTGCTGAGAGGAAGAGGATGTCTTTTTATGTTTTCTTAAAAAAAAGTACAAATTTATAGCCATATCCAAACTCTATTTATATAAGTTTGCAAATTGAATTAAAAATTACTTTTAACTAGAGATTAGATAAGCTTCTTCTTTTGCTTCTGGATAACACATATGACTTATTTCCTCCTAATACTTTAAAAAAGACATTTCAGGAAATCATAACTACTTGTGACAACACCAAAGGATAGCTTGTTTTTATTTAATTATAATTAAAGCATTGGGTGTTCTTTTAGTCTCTTCAGCATTTTTCTTGCTTATATTGCCCTTGGGTCCACATGGATTCTTCCAGTACCTGGTGGATGGGCCCTGGAAGAACCATGACATGTAAATGCAGTTGCTGCTGCCTTTCCAACAGAGAAACATCTAGGTGGTGGCACACACAAAAAATACAGTTCTTAAGTTTAAGCCCATTGAATGCATCTAGTTGCAATAAATTTGTTTTTAGATACCTTTATAATTCTATTTATTAAATGCTGATACTATTCTCTAAATTTCTGCCTAGGTCTGTAACCAGTGATGAAGGATCCATGAATGCATTCACAGGAAGGGGGTCACCTGGTAGGGGTCAAAAGACTAAAGTCTGTACCACACCTTCATCTGGTCATGCTGCATCTGGGAAGGACTCAAGCAGCAGATTGGCTGTTACAGACCCCACTCGGCCTGGTGCCACCACCAAAATCACCACCACCTCCACCTACATTTCTGCCTCTACACTTAAAGTTAACAAGAAAACCAAAGGGCTCATTGATGGCCTTACTAAGTTTTTTACACCATCACCTGATGGTCGCAGATCACGAGGTGAAATTATAGACTTTTCAAAGCACTATCGTCCAAGGAAAAAGGTCTCTCAGAAACAGTCATGCACTTCTCATGTGTTGGCTACAGGTACCACACAAAAGCTAAAACCTCCACCTTCTTCACTTCCACCCCCAACCCCCATCTCCGGTCAGAGCCCCAGTTCACAAAAGTCCAGCACGGCCACTTCTTCTCCCTCTCCCCAGAGTTCTTCCAGCCAGTGCAGTGTGCCCTCCCTGAGCAGCCTTACCACTAACAGCCAGCTGAAGGCACTCTTTGATGGGCTTTCTCATATCTATACCACTCAGGGACAGTCTCGCAAAAAGGGACACCCGAGTTATGCACCACCCAAACGTATGCGTCGTAAAACTGAATTATCTTCCACGGCAAAATCTAAAGCCCACTTCTTTGGCAAAAGAGATATTAGAAGTCGGTTTATTTCTCACTCCTCCTCCTCTAGCTGGGGGATGGCTAGAGGAAGTATTTTTAAAGCAATTGCTCACTTCAAGCGAACAACTTTCCTTAAAAAGCACAGGATGCTAGGCAGATTAAAATATAAAGTGACCCCTCAGATGGGGACCCCCTCACCAGGGAAGGGGAGCTTGACAGACGGAAGGATTAAACCTGATCAGGATGATGGTAAGCAAAAGGTCAAAGCTCCAACCAAACCTGCGTCCCGTCCCTTTCTCCCCAACCCTGAAAAAAATCAACCAATCAATTCCTATTTGTCACATAGGTCTTAGCTATTTCTCTTGTTCTCACTTCACTTTCATACAGAAGCAGTGAAACTTTGACCTTTTTCTAATGCTGACTAAACCTCCAAAATGTTGTTTTTCCAACTAATACTCTCCCACCTTTTATTATTTATTTCCATTCGTAGTGACACTAGGACCCCCAGATGCCTTCATAGCATTGCTTATGGCTTTGTAGTCCCGCATGAGTAGCCACTGCCATGCTTCTGCCATGCTCTCCCCCATGTCACCTCTGCAGCCACAGCGCTGTTCAGTTGTGTGCTGTCAGTGCTTCCAACAGGGGGTGTTTCAGCTCTTCCCTCTGCTCCATTGCTTTCTCATGACAAAGTTCATCCTGCTTCCGTCTCAGCAAAGCCTGATCTGTGACTCTGTGATGTGTGCTTTTGGATGTGAGTGTGTCTGTGTGTGTATCCACCTTAGGGAGAAAACGGATTTCATAATTTCATTGAACAAATTGGCCCATTACATTTGCTACCCTTTATCAAACAAAAACCGAAACTGTGTCATTTGGACAAAGTGGTAGAATTTATTATCTCAAAAGTGATAATGGGAATGCTATAACTAGACATCGATAAAACTTCTAATCTTGGTTGAAAAATATGATTTCACTTTGTATTGCTCTTACTTTCCCTCATATATTTATTAAAGCTGTAAAAAGATGACAGTGATAAATTCAAATAAAAATTTGAGTATAGCAGGGAAAGGATACTGCTGGATCTATGAGCAGTGCTTAGATGTAAAAGCTTATTTATAAAGCTTTAAAAAAAATCCCTATTTGCCCAGTATGCTAATTTGGTGCCATTTTGGTAATATATGGTGGTTACTCATGATTCAAGTCAGTGAATACACTTTCTGCTGGTTTTAAATGACAGATACTGAAATAAAAATAAACATCAAACAAGAAAGTGCAGATGTAAATGTGATTGGAAACAAGGATGTCGTTACTGAAGAGGATTTGGATGTTTTTAAGCAGGCCCAGGAACTTTCTTGGGAGGTAAGGCGAGGATCCCACATTGTAGTAGCAAGTATAAGATGTGGCTTCTAACTATTAATATGGAATTACTGTGTTGATTTTATAGAGAATCCCTTTCAACATCCTTTGTGATTCTTTAGCCGTTATCATGCCCATTTCTACTGACTGTACATTCAAAAGCAATGACTTAGTAGAATTGTCGCCACTCTTAAAAGTAGGTATGGACTCAGCTGGTCTCACAAAATAAAACAGAGTAGCATTAGTTGAGGCAGATTTTGGAAAACATTTCTAGGTGTGAAGGAATAGATTTCTGATGAGTTTTGCCTAAATTTAGAAAATAACAATTTAAAATCATTAACAAAAAGAAGAACATCACTGTTAAATTCACCGATGTTTCTTCCAACACAGATGGCCAGCCATATGAAAAATGTCTCATATTTTTAGCTCTTCTGCATTGATGAAAACAATATTTTGTTTCACAATCAGTTGTAGTCAGTTTTATTTTTATTGTCCAGTAATTTCTTTAAGTGATTCCACTTTAATTCTGCTTAAGTTATTACCACCCAGATATTGACAGGTGAGGCTGTCAGACTTCTCAAAGACGAATCTAATATGAATTGTGAATTTGTTGTGTCAGTGACTACATTCGGTTTCTATGACCAGTGTGGTCAGGTAGACTCCCTACCCAACCCCACTTCCTGTTTTGTGGGGAAGGGGTTTTCTGTAGGCTCTTAACGCTTTATTTTTAGTAGCAGCCAGTTGGGCTAAATACTCCTGACAGTTTCTACCTTCAGAGCTATTGGGTATTTCCAACCCTCATTCTGCCCCGATCTATCAGGATGCCTTGTATCAGCTTTCCTTTGGCTAAGATAAATGTCAGATTTCCCCCAGTTATTAAGGTTGGAAGTCCTTGAACCAGCCCAGGTTGGAAATGGAGCAGGTCAAAACTCCTACGTTGATCAGTAGTGGGATTGTGCCCTTGAATGGCCACTTTACTCCAGCCTGGACAACACAGCAGGATGCCACCTCTTTTAAAAAAAGATTCGAAGTCCTTAAATATTATCTTTTTTTGGCCTACTTCTGACATTCATATGTAAACATGAACAGTAGGCCATTATCTGAAAGATACTGCTAATTCTAAAGTTTTTTCATTCCAACATGGTAAAACTGGCTTTTTTTATTCAAGAAATATTCTTGTTCTGTGTCAGGCACTGTACCAGACACCAGGGATACCACAGTGAATCTGGCAGGCAGAGTTCTTAACCTCGTGTGGCTTACTACATGGAAATAAGGGAAATAAGAGGAGACAAATGCTAAGCTGCAGATTTCACAATTGATTATTTAATTACAGTTGTGATAAATACTACTTCGTGGAGGAATAGGAAACTGTAAGCTTCTGTAATAAATAAGCCTGTGTAATAGCCACATCATTTATAATCACCTAATTTCTAATCTGTTACAACAGATTGTTAAATCCAGTTCTATCGACATTTGTATGTATTTATACCATACTTATTTCCTTTGCTATATTGTTTCTTAGGGTATTCGTTTGCTGTGAATCTTACACAAAGGTAATGTTAGGTTGGTGCAAAAGTAATTGTGGTTTTTGCCATTGAAAAAATTATAAAAACAGTAATTACTTTTGCACCAACCTATTTCATAAGGGTCTATAGTGTTTTAAGGCCATGCAAATTCACAATTAAGATTAGTGTTCTGATCTTGATAAGTTTTGATAGTCACTGGTGAAAGAACCAAAATGTAAGTGAAGTATATATATTATTATTTTCCTTTTCTTTCTATTTGACAGAAAATAGAGTGTGAGAGTGGGGTGGAAGACTGTGGCCGGTACCCTTCTGTGATTGAATTTGGTAAATATGAAATCCAAACCTGGTACTCCTCGCCTTACCCACAGGAATATGCAAGGTAATGGAATAAGTCTGGCAGGTGTATAACTTGAATGTCACATATGTGAGAAAGGAAAATTCTTGATTCTAAAGCAGGAATTAGGGATGATTTTAGGAAATAAATTTTGGTAGTCAATGCCAAGTGCTTCCCAAACTATTGCTTTTGCCAGCACCTTTTTATGGTATTCCTTGTTCTCGGTAAATTCCTTATGCTCCTTAGTTACATGGGCATTATAAATTTTGCCATTTAGCTTCTAGATTGTGCTTTCTTTCCTTGGTTAATTGGGGAAATGTTGGTTTTGTATGAAACCAAATTAAAAAAAAAAAAAGAAATTTGCCATGGTGAATTATTGGGTAGACTTTCTTCTCCAGTTGTCTTTTATATTTTTTAATTAGGCCTGTTACTTTTATCTCTGATTTCTGGCATTTTATTTTCAAGTTTTTAATAGAAATTTAGCAAAAGAAGGAAAAATGGGAGAAAGTAAGTGGGAATGGGTAGTCTTAAGAGACCCTTCCCCAAATTTTTACTTTAGAACATTTGTGACTTTGAAGAGAAGGCCAGGCCCGGTGACTCACTCCTGTAATCCCATCACTTTGGGAGGCCAAGGTGGGTGGATCACCTGAGGTTAGGTGTGCAAGACCAGCCTGGCCAACATGGCAAAACCCCATCTCTACTAAAAATACAAAAATTAGCCAGACGTGATAGGACATGCCTGTAATCCCAGCTACTCGGGAGGCTGAGGCAGGAGAATCACTGGAACCCAGGAGGTGGAGGTTGCAGTAAGCCGAGATTGCACTACTGCACTCCAGCTCAGGTGACAGACCAAGATCCCATCTCAAAAAATAAAAAATAAAAAGGAGAAAATAATGGTATCCAAGTTTTTGTTTGTCTTGAACTCAAGATTAGCCTGTGAACGAATATATCCCAAAATGGGTACATTGAGAATAGATGTCTTCCATAAAGTATGTCAGGGTACACTTTACTAGTATCTTCAAAAATTTTTTAGTCTGCAAAGTTTTCAGTATTTATAAACTTGATTTTCTTATAGAATAGATCTTATTTTTTTTCGTTAGCATGTGAGTGTCTGGCCAATCACGTAACTGGAGAAAATGCTAAGTGTTTTCTAAAAGTTAAGTGACAAAATAAGAGTCAAGAATTTTGGTTTCTCCTTCCTTATACCATTTGGTTGTGTGTTCTTGAACAATTTTAAAAGACTATGAGCTTTAATTTGCATAGGTAATGATAAGCCATGTGCTCTGAAAGATTTGAATAAAATTTGTACATAAGTGCAAGATTTGAAAGTAGTCTCACCTGTGTCTGCCTCTCTCTTGAAAACCTTTTTCCCCATTCTTATACTCCAAAGACCTTGCAAGTGCTTCTAAACATTTTCTTATAAATACCAGCCATGTTCATTAAGATATGGAAATAAAAAATGTTCTGATTTTTAAGGTGGAGAAAAAGTCAGCAGGGAAGAGAGGTGTTTGTCTTTTACTCAAAGTAACAGTGGAATTGGTAGAAAACAAATTAGGTCTTTTGATTTTCAGCCGTGCTATTTACTGCATTTAGACCATATATAAATCTCTGATAATAACTTTAAAGTTACCTCTTCCAGAGGTGGAAATGGTAACAACTAAGTTTGAGGACTTTTCAGCCTCATATGTATGCAGATTGTTTAAAATAATAAATTCACTTCTGAGTAAGATATTATATCTATACCACTAACCATATATAATTGGAAATAAGATAGTAAATGTGAATTTTGAAAAATATGCTTGGTCCCTTGACAGGATGATATCCTTATTAAGTTGATTTTTTAGGGTGGTGGTTCCACATCTGTAAAGCTTTCTTTATATAGGATATTTTTAAGGAAACAAATTATTTGTTCACAAAGTAAAGGGAGCACATATTATGGATTATATTAAAAAATAATGTATGGTTGTTTTTACATTCTGTCTTTACTATTGGCTGGCTTTCTTTCTTTCTTTCTTCCTTCCTTCCTTCCTTCCTTCCTTCCTTCCTTTCTTCCTTTCTTTCCTTTCTTTCCTTTCTTTCCTTTCTTTCTTTATTTTTTTGACGGTGTCTCACTCTGTTGCCCAGGCTGGAGCGCAGTGGTGCAATCTCGATTCACTGCAACCTCCGCCTCATGGGCTTAAGCGATCTTCCTGCCTCAGCCTCCCAAATAGCTGGGACCACAGGCATGTGCCACCACGCCCAGCTAATTTTTGCATTTTTAGTAGTGATGAGGTTTCACCATGTTGGCCAGGCTGGTCTCAAACTCCTGATCTCAGGTGATCTGCCTGCCTTAGCCTCCCAAAGTGCTGGAATTACAGGTGTGAGCCACTGCACCCAGCCTCCAATGTTATTATACAGCCTTTTTATGATGTAGAGAAAATTGAACAATATTTAATCTTCCCCCCAACAGTATAATCTATCTGATAGATTCTATGATTTTTAAACTTTAACAGATTACCAAAGCTTTACCTGTGTGAATTCTGTCTTAAATATATGAAAAGTAAAAATATTTTGCTAAGACACTCCAAGAAGTGTGGATGGTTTCATCCTCCAGCAAATGAAATTTACCGAAGGAAAGACCTTTCAGTATTTGAGGTAAGCGCGTGTAAATAAAAAAATTCAGCTTTTTGAAATCTAGTACTCCTAATTGTTGACTATGTGCTGATTTGTGTTTAGAAGGTACAAAGTATACTTAATTTTGGCACTGAAATTCAGACTGCCCTTTAAAACATCTCCATGTTTTGGAATGTTTATCTAACCATATTAAGCAACCATTTAGACTGATGAAGAATCCCTACTTCATCACATTAACATTTTTGTCTTCCCCAAAATCCCTGTCTACACTAGATATATTCACCATGAATTTATGATCTCCTCAGCTCTTTGTAAATTCTACTTTCTTTGGCAGGAGAAATGAGCTTTGTTCAGCAGCTCCAGCCAATGTCTGGCAGGTGCTCACTCTTCCAGGGAATTGAGCAGCTGTACATATCTCCTCAATACACAACCACCTGTGTTTCCATCCACTTCTTGGCAGTGTGGATAATCCTTTTGGTGAGACCCTAGCAGATGTTGGGACTCCCTCCCATCTGGGTAGATGGCCACCCCTGAAGAACTCTGCTGTTCACAGGAACCCCTTGTGGCCATATGTCTGTCATTGTGGGTTTCTTGAAGACATTTTGTATTTCCAGAATTGATTTCGTAGCAGGCCTTTGCCTCTATATAGTTGCATTGTTTAATTATGTATCTGTTGTCAGTTTCAGGGATTCCGTTAAGCTGAGTCAGTTTCACCTTGAGGAGACCATGCCTTTCTCACAGGTTACTGTCTGTCTGCAGGGCTTTTCACGTTTCTCCTTTATGCTCTTCCCTCCACTTGCACACTTCTGTTGTCTGCTGCATTTTCTCCTCTGTGACCCATTGTGGTGTGCATTGGTGCTCATTCCTAGGTGCTTGAAACAAGCCTACCTTGTACAGCAAACGTGATGTCCTCTTTCTCTGGAATATAGTTTCACTTCTGGATTTTCTTTTTCTGAATTGTTCAGGCTGAAACTTATTATTCTGCCTTACAGTTCTCTTTATTTCTGGCCTGCAGTGTCTTGCCATCCTATTAAATAAAGGGAAGGTTGTAGGTTTCTCACATGGACCAGGCTCCTTCTCAGACAGGTCTGGGCCCACTAGTTTTTCCCCAAGACTGATCAGAGAACATGGGAAACTCCAGTTGTGTCTTATGATTTTTTTAAAGCTTTCTCTTTTTCTATCAGCTCTTTCGGTAAGCTTGGAGGAAGAAGGGTATTGTTGCTGGGAAGATTAGGTGATATATTAGTTCTTACTAAAAGCTAGGCACTTTTGACATTTCAAGCTGGTTAGTTCTTTGTTGTAGGGGCTATGCTATACAGCGTAGGATGTTTAGCAGCATCTCTGGCCTCTGCTAATTGGATGCCAGTAGCACCACCACCCCTTCCAGTTGTGCCAACCAAAAATGTCTCCAGACGTAGCCAAACATCCCCTGGGGGCGCAGAATCACCCCCAGTAAGAACCAGTGGGCTAGAAGGAAGGCTGAATGCACGTTGCCTGACCTTCCTGTTGGTATGCTATCCTGCCAGCCCCAGCCAGCTGAGGTGACAGAGCTGCTCACAGTTGAAGCTTAGCTAATGTCACAAGTTCAGCTTTCCTATTGGCTCCTTCCTTGATGCCTTAGATCTTTTCTTCCAACCAAAACATTGTTTCTCAAAGCTCAAAACACATTGTTGGCCTTAAGTAATTATTTCATAAATCAGCATGAGTCAGCACTGGGATTGAAGCTCTCATAAATCCATGGAACGTCTTCTCATGGGCAAGGGAATCAGTCTTGTTAGGATGGTAAGAATGGGCTGTTCTTTCAGGGCAGGTGCTTTTGGACCATCCAGAGATGAGAGGGGAGACATCAGAAGCATGTATGTAAAATTCACTTATACGAATAAGGAGTTGGATTTGATAAGTACCGAGGTCCCTATTCTAGAATCTGAGTTAATAGAGTATAACATTTGGGCAACTTTTCTCCTAGCAGTTTCTTACAAAACTTATAAAATAAAGGAGGAATAATCACACATTACGATTTTCTGGCCTTCCCTTTCTTTATTCCTCTTACACTTTTCACAACCAATCAGAATTTTCTTCAGCACTGTCATCTCTGTATTTTTCTGGTTCACAGTTATGTATATCTCCATCTTTCCTTTTTGTAATATACTACCATTTCCAAAAGGGCCATACTCTCAAATACATGTAAACTTCCTTTAATTAAAGGGAGAATTGTATCCTCTGTGCCCATTGCCCATATTTGATTGTGTTGCTATGTATGGGACCTAGGTTCCATCCGAGGGAAATAGTTATATGAAATCTAAAAATAATTTGTGCAAGATGAGAACCCGTATGGTCCACAGGAGACCTGAGAATGGTCAAGTTCATTGTTTCAGAGCTCTGGTTAGCAAATATCCATTTCCCTTAAGAAAAGTGCTAGGGAAATTCTTCTTGAATCTGCTGTGTTTTCTATTTTCAAAGAGTAACTACATTTGATCAAAGAAATTGGCATCTGTGCCTAGCCTCCTGTCTATAGCCATCAGTATCACAGCTTGATTCTTTTATTTTGAAGAGAAGTAGACTGTAATCATAGTGCTTATTGTAGGTTGAAATTCATATCACTTTCTCTGTAAGTATTCCCAACATAGATATTTTATCTTTTCCAATTATATTTAAGATGATGCTTGGGATAAAACCAAAATGGAAACCTCTTTGCTAATCCACACTTCTGAGGAATCAGAATAATACAGTTCATTTATTTTAGTTTTATGTGAAACCCTTTTGAAACAACATAAAGTTTAACTTACTTGAGAAGTATTTTGATCTGTTTATATTTCCTTAATACAGATTTATTCGGTTCAGATAGAGAGGACATGCCTGATCATTTTTAGCTCAGAATAAATTACAAGTAAAAATTACTCCTTTACTAGTGGTTTGGCCCTTCTTTGGTAGCTTAAAGAGAAATTTTAACTACCTTAAATGTACCCTAATTTAAGAGAAAATGTGGAATTCTGATTTGCCAGTGACAGCTGTTTTCTGGTTAAAGCTGTACTTGCTTAATAGAGTGTTTTAATCTCTCAGTTTAGGATTTGGAAATAAAATGATGTACTTTCTGAAATACCATATAGAAGAAACAATTTTATATGGTGCAGTATTTTTATGTTAAATAATGTTGTCTGTTTCTTTTTGCTAGGTTGATGGGAATATGAGCAAAATTTATTGCCAAAACCTTTGCTTGTTAGCCAAGCTCTTCCTGGACCACAAAACGTTGTATTATGATGTCGAGCCATTCCTTTTTTATGTCCTTACAAAAAATGATGAAAAGGGCTGTCATCTGGTTGGATACTTCTCTAAGGTAAAACAAGAGCCAGCATGACCTTCATTTTCTTTTTCAAAATGTTTTTGGTAGAGCCCAATTCTTTGAACAGGGCTTTTTCATTACTATAATTTGAATAAGTGACATGTGTTTTTGAAAAGCTCAGGTTCTTGTTCAGAGCTCATTTTAAAAGATGAAAACAAAAAACATGGTGCCTAGTAAGTGTGTAAAGGACCTCAGCACTGTGTGCCGCCTTGATGACACTCTAATTGCTGCCTTGTGGACCACTTAGCGTCTTTGATTTTCTCAGTGTTTAGCTTATTTCCGTTTTCCCTTTAAGTGGTGTCAACATGAAGGTTTCAGTTTAGTGTAGCATTTAAGAGAGAATTCTCCTTTCTCCTTGTTGCCTTCCCTCTGTGGTCAACAGTATCTCAGTGAGTTAGGACGCTGGCATTTGGACAGTCAAGCTGATAAAATGACTGGTTTTACACTTTTGTCTCTTATTCTCTGTGCTATGGTTTTAAGTTCTAAAGCAATCTCACCTTTAGAAAGCCTAAGTATCAGCCGGGCTCAGTGGCTTACGCGTGTAATCCCAGGACTTTGGGAGGCCGGGGTGGGCGGATCATGAGGTCGAGAGATAGAGACCATCCTGGCCAACATGGTGAAACCCCATCTCTACTAAAAATGCAAGAAATTAGCTGGGCCTGGTGGTGCACGCCTGTAGTCCCAGCTACTTGGGAGGCTGAGGCAGGAGAATTGCTTGAACCTGGGAGGTGGAGGTTGCAGTGAGCCGAGATCGCGCCACTGCACTCCAGCCTGGCAACAGAGGGAGACTCCATCTCAAAAACAAAACAAAACAAAACAAAACAAGAACAAAGAAAGCCTAAGTATCTCTGGCTGTTAGAGTGGGGAAAACAATCGACATATTGAGGGGACGGATATAGCTTGTCCTTTTTACTGGTTCAGAGCAGTTCACTCACATTCTTCTGCTCAAAGGCTTCTAAGAAACAATAACTCCTTTGCAATAAAGGAAAACTGAGTTTGGAGATGTTTACCAGGTAATGACCTTAACTTTTCTGAGGTACCTAGGAAATAGTTAAATGTACCAGGATGGTACATAAATAGAGACAATAATTATGAGACTTTTAGATAGAAGGTCCAAACTCTCTTATTTATGATATTTTTTTATATTAGGTGATACATGAATTTTAATGAATCTGCTCTTGCACAATGTAAATGGGATGCTTTATAGAAGTGCCATTTTAATGAAGTTTCAAAAGATAGAATATATGTGAAGGTACTTGCAAACTATAGCTATCCTAAATTTAAGAATCAACCCAAAGATCATAAACAAAAATAAGTAACAGCATTCATGGAAAACTGTCTCAGTGTTTTAATCCACATATTTGGTAAAGCTTTAAAATGAAAAAGAAGAAAGTTAATTTGCACATTACAAATTCAAAAGATGATAGAGAATTAACACTGAATAAAACAATAAATAGGAAATCTATATGATTAATAAATAAAACACCTTACCTTTTATGTAGGTTTGTCAAGATCATTCTTCTCCAGAAACTTAAAAAGAATAGTGGTTGCGTCCTTGCTGTTAGAAAATGGTGTTTCTTTCATTGTCTGTGGATTTAAACATAGGCTTAACGGTGCCCACCTTCCTCGTGCTGCACTGACCATCCCACTCCTGGGTCTTGTGTTGGCTGCTGAGTAGCAGCCATGTGTAGAGTTGGTGGTGATTCTTGAAGTTTGAATTTCTGCCTCTCTTCCTGCCAGGGTACCCAAAATTTTACTCAGAACTAGCTCAACTTTTCTCATAGTTTCTTCTATAGCATGGCAGCAGCTGCTGTTATTTCCTACTATTCTGGAATACTAATATGCCTTGGCAGTATAGTGAAACAAAAATTAATCTAAAAAATAAGCATGTTAAAAGACTAGATGAGGCCGGGTGCGGTGGCTCACGCCTGTAATCCCAGCACTTTGGGAGGCCGAGGTGGGCAGATCATGAGGTCAAGAGATCGAGAGACCATCCTGGCCAACATGGTGAAACCCCGTCTGTACTAAGAATACAAAAATTAGCTGGGCATTGTGGCACCCTGTAATCCCAGCTACTCTGGAGGCCGAGACAGGAGAATCCCTTGAACCCAGGAGGCGGAGGTTGCAGTGAGCTGAGATTGCACCACTGCACTCCAGCCTGGCAACAGCAAGACTCCATCTCAAAAAAAAAAAGACTAGATGAAACTAAACCATATTCTCATGTGTCAGCTGGAATCTAGAGGACTCTGGCCCTTTGGGGCTATTCTTGAACCACATTCTAGAGGTTATTAGAACTACAGTTCAAGGATAGCCAGAGAAGGGCTGGAATGACCTGGAAAGGTTCAGTGCAAATTGTTACATGCATATGACTTTCCAAGCACATAATAGATGGCTGTAAACAGAAAGGAAAGAAGGATTAGTTATTTTATTCATAGCTTAGAATTTAGCTGTAGTAACATGTTAAGCTGCACGGAGGGGAAGAAGGATCACTACTATGTTGGATCTCAAAAAACTCCGAAAGGTGGAAATGGTTCTGGACAAAGCAAGGAATGGTATCAAGGATGAATTCTCTTAACCCAGAGTACATTTCTTTTTAGAGAGAGTGACCCATTTGTCTAACTTTGCAAAACAGACGAATTACTTGAACCTTTGCCATTGATGTGCACATCCAGTGAGGGACAATTCATCTTCTTAGAAAAACTGACACACATTGCTTCATCCTCATTTTTTAGAGGCTCCATAGACAACTACAAATGTGCAAAAGTTGGGAGTACATCTTTTTCACAAAGAAATCTTCAATTCTGCCCTGTAGGGTTTTTTCCACAACCATCTCCTGTGATCTTTCAAATTGGTTCATTAAAGATCTGGGTGTTCTGAAGTAATTCTTTGGTGTGGTCTGTACCATTTGTGGTCAGTCTTATTTGTGGTTTATATTTGGCCAGAGCATCCACGACCTCAAAAGCCTTTTCCAGATCTCTGTGTAGGTTTTGGCAACTTCTTTGTACTCTGAATAAAAAAATACTGCCCTGATGCCACATCCCATGAAAGTTGCAAATTCTTCTTTAACTGTAAGAGCTGTTTCTTACCATGTTCTACCCAGTCTTCCTCCTGGTTTCAAACTGTTCGTAATATTTTGGTCTAACCTTTGTTTGGAGGCTTTAGGGTTTCTTGTTGTTGTCTTTTTGTTTCATTTTATTTTGTTTTCCTGGTTTGAAATGCAGATTATTTCTCTAGCTTTTTACATTGACTTTTTATTCATAGGAGAAATATATGTGTGCACATCTACCCACACAGATACTGTTTTAGTTTCACTGGGACATTTGCCCAAAGGCAGAAGACAGATTGCTGTTGCAGAGTTGTAGATTATTATTATATTTAGCAAGATAGCCAGCTAAATCCTAACTTACTCCACTGGGTGACTCCCTGGGATGTTATTTTCTCTATCTCTGAAGTTATTTGAGCAAGGAAAGCATTTCTTTTATGCTGTCTATATTCTGTTTTATTTGGTTCATATATTTCCTTGGATTCTTTATGCATATTTTATGGCACTGACTTTCAAGAATAAAGATGTAGTTGAGAGGCATGTCAGAGTCGATGGTTTGTTGTTAATTGATAGTTTGATTGATTAATATAGTAGGATTTTTCTGCTTGATCCTGACCTAACCCATTGGCTTTCTTTAGTGGACAGTTTTACAAGGACAGTGGCAGGTGCAGGGAATTGCCCACTTCAGCAGGGCTCTGACATACTTGATCTGTTTCTCCTTCCCTCAGGAAAAGCTTTGCCAGCAGAAGTATAATGTCTCCTGCATAATGATCATGCCCCAGCACCAAAGGCAAGGATTTGGACGGTTTCTCATTGATTTCAGTAAGTGAAGTACTTTATTTACTTTCATGATCCAGGAAGCTGATGGCCGTTACAGGAAACAGTAAAATATAAAACTTTATTTAACCTGCATTGTTGTTTTTATCAATAGATAATGGGCTTTCTATTTATATTTACATAGGTTAGAACATCTTCCTCAAGTGAAAAATGTACTGCTGCTCAGTGATTGTACTCTAGGAAATTGAGACTAGATCTCTCGGCAGCAGGCCTCATGCACAAAGCCATTACCCTGAATGAACCGACAGAATTACATTCCATTTTGTGGTGCTCATGCTCATTAGCACCAAAAGAGGCAATTATTTGTGATTAAAGCTAAAGGAAGTATTATTTGAAAGGATTTTCAGCTCTCTGAAATTTTGCCTATAATCTTGTACAGTACAAAGCAGAAAAGGTATATTTCCATTTAGAAAAATAATTTTCTAGGCAGCTTATCCTGGGCCTTGCTAGTAGAAATAACTCTTACCTTATTTTGTTAATTTCCCTTTTCTATTATGGAAATTAATACAGTGTTTGTATCTAGAGGTTTCCCAAGAAATATTTATCTTATATGCACTCATATCTTCTGAACCTTCTCAGTTAAAACCGGCATAATATATAAAAGTATGCACATGGATAATGTTTTTAAAAATGGTAGTTTTTTTTTTCCTCCTTGTTTATATTATACTGGATGTGTAAATGTTGTGTTAGGGGTACATTTGGAGAATCAATTCAAAATATCTAGATAACATGATGACCAGATAACCCATGATAATAGTCATTTCTCGTCATGTAAAAATCTGTCACTGGCCGGGCGTGGTGGCTTATGCCTGTAATCCCAGCACTTTGGGAGGCCAAGGCAGGTGGGTCACAAGATCAAGAGATCGAGACCATCCTGGCCAACATGGTGAACCCCATCTCTACTAAAAAATACAAAAATTAGCTGGATGTGGTGGCACACACCTGTACTCCCAGCTACTAGGGAGGCTGAGGCAGGAGAATCACTTGAACCCGGGAGGTGGAGGTTGCAGTGAGCCGAGATGGTGCCACTGCACTCCAGCCTGGGTGACAGAGTGAGAGACTCTGTCTCAAAAAAAAAAAAAAAAAAAAAAAAAAAAAAAAAGTCTGTCGCTAGGAACCAGGTGCTTCTTGATTACCAGATTGCAGTTTATCTGATTATTAACTGAAAGGAGGAAAATTTAGGACTTTGCACAATCTTCATCAGCTACATCAGATGCAAAAACCACAATGTAAATGCGCTTACAGAAAACCATGAAGAAATATAGTGAATCTAAATCTATATTGTTAGGTATTAAAAGATTAAGGTCTGATTAAAGTGTAAAATAACTGAATAGCAGTTTTGGACTGATTTATATGATTTATTG
Organism: Homo sapiens; assembly: GCF_000001405.40. Lineage (NCBI taxonomy): Eukaryota > Metazoa > Chordata > Mammalia > Primates > Hominidae > Homo > Homo sapiens. The sequence goes on from NC_000010.11 coordinate 74,990,492, forward strand.
ACATTGAAGAATATGATTCTTTTAAAAGAAGAATTTTGATTATTTTTCTCTTTTTAGATAATATTTTTAGTTATTTATTAATTACCCTAGTCTTATCTATACTTTCCTGACCTAATTATCCATGAAACCAGTAATCCCAAGGAGGGCCACCTTACCAAATGCAGTGTACCATTTTTATTTTTATAGAGTCCTAGCTGTAATCATTTCTGAGGGCAAAACCATTTATCTTGTTCTCTAGTTTTGTGTGGCTACCATTCATAAGTAGTTCATAAATATAGTTTCTGGTATGCATAGCAGCCATTCAAGCCTTAAATGTTTGGTCATATCTATATGCCTACAGAATAAGGCAAACTCCTTAGCTCAATATTTAACGTCTTCCAACATCTAGTTCCAGCCTGTCCTTTAGGCTTTTTCATCTACTAATCTCCTTTTTCTCAAATAGTCTGAGCATGGTCCTATACCTCTATTTTTTTGTCTATTCAGTCCCTTCCTTGAAATGATCACCTCGTCCTTTCCTAGACTCCGTCTGTTCAAAATCCTGCCCATTGTTAAGAGCCAGCTCAAGAATCTCTGCTTTTTGATCCCACCTCCTGGAATTTTATCTCATACCTTTATTTTATCTTATACCATATTCTATATGGTATCACACTTACACTCTGTTCACCCTTTTATGATAATTATTGATGGAGGTTTCATACTTCCAACTTCTCTGTATCCACTAGGACAGTTTCCTTTATAATAATATGTATTAGATGATATAAATTAAATTTTATTGATATAAACTAAATTTCCAAATTGATATATGGTTGCTGTCCACAATCATTGTCTACCTAAAATTAAAAAGGAACTGGTACTTACTAGGTAAAAGTTCAAGCTCTAAATTCAGTAGTATCTTATTTGTACAGCATGATCTGGCACTAAGGCCTTCTACATAAGAGAACAATCTGGGTAACAAATACATTATCTTCAAATGCTATGTCTTTTTTTTAACCATTTTAGTGAAAACTGTTACTAGAAACTACCTTGTATTATTAAACTACAGAACACATTGAAACCTTTTCTCAGTGGCTCCAGGCCACCATGATGAATGCTGTCCACCAGGATGTGAGCAGGCAAAGTAGTGCTGAGGGTGTGGTTTTTTTCTTTTCTCTTTCCTGTACACCTAGCATTGCCCCTACTGGAGTGAGTTAAGAAGTGCAGTGAAAGATTTGAATAAAGTTGAAGAGACTGGTGTTATTCCCTCAGAGAAGGGGAAACTAGGGGAAGAATTTTATAGCACTCAAAGAAAATGGGAACTGGTGTAAACCCAATAGAAATTCAGTTTAAAACCAAAAGAATTTCTTGGCTATAAAAGTTTTAAGGAAGATAGAGTAGGCTGCTGAAGAAATTAATAGCACCTTCTCTTGGAAGTTACTTAAAGTAATAGTAGATAAATATCTTTCCAAAATGATTGAAATCCAGCCTTTGAAGGTAGGGATGAGTCACATGACCTCTCATGATCATTTTTGATCTCATAATTTGGAGCCCAGGATAGAAAGCTAACTAGGGTTACAGGTTTTCTAAAATCTGCTCTGGTTTTTTAAAGGACTTTTTAATGGTTAAATTTATTTTATTTCTATTTGGTAAATGAGCCTGGGGCCTTTTGGTCAGGGATGTATTTTCAGTAAGTCAAATGAGGTTGTAAATCAGGTAGATCTTTATAATTGCCAGTTTAGTAAGCTGAAACACGATACGAGCAGGGAGAAAGATATAGCCGCCCACTTGCACACTTGATCACAGACATGGGTGGAATGTGATGCACTGTGTGTATATACATGCTCCTAGACTTACAGTGGGGCTGTGGGCTGATAAACCCATCATAAAGTGAAAATATCATAAATTAAAAATACATTTAATACACCTAATCTACCAACCATCATAGCTTAGCCTGGACTTTAAATGTGCTCAGAACACTTACATTACCCTACAGTTGGGCAGAATCATCCAACACAAAGCCAATTCTATAATAAAGTGTTGAATATCTCATGTAAGAGTGTTGTACCACATATCGCTAGCCCAGGAAACGATCAAGTATGGTTTTTACTGATCATACCATAGTAAAGTTGAACCAAGTTGTAAGTTGTAAGTTGAACCAGTTGTAAGCCAAGGACTGTCTGTATAAAGAACTGCAAATGCAGGGCTTTGAACACTGTTCTTCAGGGCAGCAGAGTGAGGTGGAATGGTCATCCATGGGACCATGTGCTGCTTGCAGAGTAAGTCATTTGTATATCACTTCCTAGACCAGCTTCTCTGGGATTTGTCAGAGCAAGGCTCCCCAGGAGGCCATTTGCAGAGTTTGGCCAGAGTGAGTAAAGGGCACCAACTCCCAATCTGGTTATAAACTCCCTAGTGGGTTTTATGACTCTTTGCCCACAATTGGAATGGGTGGAGGAGAGAGTGACTATCGTGGATTGGTTGAGAACGCATTCCTTCCTCTTGGATTCTAGGATTCCCTTTCTCAGTCAGAAAATTTGAAAGTCTTCCCCATCTCTGTCTGTAAAGTCTTTCTATCTCTCTCTCCCTCCGTCCCCACCAGACATCTCAGAACTTCAGAGAACTCCCTTGCCCACAAAACATTTGCAGTTCCTACTTCAGAGCCTCACACCGTCAAGGCAAGGAGCTCTTCTTCTCCCAGCCACTGCTGAGCACTGGGGGCCCAGAGTGCTCCCTCCCAAGCCCTGGACTGCTTCTGCTGCTGGGGCTGCCCAGCAATGCCTTATCCATCTCACTATTTTTTTCTTTAATTTTGAAATAATTTCAGACTTAGAGAAAAGCTCTAAGAATAATACCAAAATTTCCCGTACATTGTTGCACATGTTCACATTTTATCACATCTGTTTTCTGCTCTATTATTCTCAATCTCTCCCTTTGTTTCTCTTCTCTCTCATATTTTCTTTTCAGAATCATTTGAGAGTAAGTTGAAGATGTGTTGCACCTTTACCCCTAAATATTGCAGTTTTTCTACAAAGATGCTCTCATATATAGCCACAATACAAATTATTAAAATCAAGATATTAAAGTAATTTATGCACATTTGTTCAAATTTTAAATTTTGCGAGATTATACTGATGTTCTTTCTGGAGGAAAAGAAAAATCTCCTACTCCAGGATCACATGGAGTATGTAATTATGTCCCTGGGGCCTCCTTTAATCTGGAATAGTACCTGCTTTTTTGTTTTGTTTTGCTTTGCTTCGTGTTTTCCATGATTTTGATATTTTTTAAGCATACAGGCCATTTATTTTGTATGGTGTGCCTCAATTTGGGCTTATCTGATGTTTCCTCATGATTAGATTTAGGCTGTACATTTTTTGGCAGGAATACCATAGAAGTGACCGTATGTCCTTCCCAGTGCATTTCATCAGGATCATATGATAATACATTTGTCTCATCACTGGGTTAAGGTGGTAACTGCCAGGCTTCTTCACTGTGAAATTACCATTTTTCGCTTTGTAATCAGTAAGCATCTGGTGAGAAGATACTTTGGGATTATATAAATATCAATTCTCATCCAATTTTCACCTCCTAGTTTTACCATTCACTTATGGCTCTTATCTAAAATAATTATTACTATGATAATTACCAAATGGTAATTTTCTAATTCCATTCTTTCTACAACTTACTAATTGGCATTCTAGAAGGAAGAATTATTTCTTCTTCCCCATTTATTTAATTTTTTTGTATAATTGTGGGTTTTAATTTTATTCTATAGGTTATAACCTGTCATTACCATGATTGATTTTGATGTTCCCCAAACATCAAATTGTCCCAGATTTATTTATCAGCAAATGTTTCAAGTGGGTTCTTGTGCCTTTTCCACATGCTTCCATCCTGTGGATTCTTCCTTCCTTTCTGCCACAGCATGATGTTCCAGGTTTAGCTTATCCTTTTCTTAAGCCAGCCCTGGAATCATCCATTTCTCCCAAGCCTTGGTTCCTTATGGTGGAGAACAGTAGTTAGGAACCAGGATCTGGGCTGGGTGAGGTGGCTCATGCCTGTAATCCCAGCACTTTGGGAGGCCGAGACAGGCGGATCTCTTGAGGCCAGGAGTTCAAGACCAGCCTGGCCAACACGGTGAAACCCTGTCTCTACAAAAAAAAAACACAAAAATGAGCCGGGCTTGGTGGCAGGCGCCTGTAGTCCCAGCTACTTGGGAGGCTGAGGCAGAGAATTGCTTGAACCCGGGAGGTGGAGGTTGCAGTGAGCTGAGATTGCACCGAGCTGAGATTGCACCACTGCACTCCAGTCTGGGTGAAAAAGCAAGACTTCATCTGTTAAAAAAAAAAAAAAAAATGGAGGAAACCAAGTTCTGATCACTTAAATGTGCCCATTGCTGCTTGGGTGTCACTGCTTCTAGCCCTCTCAGAGGACAGAGCTAGGATAGCATGCATATTTATATCCATGTATGTGCACATATACATATGGGTGTTATAAACACATATGCGTGTACACACACACTCCCTTCATGAGTTCAGACCATTCCAGATCTGCGCCACCATACGGTTGTATTCTGTCTTTCCCTCTTCCCATGTAATTCCTTTCTCTGACAGTGAGAACCCTGACTTCCATTACCCACAATATACTTATGTGCTACACCCTAGAATACACAGTAAGTAGTTTCAGAATTACTAACTCATGCCATTGTGAAAAACAAACCTCTTAAGTGGAGGTCAATATTTATATATGGTTCCTTTTGGCTTTACCCCAAGTGTATTTAGTCAAAACACTGTGTTTAAATGTTACTAGAGTTAGTTTTTCTCCCCCTTCAGTGTTACTGTAGTATTCATTGGAATACAATTAGGCTTATTTGTTTCTGTTTGTTTTTTATTTTATACTTGTTACCTTTTTAAATTAGAATGTAAAACATTAACATGATTTTAAAAATGGAAACTGTATTAAAGGGTATTCTCAGTGAATGTGCCCTCTCTACCCATTCCCATTCCCTCATCCTTTCCTGCAGGTCTCCAATCTCATTAGCTTGTAGTTTATCCTTCCTGTTTCTTTGTGTACAAATGAGCAGATAGATGTGCATTTTTCTAATTTCTCCTCCTTTCTAACACAAAATGTAGCATACTATAGGTAGTCTTTTGCATTTTGATTTTTCCAGTATATCCTGGAAATGACTTCATAGAGATTTCTTTTCTTTGACAGCTGCACTCTACTCCGTTGCATGCATGTATACAGTTTGCTTACCTGCTTTCCTATGTATGGGTTTATAGGTTGTTTCCAATATTTTGCAGTTTAAAAAGTAGTGTCATGAGTAATCTTGGGCATATTTTGACTGATAGATACTTAGGTAGCAGTTATTGTATATTAGATATCCTTTCAGTTGTTAGGACTCTGTTTGGCTAGGTAATAAGTGAGCAGATAATGAATTGTCTTTTACTCGGGCCTGCAGAGCCAGAACCCTGGCTGATGGGCAGGATACAAAACCCGTTCTCCTGGGCTCTGACCCAGGAGAGACCGAGGGAACACCAACTGATTCAGCAGTAGGTGAGAGAACCAAGTGCCAGATGGTGGTGAGGGAGGTGGCACCATCACTCACATGTGTGTTTGTGTATATGCATTTATCTGATGCCAAACTGGAGGATAAAGGAAGATGCGAAGAGTCATGTCCTTCATTTTTTACCTCTTTACTTTAACCTTATTGATTGGGATACCACACTCTACATTCTGCTAAACATCAGCAACCAAAAGGGAAGAAGACATAGCTCTTGCTGGGCTGTCAAGTTCACTGACAAATCAACAAATGTTGCATAGTATTTTGGACAGTATGCCTTGAGAGCTCATAAGAAGTTGAAATGAAAACATTCTAGGCAGAGGGGAGCAGCATATTCACAAGCATGACTGCGTGAGGAAGCATGTTACATACCTGGGTAACTACAGCAGAAACTCCAGGTAGATTAAAGACTTGATTACCAAAAAACAGACACACAGAAACACTTAAAAAGCTAGAGGAGAGGTGGGGTGCGGTGGCTCACGCCTGTAATCCCAGCACTGTGGGAGGCCGAGGCAGGCAGATCACGAGGTCAGGAGATCGAGACCATCCTGGCTAACATGGTGAAACCCCGTCTCTACTAAAAATGCAAAAATTAGCTGGGTGTGGTGGCACACACCTGTAGTCCCAGCTACTCGGGAGGCTGAGGCAGGAGAATCACTTGAACCTGGGAGGCGGAGCTTGCAGTGAGCTGAGATCGCACCACTGCACTCCAGCCTGGGCGACAGAGCGAGACTCGGTCTCAAAAAAAAAAAAAAAAAAAAAGCTAGAGGAGAGATTATGTATAATTATTTATCTGATCTTTGGATGGTCAAGGACATCATAACCATCAAAGCAATGAAAGAATATGCAGATAGACTTGACTATATAAAAATATAGAACTTCTATCTAGTAAAAAGTATTAATATTTAAAGCAAACATAATGAGAAAGATGTTTGATGTTTACAACATATGTGCTAGGCAAAGTTTAATATCTATAGTGTTTAAATAAATATATATATACTTTTAAGTTTGGTAGCATTAAAACAAAAACCCTAATAGAGAAATGGGCAGAGGATCAGCTATGGTGGCTCATACCTGTAATCCCAGCACTCTGGCAGGCCGAGACAGGAGACTCACTTGAGCCCAGGAGTTCAACACCAGCCTGGGCAACACAAGGAGACCATCTCTCTCTCTTTCTCTCTCTCTCTCTCCCCCTGTTCTCCCCACCCCCCCATTCCCCTCCTTCTCTCGTCTCTCAATAAATACATAAACAAATAGGCAGAGGACAGGAACACAGAATGTACAGAAAAGGAAAATCACTGGTGGCCACGACATTGCTGACATTTACTGAGTGAGTAACATGTGCCAACCCCTTTCCTAAGAGTCCTGCATTTATTGATTGATTCATTCAGTCCTCACGGCAACAGTTGAGATATGTGCTTTTAGCCCCATTCTATGGGTGTTGAAATTGAGGCACAGTTACACAAATAAGTTGCACAGCTGCAAATTGAACCCAAGCACTTTAACTGTTAGCCACTCCACTCCGAAGTCTCTTAGGTATAATGGCTAATTCAAATATGAAAAAAAAATTGTTGGTGGTTTAAAAATGCAAATTTAGTAACTGCAAGATTACAATTTTTTGCCTACCACACTAACAAAGAGTTTACAACTTACCCAAATCTAACTAAGCTGGTGGAAAATGGACACCTTATTTACACTGAAGAAAGTGTATATTGGTAGGCATTTTCTGGAACTTTGACAGTGTGTATCAAAAACATCTAATGGTTTTTTTTTTTAATAAAATTTTATGTATTTAAAAACTAGGCTGGGGACAGTGGCTCACGCCTGTAATCCCAGCACTTTGGGAAGCCAAGGCAAGCAGATCACCTGAGGTCAGGAGTTCGAGACCAGCCTGGCCAACATGACGAAACCCTGTCTCTACTAAAAATACAGAAAATAGCCGGGCGTGGTGATGGGTGCCTGTAATCCCAGCTACTCGGGAGGCTAAGGCAGGAGAATCACTTGAACCTGAGCGGCGGAGGTTGCAGTGAGCTGAGATTGTGCCATTGCACTCCAACCAGGTGACAGAGTGAGACTCCATCTCAAAAAGTAATACATAAAACAAAAAATAGAGACAGGGTCTTGCTATGTTGCCCAGGCTGGTCTCAAATTATGGAGCTCAAGCATTTCTCCTGCCTTGGCCTCCCAAGTGTGGGATTCAGGTGTGAGCCACCGTGCCCAGCCTCCAATGGTTATTTTCTAAAGGAATTCATTCTAGGGAAATCAGCATATTTTAATCAACAAACATTATTTTCATAGTTAATATAGCAACATTATTTTGTTTCATATTATTATGTTTTAAATAGTGGACTTCTCTTTTTGCCTCCCTCCCCCAGCCCCTGATTATAGCAATATGGACTCATAGTAGAAAGTTAAAAAAAAAGGTGTAATTAATAGAAGAAAATGTCACCCAGAGAGTTAATGTTTTGGTATATTTGTCCTTCACACTCATTATTTACAACAGGTAAAAAACTAAAACAGACTTGATATTTCAAAGGCAAGAGAGAACCATTCCCACGAGAAAGTTATGGCACATCCATATAATGGAATATTATTAGCTGCTGAGAATTATGTTCTGACCAGGTGCAGTGGCTCATGCCTGTAATCTTTGGGAGACTGAGGCAGGAGGATCACATGAGCCCAGGAGTTCGAGGCCAGCCTGGGCAACATAGTAAGACCCCATCTCTACAAAAATAAATAAATGAAATTAGCTGGGCCTGGTAGCTTGTGACTGTAATTCCAGTTACTCAGGAGGCTGAGTCCTCCATTAAGGATGGCTTGATCCCAGGAGGTCAAGGCTTCAGTGAACTATGATTGCACCACTGCACTCCAACCTGGGCAATAGAACCAGACCCTGTTTCTTAAAAAAAATTATCTGGGAATTTGTAATGCTTGTGATAAGCAAGTGGCTTTCAAAATTATATATGTAATATGTTCTCAATTATGTAAAAAATATGCAAAGCAAAACAAATACATTTCTAGATGACCTCTGGAATTAGAATTACAGATACTTTTTATTTTCTTATTTATACTTTTTGCTGTAACTAAAAAGAAAAGAGGCCAGAGTCAATGGAGGCCTGACAGTGAGGATGCATGGAAAAGAGGCAGGTCCTGTTCGTTCCGTAGCAGGAGCATGCCTGGTGCAGAGTGGTGCTCAGAAAATACTGGTATTTATTGAATGCATAACTGAGCTTGGAGAGATAGTGAGCGCAGCTTTATGTAGCTTTCACTGTGCGTTTGGATGTCTACGTGCACTTTGCACAGACTCCAGAGCTCAGCAGGGGGTCTGCATTAGAGGGAGCAGCTGGGAGTCGTGGACATGCGGTGGTAGCTGAAACCATGGATGTGGGTGAGGGCAACCAGGGGGAAGTGTATAGGGAAACAGGGCTGAGGGTGGAGTGCTTGGAGTGTTAACATCTAAGGGACTAATAAAGAATGAGGAGCTCGCCAAGGAAATTTGCAAAGGGCCCAGAAGTCAGAAGAAAATTGGGAGATAATGGTGTTAGGAAAACCAGAAGAGGTCAGTATTTCAACAGTAACAGTCACAATAATCATCATAGCTGCCACTTCTAGAGCCCTTGCTATGTGTCAGGCACTGTTACCGGAATTACACACATTTACTCACTTAGTCCTCACGGAGACCCTATGGGGTAGGTTACTGTGACCATCTCTCTTCTGGGACGAGACACTAAGAGACTTGTCTAAGATCATCCCCCAGAGATTCAGTGCCCCAGAGAGAAAGTCATAAGAAGTATTCTTTGGACAACTGTATATTAAGTGCGATTAAAAGTAGATTCAAAAAGCTTTTGACTGTTTTATTCTGTTTGGTTGGGCGTAGCGTCTCACGCCTGTAATCCCAGCACTTTGGGAGTCTGAGGTAGGTGGACCACTTGAGGTCAGGAGTTCAAGACCAGCCTGGCCAACATGGTGAAACCCCATTTCTACTAAAAATACAAAAATATGGATGTGGTGGCATGTGCCTGTAGTCCCAGCTACTCAAGAGGCTGAGATAGGAGAATCACTTGAACCTGGGAAGCAGAGGTTGCAGTGAGCTGAGATCACCCCACTGCACTCCAGCCTGGGCGACAGAGCAAGACTCTGTCTTTTTTTTTTTTTCTTTTTTTAAAACAAAGCAAAACAAAACAAAACAAAAGCTTGACTGTCAAGGGCTGGGGACACAGGAACCTAGTTGTCTTTATTTTTAAGCTGGAGAGCCTGGAGCATGTGTATGTACATCAGTAGGGAAAAGAAAGAGCAGCGCTGATGGAAAAAATCGAGGGGAAAACAAAAAGCAACATCCAGGCAGGTGGTTTATTACAAAGTCTGATCTGGCATTTGATGAAATTCAACATTCTCTCCTAACTAAAATACTTAAACCTACTAACTAGAACTATAAGGGTTCTAAATCTCAGATTAACTTTTTCTTTTTTATCGGGGGCAGACGGACGTGTAACTAACGCTATAAAGGGTAAAGGACAGCTGGATCCAAGTCTACAGACTTACGTCTATAGTTTTTAGAGACCAGATAAACTTGCCATTAATATTAATTAATGGCAAGTTCGTCAGTTAAGTTAAATATCAGTTAATTGTACATTCAGGCATTTCTAAAATTAGTATGTTTGTGGAATAATCATAAAAATGTGTCAGCAGTTTCAATTTTTGGCTTTCTTTATTCAGTATTAAAATATTGGGCAGTCCTTCATGGAACAAGGCTGTAACTATAGGAAGCAGAAGTGATTGAATGAATTAGGCATTCACTTCGGGGAATTCCCTTTGCTGGCTCTTCATATGTTGAGGGTTTCACCTTAGCTTTTGTGAGGTCCGTGTGCTATTTAAAAACTGAGTCTATAATTAATCAGCGCTGCTAGAAGATGGTGCAAATGGCCCAGTTTTGTGCCTCCAGGTTATGAATTTGGCTCTTGTCTTCAGTGTGGTTTGCAGCGTCCTTCTACATGTCCCCTTTTTTAGAAATGATACTCCCCTCCACCCCTGCCCCCCACACACATATACAGCCAACCGGATTTAAGGAAAGCAGGAACTACAATAAACTTTTGAGGAAAGATGCTTTAGGGTATGATTTAGTACCTTAGTTCCTTTCTCACTTGAGTATTAATCAGTGTGGTTTTCTGCACCGTCGTTCTTTCCTCCTCTGGTTTAATGACAGAGATTTCTTCTTTAGGTGCCACAACCACCCACGTCCGTAGAGATCCCCGGGCTTGTTTCTCCTTTAGCCTCTGAATAGTTCTTGGCTGATTTCTTGAGGAAGCACCGCATTGGAAGAGAAAAGCATCTTCTCTTTGGTTTCCTGCTCCCTGCTTCTCTGCCCTTTTAAGTCCATAAAGCGAATTAGGAAGAAAGCCACATACTTCATTTCTACCCAGGGGGGTATCATGTCAGGAGGCTAATCATATCCACTCTCTCAGAGAGAAAGCTGCTTCTTCCCAGAATCTTAGATGCAAGCTACTGGTTTAAATGTTGTATTATATGATGGCTAAATACAGAAGTACGTGTCATAGTAGTTCAGGTTGCCAGCTACTACTAGTTTTCACAGTCTGCCTTCAGTGGGCTATTTTGTTTAAAAGAGCTTCCACTTACAAGCTTTTCAAAATACAATTTAAGTGAAACTTAAGAGTGTTTTTAAGTAGAGACTAAGTGGTTTCATCCTACCTGAAAATTGCCTTCTTGAAATAAATGTTTGATACCCACTGGCCTATCTCCTCTGGAAAACAGGAGTTTTCATTTAGAAGTCCAGTTGGTTGGATTCCAGTAAGCCGTTTCACCTGACTGTATTACGCCCCCTGGAACCAGGGCTGTGCAGGAGCCACCGGCTTCTCCCAGAGGGCAGGGTGAGCACAGTATCAGGGCACATGGCTTACCCTCAGGAGCTGCATCCCAGCCTCAAGGCCCTGGTGAGAAACTGTGCTCTCCAGCAAGGGTCTCTGGCCGTCTCTGCACCGTGTGGTCAGCTTAGGGCTGTGCCTCCCAAGACAGGACCTGAGGATGGGTATGGGTAGCAGAGATATTGCTCCCTTTGCTCCTGGGTGTCCAGAGCTCCAGTGCCTGTCACCTCACCTCTAGCAGCCTCAGGAGCTGTGTAAATTCTGTCATATACATGATGAGGGAGATCATGAAGCACTCACTTGAATCATAAAGTCTGTCTGGGGGAGGCTGCAGAGTAAATATTCCACTTTCCCCACTTACAGGCCCCACAAACAAGCCTCAGAAATGTGTTTGGAGGGACCATGACAGCATCTCTTAGGGACTTGTGTTATTTAGTTTTCTCTCTCTCTCTCTTTTTAGTGGCACTAACCAAAAAAAAAAAACAACAACAAACTAGGCTAAGCAAGTGCAGAGTCATTTATAAACTTGCATAGGTCTTTTATATACAGTCATTTATCATTTAAAAACTGAGATTCATTTTGAGAAATGCACCATTAGGCAACTTCATTGTCGTGTGAACATCATAGTGTATGTACTTAGACAGACCTAAGTCGAAGTCTATAGGTTACTACACACCTAGGCTATGTGGCATAGCTGATTGCTCCTAGGTGACCAACCTGGACAGCAGTTACTGTACTGGATACCGTAGGTGTTAGTGGTTGTAACATAATGGTATTTTTGTATCTAAACATATCTAAATATAGAAAAGGTACAGTAAAAATATGCTGTTATAATCTTATGGGACTACCATTGAATATGTGGTCCATCGTTGACCTAAACATCATTATGTGGTGCATGACTGTATTTATTGTTGATTGCCCATGTCTTTCACCAAAAGTAAGCTTCATGAGAGTGTGGACTTTGCTCTTTGCTGCATTCTGATCTTCTAGAAGAGCCTGGCGCTTAGTAGGTTCTTATTAATTGTTGAACAAATGTTAAATTAATTATGACGGGAAGAACTTTTAAAATGTGCTTTCCCTTCTAGTGTGTGATTCTTAGGGACAATTTTATTTTATTAGAACATAAACCATCAGCACTGGTTTACTTACTTCCAAATGATGCTAGGTATGCCCTGTCTTCTTTCGAGGTCTGGTACTTTTGCTGAAATGCAGCCTCTATCTTAAGATCATTTCAGTTGCATCAGAAAGAAGATGTCACTGCCTGCTCTAAACCTTGGGCGGAGAAAGCAGAGCTGTGACATAATCCACATTTGTACATAGCAGGTTGAAGAGACACTTAAATCTTTTGCTTACTTTTTCTCTTATCAGATAATTCATTTCTTGATTGCATTTATTTTTGAAAGGAAAATACCAGCTTTAGCCATAAGAAGCTGTCAAGAAAGCTTCTCTTTGCTTAGCCTTCCCAGCAGCTACGCTCCTGGGTGAGTGCAGTCAAGGCAATCATTAAAGAATAATAAGTTATGCTTTTGAAATGGTGCTCAAGTACTTCATAGCCTTTTCTAAGATAAGGAGCCTCCCACCTTTGCCCCCATGACACTTGTTGGAAAATACTGGACCAGCAGCTATATCCTTGGGCTTTTGCTGGGTTTTGGAAGACACATTTTGACCTATGTAATCAAGTATAATGATGACATTTATTTTAATAGGATTCTAGTCTGTAATATAATAAGGAAAATGGCTATTTTTCCTTATTTTCTCATTATAATATGTTACACTAAAAGCTTCTGCCATTACTGTTTTATTATATTGGTCTGAGGTACAATATATTTTAATATGCTAAAGATAACATCAAGGTTGAAAATTGAGCTCTCAGTGATTTATTCAGAGGTTGACTGTTGCTGAATGCATTGAAATGAGTTGCATGAGACAGTGCGGCTAACGATTTATTTGTGTATCTTTTTTTAAGCTAAGCTTGTCATAAATAAGAGCAAATAAATAGCTCTTATAGAATAGTTTGTATTCATTGCCTCAATGAAAACATTGTAAATATGAAACATACGGTCTGCAGTCTCTCTCATTTTTTCTGAAAGCTAGTGTTTTGCCTTACATAGCTCAGAATTTTTTCAAGTTTTGGCATGCAGGTGGTTGGTTTTTTTTTTTTACCAAACAAATTTTTTGTCTGTTTGGATTTCTAACGTTGACTGGCATTTGCATTGAGTTATTTTGAAATCCACTACTGGACAAATTCCATTCAAATAATTGGTATGAGAATAACCTAATCTTCAGCAGAACTGGAACAAAATGAAACCTTAGTGGGACCATCAAGAGGGCAGGAACTTGGTCATTGCTAAACTCCAAGCCATGAGCACAGTGCCTAGCACATAGAGGATACAGAATAAAGGATTGTTGGGGGAAATCAATGAATGCCTGAGTCTAGTTAATCCACTTCTTTGTATGACTGTCAACACCTGCCAGATGCATCCAGCTAGCTTTTGACCAGTAGTGCTTAAACTCAGATCTCCTCTCAGTCTTTGTTTTTTACACTTTATTTATCCCTTCATCCCATCCTTCAGCAAACATGCTTTAAATACACTGTGCCAGGGATGGTCTAGGTGATGAGGACATAAGGATGAATGATTTAGTCCTTGCCCATAGGGAAGTAGAGGGTCAGACACAAAATTCTTCCCAGTCCTGCAATTTCAAATTTCAGAGAGGCTGTGGCAGTGCAGAGGAGGAAATGCTTCCAACTCTATTTTCCATTTACCCAGTTAAGATATATAGAAGAGACGCATTTTTCCTTGCTTTTCTTTTTAAAGACTGGGTCTCACTCTGTCACCCAGGCTGGAGTACAGTGGCGTGATCATAGCTCACTGCAGCATTGAATTCCTGAGCTAAAGTGATCCTCCCATGTCAGCCTCCCAAGTAGCTGGGATTACAGGCACATGCCACCATTCCTGGCCATTTTTCAGGGGGAGGGGTGGGGGGTCAGCTAGAGACAGGCTCTTGCTTTGTTGCCCAGGCTGGTTTCCAACTCCTGGCTTCAAGTTATGCTCCTGCCTCGGCCTCCCAAGGCACTGGGATTACAGGTGTGAGCCACTATGCCCTGAGCTGTTGTTAAAACAAGATCAAGAAAGATTTTGCTCTGCTTGGTTGAAATTAGTGCTATACCTCATTTGGGTTTCAAGAGAACTATTCCCCCTTGAACATATATTCCAGCTTGTAATAGAGACATTATGTTTGAGATAGAATATTCTAAGATAAAAGTTTGCTTCCACTTACCCCTCTCATGATGGCATTTCGTTTTTTTGTTCTTTTTTTTTTTTTCTTTTGAGACCGAGTCTTGCTCTGTTGCCCAGGCTGAAGTGCAGTGGCACGATCTCAGCTCACTGCAGCCTCTGCCTCCCGGGTTCAAGCAGTTCTCCTGCCTCAGTCTCCTGAGTAGCTGGGATCACAGGCACGTGCCACCATGCCCGGGTAATTTTTGTATTTTTAGTAGAGACAGGGTTTTGCCATGTTGCCCAGGCTGGTCTCAAACTCCTGAATACAAGCGATCCACCCACCTCAGCCTCCCAAAGTGCTGGGATTACAGGCATGAGCCACCACGCCTGGCCCTAAACAACACAACTATAACTTCAGCTGGTTGTAAGGTAGTTTTTTGGTTGGTTGGTTGGTTGGTTGTTGGTTTTTTGTTTGTTTGTTTTTAAATATAATTTCATATTGGGTAAAACAAAAGGTTTTCCTTAACTTGTTTAGAATTGTTTAGGAAAATACTAGTTAGGAATCTGATTTTTTTTCTCCCCCATGGATTTGTGGTTAGCATGTTTGTACTCTAATATTCATGCTACATTTTCATGTTTACCAATATAAAAACCTTTTTTGTAATTATTTATATGGAGTCCTGCTTTGAGTTAACATCATAGAGGAACGCTTTTTTTCAGCAAAATTGTTTTAAATTAATGTTTCTAAAGTGTATAAAAATGGTTGGGTGGATTAAAAGCAATTCAGTTTCACATGAACCATTTGTCCACATGGAAATAAATATGCAGCACAATTACACGGCAGAAGGTACGAAAAGGTGTTGCTGAAATCATGAGAAAATGTAATACAGGCGGACGTCAGTCTCCACAATAAATTTGCATATGTCCTTTTTTGGGGGCAAATACAGTCATCATTTTAAATGAAGTCGAAGAGTTATTTCTGTAAACAAAACAAAAGTCCTCCTTGTCATACTAGACAGCAAGGAAGCAAAAATTGTTAGGGTCATGTCAAAAAGACTCAGGAGTCAATTTGAAGAGGTTCTGACCAGACAATAAATATAATAATAAAGATAAAAAATTGCAATTTATTGCAACTTGTCAAATGTTTAAATTCACAAGTTCATAATGATACTAAAAAACAAACTGATTTAGAGGATAATAGGAACCAGTTTATTTTCTTGAAAGCTGCAAAAATTGCAATTAAAACATTTATCCTGCCTTTCTTACATAAACTGTACAGTGAAGTAATCAAGTAGTAAAGGAGGGGAAACATCATTTTATTTTTTAAATTTTTAAAAATTTTTTGAGACAGGGTCTTGCTCTATCACCCAGGCTGTAGTGCAGTGGTGCGATCTCAGCTTACTGCAGCCTCACCTCCTAGACTCAAGAGATCCTCCCACCTCAGCCTCCTGAGTAACTGGGACTTCAGGTAAACACCACCATGCCCAGCTGATTTTTTCATTTTCTGTAGTCTCTTTATGTTGTCCAGGCTGGTCTTGAACTCCTGCGCTCAAGCGATCCATCTGCCTTGGCTTCCCAACGTGATAGGATTACAGGCATGAGCCACTGCACCTGGCCAGAAACATCTTTTTATAAACATATTCCAGCTAACCAATGAAAATAAAATGTACGGTGGCTCACACCTGTAATCCCAGCACTTTGGGAGGCCGAGGCAGGCGGATTGCCTGAGCTCAGGGAGTTCACGACCAGCCTGGACAACATGGTGAAACTCCATCTCTACTAAAATACAAAAAATTATCCGGGTGTTGCGGCATGCACCTGTAGTCCCAGCTACTTGGGAGGCTGAGGCAGGAGCATCCCTTGAACCCGGGAGGCGGAGGTTGCAGTGAGCTGAGATCGTGCCACTGTACTCCAGCCTGGGCAACAGAGTGAGACTCCATCTCAAAAAAAAAAAAAAAAGAAAAGAAAATGACAGAATTAAAATATAACCATTTTGTAATCCCCACCACCACCATGAATTAATGGATCTAGACAATGAACAACATCAACAGTTGCAAAAAGGACAACCAGAAATTATCTATCTTCTGATCAAGGATATTTGTAGTCTTGCCAGTGGATGGAACCCAAGTCTAATCAATCAAGCACTGGATCTAGTTACCATTTTGCAAGAGATACAGAGTAAAGAGGAGCATACTGAGCTGCAGTGCAAGTAGGAGATCAGCAAAATCCAGAGTGAGGACAGTATAGGTCAAGTGGCCCCAGTTCAACCACAGATAGATTACAAGGAAAAGAAAGGGGTGAAGGTGGAACCCCTAGATTAAAATGACATTAAGATTTTTTTTTTTAATAGGCAAGACTGTTCTAGTGCCTGGACTGTTTTGGTGATGAAAGTATAAAAAAATGCAAGAGATTATTGTGAAAGTCAGGATAGTGGTTACTTATGAGAGAGAAAGGAGAGGTGATTGGCTGGAGCGGATAGAAAGTTTTCTGGAGTAGCCGGCAAACTTCTATTTCTTGATCCTGGGTGATAGTTACAAGGACAGTTGCCTTATAATAATCCATTAAGCTGTGTATTTGTTTTTTGTCATTTTATGTATCTCTGTTTTATTTTTGTTTTTTAGAAAGCAATCATCTTAAAATGGGAGGTGACATCCTATGGTATCTTAGTGCTTGGGTTTTTGTAACTCTTGAAACTGAAAACTTACTCGATTTATTGGTGGCATCCTACTAGTCATGTTTTAAAGAGAGACACAGTTTTCACCTTGACTGCTTGAAAATGAAAACTTGAGTGCACAAGTATTTAGTGTACGGGCATCAACTCCATGTCAGCCTTTGCAGAGCCATTTTTATGTGAAGGAAATGTACTGAAATTTACTTGAATCAAATCCTCTGAAGTGTTGAGTCTAGTTCATTAGAGAACAGCATTCCTGTAAATTTCACTTTCACTCTTAAACTTAGAAAAACATAATTGAAGGGTTGTGCGTTAACAGAATGAGGATGAAATGGAGGATTCGGACAAGGAATGGTGATGCAGAGTGAGGATGGAGTACAGAGAAAATATTTAACTGTGAGCCCGAGGAGAGAAAGAAGAGACACTGCAGCATGAGAACTGTTTTCCCATTTTTCTTTTTTTGTGGGAAGAACAGCACCAGCAGACACTGTAAGATGTGTACAGGAAAATTGCTCTTTCCTCCTCCTAGGTTGCTGAGCAGTTCTAAAATTTGTGGTAGATCTTTAGGCACTAGAAACAGAACTTAGAGAAAAGATGTTAAAAGTTAGATTTTTAAGAAAGGGAAGAAAAAGGCTACGATGACTTAAAATGTCCTGAAATGAGGCTCTGCTATTTATCAGAAAAACAGGCTTCCTTCTTCTTAAGAAGGTGATTGTCTGTTCATAGACTAGGAGTCCTGCCCTGGGGTTCACCCAGCGTTGGAGCTTTTCTCCATGAAGTTAAGGACATTAATAAGATTTTTCTCTACCAAAGCAGAAGATGCTCTGAAGACAGCCTTTCATCCCTGTAGCTTTTGAGTTGCATCCAGTTAAAAACTTGTAGAACATAATGAATGTTTTTAGAGAGGAAATAAAATGAATGATGCCCGTGAATTTGTTTTAAACATTGTTTATTTTACCTAATAATTTATATAAATCTTCCTTGAAGAGGAAGAGAAATTACCAGATTTAATTAATAATTGGAAGCTTTTTAGAGGATTTACTTTGAAATACCTCCCTGCCAATTTTTCATAAATTAAGCATAAACTTTCTTTGACCTCATCACACATAATTAAATAGCTGTGGAAGGGTTAAAACCAACTAAAAAGCAATTCTGTATCTCAATCTCCATTCTCCTGCAAAACTTATACAGGAAGTTTGTTTCAGTTCTCAAGCAGGGTAATTACAAGAGACAGTTACATAATTTACACTTCCAATCTACTTGTCTATAATCACACACTTCTACCTAGTTGTATATACCCCCATGAGTATGTGTGTTGTACTTTGATTTGTAAATGATGATTGCAGTGTGATTGATTCCTTGCAATGTAGCATATTGAATTCATTTTTTAAAAATGAACTTTAGCTGTTAACATGTCTATTTGAGTTCCTGTTATTTACGTAGTTTGTGGTTCTTGTGTTCAGCAGTTGCATACCAGCTAACAAATTAAACTCCCAGAGCTTTTTTTCTCATTAAATTTGGAAAATAGAGTGTCTGTATACAACCTAAATAGAAAAGTACCTAGTACCTAGTAGGCACTCAACTGTTGGACATAGCACAAAACCATTTCAAGCCTTTGCAGGTGGAATGGAGATTCTTTGATTAACATAATATAAAGTCTCATGGGGATAATATTAGTATATTGTGGTGAAGCTCTGCTAATATTAATGTATTGTTACTGAAGTCTAAAATTTAGCCAAACAGTGGACAGAATAGCGGTTCATTCCAGGGGCTTAGAGAAATGTGTCATCTACAACCTAAGAGGTAGTCATTGCTGTCTTTAATGCTGCTGGTGACGATACTGCATATGTGTTTGTTTTTCTAACAGCTAACATCTACTGTAGCCAGTTTGGACTTTAAGATTCCCTAAGATTAAAGGCTAAGTCCCTGGCCGGGCGCAGTGGCTCATGCCTGTAATCTCAGCACTTTGGGAGGCTGGGGCAGGCAGATCACCTGAGGTCAGGAGTTCGAGACCAGCCTAACATGAAGCAACCCGATCTCTACTAAAAATACAAAATTACCCAGGCGTGGTGGTGCATGCCTGTAATCCCAGCTACTCGGGAGGCTGAGGCAGGAGAATCACTTGAACCCGGGAGATGGTGGTTGCAATGAGCCGAGATCATGCCATTGCACTCCAGCCTGGGCAACAAGAGTGAAACTCCATCTCAAATTAAAAAAGCTAAGTCCCTACATGACACCAAGTCCATGGGCAAACCAGCCAGTCACTTGTCTGGCCCCCCTCCCACCCTAGCTCCGCTACCCAGGGTGCCTTTGTGCTGCACAGCTTCAGAGGGGGCTCAGCAATAACCCTGGGGGGACACAACCATTGATCTCCAGAGGCTTCTTACCTCAAATCACGTTTCAAAGCATTTGGGAGATAAATAAAAAATAAGCGAAAAGAAAAGTAGACCAGTGGAGTGGGATTGTTTGTCTAGATAACCTGAGGACAACTAGCGACAGTTTCTCTTACATTTCCAACAGTGGTTGATCAGTCAGATTAGGTGATGGGCTGTACTTTGATTTTAGAAAGTTATCTCCAAAACTGACAGATTCCTTTTTGAAATGTACTTTGTTTGAAAACAAAGAAAATTTCTAAGGAGATTTGTATTCTCATTTTTTCTTTCTTCAATCTTGCTGTGTATTTTTGTTTGCTGTGTGAAAGCTCATCATCCAGAATTGGAATTACAACATACTTTGTCCTATTTTTAAAAATTACAGCTGGTACATACACACAACACTCCCTTCCACATATACACACAGCATTTTAGGGGGCTTGTAGGAGAGCAAATGGAAAGGCAAGTTGCTATTCCAACCATCCTGTCTCCCAAACCTGGTTCTGAAATCAGTGGTACTGCCATGATTATGTAAATAGCACCCCTCTCCCACCCTCCACCATCGGTCTGTGGGGTTGGACCAGACCAGATGACTAGATATTAGAATGAAGTGTCTCAGCTGCCTCAGTAGAACCTCAGACCTATAAAAGTAGGCAAAAGAAGTCTCAGTTTTTGCATTTAGTGATTTAGTTAAGGAAAATGTTCAATCGCAGTGTTTTCGCAGCAGGAGAACAATCTTAAAGGTAAAGCATTTTAAGTGCATGCAGTCATTTGTTTGGCGCAGATGCTTTATTTAAAGTGTATATGTGTTCGATTAAGTTTGCCATCTTAAAGCCTTTCAGTGGTAAGTTCTTGTTACCAGAATTTTGTAACTTAGACATGAAAATTTTATCCAAGTTTCAACTTGGGGAGCAAGCCTAGGGGGAGCCAGGTATTTAAAATGCTTTCTTTTAGTGAAAACTGAAGAATTAAGTTGTCTTCTATTTCAATTGTGTTATTTTCTATTTCAAAAACTATTTCTTTTTTTAATGAATCTCTAATGTAGACTTTTGCCTATTTATAAGAGAGGAAATAATTTTAAAATGCCAAATTACTTCATCTTTAAATTTTTAAAAATAAATGTGTTTTTCCTAAAATATCCTAGAATTTAAAAGTGGTTTGAACTGTGGAAAACTTAAAAGGTCAAAGAGGAAGACCTTCCTCTGCATGCCTTTCTAATTTCTGTCATGCTGAAGGCCATAGCACTGGGGCTTTCTCATTACCTAACTGAAAGTGCCTCTGGGTCACAAATCAGAGCATTAACTTAGTTTGGTGATAGGCAATGGGCTTCGTGAACAATTTGGTTACTTCAACAATTTGGTAAGCTATTCTTACATCAACATATTTTTAAAAATTCTTGCCTTCCCCAATTTTAGTTTGGGCATAAATGATACTGACAGAGTATAACATCTCTCATTCCATGATCATTTTATCTGTGTGGCAGGTGCCTCATTTTCCTAACAAGGAAATTGAAGGATGAATCTATATCATAGTCAGTCACCTTATTAAAAAATTTTTATTCTTCTAATCCACTAGACCAGGAACTCGGTTGTGGTGACACACCATACACTCACAAATACTCCTCAGTTGAATGTTTAATGAAATGAAACTCTGTGAAGTGTATCACACAGTTGTTTACGGAGTGGCCATCCTCCCCTGCGTCAGTTCAGAGATTTGCCTGCTGCTGGGATTTCTCATTAGGCACCACTGCTACCACTATAGCCCTGTGAGGTGGCAAAAATGAAGAAGTGGTGCTGTACCCCATTTAATATTCTGGCCCAAGTATAGTCCCCCAAGGCCCTTTCCTTACTGGGACCCATAATATATCTGAAACCAGGCAAGTCATGAGGTTGGGTGGAACACAGACATCTGTGGCTTTTTAAAGCCCCAAGTGAGTCTGATGTGCAGGCAGGGTCGAGAACCACTGGGCTATACTTGAAGACAGAAGAAGGAACAATAGGCCAGGTGCAATGGCTCACACCTGTAATCCCAGCACTTTGGGAGGCCGAGGCAGGAGGGTTGCTTGAGCCGAGGAGTTTGAGACCAGCCTGGGCAACATGGTGAAACCCCATCTCTACAAAAATACAAACATTAGCCAAGCATGGTGGTATGCACTTGTTGTCCCAGCTACTCGGGAGGCTGAGGTGGGAGGATTTCTTGAGCCCAGAAAGTTGAGGCTGCAGTGAACCAAGATCACACCACTGCACTCCAGCCTGGGTGATAGAGTGAGACCGTGTCCAAAAAATAAAAGAAAAAGGAGCAATTAATTCTCTCACTGGGTAAGAGAATCAGGTATAAATGCCATCTCACACAGATGTCTCTGGCCCTCAGGCTGCTTCCATGTGGCACGTGCTATCCTGGCACCTCCGGCTCAGGAGCACATCCACAGAGGTCTACGCTTCTCAACACAGGGGCGGTGCAGAGGGAGGGAAGTCCCCTTTCGTGCTGCCTGATGCCCTACTTGTGAGTTCATTTTCTTTCTGAGCACCTGTACCTTTCCCTGGGGGACTGACATGCAGAATGACCAACCCCGCAAGGGAGTCCACACCTACCCACAGAACCATGGAACCATCTGGTAAATCCCAGCATGGTCAGTCAGCTCAGAGACACAGGCACACCACACGGCATCGGGGAGTCACACTCCTGCCATACATCTTCCACTGTGGGAGTTGAAGGAAGACCATTCCACTCTGGAATGGACTTGAAAGGATGGGGACATTCAGTAAGAAAAATCAGTGGCCCTTTGGGGAAGAGCTCAGCAGTGGAGGTCTGCTGAGGAACTTGTGGGATCCCAGAGAAGAGAGATCTAAGAGTGGGGCTTAGAGTAACAGGCTGGTATGTGACCCAGGGCAGCCAGCCTCCTTCCCCAAAGACATGCTGTGTCCATGCTCAGGGTTTCACTGGGTCAGGCCATTTTCCCAGAGACACACTTGAGTCTTGTTGAATATTTGAGTCTTTCATCTGTCTTGGGACTGTCCCTGGGCTCTGCTGAAGCCCTAAGCAGTCATTGTTTCTGTGGTTGGATGGGCTAGCCATTTCCTAAGGGTAGTCCTTGAAGTTAAGGACTAAGGGGCCAAAGGGAATTTGGGGGCACAGAACTGTGTTTGCTGGGAACTTTGTTGCCATTTCTTAAGACCACTCCTGAGGCAGAATTTTTTTTCATAGCCTCTTTCTTTAATTCAATTGATATCTGGGTGGTTAGCTGGGGGGAGGGGAGAGGAAGGAAGGGTGGGATGAGAGGAGAGCTTCTGTCTGAGTTCATGGAATGGTTTTTAGGTTCCTCAGGCAAAAGTAGGAAAACAAAGTTAGCTTTTCTCAATCTGATTCTATAGAGCAGTCTGTCTCTGTTGTTTCCCTTCTGTCCAAATTTTATTTCTTTCCCCTACCTTAAGGATGTTTAGTTACCCAAATGATCACCTTGAGACTTGATTCATTCAGTATGTTGAATAATAATCATAGCTAACACTTATTAGGATTACTGTGATGCGTCAAGCACTGTTCTGCATGTTTCATATTAACTCAATCCTTACCAGAACTGTAACAGTTAGGTACAGTTATTATTCACATCTTATGGATGAGGGATCTGAAGCACAGAGAGGTTAAATAAAATCCCTGAGGTCACACAGCTGGTACATGGTGGACCCCAGATTCCATTCTGGGTAGTCTGGCTCCAGAGCCCATGCTTTCCACCCACCCATAGAGCCTCTCACGATCTGTCGTATTGTATGCAATATATGACATATTGTTTTAAAATACGGGTGCCCTGTTACCCAGCTTTAAAAAACTCATCTTTGTTTAGTGCACATGGTCTCAAAGTATGGTTCAGGGAGTCTACAAGGTCATAATTATTTTCCAAGTAGTACTAAGATACTCTTTTTCCTTTTTACTTTCATTTTCTCATGAGTATACAGAGGAGTTTTCCAGAATGTCATGACCTGTGATATCACAGCAGACTCAATACCAAAGCAATCTATGAAAATCTAGCAAGCTGGGTGCAGTGGCTCACGCCTGTAATCCCAGCACTTTGGGAGGCTGAGGTGGGAGGATCGCTTGAGCCTGAGAGTTTGAGACCAGCCTGGGCAACATAGGGAGACCCTGTCTTCTTGAAAAAGAAAAAGAAAGAACAAAATAAAGAGAGAAAGAGAGAATCTAACTGGCTTCTCTTAAGCCAGAAGTTAAAGAGATTTGTAAAACATGTAAAATAATGCCACTCTTTTCACTATAAATTTTATTTATATTTTAGAAAGTATAGGATTTTTTTTAATTTAAAAAAATGTTACATAATGGGTTTATCGTTATCTTTTAGATGAATTAATAAATATTTGTCAAATTTCTCAGTAAAATTAATAGATAGAGCCCTTAAAAGCAAAAGCTCTCTGAGTGCTGAGGCCAAAGCATTTGAAAACTACCGATTTAAAGTATAAACCATTGCTATTCAAGTGTGGTCCATGGCACAGGAAGTTGTTAGAGGTGCAGAATCTCAAGCCCCACCCCTGACCTACTGAACCGGAGTCCATGCTGTTAACCAGAACTAGTTTGTCTGCACAATGGAAGTTGAGAAGCAGAGGTGTAGAACATCTGCACGAAGCGATTTGGCAACTCAGTGACCTCTAGCCAAATTTCAGTCTGGTGGGGCTTTGGCGAGTCCATTCTCCAATTATCTTGCATCCAAGGAGCTGAGTGAGGTCTTACCTATTTGAGATTCTTCAGTCCTACTGTCTCTTAAGTGGCCACACCCTCATCAAAGCCAGCAGCTTCAGAGCAGGGTTCTAGTGGTGGTTTTCAAACTCGGGTACATCAGAATCACCTGGGGGACTTCTGAAAGCACAGATGCTGGGCTCTGCCTCTCCCCACCAAAGATCCTGATTCAGCAGGTCTGAGATAGGTTCTGAGAATTTAAAGTTCTAGCAAGTTCTCAGGTGATGTTGATGCCACAGGTCTCCACACTGAGATCTTGATAAACAGCATTTATTCAAGTTCTTATATAATTATGTCATGCCCATAGGACTTATGGGAGAGAGGTCTTAAACTTGTTTCAACACCAATCTCTTAAAAGTAAAATATATGAAAAATTCAAAATTTCCGTCTTTGCCAAGGAGGCACCTGTATCTTTTAATAAGTGGAAAGCAGTAAGATATCAGGCAGGTCACAGGTCATTTAGAGCACGGCTGTTCTCTTAAAATGATGTGAGAACTAAGGTTCAGCATCCTTCTGCACTAATTGCAAAATCACCACAAAATTTAAACGAGGAGATATAAATAGCCTGTCAAGTTCATTTGTCATTATTTAAACTGATAACATGCCATTCATCCAGTTGGTCAGTGCTGCTCTGCACCAGAAACCAGGAACAGATGAGCGTACAAACCAGTGAATTGCCATCTCCAAGCATGAGATAACTTGGTTAGAGTCATCAGATTTCCTGTGCTCAAAAGCTGCCATAAATCCCTGGCCTCGTGTCTGTTCCCAGGCTTGCAAACCCAGTGCCGTCGACTGATACAGACCTTTCAGCAGGATTTGCTGAGCTAAACAGGTGTCTGATGAAAAGTGTGTAATCCTCAAAGATTATCATCCCCTAAAAGCAGCTGGTGACCCCAAACTCACATAATCCAGAGAGATGGAAGTTGGGAGTGAGTAGCTTGCCAAAGTTTACACTTTGGTGTTTGAGGAGGTTCATATGGTTTGGTTTGGTTCCAGGTAGTGGAAGATGGAGGTGTGCAGGGGTGAGGGTGTCTGCCCCTGTCGGGGGAGATCCCTGTCCCTATCCATGCCCTTGCCTGAGAACATTATTCTACTATGGTCCATTTACACTCTTGAATACTCCTAGTTTAAAGGGAAGGAATTTTCATTTTCAATGAGCGTTAACATTACAGTTATTATGCTGGGAATTAAATTTAATTTGGGAATTTGGGTCTGCAAAAACATATCTTGACCTTGTCTAGATAGTTCCTTCCTTATCCTAATAGATCTGTCTACATGAGATAACTCTCTACCACTTTTATTTTCTCCCACTGGGAGAGAGTTAACCATTTCAAACTCAGGGCTAGTTAACATGAGATTTGATTCTTTTACTGCAAGTAGTTAAGCCTTAACAGAGGTGAGGCACACTCGGGTTCCATGCAGTACAGCTTAGAAATGCTTACTTTTTATAGACAGAAATCACATTGTTCTTCCTTTCCCTTTAAGCAGACATCTTGACAATCCTTTGAATTGATTATGTGGCCTGTATACTGAAAGTCAGATGTCACCTTCCCCAGGATAAGTACTTCCAGTAAAGCAAAAGAGGAAGCCAGCTTTTGCTACGATCAAGATAGTTGATGTGGATGAGGGGTTTATGGGCTACCCCGTTTTCAATTACAAGGCTCCCACTCACAGAGTAAGTGCTGTTGGCCAGCACCTCTGGCTCACAGACAAGTTCCAGGGAATAATTTCACCAGCGATTAATTATACTGCAGCTACTGGGATTTGTCCTCCAAACATCACTTTGTTTTCCATCTGAAACAGCCAGGTTTCTCCAGGGAGAGCTGAGGTTTTCTGATTGAAAGTATCCCGAGTTAAGGAGAAGTGTTAGAGCACCATGGGAATCTATTCACCAGGGGTGTACTGTACTTGTTTCAGATGCTTCAGGATAATACACCAGCTTCTAAGATAAGTGCTTTTTTTTTTTTTTTTTTTTTGAGATGGAGTTTCACTCTTGTTGCCCAGGCTGGAGTGCAATGGCATGATCTCGGCTCACTGCAACCTCTGCCTCCCGGATTCAAGTGATTCTCCTGCCTCAGCCTCCCGAGTAGCTGGGATTACAGGCGCACGCCACCATGCCCGGCTAGTTTTGTGTTTTTAGTAGAGATGGGGTTTCTCCATGTTGGTCAGGCTGGTCTCGAACTCCTGACCTCAGGTGATCTGCCCACCTCAGCCTCCCAAAGTGCTGGGATTACAGGCATGAGCCACCGCGCCCAGCCAAGATAAGTGTTTTTTATTTCCCTGCATCTTAGATCAATTATTTGGAATTTTTTTGGTAAGTTAAGAGCTGTAACTTAAACCACCACATCTCTATGATGTACTCAATAAGTGAAATGTTCTTACCAAAAATTTTTCTTCCAATGGGCTATATCATAATTATGTTGTGAAGAGCCTAGAAAAAAATAGAGGCCGGGCACAGTGGCTCACGCCTGTAATCCCAACACTTGAGGGACTGAGGTCAGGAGTTCGAGACCAGCCTGGGCAAAATGGTGAAACCCTGTCTCTACTAAAAATGCAAATCTTAGCCAGGCATGGCCACTGGCGCCTGTAATCCCAGCTACTCAGGAAGCTGAGGAAGGAGAATCGCTTGAGCCTGGGAAGCGGAGGTTGCATCGAGCCCATATCGCACCATTGCACTCCAGCCTAGGCAACAGAGCAAGTCTCTGTCTCAAAAAAAAAAAGTACAAAGAAACAAAAGGTGGCAAGAAATTCGTTTTTTAAAACATCGCATGTTATGAGGGTCAGAGTAGTGAAGTGCCACCAGCTGCAGCCTTCTGAGAGGAAGTGCTGCTGCTGGTTCAAATGGAATTCTGTCCTACATCCACCAAGCACGCCAGTGGAGTGGACATGACACACACTTTTCTTCTAAGCTGTACAGTTTAACATATTACAAGTGAGTTCATTTAACTAGTAAGGAATCAGAAATGTATCTTTGTTCATTTTGATCGTTTTGATGGATTCTGTTTTCTCTTACGTGAGTAGACTTTGTGGACTTCCAAATGGCTCCTGGCATAAGTGCCAGTTCCTGCTATTAGTTCCTTGAGGGTCTCATGAGTCAGAGAGGAGAGGGAAAAACCCACTGCAAGCCATGCAGGGGTCCCTTCGGATAGTGGCCTTGTGCAGTCTGCAGTGTCGGTGCACGTCATCCCTGCACACCCGCCTGCTGTGCTCTGGCTGGAGCTTGGGTTTGCAGTTGTCTTCTTTACAGCACCCAGGGAAGCATGGCCTCCTGGCAGGTGTTGGCCACTCCCTGCTTTCTCCTGGCCTTTGCAAGCACAGTGCAAGGGTGTTTGCTGAAAAAGACCACTGGGCTTTCAGTGTACCCACACCCATCAGGGCTGATCACCCTGCTGCCACCTCCCCAGGACTCTTCCGTGACTATCAGTCATAGCCTGAAGTCTGTGTCCAAGGGAGTGTCTCAGGAGACAGCCACTTAACATGGTAGGAGTAGCAGGTGCTAAAAGGTTTATGCCTAAATGCTCCCCATGGACCCCAAGTTGCCTGCTGGTTTGAGTGGCCTAACCCATTTAGGCTCAGGCCCTGACAGGGTGTGTGTGCACCACTTCGGGGTGTGAAAGCATGAACAGCTGCGGAAAGCGTGGGTTTTCTGATGCTGGCTGCTGCTGCCTTCCGGATTAGGGACTGTAGCGGGGAGACAGAACAAAGGAACACATGTGCTTCTGGGTAAGCTGGCCCATCATAGTGGGGGACATAAGGTATGGGGGGGCACATACCACCTTGGTATGAACACTTTGGTTGTACAGAATTCTTTCAGCAAGGCTGAGAGGAGTGGGGCTTTCTGTCCTTGACTGCTGGATTCAAATAAGCACCAGTAGAGGACCTGGGGACTTTCACACTCACTGCAGGGGACTTTCAATTGTGGGATCTCATGGACAAAAGGGAATGGTTCTATATCCACGGCTCTATGGTTCTCACCCCCCCAGGAGTACAAAGCTGGGACCCCCCAGCCTCCTGGGTACGTTTCTCAGCATGTGCCAAGCACTTTGGAGGCAGGTGACGGATGTGCCAATTATCTGTATTCTGAGGTGTGGGCTCCCTTCATACTCTGGCAACACAGAGACGTAGAGAGCTCTTCTTCGTGTTGACAGGACACAATATGGGCTGGCTTCGGCACAGTGGCCATCACTGTGTTAGCATTCCTGACACACTGCTATTGAAAGCCCCAATCTGCTGCCAAATTACATGTAGACAGTGGTTTCACTGTAAAATGTTGCGGTGCTTGTTTGCATTCAGTCAAATACTTTGCACTTAAACATGGGTTAAAGAGACAAATAAGTCAAAAGACCTTAGCAAAACCTGAAGTTAAATTTACGCCTATTCTTCATAATGGCATTCAGATTAAAGCCATCAAAATGCAAAATGCTGTGATTATACCCTTCGAGGGTTCAGGCTGGATTCTTGTTTTGTATTTCTGCATTACTGTATTTGCAGTGATTTTGAGATGCAGGAAAATGCATCAGAGGCATTGATTTCTTCTTTAACAAAAAATAACCCTAAAATTGAGAAAATTCTTGAGAATGCAGCCATTTTGGAAATGTAGATAAAGAAGAAAAATGCTGAAGATTTGGGTGGTTTATGGAGCCGTATGATTTTGTCATTGCTGCCACCTACTGTATGTGGTTGATGTTTGTTTAAACTTAGGAAGTTCATGAAGGTGAGGCTGTTGAAATAGATAATTAGAGCAAGGTAGACATCATTAGCTTATAGCATTTCTTTTCTACCCCATAAGTGGCTCTTAATTACTGAGACAGCCGCCAGCTTTCATTCATTACCTTCAAGTGGATTTAAAGGGCTGGTTTCTTTTTTTTTTTTTTTTTCCATTTTTAAAGTTCCTTTGCCAAGGAACCTTCACAGTAATGCTGTAAAATGCGTTCAAAAGCTTAAGATGCTGGGGGATTTTCTGAGCATACATGCAATAGGTTGTTTTAAGGAGTTTGTTTTGTTTTGTCTTAATTTGTAGGAGCAATATTCTGGGATTGGATTGTAAATTAATTTCTATGAAAGAGGTGAAAATGGAGCTAGTGGAGCTGATGGGAGTTGCAGCAGTTGACTTGAAAGACATTCTTTTATTAGTCCTAAAACAAAGCTTCAGATCAACCTGCTAGTTAAATGTAACAAGCAATATAGACTCTGAGTCAACAGAGGTCCTTCTCTTTTTATTAAGACCCAGCTGTCAAAGGGTCATTAGGTCCTTCCTGTGGAAAACAACTTGCCCATTAATGTTGGGGGTGGTCCCTCGACAGGATTTCTGAGTAAGTGCCTGACATTTCGTTTTTGAAAGAATCTAAAGCTGTGGGAGACTTAGATGTTGAGACTTAGCAGGAGTAATGTCTTCAACCATAGCTTTTAGTCTTTGTTAAATATGTCACAATATGTGTTTGGAATGCTGCTGCTAGCTGCGTGAATTGACTTAGAGTGCCACTGTCAAAGATTCAGGAGCGTAAACTTCACGGAGATCAAATCACTATAACTGGGAAGAGGCTACATTCCTAAAGCGAATGCACTTCTCTGTTGTGATGTTTTTACCTTGTCACTACTCATATTATTTCTAGTGGCTCCTGTTCTAAGCTCTGGGAATGCCACAGTGAGGAATGCCCATTTATTTTTTCTGCCCTAGGCTATTTGCTTTCTAGAAGAGAAGGCCAAGCAGGGTCTCCTGAAAAGCCTCTCTCCGATCTGGGCCGTCTCTCCTACCTGGCATATTGGAAGAGCGTCATCTTGGAGTATCTCTACCACCACCATGAGAGGCACATCAGCATCAAGGCAATTAGCAGAGCGACGGGCATGTGCCCACATGACATTGCCACCACTCTGCAGCACCTCCACATGATCGACAAGAGAGATGGCAGGTGAGTCCTGGGACCCTGGGCAGCTCCGTGGCTCAGGCATCCCACACCAGAAAGGGTCCCTGGAGATAGGTGCATTCATTCCAGTTAAAGACTGAGGTTCCCTAACAGTATTATCAAACCTTTTCTCCTAAAAATAACACATGAAATGACACTTTTTTACTGGTTGGATTCCAGTGTTCTGTACCCTCTCATTGAGGTGCTTTCTGATTTTTCCTAACGCAGATAACATTAGTGCTAGCATATGTCCGTATGTGAAGCTGAAGTGAAATTTCAGCTTGTGATTACATCTTGTTCTGCCTTATCACATTACAGATTTGTCATCATTAGACGGGAAAAGTTGATATTGAGCCACATGGAAAAGCTGAAAACCTGTTCCAGAGCCAATGAACTTGATCCAGACAGTCTGAGGTGGACCCCAATTTTAATTTCTAATGCTGCAGTGTCTGAAGAAGAGCGAGAAGCTGAGAAAGAGGTAATGATTGTCTTTATCATCCTAAGTTGTGTAACTTCAATCTTGTAGCATTCTTAAGCTAAGAAAGTCATTAAGATCGTTGTCAAAAGCTTGGTTATGTAGAGATAGCATGTGAAATGATATGGCACTAATTTATCCTAACTGAGGTTGCATGGTAAGACATGATAATTTTATTGAATTGAGTATGAAAAATGAAACATTTATCATTGATTACAAAGCAGCATTTTTCACTACTGAGAGCATGTAATCAGATCAAATTCGGTGCTGAGCTCCAAGGCTGCAGTGTCAATTGATTCTTTGTGTTTATGAACTTGCTTAAAGTGCTCCTTGCCAGTGAGCATGTAATGTAGTGATAAAGGACTCAAATCAATTCGCTGCATCATTAATACTGTTAAATATCCCATGAAACCCAATCTTCTTTGATTTGTTATCCTAACTGATGCAAAAGGTTCCTGAGATGATGCAGCTGGAATGTGCTTGGCTGGCTGGCTGTCCTGATCAGAACCGACTTAGAGACACTTTGCCATTGATCCTCAGAGGCTCTGGCTGTGTAACTGCCCTCTCACTGGCCACCATTTTTACCCTCCCCACTTAGGCTGAGCGGCTAATGGAACAAGCTAGCTGCTGGGAGAAGGAGGAACAAGAAATCCTGTCAACTAGAGCTAACAGTAGGCAATCACCTGCAAAAGTACAATCGAAAAATAAATATTTGCATTCCCCGGAGAGCCGGCCAGTCACAGGGGAGCGAGGGCAGCTGCTGGAGCTGTCTAAAGAGAGCAGTGAAGAAGAAGAGGAGGAGGAGGACGAGGAGGAGGAAGAAGAGGAGGAAGAAGAGGAAGAGGATGAAGAGGAGGAAGAAGAGGAAGAAGAAGAAGAAGAAGAAGAAAATATTCAAAGCTCTCCCCCAAGATTGACGAAACCACAGTCAGTTGCCATAAAGAGAAAGGTAGGTGTCTGTTTAGATTTTCTGTGAGTCGCGTTCAATCAAATCTTATTTGTCATTGCAGACATTCTGTCTATTAGTATTTGTTTCACTCTCTGTTCTTTAGTCGTAGTTTATGTGTACCCAGTCCCGCTGATCATATATCATAATCGTTTATCTCACAGTCATGATTATGTTTACTTTTCAGGTTTGTTAGTGCGGTGACAGGAAACCAGGGACAGGCCAGCCTCCTAGTCTAGTAGTCACTGCCACCTGCTGGTCTGCAGGAGTAGAGTAACTGAGGTTTATGGGAACAAAAAGGGGCCCCAGAAAGCACTTAAACCACCCTCCAAGACCTAGAGGCCAGGAGACTTCTCTAAGGTCATATGACTCATTAGAGATGGAAGCAGAACCAAATGCGTGCTCAAGACTCTAAGCCTGGGTTGGGCGCAGTGGCTCACGCCTGTAATCCCAGCACTTTGGGAGGCCAAGGTGGGCAGATCACCTGAGGTCAGGAGTTCAAGACCAGCCTGGCTAACGTGGTGAAATCCCGTCTCTGCTAAAAATACAAAAAATTAGCCAGACACGGTAGTACGCGCCTGTAATCCCAGCTACTCGGGAGGCTGAGACAGGAGAACCCAGGGAGGCAGAGGTTGCAGTAAGCCGAGATCGCACCATTGCACTCCAGCCTGGGCAACAAGAGCGAAACTCTGTCTCAAAACAGAACAAAAAGACTCCAAGCCCAGTGCTCTTCATGCTGTTTCTTTCTCTTGTTCTTGGCACAGAATTGTTAGAAAGCATTTTAGGCCCTTAATTTTGATGGTGATATTTTGCATTTGTGGCCAACTGCGCATTACTGAATCTCCTCAGATCTTAGTAGCCCAGTGATGTCTCTAGATAGACCATATCATCTCCAATGGTACAGAAAGTAAAGAATTGACTTTGTTTTTAGGTAACTGCTCACCCAGATCTGATATCTTTGTCTTCAGTATCTATCTGGGACATAGAGGAGAGCCAAGACTGATAGAGATATCACAATACAAGCTAAGGCTCCGCCCCAAGGCCATCTGATGTGGCATCTGTTAGGGAACTTGCTGTTCTAACTCCCAGCTCAGCGCTCTTCTAGGCCTGGCAGTCTTCTGGAAGGGTCTCCATGGGGAGGTGGTAGAAAGGAGCATCCCACAAAGTAGACTTCAGGCTTAAGAATAATGTTTCCATTTCTTAGGAGGAGTGTGTATTCATGTGTTGTATATATAATAAAAGAAATTTGTTCTAAAACTATCAAAAACCAGAATCATCCAAGGCATGATCTGAACTGGACTCAACCTGAAGAAAACCAGTTCTCTACCTTGGCTTCCCTCATATTAGGGAAAATTCTCATGGATTAAAGAGGGCAGGCAGACTGGGGGGAATAATAACCGTAAATGTTTAATTACAGAATATGATTAACTGGCTACGTGTGTGCTTCAGTGAGCATTCAGAGCGTTAACAAAAGTAAGACACAAGAATTCTTGGAGGCCGGACACAGTGGCTCACGCCTATAATCCCCACACTTTGGGAAGCTGAGGCAGGAGGATCATTTGAGCTCAGGAGTTCAAGACCAGCCTGGGCAACAAAGCAAGACTCTGTCTCTATAAAAAATAAATAAGTATTTTTAAAATAATAATAATAATAATTGAATACAGTTTACCTGAAGGTTAGCTTTTAACCAAGCATATTGAACCCTTCTTTGCAGTGTATTTTCAATAATTTGGGGGGCAACAATTACATCTTAGCAGCAAATCTACCTGCTATTCCTCTATTTGAATTTTGTGTCATTAAAAACTTTTTTGCTGGGCGAAAAACATTTTATAATTACAATTATGGACAGTCATTTGTGCCAACCTTTAGTGCAAACAGAAAAAATATTTTTAGGCCAGGTGCGGTGGCTCACACCTATAATCCCAGCACTCTGGGAGGCCAAGGCGGGTGGACCACTTGAGCTCAGGGGTTCGAGACCAGCCTAGGCAACATGGCAAAGCCCTGTCTCTACAAAAAAGAAAAATAAAAGAAAAAAATATTTTTATATCATACAAATAAGACATCTGGCATGTCTTTAACATTTTTAGATTCCTTCTATTAAAATATTTTGCCAGGTTATCAGTTGCTCACATCTCAGCAGCCACCAATACTTGACTTTGTTAACATTTTAAACAGTAATCCTTTCTTCAGGTACCTTTCCTTTCCTTTTCATAGCCCTGAAGTCCTATGGAATGAGAAAAAGTAGGCTGGTCTTGTATCATATTTCCCAGTGCTGTCCACATAGTGGGTGCTCCTTCAAGAGTTCTCAAGTATTAAATGGGTTAACCCAGTGGCTAGTTAATTACAGCACCATTTATAAAGACATTAGAGTCTGTGATGACCTTAAATGTCTGTGATGTGAGGAATATTGAAGCCAGCAAG
Organism: Homo sapiens; assembly: GCF_000001405.40. Taxonomy (NCBI): domain Eukaryota; kingdom Metazoa; phylum Chordata; class Mammalia; order Primates; family Hominidae; genus Homo; species Homo sapiens. The sequence goes on from NC_000010.11 coordinate 75,024,650, forward strand.
TACCATTGGAAAAATATATGCTAGAAAAGCAAAGCTTAGTTTTTAAAATCTCCAGTCAAGCTGCTAGGATGTTCCCTCTCAGAGCATCTGCTTGAGTAAACAACTGTTTTATTTGGAAAACACTTGCCTGTGTAGTTGGAGCCCGAGAGGGATGTTAGACATCAAATGGAAGGTTAAGTACAAAGGCATTACAGAAGTCACCACGTGTAAGATTCTCAGACACGCGTTCAGTACATGTCTACTGCATATCGACTCAACCATTTAATTTCTCATGAGCTCTTATGTGTTATGTTTGGAATTAATTTCAGAGGCCTTTTGTACTAAAGAAGAAAAGGGGTCGTAAACGCAGGAGGATCAACAGCAGTGTAACAACAGAGACCATTTCAGAGACGACAGAAGTACTGAATGAGCCCTTTGACAACTCAGATGAAGAGAGGCCAATGCCACAGCTGGAGCCTACCTGTGAGATTGAAGTGGAGGAAGATGGCAGGAAGCCAGTCCTGAGAAAAGCATTCCAGCATCAGCCTGGGAAGAAAAGACAAACAGAGGAAGAGGAAGGAAAAGACAATCATTGCTTCAAGAATGCTGACCCTTGTAGAAGTAAGTAGAGGAATGATAAAAACCTTACCCTTGAGAATGTCTGTATCTGACTGGGTGCCAAAGAGCAGGCCTCTGGCGTGATGCCCAGAGGCACCTGCGAAGTGGTGCTGATGCACCTGGAGCAAGTGCCCATCTGCCCTTTCCCATCCTTACAAGCTTCTCTCCCTTCTTCCTGGAATTGGATTTTATGTTAAACAACTTCTAAGGCCAGAACATTCCTCTAGGTGGGTTCATCTTACTTACCAGAAATTGGCTTATCCCCAAAAACTTTGAAGTCTGTTGACAAGAAACACATTACATTTCTTTGATTCTAATATGTACTTTTTTTTTTCACATTTAGTTATTTCTGAAATCAAGGTATATATTATTATCAGTGTGAGCATTGAATGGAATCGTTTCTTTTTTCCTGGAAAACAAATATTAGTAAATCAATAGTACATTTTATAATCAGTAGTGTCGTAGTATATACTACTATAAAGATTCATCTAAACTAAGCTGGGCATGATGGCTTACACCTGTAATCCCAGCACTTTGGGAGGCTGAGGCAGGTGGATCACTTGAGCCCAGGAGTTTGAGACCAACCTAGGCAACATGGCAAAGCCCCTACTCTAAAAAAAATACAAAAATTAATCAGATGTAGTGGTGTGCACCTGTAGTCTCAGCACTTTTGGAGACTGAGGCAGCTGGATCACTTGAGCCCAGGAGTTTGAGACCAGCCTGAGCGACATGGCAAAACCCCATCTCTACAAAAGATACAAAAATTAGTCAGCAGTGGTGGTGTGTGCCTATAGTCCCAGCTACTTGGGAGGCTGAGGTGGGAGGATCACCTGAGCTCAGGGTGAGCCATGATCGTGCCACTGCACTCCAGCCTGGGTGACAGAATGAGACCCTTTCTCAAAAAAAAAAAAAAAAAAAGGAACCATCTAAACTTACCCACACATCAATATTAGCTTTGATAATATTGCATAACATAAAAATCAGTAAACTGACTTTCCTTTTAAGTTGACAGGGACACCTCTACCCCATCCTCTAAAAAATACACTGAACACCAGTGAATCGTCTTTAAAAGCACCCATCCTTGCCTGTCAGGTTGAGAACGTGTGCTCCCAGCTGAATCATGAGGGTTTATGGTATACTCTCTCTATTCCCTGGCCAAGATGACTCTATTCAGAACTTACTTTAATCTGGGGAACAGGCCATCTCATTTCCCTGGGAACCACAGGATCACTCTAGCTTTTGAAAAGCCACAGTTTTAAGAACATATGCAAGCATCTTCTTGATTTTCTTAGTTCACAGAAATGCTATTCCTGCATACAGTATTTTGCTGAAGGAATGACTTCTTACCCTGGGTATAGAGAAACCAAGCCTTATTCTTTGGGTTTTTTTTTTTTAAACAAATAACAAACTGCAGTGAGCGATCATTTTGTGTGTGAAAATGAGGTTTATTTCCCCTTCTTGGCTGTCTTCTCATATTATGCCTGATTCCTTTCAGGATGTCCTTCTTTCTTAAAAATAATTGTCAGAAAGCTCATCTTCTGATTTTGGGAGGTGTTCCAACAAAAGCCGGTAGGTCCAGTAGCACGTAGAATAAGAATGCAGAATCCAGCCAGGCATGGTGGCTCATGCCTGTAATCCCAGCACTTTGGGCGGCCGAGGTAGGCAGATCACCTGAGGTCAGGAGTTCAAGACCAGCCTGACCAACATGGTGAAACCCCATCTCTACCAAAAGTACAAAAAAATTAGCTGGGTGTGGTGATGCATGCCTGTAAGTCCCAGCTACTTGGGAGGCTGAGGCAGGAGAATCGCTTGAACCTGGGAGACAGAGGTTGCAGTGAGCCGAGATCATGCCACTGCACTCCAGCCTGGGCAACAGAGCAAGACTCCGTCTCAAAAATAAAAAGAATGTGGAATCCGGGGGCACTGGCATGGCTATTACCTGCCATTGTGAATAGAAATGTCCTGAGATGACTCTTAACTCGGGCATGGTACTCGGCACTTCTCAAGGAAACATTCTACATCACATATGTGTTCTTTTCAGCTGGTCGGTTTGAATGTAATACTTGCAGGTAAGTTTATCTGTAATCCTTTTATTACCTAAATCAGCCAGTGCTTACTCTGCTGTCCACCAGTTGGACTAGAACTCACTCTATTCTGGCAGAAGGGATATCTGTTTTATGATGATTGTGAGATCTTATTTTTATTCTCCAAAATAGAGTTTCTAATAAGACTATTGTTCTATATAAAGCTTTTCCTTTAAATTGACCACTGATTCTAGAAGATTGGTGTAATCTAAAGATCTTAAGAATACTTGGGTGCTTCATGCATATATTTATTAATATATATTTATTAATATGTATATAGCTATTCATCTGCTTGTATAAATATGTACATATTTACATTTATATTAACATGTGCATATAGGTTCAGTAAAAAGCTCACCTGAACTGAAATGAACTTCACAATTATGGTTTGTTTCTAAGTGTCTTTAATATGCAAACCTTACATCAGCAACATATTGATCCAGAATTCAGTGTGGACAGAATTAGTGTTAAAAAGAATACCTGTATTTTAAATGTTCAGGAATTTGCTAGTAATTACATTGTAGTTTGTATCATGCAAAAATGATGATCCTAAAAATGATGATTACAAATGCATTTGTTTTGGGTATTTAGTTATTTACTGATTTGTTTCAGAGGTACACAGCTTATTTTTATGCCAGAGAGAACATTCAAATCAAAGTAAATAAATCATGTCTTCCAAGATCATTTACATCCTATAAATGTCCACAAACAGAGGTTTACTTTCTCTAGGTAGATATGAGAGTTAAGGCTTCTAGTCATTTTTCCAGGACAGTAATGATTTGTATATAAGCTAGCATTAATTCCTTTCCCCTATATTTCCTAATTTGTAAATGTTCAAATTGATTTTTTTTTTTACACTGTGGAACTCTGGGCTTTTGCATCAGAGAATGTCTTGTTCATTAAATTCAAATAAGCACATTAGCATTGCCTATATCCATGTGTTCCCAATATGTTACTCTCCCAGGCCTAGGTTATTTACTTGGTTTATAACACAATATTATTACACATTAGCCTTGATTATGTCTTTACCATCAACTTTTAACATGCCAAATTGAAAGCAGTGTTTGCTAATTAATTTAGAGGAATGAATTCAAGTTGCCCATGGTTATGCTTTCTAAGACTGTTTTTTTTCCTTCCCGTTTTTGTCTCTTCACTAAGACAATATGAATGATGATTCAAGTAACTTGAAAGAAGGCAGTAAAGACAATCCCGAACCTCTAAAGTGCAAACAAGTGTGGCCAAAAGGAACAAAGCGCGGTCTATCTAAGTGGAGGCAAAACAAAGAGAGGAAGACCGGATTTAAACTGAATTTGTACACCCCGCCAGAAACACCCATGGAGCCTGACGAGCAGGTAACAGTGGAAGAACAGAAGGAGACTTCAGAAGGAAAAACCAGCCCCAGTCCCATCAGGATTGAGGAGGAGGTCAAGGAAACTGGGGAAGCCCTGTTGCCTCAAGAGGAAAACAGAAGGGAAGAAACATGTGCCCCTGTAAGTCCAAACACATCACCAGGTGAAAAACCAGAAGATGATCTCATCAAACCTGAGGAAGAGGAAGAGGAGGAGGAGGAGGAAGAGGAAGAAGAGGAAGAAGAGGAAGGGGAAGAAGAAGAAGGAGGAGGAAATGTAGAAAAAGATCCAGATGGTGCTAAAAGCCAAGAAAAAGAGGAACCAGAAATCTCCACGGAAAAAGAAGACTCTGCACGTTTGGATGATCACGAAGAGGAGGAGGAAGAGGATGAAGAGCCATCCCACAACGAGGACCATGATGCCGATGACGAGGATGACAGCCACATGGAGTCTGCCGAAGTGGAGAAGGAAGAGCTGCCCAGAGAAAGCTTCAAAGAAGTACTGGAAAACCAGGAGACTTTTTTAGACCTTAATGTGCAGCCTGGTCACTCGAACCCAGAGGTCTTAATGGACTGTGGCGTCGACCTGACAGCTTCTTGTAACAGTGAGCCCAAGGAGCTTGCTGGGGACCCTGAAGCTGTACCCGAATCTGACGAGGAGCCACCCCCAGGAGAACAGGCACAGAAGCAGGACCAAAAGAACAGCAAGGAAGTCGATACAGAGTTCAAAGAGGGAAACCCAGCAACCATGGAAATCGACTCTGAGACTGTCCAGGCCGTTCAGTCTTTGACCCAGGAGAGCAGCGAACAGGACGACACCTTTCAGGATTGTGCCGAGACTCAAGAGGCCTGTAGAAGCCTACAGAACTACACCCGTGCAGACCAAAGTCCACAGATTGCCACCACGCTCGACGATTGCCAACAGTCGGACCACAGTAGCCCAGTTTCATCCGTCCACTCCCATCCTGGCCAGTCCGTACGTTCTGTCAACAGCCCAAGTGTCCCTGCTCTGGAAAACAGCTACGCCCAAATCAGCCCAGATCAAAGTGCCATCTCAGTGCCATCTCTGCAGAACATGGAAACCAGTCCCATGATGGATGTCCCATCAGTTTCAGATCATTCACAGCAAGTCGTAGACAGTGGATTTAGTGACCTGGGCAGTATCGAGAGCACAACTGAGAACTACGAAAACCCAAGCAGCTACGATTCTACTATGGGAGGCAGCATCTGTGGAAACGGCTCTTCACAGAACAGCTGCTCCTATAGCAACCTCACCTCCAGCAGTCTGACACAGAGCAGCTGTGCTGTCACCCAGCAGATGTCCAACATCAGCGGGAGCTGCAGCATGCTGCAGCAAACCAGCATCAGCTCCCCTCCGACCTGCAGCGTCAAGTCTCCTCAAGGCTGTGTGGTGGAGAGGCCTCCGAGCAGCAGCCAGCAGCTGGCTCAGTGCAGCATGGCTGCTAACTTCACCCCACCCATGCAGCTGGCTGAAATCCCCGAGACGAGCAACGCCAACATTGGCTTATACGAGCGAATGGGTCAGAGTGATTTTGGGGCTGGGCATTACCCGCAGCCGTCAGCCACCTTCAGCCTTGCCAAACTGCAGCAGTTAACTAATACACTTATTGATCATTCATTGCCTTACAGCCATTCCGCTGCTGTGACTTCCTATGCAAACAGTGCCTCTTTGTCCACACCATTAAGTAACACAGGGCTTGTTCAACTTTCTCAGTCTCCACACTCCGTCCCTGGGGGACCCCAAGCACAAGCTACCATGACCCCACCCCCCAACCTGACTCCTCCTCCAATGAATCTGCCGCCGCCTCTTTTGCAACGGAACATGGCTGCATCAAATATTGGCATCTCTCACAGCCAAAGACTGCAAACCCAGATTGCCAGCAAGGGCCACATCTCCATGAGAACCAAGTCAGCGTCTCTGTCACCAGCCGCTGCCACCCATCAGTCACAAATCTATGGGCGCTCCCAGACTGTAGCCATGCAGGGTCCTGCACGGACTTTAACGATGCAAAGAGGCATGAACATGAGTGTGAACCTGATGCCAGCGCCAGCCTACAATGTCAACTCTGTGAACATGAACATGAACACTCTCAACGCCATGAATGGGTACAGCATGTCCCAGCCAATGATGAACAGTGGCTACCACAGCAATCATGGCTATATGAATCAAACGCCCCAATACCCTATGCAGATGCAGATGGGCATGATGGGCACCCAGCCATATGCCCAGCAGCCAATGCAGACCCCACCCCACGGTAACATGATGTACACGGCCCCCGGACATCACGGCTACATGAACACAGGCATGTCCAAACAGTCTCTCAATGGCTCCTACATGAGAAGGTAGACAACGTGGGCAGTCCACAAAACCTACGGGGCATCACTATTGGATTGATCTGCACAAATACCTTTGAAGAGTACGATTTCAAAACCAGCAATTGGTGTGAATGCAAAAACATTTGTTGGCACCATTTATTTAAAAAAAAAAAAAGCTGTATGCAGCAGAAAGCCTTATACAAGTTGTTTTTCTTTTTTTCCTTTTTCTTTTTTTTGGTACCTTCATTTCTGTTACTTTTATATAAAATTCTCTGCAAAGGAAGGCCTCTCTTTGGACTACAATTTGGAGGCAGCCACTTGTTGTGCCTGCTTCTGTTAAACAATGTGGATATCAAGCCCCCCCAAATTATCTGTTTTAATATTGAACCTAGAGCTTTTTTTTTCCCTTCCCTGTCCACTCCATGTAAATGCCTTTAGCATTTCAGTTATTGTATATTTTGTTTAAGGTGACACTTCAGCATGCCGCTAATGTCTTTGTTAGTGACAGTGCATTTTGTAGTACTGTACAAGTGTTGTGCTAACAGTAAGCCATTTCTTAAGTTTTTTGCCTTGATTAGGGTGCCCTAATTTGAGGGTTTTAAAAAAAACTATATTTTTGTTAATTATAAAACTGTAAAGAGCTATAAAAGCTATTCCCATTTGGTTAGTCAAAAGGGTTTTATTGCTAAATGTTTGGTGTAAAGTTGAGACCCTTTTCCATTTTGGTGACAGATTTCTTTGGGGAAAAAAGGCAGCTTTCTGTTTTATAAATGCAGACTTCTGTTTATTGAATGAAGCATATCTCAGTGTTTATCTGTCAGGTTTTGAAACATTTCATATATGTCCAAATACTTGGCAGGATTTAAAAAAAAATAGTGAATTTGGTGTAAAGTTGCTATTTTATGGAAATGCCTCTAACTTTACATTTTCATTCCATCTGTAGATTTTTCTATCTTTATAAAATATTGGAGTTATTTTTTAAGGAAAAATAGAAAAGTAGCTTGTGAATAGCTCAAACTAAGCTTACAAATCGCATGTAAAAAAGCAAAAAAGTTATTTGTGTCTGTTTATATTGCTTCCTTTTTTGTAGCCTTTGTACCTGTACAGGGTGACAGTAAGGGCCAAGCAGGAGAGGCGTAATCCTTGTATAAAATAGGATCCAGCGACACTCTTGTATTTATCTGTTCTCTTTTTAGTCAGTCACTTCAAAAAAACAAAAAACAAACAAAAAAAAGCTGTACATTTTAACATAAAATAAATTATGATGAGCCATTTTTAGCCTCTTGTGTCCTGTCATATTATGATTGATAGAGAATGACCAATGGAACTGTATCATGTGTCACGCCTCAGAACACATACACATTTTGGGAAAATAAATTATTTAGTGTAAATTGGAGTTATGGGATTTTCTGATTTGTTTTGACTTTGGGGGAGGGGTTGGCAATAAATAAGAGTAATATCTAATAAAACCATCACATATACCAAATACCTATTTAATAAATTAATTTATAATGGATTTTAATGCTTTTCATGAAAGTTTATTTTATGCGAGTGCATACCTTCTGTATGCCAATCATTGTCTTTAAAATAAAGTGAAATTGTTTTTTTCTTTTGGACTTTGATCTTCATTTGCAAAGAGATCCCGCACAAATATCCAGCTGCCTCACTCGCACAGTCTGTAGAAACATCCCTCCAAGCCTCGCACCAGGGTAGCAAACTTCCTTTTTATAAAGATTCATACCAAAAAAAGCACCCAATTTGGGATTGTATGTTTGAAAAATCATTTTCTTTTTAAAAAGTGTGAACGTTTTGCTCTGTTGTGAATGATTAATTGTATGTTTTCTTTAGAGTCTAAAGTTTAGACCCCCTGCCAAAAGTGAATATTCACAAGTATAGCGTTCAGAGAAAGTTCTGAGTGTTGCTTGAATTTGGTTATTTGAGCAACAAGTCTAGAAATGAATGCTTGACCTAGCACCCGTGTGAAACTAGCCCGTTAAGCTCTCCAGGTGTCTGAACACGTGTGCTCGCAACTCCTCTGTTAAGCAGGTCACTACCCTGTGGAGGAAAAAAGTTGCTTTTGCACTGTTGATTCAACACACACACACAAAAATTAGATGTTTTACAAAGCATAGACATAAGCCTTAAAGTGGACCCAAAATCGTGCAAGGGCAGGATAGAGCGTACACACCAGAATAAAAGGCCTTGTGCAGACAGAGGGTGCCCAGTGGAGTTCTGCCTTGTACTCTCACCCTTATCGTTATTTTCTTTCACAGTTACAAAGTGTATTGGGTTTAGTGTCACAATTTTATCTTTTAGTCCCTTCCTTCCTCAACTGCAAAGTCAATGGGGGTAATATATGTAACAGCTGAGGGAGGGCTTTCAAGAAGACACGTCTGAAGGGCCGTCAGCACAAAGGGAAAAGATCCATTTAAGCTGCTGTGCTAATAGGAAAAGAAACCTATCAGCCATCCTCAGAGTAGGAAGTGGTGGTCTATGCCTGCACAAATCGAACACTGCGTCCATTCAGGAGTGGCCAAGGACTGGGCAGCCCAGTGGGCCACACATCGGGCAAGAGGCTGCCCGAGCCCTGGAGGTGGGGTTGGGGCCTGGAAGCAATCTGATCGGGAAGCAGAGCCCCGAACGGGCTCCGACCTGTCACATATTTTGTCTCTTTCCTCTTGGGTTAAGATTCTCTGGGGGCTGAGATTCCCCTCTGTGTTCCCTTTGGCCATGACCTGCTAATCACACCTTGTGGTTTGTGCGATGTCTGAGTTCCCATACCCTGCCAGCCTAACAGCCCTCTAAAGGAGCTTGTGGAAGAGTCCCAATCATTGCCCCAGACCTGCCAAACCCTAATCTTAGAACAGTCCCAGGGACACCTCGGTTGCCCAGGCTCCTTAAGGACTGCAGCATAGCTAGGACTAGGAGCTTCCGTGCTGGCCCCAGTCCCAACATTCCTTGATGGAACAGAAAGGCTTAGCATAGGAAGGAAACTGCTGATCTGAGATGGCCTCAGAACACCCTGCCCTCCACCTCACCCACTCTCACTAGAGAAATCAGTTCACATCTGAATGTGACGCCAAGGATTTGGCGAAACAGGAACTTGGATTCATCAAAGCTGAATTCATTCGATTGAGATTCATTAACAGGCCACATCATTTAAACCCTAACTGTGTTCTATTATTTGTAAGAGTCGTACCAAGTGGTGGTCAGTTGCCAGCCTCACGTTTTAATAGTTGCAAGTGGTGCCTACGCCAGGTGGGAGGGCATCCACCTTCCTCACCAACATTCTATTTTAGAAGTAATGACTCACAATATCGTCACAAAGCTTTCACAAACTCCTCCCACACACCCACCCTGTGCAGGAAATGGGGCCATTCTTTCCAATGTACAGATCAGGATGTTGAGGCTCAGATTAAGCTACATTAATTACCCAAACTCACCCAGCTAAAATGTGTGAGCTGAAACAAACCCAGGTCTTTCCAAATCCCAGCTCTTTTTTTCTAGGACACTGTATTCTGAAAGGCCCTAATTTGTCACCTCTCTGATTTAAAGGCTTGGCTAATGAATACATGTTGCTGTAAAAACTGTTAAGTGCTATATAAATACAGATCCCTTTGTGGCTGCGAGCAAGCCTTGGTCTACAATCAATCTTCGATACTCAAAGTACACGTACTGTTACATTATGAAGCAGCACCTTCCATTTCTCTGTACCCAGGTTTCCATCGTTCCTTCTACCTTCTCCATCCCCTTTCCTGGACCTTCCTCCTCCACCCAGGCTTACCTATAAACATTGATGTTCTGCAACACTCAGGCCGGGAGTGTTCTCTCTGTTTTCTCTCATCATCTCATCTAGTATGATGACTTCAAATTCCACCTCTCTGCAGGTGACACCCGGAATTACATCCCCAGTTGTGAATATTCCTCTGAGCTTTAGATGCCACGTCAAATGACCTGGGACACCTTTTGTACATCTGCATGACAACCGAACTGGTGATTTCCGACCGCTCCTCCGTTCCTGCTCTGGTCCATCCCATCTCAGTGTTAAAGCACTGCCGAGAAACCTCGATCAGTTAGCCCTCATTTCCCTCCCCATCTCGGGAGGTCCCGTCCGTTTTCTGGGTTAATTCCAAAATAATCTTGAATACTAATCCCCTGGTGCTGTCAGTCCAGCCCATTTCCTTTCCTGTCAACAGCCTCCTAACTGCTCTTGCCTCGCTTCTTAACTCCCTACAACCTGTTCTCCATACTTCAGCCAAAGGATCTTTCCAGAGTGATCTTGAAACAGATCATACCATTCCCCGGCTTAAAACCCTTCAGTGAATCTTCTGTGTACCTGGAATAGAATCAAGTCCCTCTGCCCCTCTCCTTCCACTCCCACTCTCAGCCACCAGCTCCAGCCTTACTGATGGGCAGTTCCTCAGCCTCGAATGCTCCGGCACATTTGGAAGGTTTGTGCCTTCAAGTCTAAGAGAGGTCTTCCTTGACCACCCCGCCTAAAGAGGGTTTCTCCCCTTTCCCCACTTTTCTCTGCCTCCATGCCTATTTCCTGCATTGTGCTCTATCACAATGTGCATTTTCATTTTTCCTGTTGGCCCCTAACCCAGGTTTTGGCATGTGGTAGGTTCTCAATAGACACTTGGTGACCAAACAAATATTTCATATCTTATTTCTGAAGACTTGAAACACTTTTGCAAAAACTTCTGTTCCTCCTTTCTCCTGCTTCTGGCTCCCAGGAGTCATGTAGAAGAGACCAGAACCGCAACTTTGCCATTCTCAGCTTCTGTTGCCTTCAGCAGGACCCAGAGTCCCACAAAGAGATGAGAGCATGAGGAAGGTGTGGGGTGCTCAGGAAACACCAACAATGCACCTAGCTACACTCTATCCTCCCTGATGTGAATTCATCTAAATGTAAATATTCATTAAAATAGAAATATTGGCTTCTCTCTGGACATGGAACAGATCAGAGCTAAGCAATAACTGAGTTCAGACCGGGGTAGCAGGATCCTGATGGGGAAGCCTAGGTTGGGGCCACTATGACCCTGGATCCCTTTTGGCCTGCATCTCTTTCCCAAGAGCTGGAATATGGTCCTCTCACACCCAAGTATGAGTCACTAAGCAATTCCATCATCCGTAGTCGTCATACACCCAGTATTGCTCTCTCCCTCACAGCCACATGAGTTGTGACTGATACACCCAATCTCTGTCCAGTTCAGGACTGTCGCGCTTTCAGAGGGAACATGTCCCCCTTCTCTGTCTTAGCACCAGGACATACCAGTTCACTGCACATTTCTATTTCTGTATCATCTCTGCCTTTTTGCTTTGCGACCCCTTTGCAATGTTTCAGGTTTCAAAATGTATTAGAAGACCAGTGCTCTTACCATGAGGGAGTCCCCGGGGAATGCCCCCCCAAGCCCTGTGTGCATGTTAACATGAGGGCCTTGGCTCCTCCTGGGCCAAGGCGACTCTCAGAGCAGACTCAGGGCAGTCCCAGGAAGCCAGGCCTAGCCACAGGGGCACAAAAGCAGGGCATATCCCCAAAGGTCACAGGGTGACTCTCAGGTGGCTTACACTTCTGCTGAGGCCCTGGACTCTCTCCTCCACCCATCAATAACTTCCTCTTTCATTCTGCTGAAAACTACAACCAAACTGAAGAACCGGGCCCCTTTTCGTTTTTTCCTAGAAGGCCTTTATCACATTCTGGTTTCTCCAGGCCATTTCCATGCCTGGTCCTTGACGGCCGGCATCTCCAACAGCAGCAACTCTCTTTGGTTTCTGTCTGGTTTGGGATTCCTGGCCCTGGAAGCTGTCACTACCCGCTTCATGTCTGCTGCCGTTTTCTCCTTCAGAGTGGAAATCACGCAGCCATCGTGCCTGGCTTAGCTCTCAGGGAGGCAAACTCCACACCTGAGCTTACCTGGCTGCCCCATCGTCCCATTCCACAGCAGACAACAATTTGCAAATACTTTCTGCTATGACTGAAAAGCAGCTCGTGTTGCTTTGACTAGAACCCACGTGAAAAGAGCCTCCCTGAGGTCCCCGCTAGAGAGGGTCTCCTCCCTTTTTTTCCCCAAAATTAGAAAGTCAAACTCCTACTTGTCCAAACTCACCACAATTCATTGAATTTTTCTGAGTAGTGGCAGCCCTGGCTAAGAGTCTGAGGAGCCCTGCGTCCCTTGGGAAAGTGGGGGAAGCCTAAAGCAGGGGCCTCTGTACAGAGGTTCAGGACCCCTCCCCACCCTGCTGGAGGAGCACATCTAGAGATGGTGGCGTGAGCCTAGGGGTTCCGCTGAAAAGACAAGCGGCGTGCAAGGGATGCCACAGAAACGCAGGATGCCCGGGAAGGAGCCTCCACAGCTACGCAGGCACTCCCGTGACACTGCTCACCTGGTACGGTTCTGTGGTTGGAAAAGCAATTTCTATTTTAAAATACTTTTTATAAGAAGATGACTTTCCTTTCAGACAAAGCCAAACGTTTAATCACAACATACTGCCTACACATTTTAAAATCTTTTCCCTCTTCCTTCTCACCAAAAAAACAAAACCAAAGCAGGAGACTTGGTGCAGCGTGGCATGCTCCTCTGTGACCCAGAGCCGGGGAGCCCGTCCCTCCCATTTTGCTGAGAGGCTGAGCGCTCAGCTCTGCCCGGGGGCAGCTCTGGGTCCTCCCTGTCCCCAGCACACATGGGGAAGTTGAACAAGATGGTTTGGAAGAGTCGAGCTTCGGTTTCACCATCCCTTCTCTGGAGTCCTAGGCCAGGGCTATGTTCTGCCTCTCCCCTCTGTCCCCAAGTGCCTCTGCTGGCCCTGTGAGTCGGGCCTACAGCTCCCTGCCATCCTCCTCCTCACCGTCCTGGCGCTGGGACCGTCGCCTCTGCTGCACCAGCTGCTTGTCCAGCTCCCGGAGCTGCTTCAAAAAGCCCCGGTTCGGGAGGACGCAGCGGTTCTTGGCCACTTGCTGGATGGCGTCCACCAGGGTCATGTCCTTGTGGATCATCAGGTAGGCCAGGACCAGGGTGGCTGACCGGCTGCGGCCCATGACGCAGTGAACCAGGATCTTACCTGCAGATGGAGCAGGGAGGAGAAAACCCACACTGAGGGGCAGGTGTTGGGGGCACAGGTAGGGCCCACTCCCATCCTGACTGTCACCCTCTCGCCCACAGAAAGTGACTCAGCACTGTGCCCCACAGCTGCCTCTGTAGAACGGGGACACTCTCGGTGTCTTCTTCATAGGGTTGTTGAGAAGGCAAATAACCCTGTAAATAACTCGATTTTAGCACAATTTGTTTGTGCTAATGAATGGCTGCTGAGCTCCTACAGTGTGGCTGGGCTGCCTTTCCCCTGAGCACCATGGCCAGAAAGCAAGCACCCACTTCTTGATTGCTGTTTCGGATCTGGGGGAGGCTGGTCCCAGGTTCTCCCTGGCATGACCGCGCTCCTGGGGTGTGAACGTGTCCAGCTGGATGAATGTCCACCCCTGGCATTCAAATCCCACGGACCTTTCTGGAGGCTGCCGGGCCTCTGGCCAGCCCTGCTGATAACCAAAGCGTTTCTTCCTCTCCCAGAAAACAGGGTAATTCTTTCTGTCATGACTCAGTACTTGAAACAGATGAAAGCTGTAGTTCATTAAGCCTTTTGGGGGCCTGAATTCTGTTAAGTGGCAGAGGGGAGGGGAGAAAGAGTTGGAAGGGAGATGGAGGGGGTGGGAGGAGAGGGGGAGGTGGAGGGAGCAGGAGAGAAAGGGGAAAAGGAGGGACAGAGGACACTAAGCTCTGGTAGGAGTTCCAAGAGCTGAATTTTGTTTCCAAGACTAGGGCATGAGGCCGGGCGCGGTGGCTCACACCTGTAATCCCAGCACTTTGGGAGGCTGAGGTGGGCGGATCACTTGAGGTTGGGAGTTCAAGCTGGGTGAATGCACATGTGTTACTATTGGAGGAGTCAGGCCTATTGAGAAGAATCAAGGTCCAGGCAACACTTTTGTTCCTTCTTGTGGTCAGATTAGCTGAGACCCATCATGCCAGAGCACATCTCTTACCATCACAGGGGCCAGCACTATACCTGTGTTGGGCTTTTATTTCCCAACTTCTGTCAGAGCTCCTAGGGTCCCCCTGGCCAGAGCACACTTGTTGCAGTGGGAGAGATCAGCGCCCCTCTCATGCTTGGAGATACTTTTCTTCATGACTACAGTCAGAGCCCTTGAGGCATGCCTGACCACAGTTCATCTTTAGGAACAGCAGCAGCTAGTGCATACCTATGCTTGCAGGTCCTTATGTTCTCACATACAGTCAGAGCACCTGGAGCCCATGTGGTTAAAGCCTGGCCAACATGGCAAAACTCCATCTCTACACAAAAATTAGCCAGTCGTGGTGGTGCACCTGTAGTCCCGGCTACTCAGGAGGCGGAGGCAGGAGAATTGCTTGAACCCAGGAGTTAGAGGTTGCAGTGAGCTGAGATCGCGCCACTACACTCCAGCCGGGGCGACAGAGCAAGACTGCATCTCAAGAAAAGGAAACCCAAATCCAGAATCTCTACTGCTCCTCAATTGCATGCTTTTAGGAGTGACTGGAAGGTAGGCCTCTGTCACGAAAATCAGACGTAGGCTAAGACTGTTACCCTGCACCACGCTCCGCCCCGCAGCCAGGTGTGCTCCTTGCTAAGCAGACTCCTTCCTTGCTTTCAGGAGATGCTTTCTGCCCATCTCCCATGCACTATCTGGGAACCTGCCTTTCTTAGTAACTTGCAAAGAAATTCTGGTAGAGCCCTTACTTCTTCCCAAGAGGTTCTAGGTGTGTGGAAGTTCTGAGAAACAAGGTGCAAGGTGTATTATGAACTGCCGGGGCTGGAGGGAGATAGGGCAAGAGACCCTTCCAACAGTGAAAATCGGCTGGGCGTGGTGGCTCATGCCTCTAATCCCAGCACTTTGGGAAGCCGAGGTGGGTGGATCACTTGAGGCCAGGAATTGGAGACCAGACTGGCCAACATGGTGAAACCCTGTCTCTACTAAAAAATACAAAAATTCACCAGGTGTGGTGGTGGGCACCTCCCAGCTACCTGGGAGGCTGAAAGAGGAGAATCGCTTGAATCCGGGAGGTGGAGGTTGCAGTGAGTGGAGATCACGCCACTGCACTCCAGCCTGGGTGACAGAGCGAGATTCCGTCTCAAAAAAACAAAAACAAAAACCAAACAGTGAAAATCTGGTCGGTTAAAGCTTATTAGAAGCACCAGAGAATCAACCTCCTGCTTGAAAGCAGGCTTCATTTATTTATTCATACTTCCCTTATCCATAATATATTTTAAGATGCCTTCAGAAGCAGGCCATGGACTGCCAAAAGGAGAGCGTGATACTAAAGTCTGATCTTTAGCGCCTCGTGGCATTTGCCCTGGAGTTTCTTAGAAGACTTCATTAAATTAAAACCACACTAATTCACCTCGGAGGATGCCGAATCGGGGGCAGTTAAAGCAACCCAAGTGGGGTTCCTGTGACAGTATTTTGTGAGTACTTCTTTTTCTGATGAAGAGTGACAAATTCAGTTTTTTCAGATCCTATAACCAGCTGGCATGACTCGCCCTCCATGATATTCGGTGACCTCTTATACAGCAAAGTCACCAGGTGCTCAAAATAAGGGCAGAGGACTCTTCTGTGAGGCCTCGGTGACAGAAGGAATCCCCGCTGGTAGGCAGGTGTCCTGATGGCGCTGCCTCTGATTAGCTCTGTGACCCTGGGCACCTCACTTGTCTTCTCTGGGCCTCTGTTTGCCCAGCTGTCAGGGCAGGACCAGGGACTGGATTATCTCCGAGATATTTTAAGAGTGACTGAGGTTGCCTGGGGAGTTCTTTATAAAGGGTCAAGTCAGGGTAGTGATGGGATGGGAGAGGGCCCCAGGGGCTGATTACAGCCCACGAGTACAGCTCCACAAGGAACGCTTTTCAAAAAGAGTGAAAATGACCGGCTGTGAGAAGCCAGGTAGGGGGAATGGTGTACACTTGGCTGAAACCAGTCAATGAGAACAAAGAACATAGACAAGAGGAAGCAAGGAGTGATGCCTTGCTTTTTGGCCAGACTGTCTATCCACACCACTTACATAGAGAGTGTAAGAAACATACAAGTAGGTCCAGCACTAAAATGCCAAGCAGTGTCCCTTGCCTAGACACAACTGCATGTGGCAGGTGGGCTGAGCACCTGCCGTCCACTGGGTATGAAGTCTGTGGCATTGCTGCTGCTGAGCTAGCGGGCATTTTGTTTGGTTGCTCTGGCCACTCAGGGCACAGGTTACAACCTGATGGCCATTGGGTTGCTTTAGTCTGTCCTTTGCAGCATTTTAAGAAATTTCAATCTGTTGCCAAGACCTAAAAATCGAGTGATTTTATAATCCAGATTGGAGACTTCTGAAAAGTCAGATCTCCCACATTTGCACTGACTCTCACAAGACAAGCATTAGCTGAGGCTGGGTGGCAGGTGCCCCTCTGAAGGGGTACAGGGCTCTCTGCTTAGCCACAAGTGCCCCCTACCCACACCCCTCCGCTGTACATGCAGCCATCTTCATTTGTTTACACTCTGCATGGTTCTGCAGGGTAGGCGTTTGAGCCCTGACTTGAATTATTTAGATATGCCAGTGCAAAGGTGCTGAGAGCAGAGCCTACCCTGCCATCTCCAGTGGGGTCATGTCCTGCTCCCCATCCCTAGCCATCTGGTCGAGTCCCGGCACCCCCATCCATTCATTCTATCCCACTCATAGTCTCTGATCCAAGTATCTACTCTCCTCCGTTGGCCCTTTGTTTGCTAGGTGCCACCTGGTCTAACAGTCATGATCCACAGCAGCCTGACACCTCCTCATAATGTTCTGTCATCTGCCTAGGCCTAAGCTTCAACTTGAGAGCCTGATTCTTTCTGGATTTGGCAGTGGGGGCAGACCCTAAAATTGAGTGCCAGGAACCTACAACAAGCTTTCATGTGAGTATATCTTACAGTTCAAAGTTGGAATGTCTTTTTTTTTTCTTTGAGGATTGGAAACTTTACGATGATGATGTGCACATGCTGGCGTGGTTATATGCTTCACAGTGTATGACCACGCTTTATCAAATACATCCGAGAGCCTGCTGTCCACCAGGTTCTATGCTAAGCGCTTTACGCGCGTTACTGCTGATCCTCATTATAACCTCTGAAGGTAAATATTTTTATCACCGGATGGAGAAACCAAGGCTCAGAGAAATCACATCGTTAGTAAATTGTGTGACAGAAATGTAAACCCAGCCCTGTCTTCTCCGAAGCCTGCCAGGCCCCTTCCATGAAGGGTAAGGTCTAAAATATAGTAATGGCAAGTGAGTGCATTAAACAGAAACTGAAGGATTAGGTTGTTGCAGTCTTTGTTTTTTTCATGTCAAATGTGTTTTCAGTTAACTTCAAATACTATGAGGCAAATTTTACCTTGTGGTGATGACTCAGTTCAGTTGTGTTTTTGATCCTGCTTGGAAACCCAGAATGTACACAGCACAAAAGATGGTTCATAAATAGACTCATAAAAGGAAGGCCTGGAAATGAGGCATCTTCTAATACAGGCATGTTAGCTCTAAGGGTTTTTTTTCATTGTGACATTGCTTTCTGAGCCAAAATAATGACAAATTGTTGGTGGCTATGGTTGGCTGTGGGGCCAGGGCCACCTTGGGATGTCCATTAAGGTCTGATATTGTCCAGCAGACCTGGCCTAGGCCCAGCCCCAGGTTGCAAGTTCCTGCAGCAGACTATTTGGTCAGTCACTGAGCCTTGTAATCACAACCTCTTGTGGCAAGAAAGGCTTTCAGTAACCAGATACCCTGAATTATGTGATGGCTCCACAAAGGGGTGTGTGACACATTGGGCTGAAGTCAGAGCACAGATTAGGGAGCTGAAGTCCCTCTGGCCTCTGTGGAATTCCACTGAAGTACACCCTGCAGCAATAACTGTATATTGTCTTACCCCCGATGCGTCCCTAAGCTGTGCCCTTCTCTCCAAAATAGCCTTGTAGCCTTTGCTGGATTAGGGTAGCCAACAGTGCATTCTGAGCACAAAGACTAGCACTGTGATTTAAAAGCTGGATAATTAACACTGGGAAAACTTGGACGCTGGGGGTGCAAAACCCAAATTATACCTCAAATACAGCGTGCCAGTAAAGCCCAGCTTGTCAGCTTTCTACTGGAGGCCTCACGAGGCTGAGTGTAACTGGGGAGTGTAACTTGGTTGGTGGGCAGGAGAATTTAAGGTCTCTCCATGGATTCCCACTCAAGTCAGCTCCCTGAGGGTTTTCTGGCATCAAAGCCCTTGGCTACTAGTTGGGTTCAGGCCCAGGCACAATTAGTGTCTCCGGCCGCAGTCCCAGCTTTGAGAGCTCCCAGACCGCCTCCGCCTTTTGAAGGATGGCAAATGTTCTTTAGCAAAGACTCCGACCAAAAGGCCTTTTATTCTTACGCCCTATTTCCATTCCCCAGAGCTGCAATCAAGGCCCGAACCCCACCAGCAGCACGCTGGGTGGTGCAGGTCCTTAAACCTTCACAGCTTCCAGGGGCTCGGACCTTTACCCTCGGCCACAAGCAGCCCCAGTGGCCCAGCTTTGCGACAAAGATTTCGCACGCGCACATCCCGCTTCCGGCCTGGGCCTCAGACGGGGAAACCTTGGGCTAAGGGCGGAGCCTAGGCTAGGGGCGGAGCCTTAGTGGGGCGGGGAAGGGGCGGGGCCTAAGCTACGGGCGGGGCGAGTCGGGGCGGGGCGGGGCGGGGCCGATCGGGGCGGGGCCGCGGGTCTCTTACTGTGGTCGTCGCTTAGCGCTCTGTCGATGAAGGCTGCCGCCGGGTAGAAGAAGACACTGAGGTCGAAGGTGGGCAGGTCGTCGGCCTCCACGCCGTGGTACTGGATGTCCATGTCGCGGTAGTAGTCGGGCCCAGTGTCCACGTTCCAGCGGCCGTGGGCCGCGTTCAGCACGTGCGTGAACCCCGCCTTCTGCAGCCTATAGCGGTCCAGCGCCGTCGCCCTGGGCGCAGGGGAGAGAAATCTGTGGGCGCGCGGCGCCCTGCCCCGGGTCCGGGAAACTCAGGGGCCACCCACGCTTTCCGCTGTGGATTCCAGTTCCAGAATGAGGACTAGTTATTGCAAATGAAGTCCCAAAGCTCTGCTCTTACCCGGTCCCCTAGGCCACCTGCACTGTTTTGTGATTCTGGCTCGGCTGTCTCAAGAAAGGACAGGGTGGAGGCTGGGGTAGGCAAGCTGAGCTATTCGTTCGTCCATTAGTTCTTTCATCATTCAGTATACACAGCGGAACCTGGTGCTGGCCTCTACGGTGGTCGCAGATCTGGACCTGCCAAATCGCCTGAAAGCCCTCCAGAATAACCTGTTCATCAGGGCTGCCTTCTCCCAACCTCTGCTCTGAACCTGCTGGATGTTTTTAGGGTTTGGAGATGGACGCTCAACTGAATGGTTTAAAGCAAGGCCTTCCATAAGAGGATTGGATTGGGATTGGGCAAAGTTCACAAATTCACGTTGGCACGATGTGAACGGGAAAGTGTTGCTTTGGGGAGCTGTTGCCCAGCTGGGCAGAGCATTGTTCTGAGAAGGAGGGCTTTTTGAGCCATCTGTTGTTTGAATTGATTGCAGGGAAGTTCTTGAAGCCAGCAGTGAAGTTATTTAATGGGCTACAGCTTTATCTTTCTAGGCAAGAATTTCCAGGAACAGTAAAGTCCTCTTGAAGTAGGTGGCTCTGAAATATGACTCGATGAGAAGGCAGCATGGTGGGGCCGGAGTGGAGATGGGCTGCCAGAGGAAACACGGGTTCTTCCTGCCTGTGGGGTGGGGCAGGGAGAGGCCTGTGTCACTACAAGTGTCAACATTTGGTGATGGAGGGGAAGAAGGAGGCAAGCGCGGGCCAAGCCAAGGAAACAGCACCACCTGAGGTATGGAGGCTGGAGACAACGAAGGCCTTTCAGGAAGCATTGTCTATTTCCTGTAATCAATTATCCATCCCCAAATAATTATTTGCAATCTATTATGTGCCAGGCACTGTGCTGGGTGCTGATGGTAAAGAAATGAACAGGGGCCGAGCACAATGGCTCACGCCTATAATCCCAGCACTTTCGGAAGCCGAGGCAGGCAAATCACATGAGGTCAGGAGTTCGAGACCAGCCTGGTCAACGTGGCGAAACCCTGTCTCTACTAATAATACAAAAAGAAAAAACAAAAAACAGCCAGGTGTGATGGCGCATGCCTGCAGTCCCAGCTACTTGGGAGGCTGAGGCACAAGAATCGCTTGAACCCAGGAAGTGGAGGTTGTCGTGAGCTGAGACCACGCCACTGCACTCCAGCCTGGGTGACAGAGTGAAACTGTCTCAAAAAACAAAAGAACAGGTTAGTGAAGTTCCCTCAGGAAGGTCAGATACTAATGGGGGTAGGAAATAAACAAAGATAATTTTAGATAGCAGTGAGAGCTATCCGAAGGACCTAAAACTTCATGACATGATACAAAATGACTGTGGTCCTGCTTCAGGCAAGGCGGTCAGGAAAGGCCACTGTGGGGAGGTGGTGTTTAAGCCAAGACTGAGGGATGAGAAGGCTGAGGAAGAGTTGGAGAGAAAGCGTTTCATCCAGGCAGAGGGAACAACTGCTGAGAACAGAAAGGAAGCCAGTGTGGCTGAAGTGGCAAGGGGAATAGGAGTTTGGAAAGGTAGAGGGGCTGGAGCATGGTGGGCCCTGCCCGCCATAGGAAGGAGTATTATTGCAAGTGTGGTGGAAGTCTGCTAGAGGATTTTAAGAAAGAAGTAAGCATTGTTTACTTTTTTAAAGATCAATCTGGCCAGACAAGGTGGCTCACACCTGTAATCCTAGCACTTTGGGGAGGCCAAAGCGGGAGGGTGGCCTGAGACCAGGAGTTCAAGACCAGCCTGGGCAACATCATGAAACCCCATCTCTACAAGATATAAGGGAAAAAAATTAGCCGGGCATGCTGGCATGTGCCTGTAGTCCCAGCTACTGGGGAGGCTGAAGTGGGAGGATCACCTGAGCTCAGGGAGGTTGAGGCTGCAGTGAGCTGTGATTGCACCACTGCACTCAGTCTGAGCAGCAGAGACTCTGTCTTTAAAAAAAAAAGAAAAGAAAAAAGAAAGAAAGAAAAAGAAAAATCAATCTGGCTGATGTGTGGGGATCCTGGATGCTAGGATCTGTGTTTGGGAGTCAAAGAGAGCTCTAGAGAGTGTTTAAAGAGAAGTGATACAATCTGGGTTTAAGAAGACACTTCCCTCAATAGCATGAAGACCAGGACTTCAGCTCAGGGAAGATGTGACAAGGGTCTGGAGCCGTACCAGTAAGAGGGTAAAAGTGGCATTGCACTCCAGCTGAGGGCTCATCTCAAGGCCACTGGTAAAAGCATGTGGACAGAAGTGACCATGTTAGATGCTAGCAGGGACCAACACCCTGAGCCAGGAGGAAGCCTCACACCAGAAATATATGCCATGGCCCCTCGGCCAAGGGTGCGCTTGTCTTTCATTGGTTTCCTGGAGCTTTTTATTTGGCATGAGAACCATGATGGTGTCCAGTGTTTGGGAAGGGAATTGAGCATTTGGAAACATTTGCAGACAGCCCATCAGAACTGTGGCATGGGGAGGTGGGGAGTCCCACTGAGCCCCCCTCCACTTGGCTCTTAGTGTGGCCATTCTGACTGTGGGACACATTGTGCTTTCCATTTTTCCTTAGAAAGGTCTGCTTTTCATTTTTCGTCTTGCCCCAAAGTATGTGTACAACAAACATTATGCTTTGGGGACGTAGATCTGCGCCCAATTAAAGCCGCCGCTAATGCAGTCCATCTTGCTGAGTAGCAATCAACCTCACTTTGAGGTTGAGCTCAGTGGAAAAATTAAAATTAACTCTTCTTGACAGGAAGCTCCTACCCACCATGAAGACTGTTCTCTCTGGGTTCAGTAACTGGCTTTCAACATAATCAAGTGGCAGTTTGAATGAATAACAGTTTGCACTTTGCCACTTTTGGGGAGCGGGATAGATATGCAACAAGACTCATTGCCTGACACCTCCATATCCACCACACCAGGCTGACGTTGGTTGTGCCTGAGGCAGAGAAAGGGGCTCGTGAGGACCCTGAGACCCGGTGGGTATTTGAGGCCCACCACAAGTTTTCAGGGTCTTGGCTCCCTGGACGGGAAGGGGAGTTGGTATCCTCACACATCACTCTGGGGACTTCCCCCAGCTTCATTCACTCAGAGTTCAGTTGAGGGCTTGAAAGAGCATCCACAGCAGAATGGGAATCTGCAAATAAATGGAGTGCCTCTTACACAGATGTTGTGGGGGAGGCAGAGCCATCATCACAGACACCCATCGTCCAGTCCCCAGATGGGACAGATGCCCAGCTCAGCAATTATTGGGAGTGGGGCAGGCTCAGAGGGTGGTGTCTGACACTAGATTGCTTTGGTTTTGTTTTTAAATTTCAGGGCCACATACATTATCTGCTCACATATGTTAAAAAGAGACTAAGAAACACAGGGGCATTTTGAGGTGATGGGCATGGAGAAAAGGCCGTGTGCCCCACTCCTGGGTCCACATAAATGCCTCTGCTGAGGGAGAAAAGACTTCAGAAAGAAAAACAGATTTAAGAATGTACTTCCAGAATCTAGATGACACAGGAGCTTTAGTTTCTGGTTAGGCACAATCCTAGATGTGATCAGTCTGTTCAATTTTTAAATAATATGTCGTCTCATGACAAAAATAACACATGCTCAATGTAGAATGTAGAAAACATACTCCCCCCTCCAAAAAAATCACCTGTATTTCTACTCCCCTGGAGATAAAGGCTATTGTTAGCTTTTGATGTAAGAACCTCCCATTGTTTCTCTATGCATAGATTTGTATATTTTATAGAAAGGTTTTTTTTTGGTACAATACTATATATATAAAGTTTCAAAACCTTTGACGTGATATATTGTAAACATCTTCCTGTGGCAACATATAAGACTTCAATAACTGCATGCTATTTCATTATATAGGTATGTCCCAATTTTTTCTTACCAAACATTTTGATGTGTTTCTTTGGGCACTCCTCTGTTTATGTCCGTAGGAGACATTTTTAAAGGTGAAATTGCTGGGTCAACAGATATGGCCATTTTAAAATACATTTGATACTTGTTACTAAATTACCCTACAGAAAACTTGCTAAAATTGCTAAAAATTGCAGTCCGTATTCTTTGTCAATTTCATAGACAAAAAAAATTAATGGTGTCTTGTTTTCACTGATTCATTTTAGCAGTGATGGACATTGTTTACACATTTGTTGGACTCATGCAGTTTACTTTTTTTTTTTGTAACCTTTTTTTTACTCTTCCCAGTTCACTGGAATCATGTAGTTTACTTTTTTTTTCTTTTTTTTTTTTGAGACAGAGTCTCGCTCTGTCGCCCAGGCTGGAGTGCAGTGGCGCAATCTCGGCTCACTGCTCACTGCAACCTCCACCTCCCAGGTTCAAGCAATTCTCCTGCCTCAGCCTCCCGAGTAGCTGAGATTACACGTGTGTGCCACCATGCGTGGCTAATTTTTGTATTTTTAGTAGAGACAGGGTTTCACCATGTTGGCCAGGCTGGTCTCAAATTCCTGACTTCAGGTAATCCACCTGCCTCCACCTCCCAAACCCAGTGGAGTCTTAACCGTGCAGTCTTGAGTGTGCCCGTTCCTTGCAAGTGGACTTTAAAACAGTGGGCACATTTCTGGCATCTGATCTCGGTTAGTTCACCTGATGGGAAAGTGAAATGAACCGGCCTTCCGGTGTCTTGGGTGTTCTTGTTACTTGAGGGTGAAGCTCCTCCGTGTTGAGGCACCTGAGAAAACATAGGGCTGACAGCTGAAACTGACGCATGAACTGAGGTGGCAGAACTGCTGGGAGCCTCCGTTTTCTTTGTTTGCTAAATAGTACCGATTACACTGGCAGTACTTTCCTTGTGAGAGTCTTGTGAAGTTGAATGATGCAATACTGAAGCTTCTTTGAGAGGTTAAAAGATGACTCCAAGGGGAAAAGGCAGTGGAAAGATTTATGTCAGAATGTGCTTATCCCATGACAAAATGTGGTAATGGGATTATATGTAGTTTAAATTTTCTTGTTTTTGTCTTTCTACATTTTGTACATTTTCAGTAATGAACGAGTCATATATTCATTTACTATGTAAATATAGCATGATTTGTATTGTTATTTCCTTAGTTTTCAGGAGAGACCATTGTAAAGGCATAAGGTGGCCTCGGGGTTTTTAACTTCTACTGGAAATCTCCTGTCTGCCCCACTCTCCCAAACTCTATTCCTCCAAGGATGGAGGTGAAGAGAAGAGAGTACCCAGGAGGTCTGGTTTTGAGAAATGATGTCGTGTGAGTGATTGGACTCGGCATTTGCCTAACCATGCAAGGAGATGGTTTATGTTGCTTGAGGCCTTGACTGCTAAGCCGTGTTCTGGCAATGAGAAGGCCAGGCCAGGCCAGGGCCTCAGGCTTCTCTCCCCGACCGTCTTGCCTGTGACTGCTGCCCAGCTATGCCTCAGTTGCCTTCAGTAGTTGGAAGTCCTAGTTATTTCAGGTAACGCCCAGCATGTTAAATTCGCAACCTTGACTGTTTTTTGCTGCATCCTAAACTGGCCACACCACCCACACCTCGAAGAAGCAGGTTAATTTCATTCGTGCTCGGTGCCTTAAGGCGGAATTAGTTCCTCCTTTTCGGGGAGAAGGAGCTGTCTCAGCTGACTGACTTGCCTTCACTTCACTTCCCAGGCTCTCAACGCCAGGCCAGCTGTGGCGATGCCTCTGGCTTCTGAGGCTGTGGGTCTGGTCAGAAGCAGAAAAGCAGAAAGGACAAGACAGAGGTTCCCTGGAAAGCCAGCTTGGGCTGGGTGGGTGGGGCAGGCTGCAGGCCTTGGCAGGAATCTGAGCCCAAATGCCGGACCTTGGAGGCAACTGTAGTTTACACAAAAATAAGGAGCTCCTGAGGGCCCGCACCATTCCATGAGCAGCAGAAGTTTAACCTCACCCTGGCACTGGCTCTCCGACACCCGCATTGTGGAGAGGGAAGAGAGATTTCTCAATTATCCCGTTTCAGCCAAGCCTTATCACTGGAGGCTGCCCTGCCTAGGAATTTGCAATCACTTTGATGGTAGCCAGGATATTTCCCCTCCTGCTGACTATAGGGAAAAAAAGGACTGAAAAAAGATTTTGCTAAGCAAATGAAAGATGTGAACGAGATTAAAGTGAGAATATTTAAATTACAGAAACTTAGTGCTTTCGAGCGTACTCAAGCATTTTTGAAGCACCCATTTAGGGACTGCTGATTGATAAGAGGTGATGAATTATTCTTATCTCATCATTGACGCCAGTCCCTGGCTCTCTGGAGGACAACACTTGGTTAACCTAATTTGAATCTAATTTGAATGACTTAAAAGTAATAAAACAAGTGTGTGCTTGAAACTAATAAAGCCTAATTCATTTAATAGGCCATTTCTTAAATAATTTTATTTTAGAGCTGGAAGGGAACCTTCGAAATCATCCTTTATTTTACAAATAAAGAAACTGAGTCCCAGAACAATAAAATGCTTTGCCAAAGGCCACCCATAGTTGGTGGCCACCCACACACAGTGGGGACTGGGACGCTGTGCCGAGTCATGCCTGAGCCCTCCGCTCCACGCTGAGCCTGCAGTTCCACTTGTGGCAGATTCAGACCCCTATCGAGTTAGAGGAATGAGTGGGGAGTGGGTGGCTACACCTTGTGTGAAGAAGACTTCCCCCGAACCCCAGGAATATCTGCAAGGTGGCCAGCCAGGCCCCACCCCTTCGACCCCTCTGCTGAGCCGGCAGAGTGAGCACCCTCCACGTTGCCCTCCTGTTTGTGGCCTTTTCTCATCAGGCTGCACTGGCAGGGCCACCTTTCCCCTTCCCTGGGCTGCTGAGCAGTGAGGACTTGGAATTACCAGGCAGCCCACTTGGTGAATCCCCTTGAGCTAACCTGGGATGGAGAAAATGCTTTAGCGATTTTGAAACCCGCAGGCCCAAGGAACTTTGATATGGCTGCCTTCTTAGGCCTTAGGTCACCTCCCTGGAAGGCCTAGGAGAGCAGGCCCTCCTTCCAACACTCTGCCCTGGGTCATGATAGAATTCTCATGGGAGAAATCTGACCCAGGGTTGTTTTCTCTCCCAAGGCTTCCCCTAGCATGGGGGACCCTGGGTGGCAAGGCACAGTGACTGTGCTTTACCTTCCTCATACACTGTGAATCGAATTTCCAGAACCTGCCTGATTTGTCATAGTTCAAACTTGATGAATGTACTGGGCACCGTGAGACATGTTTTGCTTGCATTAACGCATAGAATCCACATAGGCGAAGAAGCTGAAAGTCACAAAGCCTGAGTGACTTGCCCAAGGCCACACAGAAACCAGTGTTCAGTCCAGACACTGTGGACCCAGAGCAGATGCTTGGCCGCTCCACCTATCTCCACAAAAAGGAGCAAGGAAAAGAGTGAGCTTCATCTTAGAGGTAAGTATGCCCCGCTGCAGGCCCCACAGTCACTGGCCTGGGCTCCAAGGATAGATAGTAGCTTTGGCCATCCCAGGACATCCATCCTTACTCCTGGGTCCTGACCTCCTTCACTTCCAGAGCCTTGGTACTGGGCTTTCAAAAATCTTAGGTGCTTTTAGGGAAAGGAAAAACCTAACCGAAATGTAAATATCAAATTAAAACTGAGGCTTTGTGCATGAGGAACCAGCTTGGAGCTTTTGGCTGCTTTGGGCAACCCCTGCAAAGAGACCAAGAAACACAGGCAGCCTTGCCTGTTCACAGCCCAGCTTATAACCTTTGCATGGCTGCATTGGCGGTAGAGTTAATTGCTCTTGCAATAAGCGTCTGTGAGTCTCATTAACCTTGTTAAGTGAGTGTCACAGAAATCAGGGACAAGCACACACCATGCTGACTTGAGGCTCCCTCCCTCAGCTGGGGGTGTAAA
The DNA here is from genome assembly GCF_000001405.40 of Homo sapiens. Classification (NCBI taxonomy): domain Eukaryota; kingdom Metazoa; phylum Chordata; class Mammalia; order Primates; family Hominidae; genus Homo; species Homo sapiens. The sequence goes on from NC_000010.11 coordinate 75,052,001, forward strand.
GTCTCACACACCTGTGTGTGCTTGTATTGGGGCTCGATTAGGCACAGTTGGATTGAATTAAAAGGGCAGTGACATTTTCCATTTTCTTGGTTGAAAGAAGCAAGTTCAAGGTCAAACATCAAGGAGGCAAGCATATTTTATTGTCTAGCACTCGATTAACTAGAACACGTCAGTTCTGCTCAGACACTCAATGGTTTTCTGAATAAAGTCCCTTGGCCGTCATTCACCCTTCCATGAGCTGGCCCTGACCTACCTTTCCAGATTTCTTTTTTGTTAACTATAATATTTGCATTTGTCTACTTTTTTTTTTTTTTTTTTTTTTCTTGAGACGGAGTTTCGCTTTGTCACCAGGCTGGAGTGCAGTGGCGCGATCTCGGCTCACTGCAACCTCCGCCTCCCGGGTTCACGCCATTCTCCTACCTCGGCCTCCCGAGTAGCTGGGATTACAGGAGCCCGCCACCATGCCAGGCTAATTTTTTTGTATTTTTAGTGGAGACAGCATTTCACCGTGTTAGCCAGGATGGTCTCAATCTCCTGACCTCGTAATCCGCCTGCCTCGGCCTCCCAAAGTGCTGGGATTACAGGCGTGAGCCAACGCGCCCGGCCATCCCCGGCTAATTTTTGTATTTTTAGTAGAGGCGGGGTTTTGCCATGTTGGCCAGGCTGGTCTCGAACTTGTGACTTCAAGCGAGCCACCTGCCTCGGCCTCCCAAAGTGTTGAGATTACAGGCGTGAGCCACCACGCCTGGCCAACTATTCTTCAAGTTGAGGAAAAGGTAAAATAACCTGCCCAAAGCCAATGCACCTGACCAGGAGGCTGTGCCAGATGGCATTATTGTTAGAACGTTTGCAGCCCCTCTGGCTGCGCTAGTTATACTTTCCTGCCCCACTGACATGAGGCTTTGGCGTGGACTTGCTTTTGCCAGTGAAATGTGGGCAAAAATGGCATGTGTCACTTCTAAATCAGCTTATGGTTTGCTAGGTCTCTCTTTTCTCTCTGCTGCAAGGCTGGCAAGATCTCAAATCAGGGCTGCTCTATCACCCTGGGTCCTAGAGTAAAGTGGCCGGGAGCGCAGCAGAGCTGGCCCACCATGGACTGCATTGTGAGTGAGAAAGAATCATTGCTGTGGCCGGCCACCAAGATGTTGGGGTGAGCTATTAGACTAGCACAGCTAATCGAAACTGACCACACAGCAGTAGAATTTGGCTTAATCTTGGACCTTCTGAAAGTGTACCACATTCATCCCCTATATTCCAGATGAATCTCCCTGCTTTTCTCACCTCTGTAGCTATTCCCATCCTGCTTCCTCTGCCTGGAATTTCTTTGAAATCCTACCCATCTTCAAAAGTCGAGCCTAGATCCATGTCTTCTGTGATCTTTCTCAGATCCATAATAGCACCAAGCACTTACTGAGCATTTACTACTTGCCAGATACTACTCTAGCATTTGTTTGATTTCATTTAATCTTCACCCAGTGAGATAAGTCCCATTATTGTTGCCACATAAGGTGAAGAGAGGTAAAATAATTTGTCCAAGGTCACACAACTGGTAATTGGCAGAGCCAAGACTCAAACCCCGTGCTCCTTCCCCTCTAGTACTCACCGCTGTTTCTGTTCCCTGTTACATTTCTACCCATCTCCTCCCTCTCCCCTCCTCAACTCTGAAACAGCTTCTTTACCTGACTGACCATGTTTTTTTTTTTTTGATCTGGATTTGAGTATAAATTTTACCCCTTTCTGGTGGTGAGAACTTGGGCTGGTCACTTGATTTCTCTGAGCTTCAGTGTCTTCTTTTTTTCCCCCGCAGCTCCAAGCAAGGTGTCCAGTAAAGGGTTACTGGCTGACTGAATGAATGAATGAACTCTCTGAGCTGTGACTTGTCCATTTGTAAAATGGGAATAATATTTGTAAAATGGTTCCTCCTTTATAGGGTTGTTGAGGAGTCTAAATGATGCCTAGCACAAGGCATGACACCTACCACCTAAGAATTCAATACAACTTAACTATTATTATTATAAGCCATAGGAAAGGTAAATACAGTATATAATATACAGAGAAAAAGCTTACTTCTCACTATGGGGATTGGAGGAAGCTAGCTTCATGGCAGAAGTGACTTGAATGGACTTTGAAGAATGCATAGGATCTGGACTTGGACATGAGGTGCAGGGAAAGACATTTTAGACAAAGGGAACAGCATGGATAAAGATACAGAGACAGTTTAAGTCTTAAAATCTTAATCTTTCCTCAGTTGTACCATTTCTAGGGTCAGATCTAAGGAAATAATTCTAAATATAGAAAAAACATTATGTGTAAAGATGTCCACTGCAGTGTTGTTTATAAAAGTGAAAACATAAAAATAACTGATATGCCCAACAATAAGGAAGTAGTTAAATGAATGCTCTTCTGTTCATCTGATATATTGTCATGTCTATTATAATTAAATATATAAGAAGTAATAAAAGAAAATGTTTATGAATGATGCTATGTGAGAAATAAGAGAAAATGAATAATCATTATAGTTACAATTATATAAAAACAAATTCCAAAACCAAAAGTAATATTCGGAAAGTCTAGGAGGAAATATACCACAATATTAATAGGAGTATCTTTGAAGTAATGGCCTTTGGTGACTGCTTTGGGATATTGAAAGCAATCTTTCTTACATTTATCATTTTTTTATTATCATAGCTAAACTTTACTGAGCACTTCCTATGTACTAGGCAGTGCACTATTTTACACACATTACCCAACTTAATCCATACAGCCCTGTGAGGAAGGTTATCTTATTAGCCTCTTACCAATAGGGAAACCGAGACTTCTCTATTTACACAATGAGCATATGTTACTTTTTTTTTTTGAGACAGGGTCTCACTCTGTCACCCAGACTAGAGTGCAGTGGCACCATTACAGCTCACTGTAGCCATGACCTCCTGGACTCAAGTGATCCGCCCACCTCAGCCCCCCAAGTAGCTGGGACTATAGGTACATGCCACCAAGCCCAGAAAATTTTTAAAAATTTTTGGTAGAGATGGTGTCTTGCTATATTGCTCAGGCTACTTGCAAACTCCTGGGCTCAAGCAATCCTCCCACCTTGGCCTCCCAAAGTTACAGGGTTACAGGGGTGAGCCATCATGCCCGGCCTATTACTTTCATTATAGGAAATATTTACTACATTTATTTAATATTTTGTTATTAAAAGACTAGAGATGTCAGTCCCTCCTTTTTTTTTTTGCTACTTCAAACAGTGTTATAATAAGCATCGCTGCACATATTTTCTCATTATTGCTACTCTTATTTCTGTAAATTACATTTCTTAAAGTGATATTTTGGGTCAAAATATATGTGTGCCTTTTTTATTCTGAACTAATTTTAGACTTACAGAAACGTGCAAATATCACACAGAGATTGGCAATAAAAAGGAATCAAATACTGATACAAGTACAATTTGGATGAACCTGGAAAACATTATACAAAGTAAAAGAAAGCCAGGAACATATTATAACATTCCATTTATACAGAATGTCTGGGAATCAGTAAATCTATAAAAACAGAAAGTAGATTGGTGGTTGCCAGGGCCTGAGAGGCAGGTAGGGAATGGGGAGTGACTGTTTAGTGGGTTCAGGGTTTCCTTTTGAGGTGACAAAAATATTCTGAAATTAGAGAGTGGTGATGTTTGCACAACTCTGTAAATATAACAAAAGCTCTGAATTGTATACTTTAAAAGGGTGAACTTTATGGTCTATGAATTATTTCTCAATAAAGCCAAATTCAAAGAAGAAAACCTTAGAGAGTTTCTGTACACCCCTCTCCTTCCTTCCCCTAATGTTCACAACTGAGAAATTGTGGGTAAATTGTGGCACAGCTAACTATGGATTAATAAAAGTATACAACAGTATGTATATATAGTATGGGGTTTTGTTTGTTTTGGAGACAAACTGTTGCTCTATCCCTCAGGCTAAAGTGCAGTGGCACAATCTTGGCTCACTGCAGCATCACTCTCCTGGTCTCCAGCAATCTTCCTCCCTCCCCAGTAGCTGGGACTATAGGTGTGCACCACCATGCTGGTGCTTTTTGTTTTTTGTGTTTTTTTTGTATAGACAAGATCTCACTATTTTGTCCAGGCTAATCTCCAACTCCTGCCCTCAAGCGATCCTCCTGCCTCAGCCTCCCAAAGTATTGGGATTACAGGTGTGAGTCATAGCACCCAGCCTATGATTCATTTTTAATTGCTTAAAAAATATATAGGCCTGGGTGCAGTGGCTCACACCTTTAATCCCAGCACTTCGGGAGGCTGAGGCAGGTGGATCACCTGAGTTCAGGAGTTGGAGACCAGCCTGGCCAACACAGTGAAATCCTGTCTCTACTAAAAATACAAAAATCAGTCAGGTATAGTGGCAGGTGTCTGTTACTCTTGCTACTCAGGAGGCTGAGACAGGAGAATCACTTGAACCCAGGAGGTGGAGGTTGCAGTGAGCCGAGATTGCGCCATTGAGGGACATCTCAAAAAAAAAAAAAAATTAGCTGGGCGTGGTGGCGCATGCCTGTAATCCCAGCTACTCAGGAGGCTGAGGCAAGAGAATCGCTTGAACCCAGGAGGTGGAGGTTGCAGTGAGTCAAGATGGTGCCACTGCACTCCAGCCTGGGTGACAGAGGGAGACTCCATCTCAAAAAAAAAAAAAAGTAAACCCTTTATATGTGTGTATATGTTTCCTTATGTTGGCAATAGCCCACACAAGGTAGTAGAAGTATGCAAGTAAATTTAACACTGGTTAGTCAGGGGTAGAATTAAGAGGAGACAAAGGGAGATTATGCAGTTTGTCTTTATAACCCTCTACCTCATTTAACCTAGTATAATTAAGCATGTCATATTTGTAACTTTTTCAATTTAAAAAAAGAAAGACGAAAGGCAAGGGATGCTTACCCTGGATCTTCCTATGGCTAGACGATTATCTCCAGGTATTAAGCAGCAAGATATGTATTAAAATCACATATAGGCCGGGCACGGTGGCTCACACCTTTAATCCCGGCACTTTGGGAGGCTGATGTGGGCAGATCAACTGAGGTCAGGAGTTGGAGACCAGCCTGGCCAACATGGTGAAACCCTGTTTCTACTAAAAATAAAAAATTAGCCAGGTGTGGAGGCAGGTGCCTGTAATCCCAGCTACTTGGGAAGCTGAGACAGAGGATTGCTTGAACCCAGGAGGCAGAGGTTGCAGTGAGCCGAGGTCACACCACTCCAACCTGCACTTCAACGTGGGTGACAGGGTGAGACTGTCTCGAAAAAAAAAGAAAAAGAAAAAAAATAAATACAATAATATATGGAGGGGTCCTACAGCATCTGCATCTGCTCCTTGGTGAGATGGAACATGGCTGGAGTCCGGGAGAGTGGAGGGAGGAGCAGTTAAGAACAAGCCTCTGGGTTGGGCAGAGCTGCATTTTAATCCCAGCTCTCTGCCACTGACTGAGCTGTGGGACTTGGGCCAGTTATTTAACTGCTCTGTGCCTCAGTTTCCCTATCTTTATAATGGGAGTAATTAGCCTCTATCACTGGGTTATCAGGAGAGTAAAATGAGATCATGCATGCAGGATGCTTAGCACAATGCCTGGCATACAGTGTTCAAGAAAGGATAGTCGTTATCATTATTAATATTATTTACAGTAGGTGCATCTCAGTTGTGTAGGGAGTGGGGAATGGTGGTTATAAAAATCTAAAGGAGGTGACAGTGACCTAAATTTAGGCTCCCATACTTCCAGGCATATATTGATGTGTTCCTGCACCATCCACCTAAGAACTGATTTTATTCTTGAGGGTATTATAGCTAGCTAAAATAAAAGACTACATTTCCCAGGCTCCCTTGCAGCTAGGGGCAGGGGAAGTCTGGGATGGGACTTTGCTTTCGGAAGATGCCCTTCTGCTCTTTCTTTCCCTCCACCCTCCTGCTGTCTGGGTCCTAGAGTTGATGGCTGGGGTCCTGGCGGCAATCTGGGACCCTGCAGCACCTGGAGGGAAGAAGCCACGTCCCCAGGACAGTGGCGCAGAAACACAGGAGTCTGAGTCCCTGATGACCCTGCAGTGGCCGTGCCAGCCCCAGCCCACCTCCCTCTGCACTTATATGTGAGAGAGAAATAAACCTCTATCTTGCCTAAGACTTTGTTTAGGTTTTCTGTAATGTGAAGGCAAGCCCAGCCCTAACTAATTGAGTTCTCACAGAACGACTACAAATTCCAAAGCCCATGGCTAGGAGGTGGCGCAGGGCGTGGCCTGGGGAGGGGCTGCTGCCTGCTCCCAAGCGAGCCTGGGCCTGGGCACTTACTCATCGCCAATGTAGAGCTTGGGCCAGACCTCGTTGACGTGGGTGTACTGGGGACTGCCCTTCCAGAAGAGCCGCTCCAGCTCAAAGGCTCCAGGGGTGCAGTAGTCCTCCTCCTCCCCTTCCTCCTCCATCTTCGGCGACAGCCTCTTGGCAGATGAGTAGGCATTCTTGAGGCTTGTCTTCACTTCTCCAGATGTCATTTTAGAGCCAAGGGATTTTCTCTCCTTTCTGCAGCTGGTTATGAGAGAGAAGCAGGATGGGGGTTAGCAGGGGACACTGAGGCAGGGAATAGGCTTTACAAAAAGAGGTGGGAATAAGCTTATCTTAAAATTTGGAAAGAGTTTCCCCAACCTGCTATGCCCCGGCTTCCTCTTCCCAGGCCACACAGGTAAACAAGGAAGGCCATGATGGCAGTTAAATGACACTTCCCCAATGTTCCAATCTTTCTAGAGAAGGAGAGCTGGGGTCCTTGGACGTGGGCCAAGGCGGGCTCTGGAGCTAAGAAATCCTGCAAGCAGCCAGTTCCTTCCCACCTTTCTTTAGACTTTACTCCTTTGGTTCCTACTTTTTCCTTTATCTGACTGAAACCTACTGGTTTGGGCCATTTGGGACCCAAAATAGGAAGGCCCAGAAGATTCCTGACATTCCAGGCCTGTGGCCCTCTCAGTGTCTGCAGGGAGCCGTCAGCCAGTGGAAAGAGTACATCGCCAAGGCCATACCTGCCCGGGCCTGGGTCTGGGCCACACGCACATCAGCAGGACTTCAGAAGCCTTGAGAGGGGAGGAAACCTGGCTGCATGAGGGTTAACCTGTCAGAAGAGCTGAAGGCAATGCTCACACTCTCACACTGGGAGCCTGGCCATCACTGTGTTAACTTACCAAGGGGATTGGAAGAGATGCCCCAAGATAGAAAGCTGTGCCTCGAGACTGAAATGTGCATTTGGAGAGCTTGTTAGGCTCTGCCAGTGGAATGTGGGAGAGGACTTTCCATTGTCCCCAAGGAGAGGAATTTGCAGTGGAATTGGACATTGATTGTTTCCTGAGCTGAGTAAATGATGCACCTATGGTCAGCCTGGGAAAGGAGACTGGAGAGAAGGAGGAAAAGGTGGGAAGACTGAGAACCATGGAGGTGAATGCTATTTGTTTATTTATTTGACAAATACTTATATAACACCTATTGTGTGCCAGACACTATTCCAAGTGCTTGATGATTGTAAGCCCATTTAATCTTAACAACACTGAGATAGGGTTATCCTAATACCCTATCATTAGCCCCATTTTACAGATAAGGAGGATCATGAATTGAGGCTGTCTGTAGCACAGGGTCTTAGTGTCAGGGGGAGGGAGATGGGAGGTGCAGTGTGAGGAGGGGCAGGCCGGGGATGCAGAGAATGTAGGAAAGGGTTCATGGCTTCAAAGACCATTAGGAACATGTCAAAGGGACTCAGAATACAACTTGAAGAAGCTTCCACTTATCAAAACTGGAACAATTTGAACATGAAAAATAAAAATAATTCCAGTGGATCAAAACACATCAAACACTTAGGTCATAATAATACTGAAGGCCAGGCGCGGTGGCTCATGCCTGTAATCCCAGCACTTTGGGAGGCCGAGGCGGGCAGATCACCTGAGGTCAGGAGTTCAAGACCAGACTGCCTAACATGGCGAAACCCCATCTCTACTAAAAATACAAAAAATTAGCCGGGTGTAGTGGCGGGTGCCTGTAATCCCAGCTACTTGGGAGGCTGAGGCAGGAGAATCGCTTGAACCTAGGAGGCAGAGGTTGCAGTGAGCTGAGATCGCACCACTGCACTCCAGCCTGGGCAACAAGAGTGAAACTCCATCTCAAAATAATAATAATAATACTGAAAACAGTCCGGGAGCAGTGGCTTATGCCTGTAATCCCAGCACTCTGGGAGGCTGAGGTGGGCAGATTGCATGAGCCCAGGAGTTCAAGACCAGCCTGAGCAACATGACAAAACCCATCTCTACAAAAAAATGCAAAAATTAGCTGGGTGTGGTGGTGCATGCCTGTAGTCCCAGCTACTCAGGAGGCTGAGGCTGAGGTGGGAGGACCACTGGAGCCCAGGAGGCTGAGGCTATAGTGAGCCAAGATCATATCACTGCTCTCCTGGGCAACACAGTGAGACCTTATAAAAAAAAAAAAAAAAACCCAAAACTTATTATGCACGGTTGGAAGATGTTTGGGAACCAGCTCCTTATTTTGAAGATGGATAGATAAAGGAGAAGAATCTGCATGTATTGCTTCTCTCTTTTACAAACTATATACTACTGGGTTGATACGGGAAATGTTCTTTTATAGAAGTATTCCAGATAATGAATAAAGAAGGAAGCACCATTTTACACCACCTGATGAGTTGCTGCATCCAGAGACTGAGCATAAACTGCCAGCCACGTATGAATAAGAAGAGATGGTCAGACATCATATGCCTTCGAATAGAAGAGCACACCACCATGGCGGGAATCATCTCACCAAAGAGGTCTATATCTATCAGCCGACTTGCTGGAGATTCCGAGGACAGTTACGTTATACCACAGGGCCTTATCTTTTAGAAAAACATACTGAAATATTTGCTTCAAAAATAATATAGTTGGAAAATATAAATAATATAATGTTGGGGCAAGGTATTGATGTAGGTGTGAATGAGATGGGCTGGCTATGAGTGATGGTGATTGGGGCTGGATGATGGTTATAAGGTAGTTGTTGTTTCTCTTTTTTCCTTTTTTAAAATAGAGATGAGGTCTCGCTATGTTGGCCAAGCTGGTCTCGAACTCCTGAGCTCAAGTGATCCTCCCACCTCAGCTTCCCAAAGTGTTGGGATTACAGGTGTGAGCCATCACACCTGGCCAGTTGCTGTTTCTCTTCAGGTGTGTTTGAAATTCTCCATGATAGAAATTTAAAAGGAAAGGGTTGAGACCACTGCTTTGGGGAATTGGATTCTCCCAAGTCCATAGCAGATGACTTAAAGGATCACTAGCTAGCCATGAGTGTCTGTAGGGATTGTGGGAAGCCAGGGTTTGTGACTTCCTCCAACAACTTCCTGCTTCCTGGTGAAGTGTGGAGAGGGCAATAGGCAGCAAAGGGGACCCTCCTGTGAAGTCTCTCAAAGTGTGGTCTGAAGACCACGTCTGTCAGAGTCACCTGGCACTAACCAAAAATACAGATATCCGGGCTGCACCCTCGTAGGGGCGCAGGCATCTGTATCTCAATGAGCTCCGAAGTGAGTCTGACGCTTAGTAAAGTTTGATAATAATTGTCTGAGATGTGGCTAGAGAGCCAGGGTGCTGCGGAGTCAAGGGAAAGGTAGTGAGGGTGCTCATTCAAAATGCCTCCCGCTGTCCCAGTGGGGTGGGAGGCCCGGTCTTTGGCCCAGAATGCAGCTGCAGGCTGGGAGGAGAGAGGACCTTGCTTCGGGGCTCCTGAGTGTGGCTTCTCTCTGTAGCCTTGGTGTCTGGCACGTAAGAGGTGCTCAGGAGATATGGGTTGGATGAGGAAGTGGCTTAGTGAATGAATGGAATGAGTGAATGAGTGACTGAGGGGTGAAGGAATGATTAAGGGCTGTGAGGCCTGTGCAAGGGGCTCAGCAAGAGCTGCTAAGGCAGGACTGAGCCTCCAGGCTGATTTGGAGGAGGGAGAAGGTGAGGGGACTGCAGGCGCAGGGTGGGCTGCCCTCCCCCACGGGTGGTCATTCAGGCCCAAACTCTATTCTGGGGCCTGCCTGCTGTGTTTCCAGTCAGGAAGGAAGAAATTATTTTAAGGAGTGGCCAGAAATCTTTCTCACAGAAACGAGCCCAGACCTTTCAGTCCCCTAAGAGCATACGTAGTTATAGCCCTCCTTGCTTCAGGCCCACAGTGTCTAAAGGTGTGAAGCTCAGCTCGTCCATGGCACCCACTCTTCTTGTTCGAAGTGAGTAGAAGCTGGGCACCATACACCTAAAGGTGGTTTAGGCCATCTTGAACCCTGCCTGCGGTTAATGGAAGCTTCAGAAGAGGTGATTTTCGGGAGACGCTAGAGTCAATTCCGTTCTGAAACCTCCGTCTGCCTCCTTTGATCACTGAAGCTGACCTCACCCTTGGTGAGGCCATTCTTCCTTCATTACACTGTGGAGGGAACCATCCCCGTCTCCATCTCTGTGCTGAAAGCCTCGGCTGGATTTCCAGACAAAGGAGGAAGTGGTGCGGTCTACCCCGAGGAGCTTGGCACGCAGAGTGAGCCCTGGGATCTATTATCCTCCAGCACGCAGATTTGATGGGGAAAGAGAACAAAGTGTGGAACCGTCCAGAAACCACAGACCTGTAATCTTTCCAAATCCTGAAGGCGGCCTGTGTGCACCCTCTCTGCATGGCTCCCAACTCTCTAATTCTCAGAGAGGCCAGGAGCATCTGTTTCCCAGATCACAGCCAACATGGAAGGGAAGACAAATCTGTTCTGTTTGGTTTCCATAGATTCGACCCAGAGATTAACTGCCAAGGTCTCAATGACACACACAATATCAATCACAGGCTAAATGTCATAATGAGAGCTGGGCAGGCTGTCAAGAGAGGCCCCCAGGTTCCTGTTACAGCTTCATATTTAAAGATTTGGTCCCAGGAAATCAAATGCTGTCTCCGAGACGACTTGGCCTACATGCAATGGCAGCCTGTCTCCTCCTTAAAAGGTGACAAACTCAGGCTCCTTCAGGGAGGGGCCAGGCAGATAACATAGAGGAAGGAAGTAGGTTGGGTGTTAAAAAGTAAACAAACAAAAACCTGGCTGTTGGCCTCAGGCAAGAGACATTAGGGAGTGGTGGGGAGTGTGGCACATCAGGGAGCATATGCCTCCATTAAGGGGGCAGCAGCTTGCTGTCCCATGTGGGAATGCAAGCCCAGATTTTCTGGTATTTTTATGATCCTCATAGATTGTTGTGAGAAATCTATTGATTTTTAAATGTAAGCCCCTGTAATCGATGCTATTCTTGCCCTGTTACAAGGATAGCATCTACTACAGGTGCCTACAGGTGCCTCCTCAGCTCAAGTCACTGCAGCAGAAGTGGACAGTTCTTTATATACATAAAAGCCTTCCTACCTCAGATGCCTGTTTTCCTGCTTGAGGGCATTTTCTAGTCCTTGTGCTGGTCAGGCCTGCAGTATGTGGAGTTAACATCCCCCAGAAGTTGTCACCAATTAGAGGCAGGAGTTGGTGGATAAACATCCCCACTTCCTCAACCCTGAGTGGACCACTTTTGAAATATGTCCTGCACAGTCTCCTGGAGGCTGGCCCGTGTGTTGGAGCTCCAGTTGCCCAGAGTGGGACTCTGCTCGCTTACACATCCTTCACTGGTTCTCCTCCCTCTTGGGTGCTCTGCATGCCACACCGTGCTCCCGGGAGCACCTCTCAAATAAACAACATGCACCCAAACTCTAGTCTCAGAGTGTGCTTTTAAAGGAAACTAAACCAAGGTACAGCTAATTTAAAAACATTTAAAGGTGAAAGACACGGTATACATATATCAAAACATCACATCGTATCCCACAAATACAATTATTATTTGTCAATTAAAAATAAAAATGTAAGGAGAAAAGAAAAAACAAAGCTACCATGATAACAGAAGATGCAAGAGGCCGAGCAGTACTTGACCACTAAGGCCTGGAGTGCCATTTCCTTCCATGAAAGTGACCTTGCCTTTGAAGAGCTATCAGCACAGGGACTCCTCATTAACTCAGACTCTAGTTCAGACTTTTTTTTTTTTGAGATAACGTCTCACTTTGTCACCCAGGCTGGAGTGCAGTGGCACAGCTCACTGCAGCCTCAAACTCCTGGGCTCAATATCCTCTTGCCTCAGCCTCCCAAGTAGCTGAGACCACAGGTTGCACCACCACACCTGGCTAATTTTTTTTTTAAAGTTTTTTTGTAGCCGGGCACGGTGGCTCACGCCTGTAATCCCAGCACTTTGGGAGGCCAAGGCAGGTGGATCACAGAGTCAAGAGATCGAGACTATCCTGGCCAACATGGTGAAACCCCGTCTCTACCAAAAATACAAAATTTAGCTGGGTGTGGTGGCGCATGCCTGTAGTCCCAGTGACTTGGGAGGCTGAGGCAGGAGAATTGCTTGAACCTGGGAGGCAGAGGTTGCAGTGAACCGAGATCGCGCCACTGCACTCCAGCCTAGTGACAGAGCGAGACTCCGTCTCAGAAACAAAAAACAACAACAAAAAAAGTTTTTTGTAGAGATGGGCTCTCACCATGTTGCCCAAACGGGTCTTGAACTCCTGGGCTCAAGCGTTCCTCCTGCCTCAGCCCCACAAAATTCTGGGATTACAAGCATGAGCCACTGCACCTGGCTTATTTCAGAATTTTCTATTGCAAGGCTTGCATTTAGTTAAAGGTTTCCTTTGCCCAAGTAGGAAAGGTTTTAATCTGAATTTGAAACTGTAATTTGACACCATTATTTTACTTTATGCATAAAAAAACCCAAACAAGCAAAAAACTTTTTATAGTTTTTTTTTTTAACTAGGAAAAAAATACATCAAAATGTCAATACCATGGGTGACTTTTTCTTCTGTTTCCTAATTTGGGATTCTTTTAATAAATAGTGATATTTTATAATAAATAACCATGTGTATATTTTTAAACTGTGCTGGCCAAGCAGAACAGTCTTGGCAGGAAGCTGCTTGTGACTTCTATTTTGCGATTTCTACCCCATCTCACTTGCTCCTGGGGCCTGGCACTGTCACTGGCCCCAGCAATCACTGAAGACCCTCAGATCTACATGTTCCATCCTCCCTGAGCTCCAGTGCCTTCTTTGACAAAAATGGAGCTAAAGCTAGAGGGGCAAAATGCTTTTTAAACAAACAAACAAAAAAACAAAAAAATTTCAAGCTGAACTCTTTTGCTTGCTAAGGTGGCAGATGGGAGAAGCGGCCTGGAGAGATGCATAATTCATTTCAGTGGGAAAATTAAAATCTCTAAGTAGAACCCTTGAGGCTGCAGAGATTGGCTAGGGAGCAATGCCTAGGAATGAGAGCATGTGTCAGGAAAGAAGGCTTATCTTTTTTCTTTTTTTTTTTGAGACAGAGTCTTGCTCTGTCACCCAGGCTGGAGCTCACGGGTTCAAGCGATTCTCCTGCCTCAGCCTCCGGAGTAGCTGACACTACAGGCACCCGCCACCCCACCCGGCTAAATTTTGTATTTTTAGTAAAGACAGGGTTTCACCATGTTGGCCAGGCTGGTCTCAAACTTCTGACCTCAAATGATCCACCCACCTTGGCCTCTCAAAGTGCTGGGATTACAGGCATGAGCCACCGCGCCCAGCCATCTTAATATTTTGAAGAGCCACATACAGGCTTCTTGCTTAACAGAAAGCACAATTTAAGGATTTTTTTTTTTTTCCGTAGAGACAGGGCCTCACTCAGTTGCCCAGGCTGTGGTGCAGTGGTTCAATCATGGCTCGCTGCAGCCTCAATCTCCCAGGTTCAAGGGATCCTCCCACCTCAGCCTCTAGAGCAGCTAGGACTGCAGGCATGTGCCACCACACCCAGCTAATTTACTATTATTATTATCATTTATTTTATTTTATTTTATTTTATTATTTTATTTTTGTAGACATTGTCTTGCTATGGTGCCCAGGCCTGTCTCCAACTTCTGGCTTCAAGTGATCCTCCCATTTCAGCCTCCTGAAGCACTGAGATTACGGGTGTGAGCCACTTTGGCCTATTTGAGGGTCCCTTTGATGGGAAAAACATGAGTTCTGTGGCATGGCCCAGAAAGAGGTGGAGTGAAACAAAGAGAACTAAATTGTTCTGTACAATAAAGCAAGAGACTTTTGAGTTTCCTAGAACATTCTAGAAGGAGTATGAGGGGGCCCTGCGGCAGGACTGAGGAAAGGACCAACTGGGGCCAGAGACCACCAAGTGAGGAGTTTCTGGGGGAGGAATAGCCACGAGATTACTGAGAACGGGGGTTCCCAACCTTCAACTTGGCAGTGCCCCATAGCTGTGGCAGCCCTCTCATTGGGACCCTAACCCTTCAACAGAATTGTTACACACAACAGCCATGTTCTCGGTGACTCCAAGAAATCAAAGGGAAAGAGGCTGGCGCTGGCAGAGAGAGAAAGCAGAAGTTTGTGAAGCAGCAGATACAGAACCATCCCCTTCTTGTACAAAAATAAATTTCCCCAAAATATTAACACTGGCTACATGCTCGTTTTAGGGTGACGAAATTATATGTGATTTTTGTTTTCTTTTTTTAAAGTAACCATCTTTTCTAAATTTTCTGTGCTAGACATGTTTTACTTGAGCATATGGAGGGAAAAAAACAAAATTCCATGAAAGTTCTATTTTAGAAGTGTTCTGCACGGAGTAGAAGCTCACCCAAAACCCCCGGGCCGAGGCAGGAAGGTGGCCCTCAGGACAAGGTCTGACCCTGCTCCTTACATCTCTCCAGTGGCACCGAGTGCCTCCTGTCAAGTGGGAGCCCCCCGAAGGCAGCTCTGTGTCCTCCCCGAGGCTGCCCATGGCAGCAGTCAGGCCTCCGTGGTGTCAGAAGGTCATCCTAGCCGCCTGTGCCTCCTGAGAAAGCAGGAGGAATCTAGGTTTTGTGGATCTTGAAGCTTATTCAATTTCTTTTTTCTTTTTTTTCTTTTTCTTTTTTTTTTTTTCTTTGAGACAGAGTCTTACTCTGTCGCTCAGGCTGGAGTGCAGTGGTGCAATCTCAGCTCACTGCAACCTCTGCCTCTTGGGTTCAAGCAATTCTCCTGCCTCAGCCTCTCCCAAGCAGACACGACTACAGGTGTGTGCCACCACACCTGGCTAATTTTTGTATTTTTAGTAGAGATGGGGTTTCATCATGTTGACCAGGCTGGTCTCGGACTCCTGATCTCAAGCAATCCTCCTGTCTCGGCCTTCCAGAGTGCTGGGATTACAGGCGTGAGCCACTGCACCCGGCCTGAATTTCTTTAAGTAAAAGAAAACCAAACAGGTATAGGGCCTTGGAAGCGGCTGGTGCAAGTGCAGGGTTCTGAAGCTTGGGGTAAATCCACCTCGGAGTAGGGGGGATCTTCCTTCCCCTCTGACTTCAGATGAAGAGGGCAGCCCCCCTCCCCACCCCATCCCTTACAGTGTCAGAGCCAGCATCATTGATTCTGCTTAGCTTGGTCTTAGTCTAACTCAGCTGACATGGGGGTGCTCTGGCGGGTCACGAGAAGGAATGAGGAGTGGCATCGTTCCCTCCTTGACTTCCCCTCAGAAGTTAGGCCTGGCCCTGACTCCAAAGCTTTACCGTGTATGCCCCTGTGTAGGGTTGGGCTGGGCCAGGCCAGCATGGGAGGGGATCGGAAAGGGGTGTGCTGAGCTAAGCCAGGGAGGTCTCTGCCTTCTAGAGGTTTTTAGCTGAGTAGAACAATTTATAGTGTAAACATTTAAAAAATTCTCCTCTCCCTAGAGGTCAAGACTAGCCTGGGCAACATTATGAGACCCTGTCTCTATAAGAAAATATTTTATTTTATTTTATTTTATTTTGAAACAGAGTCTCACTCTGTCGCCCAGGCTGGAGTAAAATGGTGCAATCCAGGCTCACTGCAACCTCCGCCTCCCAGATTCAAGCGATTCTCCTGCCTCAGCCTCCAGGGTAGCTGGGATTACAGGCGCTCACCATCCCGCCCAGCTAATTTTTGTATTTTTAGTAGAGATGGGGTTTCACCATGTTGGCTAGGCTGGTCTTGAACTCCTGACCTCAAATGATCCACCCCCATCAGCTTCCCAAAGTGCTGGGATTATAGGCATGAGCCACTGCACCTAGCCTTCTGCAAGAAAATTTTTAAAAATTATATACATATAACAGAAAAGTTACCACCTTAGCATTTTAAAATACAGTAAAGGCTGGGTGCAGTGGCTCAGGCCTGTAATCCCAGAGCTTTAAGAGGCTGAGGCGGGAGGATTGCTTGAGTCCAGCAGTTCAAGACCAGCCTGGGCAACATGATGAGACTCCCATTTCTACAAAAGATAGAGAAAAAAATAGCTGACCATGGAGGTGCATGCACCTGTGGTCCCAGCTACTTGGGAGGCTGAGGTGGGAGGATTGCTTGAGCCCAGGAGTTTGAGGCTGCAGCGAGCTATGATCATGCCACTGCACTCCAGCCTGGATGACAGAGTGAGAACCTTCTAAATATGAAAAATCCTCCTCTCCCTTCGAAGGCATTCTGTATCTGTGCCTGTGTGTAGATCCATTGC
This sequence comes from Homo sapiens, assembly GCF_000001405.40. Taxonomy (NCBI): domain Eukaryota; kingdom Metazoa; phylum Chordata; class Mammalia; order Primates; family Hominidae; genus Homo; species Homo sapiens. The sequence goes on from NC_000010.11 coordinate 75,068,542, forward strand.
ATTTTCATGTTTCTAAAGCATGGCGCTCATGGGGAAAGCTGGTCTGTGTTTAAGTGCCTGTGTACCACGTTTCTTCCATGACACCACCCAAGTTGGGCTTGGATATGCTTGGAAAGAAGGGGGAGAGTAAAAATGTTATTGTGGTTGGGTGAATTACTCTATTAGGAGAGTAATACCTACTGCTAGGGTACGTGGGGAGGGGCGGAATTTGGCAGCAGTGTCCATATGTAAATATGTACATATTTTTAACTTAGTACAAGTTAGTGCTTGTCTTTACGCATTTTAGATATACAAAAATGATCCCAACTAGGGAATGAAGTAAGTGGATTTTTTTTAAAAAGAAAACTTGGACGTAAAAACTCAGGAATTTTTTGTGGCCTATAATTTAATTCCTAATGTATCAGACATATTCCAAGTTTAACAGATTTTTTTTTTTCTTTTGGATTCTGGCAAGTATGTTAACAGGAGGCAATTATGTGAATTAATATAAAATCCTTTTATTAAAAAATACAGAAGAGCCTTCATTTTAAAAGTAATTTAATATTCCTTCTCTGATGGTGTTGATGTCATGAACTTGTTTGATTAACTCTTCAAATGGTTTCAAAGCGCTTGGGGTTGTAATTTATGAACTTCTAATTGATTTCCCCAATCTTGGTTTGGCAGAGGAGGGCCTCCCGGAAGCCCTGAGGAGGCTGGAGGCCACACTCAGCTTCCTTCTCAGACAAGGGAGCCGGCCGGGATGGACTTTCTCGAGCGGCCAGGGGAGAGGGAGCTGTGGCACTGGAGACCCAGACCATGATGTCTGACCAGGCCCGTTGTGGTTCCTGAATCCTAAGCAGCTGGGCCTTCACTCCCTCTGAAGATGTGTGGAAACACCACAGGCGGTTTCACAGGAACCATTTCCCACTGGGCCTCACCTCAGAACAAGCCTTCCTTGTTCGGGGAAGGGCAAGACTCCGCAGGTGCAGCCCTCACCATGGTCCTGCCGCTCCACCACTTCCTGTCCAGGCCACTTATTCGTCACTGGTCCTGTCTCAGATGCTACACAGAGGACGCTCTGGGCCTTGGGAAGGCGAGGGGCTAAGGCTGCCACCTCTTAAATCTGCCACCCACAAAAGCTCGCAGAGAAATCAAGGCCTTGGCTGGACCCAGGGAAATGATTGTGTTGCTTTTATTGTGTGCCCAGTGATTATCTACTCTCAAAACCTTGTAGATAGTGGCTGGGCACGGTGGTTCACACCTGTAATCCCAGCATTGTGGGAGGCCAAGGCAGGCGGATCCCTTGAGGTGAGGAGTTTGAGACCAGTCTGGCCAACATGGTGAAACCCTGTCTCTACTAAAAATACAAAAAAAAAAAAATGAGCTGGGCGTGGTGGTGTGTGCCTGTAATCCCAGCTACTAGGGAGGCTGAGGTATGAGAATCACTTGAACCCAGGAGGTGGAGGTTGCTGTGAGCCAAGATCATGCCACTGCACTCCAGCCTGGGTGACAGAGTGAGACCTTGTCAAAAAAAAAAGAAAGAAAGAAGAAAGGAAGGAAGGAAGGAAGGAAGGAAGGAAGGAAGGAAGGAAGGAAGGAAGGAAGGAAGGAAGGAAGGAAAAGAAAGAAACGTTCTAGATAGGGAATAACTGCCTCCACTTTACAGATGAAAAAATGAGGGTCAGGGAGGTTAAGAAACAACACACCAAGCTAGTAAAGGGTGCAAATAGGACTCAACCCAACAGCCCCACATCCCAACCCACCACAATAGATACTTCACTATATTCTTGGTCACAAAGTATAAGCTCCTGAGGGCATGCCTGGGCCTCTCAATTCTGTATGCTTCCCTCCCTAGAGTGGAGCACACAGTCATGTAAATTTGCAGCAAGCAGCTCTTATGGGCCTTGGAATCTCACTACCTGGGCTTCGGCTTCCTCATCTGTCAAATGGGGATAACTTGCACCTCACTGGTTGCTGAATTAAATGAGATAATGTAAGCCCTTGGCACATCCGCATGAGCTCAAAGAGGGTTTCAGGGAGCAGAGACAAGGAGGCGGCCTGGAGGGTGGGTGGGGAATTCCCAGCTGTACTGGGAGTTGTGTTCCCAACCGAGAATAGGAAAGAGTGGGTGGAGCAGTTTGGCCGGGGCGGAGGTCTTGGTAGGGAAGCTGTGGCGGAGGAGATGGACTCATGTGAGCCTGAGCATTGTCCTGTGGGTGACAGGACCCATCGCCTCCTGCGTGACATGCAAGAGAGTAGGAGAAAGGACTCTCCCCAGCTAGTCAGCCTCTGGTCGCTGTGTCAGGCTGCTAGGAGATCTGACCCCCTCGTTACTGTGGAACGGGTAGGCCCAGAAACGTGAATGGTCACCAGAAGAGGAGATTAAAACACCATCTGCTCTGAAATCAGGCCGAAGAGGACAAACAGCTAACTCCTGGCCCAGGAACCTGGAGTGGCTGTTTCCAGGCCGGGCCTCCCTGAGACAGGGGCCCTGGTTGGAGTTTAGGGGTTGAGAGGAGTAGGAGAGTGAGATGCCACCAGGCCTCTACCCCAATGAGAGGCACCAGAGCAAAGGGGCTACACCCCGAAACTCTGAGGCACGCTGGGTTCTGGCCTCTGCCCCTGTTTAGGCTGCATGACCTTGGGCAGAACACTTAGTATTTGTGTCTCCGTGTCCAATCTGAAATGGGGCTGTGCTGTCCATCCCTCATTAAGCTGCTGCAATTCTGAGGAATAAATGATTCCTGCTTGTCAGGAAAGCTCTTGGAACAGTGCCAGACACATAGCACAGGAAACACCGCCAGGCCTCGGGGCCGCAGTGTCTGGGGAAGGCTTGGTGGAGGCTGCTCACCCCCACCCTGGTGGACTCAACTGGGCCTCCCTGGGGCTGCTGGAAGATGCTCACAGCCCAGCCCCTGGCCTCAGGGCCTCCCCTAAGCCCCTCATCTACTGTGGGGTCAACAACAGCCACGGGAGTGCCACCCGCAGACAGGACCAGGTTCCCACCCAACCCAGGTGTCAGCCATGACTGAAATGTCCCCAGTAAGGGCTCCAGTTTGTCTGATGGCAGAGGACCACTGGCTCTCTCCTCACCCTCAGCGCAGATCTGCCTTTGCCCATGAAGATCCTTCAGAGCCAAGTGAGATCCTGATACCGGAGGAGGGCCAGGAAGTGCTGGGTAGAGAAAGGCAGGTCCCTGGCCAGGGCTCCACCTCCACAGACCCAGGTGAGGACAGGCACTCCTGCCTTCGCACCCAAATGTTATATTTTCCAAGACCACCCTGGCCCGCCACACCCCAATCCTGTGCCTATAAAAACCTGAGACACACAACCGGCTGGACGTACTGAGGAACACATAGGCAGAAGACACAAGCGGCTGGTTGTCAAAAGCGCGCCGGCAGAAGATCACGCCGACAGGCACTGGCAGGCCTGCAGGCCATTGACAAGCGGAATGATGCGGAGTTTGGCCAGAGCGGTTGGAGGAGAAGAGTCGGCTGCTGAGTGGCCCAACTCCAGGGAAAAACTGTCTCCCTTCTGGCTCCCCCATCTGCTGAGAGCTACTTCTACTCAATAAAACCTTGCACTCTTCTCCAAGCCCACATGTGATCTGATTCTTCCCCTACACCAAGGCAAGAAACCCCAGGATACAGAAATCCCTCTGTCCTTGTGATAAGGAAGGAGGTCTAATTGAGCCAGTTAACACAAGCCGCCTATAGACAGCAAACTAAAAGAGCACCCTGTAACACACACCCACTGGGGCTTCAGCTGTAAACATTCACCCCTAGACACTGCCATGGGGTCAGAGCCCCACAGCCTGCCCGTCTGTATGCTCCTCTAGAGGTCTGAGCAGCTGGGTACTGAACAAGCGAGCCACACCCCCGTCGCATGCCCTGTGAGAGGGACAAAGGAACCTTTCCTGTTTCACTCCCACTAACTCTCCTCAGACCCACCCCATGTCCACCCCAGCCTCCATGCCCAACGCGCCTTCCTTGTTAAGAACTCAGCTCAGAAGCCCTTCAAGTGTTGTTTATTAATGTCAGAGTCCTCGGATTTGTCGGTGGGACCAAATGATATTCTCATGATGAGAACAAGGAGGGATCACAAGCTAAAGGTGGGGGCAGCGGAAAAAACATCCAGGGCCAGGGACCCTCAGGTGCTGGCGGCCGTGAGTGTGGCAACCTCTCCAGACATCCTCCTCGTGCCCTTCCTCCTGTTCGCTGGAGCATTTTCCGCTTTCCCGAACGATCAGAGCCCCCGGGCCCAACTGTTCTTGGGTTCCAGGCCCATGAAGGGACCCCTGGGGTCACAGCACAAGGGCACCAGGGTCTAATGGGAGAGCCCTGGTCTGAGACGCAGGCCCGTCCCACTTCCTGCCCACACAGGTCTGAGACACAGGCCCATCCCGCCTCCTGCCCACACGCGGTACAGCCTACACTCTTGGTCCAGTGGCTCTGATCCTTCATGACCCAGTCCCACCCCCCATCTCTACCACGGCAGCGTCATCCCCAACCCCATCCTCCCACCAGGACTGAGAAATGCTCCCAAACCCGCCACTCTGTCCAAATGACGCTTTTGTGTTACCTGGGACACAGGGAGAATTCTCATCCCTGGAGCTTTAAGTACTTTCTTGTCTTTGATGCTGCCCTACACAGGATCCGAGTCACTCCAGGGCCTCTCTCTCTCTCGCCCCCGAGATTTCTCCCCCTTTACTGGCTAAATGGACAAACGTAGAACCTCGTTGGAATGTGGAATATGATACAATACATCCAATGCTTCACAAGGGCTCGATGAGCTTTAATCCACCCCATTATCCTTTAGAAATGGTCGTTGAACTGGAAGTTCAGATTTGGAGAAAGGGAAATGGAGAAAATTCCATGGTGTCTCTCGTAAAAGGACAGCAAGAAACCTTTCACACTAGAAGGAGGTCGGCTATTCCCCACAGCACCAGGAACAGGGTGGAAAAGGGGCTTCTAATCCCCACACCCAGGCCCCCAAAGAACACGTGGGTGAACCCAAGGGGTGCCGGCCTCCCCACCCAGCGGCCTTACCTGGGTGTGCCGGGGCCTGGCCGCGTCGGGAGGTTCTGGTCCGTGGGGCATGTAGCAGCCGCACGCCCAGCCACCCCCACTGGCAACAGAGGCCTATTTTTAGGGTCAGATCTGCTGACGCTGACCTTGCGTGCCGTCCAGTCTAAGAGGAGACCTATGACATCTGCTTGCAAAATGATTTTCCAGTGCGACCTGAAACCCTTGACTTAGGAAGCCCTGTACCTGAAGCCTACACGCTTGTCCCCGGCCCAGCCACAGAGGCAGGACATGTGGCCACCAGGGCAGGGACAGACAGGAATTTTCCAACTTTGTTTTCCTGGGATGGACGAAGCCAGGTGTCTACAGGCCCTGCCCTGAGCCCTGTCCCAGAACAGCTAGAACAGGGGAGGTTTGCCCACTGGCACAGCTCTCTATTCCAGTCTTTTCTGAGAGTTTGTGGAGCTATCTCTGGGAGGCCAATGGAATGGATGCCACATCACACAGGGTAATCAATGAAACTCTGGGCAGAGTTTGTGCTGTGTGGCTTCCAGTGAGACCCCAGCAAGCACCCAACCATGCTGGGCTTCAGTGGGGATAATGATCATAATATCCTCCTCTTACATTGCTATGAGGACTGAATGAGATAAAGAATTTGGTGGTATTAGAATATTTAACAGTCTCCAGTGAGCCAAGATTGTGCCACTGCACTCCAGCCTGGGTGACAAAGCAAGACCCTGTCTCAAAAAAAAAAAAAAAAAAAAAAAAAAAAAATATATATATATATATATATATATATATATTTAACGTTAACAGTCATTAACAGTCGTTCCCAGGTCTCTCTTCTTGGCCCTTTCTTCTGTCAACCTTCCTCCTCAATGGCTCCAGAGTTCTTTGCTCTGGGATCCCTCCCACCAAGCCCTACCAATGTAGCCCCGCTTTTTAATACTTACGGGCAAAATCCTGCCCAGTCTCCTCTAATTTTCTAGTAAAATCTTCCCAGGGCTTGCTACAGTTCCTTATAATGAATGACGTGGTTCTCCATTCGTATCCATCCTTGTCATCCTCTCTGGGGCATGCTTTAGTGTGTGAAGGACTGGGAGAAGTAGGGAAGGAAGCACCAGGCTCCCACATCTTTCACTTAACACAATCTTCTTGCATTGGGGTCATTATATTGTCCTCTGAAACTTTATTCACCCAACCAAAGATCTTCCTCACAATTTGCTACATTAGCTACTGCCAGTTTAATTTATAGCAATTATTTCTACTAGTACTATTCATTGCTAAGTGACTTAGCTTTTATTGATTTCTTGGTGTGAGGAAAATTCCCAAGGCAAATACACAGAATCTGAGTGTACAATGAAGTCAGAATGTCAGAGTCCAAATGTCCCTGCTGTCAAGTGCTGGAGTCAAAACAGCAAGGTCGAAAGGCCCTTCTGCACTTACCCCAAGAACTAAGGGAGTCAGAGATGCTGGAATTGCCAAAGATAGAGAAGAAAGATTTCTCCTTAGCTGAAAGCCTGGGGGGCAGCCCCAGCCCCAGTCAAGGGCTGAGGAAGCAAAAGGGAGCTCTGAAGATGCAGCTTCAGCAGGGAGCAAACATAACATATCTAAAGACATCTGAGCTAGCTAGATGACTGAGAGAGGGAGAGAGAGAGTATTTCACACCATCTAGGAAACGTTCAATGACTTAATTTACAGGAAGTCAAGAGGAGAATTTGGTGGGTTGTTGGATTATCACCTCCAGTAAAGTAGACCCTACATGTGGTTAACCAGAAGACTGATGGCCCCTCCTCTAATCCTTCACACATTAAAATAGGCCCAAAAGAGGGTGACAAGGATAGAGAAGGGTTAAAAAAAAAACAACCATCATTTACTATGGGGAACTGAAGGAAGCCCTGGGAAGGTTTTCTTAGAAAAGAGTGGTGGTGGTGGTAGAGGATACCTGGTCTGTCTTCGAGGAGCTAAGGGGAAACACCAACATTCTCTGCACAACACTAAGGGCAGAACCTGGACCTTGGGAGACACCCCAAGAGCTGCCTCATGTAGATGAAGGAAACACACCATCCCATCAAGATGGGAGCGAGCCAGGTAAGCATCAGTTGGACTGAGAGATGTGTCCAATTGTTCCCAACTCCAAGGAGATTTCCTAGGATTCTGTGAAAAAGCAAGCTCCATTCATGCAGGTCAAGTATAATCCTGTAGAAACAACTGTTACTGGCTGGGCGCAGTGGCTCACACCTGTAATCCCAGCACTTTGGGAGGCCGAGGCGGGCAGATCACTTGATGTCAAGAGTTCAAAACCAGCGGCCAACAGGGGAAACTAACATATGAAGTTTGCCGTCCTGGACCCAAACTTTTCTGGGTCCAGAAGATCCAGAGGCTTTTAGTGCCCTGTGGATACCTGAATATGCATGGAGGCTGAGTCCAGCTGCAGCCCAGGGGAGAGGCCTCCCTGCCCACCCAGAGGCCGGATCCAAGGGCTGTAAGTCTGCAGCTCTCCCAGACGGCTCTCTTTTCCTTCACATTAAAAAGCAAAGCAAAGCAAGAGAAACTGAGGCCTATGTTCTGCAGGAAGTCCAAAGCCCTCTCCAACATCTCAGAGGACTGTTTATCCCTGGGAAAAGAATAGTAGGATGGCTCTCATTTCTCCAAAGTCAATTCTGCTGTGGCCTCTCCACCCTTGCTGGCACTCTCTGGCCTATCACTCCTACAACCTCATTCTGAGCTTGACACCACCATCTTCTATTATTCCTCCATCACTCACCCAAGGGATTGTGTGGGGCAGAGGGATTGCAGCACAGAGCAGGAGACAAGTCCACATTCAAGGTTTAACCTCCCCATTCTTTGAAAATTATTGGCTAGGCCCCATCTCCAAGGACTTTCTGTGTCCTGCTGTGTTCATGAGGCTCCTCTCTGTACATGCGATTGTCACAGCCTTCCTTTTTCTTCATTCGTCATCTCTCCCCTCCTCTCTAGAGCCGAGTGCCTCAACAGGCTCGAGAGTCCTCCTATTGTCATGCAGAGCAGCTCAACTCCCTCTTAGTCTCAACCTCCCAGGCAGACTAAGCCTAGGGTGCCCCCATTCTCATCCAACAAGCTCACCCAGGTGGCTTGGTGGCGGGTGCTTGTAATCCAAGCTATTTGGGAGGCTGAGGCAAGAGAATTGCTTGAACCCGGGAGGCAGAAGTTGCAGTGAGGTTGCAGTGAGCCGAGATTGTGCCACTACACTGCAGCCTAGGAGACAGAGCGAGACTCCGTCTCAAAAAAAAAAAAAAGAAGAAGAATATGTAGGTGCTTTGTTCTCTTGGGATCTGGCTTTCAGCAGTGGCAAAGTGTGACTGTAACTCTACCCATTTTTGTAATTAAAACCATCCACAGGCCACAGAGAATGCTTTTCCCTTTCTCTTGCTCTGTGTTCTCAAAATCAAAGGTAACTAAATATGAATTAAATGAAGGTTGGTGGGCTGTGCTGCCACTGACCTTGGAGGTGGACACTGCTTTGGAGTACTAGGAGGATTTGAGCTATGGAAGGGCTTCCCGGTGAAGAAAGGGGGCTTATTCTATTTGTCAAGTATATCTACTCAGATAGTATAAAGGACCTGGTAGCGCTGAGCGTCCTGATGTCTGTGTTTCACCTCACAGTTCTGGGGGCACTCCAGAATTAGCATGGTATTCTGACAGTTGCAATAGCTGAGAAATATTTTCGTATATTACACAGTTCATAGTGGTTTTTTGTTTGTTTGTTTGAGACAGAGTTTTGCTCCTGTTGCCCAGGCTGGAGTGCAATGGCACAATCTTGGCTCACTGCAACCTCTGCCTCCCGGGTTCAAGTGATTCTCCTGCCTCAGCCTCCCAAATAGCTGGGATTACAAGCACCCGCCACCATGTCCAGCTAGTAGAGACGGGGTTTCACCATATTGGCCAAGCTGGTCTCGAACTTCTGACCTCAGGTGATCCACCTGCCTCGGCCTCCCAAAGTGCTGGGATTACAGGCGTGAACCACTTCACCCGGCCCCATAGTGTTCTTTAAAGCATATATATGTAGGTCTAGATGTAATGAGCGTAACACATAATGACAGTTCTTTACATTGGCTACTAGACTTGTAAATAGTTTCATTTTTATAATATTTTATTTATTTATTTATATTTGTTGAGATAGGGTGTCATTGTATCACCCAGGCTGGAGTGCAGTTGTGTGATCATAACTCACTGCAGCCTCGACCTCCCTGGTTCAATCGATCCCCCCACCTCAGCCTCCCAAGTAGCTGGGACCACATCCGTGCACCACCACGCCCAGCTAATTTTAAAATTTTTTTGTACAGATAAGGTCTCCCTATGTTGCCCAGGCTGGCCTTGAATTCTTGGGCTCAAGCAATCCTCCTACCTTGGCCTCCCAAAGTGCTGGGATTACAGGCATGAGCCACTACACCCAGCCTATAACAAAATTTTATGAGATTTAACAAAATTTTCAAAAAAATGACAAGATTTTCAGGTTCATTTAGATCATTTTGTCTTAAAACTTCGATAGTCAATGATTATATTTCTTTTTATTTTTAATAGAAACATTGAATATCTTAGAAAGAAAAGAACGCTTGAAAATTATATGAAAATAATTTTAGGTTTTTATTGTTTTTATTTAATTTGCTTTTTTTTTCTTCTTCTTGAGACAGAGTCTTGCTCTGTTACTCAGGCTGGAGTGCAGTGGCGCAATCTCAGCTCACTGCAACCTCCGTCACCTGGGCTCAAGCAATTCTCCCACCTTAGCCTCCCGAGTAGCTGGGACTACATCTGTGCAGCACCATGCCTGGCTAATTTTTGTTTGCATCTTTATGTAGAGATGGGGTTTCACCATATTGCCCAGGCTGGTCTCAAACTCCTGAGCCCAAGCAGTCCACCCAAGTGCTGAGATTACAGGTGTGAGCCACCATCCCCGGCCTAATTTGGTTCTGATAAAGAATATGTTCATATTTTTTTTCACTTTGAATTCAATGAATCATTTTGTTTTTGATCCTTCAGAGCAGCACTGTCCAATAGAAATATAATGTAAGCCATGTACACAATTTCAAAATTTTTAGTAGGCACATTCAAAAGCGTAAAAAGAGCCAGACATAGTGCCTGTAATCCCAGCTACTTGGGAGGCTGAGGTGGAAGGATCACTTGAGCCCAGAGTTTGAGTCCAGCCTGGGCAACATAGTGAGACTCTATCTCCAAAAAAAAAAAAAAGAAAGAAAAAGAAGAAGAAAAGAAAACCTAAACTTAAACAGGTGAAATTAATTTTAATAATACAAATTAAACAGGTGAAATTAATTTTAATAATACATTTTACAAGGCCAAGCATGGTGGCTTACGCTTGTAATCCCAGCACTTTGGGAGGCCGAGGTGGGCAGATCACCTGAGTTCAGGAGTTCGAGACCAGCCATGACCAACATGGAGAAATCCTGTCTCTATAAAAAATACAAAATTAGCCAGGCGTGGTGGCGCATGCCTGTAATCCCAGCTATGTGGGAGGCTGAGGCAGGAGAATCACTTGAACCCGGGAGGCAGAGGTTGCAGTGAGCAGAGATTGCACCATTGCTCTCCAGCCTGGGCAAACTCCGTCTCAAAAAAAAACAAACAAATAAATAAATAAATAATACATTTTACAAAATCTGTCCCAAATATTATTTCAACATGTAATCAATATGAAAAAATTAGATATTTGACATCACTTTTTATTTCATACTGTGTCTTTGAAATCTGTGAGTATTTGATACTTATAGCACATTTCAATTTGGACCAGCCATCTTTCAAGTGCTTAACAACCCCACAGTGCTGGTGGCCCCCATGCTGGACAGCCCAGGTCTAAATCTTTGAGAATGGGATAAGTCAGTGTGGTGATGGGAATATGGGGTGGCGCGGCTTCCATTTATCCTCCGACCAAGGCCTGACCTACCTTCCTCCCACCAGGAGGACAAGTTTCCTCAACTGATTACAAACCTTCCCTCCTGCCCTGCCTGGGTTGGCCACAGTTCCTAAAGTCTAGCTGTGGGTGCCTTTGGAGGTTTCAGTCACTCTCGAAGGAGTTTGCCAGCAGCTGGCCTGGCCCCGTCTGCTGTGAAGCTGTCACTTTTGACTCTGATGGCTGAGCTATGTGAGGACATTGTGTTTGGCGAGAAGGCCTAAGGGCCAAGGATATTTCTCTGAAATCGATACCTCTGTTTCTCTCCCTGGCTGTCAAAACACTGGGAAAGCTGCTGTCAGTCTTCTGCTGGGGGGCTCTGAAGCACTTAGGACCCACAGCAGGGGCTATGGGTAGGGGTCCTCACCAAATTCTGCATTTCCTAAGGGATGAATGCTTTGCTCAAGCTTGTCAGTGATCGCAGCAAATTGGTCAATTGTGTCTCTATTAGCACCTCTGTCTGCATGCCAAGACTTGTTTATTTTACAGATAGATGGCTGTTTCCTCTTCACGGCCTGTTAGTGCATCAAAGTGACACTGGTGAGGATTGACAGGGTGATTGCTTGCATGGGGGAGGCAGGAGAGCAGAGGAGTGAAGGACGTGTACTTTCAAACATAAGGAATTGGGTTCAAATCCTGCCTCTCCCACTTACCTCTGAACTTGTGCAAATTCCTTAACTTCTTCAAGCTCATCTCTCTTTACGTTGGGCATAATAACAGGAACAGTAACAGGATCCACCTCTAGCATTATGGTGCAGGTTGAATAAGATAATGCATATAAAGCTCTTGGCTTGTCCTAAGCAACCAGTCTGTGCCAGTCACTACTGTGCTTTTTCTTGCTTTCCCTCAACTCTGGTTCATTGTCTTAGCTCTGATTGGACTAAGAAATCCCTAAAGAGGATTAAACTAACCGACCAATGGGGGCTGAAATCTCCCCATGGATTCAGCAGTTGACCCAGGTAAGGCCCTACTCTGTGTCCAGGCCCTGTTCTAGAAGCAGCCAGCAGGTCAGGGAGGCAGGAAATCGGGACCTGTCTGGGGTGAACTCACAGTCTGGTGGGGAAATGCACTCCTGAGCACATGCTGGTGGCTCAGTGGATGCGGGCTGTGCTGGGGGTGCACACAGGGAAGGGCTGTCCCATAGAGCCGGGAGATTCCATAAAGACTGCTCAGAAGTGGCCAGTTTGGCACTGGATGGGAGTATCCTATGATGATGTGCTGGTCATCCATGAACCCAGTGGGCACTCAACAAGTCAAATACTTGTTGCACAGAGAGTGATGTTATTCCAAACTGCCGTGGGCCTTTTGTTCAGAGGCAGACATTAGCCAGTCTGTGATCGTTTGGTTTTTTGTTTGTTTGGTTTTTTAGAGACAGGGTCTCACTCTGTTGCCCAGGCTAAAGTGCAGTGTTGTGAACATAGCTCATGGCAGCCTTGAACTCCTGGGCTCAAGCAATCCTCCTGCCTTAGCCTCCCAAGTAGCTGGGACTACTGACGTGCACCATCATGCCTGGCTAAGTTTTTGTTTTGTTTTGTTTTGTTTTGTTTTCATTTTTTGTTGAAACAGGGTCTCATTTTGTGGCCCAGGCTGGTCTTGAACTCCTGGCCTCAAGCAATCCTCCCACTCAGCCTCCCAAAATGCTGAGATTACAGGTGTGATTACAGGTGTCACCACACCCAGCCAACCCATGATAGTTTAGTCATGACAGGTACCTTGAGCCCACCCCAGTTAAATTTCAGGGACTTTATCTCGAAGAGAAAAAAGATGATAATGTATAGGCTGGACTGAGTTCAGTTTTAGGAAGGGGTTGACTTTGATACATTGTGCAGAGGATCCTCTACTGGTCAGGAACCAGCAAGGAACAGAATTCACCAGGGTTGCTTTAAACAATAAAATATTAATGAAGGGACTACATACAGAGCGTGAACAAGGTTAAGGGAATAAACAAGGAATGCTGCAGCATCCAGGAAGTAGCAACAGTGGAAAGCCATGGGATATAGATGTGGCTGTGCCCCAGCTTCAATCCAGCAGATAAAGACAACATTCTCGGGGACAGCAGAGCAACAAGGTGGAAGGAAGCTGGGTCCCTGCATGACCTTGTGGAGCCGAATCACTTTGCCAGTCTAGACTGCCCACCTACCTCTGTACAGTGACATGAGGGAGAAATAAGCAGCTGTCTGTTTAAGCCACTGTATTCTGGAGTCTCTGTTACAACAACTGGCCTGTGCCCTTATGCGTTCAAAGACCAATGCAGCTGGAATAGAGTGAAAGAGGGTGTGAGCGTTAGCAGATGAGGGCCAAGATCTCATAGGGCCCCGCAGGCCAAGGTAAAGAGTTTGGAATTTATTCTAGGGAGCGATGTTTACACGATCTAATTTGCATTTGAAAAAGAACATTCTGGTTTGTGGAGAATGAAATGCAACGAACAAAAGTAGAGGCTGGGACACTAGTGAGGAGGTTATTCTGGATGTCCAGGCAAGAGCTGCTGGTTGCCTTCGTCAAGGGTGGTAGCAGCAGAGGTTGTGAGAAGTGAATCAGATTCTGGATATGTTTTGATGGTGGATTATAAAGGATTATCTGACGATTTTGACTTTGAGGGGTTTGTATATTCAAGAATAAATGAAATAATACACAGTGCTTAACACAGGCCCTAGCACATAACCATTGTTGTTTTAAGAAAGGCTTTCTAATCCTACTGCTGTAGCTTTTCCCACAAGATGCTGGTGGGTTGGGCTAGCAAAGCAACTCACTACTTGGGTGTCTGGGCACAAGGTCTGGGACTGTCCCCGAGGCCAGTTTCAGGAGGGAAGGATGTCTGCGGGCATGACCCAGGAATCTGAGAGACCCTCGTGGCTGCAGTTGGGCTTGAAACCAGTCAAAAACTCACTCATTCTACCCATTCCTGTACAGCAAATAGTGACCCATTGCCTATTACGAGCTGAAAATTACTCTAGAATCTGAGTGAAAAGTACCAACAAGAGACACTGTGCACTGCCCTCATGTTGCTGCTATTCTTTCCACTGGGATGTGCAAAGAATGTGAGGTGTCTATTTTTCTTTGGCTCTTCTACCTTTCCCCACATGACCGGCCCCACCCTGCTGGGAATTGAGGACATTTAAATGGCTAAATGATAATGCCACAGTCCCTTCCCAGTTAAAAGCTCAAGTGGGCTGGGTGCTGTGGTTCATGCCTGTAATTCCAACACTTTGAGAGGCCAAGATGGGAGGATCACTTGAGGCCAGGAGTTCAAGACCAACCTGGGCAACATCTCTACAAAAACAAAAAACAAAAAAACAAAAATAAAAAACCAACCAGTTCTAGTGGTGCACGCCTGTAGTCCCAGCTACTCAGAAGACTGAGGTGGGAGGATCACTTGAGCCCAGAAGGTTGAAGCTGCAGTGAGCAGTGAATGCACCACTGCGCTCCAGCCTGGGTAGCAGTGAGACCCTGTCCCAACAACAACAAACAAACAAAAAAACAACACCTCAAGCACTTCAAATTCCCTTCTCCTGCCCAAGATGGATTATGGATGACATCAGGGTTTATTGCAAGAAGCAAGGTGGCAAGAAGGCCTTGATGCTATGGGCCCCTTGAGTCTGGCTGTTACACGTTTACGTTGGTGCAAAATGATCTTCCAGAAGCCTGAGTAAAGAGCAAAGTCCCCCTCTTTCAGTGTCTTCCTCGTTCTATATGGCACCCCCACCTACATCTGGGACACTGTCTTAGAGAAGGGAGGTCACCCTCCATAGACCTCTGTTGCTGCCCCTCCTCACCTCCCTCTTCTTCAAGCATCCTCTTTCTTTTCCTTTCTTACCAGAATATCCTCTCCTCTTGGCCTCCTCCTACTGGATGTGGCCCCCCTTTCCCATTTTTCTGGGACAATAATGACAAAATGACTTCCAGGTAGGGTTGAAAGATTTACAAATAAATGGGTTATTGTGTTTTGTTTTTTGAGATAGGGTCTTGCTCTGTCACCTAGGCTGGAATGCAATGGCACGATCACAGCTGACTGCAGCCTTGACCTCCCAGGCTCAAGCAATCCTTCCACCTCAGCCTCCTGAGTAGCTGGGACTACAGGCATGCACCACCACACCTGGCTACTTTTTTTCTTTATTTTTTGTAGAGATGGGGGTCTCATTTTGTTGCCCATGCTGGTCTTGAACTCCTAGTCTCAAGTGATCTTCCTGCCTTGGCCTCCCAAAGTGCTGGGATTAGAGGCATGAGCCACTGCACCGGCCTACAAATAAATTTTTAGATTAAGTTTGTCCCATGCTTCTTTGGGACGTATTTATGTTAAAAAGTTATCTGTTGCTTATCTGAAACTCAAATTTAACCGGGTGTCCTGTATTTTATCTGGCAACCCTACTTCTAGACAACCTAATTGTCGGCGAGAGGAATGAAAAGTACAGCCATTCAGTATTTTCAAAATATTATGCTTAATACAGGGCTTACCTCCTTCTGGCCTCTTGTCTGGACAGACTTACACAGGCTTCAGAAAGAAGGTAGGTTTCTCCCTACCTTCCCCCCTAGCATGGGCTATTCTGTTCCTTAGAGGAGCCCATTGTGTCTGTTGTGTGTGAGGGGGGTGGAGTTGGGGGGAGGATGGAGGAATCAACTCTGGTTTTCTGCCCTTCCTCCCCCAATCACACCAGGCAGGCTTCCCTGGGATGTGGGTAGCCCCATCCTGTCGGCAAAGCAATTGCTTACCTAGGATTTTATGAGGACATTTTTATTGAGCTGTAATTGAAAAAAAAATTCCAAGACATTCCAGATTTTTCTCATAAGCCTGCTTCAGGTGTGTATGCATGCGTGTGTGTGTGTGTGCGCATGTATGAACATGCATATACTTTGGCCAGACCACACCGGCGTCTTTGTTGAAAAAGTGAGGAGGTTTCATGTAAGGCATTTTACTTTTCTCTCCTTTTCTCTAAATTAAGGATCAGAATAAAGATCAGTAGGGATTCTGGAGAGCCTGCAAGAATCTTTTCATTAAGCAAATACTGCAGTAGCTGGAGAATCTGAGTGTTACGTAGGAGGGCTGTGCTTGTCATGACAGCCTAATATCCTAATGGAAGTTGACAACCATAGTTACGAAATCTATAATAGAATGCAGAGCCTGTTATCTCTGTGAAACTGCTTGGCAAAAGTTTGTAAATTATATACATATATTTAAAGAATGTGAAGTAAAGCCAGATGAGGGTCTTTTAGACTCAAATGGCCCTGTTATGTCCTCCTGCCTCACTCACGCACCTCCCCCCACTGCTGTTCTGAGAAGCTGCAGGAAAAGACAGCGTCTCTCTTGGGGTCTGTGTTACCAGCCCTCCCACCGCCCACTCAGGAAGGATGGAGATACAGGTCTTCCTTCTGTGCTCTTGATTGTCTCAGCAGAAGGAGAGATACTCAAGCTTGTACTGAGCGCCTACTATGTGCCAGGCACTGGGCTGCTTTGTTATTTCCACCCTCCCAGCAGAGCTGCGCAAGGCTGTTAATCCTTCCCACTTTGACACTTGAGGAACCTGAGGCTCAGAGGAGTTCAATATCTGCTCAGGTTCACACAGCTGGTCGTAGCTCCTGATCGCAGGAGGAGTCGCAGCGAAAACCCGAGTCCACCCGTGTCCAAGGCCCGGTTCTTTCTACCTTTCAGTTCCTGCCCCAGGCAGCGGCGCAGCTTGGTGGTGGCGGTGCGTGGGTGGCGGGGTGTGTTACGATCTCCTTGCTGGAGACATGTGGCTGCTTCTCAAGAGGGACAGCGCTGGATGGAGAGTGAGTGAGATCGGCCACATACCTCTGTGTGGTGCCCATTTCTGGGACAGTCCTGGATCCATCGACCCGCCATCCTCCCAAAGGTGCTCCCTCTCTTCAGGTGGTGCCCATGGTCCTATCAAGGTTCAAGAAGTGAATGATGAGTTTCTTTCAGATGCCACAAGGTGGACCCCCACTCAGGTGACCTCAGAGGTTCATGAGTAACACACTTAAGAGCAAGGACTCTGCTGGGCAATGGGAGTGCCTCCCGGCATGGCCATGGCTCCCTGGCCGGCTCCGCATGGGTTCTCAAGTGCAGACTGCTCTGCCTCCCAGTGCTCTGGTTACGGAGACTCTCCTCTGCTTTGCCTCTGAGGTTCCTGTGGCTGCAGCTGCCTGCCTCTGGTTCTTGGTGACTTCTGCTGCCTTCTGGCTCCTGCTTCCTGATCTCTCTCTCCAGGCACCTTCCAACCCAACCTGCCACCTCTGACTCTGTCTCCCATTCAAACTCTCCCAGAAAGCGCCTCACTGGGTGGGCAATTCCCCGTCCTGTCAATGGCAGCTCTTACATGAAAGGGCCTCACAGGCCTCTGGCTACCTGTGGGTCAGGAGACAGAACAGTTAAGACCAGGTTTGGGGCAAGTAATGGAGACTTCAAAAATAGTGGCTTAAACAAGATAATCATTTCTCTCTCAGAAATTATAAACTTTGCTTATTTCTCTCTCAAGATAATCATTTCTCTCTCGCTCGTCCTGGACTGCAGAGGCGGTTCAGGACAAGCAGGGAGCCCCACGCTCACATTCACACTCCAGGCAGCACCACGGAGGTGATTTTTTTCTTTTTTTTTGAGATGGAGTCTCCCTCTGTCGCCCAGGCTGGAGTGCAGTGGCACCATCTCAGCTCACTGCAACCTCCCCCTCCAGGATTCAAGTGATTCTTCTGCCTCAGCCTCCCTAGTAGCTGGGACTACAGGTGCCCACCACCATGGCCGGCTAATTTTTGTGTTTTTGGTGGAGACAGGGTTTCATCATGTTCGCCAGGCTGGTCTTGAACTCCTGACCTCAGGTGATCTACCCGCCTCGGCCTAGTCTTTCCCTTTCAAAGAGACTTTTCACAAGTTCCACACAAGAATTCCACTTACGTTTCATCTGCCAGAATGTAGTCATTTGGTCACACTTACCTGCAAGGAGGCTGGGAGATGTTCTACTTTAGCTGGGTTCATGGCCACCCAGATAACACTCGAGGCTCTTTGCCAAAGTAAAGGGGAGAATAAATATTGGGAGGCAAGTAGAAGTCGCTATCCAGCTCCAGACAAAGATTCTTGGCTTGACCAAACTTCAGTCAGGCTCCTGAACCTTCTTCTCGGCCCACCTGTGCACTTCCTGGTAAAATTGAGTTTTAGCAACAACCCTGCTAAGTCAGTTTATCAGGAACTCCTCCCTGCCCCCGCTCCCTTGCATATCTGATCAGGTTTCTCCTCCTCCACCCTTCTTCAGGTGATATCGAGCCATCCTGGCCTGTTTTCAGCAAAAATCCTATTAGGCTAGTTTAGCCAAAATCCCTCTTATCCCTGATATTTCCTCTTGGTAATTTTCCTTCCACTAACTCTACCCCTCTCCTTGTCTATAAAGTCCCACTTGTCCATGCCGTATTCAGAGTTGAACCCAATCTCTTCTTCCCACTGCAAAATCCCACTGTTGTGGTCCCCATACCCATCTCGGTGGTCCTGAAGTCTTCCTTTCTGTGCTTTAACAAGCATCACCAATTTTTTTTTTTTTAACAGGGCTCATCCTAATGCAGCCGTCTCTGGCTAGGACAGCAGATCCACCCTGTAAAGAGTTTGTGAGGCCAGGAATCCCTCAGAAAGGGGTGCTGGCACGATGGGTGCCTTGCACAGGCTGGACAGAGTGCTCATTCATATTCATGTGGCATGGCTGCAAAGGAACCAGAAGAGCCTCTTCACCCCACTCCCAAGCTTCCCCCTTAGCACTGCTGCCTGCAAGTTCATCACTCAAATGAAGTGATGCCTTCTCCAGCACTCCTTTTAAAGTGTGCCCCTGATCCTGGGCCCTCCCTCACAATCACTATCCAAGTCAGGATGGTCCTAGCAATCACTATCACTAAGCTGGAGCCCACAAGCCTAGTCTGACGGGGTCATAGTCATGGGTCCCAGGAGCCCCATCACAGGCTCAGAGGGTCCAGGAGGCAAAGCCCAAACACCTGCACAGGTGTGAAAGGGAAAGGGTTCTGAGGAGGGAGCGGGAGGGTGGGGGTGGGGGAAGAATGGGCTGATGGAAGGCTCTGAAGTAGCAGCCGGAGCGCAGAAAATCTCAGAGGAGGGGAAATGCTAGCAGCTCCCAAGGAGAGAGACCAGGCTGACCTGACATCATACGGATCAAGAAGCACGGATGAGGAGATGAATGCAGACACCTGGGGGAATGAGCTGAGAAAAGCAGAGTGATCTGAGGCAAAGGAGAATAATGGTGGTGGTTCCTCCTGCTTGGCAGGGAGGGTAGTACCTGGGGAGGATGTCATGGGGTAGGCCAGTTCCCCTTGAGTTTTCCCCAACCAAGTTTCCCCCAAGGCCTCCCTGGTTACGGAGTCCACACTGCAACTGCCCTCCCCACCCCAGGGCAGAAAGCAGAGGAGGCAGTCATCAAGGACTGGCTCTGAGCTAGAGGCCAGCAGAACCCCCAGGAGGCCTTGCCGAGGGCAGGAAGGAGGTCTCGGGCCTCTCAGCTGGAGTTTATTGTCCTGGGAGGAAGGTAGGATGGCGGGAGCTTAGGAAAGAGCTGGGGATGTGGATGAGGAGTGGGGAAAGGTTCTCTTTCTGGTAGCCTCTCCACCCTCCCCATCTCAAGGCCTTTGCCACCAATATCCCCCTTGGGCCCCTAACATCTTTCCTGGTCTCCAGTGGAGCTCTATTGCCGTCTTCATTCCCCTGTAGACACAGGGCCTCTCATCTCCATGCACTCAGCACCGGGGTGATGGATGTAGCCGCCCTGTCGCTTCCTCACTCACACACTCCTCTGGAGGCTAATGAAGTGGCTACAAGCCAGGGCTGCTGGTCAGACCTGGCTCTGCCCCTGTGCTGCTTACCCATTGATGTGTAACAAACTACCCCAAAACTTAGTGACTCCAAACAAGAGCATTTTCTGATATCTCATTTTAGGTCAGTAATTCAGGAGGGTTCAGTAAACAATTTTGCTGTTCCATGTGGCATTGACAGAGGTCACTCTGTGGTATTTCGCTGGCAGATATGCTGGTATGGAGTAAACAAGAAAGGGTCACACAAATGTCTAGTGTCTGGGCTCAGTGAGGCTGTCAACCAGTTGGCCTACCCATGACCAGTCCAGCATGGCAGAGTGGGGCACAGGCCGACTTCTACAGGGTGGCTCAGGATTCCCAGAGAGCACATTCCAAGAGACCCAGGTAGAAGATGCAAAGTGTCTTATGACAGCCTCGGAAGCCCCAGAATGCTGCTTCTGCTGCATTCTCCTGGCCAGCAAGTCACTAAGGCCAATCCAGAATGGAGGCTCACGAAGTGTTTAAGAACACAGGTTCACTGACTGAGTTGGTAGTATGATTCTACCCTGCTAGCTAAGCAACCTGAGAAACTTTACTTAAGCTCTTTAAGCCTCAGTTTTCTTATCTGTAAAATGGGAATAACAACATTATCTACCTCTTAGGGTTTATGAGAGTTTAATTGTATATACATATATATAATTTCTAAATTAATACAAATGTAAAAATTATACATATAAATTATACATGTGTGTATGTGTATGTATATATTTTGTTTGTTTGTTTGGCATTTAGTTTTTATTTCATAATCATAAACTTAACTCTGCAATCCAGCTGGGCATGGAAGGGAACAAGGAAAACATGGCACCCAAAGGGAACTGCAGTGAGAGCACAAAGATTCTAGGATACTGCGAGCAAATTGGGTGGAAGGATGCTCTCCTGAGTTACAGAAGGAATGGTCTGGAGGTTAAGATAAAACACAAGTCAAACTTATTAGAGTTGTCCACAGTCAGCAATGGTGATCTTCTTGCTGGTCTTGCCATTCCTGGACCCTCCATGGCCTCCACAATATTCATGCCTTCTTTCACCTTGCCAAAGGCCACATGCTTGCCATCCAACCACTTAGTCTTGGCAGTGCAGATGAAAAACTGGGAACCATTTGTGTTGGGTCCAGCATTTGCCATGGATAAGATGCCAGGACCTGTATGCTTTAGGATGAAGTTCTCATCATCAAATTTCTCCCAGTAGATGGACTTGCCACCAGTGCCATTATGGCATGTGAAGTCACCACCCTGACACATAAACCCTGGAATAATTCTGTGAAAGCAGGAACCCTTACAACCAAATCCTTTCTCTCCAGTGCTCAGAGCACGAAAGTTTTCTGCTGTCTTTGAAACTTTGTCTGCAAACAGCTCGAAGGAGACACAGTCTAAGGGCTCGCGGCGATGTCAAAGAACATGGTGGGGTTAACCATGGCTGATAGTACAGGGCTCCTGCCAGTGGCTGTGGCGTCTGCAAAGCCTGTTTTTGTTTTTTTTAATGCCCGCTGTAGAAAGCTCATGATCATCAATATCTGCAGTTTCCTCTTCTTCTTGGGCACCACCCTAGACTATTTCCTGGCTTCCCCTGCAGTTAGGTGTGGCCATGTGACTGGTTCTGGCCCATGGAACTTGAGGGGCAGTAGTAGACCTGGCCTCCATTCCTCCATGCTTACTCTCCTGGCCCTCCATCTACCTGTGTTTGAATAAAAAATAAAGCATGGCCTGGCCAGGTGTGGTGGCTCATGCCTGTCATCCCAGCACTTTGGGAGGCCAAGGCAGGAGGATCGCTTGAGTCCAGGAGTTTGGGAACAGAGTGGTAACATAGGGAGACCCCGTCTCTACAAAAAGTCAGCTGGGCGTGGTGGCATGTGCCTGTGGTCCCAACTACTTGGGAGGCTGAGGTGGGAGGACCCCTTGAGCCCAGAAAATCGAGGCTGCAGTGAGCTGTGATTGTACCACTGGACTCCAGCCTGGGCAACAGAGTGAGTCGCTATCTAAAAAATAAAAATATCAATCAATCAATAAAGTGTTGCTGAGTTTAGGTCACTCAGGTTTTGGGGCTGTCAGAGTCATTGGCCTAGCCTGACTGACTAAGGCACAGGTAGATAATAAAGTTCTCAATCAATACTAGCTGCTGTTCTGGCCTAATCTCCCTGGGCCTGTGTTCTCACCCATAAAATGGTGTTCACACGACCCACCCTACAGGATTGAGGAGTGAAAGAAATGATGGAGAGTATGACTTACTGGCTTAGCTTCTCTTCAACACGGTTACTTTATCTAAATACTACCAACTGAGTCATCATTACCTTTTTTCTTAAGCAAGATTATTTGTAATATAGCCTCTTTAAAGTTTTATTTTTATTTATTTAGTTTTTGGAGACAGAGTCTCGCTCTATCACCCAGGCTGGAGTACAGTGGTGCAATCTTGGCTCACTGCAGCCTCTTCCTCCCAGGTTCAAGCGATTCTTGTGTCTCAGCCTCCCAAGTAGCTGGAACTACAGATATGCACCACCACACCACGCTAATTCTTGTATTTTTAGTAGAGATAGGGTTTCACCGTGTTGGCCAGGCTGGTCTCCAACTCTTGACCTCAAGTGATCTGCCTGCCTCAGCCTCCCAAAGTGCTGGGATTACAGGCGTGAGCCACTGCGCCCAGCCCAGAATACTTCCTAAAATCCATTTGACTTGATGGTTTCCAAACCTAAATACAGAGTAGGATGTTCCTAATTTAGAAGTTAGTAGATTTATTTATTTTTAATTTTTAAAGTGATGAAATTTTTTTAAATATAAAAAATCATATAATAAACACCTGTATTCCCACAACTCCATAAATATGGTCAAATCTTAACATTTTGCTGTATTTGATACTTGATTTTTTTTTCCTTTTTAGAGACAGGGTCCCACTCTGTCGCCCAGGCTGGACTGCAGTGGTGCAATCACAGTTTGGCTCACTGTAGCCTATAGCTCCTGGGCTCCGATTCATGTGTTTTCAAAAGACATAAAACATTATGGATGAAATTTGAAAAAAAAAAATTTGTATCTAAAGAACTTGGCACAGTGCCCGGCATATGCAAAGCAGTTGGTAATTGTCAGCTAATTTTTTTATTTTTGAAATAATTTTAGATTTACAGCAAACTTACAAAGATAGCAGAGACATTTCTTGTATATCCACTCAGCTTTCTCTGATGTTAGCTTCTTACATAACCTTGCTACCTTTATCAAATAAATTAACATTGCTATAACACTATTAACTAAACCACAAACTTTATTCAGATTTCACCAGTTTTTCCACTTATGTCCTTTTTCTGTTCCAGGATCCAATCCAAGTCCAGGTGGGGTGGCTCACTCCCGTAATCTCAGCACTTTGGGAGGCTGAGGCAGGCAGATCATTTGAGGTCAGAAGTTGGAGACCAGCCTGACCAACATGGTGAAACCCTGTCTCTACTAAAAAAAAAATAAATAAATAATATGCCAGGCGCAGTGGCTCACACCTGGAATCCCAGCACGTTGGGAGGCCGAGGTGGGCGGATCACCTGAGGTCAGGAGTTCAAGACCAGCCTGGCCAACATAGTGAAACCCTGTTCCTACTAAAAATACAAAAAATAGCCAGGCATGATGGCAGGTACCTGTAATCCCAGCTACTCAGAAGGCTGAGGCAGGAGAATCACTTGAACCTGGGAGGCGGAGTTTGCAGTGAGCAGTGAGCCGAGATTGTGCCACTGTACTCCAGTCTGGGCAACAGAGCAAGACTCCATCTCAAAACAAAAAGCAAACAAAAAAAACCCAGGATCCAATCCAGGATACCATGTTGCCTTTAAGTCAGCTAATTTTTACTCATTCATCCATTCGTTCAATGCACTGAGAATGCTGCCAGCTTTCAGTCCAAGACTGGAGCCCCAGTACTATGTGCTGTGATGATGATTGATCACAGCTATCATTTAATTATGTATTTTATTATTTTTATAAATGACATGGGGTCTTGCCATGTTGCCCAAGCTGGTCTCGAACTCTTGGGCTCAGGCGATCCTCCTGCCTTGGCCTCCCAAAGTGCTGGGATTACAGACATGAAGCACTGCACCTGGCCACAGCTACCATTTCTGGGAACTCACCACATATTGTGCAAAGCACTTTCTATATGCCCCACTTAATCCTTACAGCAATCCTATGTGGTGGCTGTCATTAATCCTGTGTTATGGATAGGGAAACTGAGGTATGGAGAGATTGAGATCATACATCTGACAAGGGGCAGAAGTAGGATTTGCACCCAAAGAGTCTGGCTCCAAAGTGGTGCTCCTCACAATACACCACTTCTTTCACAAGGCTGCTCTATAGAAGAGGGAGATATGTTATTACAGGCTGCCCTGGGTGAGTGTGGCAGGCAGGAAGGCATCCCAGAGGAGGTACCAGCCTGGAGCTCGGCCTCGATTTCCTCAGTACTTGGGGAATGTTTGGCTTCCCCTCCACCTGCCTCCTCATGGCTTCCTTCAATCTCCCCCTGCAGCCTCAGATTCTGCACCCAATCCACAGAGACCCAAGAAGGTGACCTGCTGGAACCCAAGCCCCAGGCCCAGAGTGTGGCTCTGTCGCAGCCTCAGTGCATCCACCCCAGCCAACAGGGGCAGGCTGCCCATACTCAGATGGGGATGACTGGCTTCTGGAGCCACTATCTTGGGTCCCACTGATGGTGCATGAGCAAGAAACCGCAACAAGCATTGAGTTGTCAGGTGGAAGAGGGATCCAAGGGAATTGGGAATGGGCAGGTGGGGCTACTGAGCTGGAACTGGGTTTGTCTGCTCCAGAGAATCATAGACTCCATCAACCCCAGGATGAATTGAGAACAGTCTTCCATTCCTAGGGTGGGGAGCCCAGGGGTGTTTGCACCTGCCAGGAGGGGGCTGGGCCCTGTGACTAAGCTAGACACGGCAGCACCAGCCCTCCCACCATCCTCCACCTAAGACATATGTATATCCTCTGTAAAAGACCCAGAGAGCACCTGAGGCAGCCAACAGCAATGTGGGATTGGGAGCAAGTGTTGCAGAGAACTGAGAGAGCAGAAACACTGCAGGAGAGAGGAGGCAGAGGATGGAACTCTGAGAAACCTTGATATTGAAGGGCCAGCCAAAGGAGGCAAGGGGCCAGGCACAGTGGCTCACACCTGTAATCCCAGCACTTTGGAAGCCTGAAGCAGGAGAATCACTTGAGTCCAGGAGTTCAAGAGCAGCCTGGACAACATAGTGAGACCTCATCTCTACAAAAAAAATTTAAAATTAACTG
The DNA here is from genome assembly GCF_000001405.40 of Homo sapiens. Classification (NCBI taxonomy): domain Eukaryota; kingdom Metazoa; phylum Chordata; class Mammalia; order Primates; family Hominidae; genus Homo; species Homo sapiens. Next base: position 75,093,567 of record NC_000010.11, read on the forward strand.
GGTGTGGTGGCTCACGCCTGTGGTCCCAGCTACTTGGGAGGCTGAGATGAAAGGATTGCTCGAGGTGGGGTGTGGGGATCAAGACTGCAGTGAGCTGACTGCACCACTGCACTCCAGCCTGGACCACAGAGTGAGACCCTGTCTCAAAACAACCAGAAAACCCAAACACACACACACACAAACAGAGGAGGCAAGACCTCACTAACAGCAGCCAGAGAGGTAGAGGAAAGCTGCCCATTTAAACCCCATAAATACCTTGGGTTTTTATGATGTATTTTACAGGTGAGGAACCTGGGAGGGGGCCTTTCTTTATTGTTTTATTTTATGTTGTGCCAAGATAAGAACTAAGAAACTCAGAGCTATTTTGTTCCATCATATAACTGTCCTTTGCCTAGTATTTCTGGTATGTCTCCTTCCCAACCCCATCATCCTCTTGTTTAATGCTTTAATTTGTTAGGAGTCTAATTTTAAGCAGTCCGTTTGAAAGCAGAGTGCTAGTGAAAAGACTGACTGGTTTCAAGAGATGCTACTAGTGGACAGTGAATTTTGATATTTAGCCTTGGGTAGGATGGGCATGGAGATAATGGTGATGCATTGAACTTGGGTCTTTATCAGACAACCTAACTATTGGGTGAGGGTATGAGGAGGACAAGATGAGGAGGACAAGATGAGGACGAGGTTATCTAATCCTCACACTTGTACCCCCAAACCTTCCTCCTGCACCCAAGGCAGATATCACGAATTATTCCCACCTGTACTCCTCCCCGAGGCTGCCATCCCACTGAATCAGAGTTGGCAAGCCATCTGGAACCTTGTGACCATCCCGAGAGTAAGTCCTTGCCCCACAGACCACCAAAAGATCACCTGTCTTTATGACGATGAATATTTTATTATAGAGATGGACTGAACTCACTTTTGCATAAAGAATCTCTGAATTGGGTCAGGGAAATCCACCCGCTAAGAGGTCACCACCCAGCTATCCCTGCCTCTGCCTCAGCCCCCACTTGCTGTTTACATCTCAGGGTCACTAGAAACAGCAGAGCCTGCTGTTCCCAGGGCCAGGCTGGTGGGGTTGGGCCAAGGGTCAGGGATCCTGGCTGCCTGCCAGATCAGAACCGCCCCGTCTCCCGCCCCAGTCGGTTGTCCAGAACCTGGAGCTGCCGGAGGAAGCCTGAGTTAGGGCAGATATTGCGGTGGGCCTGCACCGTCTGGATGGCCTCTACCAGCGTCATGTTCTCACAGATCATGAGGAAGGCCAGGACAAGTGTGGCAGAGCGGCTTACCCCCATGGCACAGTGTACCAGCACGCGGCCTGTAGGGAGAACCAACTTAGCATCAGCTACCTGCCCTTGAACCACCCACCCCTTTGGGAAGAAGAGACACCCATGGCCATCCTCTACAGTATCCTGGAATACTGACACTGTCTACTCTGTCAAATGGGGCAACTGAAGCCCAAAGAGAGGAGGCTGGCTCAAAGTCACATAGCAAGTTAGAGGCAGGGTTTAGGTTAGCAGCCGGGATTTCCTTCTTCCAGTCCAGGTGCTTCCTCAGGCATCCTTTGCAACTCTGGGCCAGGGGAAGGGGGTTTACTGAATTCCTGAGGTCACTGGGTTTGCATCAGATTATAGGGGGTGTCCATCTACCTCCCTTTCCCCCGAGTTCTGCCCTCTCGACTGCCCCTGCAGCTCTATGCCAAGGCCTCATCTTAGAGGAACCCGCTCAAGAGCTTCACTGGGTCCTATACCTTCTGTCCAGTGCCTGGCCTCTTATGGAGGGATGTGGTGATGCTGATGACCACACTGCATCTTAGTTATGTCTGCAATTGCTAGCCTCCAGGGTGTCCCTGAAGGGGACACTCACTGAATGGTAGTAGCTATTTTCCCTATGGAGTGGGAGGGTTACTGAAAGGGTTTGTCTCTCTGGACTCCCACCCACCAGTGCTACTGGAATAATGGAGAGTCCTAAAGCACACCCTCCACCCTCCACCATGCCTGATCCAGAAGTGCACCTTGGGGAACACTGAGGGCAGCTCGGATGTATCGAGCAACAGGCAGAAAGTAGACACTGAGGTCGAAGAAGGGGTTGTCGTCCGCCTCGATGCCATAGTACTCCAGGGACATTCCACGGTAGAATTTGGCACCTGTGTCCACCTGGAACTTGCCTGCAGCGGCATTCACAACGTGGGTGATTCCCAGCTGGATCAGCTTGCTCTTGTCCCGGGCTGCGTACCTGGAGGAGAGGGCACAAGGGGTTAGGAGAGTGGAGGTAGATCTCACTGTGGCAGCTCTGGCTGGGTTGAAGTTTGCAAACACCCCCGCCCACCACCCACCAAGGGTAGAGACAAGAGCCTGCAAATTGGCCCAGGGTGAAGGGGCTCCTCCTGTTGGAGTTTAAGACTCCTTTTCGGGCTGGGTGCGGTGGCTCACGCCTATAATCCCAGCACTTTGGGAGACCGAGGTGGGCAGATCACTTGAGGTCAGGAGTTTGAGACCAGCCTGGCCAACATGGTGACACCCCATCTCTACTAAAAATACAAAAATTAGCCAGGCATGGTGGTGGGCACCTGTAGTCCCAGCTACTCAGAAGACTGAGTCAGGAGAATCACTTAAACCCAGGAGGCGGAGGTTGCAGTGAGCCAAGATTATGCCACTGCACTCTAGCCTGGGCAACAGAGCTAGACTCCATCTCAAAAAAACAACAACAACAACAAAAAATAGACTCCTTTTCAGGCCAGGCACTGTGGCTTATGCCTATAATCCCAACACTTTGGGAGACTAAGGCGGGAGGATTCATTGAGCTCAGGAGTTCGAGACCAGCCTGGGCAACATGGCAAAACCTTATCTCTACAAACAATGCAAAAATTAGCCAGGCATGGTGGCATATGCCAGTAGTCCCAGCTACTTGGGAGGCTGAGGTGGGAGAATCACCTGAGCCTGGGAGGTTGAGGCTGCAGTGAGTGGAGATTGCACTACTATACTCCAGCCTGGGTGGCACAGTGAGACCCCGCCTCAAAAAAAAAAAAAAAAAGAAAAATTAGCTAGGTGTGGTTGTGCAAACCTGTATTCCCAGCTACTTGAGAGGCTGAGGTGGGAGAATTGCTGAGCCTAGGAATTTGAGGTTGCAGTGAATGATGATAATCCCTGCATTCCAGCCTAGGCAACAGAGAGAGACCTTGTCTCTAAATAAATAAATAAAAATTTTAAAATGAAATATTACTAGGATCACTGTTCATAATAGTCAAAAAGTGGAAACAATTCAAATGTCCATATTCAGTAAAATGGATAAACTGTGGCATAATCATATGATGACTCCAGCAGTGAAAACATGAATGAACTTCAGGTACACATAACAATGTGGGTGACTCACAAATTTGAGCAAATGATCCCAGGCACAAAACACACACAACATGATTCCACTCATATCATTTTAAACAACAGGTGAAACTAACTACACTGTTTAGATATATAGGTGGTAAAACTTTACAGAAAATAATTAATTCAACAGATAGTGATTAACCACAGAGAATAGAAAAGTTATAATGAGAAGGATTCAGTAGGGGCTTCTGGGAGACAAGTAATATCCTTTTTCTTCACTGGGTGATGAAGCTGTTCATACGTGCTCTGTGCACATTTCCTTTTTCCTTTTTTTTTTCTTTCTTTGAGACAGAGTTTCGCTCTTATTGTCCAGGCTGGAGTGCAGTGGCACGATCTCGGCTCACTGCAACCTCTGCCTCCTGGATTCAAGTGATTCTCCTGCCTCAGCCTCCTGAGTAGCTGTGATTGCAGGCGTCCACCACCACACCTGGCTAATTTTTTGTATTTTTAGTAGAGATGAGGTTTCACCATGTTGGCCAGGCTGGTCTCGAACTTCTGACCTCAAGTGATCCACCTGTCTTGGCCTCCCAAAGTGCTGGGATTACAGGCGTGAGCCACCGCACCCGGCCCTGTGCACTTTTCTTATGTGCATTCTAGTTCCACAGTTAAAAGCAGTAATAATATAAAAGGAAAGAAACATAGGGAAAGAGACGGTGGGAGGCAAGCGTGCCACCTCTGCCCTAGAGGGCTCTGAGAGAGGCTCATGCCCCCATTCCCGTGTGAACCTCACACCCTTCCGCCATCCCCACTCCTAACGTGGGTCTTACTCACGCATCTCCCAGGAAGAGGCTGGGCCAGACCTCATCGATATGGTTCAGTGTGGCAGCCTGACGGACCCACAGCAAGCGCTGCAGCGAAGCCAATGTGGGCGGCTGGTAGGGAGATGCCTGGACTGCCCCATGGATCTTGGGCCTCCGGAGGTCCTGCTTCTGCAGTGAGTCCATCCTGGAACAGAGTGGACACCGCAGTGGCTGGAGGCAGGCTCCCAGAGGGTGGATCCAGCTGATGGGGAAGCCCATGGTGCAGTGCCTAGGTGCCACGGGGATGCTGCAGGAAGGGCTTCATCTATTTCACATGAGGTATTAACAAGCTCAGCTGGGGCTGAGGCCTAGAACCCTTCCCCAGGGAACAAGGGAATCAAGCCTTTGTCACTGCTATGGAGCTGGGCAGACCTCTCTCCTGCCCTCTGCTGAGCTGCAGATGTATGAAGCTTTGGCCAAGGGGCCCTTGGAGTTCCCTGTTTGTGGCACTAGTCAGTGCAGATCTCATCCCTAAATCAGCTTGGACTTTGTAGGGATGAAAGCCCCAGATGGCTGTGGCTCTCAGGGCACCCAGGAAGCCCCCACCAACCTAAGCAGCTCATCTCAAGCCCCCTCACCTGCTACTTCCAGTACTCATCCTCAGACCCCCGTCCCCTCCCACTTTCAGGGGCTTGGAGATCAGAGCCTATCTCCAGGTAAGAGGCCAGGACTGTGAACTGGTATTTGTTAGCAACTCCGCATGGAATGAGCTAATGCCTCTTATAAGCCTGATGCCTCTGGCTGGGCACGGTGGCTCACACTTGTAATCCCAGCACTTTGGGAGGCTGAGGCAGGCAGATCAACTGAGGTCAGGAGTTCGAGACCAGCCTGGCCAATGAGGCAAAATCCTGTCTCTACCAAAAATACAAAAATTAGCCAGGTGTGGTGGTCCACTCCTGTAGTCCCAGCTACTAGGGAGGCTGAGGCAGGAGAACCTTTTGAACCTGTGAGGCAGAGGTTGCAGTGAGCTGAGGTCACACCACTGCACTCCAGCCTGGGCAACAGAGCGAGAGTCCATCTCAACAACAACAAAAAGCCTGATGTCTCACTCGTGGGATATCTGTTCCTATTTTACCCAGGAGGAAGCTGAAGCTCAGAATGTTTTAAAAGTGATGCCCAAAGCCATACGGCTCATGAGTAGCAAGGCTGGGGTTTTAGTCCATCCCCAAGCCTTTCAGTTACCATCTTTGGGGCCTCCAGAGAGTGGTCACTAACCCATCTGCTTCCTCAAGGGAGCCTGGTACTGCTGAGCCACACACCTGCCTACAGGCCCTGGGTTTTCCTCCTTACCCCCACGACTCAGGCCAGCACTGGATGTCAGGCCCCACCCGGGTCAGGTAGCTTGTTTCAGGCATCTGCTGGCTGAAGGAGTCAGGGACCCTGCGGAGCTGGATTTTCAGCGGCACCAGAATATGGGCCTGGTGCCGTGTTGGAGAGGGGGTCCTGTCTTTGCTAACTGCCCCTGATCCCCTGGACCAGTGACTAGGGAAGGTGCATACTGGGAAGAACATCTTTTCCCTTTGGTAGGCAGTGCCAGGACCAGAAAAAGAAACAGGCACCCAGGAGGCTGCCGGCTTGGCCAGGCTCACCCAGTGGGAGGCTGTCGGGCAAGGCGGAAGTGAAGACCAAGCTGTCCTCCTCATCCCCCACTGTGACCTCTCCAGGTGGCTGAGTGGCCTGCCACCTACCTGGGGCATGGCCTGGGGCCGGGAATGGGGGAGTGGGTGCAGGGGCAGGACTCTGCCTGAGCGGAACAGGGCTGGGCAGGTTCTGCCCAGAACACAAACACTGTGAAGCGGCTAGAATTCCAGGTGCTGGCTGGGGCGCCCATGGGGGGTGGGGCCTGAGAGCCGACTGAGGCCTTGTGGACTGCAGTGGGCCCTCCGGTCCCTCTAAACCCCCAGGCCTCCTCTCTGCTTGGTATCTGTTTGGGATTGAAGACCGTTGGTTCCATAAACCTCCATGAAGATGGGAGTCTACCTGAAGAGGTGGGAAGAGAACTTCTGAGGCAGGGAGGAGAGCCTGGCTCCCCCAGCACTCTGCCATAACTCATTCTGTGGCCACGAGCAAGTCTTTGCTCCCATCTGGACCACAGTTTATCTTCCCATGCTAGGGATGCTGGACTTAATTTTCAGGATGCTCTGGGGGTCTGACCCGAGAATGAGAGAGGAGTGTCTGGATATGCGGTCACTGCAGGGCAGAGGGCAGTGTAGTGTGGTGGAGTTGGGGAAGCCCCCAGGACCCAGAGGAGTCCAACAGCCACACTGGTCTGGAGCCATCAGGTGGGGCTGCACCACCCCAGGCAGGAGATGGGGCTTTGGGAAGTGGGACAGGCTCCGGGCTCAGGCCTGCGGAGCTTGGCATGGGGTGAGGCTGCCCCCTGGTGGCCAATGGGTGTGTCACAGCCCAGCCTTGCCAGGGAGCAGGCAGCCAGGCTCCACCCCCAGGAGGCTCCAGAGGGGTCAAGGATTTGGGGGCTGGTAGGCCACAGTGCATGCCTCTGCCTCCGAGGGGACCTAGGCCCAGGTCTGAAGAACGGGGCTCTCCCCTGGACTTAGCGCTATGCCTGGTCAGGCTCCACCTAATGCCTTGCTCCCGATGCTCAGGGTGTTGCCCCACCTGTCCACTCTAACCCACTGGGACCCAGCCCATCCCATCAGTCAGAGTCAGGCCCGGCCACCCCCCCAGGGACTCGTCCTTTAAGCCCCAGTCCCTCCCAAGGAGGGGAAGTCGGTGGTTGTGGCAGCTCCGCCGGTTTCTGACACCTGAGACTTGGTCTTCGGAGGGCCCTGCCTGACACTACATTCCATGTCTCCTTGTCCCCAGCTGGGTGAAGCACAGGCCCAACGTCCAGCAGGGCCAGGGCCCGGCCGAGCTCCCCTCCCACTCCCTGCAGTCTTCCTTCTCTCCCTGATCCCGTGCTCCTCCTCGCCCCCTTCCTGCCTCCCCCGCTCAGCAGAGCAGCTGCCTCTGTAGGCAGGGCTTTTCCTGGCTGCTCCTGTGCTGCTGCTGTTTGCAAGTCCATGCACTTCTTTTCTGTGTTTGCATCTCTCCTCCCTGGGTCACTCCCCCGTTTGCCTCTGTCTCCCATCCTCCCCCAGGAAGCTCATGTGCCTTTGCAGCCTCCCATGACGCTGCTCTGTGTGCCCAAGACATCGGGCAGAGGCACAGGCTTCCTTGGGGCAGGGGGCAGCTGTTTGCCATCCACCTCTCAGCTGCAGTTTCAGATAGTCCCCTGGACTTTCTTCCTGCCCATCCTTTCTGACTCCACTCCAGGGAGGCCAGACAGAAGTGTGGCCACAGGCCATGTGGGGCTGGAGATCTCAGGGCAGGACCAGTGAGGAGTGTGGGGAGAAGGCCTGCAGAAGGGTGGCGTGTGGCTGCCAGTGGGGAACAGCTGTGGGTCTCTGTGCTCAGCCTGAGGGTCTTGGGGAGGGCAGACCTGGGTAGAAATCTCAGGTCTGGTACTTGCAGCTATGTGGTCTTGTCTTCACCAAGCCAGTTTCTTCAGTGGGGCTGCTGTGAGAATTCCATGTAATAATTAATGTAAAGCACCTCCCACAGGGTCTGTCTTATGGTAGATGCCCAATAAATGGCACGTCTTACTATTATTATCACTACTATAATTACTCTTACCCTTTCCAGCCCCAGCCATATCCTATGTGGAGGGTAACTTCCCTACGGGACAGTGAGATTTCTTCTCTATCTCTGTATTTCTTGATATTTCTTTCTCTGTCCAGCAATAATTGTTATATTTAGCACTCATCAAGGATGTACTATGTGCCAGACAGAGCTAGGTGCTCACATTTTCTCATTGAATCCTCACAGTGCCTTTATGGAGCAGGTAATATTATCATCCCCATTTTACAGATGAGGAAACCGAGACTCAGAGAGGTTAAGCAACATACCCAGAGTCACATAGCCAATTGATGTGGGAGTCAGGATTCAAACCCAGGTCTCTCTGACTCTACTATACCTTGTCTGCGCCTTCATCTCTGACCCAGTCGGTTCTCTACCCAACCCAAACCCCACCCCTCCCCACACAGGCACAAGTGTCCTGGCCCTCATTACCCAGCATGCTCAGGGACCACATCCTACCCCCCCCAAATTAGGAGCACTCACCCACCTGTGGGAGTATCTGGCCCAGGCTGTGCACTTCTCTGACGGGCAGTTCGTGCTGCTGGCTTTCAGCCGCCTGTCTCCGCACACTTGATGCTGTTTCTATTTTTTGATTTGAGTTTAATTATAAAGCATGCTGTCTACTCCCCTCTTCCAGCCTCCCCTGCCACTCCCAACTTGTCCACTGGTTCCATGGCATGGCCAGTGCCAAGCACAGTCAGGCACCTTTCCCTCCAGGCCCAGGCCTCTGTCCCAGCACTGCTAAGAATCAAGGCAGCTCAGCCCAGGTCTGACTGTGGCATATTGTGTACATGTATGTTGATAGTGGGAGAAGGGGCCGGGCGCGGTGGCTGAAGCCTATAATCCCAGCACTTTGGGAAACCGAGGAGGGTGGGTCATGAGGTCAGGAGATCGAGACCATCCTGGCTAACAGGCTAGCCGGGCGTGGTGGTGGATGCCTGTAGTCCCAGCTACTCAGGAGGCTGAGGCAGGAGAATGGCGTGAACCCGGGAGGCAGAGCTTGCAGTGAGCCGAGATCGCGCCACTGCACTCCAGCCTGGGCGACAGGGCGAGACTCCGTCTCAAAAAGAAAAAAAGAAAAAACAAAAAGAAAAAAAGAGATAGTGGGAGAAGGAAGATCAAATAAACCATTTTAAAAGGTCCCTTGGCCGGATGCAGTGGCTAATGCCTATAATCCCGACACTTTGGGAGGCTGAGGTGGGAGGATTGCTTGAGCCCAGGGGTTCAAGACCAGTCTAGGCAATATAGCCAGACCCTGTCTCTACTAAAAATACAAAAAATTAGTGAGTTGGGCTGGTCGCGGTGGCTCATGCCTGTAATCCTAGCACTTTGGGAGGCCGAGGTGGGCGGATCACCTGAGGTCGGGAGTTCGAGACCAGCCTGACTAACATGGAGAAAACCTGCCTCTACTAAAAATACAAAATTAGCTGGGCGTGGTGGCGCATGCCTGTAATCCCAGCTACTCGGGAGCCTGAGGCAGGAGAATCATTTGAACCCGGGAGGTGGGGGTTGTAGTGAGCTGAGATCACGCCATTGCACTCCAGCCTTGGCAACAAGAACGAAACTCCGTCTCCAAAAAAAACATTAGCTGGTTGTGGTGGCACACACTTATAGTCCCTCCTACTCGGGAAGCTGAGGTGGGAGAATCACCTGAGCCCAGGAAGTCAAGGCTGCAGTGAGCCCTAATCCTTGACCATGCCATTGCACTCCAGCCTAAGCAACTGGAGTGAGACCCTCTCCCTTGGCCTTCAAGGGTATTATAGAAGAAGGGCAGGAAGTTCAAGTTGGAAGGATGTTCTGTGGAGGAGGACAGTGAAGAGGCTAGCCAAAAATCACATGTAAACTGGTGGCATTGCCAACAGCAGGACCCAGGTCCGGGGCCCTCAGTTAGGGGCCAAGGCCGATGGGACAGGTCCAGGATAAAGACCTAGAAGACTCAGGCTGAGGGAAGCAGCACAGGCCCACACACAGACACAGGTGTAGAGCAGGTCTTCAGACAGCCCTGGGCTGCAGGCAGAAGCAGTGTGTCCAGGGCCACTCCCACCCTCTGCCAAGCTCCTCCCCCAACCCAAAAGGCAGGGACACCCAGGCCCCACTGTCCCCTGAGGCCAGAGAGATGGTCTTTAAGGTCTCTCCCCATGCTAACTGTGGTCAGCTAGGACCTTCAATTGGGCCTACTAGAAATCTTCTCTGTCATCCACAGACCTTTGTCATACACACATACCTTGATACTACTCCCCGCTTGCACTCCCAGATGGTGGGAACAGGGCACACCCATGCCTGCAGCCATACCTGCACTGGGTCTCTGAGGTCTGAGCTCCAGGGAGCTAAGGCTCAGCCCCTCCTGGGGCTCTCTGAGCCCTGAGGGGAGCTGCTGGAGACAGCTGTGGCCAACAGCTATCACAAATATCTGGAACCCCCTTCCTCTCTCCTCCCCTCCCCACTTTCCCAGGGAACTTGGGGTCCCTGGCCAAGAAGCCTGAGGGCTTGGCTGAGAGGGGAGCCCACTCCCACCTGTGGAGACTGAAGACAGTGGCTGAGAGGGGGTGTAGGCGCCAGGAGGAGCCAGATGGAGTAGCAGGCTCTAGGGCCGACCCCACGCTGGGCTTCCACCATCTTCTGTGTGTCCGCCTGGGCCAGAGCCTCCAGCAGCACCAGCAGGATCAGTGCCAGGGTGGCAAAGTGGCAGAGCCCCATGGCAGGGAGTAAGGACCAGCTCTGGAAGAGAGATGAGCTCTGTGTTACAGGCAGGTGAACCAAGGCCCAGGCTGGCTGGGACTTGTTGGGGCAGGGATAAGAGCTGTCACCTAAACCTGCTTCTGCCTTGAGCCCTGTGCATAAGGTCAAGTGAGTGCAGCTGCTGGGAGAGATGAGGAGGTAGATTTGGTATCCATGGCTTAGGGACAGAGATGACCTCTCCCCATGGGCCCCTTATCTTTCAGAGTACCTGGACCCAGAGCTGCTCTGTATGGCTGCACAGGCTGCACACTGCATAACTCCTGGGGCCTCCAGTTGCACAGTTTGGTGGATGACACCTCCATGAATTGTGCAATGCTGTACCCCTGCCTATCCAACTTCCCCAAAGTCAGCTGCCTGATGGGAAAGATGCTGAGGTCAGAGGTCAGGGAGCCTAAGGCCCCAGGCTGAGGGAGAAGGGTGACTGGGCATGGTCCGAGATCTGATGCTCCGCCAGGTTCCTGGGTCCTGTCTAGAGGAGAGAGAGCAGGCAGGGAATCTGCCATTCCATGGGAAACATGCCCCCTTCAGACCTTCTACCCACAGAGCTCCATGCCACAGCTTGGCTACAGGCCAATCTCAAGCCCAGCTATAACCCAAAGTTTCTTATCACAGTCACCCCCAAACTCTAAACTTAGCCCCTGATCCTTCCCTAATCCTGCTCCTCAAGATGCTTATCCTCCAGCCAGCACAGGGGAAGGGGTCGATGCTGCTGAAGGGCCTCCCTTCTGCTTGGGCTGGCTATGCCTTCAGAGACAGGAACTGCTCTTAGGGGTGGGAGGCAGGGAGAGAGTCAGGCCCTGCCCTGGGAGGTTTCTGGGAGGAAAAAGCTACTGCTGTTCCAGCTCCCAAGCATGCCCAGGCCAGTCACCCACCCCCAAATGGCAGCCCGTCTGTGGCATGGGGTGGTAGGGACAGCCAAAGACAGGCTTGAGGCGAGACAGGCAAGGAGTTGTAGAGGAAGCAGAGGTGGAGGCAGGCCCTGCTGGGTGGGGAGCCACCGTGGAGGCCTGGCCTTAGCTCACTGATGAGAATTAGCTAAGCCTGGAAAGTTTTCTCTGTGGCACTGTACCTGGGGTCCAGACCTAGGGGGAAGGGGATGTGGAGGTTCAGGAGGGTCCAGGCTGGCTGTGCAGATGCCTCAGTGAGATTTAGGGGAGCCCCCACAGGCTTTCAGCTGAGGCAGGGCAGGTTGGCCCCAAGACCAGGTAGGAAAGTCTCCCCTCTTCCATTTTATGCTTTCCACACCCTCGCATCCTAGTCCTTCTCTTCTCTTTGGGGTCTGAAGGATCCAGGTGGGGTGGGGGATATGGGTTGGGGGTCCTACAGGAGAATTGCCTAGGCCAGGCCCTTGGGTGAGACCCTGGGTAGGTTAAGGGAACCCAGCAGTTTGGAGAGAGGGCCAGGCCCCCTTTAATCCTCACTTCCAGCCACACACAGCCCTGCCAACCAATCCTGGAAGAATCCAATCCTATGTCTGCAGCCTAGGCCCTCACCTGGCCTCTTCCGGCCAACCACATCCAGCTTTGCCCCCTGAGGCCTCACCTGGCCCCTCAGCTCTGGCCGGCACCCCGCAGTTGCTGGTCCAGCCTGCAGAGCTGGTGCAGGAAGCCTCGGTTGGGGAAGACCCATCGGTGCTGCCTCACGGTGATCACCGCCTGGCGCAGGGACAGCCGCTGGTGCAGCATGAGGTAGGCCAGGACCAGCGTGGCAGAGCGGCTCACGCCCACCACACAGTGCACCAGGACCTTGGCTGAGGAAGACATCCTGGTGAAAAACCCTGTCCCACACACCGGCCCACCCACGGGCTGGGATGGGGACCCAAGTTCCTTTCCTGACCCTGCCTTGGGTGCACTCTGTGATCCTGAGCAAGTCACTCAGCCTTTATGGACCTCAGTTTCCTGATCGGTAAAATGGGTAGATCAACACCTGTTCTGCCTACCCTTGGGATAGGGTCCGAATTTCTTTTTTCTTTTCTTTCTTTTCTTTTTTTTTTTTTTTTTTTTAGTAGAGACAAAGTCTCACTATGTTGCCCAGGCTGGTCTTGAACTCCTGAACTTAAGTGATTCTCCCACCTTGGCCTCCCAAAGTGTTGGGATTACAGGCGTGAGACACCGCTCCTGGCCTCCAAACCTTTTTAACACTTCAAGAGCTGGCCCCTGTCGCCTCATCTCAGATTGTCCCTCCCCCACCTTCAGCTCGAGAAACATGGAGGAACTTGCAGTTCCTTGAGGCTGCCATGGTTTCTGACCTCCAGCCTTACCACATGCTATTCCAAATACCTGCAAATTGTTTCCCCTGGTCTCGGTCTGACTAACTTCCACTACTCATCCACCAGGTTTTGGCTGAGACACGGCTTCCTCCACAGGCTTTCTTGACCGCTCAAAGTATTGCTTGAATCACAAAGCAGCTCATCTTTTTTGCATATTACCCATGGATACCTTTGTAGAGGGAAGTCCCCCCACCTTCCCGATCCTCTGGGCTTAGCACCCCCGCCGTGTGCTCCCAGAGCCCTCCACACTGGCCCACTCTTATGAGTAGCTCTCACTATACTATTCGCAATTTGGCTGTCTTTCCACCAGTTCCAAGAGGGCAGGGATCCTGCTTCTTAAAGTCTGGATTCCCAGTATTTAGCTCAGTGCCAGGCACGTAGTGGATACTCAGTAAATAGCTGGTGAATGAATGGATAAATAGCAAAAGAATGTCAAAGTGTGTTGGATACTAAAAAGTCATGTGAGCTGTAATCTTGTCATTCCTGTCACATAGATGAGGAAACTGAAGTCCAGAAAGGGACACTGGCTTGCCCAGGGTCACACAGTGAGGGACACAGCTGTCTTCTAGGATGGACACAAAGCCAGGACACCAGCCTCCCTGGGCTCCTATGCTGTATCCTGAGTATTTGAAGATATATTTCTTTTCTAGTTAAAAGTACTTTGGGGGCCGGGTGCGGTGGCTCATGCCTATAATCCCAGCACTTTGGGAGGCCGAGGCAGACAGATCACTTGAGGTTAGGAGTTCGAGACCAGCCTCGCCAACATGGTGAAACCCTGTCTCTGCTAAAATACAAAAATTAGCCGGGTATGGTGGCGGATGCCTGTAGTCCCAGCTACTTGGGAGGCTGAGACACGAAAATTGCTTGAAGCCCAGAGGCAGAGGTTGAACCCAGGAGGCGGAGGAGCAGAGATCGCGCCACTGCACTCCAGCTTGGGTAGCACTGAGACTCTGTCTCAGAAAAAAAAAAAAAAGGAGAAAAAAAGTACTTTGGGGCAGACATCTAGGTACCAAATGGTGCTTTCCCAAAGTTGAGTGTTGCAGAGAAAGAGCTGTTCTGCTGTTTGGGAGAAATGGCTTTCAGCCTCAGGGTTGCTCCTAACTCATGGCATGACCTTGTATTCCAGGCCTCAGTTTCCCCATCTGGGAAGGAATCGGGTTCGACAAAATGCTGGAGCACTAAGCAGAGGACTTTTTTTTGGCGGGGGGGGATGGAGTTTCGCCCTTTTGCCCAGGCTAGAGTGAAGTGGCATGATCTCGGCTCACTGCAACCTCCGCCCCCCATGTTCAAGCAATTCTCCTGCCTCAGCCTCCAGAGTAGCTGAGATTATAGGTGGGTGCCACCATGCCCGGCTAATATTTGTATTTTTAGTAGAGACGAGGTTTCACCGTGTTGGCCAGGCTGGTCTTGAACTCCTGACCTCAGGCGATCCACCCACCTCGGCCTCCCAAAGTGCTAGGATTACAAGCATGAGCCACCACACACGGCCTAAGCAGAGGATTTTTAAAAAGCAGGGATGGGAGGGCACTGATGACTGAGAGGAAATGAGGCATCCTCCCCATGAATGAGCAAGATGGGATATGGGCTTGGACCCCAAGTCCTACCCCCAGGCGTGTTGAGGGCACGGTGGATGAAGTCAGCCGCAGAGGAGAAGTAGGCACTGATGTCAAAATCAGGGAGGTCGTGGGCTGGCACCCCCAGGTAGCTCACACTGCTGCCGTAGAAGTCAGGGCCGCCCTGACAGTAGAGGCCCTTGTGGGCGGCGTTCAGCACGTGGGTGATGCCCAGCTTCCACAGCTCAAAGCGGTTGTTTGCCGTGGCCCTGGGGAGGGCAGGAAGGGCACTTGATGCCGGCCAAGCCATGGGACCAGGAGGGAGGCTGTGCCTGGCCCCCTGCTGCAGAGGGACCGAGCCATTAGGGTCCAAAGAGAGTCCAACCCCAGCAAGCTCCAAGTGGGGTCTGACTCCACAGCCCTATACCCAGAGCCCCGCACTTTCTGGTGGCTGAGCCGGCGGTGTGTGTGTCGGGGGATCTTTAGACCCTCTTTGCTTCCTCAATGCATCTGTCCCTGCCTTGGCCAGGACAGGAAGGAAGGGATTGCTTCAGCCCTGGAACCTGGCTGCCCCTCCCTTCTTGCCCCATGTCCTCCCACGCATATCCGTCCTCTACTGGCTACCACCTCATACCTGCTTCTAACCTACAAATGTTTAGAGGCAACACCTTCTCTGATTCACCTTCAGTCAGGCTTCTCCACCGTCTGTATCCAGAGGAGGGAGGCTGGGCCCAGAAACAGGGGGCTCTCTGTCTACCTTATCTCATGCCCCAAATACTATTTCCTGGGCCTCTGCCTCTACACTTGACAGTTGTCCTGGAAATGTTTCCTGGAACTCCTGGGAGACTCCCTGCTTTCAGGCAGGCGAAGTCCCTGCTCTCCCTGGTGGCCATACCTGGTCACTGCACTGACCTCAGCACCCCCGGGGGTCCTGGAGAAGGTCCCTGGCCTGGGATGGTCAGAGCAGAGCTATTTCTCCTTGTTTCCACCCTCCTGTGTCTGGTAAAGCGACCAAGAACTGCCTCTCCACGTCCCCACCCCCATGCCCCTTGGCCAGCTACCACTCACGCATCTCCTATGAAAAGGTTGGGCCAAACTTCGTCCACACGGCTGCAAGAAGACTTCCCTGCCCGCAGGAGCTCCTCCAGCTCCAGGATGCTGGGGCAAGGCGTGGCTTTGTCCTCTCCCCCCAGCTCTGGGAGAGAGGTCTCAGCCATGGGCCAGCCCGCCCACCCCTCTGCCTCTGTGGTCACTCCTCTCTGCCTCTCCAGTGTCATTTCTCCTTCCCAGAGATTGACAGGGACAGGTGACAGAAGCAAGTGACTCAGCAAGTCACAGGGGCCTCTGGAGTGGACAAGACCTTTTCCTCCCCAAGCCTCCCCCCACCCCCAAACTCCATGAGAACACAGAATCAGAGAGACCTCTGCAAGTCAGCTACCACCCTGAACCTCAGTTTCTTCATCTGTAAAGTAAGGATAATCACACCTACCTCAGAGAATTTGAGGATTAGATGAAACAAAGGACATGCTGGGTCTGACACATAGTAGGTGCTTAGAAACATCTGTGGAATTAGTAGATGTAGAGCCCTGCCTAAGGCTATTAGGTTCTGAGGACTGAGTTAAAGTAGAGATCCAGGGTGCAGAGGAGGTGGCTGGTTCCAAGGATGAATGATAGAAAGAACTGAAAGAAGTGTACAGTCTAGGTGGGCCACAAATTGGGCAGGAGCTGGATTGGATGTCTGTTGGATGAGTCTCTGAATTACGGAGGTCAGGGACAGTTTTCTGAGTTGTAGAGTCAGAGAAATATGGGTAAGAGACATGGAGAGCTTCCTTTAAAGGGTGCCCACAAGATTCATGGGGGGAGGGGGAAGGTGTTTTTTTTTGTTTTGTTTTGTTTAGACAGGGTCTCACTCTGTCACCCAGGCTGGAGTGCAGTGGCATCATCTTGGCTCACTGCCACTACCACCTCCCAGGTTCAAGTGATTCTCCTGCTTTAGCTTCCTGAGTAGCTAGGATTACAGGCATGTGCCACCATGCCACACTAATTTTTGTGTTTTTAGTAGAGATGGGGTTTTGCCATGTTGGTCTGACTGGTCTTGAACTCCTACCTCAAGTGATCAGCCTGCCTCGGCCTCCCAAAGTACTGGGATTACAGGTGTGAGCCGCCGTGCCGGGCCAATGGGGCAAGGTTTGAACAATGGTCCTGTAGTGAAGATGGCTAACTTCTCAGAAGAGAAGGCTGAAGAGGGCCTTGTATGTCAAATGGGGAGACGGGAGGTGAGTGTTGCCCTAGACTTTGAGAGCCAAAGGGGCTAACTGTCATCAGAAACAGTGGGAGGGAGATTCCTCTGCCTATAAGGGCTTTGGGTCCCAAAATAGAAACTGAGAAAGGTCAACCTGTCCTTCTGCCAGAGCTGGTTATCAGCAAGAGAGATGAGATGTCTCACCCTCTCTCATGTGACTTCTCAGTGGCCCTAATGGAGCTGGGAAGGGTATGAGCTGCAGTGGGGAGGTTCCCAGCTGCCCTTGGCCTTAAGACCAGTTTGAAGGGAAAGGCCACACCAGGGCATCCCATGGAAGCAGTCTACACTCATGTCTATCCCATTCAGAACCATTGAAGTCGGCCCGGCACTGTGTGGGGAGGCAAGACCAAGGAGGGGCTCGTGTCCAGGTTACAGCTGGGTTTGGACTTGGTTTATGCCAATGCTAGACCTGGCTTGGGAGGAGACCTTCCCTCAGGGTGGTGCAGCATGGTGGAGTGAGGAAAATACAGGATCTGATGTTAGAGAGATTTGGGTTGGAATATCAGTTTGCAATATGTCAGGCAGTATGTTTCTTTACTTTTCTGTGCTATAGGATCCCCCTTGCAGAATTAGCACTAGGATTTTTTTTTTGAGATGGAGTTTGCTCTTGTCGCCCAGGCTGGAGTGCCATGGCGTGATCTCGGCTCATTGCAACCTCCATTTCCCGGGTTCAAGCGATTCTCCTGCCTCAGCCTCCCGAGTAGCTGGGATTACAGGTATGCACCACCACGCCCGGCTAATTTTTGTATTTTTAGTACAGACGAGGTTTCCCCATGCTGGCCAGGCTGGTCTCGAACTCCTGACCTCAGGTGATCCCGCCTCAGCCTCCCAAAGTGCTGGGATTACAGACGTGAGCCTCCGCTCCCGGCCTTAGCACAAGGATTAAATGAGATGTTTATATGGCGTTTGGCATAGACACTGTCAAAGAGTAAATGGGCAATAAATTATAACAATGATCATTGGGGGCTGGCTATTGGAGAAGAGCTGGCTCTCTCCAGAGGAATTCGGATTACCTCCTTCTAGGCCCTAACCCCATTTACTGATCCCACAGGCCCCGCCCCGGCTCCGCTAGCCCCGCTTCCTCCTGTCGCTTTGGCCTCCGGCATGACGCATGCGCCCTCGGGCTCCTCCGCGGCAGCATCTCGGTTCTCCTCTCGGGCCCATCTGGAGCCTCGCGTCTTTTCCAGTGTGGGCCCCGCCCCCTGCCGGTAGAACCCCGTCCCCGGCCGGTAGGGCCCCGCCTCCCGAAGCAGTTCCGGTTCGGCTCCGAGCAGCTGCCGGCGCGGCGGTGACGGCGGCCGGGACGATGCCTGCGCGCAGTCGCCACCGCCCCCGCCTCCACTCCGGCTCCCCGCCCCGGGCTCCGCCCCCGCCGCTTGAGGCGCTTCACTCCGGCGAGGCGGGGAGGGCCCCGGACTCCGACGGCGGCTCGGACGCCGACTCGGAGGTGGGTCCGGGGAGCCCGACTCGGACCGCGGAGGTGAGCGGGAGCTGAGGCTGAGGAGAGGGGAGCTTGGGGGGCGCCTGCTGCCAAGGGTGAGTGGGGAGTCTGGGATGGAGCCGGGGGCTGCCGAGGGACCGCGACCTGGAGGGGCCCCGGGGAGACGGTTGAGGGAACCGGGATAGTCAGCTCTGGAATGGAATCTGAAGCAAATGGAGGTTGTCGAACTGAGGGCCTGAAGGCTGAGGGATAAGTGGAGGCCGAGGAACGAGAGGGAGAGAGCGAGAGGGGGAGGCTTGAAGAGCCCAGAGCTTGGGGGCTTTTGAAAGCTGCGCAGTGGGGGAAAAAGATCGAAGGTCCTGCGGGAATGTGGACCCGGAAGAAGAGATGCTCTGGGTTTGGCAGCGGGGATGAGGAGTCAGAGGAGCAAGACCTGGGCCGGTGTTCCCTTCCCAGGGCGAGGGAGGGCGATCGGGGCTGGGACTGGAGCCCTCTCATGGGGTTCTCCTCTTACGGAGCCCTCTTATCCGCCTCCCACCCCGGGTGGGGCTGGTGGTGATGGAGGGCAGGATTTAGGTTTGACTAGAAGGAGGAGGGCTGTTGGATGGGAAATCGTCTGGCCTCAAGGGGTGAGGGAGGCACTGAAAAAGAGAAGTGTGGTCAAGAAAGAAAAGGAGCCCTTGGGGATCTAATTTTGGGCTTTGGCATTTTTACAGGTGCCTTTTAAAACATCAAAGATCACTAGGGCAATGTACTTGGATCGTGGGGCTTTCTCGTTCGTGCACAGTGGATCATTTTAAGAATCTTGGGTGGAAGGGGCGGTGTGAATCACTGATTTGCCTAAAGGACTGGGGGAAGTAGTGGAGAGGAAGTGATGTTTGAAGAAGGTAGTGGAAGACGTGATTCTGAAAATGAAGATATCATTTGGATTTATTGACAGTAATGGTGTCCTTTTTTTCATTGTAATTTTTTCGTAGCTAAGTTTAAATACCAGACATGTTAAGATCCTAAAAATTTACTATATTACCTTTAAGTTTTAAAAACTTGAAACAAGACTTTGGATACTCAGATTTTAAAAATTAAACTTGAAACAAGAATTTGGACACTTGGATTTTACAGATACTCAACATGGACTGGTTCCACTTTCAAAGTTTTAAGTTGACACATGTATTTGCCACATAGTAAATGTATGGTCAATGCAAGTTTCTGGGTGAAGGGGGCACAGTGAACTTGCCACAGTCTAGGCGCAATACCAAATCTTCCTCTCACTGATAACCCCAGGATTGGACTTATCTCTTGAAAATTGGAGAGGTACCTTTGACTGATTGGCAAAACCAATATTGAAATACTATTTTGCAGGTATTGTGTGAATAGTATTTTTAGTAGAGTGATTTGGAAAAATAAGGACAGAGGATGCTTGTAGTTGGCAGCCAACACAACTGGGACAGGTGGGTATACAGATGCTTTTTATAGAAGACATAGTTCCAAAACATAATTATGCCAGAAAAAGAATGATTGCAATATTTATATTCACTTTAGTAGAGATAAATTGACTTCCTTTTGTGATTGTTAAGTCATAACATGGTTCCATGAAGTCTTTGACTTTAGCCACATGTCTCATATGTTTTACAACTTTTTATGTGATTATAGGTTTGTAAAGTTGTTGGCCATTTCTTTTCTCTTCCTTCTTTTCTTTTCTTTCCTTTCTTTTTTTTTTTTGAGACAGAGATTCGCTGTGTTGCCCAGGCTTAAGTGATCCTCCCACCTCAGCCTCCCAAGTAGCTGGGAGTAGCTGGGACTGCAGGTGGGCGCCACCATGGCTGGCTAATTTTTGTTAGCATCAAGCGTTTTCTAAATGCTTGATTAAATCTAAATGGATATCTACTGTTTAATCTTCATGAGATGATAATTTGATTTGCAACAGCTTTTAAATTAGTTTATGTGTATGGGCTATGTGACATACCCTCAGATGCACAGTGGAATAGTAATTGTTTCTTCAAAGGATATGTGAATTCTTAGCTAAAAATGCTGAGATTGTTAAAGTATTAATTCCCTTTTCTTTAACTTAATACAAATTATCTTCAGTTGAAGTTTATGTAATATTACTGTTTGTTGGTTTTATCTTTAGAGTGAGATCCTCTGGAGACCTTATCTTCATACTTAGTTGTGAATAAAAGTCATGGCATGTAAAAATTTGCTGAACTGCAATATAAGAACTCTATTAAGATTACAGCTTAATGTTATTGCAAAATTAAAGAGAAACTGTTAGATGGAGTTGTACAATTAACATATTAGCATGTCTAATAGTTTTTTAATTTTTGTTTCCCTTTGTCAGTTCTCACACCCATTGAATAAAGAAAATCAGTTTTTGGCTAGGTGTGGTGGCTTACTCCTGTAATCCCACCACTTTAGGAGGCCGAAGCAGGCAGATCACTTGAGGTCAGGAGTTCAAGACCAGCTTGGCCAACATGGCAAAACCCCATCTCTACTAATACTATAAAAAGAATTAATCAGGTGTGGTGGCTCACACCTGTAATCCCAGCTACTCAGGAGGCTGAGGCAGGAGAATCTCTTGAACCCGGGAAGCAGAGGTTGTGAGCTGAGATCACACCACTGCACTCCAGCCTGGGCAACAGAGTGATATGTCTCAAAAAAAAAAAAAAAATCGGTTTCTCTAAGGCAGAAGAAGCCATCATGACTGCGATGGCAGAATATGCAGACATATTTAGGTAAATCAGTTTTGATTTCAGTACCATAACCCCCCTTCTGCAAAAGCTTATTCACATTGCACAGTTGCTTATAAACATTTTTTTATTTTGTTAATCATTAGATCCTCAATACTTCTTCAAAACTTTGCTGTTACTGATTAAGACATTTTCATGGCTTTTCTAAGAATTGAAATTTGAACACTTTTTTTGAGAAACTTAAATCACAGATGTTTCCATGAATAGTATTATTATTGTTTTATAAGAATGCCATGTTAACAAGCTATTCTTTCAAGATTTTTACTTCCAGGCCTGATGTAATATATGGTGTTAATTGTTGGGTGTACCTAGCATGCCCGTTAATTTATGGATGGAAATCTTTCCTGTCTTCAGATTCTACCCCCTTCATTTTTCATATGCCAGTGGATTGTTAATGAACTAAGATTGAATTCACTTTTTAATTTTAAAGCTTCTGTAGCTTTGATTCTCTTTGGACATCAAACTGATTTATACGAGATATGAATACAATTGCATATTCTGCTAAATTACCTATGAAGCTCTTTTGAATGATTGTGGTATTTGGTGAAAAAATACAGTATGAGCTAATCAAAATTCTTTTAAGGGATTTAGGTTATAGAGGAGGACTATACTATTTCATTCCCAGATTAGATTAAATGTTTTACTTATTTGCAGAGATGACAGGGGAGAGCCTTGATTATTTTCACGTCTCATGTATTTATATTTGTTTACAAATAAAGAGTTACTTATTTGCAAAATGCCGTATCTTTAATACTTGCTTACATGTGATTTTGGGAATTCTTTTGGAACCAGTTTTTGTTCTTGTTTTTGTTTTGCTCTAAGGGTATGATGTAACACATTGAGGGGTTAATAGTAGGGCAAGAACAGAGAAAGCCATTTGACAACAGATATCATCAGGACAGTGATGCTTACTTTAGGTCTTGTGGTTTTCTTGGCCTTGAGAAATCAAGATGTTAACTAAAAATAGGAGAGCATGGGCCAGGCACACTGGGAAAACAGATTGGTGTTTACATGCTACCGCTGTTGCTTCCTGGTAATTTGCCATATGAATGTGTGGGTATGGATTTGTAACAGACCTGTGATGTGAATATTCCTGAACCCCCTCCTCCCATACACACAGTACCATCATCACAGATCTGAAGCCTAACCTTTAGCTGAGTTCAGTGACTTCATGTTTCCGTATTGAAATGTTCTGTTATTGGGTCCTCACAATACTATAGAATGTAACATACTGCGGGCACGGTGGCTCACGCCTGTAATCTCAGCACTTTGGGAGGCCGAGGCGGGCGGATCACGAGGCCAGGAGATCGAGACCATCCTGGCGAACACGGTGAAACCCCGTCTCTACTAAAAATACAAAAAAATTAGCCGGGCCTCGTGGCAGGCGCCTGTAGTCCCAGCTACTCAGGAGGCTGAGGCAGGAGAATGGCATGAACCCGAGAGGCGGAGCTTGCAGTGAGCGGAGATCACACCACTGCACTCCAGCCTGGGCAACAGAGCGAGACTCCGTCTCAAAAAAAAAAAAAAAAAAAGACTATTAACTAAGAAAAACTTGGTTATAATAGTTTCACCACAGTGTTTCACCATAAAACAATGTTTTATGATATGTACCTCAGAAAAGAGTGTTGTGGGGCAGGGCAGTGAATTATATTTATATTTGTCTAAGTATTTTTTGGTAGTTTTTTTTTTTTAAAGATAGGGTCTCACTGTCTCCCAGGCTGGAATACAGTGGCGCGATCATGGCTTATGCAGCCTTGAACTCCTGGGCTCAAGCAGTCCTCCTGCCTCAGCTTTCTGAGTAGCTGGGACTATAGGCGTGTGCCACCACACCTGGCTAATTTTTTTAAATTTTTCTTTTGTAGAGATGGGGTATCAGCTATGTTGACCAGGCTGGTTTAGAGCTCCTGGCCTCGAGCAGTCCTCCCACCTCAGCCTCCCAAAGTGCTAGGATTACAGGTGTGAGTGTCTTAAATTTTTGAAGTGCATTTAGTTAAGCTTATGAGTTGTGGCAGAGGACAAGAGGTAGTAACATGAGTATCTGTTATCTTGATACTTGTTCTGTTGTCTTGAAATTTTTGACAGATAAATTCTAGTTGGAGGTGAGAACCATGGATTCTGCTAATTTAGGGCCTTCCTATAGGTTAACTGGTGTCACTGAGTTTTTGGAAATACTTGCAAATCTGTTTTAGTTTGGAACTTTGAGATTAAATGGAATTGATGTCAGTTCCATCAATATAATATTAGCATGAAAGCCAGAGATTTCCAAAACCATACATTAAAATTTGGCTGCAAATCCAATCCATTTTCACAATATTTAATGGAGTTTGAAGTCTTGAGCCAGTTTCTCATTTTCCATTATATTGATTAGATTTTGGATGTAGCATATTTATTTATTTATTTAGAGACAGAGTCTCACTTCGTTGCCGAAGCCTGGTGCAGTGGCGTGATGTCAGTTCATAGCAACCTTCGCCTCCCGGGTTCAAGCAATTCTCCCACCTCAGCCTCCCCAGTAGCTGGGATTACAGGCGCGTGCCACCATGCTCGGCTAATTTTTTGTGTTTTTAGTAGAGACGAGGTCTCACTATGTTGCTCAGGCTGGTTTTGAACTCCTCGGCTCAAGGCATCCACCCCCCTTGGCCTCCCAAAGTTGGGTTTACAGGCGTGAACCACCGCAGCCTGCCAGTGTAGCATATTTAAAAATAAAGATTTTACCAGCTGGGTGGGGTGACTCATGCATGTAATCCCAGCACTTTGGGAAGCTGAGGTGGGTGGATCCCTTGAGCCCAGGAGTTTGAGACCAGCCTGAGCAACATAGTGAGACCTCGTCTCTACTAAAAATACAAAAATTAGCCGGGTGTGGTGGTGTGCACCTATAGTCCCAGAACTCAGGAGGCTGAGGTGGGAGGATCACCTGAGCCCAGGAGGTCAAAGCTGCAGTAAGCTGTGATTGCGCCACTGCACTCCAGCCTGGGTAAAGAGTGAGGCCCTATCTTAAAAAAAAAAAAGGGTGGGCGTGATGGCTCACACCTGTAATCCTAGCACTTTGGGAGGCCAAGGTGGGTGGCTTACTTGAGGTCAGGAGTTCAAGACCACCCTGGCCAACATGGTGAAACCTTTTCTCTGCTAAAAGTACAAAAAAATTAGCTGGGCGTGGTGGCACGTACCTGTAATCCCAGCTGCTTGGGAGGCTGAGGCAGGAGAATTGCTTGATCCCAGGAGGCAGAGGTTGCAGTGAGCCGAGATTGCGCCATTATACTCCAGCCTGGGCTACAAGAGTGAAATGCTTTCTCAAACAAACAAACAAACAAAAAAGATTTTACCAAATTGATATGTTAAACTGCTAGCCTGGTTAGAATAAAAATTAGAATTTTAGATACTTAGCTTCTTTACTGGTTTGCTGTGGCATTGCAGCCAGGTCAGGAACCCTTTACCAAATTTATCACCAAAGTCCTATCATCGTGGAAAAATTTTTGGTATAACTGAGAATATAAAATGGACGGTAATATCTGTCAGATTCTTACTCATTGAGGGGAGACAGTTCTGGATTTGGTGTAGATAACTTGGTGCAGCCTGATAGTAGAAGTTAGTTTAAAGGCTATTTGGAACCAGAAAAAGATGTTATTTGGTATATATGACAACTTTTTTTGAGTGAAATTATAAGAGTTCACGGTTAGAGCAGCAAAAAAGTCCAAGAACTGAAGTGCAGCCAAGAGAATGATGATGTAACTGAGGAGGGAATTTAATTCTTTTAAAGATGCTGCCCTAAATTCTACTGCTCAGAAGTGGGACATAACAAAACAGAAAATCACCACTAAAGAGTTTCAAAATGGATGGTAGGAGTTAGTGCAAGGTCTTTGAAACTGTTTTGTAATTATTGCAGATTTTATCGATGTTTTGGAAACAATACCCTGTGCTTGCTAAGAAAATGCAAAATAGGCTGGGCACAGTGGCTTGCGCCTGTAATCCCAGCACTTTGGGAGGGTGAGGCAGGCAGATCACTTGAGATCAGAGTTCGAGACCAGCCTGGCCAGCATGGTGAAATGCTGTCTCTACTAAAAATATAAAAATTAGCCAGGTGTGGTGGTGTGCCCCTATAGTCCCAGCTACTTGGGAGGCAGAGGCAGGAGAATTGTTTGAACCTGGGAGGCAGAGGCTGCAGTGGGCTGAGATCACGCCGCTGCATTCCAGCCTGGGCGACAGAGCAAGACTCCGTCTCAAAAAAGAAAAAGAAAAATATCTTTCTATAAGTATAAAGAGAAAAGAGTAGTTTTTGTTTGCTGAATGAAAATGTTTTCATTTATGGTAAAAATTTTAAAATAGTATGGAAAAAAGTTGGATAATCCCAAATACTATAAACTACAGAGTTATTAATCACAAAGTTTAGCCATATATGCCCAAATTAAACCTTATCCTCCTACATCATAGTTTAGGCTTTTTGCTTTCATAAGAATTGTTTTTATGTTCTGGTTTATGGATCTGCAAACATGTAGTCTTTATTATGTGGATATTAGATAAGCTAAATGTATTTGATTTAGCTGTATTTCAGCTTCAGTGCATCTATAATATATAATTGCCCTAAGAAAAATTTATTAACTCTAGCTTTATATAATGTTTGAAGTCTCTTCCTCAGTGTTTATCTTGGGATATGGATCTTAATTTTTTTA
The DNA here is from genome assembly GCF_000001405.40 of Homo sapiens. Taxonomy (NCBI): domain Eukaryota; kingdom Metazoa; phylum Chordata; class Mammalia; order Primates; family Hominidae; genus Homo; species Homo sapiens. The sequence continues at coordinate 75,119,092 of NC_000010.11, forward strand.
CGTTTTATACATCATTTGGAAGCTGTTTAACTTTTAAATTTTGTAAACTAAATCAGTAATGATTTGTTTTTTTTTTTTAATTTGAGACGGAGTTTCGCTCTTGTTACTGAGGCTGGAGTGCAGTGGTGCGATCTCAGCTCGCTGCAACCTCCGCCTCCTGGGTTCAAGCAATTCTGCCTCAGCCTACTGAGTAGCTGGGATTACAGGGGTGCACCACCATGCCTAGCTAATTTTTTTGTATTTTTAGTAGAGACGGGGTTTCTCCATGTTGGTCAGGCTGGTCTCGAACTCCTGACCTCAGGTGACCTGCCCGCCTTGGCTTCCCAAAGTGCTGGGATTACAGGCGTGAATCAATAATAATTTATACAAATAGCACATATTGTATTTATGAGTCAAGTTTTATCAGTTGTGAATTCCTTTAGGGGCATTTGAATGTAGGGCTTTTAAATACAATCACAGAATTTAGAATAGAGGACAGTTGCTTCAGCTGGTTGTACTCCAATATTTTTGATGATTTTCTGCACACACATGCACACACACGTGCGCACACGTGAGAAGTGAAACTACAAGAAAAATCCAGCATGTTTAAGTCACTGTAATCACCATCTGAACATGGATTTTGCTTCTGTAAAAGTAAGCATATTGTAAAGGTTTCATTTTGTTGATATATTCTCTGTATTTTAAATATTGTTAGCTGGGCACGGTGACTCACTCCTGTAATCTCAGCACCTTGGGAGGCCGAGGCAGGCGGATTGCCTGAGGTCAGGAGTTCAAGACCAGCCTGGCCAACATGGTGAAACCTCGTCTCTACTAAAAATACAAAAAAATTAGCTGGGCGTGGTGGCGCGCATCTGTAATCCCAGCTACTCGGGAAGCCGAGGCAAGGGAATCGGTTTAACCTGGGAGGTGGAGGTTGCAGTGAGCCGAGATTGTACCACTGCACTCCAGCCTGGGCGACAGAGTGAGACACTGTCTCAAAAAAAGTAAAGATTGTCCAGTGATGGATTAGAGGCTATTTTGGTCTCTTGTGTGTTGGTATAATTAAGCCCAGTGGAATAGCTGTGTCTTTCTAGTTTTTAGTGCCTATCACTTTAGGAAGTTTCCCAATTCCCAAACTGTACAGAAGTGCTTTCAGGTATCAACAGTAATCAGTTACATCACTGACATACTTTTTATTTTATTTTATTTATTTATTTTTGAAATGGAGTCTCGCTCTATTGCCCAGGCTGGAGTGCAGTGGCACGATCTCGGCTCACCGCAAGCTCCGCCTCCCAGGTTCATGCCATTCTCCTGCCTCAGCCTCCCGTAGCTGGGATTACAGGCGCCTGCCACCATGCCCAGCTAATTTTTTGTATTTTTAGTAGAGATGGGGTTTCACCGTGTTAGCCAGGATGGTCTCTATCTCCTGACCTCGTGATCCGCCCGCCTCAGCCTCCCAAAGTGCTGGGATTACAGGCGTGAGCCACCGCGCCCGGCCAGCGTCATACTTTTTAAAATGTTGGTGAGTGGTATGCTCCTGTGGAAATATTTATTAATAGTTAAATTTTATGTTAAGTCGTTATATGAGCAGTGCATATTGATGTGTAGAGCAATGCATTGAGTAACTAGAACCTCTATTTTATATTATTGTTTCTCAGTTTATGTAGCTTAATTACGTTGTTATGTTGAAAAGTAATTTCCATCTTTTTTTTTTTTTTTTTTTTTTTTGAGACGAAATCTCACTCTGTTGCCTGGGCTGGAGTGCAGTGGTGCAATCTCAGCTCACTGCAGCCTCCGCCTCCCAGGTTCAAGCGATTCTCTTGCCTCTGCCTCCCGAGTAGCTGGGACTACTGTCGTGCACCACCACACCTGGCTAATTTTTGTATTTTTAGTAGAGGTGGGGTTTTATGTTGACCAGGCTTGTCTTGAAGTCTTAACCTCAGTGATATACCCACTTCGGCCTCCCAAAGTGCTGGGATTATAGGCGGGAGCCACCACACCCGGACTTTTGAGCAGTTTCTGTTTGCTAAGCATTATTATAAGTGCATTATTGTAAGTGCATTACATGTATAATTCCATGCAATCTTCACAACAAGCCTATGAAGTAGGAATTCTCCTCATTTTACAGATAAAGACAGTGAGGCCCAAGAAAGTTATGTAACTTCTGCAGGGTCACATAACTGTGAGTGGTAAATCCTCAGTTTGAACCTAGGCAGTTTAATTCTAGAGCCAGTACTCTTTACTTTCTGGGCTGTATATCAGATGTTGTTGGCAAATAGCTTATTTATCTGAAGCTTAACTCTCTAGCCTTAGTTTCTTCAGCTGTAAATTGAGGAATTGTACTAGATCTCTCAGGTCACTTCCATTTCTAACCTAAGAACTCTGTCATCCTGATTTACAAAACACAACACGTTTAATGTTTCAAATTACTTTCTGTTTGTAATCTCTGGATCCCTTATGAGATAAAGGTTAAGCTGTTTCCAACATCACACTGTTAATGGGTCATGGAACTGGATCAGATCTTTTCTGGGACTTCCTGGTTTTGCTGGTTGCCTCATGCATATACTTAGTGTGTATATGCATATATGGGTTAATAATTGAATTTAATTGACCTTCTTAATTTTTTTTTCTTCTTTTTTTTGACTGAGTCTCACTTTGTCGCCCAGGCTGGAGTGCAGTGGTGCGATCTTGGCTCACTGCAACCTCTGCCTCCCAGGTTCAAGCGATTCTCCTGCCTCAGCCTCCCAAGTAGCTAGGATTACAGGCATCCACCACTATGCCCAGCTAATTTTTGTATTTTTAATAGAGACAGCATTTCACCATGTTGGCCAGGCTGGTCTTGAACTCCTGACCTCAAGTGATCCACCCTCTTTGGCCTCCCAAAGTGCTGGGATTACAGGAGTAAGCCACCATGCCCAGCGACTTTCTTAATTTTCTATTTATATCTGTTTAAATGAGATTTGCTTCAAACAGTGAAAAATAATACTGCTTTCATTTTCTTTCTTTTTTCAAAATCATATCACATCATTTTCTTAAAAAAACCTTTTCTCTCTGATTATAAGTATTACATTCTTATTGTATGGAATATAGAAATTTTAGAAATTTTTAATGTAGACAGTGAAAGGGCCCATTCAAGGAGTAAATATTACTAGTTTGATATTTATTTATTTAAAAATATACACATATACCATATTTGCTATTTTTTGGGACATTGTGCTTCTTTTAAAATTTTCTCAGTTTTTATTTTGAAATAATTATAGGCTGGGCGCAGTGGCTCACGCCTGTAATCTCAGCACTTTGGGAGGCCGAGGCAGGCAGATCACCTGAGGTCAGGCATTCGAGACCAGCTTGGCCAACATGGCAAAACCCTGTCTCCAGAAAAAAAATAGAAAAATTAGCTGAGCGTGGTGGGGGCACCAGTAATCCCAGCTACTTGGGAGGCTGAGGCATGAGAATCACTTGAACCCTGGAGGCAGAGGTTGCAGTGAGCTGAGATTATGCCACTGCATTCCAGACTGAATGATAGACGGAGACTCTGTCTCAAAAAAAAAAAAAAAAAATTCTTGGCTGGGCACTGTGGCTCTCTCCTGTAAACCCAGCACCCCAGCACTTTGGGAGGCTGACAGGAATGGATGCTTGAGCCGTGGAGTTTAGCCTGGGCAACATAGCAAGACCCCGTCTCTTACCCCTTCCCCAAAAAATCCTCCTCTGTTAGCAGTTTTCTGACAATTTGTATTATAAATGGGTATTTGCGATAAAAATTTTGTTAGATGCTTTTTTTATTTATATGCTCCTGTGTTTTTTCTCCTTTAGCAGGTTAACATGGTGAGTTACGTTGTTTGATTTTCAAATATTGAACCAGCCTTGCATCCCTGGAATGAACCCTGTTTGGTCATGATATATAATTAATTTTATATATTGCTGAATTCTGTTTGCTAATATTTGGTTAAGTATTTTTGCATCTATATTCGTGAGGGATATTGGCCCTTCTACAGACACCATCTCCATAGTGCCAGGTGGAGAAGGGTTAAGTTTTGTACCTTGCTTGCTGGGAAGGAAATGGACACCTCATGCTTGCTTCCCACCCCACCTCACCCCACCCCACCCCACCCCACCCCACCCCACCCCACCCCACCCCACCCTGTGCAGGGGGTTGGGCGGGTAAAGGAGATGAGGGTTGTGGGTGGCTTTGTTACCTCCGATATACCACTGAGTGGTGTTAATCCTGAGTCTCCAGCAGGCTTCCTCTGGTAGTACCTCGGCAAGGAGCAGGAGGGGTGCCTCATAAGTGCTGTTTGGGTTTGAAGTCCAAGTTCCCCAAATGGACTCCTCTGACAGCATGTTAAGAGAGGGGGAGAGACTTGTTACTGCTAGACAATGATGACAATCCCAGCTCCCTACTTGGTCTTCTCTGATACCACCCTGGTGTGGAGAGAGATATGGCCGGATTATAACCTGACAGGCTTAAAAATCAAGGCTCTCCATTTGGCCTTTCCTGGTGAGGGTGGGAGTGGAAATGGGGCTGGTTTTTTATGTGGTGTTTGGCTGGAATAGAGTGGGTTATTGTCTAAAAGTCTTACATCTTGCTAGGCTGTCTCTTTTTCTGGTCCTTTGGTTTTTCTTTTCTTTCTTTTTTTTTTGAGGTGGAGTCTCACTGTCTCCCAGGTTGGAGTACAGTGGCATGATCTCGGCTCACTGCAACCTCTGCCTCCAGGGCTCAAGCGACTCTCCAGCCTCAGCCTGAGAGTAGCTACTCAGCCTCAGAGTAGCTACTCAGCCTCAGAGTAGCTGGGACTACAGGCACACTCCACCGCGCCCAGGTAATTTTTTGTATTTTAGTAGAGACGGAGTTTCACCATGTTGCCCAGGGTGGTCTCAAACTTTTCAGCTCCAGCGATCCGCCTGCCTCAGCCTCCCAAAGTGCTGAGATTACAGGCGTGAGCCACTGCACCCAGCCGGTCTTTTGTTTTTTCTTGGAGCTTTTTTTATCTGCACCTTTGACATTTCCAGGTTGCTAGCTTCTCTAGTATCCACTTTGGGATATATATGGCAAAATAAACAAACAAAACACCCAAAGAGCTCACTACTGTGTTGTTCCTTGGGTCCCAAGGTGCCTGGCCAGTCAGTCTTCCTCTTCATTTCTCAGAGTCTTCTTATGTTTATTTTATATATAATGTCCATAGAGTAATAGGAAAAAGTATGTCTACTCCATCTTCCTGCAAGCAGAAATCCATTTATTTTTTAAAATGTACCTGTCAGAGGCCAGGCACCATGGCTCATGCCTGTAATCCCAGCACTTTGGGAGGCCAAGACGGGCAGATCACTTGAGGTCAGGAGTTCGAGAGCAGTCTGGCCAACGTGGTGAAACCCTGTCTCTAGTAAAAATACAAAAATTAGCCAGGCGTGGTGGCGCACGCCTGTAGTTCCAGCTACTTGGAAGGCTGAGGTGGGAGAATTGCTTCAACCCGGGAGGCGGAGATTGCAGTGAGTTGAGATGGTACCATTGCACTCCAGCCTGGGTGACAGAACGAGACTCCATCTCAAAAAAAAAAAAAAAAAGGTACCTGTCAGAAAAATCTAGAGAGCAAAACGGTACACATACTGAAGAGTAGCTCTCTCTTCTGTTCCTCTACTTTTTAGAAGCTGTTTCCTTCATTCTGTCTTCATGTCTGTCATTATATTCCATCCTGTCTCACAATCTGTTTTACACTCTTAAGACAATTTTTCTTTCTTTTTTTCTTTTTTTTTTTTCCTAAGATGGGGTCTCACTCTGTCACTCAGGCTGGAATGCAATGGCACAGTCATGGCTCAGCTTCCTAAGTAGCTGGGAGTATAAGCACATGCCAGCACAGCCAGCTAATTTTTTTGTTGTTGTTGTTTTTGTTTGTTTGTTTTTTACAGAGATGGGATTTCACGATGTTGCCCAGGCTGGTTTTGAACTCCTGGCCTCAAGTGATCCTCCCGCCTCCAGCTACCAGAGTGCTAGGATTATAGGTATGAGCCACCACACCTAGCCAATTATTCTTTCTAAAACACACTCTGATTATGTCATCCTCTTTTTCAGCTATCTGCAGAGAATCCCATTGTGTGTAGAATGTTTTTAACTTGACAGAGGTTTCCATGGCTCTCTCAGGTCCTCGTTTCCAAGAAGGAACAACTGTTGTGTCTAAAAGGGCTACTGCCTTATGCAGCCTATTTGCTGCATGAACTGTGCATGATGTATGCCCAGGGACAAGCCTTTTAAGAAGTTCATCATTTGAGGCTGGGTGTGGTGGTTCACACCTGTAATCCCAGCATTTTGGGAGGCTGAGACGGGAGGATCACTTGAGCCCAGGAGTTTGAGACCAGCCTGGGCAACATGGCAAAACCCTATCGCTACAAAAAAAAGTACAAAAATTAGCCCAGCGTTGTGGTGCACACCTGTGGTCCCAGCTACTTGGGAGGCTTAGGTGGAAGGATCACTTGAGCTCAGGAGGCAAAGGTTGCAGTGAGCCAAGATTGTGCCACTGCACTCCAGCCTGGGTGACATAGTGAGGCCCTGTCTCAAAAAAAGGAAAAAAAAATAAAGTTCATTATTTGAAACATAGTCGAGCCCACAGCTATCAGGGACATTTCTGAAACAAGTACCTTGGGCACCTATGTGCTTCCAAAGCTGTATGTGAAGCTACATAACTACATGAGTTGTGCCATTCGCAGAAAGGTAGTCAAGAATCGAACTTGTAAAGCCTGCAAGGACCAAACATGTCTACCTGACTTAGACTTTTGAGTGCTGCCCCATGACCTCCACCAAAGTCCGTATAAGGAGCCGACTCCTTAAGGACTGAAGAAAAACTATCTTCTGGAAAAAGATAAAGTGGAGATTATACTAAAAACAAAAACAAAAAGGTTTTCATCATCTGGCCCCAGTTTATATTTTCAACTTTTTATCTTGTTATTCCCCTGTGCCTTTTACATACTGATGGTTCACCACTGTTTCCTGCCTTCATACTTTGGTCATGCAATTTCCTCTGCTAGTATACTTTTATTTTTATTTATTGATCTATTTATTTATTTTTAAATTTTTGCTATTGTACTTTATTCATCTCTATCCACATAATTTTACTACTCCTTTAACGCTTAGCTCAAAAGTCACTTCCAAGAACTCTTTTCTGATTTTACCAACTGGAAATAACTTCTCTTTTCCAACTCCTTTAACTTTCCAATTTTTAGCAAATTAGATAAATATCCACTTTATTAGTCTTTTGAGGATTGAGTGAACTAATTATGACTCTCTTTAATATCCCTTTCTAGACTGTAGAATCATTGAGAGCAAGATCTGATTCAGATTCATTTGGATGAATGCCACATTGCCTAGTGTAATACCCTTCATATAGTATGTGTACAGTAAATATTTAATAGATGAATAAATGTAACATATGAGTGCTTTTGCTTTTTTTTTTTTTTTTTTTTGAGACAGTATCTTGCTGTGTCATCCAGGCTGGAGTACAATGGCATGATCATAGCTCACTGAAGCCATAACCTCCTAGGCTCAAGTGGTCTTCCCACCTTGGCCTCCTGAGGACCTGGGACTATAGGCACGTGCCACCACGCTGGCTAATTTTTTTTTTTTTTGTAGGGATGAGGTCTCCCTATGTTGCCCAGGCTAATTTCAAACTCCTAGGCTCAAGCAATCCTCTGGCCTTGGCTTCCCAAAGTGCTGAGATTACAGGCCTGAGCCACCGGGTTGGCCGGATTGTATCCTCAGTGCCTTAGTGTCTGGCATCTCTATATAATAGACACTTAGTAAATGTTTGAGACTGAACAGTGCAAAATTGTGATTCAAAAAGTCTTCATTAGGCTGCGCACGGTGGCTCACACCTGTAATCCCAGCACTTTGGGAAGCCGAGGCGGGTAGATCACCTGAGGTCAACGGTTCGAGACCAGCCTGGCCAGCATGGTGAAAACGTGTCTCTACTAAAAAATACAAAAATTAGTGGAGAGAGGCGGCTTGTGCCTGTAGTCCCAACTACTCGGGAGGCTGAGACAGGAGAATCGCTTGAACCTGGAAGGCAGAGGTTGCAATAAGCTGAGATTGCGCCACCGCACTCCAGCCTGGGCACAGAGCGAGACTCTGTCTCAAAAAAAAAAAAAAAAAATCTTTGTTATGTAATGTAACTTTGATACATTCTTCTGCTGATAACTAGAAAATATTTAGTATTTTATATTTGAGATTTAGTTCTTGCAGAAGTACAAGAGCCCTCAGTTCATGTGAGGCAGTATATTGTCATGGGTAAGAATATGAACTTTAAAATGAGATTGCCTAGGTTGAACAGTTCTCTGTACTACTTGCTAGTACAAGTTGATCTTGGGGAACTTAACCCATTTATATCAGTTGTCACATCTATAAAATGAGGAAATTAATAGTACCTACTTTATATAGTTGTGAGGATTATTTGGGCATATAAGTCAAACACGTAGAACAGTTCCTCAGACACTGTAAATGCCATGAATGTTAGCTAATTTATTGTTACTTCCTGAAAATGCACTGAACACGGTTCAGAACTTGAGTTTGTGAGTTAGGGTGTACATTCTTTTTAAGGAATAACACTCTGCTGACATCACATATCCTCTAGCTGTACATCCTGTCTGCTTCCTACTATTTTAACTAGGTATTGAATGGATAGCTGATAATCCCAGTTACATGACAGACAGTATTCAGCATGTAAATGTTAAATAAACAAGTCCTCTTGAGACATTTTAACTCAGAAAGGATTAACTAGTTCATGCTAAGGAACAACATGTACTTTTGTTCACTGTATTTCCTTTGAAGAATATTTTATTTGTTCTGGTTGAATATACTTTCCCATTCAGTGCAGTTAACTCTTCCTAGGTGATAAACCCTTTACCGGTCTTTACTGACAAATTAAAATGACTATTTAACGTTCCCTGTATTATTTTGAACCTTAAAACTGTTTTAACAGCCCTCTAAAATTAATCTGGCTCTGATTTTTTTTTCTTCTTTAATTTTTTTTTTTTTTTTTTTTTGAGACAGAGTCGCTGTCACCTAGGCTGGAGTGCAATGGCGCGATCTTGGCTCATTGCAACCTCCGCCTCCCAGGTTCAAGCAATTCTCCTACCTCAGCCTCCCGAGTAGCTGGGATTACAGGCACATGCTACCACGTCCAGCTAATTTTTGTATTTTTAGTAGAGACAGCATTTCACCATGTTGGCTAGGCTGGTCTGGAACTCCTGACCTCAAGTGATCCACCTGCCTCGACCTCCAACAGTGCTAGGATTACAGGCGTGAGCCACCGCACCCGCCCTTCTGTTTTTTTAAATTTTAATAAAAACAAGGTCTCCATATGTTGCCCAGGCTGGTCTTGAACTTCTTCGCTGAAGCAGTCCTCCTGAGTTCGCCTCCCAAAGTGTTGGGATTACAGAAATGAGCCACCATACCCAGCTTAGATATTTTTAATAACAGGTGAATTCTGAAATCTACATTGGTGTAAGATTAAAAGAATACATATGGTATTGTTCCATTCATATAAAGTACAAATGCAGGGAAAACTAAACTATATTGTTTATGGATATATGCTTAGGTAGTAAAGCTATAAAGAAAAACAAGGGATTATCATGAAGATAGGTTTGTGGTTACTATGGGTGGTCGGCAGGGGGTGGGGAAGGGAATTATTGATTAGAAGTGGTACACAGTGATACTGGGCTGGTGCCTTGGGGTGATTACAGATTAAAGGAAGTGAATAGTTGCAAGCCTGAGATGAAAAGATTTGCTTTTTTATCCAGCTGTTTGTATTGCATTATTAATACATGCATATAATTGGTTTTAGTGCCTAAATAGCAAAATTTCAGACACATACTGACGAAAATGTATTACTTCTTCTGCAAAAGGGTCTTTTAACAAAAGTTGACACTTTCGTAATATAGAAGCCCTACTTTTCCTCCATACTTCTTTCTGTATTCTGAATCACCTAAAAAAAAACCATCTCAACTGGATCTTTTTTCCAGTGTGCTTTTCTTCTAATTCTAAAGATATTTATTATATCTTCTTTGTACTTCCTCTTCTTCTTCTTATTTTTTTTTTTTTAAAGACTAGGTCTTGTTCTGTTGCCCAGGTGCAGTAATAGCTCACTATAGCCTGGAAGTCCCCAGCTCAAGTGACTCTTTTGGACTTCTGGGTTTTTTTGTTTGTTTTGAGATGGAGTCTTGCTCTGTCACCAGGCTGGAGTGCAGTGGCATGATCTCGGCTCACTGCAACCTCCAACTCCCTGGTTCAAGTGATTCTCCTGCCTCAGTCTCCCAAGTAGCTGGGATTACAGGCATGCACCACCACACCCAGATAATTTTTGTATTTTTAATAGAGACAGTGTTTCACCATGTCGGCCAGGAGGCTCTCATCTCCTGACCTCGTGATCCACCTGCTTCGGCCTCCCAAAGTGCTGGAATTACAGGTGTGAGCCACCGCACCCGGCCTGGACTTCTTTAAAGTTAAAATGATTAGCTAGTTTCATTTGGCATCTTTAGATTTGAATTTGTCATCTACGTAGGAAAAAGAAGTTATATAATCTTAGGGACAGTAGAAAATGGTTTGTTTATATAGCCTTAGATACATAACAAAGCCATTAATGTTTTAAGAAACACCCCAAAGCCATCTGAGTAGCTACATGAATACATATGATTGGAGATTTGTGTTAGGTTTAGCTGTGATCTTAACCCTTGACATCATAGTATAGTGGTTAAGAGTAGAGGAAATAAACAACTAGGTAAATCTAGAATACAGGTTATTCTACAAAGAACTACCCTGAACTTGTCTCCCCCTAAAAAGAAACAAGAGCTAGGGCACTGTTCTAGACTAAAAGACACTAGCAAGATGTGATGACCAAGTGTAATACATGAACCTAAATTGAATCCTGATTTTTGGAGGAAACAGAAATAAAATAAATTTGAGGGGCAATTAGGGGAGATATTATGGTTAATTTTCTTAGGTGTGGTAATGTGTATTGTACTTATTTAGGAAGTTGTCATTATTATTAGAAGATGAATAACAACTGGATGCCGAAATATTTATGGTGAATATCATAATGTCTTTATATTAAACAGTTAAGAAGTGTCTTCAAAATAAGATATGAATGCTTAAAAAAAAACACCTATGATCAGCCAGGCACGGTGACTCACGCCTGTAATCCCAGCACTTTGGTAGGCCGAGGCAGGCAGATCACCTGAGGTCAGGAGTTCGAGACCAGCCTGACCAACATGGAGAAACCCCGTCTCTACTAAAAATACAAAAAAAAATTAGCCGGGCTTGGTGGCACATGCCTGTAATCCCAGCTACTCGGGAGGCTGAGGCAGGAGAATTGCTTGAACCGAGGAGGTGGAGGTTGTGGTGAGCCGAGATCGTACCATTGCACTCCAGCCTGGGCAACAAGAGCGAAACTCCATCTCAAAAACAAAAAAAACACTATGATCATTCTTTAAATCTCTGGTAGGATTTAGTAGCTTTATTTTCAACCCATCCTTTAGCTCCAAGGAAAAGCAGCATGAAGTGATGGAAAGAGTACTGAATTTGTTGTCAAAATTCTTGGAGTTTAATTTCAGCATCAATATTAACTCTCTAGGTGACTTTAAATCATTTAAATTATAATAATTTAAATAATTTGTGTAAAGCAAATCTGGCAAAATGTTTGAATCCCAAATTTGAATCCTGGCTCGGACAATTTCAAGTAGGACCTTGGTCACTTCACTTAACTTTTCTGTGCCTTCATTGTCTCGTGTAAAATGAAGATAATAGTAATGTCTACCTCATAAAAGTGTTGTGAGGATTAAATAGTATTATAAAGATAAAGTGCTCAGAATAGTGCCTGAGCATTCAACAAATGTAGCTGCTGCTGCTGTTATTGTTTTATATTTATTTTATTATCTATTACTTTGAAGAGAGCTTGGAAGACTCAAGAGGTAGAAAATATAAAACAGAAGTCCAGGCAGGCAGAACCCTCAAAACAACTAGGCAAAGATCAAGCAGTTGTTGTTATAATTAGGAAATGAGATCCCACATGAAATCACCCTGCAGGGTCTAACCTGTAGTAGGTATTCATAAATGTTAGTTTCCTTCTGTTATCCCTTTCTTTCCTTCCTCATTTTATAGTATTATTTAATCTGAGGCTTGCAGAGCACTATGTGACCATCCATTCTAATTCTGCTTCTTCTCTGCTTCTGGTTTGTATAACATTGAGTCTTCGAGGTGCCTTTGCACACATCTTATTTCATCTATTACATTTTGATTTGATGTTGGCTTGTTGCCTCTACTAATTACTACATAATACAGTTGAATAAAATATAGTTTAAGCATATACACAGAACTGTCTGAAAAGAAAAATCACGCTCTAGTGTTGACTGAAGATATATAATATTAAGAAAAATTATAGGTTATTTTATATTAAAACATATACTAATTAGAAGCTTAGAATCTGTCTATAATACCAAAATCTAATAGCCAGAAAACAGAATTTTGATTATTAAAAATAACTGATCAAATTTATCTACAATTTATATATTTCTGATAATTAAAGAAATAAGTGAGTCTCCAAAATATGGTAAGAATATTTTTTAAAAATCTATAATAAATCTTTAAATCTCTGTTAGAACTTGATAGCATTATTAACTCATCCTTTAGCTCCAAGGAAAAGCAGCATGAAATGGTGGAAAGAACACTGAATTTGTTGTCGAAATTCTTGGAGTTTAATTTCAACACCAATATTAACTCTCTAGATGACTTTAAATACTCTAAACATCTTGGCATCTCAAGCCTCACTGTGCATTAGAATCACGTGGGGAGCTTTTTAAAAAATGCAGATATAAAATTTCTGTCTCTTCTGAGATTCTGATTCAGTTGTCCTAGGATGAGGCATGGACATTGATACAAATACACTGTAAAATTTCAGACTATTCTAATGTATAGCCAGGGTTGAAAACCTTTGTATATGTAGTTTCCTTGGAAGCCTAGGCAAAGGAGGCATCAAAGAGAATTGGCTTTTTATATCCTACACTGTCTAGGAGAGAGAGAGACTGAAACTGGGAGATGCAAACAACCTTTTCTAGACAGGTACTCTCTGCTCTGTGGCACTGATGTTACGTTAGGTCTCACAGGAAGCTGGATTAGATTTTGCCCAAGACGATCTGTTTTTCTTTGCCCTGATTACTTGCTCTACAAGTAGCGTTCTGATTATTAAATCAGCCTCCTAGACACTTCAGAATTATAAAAGGATGTGCCTGAGATAATGCTTGAGCATTCTTTTTAGACACTTGAGTGTCTAGAATTGGTTCTCTAGTTTATCCATTAGTACCTTGTGAGTTTGCTTTTAGTCTCTCTTGGTTTGACCAACTCTGGGGAACTGACAGGGTCAAGTTTTGATCTCTAAGGGTGAATACCAGATCCTGATTCCTGGTAAATTTACCAAATTAGTGACCCTGTGTTATCTCTTGACATTTGGACATTTTAAATTTATGGATATAAAACTCCCTGAAGCCGTGAAGAATTTGTAATAAAGTATTATAATAAAAATATAAATAAAGAGAAATATGTAATAAAATCTTTCCTGTATACTCTTAAGACTGAAATAGCTGTCCAAAGGCAGATTTTTTTTTTTGCCAGCTATGGTGGCTCACGGCTGTAATCCCAGCACTTTGAGAGGCCAAAGCAGGAGGATCACTTGAGCCCAGGAGTTCAAGACCAGCCTGGGCATCCTAGGGAGACCCTATCTCTACAAAAAATAAGAAAACTAATTGGGCTTGGTGGTACACACCTGTGGTCCCAGCTACTCAGGAAGCTGAGGTGGGAAGATCCCTTGGGCCTGGGAGGTCAAGGCTACAGTGAACCGTGATCACACTACTGCACTCCAGCCTGAGCAACAGAGCAAGAGTCTGTCTCAGTCAATCAATAAAGAAAGAAAAAGGCAGGTTTTTGTTTTGTTTATAATGATCCTGATTGACTGTTGGTGGAAATGTAAATACAGCCATTATGGAAAACACTGTGAAGGTTCCTCAAAAATTAAAATAGAGGCTGGGTGTGGTGACTCACGCCTGTAATCCCAGCACTTTGGGAGGCTGAGGCAGGCAGATTGCTGGAGCTCAGGAGTTCAAGACCAACCTGGGCAGCATGGCAAAACCCCATCTCTACAAAAAAAATACAAAAATTAGCTAGGCGTGGTGGTGCGTGCCTATAGCCCCAGCTACTTGGGAGGCTGAGGTGGGAGAATTGCTTGAGCCTGACAAGCGGTGGTTGCAGTGGGCCAAGACTGCACCACTGCACTCCAGCCTGGATTACACAGTGAGACCCTGTCTCAAAAAATAAAATGAAATAGAACTACCATACGATCCAGCAATCTCTCTATTGGATATATGTCCAAAGGAAATGAAATCAGGATGTTGAAGAGATACTGCACTCTCATGTTTATTGCAGCACTATTCACAATAGCCAAGATAAGGAATCAACCTAAGTGTCCGTCTACAGATAAATAGAGAAAATGTGTGTATGTCTGTGTGCATGCACCATATTCATATTCAGCCACAAAACAGAATGAAGTCCTGTTATTTGCAGCAACATGGATGAATCTGGAGGACATTATATTAAGTGAAATTAGCCAGGCACAGAAAGACAAATACTACATGATCTCACTCATATATGGAATCTAAAAACAAGTTAATCTTGTAGAAGTAGAAAGTAGGATAGTGGTTATCAGAGGCTAGAGAGAAAGGATAGGAGAGGAGGATGGATAGAGGTTGGTCAGCAAGTACAAAATTACAGTTAGCTCCATCCATGTCCCTGCAAAGAACGTGATCTCATTCCTTTTTATGGCTGCATAGTATTCCGTGGTGTATATGTACCACATTTTCTTTATCCAGTCTATCATTGATGGACATTTGGGTTGATTCCATGTCTTTGCTCTTGTGAATAGTGCTGCAGTGAACATACGTGTGCATGCATCTTTATAATAGAATGATTTATATTCCTTTGGGTATATACTCAGTAATGGTATTGCTGGGACAAATGGCATTTAGTGGGAGCTGAACAGTGAGAGCACATGTACACAGGGAGGGGAGCAACACACACTGGGCCTGTCAGTGGGGGGCAGCCGGGAGAGGGAGAACATCAGGATAAATAGCTAATGCGTGCAGGGCTTAATACCTAGGTGATGGGTTGATAGGTGCAGCAAACCACCATGGCACACGTTTACCTGTATAACAAACCTGCATGTCCTGCTCATGTATCCCGGAATTTAAAATAAAATAACAGGCCAGGCGCAGTGGCTCATGCCTGTAATCCCAGCACTTTGAGAGGCCGAGGCCGGCGGATCACCTGAGGTCAGTAGTTAGAGACCAGCCTGGCCAACATGGTAAAACCCCATCTCTACTAAAAATACAAAAATTAGCTGAGCGTGGTGGTGGGCACCTGTAATCCCAGCTACTTGGGAGGCTAAGGCAGGAGAATTGCTTGAATCCAGGAGGTGGAGGCTGCAGTGAGCCAAGATCACGCCACTGCACTCCAGCTTGGGTGGCAGAGTGAGACTTTCCCCCCCCCAAAAAAAAGATTACAGTTAGATGAGAAGCGTAACTGGTTTTCTGTTGTACAGTAGGGTGACTATGACTAATAATAATGTATATTTCAAGGTAGCTAGAAGATTTTGAATGTTATCACCACAAAGAAATGATAGATGTGACTGGTGTGGTGGCTTATGCCTGTAATCTTAACACTTTGGGAGGCCGAGGCAGGAAGATCACTTGGGCCTAGAAGTTTGAGACCAACCTGGGCAACATAGTGAGACCCTGTCTCTACAAAAAAGTAAAAAAAAAATTAGCCAAGCATGATGGCACATGCCTGTAGTCCCCGCTACTCAGGAGGCTGAGGTGGGAGGATCACTTGAGCCCAGGGGTTTGAGGTTTCATTGAGCTATAATTGTGTCATTGCTCTCCAGCCTGGGAAAGAGAACAAGACCCTGTCTCTAGAAAAAAACAAAAAACAAAAAACAAATGATAACTTTAAAATTATATATGTGCTAAGTATCTTTATTTGATCATCATACAGTGTATACATGTATTAACATATTACACTGGGCCAGACGCGATGGCTTATGCCTGTAATCCCAGCACTTTGGGAGGCCGAGGCGGGCTGATCACCTGAGGTCGGGAGTTCAAGACCAGCCTGACCAACATGGAGAAACTCCGTCTCTACTAAAAATACAAATTTAGCTGGGCAGTGGTGGTGCATGCCTGTAATCCCAGCTACTCAGGAGGCTGAGGCAGGAGAATCGCTTGAACCCGGGAGGCAGAGGTTGCGGTGAGCTGAGATCGTGTCACTGCACTCCAGCCTGGGCAACAAGAGCGAAATTCCATCTCAAAAAAAAAAAAAAAATTACACTGTACCCCATAAATGTGTACAATTATGTGTCAATTATAAATAAAGTTGAAATTTTAAAAATGATCTGTGGCTGGCCGCGGTGGCTCATGCCTGTAATCCCAGCACTTTGGGAGGCCGAGGCGGGTGGATCACGAGGTCAGGAGATCGAGACCATCCTGGCTAACATGGTGAAACCCTCTCTCTACTAAAAATACAAAAAAATTAACTGGGCATGGTGGTGGGCGCCTGTAGTCCCAGCTACTTGGGAGGCTGAGGCAGGAGAATGGTGTGAACCTGGGAGGCAGAGCTTGCAGTGAGCTGAGATCGCGCCACTACACTTCAGCCTGGGCGACAGGACAAGACTCCGTCCGTATCAAAAAAAAAAAAATCTTGTTTAGAAGGACATTGGGGAACTGAATGAATTATTATTTTGATTGCTGCTTTTTTTTTGCACATTTATTTAATAAATGTTTATTGAGAACCTACCATGTGCTAATCATATAGGCCTTAGTAATCATCTTGATTACTCTATCTTTCCTAAAAATAAAACAAAAATAACCTAACAAAAACCCACTAAGCTCTTCTGCTGCACTGAGTGCTACTTTTCTTTTCTTTTCTTTTGGTTTTTTTTTGGCTAGATACACTCTCATTTTGCCTTTCCTCCCTTTTCTTTTTCTTTAATTTGTAGTATGGTACTTGTCTGCTTTCATGTTCTTACTACTGTTGAACCTGCTTGGTAGATGAAGTAGCCAGATCAGAGCTTTTGTTTTGTGTAAGTTACTAATAGGTTATTTTACTATTCAAGTCTTTTTCCCCTGTCACTAAGTACTTGGTTGAGAAAAAATAATTGAATAGCTTTTTGAAATAAAACATGTCATTCATTCCAAAGAATGCAAAAGTACATATAGTTAATGAGAAGAGAGCTGAAAAACATATCCTGCTTAGTTTCCCAGGAAGCTAAGGGGAAAAAACATAAACTTACCTTGCCTTACCTAGAATTGGACCAGAATGTGGACCTTATATGAGACAGCTTGAAGCCTTGACCTTTGGGTACTTAGCTTGTTCTGAAATCAACAATTCAGAGGACTAAAGAGCCTTTGGTAATCAGTCAGGGTTCACTTGCAAGAGAGAGAAACTTCTTTGGTCTGGGCTAGGAATGACTTCTACTACAATATTTAAATTGGCCTGTCAGAGGAATGCTACCTTTGCTACAGTCAGAAGGTTGGCATTAGGAGGCCAACATGAAATGCTGAGTTTGAGAATGCGCCATCTCAATACCAAAAAAACCCAGTAAAAACATAGGCAAAAGACTTGAGTAGGTGTTTCTCCAAGCAAAATATACAAAGGTCTAGTAAGCATATGAAAAGATGTTCCACATGGCTAATCATTACTGAAATCAAATCAAAATCACAATGAAATACTACTTTATGTCATAAAATGGCTACTATTAAGAAAAAGAACAGAAAATTACAAGTATTAGCAGGAATATAGAGAAATTAGAACACTTTGTGCATATTTCTAGTAGGAATGTAAAATGGTTCAGCTGCTGTGGAAAATGATATGGTGACTCCTCAAAAAATTTAGCAGAATTACTGTACAAGCCAGCAATTCCACTTCTAGGTATATACCTGAAGTAAAAGCAGGGACTTGAACAGATATTTGTTTACCCATGTTCAAAGCAGTATTATTCACAATAGCCAGAAGATGAATGCAGCTTAAGTGTCCATGGATGGATGAATGTGTAAACAAAATGTGATATATACATAGAAGGGGATATTATTCAGCCTTAGAAAGAAAATTCTGGGCTGGGCGTGGTGACTCATGCCTGTAATCCCAGCACTTTGGGAGGCCGAGGTGGGTGGATCATTTGAGGTCAGGAGTTCGAGACCAGCCTGGCCAACATTGTGAAACCCCACCTCTACTAAAAATACAAAAATTAGCTGGGTGTGGTGGCAGGTGCCTGTAGTCCCAGCTACTTGGGAGGCTGAGGCAGGAGAATTGCTTGAACCCGGGAGGCGGAGCTTGCAGCGAGCCAAGATCGTGCCACTGCACTCCAGCCTGGGTGACAGAGTGAGACTCCGTCTCAAAAAAAAAAAAAAGAAAGAAAATTCTGACATACACTACAACACAGATGAACCTTGAAGCCTAAGTGAAATGAGACACAAAAGAACAAATATTGCATGATTCTACTTATGTGAAATATCTAGAATAGGGAAATTCATAACAACAGAATATAGATTAGAGAATACCAGGGACTGAGCATGAGGGGGATAGTGAGTTATTGCTTAATAGGTTACAGGGTTTTTGCTTGGAGTGATGATGAAGTTCTGAAGTTGGATGGTGGTAATTGTGGCACAACATTGTGAATGTATTTAAGGAAACAGAACTATAACACTTAAAATGGTAAAAATGGTAAATTTTATGTATAGTTAACCACACACACAGAAAAGAGCATGTATCTGTTATGCAGGTATTAGGAAACCACTACTACTTGCCCCACAACTGCAGCTGCTTCATGACCCTTACAAAGTTAGTGACTGAAACCTGGAGAATTATGTGCATGTGGTCAGCATTTCCATAATCCTTGTGGATAGCCAAAACTTCAGTAAAACAACTCCCATTTCACCATCTGTTTTCCATATCTCATGAGCATCTCATGAGCATCTAGTTGGCTGAACCTGATTCACATTTGAATCCTAGTAGCAAGGGACCCTGAGGAATAATGATTAGCTTTTCAGACTGTGTAGTAGGAGGAAACGACTAGAGGGAGACTAGAAAGGATACTGAGTGCTGCTTCATCATATCTGCCACAGGCACTGAGTCAGAGGTGATTCGTAGATGGCAGTGCTCCTTTTAGTCAGGTCACCATTTCCAGTAGTATTGAGAATGTCCTGCAGCTGATAAGTTGGAGAGGTAGGGTGGGGACAAAGTCATTATCTCTTTTTGCAGTTAATGGGCTGATTGTGCTATGGTATTTGCAGTTTTAATGTGGTAGAACACATTTGGATTATTTAAATTATTGTAAAGAGATTTGGGTCACTCTAATGGGATGCATTAAAGACTCATTGACTAAAGACTATCTGGGCTAATGTTTAGGAGTACCAAATGTAAGGTTGTTATGTTTATGATAAGCTTTTTTCATTTCATCAAGTATGGATATAAGAATATAATAGAAAATATACTGAGTTCTTTTGCTCTTAGGCTGCTGAAATCTCTAATTAGTATGAACTAAATTTGTTTGGAGAGAAAAGAAACAAATTTACTAGTAAAGCATTTACTTGCTGAAAATTGCACTTCTTAAAAACAGTTTTCAAAAATTCTAACCAGAGGTCACCCAAAAGATAAGATATTTCATATTGTTCAGAACAGTCCGGTGTTTTTATCTGTTATCTGTGACTTAAAACTAAGTTTGAATAATTCCTGTTGATAATCGGATTCTGCAGGAATGACTGTTCTCTCAGCACCTTGATAGGTATTGACCTTTGATGCTTAAGTGGTTTTTTCTTTTTTTTTTTTTTTTTTTGAGACGGAGTTTCGCTCTTGCTGCCCAGGCTAGAGGGCAATGGTGTGAACTCAGTTCACTGCCACCTCCGCCTCCCAGGCTCAAACAATTCTCCCGCCTCAGCCTCCTGAGTAGCTGGAATTACAGGCATGCACCACCACGCCCGATTAATTTTTTTTTTTTTGCATTTTTAATACAGACAGGGTTTCACAACATTGGCCAGGCTGGTCTCAAACTCCTGACCTCAAGTGATCTGCCCACCTCGGCCTTCCAACGTACTGGGATTATAGGCGTGGGTCACCACCCATTAACATTTTGGACAAGTACCAAGCTTTGCATGAAATGCTTTTTAAGGTGGACCACGCTTTAATGGTGTAATAAGAGTTAGTATTTAAATCAGATTTGTTGATACAGTTATTCCACTTCTAGAAATTTAACCTAAAGCAATGCAATGCCATTTATAATAATAATAAAATAGTGAACAATTGTTAACAATGGGGAGATGGATAAATTATTGTATAGTCATACAATGGAATGTTTTAAAACTATCTTTTCAAAAGATATTTAATAGCATTAGACAGGACTCATGCAATAATGTTAAGCAAAATGATACAGAATTATGTATGATGTGATTTCTCTTTATAGAAAATTTTGTGTGTGAGAGAAATATAACAAATTATAAGGAGTGATCCTTTAGGGATTAGTTTTCAAATTTTCTGTTCTTCAGTGAATATATATTGCTTCTATATATTTGGCTTTTTATTATAGAGAGACTTAATTATAAAAGATTCAAACCATGCAGAAACTTGCAGACTAAAAACCCTAAAAATCCTTCCTCTGTCCCCGACCTAGAGAAATGGAGACCAATTCATCAATTTGTTTTTATATGGATTTTGTTTTTGGTGTCACATCTAAGAGATCTTTACCTAACCCAGGTCAGAAAGATTTTCTCCTAGAAATTTTCTAGTCTTAGGTTTTATGTTAGGTCTATGATCCATTTTCAGTTAATTCTTATATGTGGTAGAAGTATGAATTGAGGTTTTTACATATGGGTATCCATTTGTTCCAGCATCATTTAATGAAAAGACTGTGTTTTCTCCACTGAATTGCCTTTGCACATTTGTAGAAAATCAGATATCTATATATGTATAGGTTTGTTTCTGGACTCTATATTCTGTTTCCTTGATTTATGTTAACACCACTTTGTCTTGATTTGAGTACTGAGATAGGCAGAAGTCCCCGGGTTCAAGCAATTCTCCTGCCTTAGCCTCCTGATTAGCTGGGACTACAGGCAAGCACCACCAAGCCGGGCTAATTTTTGTGTTTTTAGTAGAGACAGGGTTTTGCCATATTGGCCAGGCTGGTCTCGAACTCCTAACCCCAAGTGATCCACCCGCCTCTGCCTCCCAAAGTACTGGGATTACAGGCTTGAGCCACCCCGCCCTGTCAAGATACAGAATTCTAAAATGACTCCTAATGACCTATGCTTTTGTATAATGGGAGGGACCTGTAATCCCACCTAATCATGGGATATCACTCCCATGGTGACTAAGAAAGGGAGATTATCCTCAGTGGACCTGATCTAATCAGACAAACCCTTAAAAGGGACTGGGCTTTTCCTGGAGAAATAATCCAAGTACAAGGGAAGGGAATTCAACACAGAAGAAGCTGCTGATTTTTGGGAAAAGAGGAGGCCATGCAGTAAAGAATTCGAGTGGTCGGTAAGCTTACGGTAATTTGTTACAAAGCAATAGAAAACAAATACAGGTAGTTGTATAATAAGTGTTTAAATCAGCTGTTTATGAAATGTATCAATATCTACAAAATTAAAGGCCCGTTGGGATTTTGATTGGAATTGGGTTGAATGTGCAGATAAGTTTGGGGAAAATTGTCCTCTTAACAGTATTGATTCTTCTGACCTACTCATTTCTCATTTTTAGGTGTTCGTCTTAGCAGTGTTTTTTGTTGTTTTCAGCATATAGGTCTTGCCCATGTTTTGTCAGATTTATCCCTGAGTATTTAATATTTTTTATGCTATTATAAATGGTATTTTATACATTTTAATTTTTGATTGTTTGTTGCTAGTATATGGAAATACAATTGATGGCTGGGTGTGATAGCTCACGCCTGTAATCCCACACTTTGGGAGGCTGAGGCAGGTGAATCTCCTGAGCTCAGGAGTTCGAGATGGGTCTGGGCAACATAGCAAAACCCTGTTTCTACCAAAAATATTAAAAATTAGCCAAGTGTGCCAAGTGTGGTGCGCATGCACCTGTGGTCCCAGCTACTTGGAAGGCTGAAGTGGGAGAATGGCTTGAGCCTGGGAGGTGGAGGTTGCAGTGAGCCGAGATCGTGCCACTGCACTCCAACCTGGGTGACAGAGTGACACCCTGTCTCAAAAAAAAAAAAAAAGAAAGGAAGACAATTGATTTTTGTTTGTCGATACTATATGTGGCAATCTTGCTAAACTGACTTATTCTAGTAACTGTTTTTGGTATAGTCTATTGAATTTTCAACATAAATAATCAAGTTGTCAGCAAATAGAGTTTTATTTCTTCCTTTTTAATCTGTATGCCTTTTACTTTTTTTTTTTTTTTTTCCTCGAGATGGAGTCTCACTCTGTCTCCCAGGCTGGAGTTCAGTGGTGCGATCTCCGCTCACTGCAAGCTCCGTCTCCCGGGTTCACGCCATTCTCCTGCCTCAGCCTCCCGAGTAGCTGGGACTACAGGTGCCTGCCACCATGCCCGGCTAATTTTTTGTATTTTTATTAGAGACAGGGTTTCACCGTGTTAGCCAGGATGGTCTCGATCTCCTGACCTCATGATCCACCTGCCTCAGCCTCCCAAAGTGCTGGGATTACAGGCGTGAGCCACCACGCCTGGCCTGCCTTTTGCTTCTTTTTTTTATCTTATTACACTGACCAGAACTTCTGATGTTTTGTAGAAGTGGTGAGAGTGACGGTCTTGCCTTGCATCTTTTTTTTTTCCTTACACTTGCTTTTTAAAAAAATTTTATTTTTATTTTTGTTTTTGAGAAAGAGTCTCACTCTGTTGCCCAGGTGGCTCACTGCAGCCTCCACCTTCTGGGTTCAAGCAATTCTCCTGCCTCAGCCTTCTGAGTACCTGGGATTGCAGGCACCCACCACCATGCCTGGCTAATTTTTGTATTTTTAGTAGAGATGGGGTTTCACCATGTTAGCCAGGCTGGTCTTAAACTCCTGACCTGAGGTGATCCGCCTGTCTCAGCTTCCCAAAGTGCTGGGATTACAGGCATGAGCCAACATGCCCAGCCTTTGTTATTGATTTCTGCCCTCATCATTATTATTTCCTTCTGCTTTGGGTTTAATTTTCTCTTTAGCTTCTTGGTGGTATTATTTTAGCTGATATTAGTGGATTTCCATTTCTCCCAACCTTTGTGCTATTGTTAACATATGTTTTACATATGTTATAAATCCCACAGTACATTGCTTTTTGTTTAAACAGTAAATTATCTTTTTTTTGAGACGAAGTCTTGTTCTGCCACCAGGCTGGAGTGCAGTGGCACGATCTTGGCTCACTGCAACCTCCGCTTCCCAGGTTCAAGCGATTCTTCTGCCTCAGCCTCCTGAGTAGCTGGGACTATAGGCGCGTGCCACCACGCCCAGCTAATTTTTGTATTTTTAGTAGAGACGGGGTTTCACCATGTTGGCCAGGATGGTCTCGATCTCTTGACCATGTGATCCGCCCGCCTCGGCCTCCCAAAGTGCTGGGATTACAGGCATGAGCCACCACCCGGCCTAAATTATCTTTTAAAGAAACTTAAGGCCGGGTGCAGTGCCTCCCATCACTTTGGGAGGCCGAGGCAGGCAGATTACCTGAGGTCAGGAGTCTTGAAAAACCAAACAAAACATCAATACAAATGAATATCCTTCTATCCTGAAGGACAAATGAATGAGGACAGCATCCTCTTCCTTTTCCCACAATGTAATAATTCTTGATTTGAGTGTTTATCATGGCCTTATAAGTGCATTGTTGGCTATTAAAAACTTTCTGTGCTTCCTTACAACAAGCAAAGTTAAAAGCTGGTACTGCGGCTGGGCGCGGTGGCTCACGCCTGTAATCCCAGCACTTTGGGAGGCCGAGGCGGGTGGATCACAAGGTCAGGAGATCAAGACCAGCCTGGCCAACATGGTGAAATCTCGTCTTTACTAAAAATACAAAAATTAGCCTGGTGCAGTGGCACGGGCCCATAATCCCAGCTACTGGGGAGGCTGAGGCAGGAGAATCTCTTGAACCCAGAGGCAGAGGTTGCAGTGAGCCTAGGTCATGCCACTGCACTCCAGGCTGGGTGATAGAGTGAGACTCTGTCTCATAAATAAATAAACTAACTAACTTAAATAGTAAGAAAAAATGTATATATTTATGCATGTGGCTACCATTTTGGTGTTCATTTCTTTGTGTAGATTCATATTTTGGTATGGTAACATTTTCTTTCTGCTTGAAGGACCTTAAATTTTTGTAGTGCATGTCTGCTGGTGATGAAATCAGCTTTTGTGTGTCTGAACAAGTATTTGCCTTTGCTTGTGAATGATATTTCACTGGGCCTACGGTTTTAGGTTGTTGTTTTTTTTTTCTTTCAGTACTTTATGTTGTTTCACTGTATTCTAGCTTGGCTTGAGCCCAGTAAGAAATCTCTTATCATTCTTACCTTTGTTCCTAATGTGTCTGTTTTCTCTTTTTGCTTTTAAGATTTTCTCATTGTCACTGTTTTTAAGTAATTTGATTTTGGTATGCCTTGGTATAGCTTTCTTCTTGTTTCTTATTTTTGGAGTTTGTTAAGCTTCTTGGATACACATGTTTATGGTTTTCACCAAATTTGGAAAATTTTTGGCCATTGTTACTTCAAATATTTTTTCTGTTCTCTCTTGTCTTTTGGAAGCTGTTTGATGTTGTTCCACCTCTCACTGATGTTCTTTCTTTGGTGTGTTTGTGTGTGTGGTAAAATATATACAACCAAATTTATAATTTAAACTTTTTTTTTTTTTTTTTTGGAGTTGGAGTCTTGCTCTGTCACCCAGGCTGAAGTGCAGTGGCACGATCTCGGCTCACTGCAACCTCTGCCTCCCGGGTTCAAGTGATTCTCCTGCCTCAGCCTCCAGAGTAGCTGGGATTACAGGCACCCGCCACCATGCCAGGCTCTTTTTTTCTATTTTTAGTGGAGATGGGGTTTTCACAGTGTTAGCCAGGATGGTCTCCATCTCTTGACCTCGTGACCGCCTACCTCGGCCTCCCAAAGTGCTGGGATTACAGGCGTGAGCCACTGCTCCCGGCTGAAATGATTTTTTTATATAGTTCAGTGGCATTAAGTACATTTACTGTGTTGTGCAACCATTATCACCATCCATCTTTAGAACTTTTAAAAAATCTTCCCAAACTGAAATTCTGTACCTATTAAAAAATGACTCATTCTCCCTGCTCCCAGTCCCTGACAGCCACCATTCTACTTTCTGTTTCTGTGAATTTCACTACTCTAGTTACCTCGTATAAGTGGAATCATACAGTATTTGTCCTTTTGTGACTGGCTTATTTCACTTAGTATAATGTCTTTAAGGCTCATCCATGTTGTAGCATGCGTCAGAACTTCCTTCCTTTTTAAGGCTGAATAATAGTCTCTTTTTTAAAGTTCTCTTTTTTTTCTGTGTTTTATTTTGAAAAGTTTCTTTTCTTTTCATTGTTTTTTTGAGACAGGCTCTTGCTCTGTTGCCCAGGCTGGAGTGCAGTGGCGCGATCTCAGTCCACTGCAGCCTTGAACTCCTGGGCTTAGGTGACCTTCTTGCCTGAGCCTCTGAGTAGCTGGGACTACAAGCATGGGCAACCATGTCTGGCTAATTTTAAAAAATTATTTATAGAGACGAGGTCTCACTATGTTGCCCAGGCAGGTCTTGAACTCATAGGCTTAAGCAATCCTCCCACCTCAGCCTCCCAAAGTGTTGGGATTGCAACCAGCGCCCTTGAATTGTTTCTATTGTTACTTAGTTACATTTATTGCTCTTACCTTCTGCAGTGGCTCAGCAGCTGTTAGTCCCATCCAGGGTATTTTTCATCTCAGATTATTTCATTTTATCTCTAGAACTTGGAGTTGCGTTAGTCTTTTTTTACTTATCTATTTCCTTTTTTGTTGAGATGGTGCAGGGGCAGGGGACATCTCCCTTTGTTGCTCAGGCTGACCTTGAACTCCTGGCCGCAAGGGATCCTCCTGCCTTGCCTCCCAAAGTGCAGGGATTACAGGCGTGAGCCACCACCTGGCCATTATGTGTCTATTTCTTCATTTAACTTTTTGGACAAATGTAATACACAATTATCATAACTGAGTTAATTTCCTTATCTGCTAATTTTATTAAATGTGTCAGTTCTTGATTGATTGATTCTTCTCCTCATTATAAGTGATACTTTCCTGCTTCTTTGCATGCCTGACAATCTTTGAATAGATTCCAGACATTATGAATTAGTTGTTGGACATTATGAATTCATTGTTGGGCTCTAGATACTTTGGTATTTCTATTAATATTCTTGAGCTTTTTGTGGGATGCTGTTCAACTACTTGAACAGAGTTTGATCCTTTTGAGTCTTCCTTTTAAGATTTGTTAGGATGAACCCAGAGACATGTTTAGTCAAGGGTAGGGTTTCTCAATAGCAGCACCATGGCATTTGGGGCCAAATAATTCTTTGTTGGGGGAGGGGATAGTCCTGTGCATTATAGAATGTTTAACATCATTCCCCCCCAAAGTTGTAACAACCAAAAATGTCTTCAGACATTGCCAAATGTTCCAGGAAGTGGGGAGGATTGCCCGCAGTTGAGAGTTGCTGCCTTAGGGTTAGTTTTGCCTTACTACTATGGCAAGATCTTTCTGTGTACTCTACCCAAAGCTGTTCATGAGACCTTTTTTCAATCTGGCTCTTTGGAATAGGTACTTTTCTTGGCCTCATGTGAGTGCTGGGAATTCAATTGGGTGGTCTTTCCTTGGTCTTGGTTAGTTTCCTTACATACATGTGCTGATAGGCATTCAGCTAAATATTCAAGAGAGACCCGCAGATCTCTGGAGTTCTTGTCTGTGTATCTCGTCTCCAGTATTGTGCCCCATAAACACTAGCCATCTTGATTGCCCCAAACTCTCAGCTCCATCTCTTCAACTCAGTGAGCCTGCCAGGCCTCACATGAGTTTCCCATCCTGTGCCTCTTGTGGCTGGGAAACTCAAGGCCGTAACCTGGGGCAGTAGGGTTCACCTTATTTGTTTCCTGGCTCTCAGGGATTTTCCTGATGTCCAGTGTCTTGACACTTTTTTTTTTTTTTTTTTTTTTTTTTTTGGAGACAGAGTTTCGCTCTTGTTGCCCAGGCTGGAGTGCAATGGCACGATCTCAACTCACCGCAACCTCCGCCTCCCGGGTTCAAGCCATTCTTCTGCCTCAGCCTCCCAAGTAGCTGGGATTACAGGCATCTGCCACCACACCTGGCTAATTTTTTGTATTTTTGGTAGAGACAGGGTTTCTGCATGTTGGTCAGGCTGTTCTCAAACTCCCAACCTCAGGTGATCCGCCCACCTCAGCCTCCCTAAGTGCTAGGATTACAGGCGTGAGCCACCGCACCTGGCTGAAACTTTTTTTTCCCCATATATTTTGTTTGTTTTTTGGTTGTTTCAGGTCAGAGGATAAATCTGGTTCTTGTTAGTAAATCTTGGTCAGAAGCACATGTCCTTTAACAGATCATTTATTTGTATTAATTATTGATAAAAGCTGAATTCTTAAACATTTACTAATCTAATTTCCTTATTTTATCAATTTGTATTTATCATTCAAAGTCTCCTGTTCCCTGTAATTCCTTTGGTACAACATAAATATTAAATTGGCCCTAAAGCTTTTTATCATCTTTTAATATACCTCTTTCATGCAGGCTTTCACAGGGTTAGCTAAGTAGTGATTTAGTATGGGCCTCTTAACTATTATATAGTAGCATACAATTAAAGGGCATGCACTGACCTGATAAAGCAGAACAGTGAAATGTGTCATGCTTTTAGGGCATTCCCACAGCAGGCTCAAAGACTTCCAAGAGACTTCCACGTATAACTTATATTTTCTAGCAGCTAAAACGTCAGCATCAAAGCCTATTAGCCTGATTGAGGTTGTAAAGAACTGGTGAGCTAAGACAGTGGAAAAAAACATATAAAAGAAGAGAAGAATCATTTTGAACAGAGTATGAGAGGAAACTGTCCTAACGAATAATGCTACAAGAATGGGAGTGACATGGAACCCATTGGTGGTAAGCTGTTAGAGAAAGGGGAATGTTAACAGACTAGAAATAATGTGACTGAAGAAATCTGGCCTTGTATTTTTTATTTATTTTTTTTTATTTTTGAGACGGAGTCTTACTGTGTTGCCCAGGCTGGAGTGCCGTGGTGTGATCTCTACTAACTGCAACCTTTGCCTGCCAGGTTCAAGCGGTTCTCTGCCTCAACCTCCCTAGTAGCTGAGATTACAGGCGCCCGCCACCATGCCTGGCTAATTTTTTTGCATTTTTAGTAGAGACGGGGTTTCACCATCTTGGCCAGGTTGGTCTTGAACTCATGACCTCGTGATCCACCCGTCTCAGCCTCCCAAAGTGCTGGGATAGGCGTGAGCCACCATGCCCGGCTGGCTTTGTTTTATGTGAAGGAAACTTGTCTCTCAGATTTGCTATATCATAACCACTACAGAGATTATAGCATGTGCTTGTTGGATATCCAAGGATGAAGTAATTTAGTCAGAGATACTTTGGGTAAAAGAAGATATGTATAGTAGGTAGGGTGAAAGCATCTAGTTATCCATGTGAACTAAAACAGCAAAATCATATTTCTAATGGAATTGTATATATGATATAATAAATGATATAAAATAATATAATAAATGTATAAGTTCCATGTGTTAAAGTGAATAAATCATAATTCTTTGACATTTGAGGTGGTGATGATATGCTACAGCTAAAAAGAGTTAAGAGTTTTTGTTATTCCATAATGCATAAGAATTAGACAACTTTGTAAAAAATACAGACTCCTTGTAAATGGATGTTATAATAATTTTCAAAGACAGGGAAACTATGTGGGTCAATAATATAAGTTCTTTTGTGAAACAAAATATGACTTAAGTCTTCCAAAAATTACGATTGCTTTTAGTAATAAAGAAATAAATACTTAATGTTTAACTGACACTTCCCTGACATTCATCTGTGGGTGGATTTTATCAAGCTTATTTCTTGTTTTCTAAATAGTTTTGATGATATAAATGGTGCTCATGTAGTTAGTGTCTGCCTTTGCCAAGTTACTGTAAGTCTTCGTGGCAGGAGTTTATGTGGGTAGGGAAAGAATGCAGAGCAATACCAGCTTTTTTTTTTTTTTTTTTTTTTTTTGAGACAGAGTCTTGCTCTGTCGCCCAGGCTGGTGTGCAATGGCACAATCTCGGCTCACTGCAAGCTCTGCCTCCCAGGTTCACGCCATCCTCCTGCCTCAGCCTCCCAAGTAGCTGGGACTACAGGCGCACGCTGCCATGCCCGGCTAATTTTTTGTATTTTTAGTAGAGATGGGGTTTCACCTTGTTAGCCAGGATGGTCTTGATCTCCTGACCTTGTGATCCACCCGCCTCGGCCTCCCAAAGTGCTGGGATTACAGGCGTGAGCCACCGCGCCCGGCCGCAGTACCAGCTTTTAACTTTGCTTGTTGTAAGGAAGCACAGAAAGTTTTTCATAGCCAACAATGCATTTATAAGGCCATGATAAACACTCAAATCAAGAATTATTACATTGTGGGAAAAGGAAGAGGATGCTGTCCTCATTCATTTGTCCTTCAGGATAGAAGGATATTCATTTGTATTGATGTTTTGTTTGGTTTTTCAAGACTTTGAAAATAAAGTTTAATCTAACATATATAGAGAAAAGTATAGATCACAATTATACAGCTTGATGAATTTTCACAAAAGGAACAAACTCATGTAACTAATATGCAGATTTTTAAAAAAGAACATTTGTATTAGAACAGTTTTTCTTTTTTTCAAGCTGGGTAATAGGCACATAGGTGTTCGTTGTATCATTTTATTCTTTTATGCTTTGAAGTTTGCCTACCATTTTTAAAAAATTATCTCAGGTGGAAATACAATCTTCAGAGGTCTGGAAAGTGTCAGAAAACCTACAGGCTTTAATAGTTGAGAAAGTACTTTTGAGAAATAGTGTTTTTTTCCATGTAGGCCTTTGTCTCCTATGTATCTGATATACTTTATAAACCTGAGAAGGCCCAAGTAACTGAATGTTTTACAATAAAAGAAGAACATAAATAGAGCTGTGTGAAATCAAAGTAGTAAAAATTATTGGTACTTTTTAAAACATAGCACCTTATTGGCCTTTTATTCTGCAGTATAAAGTCTGGGTCATCAAATTTGTGAGTACATGGAAATGACAGTTTTCTTTTAAAAATTTTATTGCTAAAGTCCGTGATAGTTTAAGAATAAAATGCCCTATTCAGTTCTATAATGTAATATTCAAAGCTGTAGAAAGAACTGAGTTATTATTGAGATTCAAATATATGTCTAGTTTAAAGGCTTCATATCTGTTATAGAAATCATTATGTGTGCAGTAGTTAGAAATACGCTTAATCTAAAGGGTTCCCTGGAATTACAGTTATCTACTTTCCTTTATGTTTATTTCCCCCCAGGTGGGGAGATACGTTTTCCATGAACATGGAGATTTCAGAAATCGGATTTTTTTCTCTTTTCTTTGATTTTTAAAAATATAATAAATCTTCCTATATTTCTTGATTTTATGAAAAGTATTAAAATGGGATTTTTCTCAGTTCTCGAGTAGGCTTTTTAATTAAATTGTGACTCATGCAGTGGAAAAGCCATTTGTAAAATGTCGTTCTGTAAAAATGTTTGGTTATTAAATTTTCTTCTGCTGTTGGAGTCATATGCATAAAATTATTAGTGTGTTAATCTATTGAAAACCATTCATTATTGAATAATTTTTGTTTCTTTTACTCTAGAAACCAATAGGATAGTGTAGGTAAATTACTGTTTCTGGGGTGCGTGTGTGTATATACATATGTGTGCGTGTGTGTGTGTGTACATCTCTCTCTCTCTCTCTACATATATATATATATAGTTTTTTGTTTTTTTTTCTTTGAGACGATCTCCCTCTGTTGCCCAGGCTGGAGTGCAGTGGCACAACCATGGCGCACTGCAGCTTTGACCTCCCAGACTCAGGTGATCCTCCCACCTCAGCCTGCCAGGTAGCTGAGACTATAGGTGTCCCACCATGCCCAGGCTAAAATTTTTTTTTTTTTTTTTTTTTGGTAGAGATAGGATCTTGCTACGTGGCCCAGGACTGGTCTCGAACTCCTGGGCTTAAGTGATCCTCCCAACTCAGCCTCCCAAAGTGCTGGGGATTGTAGGCATGAGCCACTGCGCCTGGCCTGTTTCTGGTGTATTTATGTGTGTTTGTCTTTGAAGAAATTGTTAGGACATACTGAAGCTTTTGTTTTGTTTTCCTGTTTTCTCTCTACAGGCAGCGGAGGAGGAAATGGCAGGTCCTAATCAACTCTGCATTCGCCGCTGGACTACCAAGCATGTAGCTGTGTGGCTGAAGGATGAAGGCTTTTTTGAATATGTGGACATTTTATGCAATAAGCACCGACTTGATGGAATCACATTGCTAACATTGACTGAATATGATCTCCGGTCTCCTCCTCTGGAAATCAAAGTCTTAGGGGACATTAAAAGGTTAATGCTCTCAGTCCGAAAATTGCAGAAAATACATATTGATGTTTTAGAAGAGATGGGCTACAACAGTGACAGTCCCATGGGTTCCATGACCCCTTTCATCAGTGCTCTTCAGAGTACAGACTGGCTCTGTAATGGGGAGCTTTCCCATGACTGTGACGGACCCATAACTGACTTGAATTCTGATCAGTACCAGTACATGAATGGTAAAAACAAACATTCTGTTCGAAGATTGGACCCAGAATACTGGAAGACTATACTGAGTTGTATATATGTTTTTATAGTATTTGGATTTACATCTTTCATTATGGTTATAGTCCATGAGCGAGTGCCTGACATGCAGACCTATCCACCACTCCCAGATATATTCTTAGACAGGTAAGTTTTGTTTCTAGTTGCTAAGTTTGTAGGATGTTGCTATAATTAACAGCAATGATACTATATTTATGATAATTATATTGTTTCTTATTGTGGTAGATGTATACTTTCCATTTGCTTTATCTGGCGGTATAAAATGCTTTGAAATTACCTTTTTCACTTAGAGTAAATTAGGCCTTAAGCCTAGGTGTGTGAGAAAAACCACTGCTCTTTTAATTTTTCAATTTAATTTAATTTTAATTTTAATTTAATTTTTTATTTTGAGACAGTCTCACACTGCACTGTCACCCAGGCTGGAATGCAGTGGCATGACCATGGCTCACTGCAGTCTCAACCTCCCGGGCTCAAGCAATCCTCCCACCTCAGCCTCCCAGGAAACTGGGACTGTAGACATGTTCCACCATGCCCAGCTAATTTTTAAGTTTTTTGTAGAAATAGAGTCCCACCGTGTTGCCCAGGCTGGGTGAACTCCTAGGCTGAAACGATCCTCCCACCTTGGCCTCTTAAAGTGTTGGGATTACAGGCATGAGCCATCATGGCCTGGACTGCTTAATTTATTTTTGTGTAGTTATAGCTCCTTGGGTACTTTAGATTTTTTGAGACAGAGTCTCGCTCTGTCACCCAGGCTGGAGTGCAGTGGCATGATCTTGGCTCACTGCAACCTCCACCTCCCTGGTTCAAGCCATTCCCCTGCCTCAGCCTCCTGAGTAGCTGGGATTACAGGAGCCCGCCACCAGGCCCAGCTACTTTTTTTGTATTTTTAGTAGAGATGGGGCTTCACCATATTGGCCAGACTGGTCTTGAACTCCTGACTTCAGGCAGTCCGCCTACCTCGGCCTCCCAAAGGGCTGGGATTACAGGTGTGAGCCACCGCGCTTGGCCAGGTACTTTAGATTTTAAGAGGGTATCTGGAATGATGTTTGTAATAAATGGAACTTGGCTGCCTTTTTTTATTTTTTTTTAAATGAAGAATAGGGTTCTGCTTTTTCAAAAATATTGATGGTGTCATATCACCAAATGAATTGGAACTATCACAAAGAGGACAAGTGGATTCAGTGATAGCATGCTGTTTTATTAAATATTGAATACATAAAAAAATGTAGTATATGTGTAACATATGAAAAATAAGAATAGGGCCGGGCGCGGTGGCTCACGCCTGTAATCCCAGCACTTTGGGAGGCCGAGGCGGGCGGATCACGAGGTCAGGAGATCGAGACCATCCCGGCTAAAACGGTGAAACCCCGTCTCTACTAAAAATACAAAAAATTAGCCGGGCATAGTGGCGGGCGCCTGTAGTCCCAGCTACTTGGGAGGCTGAGGCAGGAGAATGGCGTGAACCCGGGAGGCGGAGCTTGCAGTGAGCCGAGATCCCGCCACTGCACTCCAGCCTAGGCGACAGAGCGAGACTCCGTCTCAAAAAAAAAAAAAAGAAAAAAAAAAAAGAAAAATAAGAATAGAACAGTAGGCCAGGCATGGTGGCTCATGCCTATAATCCCAGCACTTTGGGAGGCCCAGGTGGGAGGATTGCTTGAGTCCAGGAGTTCAAGACTAGCCTACAAGTTCAAGACTTGCAACATAGCAAGACCCCCATCTCTCCAAAAAATTAAAAATTAGCCAAGCATGATGGCACATGCCTGTAGTCCTAACTACTCAGGAGGCCAAGGTGGGAGGATCACTTGAGCCTAACAGGTTGAGGTTACAGTGAGCTATAGTTACACCACTGCACTCCAGCCTGGGCAGCACAGCGAGACCCTGCCTGTCTCCAACAACAATAATAATAATAAAACAGTAAACAAGTACTCAGAACTGTTTTCACATTTTTGATTTTTAAATCTTTTAAAAATTTGGGTATTACTTTCTTGTTTGTTAGTTTTTGGTTTTGTTTTTGTTTTTTAGATGGAGTCTTGCTCTGTCACCCAGGCTGCAGTACAATGGCACGATCTCAGCTCACTGCAACCTCCGCCTCCTGGGTTCAAGTGATTCTCCTGCCTCAGCCTTCCGAGTAACTGGGATTACAGGCACCCACCACCACGACCGGCTAATTTTTGTATATTTAGTAGAGACGAGGTTTCACAGTGTTGGTCAGGCTGGTCTCGAACTCCTGACCTCAAATGATCCGCCCACCTCAGCCTCCCAAAGTGCTGGGATTACAAGCATGAGCCACTGCGCTTGGCCCCTTGTTTGTTTTTTATAAAACATTTTGCCCTTCTAAAAGTGCCTTTGCTGGGCATTAGGGCTCATACCTGTGATCCCAGCACTTCGAGAGGACGAGGCTGGTGGGATCACCTGAGGTCAGGAATTCGAGACCAGCCTGGCCAACATGGTGAAACCCCGTCTCTACTAAAAATACAAAAACTAGCTGGATGTGGTGGCGGACACCTGTAATTATCTCAGCTACTCAGGAGACTGAGGCAGGAGAATTGCTTGAACCTGGGAGGCAGAGGTTGCAGTGAGCCGAGATCGCGCCATCGCACTCCAGCCCGGGTGTCAGAGTGAGACTGTCTCAAAAAAAAAAATACATAAAGTAAAATAAAACTGCCGTGTAGTATTTGTATTTGAAAATGAAATGAATTTAAAATGTCCGTGTTCCTATGCCAGAATAATGTATACATCTCATTTTGCTCCCTGTCAAACCCCAACTAAAACTATAGTAAAGAGGTTTTTTTTTTTGTTTTGTTTTTGTTGTTTTGAGATAGAGTCCAGGCTGGAGTGCAGTGACACAATCTCGGCTCACTGCAACCTCTGCCTCCCGGGTTCAAGCTATTCTCCTGCCTCAGCCTCCCAAGTAGCTGGGATTACAGACATGTGCCACCATGCCCAGCTAATTTTGTTGTATTTTTAGTAGAGACAAGGTTTCACTGTGTTGGCTAGGCTGGTCTCGAACTCCTGACTCAAATGATCCACCCACCTGGGCCTCCCAAAGTATAGGGATTACAGGTGTGAGCCACCATGCCCGGTGAGCTGTAGTAAAGAGTTTTTTGTTTTTGTTTTTTAAGTAAGCCCACAGGATGGAGTGGATAAAATAGGAGAAAACAGCCATACATTTTTGGAAGTTGGAAGATGGATGGATGAGTGGCAATTGACAAACCCAAAATTAACCTAATTATAAAATTTGAGCAATGGGGAAAACTGAGAACCAACCCCGTTTATATTGCAGATTTCTCCAAAGTAAGGAGAACTTACTGAAAGCTGTTTAAGAAGTTGTTATATCCGTGTATCTTGTCTCCCCTTCTATACAGTTTTTCCAACTGTAAACAGAAGACCACTAGGAAGTAAGGAAGAAATCATGTGGCTGTCTGGGGAAAATAGTACTTTAGGCAAAGCAAACAGCTGGGTGCAAAAATCTGAACTGGGAGTGTTCCTGGCAGGTTTAAGGAACAACCAGTGAGAGATGAGCAGATCTGAGAGGAGACAAGAAGCCAGGTTGTGTAAGGACTTGAGGACCATTGTAAGGACTTCAGCTTTCATTCTAAATGAAAAGGGAAGGCACTGGAAAGTACTGAGGACAAGAGTTGAGGGATCTAACTTCTATTTTAAAAGGTCATTCTAGTTGTTGTATTGAGAATACCCTGGGGTGTGGGTGGGGATCTAGAGATCATTTAAGAATTTATTAAATTCATCTAGACAAAGATTTTAGATTGGATGAGAACAGTGGTAGAGGTGGTATGAAAGAGTCAAATTCTATATATATTTTGAAATTAGAAAATTAGAGCTAACAGAATTTGCTGATGAATTTGGATTTGATGAATTAAGAGAGAGAAATCAAATATTATTCCAAGATGTTTTTTGTTTTTTGTTTTTTTTGAGACAGGGTCTCACTCTGTTCTCCAGGCTGGAGTTTAGTGGTGCATTCATAGATCACTGTAACCTCAAATTCCTAGGCTCAAGTGATCTCCTTCCTTAGCCTCCCGAGTCACTACGACTGCAGGTGTGTGTCACCACACCTGCCTGATTTTTAAATCTTTTGTAGAGATGGGGTTTTGCTATGTTGCCTAGGCTGGTCTCAAACTTTTGGCCTCAAGTGATCCTCCCATCCCTGCCTCCCAAAGCACTGGGATTGTAGGTGTGAGCTACCACCCCCCAGCCTATTCCAAGATTTTTAACCTGACCATCTGTAAAGATGGAGTTGCCATTTACAGAGATGGGAAAACTGTGGAAGGAGCTGACTTGGAGGGAAAATTAAGGGTTTGGTTTTCGACATGTCAGGTTTGAAATATGTTTTGTAGCAAATTCAGATGTCAAGGAAGAGATGGAAATATGAGCAGAAGTTCAGAGAGATTGAGAGAGACAGAAATCTAGGCTAAGATTTGGGAATGGGCAGAGAGAGAGAACAGTATGCCAGAAGCCAAGCAAAAAAAAAAAAAAGTATTTTAAGAAGTTTAGGAACAATTGGCTGTAGCAAATGCTGCTGAAAGGTCAAGTAAGATGAGGATAATTGACCATTGGCTTTAGCAACATGTTGGTCATCAGTGACTATGACAAGAGTTAATAAGGGCAAAAATGGGTTATAATAGGTTCAGGAGAGAATGTGAGATGTATTGGAATTTACATGAAGGTACTCCACAAATGTGAAACAACATGAGCACAACAGTATTTGTTGTGACATTGTTTGTAATAATTATAAATATTGTAAATAATCTAAATGCTTACCCATGGGAAGCTGGTTGAGTAGACTATCATACATCTATACAGTGGCATACTATTTAATCATAGAAAAGAATGAAGACAATTTCTGTGAGCTGATACAAAATGATTTGCAGGAAAAACTCAGCAACAATAGCACTATGAGCACACAGATCGTGGTTTTAAAATACTGTTCCCAGGCCAGGTATGGTGGCTGACTCCTGTAATCCCAGCATTTTGGGAGACCCAGGCGGGAGGATTGCTTGAGCCCAGGAATTCTAGCCCAGCCTGGACAACCTAGTGAGATCCAGTCTCTACAAAAAATTAAAAATTAGCTAGGTGCGGTGGTGTATGCCTGCAGTCCCAGCTACTTCAGAGGCTGAAGCAGGAGGATCACTTGAGCCCAAGAGATCAAGGCTGTAGTGAGCTGTGATCATGCCACTGCACTCCAGCCTGGGCAACAAAGCGAGACCTTTTGTTTGTCTCAGTAAGTAAGTAAGTAAACAAATAAATACATACCATTCCTCACGAAAATGAACTAGACCAGGGCTGAGACCAAGCAAACAAAAATTGTGGGGTGAGAGGGGAAGCTCTTCAAGAATAATACGAGCAAATAAATGTGGGCAGCATGATTATTCTGCCTCCTCCAGTGTATTCAGGCAAGTCATCAGTAGATGATAAAATCTATTAGGTGAAAGGCCACTGAGGGGGAGCTTATTCACATGATCTGAAAGTTTCATCTCACCTATTACTTAATTACAGAGGGAATGAGGTAGCTTTACAATGGCAAGATCTGACATGCATCACCTTAACCAAATGATCAAATGTAGTAGCATCACAGTGGGACAAACAGACATTATGTGCATTGGACGTGATGTCCACAGCATCACCTATGTAATCATCTTGTCCAAAAAAAAAAAAACTTTAACCTATATCTAATCACGAAGAAACAATCAGACAAATCCAGAACATGGAACATTCTACAAGACAGCTGACATGGACTCTAAAAATGTCAGTGTCATGGCAGGCAAAATCCAGGGGGAAATGTAAGGGAAATTGAAGAGACAACCAAGAGCCACGTGAAATTTAATTAGATCCTATATCAAGAAAACAAAAATAATGCTATACAGGACATTTTTGGGACAATTAGGAAAATTGGAATATGGACTGCATGTTAAATAATGGTACTAAATCAGTGTTACAATGTCCTTGGTGTAATAGTATATTGGGTTATGAGGAGGATATCCTTGTTCCTAGAGAAACAAAGGGGAGAAGTGTCATAATGTCTGCAACTTACTTCGGGGAGGGGTTCACCTCCCCGAAAAGAGTATGTGTGTATATGTGTGTAGGTATGTATAGAAAGAATGAAAGCAAGCAAATGTGGCAAAATGTTAATTATTGTAAATGATGAGTTTAGGTGAATAATATAGTGTTGATTCTTTTAACTTTTTTTGTAGATCAGAATTTTTCACGTTAAAAGAATTAGGCAAAGAAATGATGAGGGGGAGAGAGAGAGAGAGAGAGAGAATAGGAACAGAGAAATTGGAGACATATGCTATATGATAGCATGTTTGTTGTATTGATAATAAGAATGACTCAATGTAGGGGGGTAATGATGGTAGAGGAAAGAGAGGGTATAATGTTAGAACAGTGCCCTTGAGTAGATGAAAAGGAATGGTACCTTGTGGCTGGGAGAGGCTGGCCTTAGGCCCTTGGGCTGTTCCTTCATAACAGAGGGGAAGGTAGAAAATAGGAAAATAGGTGGAGGTTGCCATATGTGATGGTGGAGCACAACGAAGTGCTCTCCTGATTGTTTTTATTTTCTCTGTTTAAAGACAAAATGGAGAGGAGGATGGAGGCTTGAGGAGGAAGGATGAGATGTATAAAATAAGCCATCTAGGAGAGTAGGAGAGTGAATAGACTTGTGTAATGCATTAGCAGCACTTAATGGTCTCCTTGAGGTTAGTAGTCATATTAGCATTGTGTGTTTTTACCAGCCTCATTCAACAGCAGATACAGGTATGGAATAGGTGGAGAACTGGATTTAAGCAGGGTTGAGTATTGCTAGGCAGTACAATGAAGGGAAAAGTGGCAAGGGAGTGGTTTTAATGAGGGACCATGGACTGATATGGATGAGGAAAGAAGTAAGGCCGGGCGCGGTGTCTCACGCCTATAATCCCAGCACTTTGGGAGGCTGAGGCGGGCAGATCACCTGAGGTCGGGAGTTCAAGACCAGCCTGACCAACATGGAGAAACCGCATCTCTACTAAAAATTCAAAATTAGCCAGGCATGGTGGTGCATGCCTGTAATCCCAGCTACTCGGGAGGCTGAGGCAGGAGAATTGCTTGAACCTGAGAGGCGGAAGTTGTGGTGAGTTGAGATCACACCATTGCACTCCAGCCTGGGCAACAAGAGCAAAACTCTGTCTCAAAAAAAAAAGAAAAAAAGAAGGAAGTAAAGGATATAAGGTAGATGAAAAAATAATAAAAAACAAGCAAAAAATAAAAAAACAAAGCATAGTGGGAGAGCAGGAAATGGTCCAGCAGAACAATGAGGCTTTTATTATTTTAAAGTATACAGGCTGAGTGCGGTGGCTCATGCCCGTAATCCCAGCACTTTGGGAGGCCGAGGCAGGTGGATCACCTGAGGTCAGGAATTCGAGACCAGCCTGGCCAACATGGCGAAACCCTGTCTTTACTAAAAATATAAAAATTAGCCGGGCGTGGTGGCATGCTCCTTTAGTCCCAGCTACTCCAGAGGCTGAGGCAGGAGAATTGCTTGAACCTAGGAGGTGGAGGTTGCAGTGAGCCGAGATCATGCCACTGCACTCCAGCCTGGGTGACAGAGCGAGACTCTCTCAAAAAAAAAATAATAATAAAGTATACAATTCAGTGGGTTTTAGTGTATTTACAAAGTTGTAGAGCCATCACCACTAATTCCAGAACATTTTCATCATCCTGGGAAGAAACTCATACCCATTAGCAGTCATACTCTATTCCTTCCTTTCTCCAGACCCTAGCAACCACTAATCTACTTTGTTTCTATGAATTTGTCTATTCTGGACATTTCGTATAAGTGGAACCATACAATATCGGGTCTTTTTGTGTCACTCAGCATAATATTTTCAAGATTCATCCGTACTGTAGCATGTATCAGCACTACCTTCTTTCTTATTACCAAATAATATTCCATTGTATGGATGTACCAATTTTGTTTATCCATTTATCAGTTGATAGGTGTTTGTGTTGTTTCTACTTTTTGGCTATTATTAATAATGCTGCTATGAACATTCATATGCAAAGTTTTGTGTAGACAAATTTTTTTTTCTTTTTCTTTTTTTTTTTTTGAGACAGAGTCTCACTCTGTTACCCAGGCTGGAGTATAGTGGTGCAATCTCAACTCACCGCAACCTCCATCTCCTGGGTCAAACGGTGCTCATGCCTCAGCCTCCTGAGTAGCTGGGATTACAGGTGCACACCACCACACCCAGCTAATTTTTGTATTTTTAGTAGAGACGGGGTTTCACCATGTTGGCCAGGCTGGTCTCAAGCTCCTGACCTCAAGAGATCCGCTCATCTCAGCCCCCACAAAGTGCAAGCATTACACGTGTGAGCCACCACACCCAGCGGGACATGTATTATCAATTTGCAGTGAGGATTTCAAACCAAATTTTGCCTAATTCTTTTTACTTACTATGCCACTCACTAAAACTCCATGGTCTTAAACATCTAAACTTTATTCATAGGAGAATGGTAGCAGATGCTGTCAGTGTTCCTTCTATATCCCCTCAGATCCCTTTTCCATTTTCTTGCACATGGATACTCCCAACATCCAGCAGATACGTCTCCGTTGGAGGGCTGCTCTTTGCCTACTTGGAGAGAAAGCCAAAAAATACTTGGAAATTTACTTCCCACCAGCAGCTGTTCTTAACCAGTGACTCATTTCTCTTTGCCCTAATTGGGACGACATTTAGATTGGA
Organism: Homo sapiens; assembly: GCF_000001405.40. Taxonomy (NCBI): domain Eukaryota; kingdom Metazoa; phylum Chordata; class Mammalia; order Primates; family Hominidae; genus Homo; species Homo sapiens. Next base: position 75,159,710 of record NC_000010.11, read on the forward strand.
CCTACACTGTCCCAAATTACCCATAAGCCTGAGCGAAAGTTACCCTTTCCTGAGTTCTCCACAGGGCTTTGCTTGATGTCTCACCCTTGCTTTGCTTCCTTGCCTTCTAATCTCATAACCCACTACCCTGTGGGTTTTCTTTGAGAACATTTCCCTGTAATTGACTTTCACACTGATGTTTGTTTCAGGGTCTGCTTCTGAAGCTTATTTTACACAAATCCAATATGTTCAGCATATAGAAACAGAAAATTAGAAGAAGATAGGAATGTTTCTAGAAGCAGGCCCACCTACAGCAGTGAGAAGTGAGAGCTGATAACCATAATAGCAAGGGAGGAAACAAAACACTATAAAAAGCAAACATAAATAATGGAAAAACTGCATCAATCTGGGGCTTAACTGCCCTTCATTTCTCAGTAGTCTCCAAGGTCATTACCATATACAGTGTAATAATCAGTGTTCATAGTGATGACTCTAAATTACTAAAGAAAATTAAATTTTTTTTTTTGAGACAGAGTCTTGCTCTGTCGCCCAGGCTGGAGTGCAGTGGCGCGATCTCGGCTCACTGCAAGCTCCGCCTCCTGGGTTCACGCCATTCTCCTGCCTCAGCCTCCCAAGTAGCTGGGAGTACAGGCGCCCGCCACCACGCCAGGCTAATTTTTTTTTTTTTTTGTATTTTTTAGTAGGGACGGGGTTTCACTGTGTTAACCAGGATGATCTCGATCTCCTGTCCTTGTGATCCGCCCACCTTGGCCTCCCAAAGTGCTGGGATTACAGGCGTGAGCCACCATGCCCAGCCAAGAAAATTAAATTATATCCAGAAAAAAGACATATCCATGTATAATGCATTTTAAAAGCTTAGCTCAAAATAATATAAGGGATTGAATACACATTTGACAGGTTCCTCACAACAGTCCACTAAAATGGCAGTAAAAGAGTGAAGAAACTGTATAATCCCATGAAAGCAAAAACAGTGCTAATAATGAAAGTTTGGAAAGTAGAACGCTAAGTACCTGTTGTGAGGTTGTGGGTGGAAGGTGGCCCTGCCCAAGAGGTAAGTTTATTTGTACTTCAGAGCTCCCATAAAACAGAAAGTACCAAGCATCACTCAAGGCCAGGTACAGATAGGAGCTAAATAGGGGAAAGTTGGTTAAAAATCTTCTTAAGCCTGGGCAACATGGTGAAACCCTTTCTCTACAAAAAATACAAAAATTAGCCAGGCATGGTGGAGTGTGCCTGTAGTCCCGGGTATTGGGGAGTCTGAGGTGGGAGGATGGCTTGATCCCAGGAGGTGGAGGTTGCAGTTAGCCGCGATTGCGCCACTGTACTGCAGCCTGGGCCGCAGAGTGAGACCCTGTCTCAAAAAAAAAATCTACTTAAGCTTTTAGACCTGCTCTACTCTGACAGAAGACTAGTGGTCTGTTCTCCAGAGCAGTTGAATATGAAGCACTGTTGACTTAGGGATACCGTGTCCAGATGAGAACAGAGCTGCCATGTTTTAAAGAGGATTCATTAAAAGTCTATATACCAATCACAGAGACTTCTAGCTCCCTTCCTTAAGTAGCCAGACTTATTTCTCATCTCCCCTCCTACCCAACCCCAGCCTTCCAAGAAGGGTAAGATTCCTTTCCTTGGAAAACCTGAAGAAAAACAATGTAAATAGCTGGTTGGGATATCCTTTTCTAATCAACCAGATCTCTGCGCACCCTGAGTGCGCAGAGAAACCCAAAGCTTGACAGAGCTCAGTCTATGCCCACAGAATGTCTCATCTTTTTTAGTACTTTACTGTCAAATATGAATGGTCAGTCAAGAAACCAGACGTCTGAGAAAAACATAAGCGCAAACAGAAAAAAAAAAGTAAATTGGAAAACAAAATAAGGAGCAGACGAACACTTAAAAAAAAACTTTCGTGTTTTCAAGAGAAATAAGAGATGTTGCATTCTATGTGACAGTAATGAGAGGCCCAAAGAAAATTCAGAGAAAAAGAGCTTTTGGGGGAAAAAAAAAAAGTAGAGATTTAAAATCCAGCAGGGGCTGGGCGTGGTGGTTTACACCTGTAATCCTTTGGGAGCGCTTTGGGAGCACTTTGGGAGGCCGAGGTGGCCAGGTCACCTGAGGTCAGGAGTTCAAGACCAGCCTGGCCAACATGGGAAAACCCCATCTCTACTAAAAATGCAAAAATTAGCCAGGCGTGGTGGCAGGTGCCTATAATCCCAGCTACTCGGGAGGCTGAGACAGGGAGAATTGCTTGAACCCAGGAGGCAGAAGTGGCAGTAAGCCAAAATCACGCCACTACAGTCCAACCTGGGCAACAGAGCAACACTCCGTCTCAAAAAAATAAATAAATAAAAAATAAAATCCAGCAGGATTGGCCAGCCACCATGGTTCACACCTGTAATCCTAGCACTTCTGGAGGCCAAGGCAGGTGGATCACGTGAGGTCAGCAGTTTGAGACCGGCCTAGCCAACATTGTGAAACGCTTTCTCTACTAAAAATACAAAAATTAGCTGGGCGTGGTGGTGGGCACCTGTAATCCCAGCAACGCGGGAGACTGAAGCACGAGAATTGCTTGAACTCAGGAGGTGGAGGTTGCAATGAGCCAAGATTGCATCATTGCACTCCAGCCTGGGCGACAAAGCGAGACTGTGTTTCAAAAAAGTGAGGCTGGGCACGTGGCTCACGCCTGTAATCCCAGCACTTTGGGAGGCTGAGGCAGGCGGATGACCTGAGGTCAGGATTTCGAGACCAGCCTGACCAACATGGAGAAACCCCATCTCTACTAAAAATACACAATTAGCCGGGCCTGGTGCTGCATGCCTGTAATCCCAGCTACTTGGGAGGCTGAGGCAAGAGAATTGCTTGAACCCAGGAGGCGGAGGTTGTGGTGAGCCGAGATCGCGCCATTGCACTCCAGCCTGGGGAACACGAGTGAAACTCCGTCTCAAAAAAAAAAAAAAAAAAAAACTGAATTGCCAAGATGAGAGTTAATTTTATTCTAGGAAATAACCATGCAGGAGGATTGGAAAATACAACCATTCTAAATTGGAATAAAAGGGAGAAGGCTCTAGGAGAGATTGCCCTGGAGGAAAAATTGAAATTGATAGTTTGGGGATGAGTTAGTAATAAGCACTCAGGAAACACAGAGCAAACTAAAAAAAAGAAGAATTTATTAGCTCCAGAGAATTACAAAAAGTTGTACAAGAGAGGAATTTTTTTTTCTTTTTTTCTTTTTTTTTGAAACAGAGTCTCGCTCTGTCACCCAGGCTGGAGTGCAGTGGCAACGATCTCGGCTCACTGCAACCTCCGCCTCCCGGGTTCAAGCAGTTCTCTGCCTCAGCCTCCCGAGTAGCTGTGACTACATGTGCCTGCCACCATGCCCGGCTAATTTTTTTGTATTTTTAGTAGAGACGGGGTTTAACCATGTGGGCCAGGCTGGTCTTGAACTCCTGACCTCGTGATCCACCCGCCTTGGCCTCCCAAAGTGCTGGGATTATAGGCGTGAGCCACCGTGCCCAGCCATGTTTTCTTTTTTTAAATACCTTTATTTCCCTAGTTATAAAATTAACATGTCATTGTAGAAAAGTTTTTAGTAGAAATGTACAAAGAATAAAAGAAACGTCAATAATTCTGGCACCCAGAGATGACCTATTGGACTATTTTGTTCGTTTCAGTCTCCTTCCCCTTCCTTTCTTCCTCCCTTCCTCCCTACCTTCCTTCTTTCTTCCCTCTTTCTTTTTTTCTTTTTTGAGACAGGGTCTGGTTCTGTCGCCTAGGTTGGAGGCAGTGATGAAACCTCGGCTCACTGCAACCTCTGCCTCCCAGGCTCAAGCCATCCTCCCACCTCAGCCTTCCAAGTAGCTGGGACTTACAGGCGCGCAGCACCGCATCTGGCTAATTTTTGTATTTTTTGTAGAGACCTGGGAGTTGGGGTTGTTCACCATGTTGCCCAGGCTGGTCTCCTGAACTCCTGAGTTTAAGTAGTTGGCCCACCTCAGCCTCCCAAAGCACTGGGATTACAGGCGTGATCCACCATGCCCAGCCTCTTTCTTTCTTTTTCTCTCCCTCTCTCTCCTTTTTCTTTCTTAAAGTGACCTGTCCTTTATTAGTGGGTAATCATAGGAGCTGTTTGGTGGGGAGGAAAAAGGGACAAATTGAAAATAGAAAAAAAACCAGGGTTACAAAACAAGGGGGGATAGAGAGAAAGAGGTAAAACAAAAAACAAAAACAAGGGGCCAGGCGCTGTGGCTCACACCTGTAATCTCAGCACTTTGGAAGTCTGAGACGGGAGAATCACTTGAGCTCAGGAGTTTGAGACCAGCCTGGGCAACAAAGTGAGACCCCATACAAAAAATACAAAAAGTTAGCCAGGCATAGTTTCACGGGCCTTGTAGTCCCGGCCACTTAGGTGGCTGAGGTGGGAGGATCACTTGAGCCCTGGGCTGTCTAGGCTGCAGTCAGCTGTGATGGCACCACTGTACTGCAACCTGGGTGACAGAGCAAGACCCTGTTTCAAAAACAACAACAACAATAACAACAAAGCATCAAGTTCAAACCCTGATTGTTTGCACTCTGAAAAGAGCACTTCATGCAAGAAATGGGCCTTTCTCCCATTGTCCTTTGTGGGTAGTCCTATATCCAGATCTGCTGTGCTATAGGATGGGAGAAAAGGGTTGCCACTTCTTTTTTTTTTTTTTTCCTCTGGTATTTGCTGTCAGAGAACCCTAACTGGGAATCAATGGACAAGAAACAGGTTCCGATAGGTGGGGGTACTTTATGACACAGATTTTTTCTCCCAGTTTCTCCAAATATCATTTTCTGTAAGAGATAAGTTATATAAAACCAATTTTAAGGTCATTATTAAAAGAGCACCTTACTGAAAAGGGTGGCATCATTCACATGTATACTTCTTCAATTCAAAATCATTTTTTTCTGTTCCAGCGTTCCTAGAATCCCATGGGCCTTTGCCATGACGGAAGTATGTGGCATGATTCTGTGCTATATTTGGCTCCTGGTTCTTCTTCTTCACAAGCACAGGTACCTCATTACTCCATTAAATGACTGAAAATGTTTTGACTCCTGTATCAAGATCATAAAATCTTAACCTTTCTCTTTGCAGTTTCCTTGTTAATTTCCTTCTCTGGTCATTGTGACATAGTTATTAACAAAGGATTTTGAGTTTGATCAGTAAGAGTCAGCCTAAGATAATATCTACATATTTAGTAATAATCCTGAATGCATTTTGCACGGAAAGATCAGAGATGCCCTATGGCTGATCGTGCTCATCTCTGATCTAAAAAAAAGAGGCTGGGCGCGGTGGCTCATGCCTGTAATCCCAGCACTTTGGGAGGCCGAGGCAGGCGGATCACCTGAGGTTAGGAGTTCGAGACCAGCCTGACCAACATGGAGAAATCCCGTCTCTACTAAAAATACAAAATTAACTGGGCGTGGTGGCGCATGCCTATAATCCCAGCTACTTGGGAGGCTGAGGCAGGAGAATCGCTTGGACCCCAGGGTCGGACATTGTGGTGAGCTGAGATAAGAAAGCCTTTTCTTTCCTTAGAAACAAACTGGAAAAGTTACTTTCTGTAGGATAGAAACTCTTCCAAGGACATTCTTTGGTCACATGTTTAGATGGAAGAAATTTTCTCTGCTTTGAGGAGGCCCATTAAAAAAGAGATTATTGGCCGGGCACGGTGGCTCATGCCTGTAATCCCAGCACTTTGGGAGGGCAAGGCAGGCGGATCACGAGGTCAGGAGATTGAGACCATCCTGGCTAACACGGTGAAACCCTGTCTCTACTAAAAATACAAAATATTAGCTGGGCATGGTGGCGGGTGCCTGTAGTCCCAGCTAACTTGGGAGGCTGAGGCAGGAGAATGGCATGAACCCAGGAGGCAGAGCTTGCAGTGAGCCGAGATTGTGCCACTGCACTCCAGCCTGGGCGACAGAGTGAGACTCTGTCTCAAAAAAAAAAAAAAAAGATTATTAGCCAGGCACAGTGGCACATGCCTGTAACCCCAGTACTTTAGGAGGCTGAGGTGGGAGGATTGCTTGAGCCCAGGTGTTCAAGACCAGCCTGGGAAACATGAGGAGACCCTGTCTCTACAAAAAATTTAAAGATTAACCAGGTGTGGTGGCACATGCCTATAGTCCCAGCTTCTCAGGAGGCTGAGGTGGGAGGATTGCTTGAGCCCAGGAGGTCAAGGTTGCAGTGAGCTGTGATTGTGCCACTGCACTCCAGCGTGGGGTGACAGAGCCAGACCCTGTCTCCAAAAAAAAAAAAAAAAAAAAAGAAAGATTATTTTGTACAACATGTACATATAGTCTGTGTGGTTTACTTCAGATGGTATGGGAAGTTGCTAAATTGGAAAGTGTGTCTTGGCACTTTCACCAAAAAATATAGACGAAAGAATTTATTTACTTTCATTTTATTTACTTTTACTGCTTCTTGTGGAGCAGGGCTAACTCACAGGCAGTGTACCCAGAGTCAGCCAGGAAAAATTTTTTAATTAAAAAAAGGAAGCCTGGGGGGCTCCTTTCCTAGTTTAATGGGCAGGAAGAATTAGTGGATTTAAGTAAAAAACAAGGCATTGTAAACAAAAAATTTAAAGATAAAATTAGTAGATATTGCATAAGAGCTCCTGAGGGGCTTTTTAAAAAACTGTAGATATGTGAGCTTTTGAGATTGCTTAAAAAAAAAAAAAATTGTAGCTTCTGCTCTCCATTGTCTTTGGAACACTGGAGAGAGGAACAAGGGTAGTTGCTTGAGGTTTTGACCTTTCTCCTCACCAGGAAGTGCTTGAGGTAAACCACAGTGATGAGCTTTAGGTCCTAAGCAGCAGTTATTTCAGTGTTCTGAAGGTGAAAAGAAAGGTTGGTGGTTACTATTCTTATCATACTTTTAGGCCACATTGAGCCATATTCTCTCCCATTTTGTCCTGTTTTGCAGCAATATTTTAAATTCTGGATTGCTTAAAACCAGAGGTGGTTTTAAAACATGTGTATCATTGCTGCTTTCTGGTTAACTTTGCCTCACAAGATCTCATGAACTTGAATTTATCTACTCTTCAAAACTGGAGTTTACCTTACAGGAAACCTTGGTAGGTTTAACAAAGCATAGAGGTAACCCGTTAAATCCAAGTGTTAATGTTTACTTAGTCAAAGAAAGTGTTTCTCAAAGTGTTTGTACCACTTTCATTAGAATCACCTGGGTGCTTGTTAAAATGCAGATTCCTAGGTTCCATCTCAGGAGTGCACACTAATGCTTGAAACATACCTAGCCTTGTGTTCAGTGCTTTCTCTGAGGGTGGGAGGATCATTTCAAAAATATGTGATGTATGGTCCCTGTCCTCAGGAATATTAGTCCAACAGTACTGGTGTTGTCACAGTGCAGTTCATGATTACCCAAGTGACAGTTACTCAGAATTTTTATTTGATATATACTTGATATAAACATTTTTTTTAAAACATAGTGTTTTATAGCTTAAGTTTAAGTTAAGAGAAGTTAGAATGAGTATTCGATAGCTACTATCATTAACTAATTTACAGTGGGTTTTTTTGTTTTGTTTGAGATAGGGTCTTGCCCTGTCACCCAGGCTAGAGCACAGTGACATGATCATGGCTCACTGCATCCTTGACCTCCTAGGCTCAATCAGTCCTCTCCCCTCAGCCTAGGACTGCAGATACACACCAACATGCCTGACTAATTTTTTATAGACAAGATGTTACTGTGTTGCCCAGGCTGGTCTCAAGCGATCCTCCTTCCTGCCTTGGTCTCCCAAAGTTCTGGGATTATAGACATGAGCCACTGCACCTAGCCTACAGTGTTATTAATGAGCAAAAAATTCCCTGGAATCACAGGTGTTTAACTTTACCTCCTTTTTTTGTTTTTTATTTTTATTTTTTGAGACAAGTCTCATTCTGTAACCCAAGCTAGAGTGCAGTGGCACAATCATAGCTTGCTGCAGCCTCCAACTCCCAGGCCCAAGCAACCCTCCCACCTCAGCCTCTCAAGTAGCTGGGATCACAGGTGTGCACCACCACATCCAGCTCATTTTTAAATTATTTGTAGAGATGAGGTCTGGTTATGTTGCCCAAGCTGTTGTCAAACTTTTGGACTCAAGCAATCCTCCCACCTTGGCCTCCCAAAGGGCTGCAATTACAAGCATGAGCCACCATCCTCGGCCAACTTTATCTCTTATAAATAATTTAAGAGCAATTTTCAGTAATAGGACTAACACCAGGCTTACTTGTCTTCTGTCTTGTATAACTCTTTTACTTTCTTTTAGCCATATTTTCTTTTTTTTTGAGACGGAGTTTCACTATTGTTGCCCAGGCTGGAGTGCAATGGCGCAGTCTTGGCTCACTGCAACCTCCACCTCCCGGGTTCAAGTGATTCTCCTGCCTCAGCCTCTCAAGTAGCTGGGATTACAGGCACACACCACCACGCCTGGACTCTTAGCCATATTTTCTTATCAGTGAAATGATGCTCTTAGAATCTAATTTAGGTCTGTATTGTTCATTATGGCAAAATTTAAATTAACTAAAATGAAATAAAATTTAAAACTCAGTTCCTCAGTCATACTGGCCACATTTCAAGTCCGTAAGATCCACATAGTATATAAATAGCTTCTTGGACAGTATATGGAACATTTCCGTCATTGCAGAGAATTCTGTTGGACAACGATGCTTTTGATGGTCTTTAAGATTTCTGTCCTCTTCAAAGAGTCTAGTGATTTTTCTGTTTGCTCTTCCTTGAAGTAAATATTTGATGCCTGGGGTTTTTTGGTTTGTTTTCTTCTGATCTTTCCCCCTTTTTGGTTGATCTGTTACAGGTCAATACTTCTGCGAAGGCTCTGTAGTCTGATGGGAACTGTATTCTTGCTTCGCTGCTTTACCATGTTTGTGACCTCCCTCTCCGTGCCAGGACAACACCTGCAGTGTACTGGAAAGGTAGCCTGCTACCTTCTTTATCATTCTTGTTTTTGGTGGGTTGATGGCACACTATATGCAATAGGGCTAAGATTTTGCTTATAGTATTAAAATGTGCTTTTTAGTATCTGCAATGTCTATAAAAAAAACTATAGAAATAATTTGGTAAAAGTCTTAAGCCAGATTCTACCTCTCTCTTATTTCTGTTGAAACTCGTTCTATGCTATGGAGCTATAGAAAACAAGTTTCTTTCGGCCGGGCGCAGTGGCTCATGCCTGTAATCCCAGCACTTTGGGAGGCCGAGGCGGGCGGATCATGAGGTCAGAAGTTCAAGACCAGCTGGGCCAAGATGGTGAAACTCCGTCTCTACTAAAAATACAAAAATTAGTTGGGCGTGGTGGTGGGCACTTGTAATCCCAGCTACTCAGGAGGCTGAGGCAGAGAATTGCTTGAACCCGGGAGGTGGAGGTTGCAATGAGCTGAGATCGTGCCACTGCACTCCAGCCTGGGCAACAGAGCGAGACTCCATCTCAAAAAAAAAAAAAAAAAAAAAAAAGTTTTTATTTTGGCCGGGCGCAGTGGCTCATGCCTGTAATCCCAGCACTTTGGGAGGCCAAGGTGGGTGGATCACGAGGTCAGGAGTTTGAGACCAGCCTGGCCAAGATGGTTAAACCCCATCTCTACTAAAAATACAAAAATTAGCCAGGTGCAGTGGTGGACGCCTGTAATCCCAGCTACTCGGGAGGCTGAGGTTCAATCGCTTGAACCTGGGAGGCGGAGGTTGTAGTGAGCCGAGATCGCACCACTGCACTCTAGCCTGGGCAACAGAGCAAGACTCTGTCTCAAAAACAAAGAAAGAAAGAAAGAAAGAAAGAAAACAATTTTCTTTCAATTATCATTTTCCCTTTCCCACCATCCTTAGCATTTTAAAAGTTTCTCATATGGCATGCTCTGGTTCCTTCACTGTCCTCCTCACTCCTTTAAAAATGTTGCCGGCCAGGTGCAGTGGCTCACGCCTGTAATCCCAGCACTTTGGGAGGCCAAGGCGGGTGGATCACCTGAGGTCAGGAGTTAAAGACCCAGCGTGGCCAACATGGTGCAGTCTACTAAAAATACAGAAAATTACCTGGTCGTGGTGACGGGCACCTGTAATCCCAGGTACTCGGAAGGCTGAGGCATGAGAGTCACTTGAACCCAGGAGGCGGAGGTTGCAGTGAGCCAAGATGGCACCATTGTACTCCAGCCTGGGCAACAAGAGTGAATCTGCATCTCAAAACAAAACAAACAAACAAACAAAAAGAAAGTTGCAGTTTGACGACATACTCAGCACTCTAAACTTTACTCTTTCTGAGATAAACAAAATAATGGCTGACTTTTGGTTTTCATTTTATATTTTGTGGATTTGTTTTGGTGTACTGTAGACATCTCTTCTCATTAAACAGAAGAAATTATGCAGATGGGAACAAAATAAGACTGTTAAAATCGCCTGTACTTTATATACAAAATTGGCTAAAATCTGTATACAAATTTGCAAAGAATTTTGTCCAAATTATATACAAATTTGGACAAAAGAACTCTACTTTTCTAGGCCTCTATGCTTTAATTCTGTGTTCTCACATATTCAAATAAATGTATGTGTTAACACCTTTGTAATTATTTTAATGTTGTTTGTAACAGCATTCACGTTCACTTCTTGTACTGCAATATCATAGCTGAAATGCCAACAAGGGAAGATTAAGCAGCCAAAGGAGATCAAGAGCTAAAAATATACCCCTGAGCTGAAGGGTGACAAAACTTTCTCCTGGTATTAGGAAGGCTTAGACTGACCAGTAAGAAAGGGGGAAGGGTTGATATGACACAGGATTTCATGTAAAGGAAATGTTTTATTTTTAAGGTAAAAGCTGTTTTGAGGTCTTTTTTTCTTTTTCCAAAAAGGAAAAGTAATTTTTTCAAATTATAAAATTATATGTTTATTATAAAAATTCAAATTATATAGAAATGTATATATTAAAAAGTAAAAATTCACCTGATTCTTTTTTACCACACCCTATAAATAATACAGTTAACAGTTGTGTGTATAGCCACACAGACCATTTTTAAGCATACTTACACACTCATATAAGTTTTTTTGGGTTTTTTTTTTTTTTTTTTTTTGAGGTGGAGTCTTTCCCAGTCGCCCAGGCTGGAGTAGTGTGGCACAGTCTTGGCTCACTGCAACCTCCTCTTCCCAAGTTCAAGCCATTCTCCTGCCTCAGCCTCCCGAGTAGCTGGGACCATCACACCTGGCTATTTTTTGTATTTTTAGTAGAGATGGGGTTTCTCCATGTTGGCCAGGCTGGTCTCGAACTCCTGACCTCAGGTGATCCACCCGCCTTGGCCTCCCAAAGTGTTGGGATTACAGGTGTGAGCCACAGCGCCTGGCCCTCATATAAGTTTTCATAGATACTTTTGAAACAAGGTAGGATTATATTGCAAACATTGTTCTTTAACCTAGTTTTCCTTTTCTTTCTTTCTTTCTTTTTCTTTTTTTTTTTTTTTTTTTTTTTTGAGATGGAGTCTCGCTGTGTCACTCAGGCGGGAGTGCAGTGGCACAATCTCGGCTCACTGCAAACTCTGCCTCCCAGGTTCATGCCATTCTCCTGCCTCAGCCTCCCGAGTAGCTGGGACTACAGGCGCCCGCCACCATGCATGGCTAATTTTTTTGTATTTTTAGTAGAGACGGGGTTTCACTGTGTTAGCCAGGATGGTCTCGATCTCCTGACCTCATGATCCGCCCGCCTTGGCCTCCCAAAGTGCTGAGATTACAGGCGTGAGCCATCGCGCCCAGCCTCTTTAGCCTATTTTTCATTTAATAGTATGTTGTTTACTTTTTTCTGAAGAAGTACATGTGGTCATATTCATCTTTTTAACAGTATTCCATTGTGGATACCAGGCTCCAAATGATGTACATTTTGGTTGTTTCAAAATTTTAGTATTTATAAACAGTGCTATAGTAAACATTCTTGTACATTGTGCTTTTGCACTTACTCAGTTATCTCCTTAAGATAAATTATTGCAAGTAAAATTATAGAATTAAAGGACATGCACATTAAAAAATATAATATGGGCTAGACAAGGTGGCTCATGCCTGTAATCCCAGCACTTTGGGAGTCCAAGGTGGGCGGATCACTTGAGGCCAGGAGTTCAAGACCAGGCTGGCCAACATGATGAAACCCCATCTCTACTAAAAATACAAATAATTAGCTGGGCATGGTGGCGGGCACCTGTAATCCCAGCTACTCGGGAGGCTGAGGCAGAAGAATCACTTGAACCTGGGAGGCAGAGGCTGCAGTGAGCTGAGATCACACCACTGCACTCCAGCCTGGGTGACAGAGCGAGACTCCATCTCAAAAAAAAAAAAAAAAGTGGTATGTGTTGCTGAAATACACACTTGAAAAGATGAGTTTTTCACTACTGCCAACATGTATGCGTGTCAGCTTTCTCACCCTCTTGCCAGCAGTGCCATTCTGATTGATGAAAGGTAATATCTAATGCTTTTATGTTCTTATTTTTTTATATTTTACATGTTTAATTTATTTTGAATTTGTTTCTGTGCATGGTGTGCGCAGTTTCTTCAAAATAGTATGCTGTGTACATGGTATGAAGCGTTTCACCCAAATAGTATTCTAGTTGATTAGGGGAGATTTTATTGTATTTTAGTCATTGTTTTTTTAAGACAGATTCTCGCTTTGTCACCCAGGCTAGAGTATAGTGTGGCATGATCATAGCTCACTGTCAGCCTAAAATTCCTGGTCTCAGGCAGTCCTCCTGCATCAGCCTTCTGAGTAGCTGGGACCACAGGCACACGCCACCACAGCCAACTGATTTTTTTTTTTTTTTAGACGGAGTCTTTCTCTGTCGCCCCGGCTAGCGTGCGGTGGTGCGATCTTGGCTTACTGCATCCTCCACCTCCTGGGTTCAAGGGATTCTCCTGTCTCAGCCTCCCAAGTAACTGGGATCACAGGCGCCTGCCACCACACCCAGCTAATTTTTGTATTTTCAGTAGAGATGGGGTTTCACCATCTTGGCCAGGCTGGTCTTGAACTCCTGACCCCATGATCCACCTGCCTCGACCTCCGAAAGTGCTGGGATTACAGGCGTGAGCCACCGTGCCTGGCCTAATTTTAATTTTTTTTTTGTAGAAACAGGATTTCACTTTGCTGCTCAGGCTGGTCTCGAGCTCCTGACTTCAAGTGCTCTTTCCATCTCCACCTCTCAAAGTGTTGGGATTACAGGCATGAGCCACCATACCTAGCCAGGACAGATTTTAAAGAAGAAAAATATAAGCTTATTACACTGAAAAGAGAAAATTTTCCATAGCTAAGGGATTTAATTGTAGGACAGCCACTGAGGAGAGGGATATCCGTGCATAGGGCTGCAACATATGCTGCAAAAATAAATTAGATACCATCCTTCTATGGTATAAACAGCCCTTTTTCTGTCTCTAATGACTGTTTTTATCAGTTGGTTATATATAGATATTTCTACTCCAATCTGACCTAAATACTGTTAATTGCTTTGAATTATAATATAACCTACTTATTGACCCGTATTATTTGCAGTAATTGTTATAAATAGAAATCAAATCCCTTACAGTGAATTCCATAAGGTAGTTTCATTATAATAAATTAATTGCTTGAAATTGCATTCCTGGAAGTAAGGGGTTTGAGGACAGAACCAATAACATGCCTATTTTTGAAATTTAGAAACACTTAATGCATATTTCTACACCTTCTCTTGTCAAAACATCCTATTCATTCTGCTCCGTTGTGTTTCAGTTTTTATTTTTTGGAAGGATATATGAGACATTTAAGATGGGAAAGGATGGAGAGATAACTGCCTTTTGACTGGCATCACTAGTTTCCTATCCTTGGTTGAGACATTTTCCTACCAGTCTCTTCTGTTTATTTACTACATGATTTTTTACTTTCTCAAGAGTAATATATCTCTAAGCCCGTGTTCATAGCGATCACAGAAGAACCAAACCCATGTGTATTATCTTTCTTTCTCTCTAATAATAAATTCTTCTTCCTTTCTTTCCCTCAAATGAGGCAGAAAGGGAAAGCTGGGCAGTGTATAATCAGCAGGTGAGATTCCTAATGAGATTGTGATATCTATGAGGTTGTTTATTTTGGTCATATTTGATAGAATCTTTAAGACATAGGGCTTTGGAATTGGGTTCCCTGGGTTCACATCCTGACTGTGTTACTTACTAGCTATGTGACCTCTCTAAGCCAGTTTCCTCATCTGCACAATTAAATCACTTCATAGGATTGCTGTGGAAATTAAATGCAGTAACATATAAAGCACTTAGCAGCATGCCTTGCACATAGTAAATGTACATAAAATTTTAGCACCTTTTTGTACCATTATTATGTTATTATTAAATTGTATTATTATAATAATACTAGTATGCCTTTTTGTGTGTGGTTTTTGTTGTTGTTGTTGTTTTTTTGAGACGGAGTCTCGCTCTGTCGCCCAGGCTAGAGTGTAGTCAGGCTAGAGTGCAGTGGCGCGATCTCTGTTCACTGCAAGCTCCACCTACCGGGTTCACGCCATTCTTCTGCCTCAGCCTCCCGAGTAGCTGGGACTGCAGGTGCCCGCCACCAAGCCCGGCTAATTTTTTGTATATTTAGTAGAGATGGGGTTTCACCGTGTTAGCCAGGATGGTCTCAATCTCCTGACCTTGTGATCCACCCACCTCGGCCTCCCAAAGTGCTGGGATTACAGGCGTGAGCCACCGTGCCTGGCCTCTTTTTTTTTTTTTTTTTTTTTGAGATGGAGTTTTGCTCTTGTTGCCCAGGCTGGAGTGCAATGGCACGATTTCTACTCACCACAACCTACCCCTCCCGGGATCAAGAGATTTTCCTGCCTCAGTCTCCTGAGTAGCTGGGATTACAGGCATGTGCCACCATGCCCAGCTAATTTTTGTACTTTTAGTAGAGATGGGTTTTCCATGTTGGTCAGGCTGATCTCGAACTCCTGACCTCAGATGATCCACCCACCTCGGCCTCTCAAAGTGCTGGGATTATAGGCGTGAGCCACCGCACCCTGCAGTATGCTTTTTTTTTTTAAGTGACTGTCCCTCTTTTGTAAAGCAGTTGTCACTCAAGGTCTTCCTCAAAATGGACTGCTTTTTTAGGCGTATGTGTGGGAGTTGGGATTAGGTTTGGCTATTGATAACTGGAAATTCAAAGTGGCTATGGTTTAATAAACACACAATGGTTTATTCTCTCTCAAAAAAGAGTCTGAAGGTAGGTACACAAGGTCTGGTATGATAATTTTACGAAGTCATCCAAAAAAACCCCATAATTCTTCTGTCTTTCTGGTCTGCTATCCCAATACTTGGCTTGTATCCTCAAGGCCACTTTGTGGTCCAAGATGGTTGCTGGAGTTTCACCTCCAGTTGAATGAGTCTGAGTTGTAGACTAAAAAAAGGAAAGGTAAAAAGTTAGAAAAGACTTCCTCAAAACTGTTGTCTCTTACCTTGATAAGTAGCCTTCCCAGAAACCCTTAACACTTCTACTTAGATCTTATTGTACAGAACTTAGTCACGTGGCCACACCTAGCTACAAGGGAGGCTGGGAAAGGCAATATTTTGGCTGAATTCATTGCTGCCTCAATATATTTGAGATTGTGTTACCAGTGAAGAAGGGGAGAGTGGATGTTGAAAGGTAGACATTGATCTCCGTCTGTCATAGCCTATGTCTTATTGGCAAGAATAGCCAAGCAACTACTACTGTGATATTGGATTAAAAACTTGGAGATGTTTTTGTATTATAGAGAACTTTTTATTATAAAGGAACTCCTAGTAAAGGAGTTCATGTTACAGTGATTTCATTTATTTATTTATTTATTTATTTATTTTTAATTAATTAATCAATTTTTTTGAGACAGAGTCTTACTGTGTCGCCCAGGCTGGAGTACAGTGGCGCGATCTCGGCTCCCTGCAACCTCCGCCTCCCAGGTTCAAGTGATTCTCCTGCCTTAGCCTCCCTAGTAGCTGGGATTATAGGTGTGCACCACCATGCCTGGCTAATTTTTGTATTTTTAGTAGAGTTGGGGTTTCGCCATGTTGGCCAGGCTGATGTTGAACTCCTGACATCAGGTGATCCACCCACCTCAGCCTCCCAAAGTGCTGGGATTACAGGCATGAGCCACTGTGCCCAGTCTGATTTCATTTAATTACCAAAATATTTCTGAGTACAGCCAAGCTTTGCCCACCCATTCTTGAAGTCTGGCTGGAATTCATTAGACTGAAGGCCTAGATGCTTTGGCTTAGATCTTATTTCTAAGTTATTCAGCATTTGAATTTCAATAGGAATGGATGTTGGGAAGTTCCCACCTCCCTAAGCATTTGAAGCACTAATTCATAACTTTTCTTCATAGATATATGGCAGTGTATGGGAGAAATTACATCGAGCCTTTGCCATTTGGAGTGGCTTTGGTATGACCCTGACTGGCGTTCACACATGTGGAGATTACATGTTTAGTGGCCACACAGTCGTCCTAACTATGCTGAATTTCTTTGTCACCGAATGTAAGTATCTTTTTAGTGCTTCTATGCGTATTAGGTAACTAGCTGCAGTGAAGGCTGTGGGAAGGGTGTCAGATCCTGTGAAGAATGGCAAAACAGCCTGACCTGAGAAACGTGACTGAGAAGCATTGGAAGGAATGTAGCTTTAAAATGATCTTTCTGTCCTTTTCCTAGATACACCAAGAAGCTGGAATTTCTTGCACACTTTATCCTGGGTTCTCAACCTCTTTGGAATCTTCTTCATCTTGGCTGCCCATGAACATTATTCTATTGATGTGTTTATTGCTTTTTATATAACAACAAGACTCTTTTTGTACTACCATACTCTGGCCAATACCAGAGCATATCAGCAGAGTAGGAGAGCAAGGATTTGGTTTCCCATGTTCTCTTTTTTTGAATGCAATGTTAATGGCACAGTACCTAATGAATATTGTTGGCCATTTTCAAAACCAGCAATAATGAAAAGACTAATTGGATGAATACTATCTTTCTAATGAATTTGTGATTAAATATATAATAGTTGTTGAAAATGAGTAACTTTGCGTTCTCCCCCTAGGTTGTTCTTAGATGCCTGGCTTATGTGTTGACAAAGTAAAGTTTTCTGTTCTGAGCAAAGTTATGATTATAAAAAGCAAGAAAGAACAATCAAGAGTCCTTATGTAGCTATTTGAACAGAAAGCTTAAGTAGATGTTTTCTGCCCCTTCTCTTTAGGAAGACTTAATGTTGTGATTGAAGTCAGGCTGTACCCTTACCTGTTGAGTATTTGCTTATTGAACTTTAAACAAGTCAACTTGAGCAGTTTGCTGGTTGAGGAATTTTCATTGATTTCCAGTAGGGCTCTAGTCAAGAAATAATATGTTTTGAAGCTCCTTATTACCTTTAGAAGAAGAAACCCTAACAAGTGACAGTACTTGTTCTTTGGACTAATCTTTGTTTCATTTTAAAAAATGCAACCCTGGGACATGATCTGTTTTACTGACAAAGAGTTTTTGCCTTCTGAACCATCTTTAAATATACTGAGCATACCAGGATGCCTGAAATAAGAAGAGAATGAAAGAGGCCATAGATGACGTGACAGAGTACTGGCTAGGATGCCATTGGTCTCCTCATTAATGCAAATGTAGGGCTGGCATATTTCACCAAAGATGCAACAAAAGATGCAGTGCCAGTGTGACCCTCAGTGAGTATTCATGAGGGAAAAATGGCTGCATCCATAAAAATAAATGGGCTTAATGTTAGTGGTATAGGTACCCAGAATAACTTCTTTGTGCTATAGTTGTTAGATGACAGTTCAATTTTATGCTTTTTTAATGGTGTTATTAAATGAGCCAAATAGGAGTGTTTTACCAGATGTTAGATAAAGTTCTTAATGCCGTTAAGTAGGGAGGTATGCATGCAAAGAATTGTTTTCTCCTGAAAAGAAACTTACAGCACGCAAAATATAACTTTTTGGTTTTTGAAATTTATCATTCTTGGCTGTTGGAAGTAAACAGTCTCAGACATACTTGGATATGAAAAAGTTTCGTTGTTTTTTACTTTTAAATATAATGGTGTATATACATTCTTTCTATTTAGTCTTAATTTGGCAGTCAGGAAGTGATATAACTTAGCTGCTATTTACAACACTAGAAATTTAGTACTTTAAGTAATTTCACATCTATGATAACATTTGTTACTTTATTTTTAATGATTTTTTTACAGTAGTTATGACAGTAGGATGGTTATGGAATTGGAATTTAAACTCCCAACTAATGAGCTTAAGCTGCTTGGAATATTAATTATGTAGTTTTTACATTCCATTTTAAAACAAAAACTTAGAAAAGGTGCTGGCATTCTGAGGCCTGCAATTAGGCCACATAGCAGAAGCTTGCTCCTTCCTTATCTGGGTGAAATATTTTATTTTTGCACTTTGAGTCATATTCCCACCCCTGTATAAGCTACATAGGAGCCTGAATGAATTGGGTAGGAAAGGAAATTATGCAAACAAGTCTCAGCTAGTGCTGAATGACCCCAATTTGGGTCTGCTGTGAACATCATTTTTGTATTTCTCACTTGAGAAATGCTGCAAGGCAATTCAACTTTTATGCTTTTAAATCTCACAACTCAGAATCTGATATCTTAAATCACTGATTCTGTTACATGCTAGGAACAAAATGCCAACATCTCATGTAAAGAAGTTGCATAATCATGAAAAATAAAGGATGTTTCCTATGCCAGTTAGAGTGGTTTGACCCTTCAGGTAAAAAGATATGTTACTGTTATTTTTCTACGTGACAGAACAGACTGAATTTAGCTAGGGAGGCAGTGATGTTGGCTTTTGGGAAAGGGTTCAAAAAACTGTATGGCAACATTAATGCTAAAATGTTAAGCCGAGTGCAGTGGTGCAAGGCTATAGTCCCAGGTTCTGAGGAGGCTGAGGCAGGAGGATTGCTTGAGGCCAGGAGTTAGAAACTAGAGTGTGTTATAACGCCTATGAATAACCACTGCATTCCAGCCCGGGCAAGGTAGCAAGACCCATTCTCTTAAAAACATGGCTGGGTGCAATGGCTCACGCCTGTAATCCCAGCACTTTGGGAGGCCAAGGCAGGCGGATGGCTTGAGGTCAGGAGTTCGAGATTAGCCTGGCCAATATGGTGAAACCTCATCTCTACTAAAACTACAAAAATTAGCTGGGCATGGTGGCACGCACTTGTAATCCCAGCTACTTGGGAGACTGAGGAACAAGAAACACTTGAACCCAGGAGGTGGAGTTTGCATTGAGCTGAGATCACTCCACTGCACTCCAGCCTAGGTGACAGAGTGAGACTCCATCTCAAAACGAAACAAAACAAAACAAAACAAATTAGAGTGGGTGCAGTGTCTAATGCCTGTAATCGCAGCACTTTGGGAGGCTAAGGCAGGAGGATCACTTGAGCTCAGGTAAAAGAGACCAGCCTGGGCAACAAAGTGAGACCTCATCCCCACAAAAAGTTGTTTAGAAAATTAGCTGGGCGTGGTGATGCATGCCTGTGGTCCCAGCTACATGGGAGGCTGAGGCAGAAGGATCACTTGAGCCCAAGGAGGTTGAGGCTACAGTGAGCTGTAATCATGCCACTGCACTCCAGCCTTGGGGACAGAGTGAGACCCTGCCTCAATCAATCAATCAATCAATAACAAAAACTTAAATAGCTATTAACCTCAGTCTTCTTTCCTTCATATAAATTCTATTCTAAGACCAAATAGAAAAATAAATGTAACTAACTTTGCAGAGCTATTGACATTGAGAGACCTAACAACAGACTGCAATGGGGATTGTAAAATAACTTTTCAGCCTTGCACTTGCTCATATATGTTTTGAGAAAAATGTAAGTTAGGTATAACTTATTGTTTTAACTATTATAAGGCAGTGTTTACATAAATTAATCATCTCTTTCTTGGAAAACATTGAGACAAATTTATTTTCAGTTTTACTTAAACATGAAACCTGTATTTTAGTTGCTTTTTGTTTTGTCCAGAAATTTCCAGATTTTGTCTTCATTTTTTTTCCTGGTTAAAATCTAAACCATAGTGAAGATAGTATTTATGTTTACATTTTATCTGTGAATGTGGCTAAGCAGAGAAGCTACATGGCTTTGGTCTACATATTTTTTGACCTTGTATTTGGTTCTGTAGTTGCAGACTTGTGAAGGCTTACATCATCATGGAGACTTTAGTAAGGAAGGAACCAAAAGGTTTTTGGTTTGGGGATGCAAACTGGAGGTTATGTTACAAGTCTTCAATGCATTTTCTGTGTTCCTGGCAGCAGTGTTGCCTTTTTTTTTCTTTTCCTTTTTTTTTTTTAAAGACCAGGTAGGGTAGTGTTATTGAAGGGTAATTGAAGAGTGGTAGAGAGTAAGAGGTTTTGAAGGAGGCAGGTTTGCTGTTATCACAAAATAATTTGGGGGAAACCTTTCGTGGCTGTGCTGCAAGAATTCTTTATGTGGCTATCCTCTCCATAGTTTTCTGACCAGAATTGCAAGGGCAAAAATAGAACTTCTAGCTCTATTTATTTGTATCCTTTGAAATCAGAACTTATCCTTAGAACCAGTCAGTTAAATAATGCGGACTATGCCTATAATCCCAGCACTTTAGGAGGCTGAGGCAGGCAGATCACGAGGTCAGGAGTTCGAGGCCAGCCTGGCCAATGTGGTGAAACTCCGTCTCTACTAAAAATACAAAAATTAGCCGGGCGTGGTGGTGCACGCCCATGCCTGTAGTCCCAGCTACTCGGGAGGCTGAGGCAGAAGAATCGCTTGAACCCAGGAGGCGGAGGTTGCAGTGAGCCGAGATACTGCCACTACACTTCAGTCTGGGTGACAGAGCGAGACTCCATCTCAAAAAAACAAAACAAAATAAAATAATAATGTGGGCTATTCAGAAGAAAAAGTCAGTGACAGAGAGACCAGAACCCATTGGATCAAGAGACCTGCAGGGATTATAACTCTTTACTCTGTGAGCAGCGGTGTTTCGTGCCCTGTCTCTGCCTGTGTGTTTTTACTAAGAATTCCAGAAATCCTGTAATTTGTAAATGGGAAACAGAGGAACCAGATTGTTTTATAGCTGATAAGAAACAGTCTGTTTTAGA
This sequence comes from Homo sapiens, assembly GCF_000001405.40. Classification (NCBI taxonomy): domain Eukaryota; kingdom Metazoa; phylum Chordata; class Mammalia; order Primates; family Hominidae; genus Homo; species Homo sapiens. The sequence continues at coordinate 75,180,818 of NC_000010.11, forward strand.
AACATCTGTTTGGAAAGTATTACTCATGTATTCACAAAGTCATATTTATAACACTAGTCTTCTTTGACTGTATTCAACAAAAGGCAGTTTCACCATTAATTTCATAGTAAGCTTTTTTAAAGGATTCTAGATCTAAATTGCCTAAGAATGTTAACCACATTCTTGTTTTAAACTCTCTAATTTAATAAATGTAATTATTTTATAGTCTTTTATAGACTTACATTTTCTTCATACTAAAGGTAATGATAATATAGTCATTTGCCAGTACTTTAAGGTATTCAGGCATTTGAGACAAGAAAGCTGTCTTGTAGAATAGTCCAATTGCTTTCTTAAACAGTACTGGTTTCATTTAGACAGTTTCTAAGCCAGCAAAGGTGTCAATTTTAATGCCAACTTGACAGTTTAACAGTTAGTGTTTGTAAGCAGTTTAGCCTGAATTATCCCATACTGCTGTAGAGGAGAATTGTTAGTAACATCAAAGGTCAGAATGCTTCAGGTGACTAATAAGAATGGAAAGAGACTGAGTAGGTTTTTTGTTTCTTTTCCCTGTCTTTGAGTAACTTTGAATGACTAAAATTAGTATGAAACTAGGTTTTGGACCCCCTTCTCACCTCACCCGGATGTAATGCCACCAATTTCAAATAACTAAAATGTGACCAATTACTTTGCTTCAAGTTCTATACAAATATCTCTGAAATCTGTAAGCCATATTTCAGCTATTCTGGTTTTTATAATACATTCTACCCTAAATTAACCAAAGGACTTTTTATTCAGTGTATTCCATGTTTCAGCATAAGGAAAGTTTGTGCCTGATATGGCAGGAGAAAGAACACTATGGTAATTTCATTGTTACTTCAGGTCTCTTTCAATCTGAAGAACTGGGTTGTCTGGAGAATTGAACATAGCCAAGCAATATTATCAATTAGTAATGTCATCTTAAAAATGTTCACTTTTACTAAGTTTTATTCAGAGGATCTATGTATTATTAGAAAAATGAAGTATTTCTGACATGGAACAAAGAAAGTGGAAACTGGTACTTAATGGGGGAAGCAAAATTAGCTGGGACTAAAACGGACATGTTTTGTTTTGTGAATTCTACCTAAATGTCTCTCTATCCACAGAGAAACTAGTATTACTTGAAGATGTGAAAGTTCCTGTGGTAGCCATACCTTGAAGCACAGTGTTTGTACATAAGTAAATATCTTGATTCTAAATTAAATCCAGATTTAACTAATATATATTATTTTATATCTTTGTTGTATTAAAATGTTTAAAAACACTAAAAATAAAACATTTGAAAGTTGGATTACAGTTTCTTATTGAAATGTCTTTGCATTATTAATGGAGCTGGTCAGTTTTTTATATAATGAATTTTAGTTTTTGCAAATGATTGGCCAGGTGTGGTGGCTCACGCCTGTAATCCTAGCTCTTTGGGAGGCCAAGGCAGGCTGATCGCTTGAGCCTAGGAATTTGAGACCAGCCTGGGCAACATGGTGAAACCCCGTCTCTACAAAAAATACAAAAATTAGCCAAGTGTGGTGGTGCGTGTCTGTAGTCCCAGCTACTTGGGAGACTGAGGCAGGAGGATCGCTTGAGCCTGGGAAGTCGAGGCTGCAGTGAGCCGAGATGATGCCACTGCACTCCAGCCTGGGTGACAAAGTGAGACCCTGTCTCCAAAAAAACAAGCAAATGATTGAGCTCTGCAACTTTAAATCTGTGGAACTTAGTCCAGAACTGTGGAGTAGTTAGAATGCTAAGCATTGTCACAGGTACAGGACCGTATCAGCTTGATCCGCAACTGAACTTGTCTTCTTGATCACTGCTAATATGTAGCCTCTGTAGCGCTGGCCCAGCTAGTCTTTTTGAGAACTCTGGGAAAAAAATAGTCCAGAAGAGACCTCAAGGAGCTTGGTGGAGTAGAAAATGCACTGGGTTTAGGCTCTGATGACCTGGGTATGAGTTGTGTTTCTGACACTGATTAAGTTTTTCTTCAAACCTCCACTTAACCTTATTTAAGTGGAAAAAAGTGCCTACCACATAGGTTGTATTAAGGGCCAATTTATGAAAGTACTGTAGCCTTGCTCACGGAGATGTTAAGATGAGGGTGCTGAGTTAAGAGAGTGCCTCAGAGGAGCTCAGTTGCCACCTTCAGCTGGAACTTTGAAGATGCACAAATGATAGTTTTAAGGCTTCTGGTAGAGTAGCATGACATTTAAATGCCGTATATTCTCAGTTCACGGGGCTCCCATGAGAGCCAGAAATACAGAACCACCAAGACCTGCTCATATTCCAGCTTTAGGAGCCCTGGGTCACATTATGAAGTGAATGTCTGTACCTGATGGGTTTTTTTGTTTTTGTTTTGTTTTGAGACGGAGTTTTGCTTTTGTTGCCCAGGCTGGAGTGCAGTGGCATGATCTCGGTTCACCGCAGTCTCCACCTCCCAGGTTCAAGCGATTCTTCCGCCTCAGCCTCCCAAGTAGCTGGGATTACAGGCATGCGCCACCACACCCAGCTAATTTTGTATTTTTGGTAGAGATGGGGTTTCTCCACGTTGGTCAGGCGGGTCTCAAACTCCCAACCTCAGGTGATCTGCCTGCCTCAGCCTCCCAAAGTGTTAGGATTACAGGCATGAGCCACTGCGCCCAGCCTACAAACATATTTTTTTAATTTTAAAGGTTTACATTATTTTACTCCAATTGTAGCATATACATATATATGTACATATACATGTGGTTTCATACCTTGCTTATTTCACTTAACATGTTCCAGTGCCTTCCAGCCAAGGATGAAGGACACACCTTAGTTGAATAAGTTGGGTTTATTGTTTGTTATAATGGAGAATACACACCATGGGGAGTTGTGGGGCGTCTCAGTGGGAAGGTGTTGGAAAGGATAGGATGTGGGCTTGAGTTATGCAGCTTCTGGGGAAGGTTTAACTGAAGTGGGAATCTGTTCTGATTAGATGGGGGTATTTCTATTATTGAATATCTTAATATATCTTAACAAGGCAGGAGGAGCTGGGTGTGGTGGCTCACGCCTGTAATCCCAGCACTTTAGGAGGCTGAGGTGGGCGGATCATGAGGTCAGGAGATCGAGACCAGCCTGGCCAACATGGTGAAACCCCGTCTCTACTAAAAATACAAAAATTAGCTGGGCGTGGTGGTGCACACCTATAGACCCAGCTACTCGGGAGGCTGAGGCAGGAGAATTGCTTAATCCACACCATTGCCAAAGCAATATATTACAGAATTTTTTTATGTTTGCCAATTTTATAGATTTTATTTTATTTATTTAGTTTTTTGAGACAGAGTTTCGCTCTTGTTGCCCAGGCTGGATGCAATGGTGCTGTCTCAGCTCACTGCAACCTCTGCCTCACGGGTTAAAGTGATTTTCCTGCTTCAGCCTCCCAAGTAGCTGAGATTATAGGCACCTGCCACCATGCCCTGCTAATTTTTGTATTTTTAGTAGAGACAGGGTTTCACTGTGCTGGCCAGGCTGGTCTCAAACTCCTGACCTCAGGTGATCCACCCGCCTCAGCCTCCCAAAGTGCTGGGATTACAGGCGTGAGCTACTGCGCCTGGCCTAAATTTATAGATTTTAAAATGATATCTTAATTCCCTAGCTACAAAAGTAATCTTCAAAAGTGTTTCTTCTTTTTTTTTTTTTTCTGAGACGGAGTCTTGCTCTGTCGCCCAGGCTGGAGTGCAGTGGCGCGATCTTGGCTCACTGCAACCTCCGCCTCCCGGGTTCACGCCATTCTCCTGCCTCAGCCTCCCAAGCAGCTGGGACCACAGGCGCCCGCCACCACGCCCGGCTAATTTTTTGTATTTTTAGTAGAGATGGTTTTCACCGTGCTAGCTAGGATGGTCTCGATCTCCTGACGTCGTGACCCGCCCGCCTTGGCCTCCCAAAGTGTTGGGATTTCAGGCGTGAGCCACCGTGCCCGGCCCAAAAGTGTTTTTAAGATACAGGGCGCGGTGGCTCACGCCTGTAATCCTAGCACTTTGGGAGGCGGGCGGATTGCCTGAGCTCAGGAGTTTGAGACCAGCCTGAGCAACACGGTGAAACCCCGTCGCTACTAAAATAAAAAAATTAGCTGGGGTGGCAGCGTGCGCCTGTAGTCCCAGCTACTCGGGAGGCTGAGGCAGGAGAATTGCTTGAACCCGGGAGGTGGAGGTTGCAGTGAGCCGAGATCGCGCCACTGTACTCCAGCCTGGGTGACAGAGCGAGACTCCGTCTCAAAAAAAAAAAAAAAAAGTGTTTTTAAAATAGTAAAATGATAAGGAAATTGGTGGAGTGGTGACAACTTGGTATACAAAACTTTCTAGAAGACTAAACTGCCAACTATGACTTATTAAAGACCATATGACTGTAAGATGTTGAGGGGGAAAAGAAATGATTTTCCAATTATACTTTTTAATCTTTTTTTGTGTGTGTGGAGATGGGGGTCTCACTATGTTGGCCATGCTGATCTTGAACTCTTGGCCTCAAGCGATCCTCCCACCTTGGCCTTCCAAAATGCTAGGATTATAGGCATAAGCCACTGTGCCCAGCCAGGAAGATGATTTAGCAGATTGAGGAGTGTTTCTCCTGTTTAATTTTTAACATAGTCTTTACATTGGCCATCTCTTGTCATTCAAAAGTAGCATTTTTTTCTGATCATTGTCTTCCTTGAGCACCTGTAGGAGGCTAAGTCCTGTCTGGCCCAAGGGAAAGGCCAGAGGACTCAGTTGCTCTCTGTTTTAAAGTTCTGTAAAGAGTCATGTTGATACTGGTCTGCCTGCAGTAGCTATTTTTGGCCCTACCATCACCTGGAAGACCTTCCAAAGACCCAGCTTTACCTGTGGAGGGCTTCATTATAGATGTGTGAGATCTGAGCTATGGAAGATGTTTTGAAAGAATATTTATTAAACATTTATTGGGTACCTATTCTATGCCAGGCACTGTTTAAGTGCTAGTGGTTCAGTGGTAAACAAAACAAAGCCCCGGCCTTCAGGAATCTTACTTTCTAGACAATAAACACATATATGAGAGAGAGAGAAAAAAAAGCATTCCTGGCAGTTGTCAACTAGTAATTGACCTGGGTACAGTGGCATTCTCCTACTGAACATAAGCAATTCTATAGAATATCATCATCAGATGAGGACCCTGCCTGGCTGTAATGGATCCTCTTCACTTGTAATCATGCCTGAACAGCAATAAAGACACTGTGCAGCCATAAAAATAGCCATACACGCCGCTCCTGATTAACATGGGCAACTATTACTTTGTTCCTTCATAAGAATTAAGATTCCGAATTGCCCCAGGTTTCTGAAAGCACTCAATCCAGAGCAGCACCCTACTTGGTTGCTTTCCTAAACCTTCCTTAAGAACACCTAACACAAGCCCAAATCCTGTACCAGCCCCACCTAACACTCTCTTACTGAGATTCCCCTCCCTTCTCCAGGTGTTTAGTCTTTCTCGCTGCAGGAAGTTTAATTAAAAACCTACCTTTGGCTGGGTGCAGTGGCTCACACCTATAATCCCAGCACTTTGGGAGGCCGAGGTGGGTGGATCATTTGAGGTCAGGAGTTCAAAACCATCCTTGCCAACGTGGTGAAACCCCGACTCTTACTAAGAATACAAAAATTAGTCGAGCATGATAGTGCACACCTGTAATCCTAGCTACTTGGGAGGCTGAGGCAAGAGAATCACTTGAACCTGAGAGACAGGTTGCAGTGAGCCAAGATCATGCACTCCACTCCAGCCTGGAGGACAGAGTGAAAGTCTGTCTCAAAAAAAAAAACAAAAACAAAACCTAACTTAGCTTTACTAAGGTGTGCTCCTGGTGATATTTAGCTAGCAGAAATTGCCTTCAGGCAGCCCAAACAGCTATGACAAAAAAAAAAAAAAAAGAGAACAGCTAAAAGGATAGAGTGATAGGGAATGCTCACTACTGAGATAGCACTAACGGAAGTCCTTCTGCAGAGGTGGCATTCGAGCAGAGGCCCTGGATGAAGTGAGGGGCCATGTGGGGCAGAGGGAATAGCAATTGCACAAGCCTCTGGAGCAGACTTGGCATGTTCTACAAACAAAAAAGAGTTTGGTTTAAGAGTAAACAAGTGGAAGAGTCATTGAAAGTGGGTCGGGCGCAGTGGCTCATGCCTGTAATCCCAGTACTTTGGGAGGCTGAGGCGGGTGGATCACTTGAGGTCAGGAGTTCGTGACCAGCCTGGCCAAAATGGTGAAACCCTGTCTCTACTAAAAATACAAAAATTAGCCAAGTGTGGTGGCAGGCACCTGTAGTCCCAGCTACTTAGGAGGCTGAGGCAGGAGAATCGCTTGAACCTGGGAGGCAGAGGTTGCAGTGAGCCGAGATCGTGCCACTGCACTCCAACCTGGGCGACACAGCAAAAACTCCATCTCAAAAAAAAAAAAAAAAGTGACTGAACATGAACTTAGAGAAGTAGCTAGGCTCTAGTCTTACAATCCTTGAAGGTCCTGGTGAAAATTTAAGTTTTGCTTCAAGTGACATGGGAAGCCATTGGCGGATTTGGGTTTTGTGCAGGGGAGTGACTCACATCCCCACCTCACATCTCCATTGTAGCTGGAGTGACATGTGTAGGCCAAGGCAGAGAAGGCCTCCCCCACCCAGCTCTTTCTGCGTAGGCCAGTTTGCCTGGCCCTGGACCTTGAAGGTTTCATCAAATGCTTCTGGGTGCTTTATTAGGAGCATGGAAGAATTGAAGGATGCTCAAGGAGACGAAAGCTGCAGCAGAGCCAAAGGAAAATACAGCGTGATCTCAGAAGTGCTGCAGTGGGACGAGGCAGCCCTGGATAGAATGGCAAGCAGGATTTTTTTTTTTTTTTTTTTTTTTTTGAGCTCTGTCACCCAGGCTGGAGTGCAGTGGCGCAATCTCGGCTCACTGCAAACTCCGCCTCCCGGGTTCAAACAATTCTTCTGCCTCAGCCTCCCGAGTAGCTGGGACTACAGGCGCCTGCCACCACGCCTGGCTAATTTTTTGTATTTTTAGTAGAGACGGGGTTTCACCGTGTTAGCCAGGATGGCCTCAATCTCCTGACCTCATGATCCGCCCGCCTCGGCCTCCCAAAGTGCTCAGATTACAGGCGTGAGCCACCGCGCCCGGCCGGAAAGCAGGATTTTTAACTTTTCTTTGCTTAAATTTTTTATTTTTTTAATGCACAGGCTGACAAACTAGAGTTATGAGAACCTTTTTTTGGTTCAGAAGTCAACCTTTGCTGTTGGTTACCAGCAGAGGGTGCCACAAACCTCCAGCAGCCCTTGTGCCTTTGTCACAGGAAGTCACTGGTTTGAACAACATAATAGGTGTGCATCAGAATCACCTAGCTTGTTAAAACACATTGCTAACCCCTACCTTCCGCCTAAGTGGGAGGAATTTTTATTTCTGACAGGTTCCCAGGTGAGGCTGAGGCTCCCAGTCAGACTGGTTCTTCCTCAGGAAGTGATCAGAACCCCCTGAAGAGCCTTTCACCAACACCCACAGCTTGAGGCAGCGTCCCCCAAAGGCATTTCAGAACAGGCTAGAGTGAAGACGCAGGTGTTCCCCAAGCTCCTGGGTTCCCTCCTCCCTCCCCTGGGCTGTTGTGAAAGTACTGAACGCTGTAAATTAGTAATCTCCATACAGATGATCACTGCCAGCATCTTAGCTTTTTATTCCTCCCTCCTATGCTTTCATTTTGGTATCTAATTGTGCATTTTTAGTGTATAGAAATAGAAGGGTTTTTTTGTTAGTTTGTTTGTTTTGGACAAAGTCTTACTCTGTCACCCAGGCTGGAGTGCAGGGGCGTGATCTTGGCTCGCTGCAACCTCTGCCTCCTGGGTTCAAGTGATTCTTGTGCCTCAGCCTCCCAAGTAACTGGGACTACAGGCGTGCGCCACCACACCTGGCTGAATTTTTGTATTTTTAGTAGAGATGTGGTTTCACCACGGTGGCCAAGGCCGGTCTCGAATTTCTGACCTCAAGTGATCCACCTGCCTTAGCCTCCCAAAATGCTAGTACTACAGGCATGAGCCACCGTGCCCGGCTAGAAATACAATTGATTTTTAATTGCTGGCCTTTTAACCTGTGACAGTGCCAAAGTCATGTTCTAGGAGTTCTTTTGTAGATTTGTTAGTGTGTTTACATAGTCATAGACAATCACATCATTTCTGAATAGGAACAGTTTTATCCTTCCCCCTATTCCATCTTGAACTCTGGTTTCTCTGGTGGCCAGAACTAGATCTGCCGACCACATTCTGTCATGATATTTAGGGGCAGATAACACACTAGTTCACAAAGCAACTTGACAGTATTCTGAATCCTAGCAAAGACCACTAAGGACAATGAGGGGGAAAACATCTGAAATGATCAGGCCACTGTCCATGAAATGAGGGAGACCTAGCCTTGATGAAATAGTTTGTTCTCATTGGCCAGAGCTAGCGAGTGGAACCCCTACCTGCCCACAGTGGGGAAGTGCCTAGCCCTGAGCCTCACCTTGAGCACAGTCCTGCTTCTCTGAGCCAGAGTTCCTGAATGGGTCCAGTATCTGAGCTGTGGCATCCGAGGGGACTCTGAGGCAAAGCCTTGGGTGGAACAGGGCTTGGCAGAGGTGGAGGTGGCCCTCAGCCCACTTGATAGGTCAGTGGGAATCGGGAGCTGCTCTCTCGGAGTGCTTCAAAAGGAAGGCAGGAGACGGGGCTTCTGATCTAGGCAGCAGGGAGAGTGAATTTGCCCTTTCCTGGACAGTAGTGAAATGGGGGCAGATGGCGTCTGGCGAGGGGGTGGCAGTGTAATGTGTTTGCGCCCTCTCCCCCATACGCTGCTGGGCGTCTTCACAGAGAGGCACAGGGAGCATCGCCTCCCTTGGCCCAACCTTTGCCAAACCCCCATCCTGTGGACTGGCTTCCCGGGTCAGCTCACCAAGCAGCTCCTGTTTACACAGCTTCATCCACCCTCTGCTGCTAAACCTAAAGGTAGCCATTGTCTTCTCAAGGCAAATATCAGCAAGCCTTTGGCCTCCACTCTGGACTCAACCCCTCACCCTCTGCAATCCTTCCTATTAAGAAAGCCATCTAAAGTAGAAATGGCTGCTAATCTCAACTGCCACACTCTAATGGGGCTTGGCTTTCAAGGGGAAGACCTGGGTTCTGTCTCTTAGTCATGATGTAATGGGACTGTGTATGAGGTCAGGCAAGTCACCAAACTGCACTGTCTCAATTTCCTCCTTTGATATAACGCATGATAATATTTGGAAGGCAGATAGCATAGTGGTTTAAGGACACAGACTCAGAAGCCAAGTGCCTGGATTCAAATCTTGGCTCCCCCACTTACTAGCTGAGTAACCTTGGGCAATCACGTAACCTCGCTTTCTCTCCGTTTTGAGGTGATTATAGTACTTACCTTCATAGGGTTATTCTGAGGATAAAATGCAAAGGATGTAAAGTGTTAAATATTATTATTATAAATGTTAAACATTGCTATTATTAGCATATTTTAAGGATATTATAAGGACCTACTGAGTTCATATTATAGAAGTACTTTGAGGCCAGGCGTGGTGGCTCACGCCTGTAATCCCAGAACTTTGGGAGTCCGAGGCGGGCAGATCACCTGAGGTCAGGAGTTTGAGACCAGCCTGACCAATATGATGAAATCCCATCTCTACTAAAAGTACAAAAATTAAGCTAGGCGCGGTGGCTGACACCTATAATCCCAGCACTCTGGGAGGCCGAGGCAGGTGGATCACCTGAGGTCAGGAGTTCCAGACCGGCCTGGCCAATGTGGTGAAACCCCGTCTCTGTTAAAAATGCAAAAATTAGCTGGGCATGGTGGCAGGCACCTGTAATCCCAGCTACTCGGCAGGCTGAGATAGAATTGTTTGAACCCAGGAGACGGAGGTTGCAGTGAGCCGAGATCATGCCACTGCACTCCAGCCGGGGCAACAGAGCAAGACTCTGTTTCAAAAAATATATACAAAAATACAAAAATTAGCTGGGCGTGGTGGCATGCACCTGTAATCCCAGCTACTCAGGAGGCTGAGACAGGATAATCGCTTGAACCCGGGAGGCAGAGGTCGCAGTGAGCGGAGATCGCACCATTGCACTCCAGCCTGGGCGACAAGAGTGAAACTCTGTCTCAAAACAAACAAACAAAAAAACCCTTCTCTCTTTTTTTTTTTTTTGAGATGGAGTCTCACTCTGTTGCCCAGGCTGGAGTGCAGTGATGCAATCTCGGCTCACTGCAGCCTCCGCCTCCCAGGTTCAAGTGATTCTCCTGCATCAGCCTCCCAAGTAGCTGGGATTACTAATTTTTGTATTTTTAGTAGAGATGGGGTTTCACCATGTTGGCCAGGCTGGTCTCGAACTCCTGACCTCAAGTGATCCGCCTGCCTCAGCCTCCCAAAGTACTGGGATTACAGGCATGAGCCACTGTGCCCGGCCTAAAAAAAACCCTTCTCATTGGTCTCCTGTATCTTGAAAAGCCTAGCTCTACTGCATAAAGAGGTCAGAGTGTATTTTTCCAGTCTTCTTGGATGGCATCCATTTCCATAATTCCACACTGTTTTGAAGTCTTTTTTTTTTTTTTTTTTTTGAGAGGGAGTCTCGCTCTGTCACCCAGGCTGGAGTGCAGTGGTGCGATCTTGGCTCACTGCAACCTCCGCCTCCCGGGTTCAAACAATTCTTCTGCCTCAGCCTCCCGAGTAGCTGGGACTACAGGCGCGTGCCACCACACCCAGCTAATTTTTGTATTTTTAGTAGAGACGGGTTTCACCATGTTGGCCAGGATAGTCTCGATCTCCTGACCTCGTGATCTGCCCTCCTTGGCCTCCCAAAGTGCTAGGATTACAGGCATGAGCCACCGCGCCCAACAAAGTCTTTTTTTTTTCTTTTTTTTCCCCACCAATACTTGCTATTTAATTAGTCTTTTGGTTTGGAACAAAAGGTAAAGAATTCATAAATGCCACCAACTAAGCACCTGTTTCAAATAAAGCATCAGTATTCAGCTTGCAAAATAATTTCTTTATAATTAAGCAAACAGTGCCAAAAGACCCACGTCATTTGCTTCTTTCTTCCTGGAGAAGTGGGCAGGAATACTGCATCCTAGTGGACTCTCTGTGTTCAATCAAGTCCTGAGTTGAGTTTTGTTTCCCTTTCGAGATGACTATAAAATCACCTAAAGGTCAAGGAAAATGGTCTTCCTATGATAAGGAAGTTTTGCTTTAGTGTAGATGACCACTCTCCTGTGTAAGGTAGGGAGGGAGAATGTTCCGTTCCTTTCCTCTGCTACATATCTTCTTTCTTCTTCTGCATGAGATGAAAAAATTACTCTGCCTTCAGTCCAGCAGATGCACTCGGCTCCCCAGAGGTCAGCGCACCCCAAGCCCAGAGGCCGGCTGGCCTCGGCACGTCTCACTCCACTATCTTCCCTCCTCCCTGAACTCTGTTTACACAAGGCTGGTCTTGGCTCTGAGGCTGCTAGATTTTAAATGCAATCTCACTGGTGACTCACTGGTGCATCGTCATTTGGCTTTGCCTGGAATTAAGTGGAGCAATGCAAATGATTTTTACATTTTTCAATTGAGAAATCACAATTTTTTTTTTTTTGAGACAGGGACTTGGTCTGTCACCCAGGCTGGAGTACAGTGGTGCAATCATGGCTCACTGCAGCCTCAACTTCCTGGGATCAAGCAATCTTCCCACCTCGGCCTCCTGAGTAACTGGGGATACAGGTGCACACAACCACACACAGCTAATTTTTTTAAAATTTAATTTAATTTTTTTTTTTTGAGATAGAGTCTCGCTCTGTCGCCCAGGCTGGGGTGCAGTGGCGCAATCTCGGCTCACTGCAACCTCCGCTTCCTAGGTTGAAGTGATTCTCCTGCCTCAGCCTCCCGAGTAGCTGGGACTACAGGTGCACGCCACCATGCCCAGCTAATTTTTGTATTTGTAGGAGAGACGGGGTTTCACCATGTTGGCCAGGCAGGTCTTGATCTCCTGACCTCATGATCCACCTTCCTCGGCCTCCCAAAGTGCTGGGATTACGGGTGTGAGCCACTGCGCCCAGCCCACGCAGCTGATTTTTAAATTTTTTGTTGTTGTTGTTAGAGAAAGGGTCTCACTTTGTGGCCCAGTCTGGTTTCAAACTCTTGGGCTCAAGCGATCTCCCTGCCTTGGTCTCTCAAAGTGTTGGGATTACAGGCGTGAGCCACTGCACCCAGCCAGCAATCATATTTTTAGACATCTGCCTATGGCCCAGACAGAGTAACAGGGATGAGATTTACTCTTTTGCCTCATCAATGCCCCCTAATTTGTCACTGAGGCCCTAAATATGATCCTCCAGATGCGATATGGGTCTGGTGCTGAGGACAGCCAACCCGTGCTCTCCCTTGACCTGGACTGGGCATATATGGGTCATGACATGGCTGGGGATATGGGCTAAGCAACACCTGGGGGTCTATGTCTTATTTCATGCTTGTAATTTCATGAGGAGGTAGAACTTGAGCAGGCACTGTCTTGCGTAGGTTCCAATCGGGCCTTAGCTGACCTCTCCAGCCTGGTCTTGCTGGGTAACCTTCTCCCCTAATATCCCATCCATTGTCATTTTCATTCTTGCCATATTGTTTGCAGCTGGCTAAATATGTCTTGCAGTTGCAGTATCAGGCCCGAGCACCTTTCCTTCATGTGCTGCCCTTCTTCTCCCTGTCTGCCAAACACATTCTCCTTTTTTTGAGACAGACTCTCGCACTGTCACCCAGGCTGGGGTGCAGTTGGCACGATCTCGGCTCACTGCAACCTCCGCCTCCCCGGTTCAAGTGATTCTCCTGCCTCAGCCTCCCAAGTAGCTGGGACTACAGGTGCCCGCCACCACGCCCAGCTAATTTTTGTATTTATAGTAGAGACAGAGTTTCACCATGTTGGCCAGGCTGGTCTCGATCTCCTGACCTCGTGATCCACCCGCCTCAGCCTCCCAAAGTGCTGGTATTACAGGCGTGAGCCACTGTGCCTGGAGCATCCTCTCTTTTTTTAATAGCCCATGGTGCAACTAAATATATCCTCCTTTTTTTTTTTTTTTTGAGACTAGAGTTTCCCTGTGTCACCCAGGCTGGAATACAGTGGTGCTATCTTGGCTGTTGGCCAGACTGGTCTCAAACTCCTGACCTCAGGTGATCTGCCTGACTCAGCCTCCCAAAGTGCTGGGATTACAGGCGTGAGCCACCACGCCCGGCCTTATGGCCTCCCCACCCTTTTTTTTTTTTTTTTTTTGAGACTGAGTTTCGCTCCTGTTGCTCAGACGAGTGCAGTGGCACGATCTCTGCTCATTGCAACCTTCACCTCCCGGGCTCAAGTGATTCTCCTGCGTCAGCCTCCTGAGTAGCTGGGATTACAGGCACCCACGACCATGCCCGGCTAATTTTTTGTATTTTTAGTAAAGACGGAGTTTCACCATGTTGGCCAGGCTGGTCTCGAACTCCTAACCTCAGGTGATCTACCTGCCTCAGCCTCACAAAGTGTGGGTATTACAGGCGTGAGCCACCGCCCCCAGCCGTATCCCCCATTTTTAAGAATCCATTCAACGCTGAAGCCTTCATGAAGCTCCCTAGGTGAACTGACTCCTCTAACCCCACTGTCCTCTGTTCATACAGCTATCCTTGTACCTACAGCACTTTACAATACTTGCCCATTGTTCATGTCTGTCTCCCTTTCTAGACTGTGAGATTGTTGACTGTTACTTAGACCCCAGCACAGTGTCTGACACATTACTAGTTCCTTAATAAACATTCATAGAAAGGAGGGAGAAAGAATGTGTGTCACAAAATATGAAAGAATAGGGCCGGATCCCCAAACCCCCACCCCTGGAAGAACAGCCCATGCAAAAGCTAAGTATTTCTTTCCAGTGATGGGTACAATGATTTTTTTTTTTTTTTTTTTTTTTTATTGTTTTCCTTTCTTTTTTGAGACAGGATCTCCCTCTGTCATCCAGGCTGGAGTGCAGTGGCGTGATCATGGTTCACTGCAGCCTTGACCTCCTGGGACCAAGTGATCCTTTTCACCTCAGCCTCCCAAGTAGCTGGGATCATAGGCACATGGCCACAAAAAATAATTTGGTCTATTTTTTGTAGAAACGAGGTCTCACTATGTTGCCCAGGCTGGTCTCAAACTCCTGGCCTCAAGTGATCTTCCCACCTCGGCCTCCCAAAGAGCTAGGATTACAGGTGTGAGCCACCGTACCCAGCTGGTACAATGACTTTTGATTTTATGCTAACAGAGCCATTGAGGCATTAGTTGGGACTTCACTAATTTAGAGGGAATGACAAGATGGATAGTTTATTTTAAACCATTTATAAACACAGGGTTCATTAAAATACTGATTGTAAACAAGAGCAAGCATTTCAAGTAAACTTAAACACTTGATGAGTAACCCTTTCTATATAAACAATGGATAGACTGAATTAGGAAATATTCTCATCTGTTCATTAAAGCATATTTCCCTTAAGATCTACACAGAGGAGCAATTTATTAGCATAGTTCCACTAGATTCCTGAGGTAATAAAATGGAGTTTCTTTAAATATACTTTGATTCAGACAAACCAACTCTTGTTAACTGGACCTAGTCATTCTGAATTAACTATGCTTGAAGTTCTTGGCACTGCAGAGAGCAGAGTGATTCATCTAAATGGTGTATCTTTGTAGCTTGTCTCATAAAATTGCTGGAAATGCAGATAAATCGATGTTGTTTTGGAGGTGACGGTGGCGTCCCTGGTACATTTTGGCCTCTATATTTGAATTTCATAAACCCGGTGGCTTTCTACTTGTAGGGCAGCTGTGGCAGCAGCCTCAACTCTCAACAAGAACTCCTCCTACCTTCCCCTCCTCCAACCCCCCAAAAAAACTACAACCACAAAAGCCCACATCTGTATACATACACATACACGTAGAACTTCCCTGTTACATAAGGGCTTAAATGAAGAAAAACAGAGACTGGTCATGGAGGATCATCCAGTTAGAACAGAAGAAGGATCCTGTGGGGAGGAGACCTTGCTACACATGAGCTCCCTTACCTATAAGAGCGAGGAGGTGGCCGGTGCGGTGGCTCACACCTGTAATCTCAGCACTTTGGGAGGCTGAGGCGGGTAGATCACTTGAGGTCAGGAGTTCGAGACCAGCCTAGCCAACACGGTGAAACCCCGTCTCTACTAAAAACACAAAAATTAGCCGGGTGTGGTGGCGGGCACTTGTAATCCCAGCTACTTGGGAGGCTGAGGCAAGAGAATCGCTTGAACCCGGGAGGTGGAGGTTGCAGTGAACCAAGATGGCGCCACTGCACTCCAGCCTGGGCAATAGAGCAAGACTCAGTCTCAAAAAAAAAAAAAAAAAAAAAAAGAGCAAGGAGGCCTTTAGGGCTGGGCTATGCCCCCAAAGTAGGGCCGTAGGCATTTCTTCCTGCTGTGACTTACAGCTGGAAGTAAAATGTCCTGGTGCTATGGTTTCAAGGAACTAATGAGATTTTGGGAAGAGCTGGAGTAAGTGAAAATAACCTTTTCTCCCCTCTGAGAGCAATGCTGGACTCCTGGGACAGAGTGAAGCCCTTAACTGAGCCTCCACAGAGGCCAGGCCACAGCTAGACACATAGGCAGAAGATCTAAGAATTCCAGTAGCTTCCTCCTACAAAGACCTGCAACAGGTTAGTTTGGGAGCCACCACTCCTGAGCTGTGGTTTCCCTTGCCAAGTCAGACTCCTTGGGAAAACTCTAAAACTAAGGTGGCCTGACATGCTGCACTAATGGAGAAGGCCAGGAAAGCCTGGATTCTGTGTGTCCTCATTGTGCTCCCTCATCGATACACTGTCTCTCACCAGCCTTTGGAATTTCCTTCCTTTGGTTTTCTGCCATTTTTTTCTACTTTTGCTGAACTTGAGTCTGAGGCTTTCACTGCTCAAACCGCCCTTCCAGGTTGTATTTAACAGGGCTTAACAAGCACCACCAGGCTGGGCGCAGTGGCTCACGCCTGTAATCCCAACATATTGGGAAGCTGAAGTGGGAGGATCCCTTGAAGCCAGACCAAGCAACATGGTAAGACCCTCTTGTTCCTGGACCAAACTGAGGGTTGGGCTGCTATTTCTCATGGCCCAGTAACAAGATGCAGATGAACTAGGGAGGAAGAGAGTTTTTATTTCTGCAACCAGTGCAAAGGCCTGGAAATTATCACCAGACCAACTCAAAATTACAAAGTTTTCCAGAGCTTATATATGTTCCAAACTATATGTCTTTGTGTAAGTGTGCACATTGTGACACAGGAAGGAGGGGAGATAAAGTGGGAAGAGCCTCAGATGGCAACACAGTTCTAAGAAAGTTCAGCCAGGACAAAAGGTCATCCTCAAGCCAAAGCTGCAGCCTGTTAGAGGAGTCCCGGGTTTTGCAGGGGTGGCCCTGCATGAGTGTAGGTCTTTGGCGGGGAGCAGCCTGCCTGGCATCAGTAGGTCCAGAGCCCAGCAGCTGCAGCAGTCAGCCCTCTGCTCCTCACAACAGCAGATCGGAACAGCACCTTTCTATGATTGCCACAGTGGGCCTGGAAGAACTGGTTAAATTTCAGGGTGGGAATGATATTTAATGCAGCATACTTTTTTAGTCTCTCAAGATCCTTCTGTAAAAAACTGGAGCCATACTGCATTCTCTCAGAGACTCATCCTGCACAAAAGTGGGGCTCTGAGAAGTTACACTTACAAAATGGGTTAATCTTGGTTTAATCCAAAGTTTCCCCAACCTATTTGATCACAGAGCTCTTTCTGTATATGTAAATTATATTAATGACATGTGTAATTATTCAACAAAGCTGTGCTGGCTTAGAAAGTTAAGTTTAGGCCATGCCGTGGAGAGCTTTAACCTGTATGTTACCTGGTATGTGGGTTGCTTCATGGAGAGGTTCTGAAAAGGGGAGTCATGTACTCAGAGCTGTGTTCATCTCGCAGTGGGGTGTAGTGGGGATTGGAGCGAGAGGGTGGTCCTCAAAAGTCCTCAAAGTCATGGCTGATCAGTCCTTACAGCCATAACTAGCCCTGACACTGCCTCAGTTTCCAGACATAGGATGTGACTCATTTGAAATCCAATTGCTTTACTTCCCACCAAAGCTCTAGGAGAACTCAAATTGGTGGGAGAGATGGTGGGTCACCCAGTATCAAACTGACCAAACTCCTACAGCCAGAATAATGGCCCTTTGTCCCTCTGGCCTCCTCATCAGCTTCCCTCTGTATTGAGTGTCCAGGCGGCTGCCAGCCAAATTGCCTGTGTGACTTTCCCAGGCTTCAGAATGCTCCCTTTCCCTCCTTCCATTGCCTCCCACACTGGCCCCAGAGACACAGGGCAGCCACATAGTAGATTCAGGCAGCTGTGGGATGTGAATCACGAGACATTCTCAGTGGTGACCCAGTGAAAGGTCTTGGAGAAGCCCCCTCCCTGCTGCCCAATTTACCCTCACTGTGGAAGCTCCTGTCCTCACTACAAATTTAAAAGGAAAGAATTTTGAAGGCAACTCTGTCAATGGATGCAAGTCATGACTGGAATAGTCCAAAGCAGTGGACTCTTTAAATGTTGTATAAATATTACTAGTCACCCTCCATGGGGAAGGCTTTGACAATGAGGAGGCAATATAAGTGGTGGCTCAGAGTATGCGCCTCACACTCAGAGAGAGCTGGCTTAGATTCTGTCTCTAGCTCTTGAAGAACTAGCTATGCATCCCAAGCCAGGCCTGTGCATCTCCGTAAGCTTGTGTTTCACGCTTAATGGTACCTGTCTCATAGGGTTGTTATGAGAATTAAATAGGCCGGCCATGGTGGTGGGTGCCTGTAATCCCAGCTACTTGGGAGGCTGTGGCAGGAGACTCACTTGAACCTGGGAGTCAGAGGTTGCAGTGAGCCACGATCGTGCCACTGCGCCCCAGCCTGGGTGACAGAGCAAGACTCCATCTCAAAAAAAAAAAAAAGAGAGAGAGAATTAAATAAAGCACATGAATTGTTTCGAGCAATGCCTGGCACAAAGGAAGTGCCTGATATGTGTTAGCCATGACTACTTTGATTGTGTTTATTATTCATGACTAGTGTCATCATTATTAGATATTTGGTGGGTGGTGGGGATAGAGTTGAGTAAGAAACAATTCTCAGCCGGGCGCGGGGGGCTCACAATTGTAATCCCAGTACTTTCAGAGGCTGAGGCGGGTGGATCTCCTGAAGTCAGGAGTTTGAGATCAGCCTGACCAACATGGAGAAACCCCATCTCTACTAAAAATACAAAATTAGCCAGGCGTGGTGGCACATGCCTGTAATCCCAGCTACTTGGGAGGCTGAAGCAGGAGAATCACTTGAACCTGGGAGGCGGAGGTTGTGGTGAGCTGAGATCACGCCATTGCACTCCAGCCTGGGCAACAAGAGTGAAACTCTGTCTCAAAAAAAAAAGAAAGGAGGGCAGGACAGGGCAGGGCAGGGCAGGGCAGGGCAAGATTCTATTGAAGAGCTTGATGGGGAAAGCAGAGTTGTGGTTTTTGGTTTTTTTTAGTATAAAAAAAAAAGTGGGCTGGGGATAGTGGCTCATGCCTGTAATCCCAGAACTTTGAGAGGCCGAGGCAGGAGGATCACTTGAGCCCAGGAGTTCAAGACCAGCCTGGACAATATAGAGAGACCCTGTCTCTACAAAAATAAGAAAAATAGCCAGGTATGGTGGTGCACGTGCCTGTAGTCCCAGCTACTTGGAAGGCTAAGGTGAAAGGATTGCTTGAGCTTGGGAGGTTAAGTCTGCAGTGAGCTGAGATTGCGCCACTGCATTTGTTTTGAAAAATAAGAGAAAAGAAAAAAAAGAAAAAAAGAATATAAAAAGGAAAGGAAGAAAAGAAAAACGAAAATATTGTGTTAATGATGTTCACTCGGAAAATTAAAAAAAAAAAGAAAATATGTAATAAATGTTATAAGGTAACAAATTCCATAGAATTTCAGAGGAAATAAAATGAACTTGTAGCTGGTAAGACAGAAGAAAATTGTGGTGGGAGTATATTTGAGCTGGGCTTTATAAGGATTCAGAGAATTTAACTTAAAACAGTGGGGACAAGGAGGCATTCTAGGTACAGTGAGCATAAGCAATGGCAGTGACACTAAACAAACCGTGATTTGGGAATTGCCTGTGACCTGAATTGGCACAGGTGGCAGGTGGGAAACATGACTGTGACAGAGGCAAGATAGGATCATGGTTCCATCATCATTGTGTCAGGGACCTTATCCTATGGGTAAATGGGAGCCACTGAAGATCCTTGAGCAGGAGTCTCTGCGTTATCCCCACTATTGGGGCTAAGCATTCCCACAGAATGTGCTGAGCTTTTTTTTTTTTTTTTTGAGATGGAGTTTCACTCTTATTGCCCAGGCTGGAGAGCAATGGCGCTATCTCAGCTCACTGCAACCTCTGCCTCCCAGGTTCAAGTGATTCTCCTGCCTCAGCCTCCTGAGTAGCTGGGATTATAGGTGTGCGCCACCACGGCCCGCTAATTTTTATATTTTTAGTAGAGATGGGGTTTCACCATGTTGGTCAAGCTGGTTTCGAACTCCTGACCTCGTGATCCGCCTGCCTCGGCCTCCCAGAGTGCTGGGATTATAGGCGTGAGCCACTGCGCCCAGCTGTGCTGAGCTTTTTAAAGAAACAAAACAGTGTTTCACCAGTGTTCCAACCAGAACTCTGAGCAAGGCCACAGGTTACTGACTGAACAATGAATAGGAAAGCCTTTTTTTTTCTCTTTTTTGAGACAGGGTCTCACTCTGTCACCCAGGCTGGAGTGCAGTGGCGCGACCTCAGCTCACTGCAACCTTCGCCTCCTGGGCTCAAGCGACCCTCCCACCTCAGCCTCCCAAGTACCTGGGAGCACAGGTGTGTGCCACCACACCCAGCTAATTATTTTGTATTTTTTGGTAGAGATGGAGTTTTGCCATGTTGCCCAGGCTGGCCTCAAACTCCTGAGGTCAAGTGATCTGCCCGCCTCAGCATCCCAAAGTTTTGGAATTACAGGCATGAGCCACTGAGCCTGGCTGGAAAGTCCCTTTTTTTTTTTTTCTTTTTTAATTGAGACCGAGTCTGGCTCTTGTTGCCCAGGCTGGAGTGCAGTGGCATGATCTTGGCTCACTTGGCTCACGATCTTGGAGGATCAACCTCCACCTCCTGGGTTCAAGCAATTCTCCTGCCTCAGCCTCCCAAGTAGCTGGGATTACAGGCATGCGCCACCACGCCCAGCTAATTTTTGTATTTTCAGTAGAGATGGGGTTTCACCATGTTGGTCAGACTGCTCTCGAACCCCTGACCTCAAGTGATCTGCCCACCTCGGCTTCCCAAAGTGCTGGTATTACAGGCGTGAGCCACCGCACCCGGCGGGAAAGTCCTTTTATATCAAACTTTATATCAACTCTGAATGGTTAAACTGGGATATCAGTTGAGAGGAGCTGCATGAAGCTTGTACTTAACTTGTGTCCTGACTGTTGAGCTATAACTCCATTATCTGCTTTAATAATCACATTGTATATTAAAGACTAAATCGGGCAGATTAACCCTGAATGTGATCTGGAAAGCCGCAGAATGCTCCTCCTTTCTCCCAGTCACTCCTAGGATTTGATAGACAGTCTAGATCAGTGGTTTTCATGTTTTAGTGTGGCTAAAAATGGCAGCCCGAGGTTGTATACCCAAAACCAGGCACACTGTCCTTTATGCATGATTTAATGGATTTTCACAGGCACTGGCTTGACTTTTGAGCCCACTGAACCCTAGCATGCCCCGCACCTCTGGCCGTTGGCCCTAACTCCCCAAAATATGAGTTCATCTGTTCATTTCTGCTCTTCCTAGTTTTATCCCAGTCTTGTCTGCACTTCCTTCTCCTTGGTTTGAACTTCTACTGTTGCCCTCCTCACCCCATCCCATTGTGCCCCTCTAGAAGCCTGTGCTGTTGTTAACAAACTACCCTAAGTTCTCAGCTGCACCACTGAATGCTCTTTCACTCTCCTCACCTTTCCCCGTGGATACTGGAGCCCAGGGAAGACTCCCTTCCACACCCCACGACTGGACTGGGGCTGGGAGGGGGCCACTTACTTCGCTCGTCACCTCCTATAAGATCACCTGCTTCGAGGTTCATGCCATCAGCTCTGCCATCCTTTACTTCCTGCCATCCTTTATGGCCAGCTTCCTGGTCACACCTCCATGTCCCCTGAAGACTTTGGTACCTGACTCATCGTTGTCCTCCTCATCTCTTATCCTGGCAACACCCTGGTGACATCAGTACCTCTGTCAATAACCTGTGCCGACCCCACCACTGTTTGCTGGGTGTGTGTGGGGGGGGTGCATAGC
This sequence comes from Homo sapiens, assembly GCF_000001405.40. NCBI lineage: Eukaryota > Metazoa > Chordata > Mammalia > Primates > Hominidae > Homo > Homo sapiens. Next base: position 75,202,175 of record NC_000010.11, read on the forward strand.
TTCAACATCTTAGCCTCAGCTACAGCCCTGATCACCTCAGCTCCACTGGGCTTCACTTCACTCCACGCTTCTACAGCTGCTCACCACCTTGAATGTGCCATGGCGAAATCTTGCCTCCCTGTGTCTCACATTCTAACCATAACCCCAGCTTGCAGTCCTCTCTCTCTCTCTCTCTCATTTCATCCTAACATGTTTCAATCACAGGAAGATTCTCAGTCCCTAGCCCCAGTATTGCCCTTCAACCTAGGAAGAGGGGCCCCTCCCCTGGCCCTCATGTTTTGGAGGGCCCCCCCTGGGTCTCATGTTTTGGAGGGCCCCTGCCTTGAGTCTCAGGCTTTGGAGGGCCCCCCTGGGTCTCATGCTTTGGAAGGCCCCACCAGAACCCTTCTCAGGTTGTGCCCATTCCTATGAGGTGAGGAGCCTGCAGGGCCCAGTGAACATGCCCACCAGAGCCCATGCCCACCCTCTCCATATCTAGACCAAACTCTGCATACAGGAGACCTCAGAATTCCTATTTGAAGCCATCCTGAGCCTGCTTCTGGGGCCTGCATGGACTTTCCCTCAGAGTCCCTCCTTCAGAAGATGGACTGAACTGCCAGTGACATACCCCTAAGCCGTTGGGGTGGTCAAGCAGGGTATGTATGTGATGGGGAGAGAGCTTGGATGTGCAGGCTAGGGTGTGCCCCTCCCAGTGTGGGACAGAGGCCAGGGGCAGGAAGAGGAGTGTGTGTCTAGGGCTGGCTCTCCCTGCATGACCTCATCTGGCACAGGCAGGAGGAGGACTGAGTCCTAATAAGGGAACCTCCAAGTTTGCCTGGCTGGATTTCAGAATCTCTGTGGACCTGTGACTTCTGGGTACCTCCTGTTTCCCCCTTTTTGAACAGGGGTGTCTGTAGCAGTTATGCTGTGCCTATCCCACCATTGTGTGTTGATATCTCTTTAGTTCACAGGTCTTCAGATGGAGAGGAACTGCTGTACTCAAGGAACTACACCCAAGGAGCCTCATGTGGCTACCGTGAAGGCTGGGATCTCGGGGAGGTTTTGGGAGGGAGTGAGTATGTTTTCCATGTGGGAGGAATGAAAGTAAATGTGACCATGGCATAGGCTGTGAGGATTTAAAGAATATCCACAAATTGACACTCCTTTCAAAAGATAGGCTGTGGGGGCCTGGTGCAGTGGCTCACTCCTGTAATCCCAGCACTTTGGGAGGCTGAGGTGGTTGGATCACGAGGTCAGGAGTTCAAGACGAGCCTGGCCAAGATGGTGAAACCCTGTCTCTACTAAAAATACAAAAAATTAGTCGGGCGTGGTGGCCGACGCCTGTAATCCCAGCTACTCAAGAGGCTGAGGCGGAGAATTGCTTGAACCCAGGAGGCAGAGGTTGCAGTGAGATCGTGCCACTGCACTCCAGGCTGGGCAACAGGGCGAGACTCCAACTCAAAAAAAAAAAAAAAAAAGGCTGTGGGGATTTAAAGAATATCCACAAATTTTTTGATACTCCTTTCAAAAGCTAGAGCCTAACTTCCCCCTCTTGAGTGTGATCTGGTCTTACTAACTCACTTCTAACAAACAGAATAAGGCAGAAATGATAGTGCGATTTCTGAGGCTGGATCATATAAGACATTGTGGCTTCAGTGTCTCTCTCGGATCACTTGCTCTGAGAGAAGCCAGCGGCCATGTCACAAGGACACCCAGGCGGCCACATGGAGAAGCTCACATGGCAAGGAACTAAGGCCTCCTGCCAAAAGCCACATGAGGGTGCCATCCTGAAAGCAGGTCCTTGAGTGCCGTTAACCCTTCAGATGATTGCAGCCCCAGCTAGCATCTCAACTGCAACCCCCTGAGGGGCCCCAAGCCAGAACCACCCATATAAGCCAGTCCTTAATTTTTGACCCACAGAAACTTTCAGATAATAAAATGCTTGTTTTAGGCCATTAAATTTGGGGGCAATTTGTTACACAGTAATCGCAGCTAATGCTGCTATTTCTTTTATTTATTATTATTATTAAAGACAAGGTTTTGATCTCTCGCCCAGGCTGGAGTGCAATGGCACAATCATAGCTCACTGTAACCTCAAACTCCTGGGCTCAAGCGATCCTCCCAGCCTTAACCTCCCGAGTAGCTGGGACTACAGGCACGTACCACTGTGCCTAGCTAATTTTCATTTTTTGCAGAAATGAGATCTTGCCATGTTGCCCATGCTGGTCTCAAACTCCTGGACTCAAGTGATCCTCCTGCCTTGGCCTCCCAAAGTGCTGGGATTATTGGTGTGAGCCACTGTGTCTGGCCCTAATGCTCTCTGCCCTTGCCTCACTTGACCTCTCCTCAGTTTGTGACACTGTTGAGCACTCCCTTCTCTACCCAGTGCTCTCTTCCTCTGGCTTCCACGAAAATGCTCCTCTTGAGTTCTCTTTTTATCCTCCTGGCTAGTCTTTGTCAGTTCTCTTCATTAGCTCCTTCTCTGCTGCTTGCCCCTAAAAGACTAATGCTCCAGGCTGGGCACTGTGGCTCACACCTGTAATCCCAGCACTTCAGGAGGCCAAGGCAGGTGGATCACGAGGTCAGGAGTTCGAGACCAGCCTGGTGAACATAGTGAAACCCTGTCTCTACTAAAAATACAAAAAAATTAGCCAGGTATGGTGGCACATGCCTGTAGTCCCAGTTACTCCGGAGGCTGAGGCAGAGGTTGCAGTGAGCCAAGACAACGCCATTGCATTCCAGCCTGGGTGACAGAGTGAGACTCTGTCTCAAAACAACAACAACAACAAAAGACTAATGCTCCCCATGGCCTCGTCCTTTAGGCTGCTAGTGTCTTTATTCCTATCCCATAGCTCACTGACTTAAACCACACCCATGGTTAGTCATAATTAAAACTAACTTTTACACCCATGCTTCTGAGCCAGACCTTTCTCCAAAACTTCCTAACTGCCTATTGGACAACTGCATTGCGATGTAGACCTGGCTCCTCATATTCATCCAAAATGGTATCATGGTCTTCACCATTACACCTGCCCCTCTTCCTGCAGACTTTCCCACAGTGGGTGGAACCTTTGTCCTCCCCATTGCTTAAATCAGAAATATTGCTCCCAGCCACCCTAGACTTGTCCTCACTTGCTGCTTTCAGGACCTTCAGCATTTGGCTCCAGCCAACATCTTTAGTCTAATTTCTCAACTTTTTTGATAGCTTGTTCCAGCTTTACTTAATTACTTGTGGTTTCCACCAGGCCCTGTGGTACACACCTGTAGTCCCAGCTACTCATGAGGCTGAGGCAGGAGGATCGCTTGGGAGTTTGAGAACAGCCTGGGCAATGCAGGGAGACCCTGTTTCAAAAACAAACAAACAAAAAACTGGCTGGGCGCAGTAGCTCACACCTGTAATCTCAGCACTTTGGGAGGCCGAGGCAGGCAGATCACCTGAGGTCAGGAGTTTGAGACCAGCCTGGCCAATATGGCGAAACCCTGTCTCTACTAAAAATACAAAAATTAGCCGGGTATGGTGGCACGTGCCTGTAGTCCCAGCTACTCAGGAAGCTGAGGCGGGAGAATCACTTGAACTCGGGAGGCGGAGGTTGCAGTGAGCCAAGATTGTGCCACTGTACTCCAGCCTGGGTGACAGAGCGGGACTGTGTCTCAAACAAAAACAAAAACAAATCAAAAGCAAAAAAATCATATGTGGTTTCCAAACAATTCTTGCCACTTCAAGCACTCCTATGATTTTGCACATCCTCTTTCTAGAATTTTGCCTTCCCAGCCTCCACCTGTTGGCTTTCTAATTTTGGTAAGTCCTGCTTTCAAACTTTAGTGCAAGTAGCTCCTCCATCTGACTGTGCTCAAGGTTCTCTGTATTTACATCTTAGAACTGTACTTGCAGGAGCCGAGTGTGGTGGCTCACACTTGTGATCCAGCTACTTGGGAGGCTGAAATGGGAGGATTGCTTGACGTCAGGAGTTCAAGACCAGCCTGGGCAACACAGCAAGACCCTGCTCCCCACAAAAATACTGTACTTGTGACATCTTGAGCTTGTCTTTCCCATACCCCATCCTTTGTTGGGGCCAATTCTCCATGGTGTTTCTACCCATCTTATGGCAGCTTTTGTCTCAGACTATCTTTCCAAGGATGTTTACTTAGCAAACAGCCTTGGAAGATAGTATCTCTCTCTGGGGCAGAGAAAAGATTTTATTTCCTGAGCAGTATAATAATCTCCCCCTCAGGGATTGTGAACCCCGAAAATTTGAGAAATTTCAGAATTTAGAATTTAAATTTGAGAATTTAGAAAGTTTATTTTGCCAGGTCAGGCATAGTAGCTCATGCTTATAATCCTAGAACTTTGGGAGGCCAATGTGGGTGGATCACCTGAGGTCAGGAGTTCGAGAGCAGCCTGGCCAACATGGTGAAACCCCATCTCTACTAAAAATACAGAAATCAGCCGGGTGTGATGGCAGGTGTCTGTAATCCCAGCTACTTGGGAGGCTGAAGCAGGAGAATCGCTTGAACCTGGGAGACGGAGGTTGCATTGAGCTGAGATTGTGCCACTTCACTCCAGTGTGGCAGTGTGGGCGAAAGAGCGAAACTCTATCTCCTCTGTCTCAAAAAAAAAAAACAAAAAGCAAAAAAAAAAAAACCTGGCGCCGTGGCTCACGCCTGTAATCCTAGCACTTCGGGAGACCGAGGTGGGCGGATCACCTGAGGTCAGGAGTTTGAGAGCAGCCTGGCCAACACAGTAAAGCAGCCATCTCTTTAGTGTGGTAAAATTACAAAAATTAGCCGGGCGTGGTGGTGGCGCTCCTGTAATCCCAGCTACTCAGGAGGCTGAGGCTGAAGAATCGCTTGAATCCAGGAGGCAGAGGTTGCAGTGAGCAGAGATCACACCATTGCACTCCAGCCTGGGTGGTAAGAGCGAAACTCAGTCTCAAAAAGAGAAAAAAAAGAAAGTTTATTTTGCCGAGGTCGAGGACACTTAGCCTTGACACAGCCTCAGGAGGTCTTGACGACATGTAACCAAGGTGGTCAGAGCACAGCTTGGTTTTATACATTTTAGAGAAACGTAAGACATCAATCAACATATGTAAAATAAACATTGGTTCGGTCAAGAAAGGCAGGACAACTTAAAGTGGTCAGGAAGGGCGGGACAACTCGAAGTGGGGAGAGGGCTTCCAGGTCACAAGTAGGTGAGAGACAAATGGTTGCAATGAGTTTCTGATTAGCCTCTCCAAAGGAGGCAATCAGATACGCATTTATCTCAGTGAGCGGAAGGATGACTTTGAACAGAATGGGAGGCAGGTTTGCCCTAAGCAGTTCCCAGCTTGACTTTTCCCTTTAGCTTAATGATCTTGGGGGCCCAAGATATTTTCCTTTCACAGTATGAAGGTTGGGCAGATTTGTTAGCAGCTCCTTCTAAGACACGTGGTTTTGTAAGCTTAGGGTTCCTTGGCTGTGACACGAATGCATGCTGTGCACAGCATCCACCTAAGCTGCTCTGGCATCATCCTTGAGGGACACAGAGGACAGGGGGAATTGAGGCAAAACACGAAGCTTACACTGCCTGCTGGGCCACAAGTAAGAGAGTCTTTTGTCCTTGACCCATACGTCTCATGTCTTCTGCTAGCATCTGTGAGCCTCTGAAACTATGGCAGACTAACTTGATAGTTTGCAAGTAGGGTAAACTTTTGGACCCTCCCCTGTTCTTGACATCTTTACACACACTTGACTGTTAAGTGCCTTGAGAGTAGGGACTGTGTCTCAGTGGACTTTGCTTACCCTGTGGATGACACAAAGTAGTTGCTTGTGGTAGGTAGTAACTACCTACTAATGCCGCTTTGGTCTAAAGGACTTTGGATGTAAGCACTCATATTTATTTACTAAATTCAGCTCTGGAAAAAACTGCCATTATTCCCCTGTTTAGCCACAGATCTTCTTCCCCTGGTCATTAGGTATTGTGTACATTCCTTGGGTTTGCAGAAGGTGAAGCCACAGAGAAAGTGAAGTGCAGGGGGCTACAAATTGCTACAGAAAATTCACATTGTGAATAAGCCCTGCTGCAGGTAGTGGAGGTGACTCATTTATCAGACTGGGTGTTTCGGGGAGGTAGGGTGCTGTGGTGCAGTTGGGATGGAAATGCCGGTCTTTGTTGTTAGCCTCACAATAACATCAAACATACCAGACTATTTCCCAGAAGAGCCAGGATGACTGCAAACCGACCTGTCTGAGCTCGAATGAAGGAATGAATGAGGGCTTCTGGTGCCTGATGTCTTAGAAGTAAATTCTGCTAACCTTTTGCAACATGAGTAAGCCCAGTCATGACCAGGCAAGACAGCTGGCTGGGCTTGCTCATGGGAGGGAAATCTTCCAGGCTGCAGCTTTCATCTGGGTTTTGAACTGTGGAAGCCTATCCTTTTCTGGTTTAGGAGGAGGGTAGAACGTTGAGAGCATTTGAGCAGACATGGCTTTCAGAGCCAGAGAAAGTCAAGGGGGAAAAGGCTTTGCTCAGAGACTATGGCTGATGGCTATTAAAGATCACTTCGTTTCATTTGTCATTTTATAGATTAAAAAAATGAGGTAGGCCGAGCGCGGTGGCTCACACCTGTAATCCCAGCACTTTGGGAGGCCGAGACTGGCAGATCACGAGGTCAGGAGATCGAGACCATCCTGGCTAACATGGTGAAACCCCGACTCTACTAAAAATACAAAAAATTAGCCGGGCGTGGTGGCAGGCACCTGTGGTCTCAGCTACTCGGGAGGCTGAGGCAGGAGAATGGCGTGAACCCGGAAGGTGGAGATTGCAGTGAGCCGAGATCGCGCCACTGCACTCCAGTCTGGGCGACAGAGCGAGACTCCGTCTCAAAAAAAAAAGAAGAAAACCCAAAAAAACCACTGAGGTCTACCGGCGACATTATTGGATAGATGACTGCTTTGGGAGTTCCAGTTGAACCCATTTCTATTTCATTAGACTGCTCATTTTTTCTTTTTCCTTTGGCTCTGTTAAAAGAAAAAATTACAAAGAATTTAGTTTAAACATCTTAACTGGCTTTTAGTTCCAATTCTACAATTGGGCAACGCTTCATTCTGTAAAATGGAATGAATGTTCCAATGAGAAGAGGAAGTTGGTATTACAGACAGAAAAGGACCGAGGAAAGCAGAAACAAAAAGTGGATTAGTTGGTAGAAAGTTACTTTTCTTGTAAAGGTTAAAGAACACGGGACTTCTTCATGCCAGCTAAAACTGACCTGTTTGGGGATTTTTGTTTTGAGACAGGGTCTTACTCCAGCGGGCAGGCTGGAGTGCAGTAGTGGCACCATCTAAGCTTACTACAGCCTCAACCTCCCAGGCTCAAGCGATCCTCCCTCCTCAGCCTCCCAATTAGCTGGGACTACAGGCGCCAGCCACCACGCCCGGCTATTTTTTTTTTTTTTTTTTTTTTTTTTGGTAGAGGCAGGGTATTACTATGCCTAGGCTGGTCCGGAACTCCTGAGCTCAGGCGATCCGCCCACCTCGGCATCCAAAAGTGCTGGTATTACAGGTGTGAGCCACCGCGCCCAGCCTGTTTGGGGATCTGGCTAGCATCTGTTTCTCTCCTGATTTCTTGGAAGGTCAGATAAAGATCCTAGCTTTGGCGTGGTAGTGTGAAACTTCAGCATGAGTAACCCCATTTTGGTTTGGTCTGATGGGCCTAATGCAGGAGGTCAGTCTAAACTAACGGTCTCCCATATACATTTTATCTAATAGCTCTGTCACCCTTCCTGCACACCCGGGGAACTCGGGTGCGGCATTCTAACGCCTGCTCAGCATGATTCCACATTTTCTCCAGGCCCATAATCCAGAGGAGGTTGGGCCCGGAGCAGGCTTGCCTCGCCAAGCTCCGGCTCCGTGCGTGTGTGAAGCAGTGCCATGCCTGAGTGGGGAGGAGCCGCGGAAGAGAAAGCGTAAGGCGGCGTGGAAATGGGTGGGGCACGCTAGGACCCGCTCACATTTGTTCAGGGAGAGGCAGTCCCAAAAAGCCTCTCAGGCACACAACCCAGCACAGCAAGGCAGTCACACCAAGGTGGGAAAAGAGGGCAGAAGAGCGCGAGGGGCTGGAGGTGGCGCCCCTGTGTCCCACTCGTTCTCCCTGGGCTGGGAAAGAGAAGCGGTCCCTCAGAAGCGCAGGCTGCGCTAGCTTAGGATGGACGTGGGTAACGCTCAGCTGACTCCCCGCAGGCACCCTATGCAGGGCTTTGTTTCGGGGGGGAACCCGCACCAGCGCGTAAGGGGAGTAGGAGAGATCTACGTGACCCTGGTGCGCAGCCGCGCCCTATCGCCCCGGCCACGCGCCGACGCCCCGCCCCGTCCGTGACGCGTTCGCGCGGGGCCTCCGCCCCATCCCCCTCCCAGGCGGTCCCCAGCGCGCTGCCTCCGCCGTTCCCCGCCCCCTCGCCTCTGAGGCTGCCCGGATAGCTGCCTGATCCAAGGCCCAGCAGCTTCTGCCTTCCGGATCCCCACCGACGGACGGAGGCAGCCCACCTGCAGGACCGGGGCGCTGTCGGTCCACGTGGCCGCTCTGGAGCAGGTTGGAGTTGGCAGCGGGCTGCGCTGCAGGGACAGGCGCGGCGGACAGCCCCGGGGGCAGCGGCGGGGTCCTGTCTGGGAGAGGACAGGGTTGCGGCGGGCGGAACGGTGTCTCCTTCACTTCGCCCTCCAGCTGCTGGAGCTGCAGCCCGACCGCGAGCGTGCCAAGCGGCTTCAGCAGCTAGCGGAGCGGTGGCGGCGGCCCCCCTCAGGACACCACCAGGTACCGCCGCGCCCGCCTCACGCCGACCCAGGGGCCTAGGCCGCGGCGGCCAAGCCGGAGGCCCGCGCCGGACTCGGAGTCGGCCCTGGCTTCCTAAGATGGCCGCGCTGCCCCGCGGCCCCTCGCCCCTCTCTGCCCGGGATCTCCCTTTGGCCCTTTGACCCCAGCTTACCGCACTTCTTGTCCCTCCCGCAGATTCCCCTCTTCCCGCGGCCTCGCCATGGCGACCCACGGACAGACTTGCGCGCGTCGTAAGTAAAGCTGGGATCTCTGCGGGATGGGGCGGCGGAGAGTCGAAGCCTGTCGACCAGAAACCCAGTTTGTTTCCCCCTATCTTTCCAAGAACTTGGAAATTCGGCTGCTTTTGGTGGTCGCCCCACCGTCTGACCACCTCCTCTGCGGAGGAGGGGCTGGGCTGCTGGATTTCAAATGGGGAACAAGGCCCGGGGAGTTGGTCTGTGGCCGCATGGACTTTTCAGCCTTTGTACATGTCTTTGACGTATAGAAGTAAAAAGTTGTTAATTGGGGATTCTGCCTTTGGAGGATCGGATCAATCACTTTTCTAGAGGAAGTAGCAGTCCCTCTTGTGAGAGCGCAAGGTCATTACTTGTGCTCCTAAGGGCGTGGACGTGCTTTGTGGAATGAATGAGCTGGTGTAATGAGCTCAGATTGCCTGCCCTTAAGCAGCACAGCATTGGCCGAGGACTTGAGAGTCACATTAGTAAGTTTGAAGCGCTATTTGATATTTAGTTGATGTAGACATTTGAGTGAAACACACATGGCAGTATTTTTTCCAAGTTTCAATATTTAAATTCCCAGTATTAAATTCTCTTCCCACTCCAGGGTGTTGGTTTTCCCCTCAGCGAAGATATTAAAGGACGTATCAGGGTAAAGGGCCTAGTCTTAGGTTTCGGTTTTATCTAATTTAGTTAAATCAGCTCATCTCAGTGAATTTTGGCAGATACATAAATATCCATACACACAAATACTTGTTTGATTCTTTGTACTTGTCCAGTCCTAGGAAGTGAGGCTGTAGGTAATAGACTGTTTTTCCGTTTTGAAACGAATTCCCCAAGTTTGTATAATCATGGTTATCTGTTTTAGAAATAATTCGTTGGTGGTATCTCCTTTATGGGTCGTTATAGTTCTATTGTAGCTCCTGACCGCATAAAAAACATTCCAACAAATGGGATTGCTTGAATTTTAATATCAGCAGTGGGTCATGCTCTTGTTCTTGGATAGAAGGTGGGAGAATAGAGACATTAACACTGGAATGTTTTTTTTCTACCAGCAATGTGTATTCCTCCATCATATGCTGACCTTGGCAAAGCTGCCAGAGATATTTTCAACAAAGGATTTGGTAAGAACCTTATTTTTAAAACGTTTTAGATAAAGAGTGAAAATGTATGTTTGGGTTGCTTAGCGAAATCAGATCAATCATTGCAAATTGTAAATATCTTGCTGCTTTAAATTTAGAGTTACTTATTTTTTTGAGACAGGGTCTCCCTCTGTTGCCCAGGCTGGATGCAGTGGCATGATTATACCTCACTGCAGCCTGGACCTCCTGGGCTCAAGCGATCATCTTTCCTCAGCCTCCCACGTCCCAAGTAGCTGGGACTACAGGCACGCTCTGCCACACCTGGCTAATTTTTTTTATTTTTCGTAGAGGTGGGGTCTCACTGTGTTACCCAGTAAACACAGTGGCCTCTCAAAGCCTGGTTGGATTACGTTACAGACATGAGCCACTGTGCCCAGCCTTGTATTAATTCTTCTATTAGAAACTTAAGATACTTAGATTAAACTTATGTGAAAATAGTTCTTTTACAGTCTACATCCCCCTCCCCCAATTTCCCAAAATTTTTAAAAACTGTACTTAGAAGATTTGAGCCTTTAAGAAAAACGGCTCGTGCTTTAATTTTTTTTCAGTTATAGCTTAGGCCCTGGTTGACTAGAGTTACGATATATTACTGTTTTGCTTTTGTGGTGACTCCTAATACTTTATCTAGAGTTATGAGCTTTTTCAGGTGAATTTGAGTTTTCTTGAAAATTTTGTTCCATACCCTCCTCCCCTTTATTTAGACTGTTGGAAATACCCCATTGGCATAAATGTCCTAAATGTCTGTATTATGATAAGTTGGTTTTGTTTTTGTTTTTTTTTGAGACGGAATCTCGCTCTGTTGCCCAGGCTGGAGTACAGGGGCGTGATCTCGGCTCCCTGCAGCCTCTGCCTCCTGGGTTCCAGCAATTCTCCTGCCTCAGCCTCTCTGGTAACTGGGATTACAGGCACATGCCACCATGCCCAGCTTTTTTTTTGTATTTTTAGTAGAGACGAGGTTTCACCATGTTGGCCAGGCTGGTTTTGAACTCCTGATCTCAAGTGGTCTGCCTGCCTCGACTACCCGAAGTGCTAGGATTTCAGGCGTGGGCCACCGCACCTGGCCATATCATGATAAGTTATTAGCTATTCTGAAATTTCAGTTGAATGATTTTTTAATCTGATATTTAAGTTTAAGAATAGTTTGGGGGCTGGGCGTGGTGGCTCACACCTGTAATCCCAGCACTTTGGGAGGCCGAGGCGGGCAGATCACGAGGTCAGGAGATCGAGACCATCCTAGCTAACACGGTGAAACCCCATCTCTACTAAAAATACAAAAAATTAGCCAGGCGTGGTGGCACGCACCTGTAGTCCCAACTACTCGGGAGACTGAGGCAGGAGAATCGCTTGAACCCAGGAGGTGGAGGTTGCAGTGAGCTGAGATCGTGCCACTGCACTCCAGCCTGGGCAACAGAGTGAGACTCCGTCTCAAAATAAATAAATAAATAAATAAATAATTTGAAAGCATTCTTTTGTGTACCAACTACCAAAAACTAGACAAAGCAGCATAGGGATAATTCTGCCCTTTATAAGCCAGTTTACAAAAGACGAATTTGTAACAATTTCATTTAAATATTGTATATTAACACATTTTTATCCACCTCTGAATATGTGGAATCTTTTTGTTTTTTATGTATAGTCAACAATTGCTATGCATCTTTCATACAAAGGAATCATTTTGTTTCTTTTGCTGTCTATTTGTTGAAGGTTTTGGGTTGGTGAAACTGGATGTGAAAACAAAGTCTTGCAGTGGCGTGGTGAGTGTTACTGTTGAATAAGTTCTATTGAACCTTTATAATTTTTCAACTTGTAAAATGGTCATAACTGAAAGATGTCTACCTGTTTTGTCTTAAAGAAGAGGCAGAAGTTAACTTTGTTTTAAGAGATTTGCGTGTAACCTGATTTATTTTGGCCTTGAATGTGATTTCTGATTTTCATGTGGTCTTTCGTCATATTATGTATGCACAAGGAACTTAGGAAAGACCAGTCAGGTGGTACTCTTTACTCGTAAGATTACACATTTGAAGGCAGGGAACCCATTATTAGACTTTTTTGTAACCCTTTGTCAACAATGCTCGTCAGAGTTATGGGCATAAAAATATCAGGAACTCATTAATTTGAGTGTACTAATCATTTATATAATGTCCATTTTCTAGCAGTTCTCCCTGGAGAAGATTTCCACATGTATTTTATGAGTTTAGGGAGTCCTGATCTGAATTTTTTTTTTTTGAGACGGAGTCTCACTGTGTCACTTAGACTGGAGTGCAATGGTGTGATTGTGGCTCACTGCAACCTCCGCCTCCTGAGTTCAGGTGATTCTCTTGCCTCAGCCTCTCTAGTAGCTGGAATTACAGGTGCCTGCCACCACGCCTGACTGATTTTTGTATTTTTAGTAGAGCTGGGGTTTCACCATGTTGGCCAGGCTGGTCTCCAACTCCTGACCTCAGGTGATCCACCCACCTTGGCCTCCCAGAGTGCTGGGATTACAGGTGTGAGTCACCATGCCCAGCCAAGAATATTTTTAAAGAGGTTAATATTTTGGTATTTGGGTGTCTTGATAGTTCAATGAACTGTTTACAAAGGGGATAAACTAATATTTAACTTTTTTCGAGACAGGGTCTCACTCGGTTGCCCAGGCTGGAGTGCAGTGAGTGCAGTGGCACAATCTCAGCTCACTGCAGCCTCGACCTCTTGGGCTCAAGCAATCTTCCCACCTCAGCCTCCCAAGCATCTGGGAGTACAGGCCGTATCCATCATGCCTGAGTATTTTTTGTAGTTTTTCTAGAGATGACGTTTTGCCATGTTGCCCAGGCTAGTCTTGAACTCCTGAGCTCAAGTGATCCACTTGCCTTGGCCTCCCAAAGTGCTGGGATTACAGATGTGAGCCACCATGCCCAGCTAGTAAAATTTAACTTTGTGAAATTTTTTTTACTTAAAAAATTTTTGTTTTGAGATTATTTTAGGGGTGGGTGTGTGTGCACATTAGAATACTATAGGTTATTTTGATATATGTATGTATGTATATATATAGAGAGAGAGAGACTTTTTTTTTTTTTGAGACGGAGTCTTGCACTGTCACCCAGGCTGGAGTGCAGTGGCATGATCTCAGCTCACTGCAAGCTCCACCTCCCAGGTTCATGCCTTTCTCCTGCCTCAGCCTCATGAGTAGCTGAAACTACAGACACGGGCCACCACGCCCAGCTAATTTTTTTGTATTTTTAGTAGAGATGGGGTTTCACCATGTTAGCCAGGATGGTCTCAATCTCCTGACCTCATGATCTGCCCACCTCGGGCTCCCAAAGTGCTGGGATTACAGGCGTGAGCCACCGCGCCCGGCCTATATAGACATTTTTGATGTAGTGCATGTAACTGATATTTATTTAATCGTATTGTAGTTTTTTTGTTTTGTTTTTTTTTTTTTCCTCTGAGACGCAGTCTTGCTCTGTCGCCCAGGCTGGAGTGCAGTGGCATGATCTCAGCTCACTGCATCCTCCACCTCCCAGGTTCAAGTGATTCTCCGGCCTCAGCCTCCCAAGTAGCTGGGATTACAGGTGCTTGCCACCATGCCCCGCTAATTTTTGTATTTTTAGTAGAAACAGGGTTTTGCCATGTTGGCCAGTCTGGTCTTAAACTCCTGACCTCAAGTGATCCCAAAGTGTTGGGATTACAGGCGTGAGCCACAGCGCTAGCCCTGTAGTTTAAAAGCCTAGGCCTGTTGGATTTCTGGGGATTTACATTGATCATATCTGTCGCTTGGTTTTTTTGGTCTGAAAGGAAGCTTAGGTGTTTAGTTATGATTGGATGACTTATTTGGCCAAGTTAACAGGTTACAGAGCAGTGATTTTTAGTGTTTTTTAATGTTCCCATTGTTAGTCTATTGAGGCCCCTAGTGTATTTGTTGAAACACAAAAGGCCTTCTAAAAAAGATTCAGTCCTTGTGTTTAAAAAGCTTACTTTCTAGTTGGAGAGACAAAATAAACTGAGAGTACTGAGGTAATTAATATCAAATATTAGATCGTTGGATAATCAAATCTTTGTTGGAAAGGAATAGATTGTTGTGTATAGGGTTAGGGAAAGTTTTATGGAAGTAGGTTTAAGAGCATGAAGGATATGTAGGAGCTGGATTAGATATAGCATGTTTTTATTCACATTTAATACATGTAACTCAACAACCATGGTATTGATCCTATAGTATGTCTCTGGCCCCAGATAAGTCCCATTAATACCTGGCTCTGTTTTCTTACCTGAACAGCAAAGCTACTGAAGCCACCCCAGAATGTAGAAGCCAAAATTTCTGGTGGTAAAGGGTATGAGCTGTAATCTGGCCCAACTCTGGTCCCACAGGGTGGTGTTGGCTTTGTTTCTTGAGGCTTCCTTGGCATGTGTATATAGGCTGGCTCTTGATCTGTGGGCTGATGAATGGCCGTAGGTGGGGCCCCAAGAGTCATTAATGTCATTCAGGATTAAAAATAGCTACTCACACATTCCCCATTCAAACTGCTAGAAAAACCTGTTCCATATATATTGTTTTAGTAATGCTTTCCTTTTCTGTGGAGCATATGAAAACGTACAAACTTTCACAGTGTCAGTTCAATTTAATCATTCGGAGGTAGGCTTTGTAATTATAGTTGCAGAAACAGACCCAAAAAAGTTAAGTGAGGCTGGTCACAGTGGCTCATTCCTGTAATCCCAGCGCTTTGGGAGGCCAAGGCAGGAGGATCCCTTGAGCCCAGGAGTTCTGAGACTCACCTGGGCAACATAGTGAGACCCCGTCTCTACAAAAAAATTTAAAAATTAGCTGTGCTTGTTGGTGGGTACCTGAAGTCCCAGCTACTTGGGAGGCTGAGATAGGAGGATCGCTTGAGCCCAGGAGTTTGAGGCTGCAGTGAGCTATGACTGTGGCACTGTACTCCAACCTGGGCGACAGAGTGAGACCCTGTCTCCAAAAAAAACCGCAAAATGTTGTGTCCTGCTCAGTGTGATGCATTTAGTAAATGACACGAAGAACTGGACATCAGAACTCCTAATTTTTATATCTAGTGTTTCCTAACATGATCCAGTGCTTTTTTGTTTAATTGGAAATGGAGTCTCACTCACTCCATCACTCAAGCTAGAGTGCAGTGGTGCCATCTTGGCTCACTGCAACCTCAGGTTCTCAGGTTCAAGTGATTTTCCTGCCTCAGACTCCTGAGTAGCTGGGATTACAGGGATGCACCACCATGCCCGGCTAATTTTTGTATGTTTAGTAGAGACGGGGTTTCACCATGTTGGCTAGGCTGGTCTCAAACTCCCTACCTCAAGTGATCGGCCCGCCTTGGCCTCCTGAAGTGCTGGGATTACAGGTGTGACCCACCACACCCAGCCAGTCCAGTGCTTTTTAGTATAGGTATTGAGGGCTATGCTTTGACTTGAAATTCCTGTTAATGAAAGGGTCTAATTTAGGAGAGTGATGTAAGACCTAAGGATTTGTCTCTAACAGCAGAGCAATAGTTATACAAATGTTCTATTTTCTGAGAGAAGGTTGACTGGCCTTTCCTCCTATTGATACAATTTTTGATATTTCTCACTCTACAGATATCACAATTTCTGGCTGTAGTCTCTTTATTATTTTCACATCAGCTGTCTTCCTTAGGCTTGGCGTGGTGATGCTTGTGATCCCAGCTACTCAGGAGGCTGAGGTACGTGGATCACTTGAGCCTGGGAGGTTGAGGCTGCAGTCAGCTGTGATCACATCATTGTGTTCCAGCTTGGGTGACAGAGGCAAGATGCTGTCTCAAAAAAAAAAAAAAAATTCAGATAAGCCCTCCGTATTTTTTCTTTTTCAGTTCGTGTGCAACCAGGGATTGGCACATTATTATTTTTAGACAGGGTCTCACTGTGTCACCCATGCTGAGTGCAGTGGTGGGATTATGGCTCACTGCAGCCTGGACCTCCCAGGCTCAAGCAGTCCTCCCACCTCTGCCTCCTGAGTAGCTGGGACTACAGGCGCACACCACCACGCTGAGCTGGTTTCTTAATTTTTGTAGAGACATGGTCTTGCTATGTTGCCCAGGCTGGTATCTAAGTGCTGGGATCACAGGCATGAGCCACCACACTCAGTCCCCCATTGATTTTTGAATCCCAAATAAAATCACCTTAGCAAAACCTTCCTTAAAAGATGTACAGTTAGCTGGGGTGGTGGCTTACGTTTGTAATCCCAACACTTTGGGAGGCCGAGGTGGGTGGATCACCTGAGGTCAGGAGTTGGAGACCAGCCTGACCAACATGGTGAAACTCCATCTGTACTAAAAATACAAAAATCAGCTGGGTGTGGTGGCGGGCACCTGTAATCCCAGCTACTTGGAAGGCTGAGGCAGGAGAATCACTTGAACCTGGAAGGCGGAGGTTGCAGTATGCCGAGATCACGCCACTGCACTCCAGCCTGGCGATAGAGCGGGACTCTGTCTCAAAAAAAAAAAAAGGTGTACAGTTTGTTCACTTGAGAATTCACTACAGGTTAACTTGTGATTGATTGGAAGTGTCAGCTGTGTATGTAAAGTGGCAGTCAGTTGCTCAAAGGCTTATTTGTCACTCTTATATATGCTTAGAGAGTAGCACAGTGCAGAAGGATACGAGTGTTTAGGAAGCTAGAAAAAGGATTCATGAATTTACCAAATGTTTCAGGGGGTTTGTGTGTGTGTGCGTGTGTAAGGCAGTGATGAATTCTAGGCTTATGAGAATGTTCATGAAGTTATTGATTGTCTTGTTAGGAATTTTCAACGTCCGGTTCATCTAATACAGACACTGGTAAAGTTACTGGGACCTTGGAGACCAAATACAAGTGGTGTGAGTATGGTCTGACTTTCACAGAAAAGTGGAACACTGATAACACTCTGGGAACAGAAATCGCAATTGAAGACCAGGTAACATTTTGAAAATTTTAGTATTAATTTTATTAATTTATTTTTGTATTTCAAAAAAAGAAAACAAATTACTTTTCTTTCAAAATAGATTTGTCAAGGTTTGAAACTGACATTTGATACTACCTTCTCACCAAACACAGGGTAAGCACAGACATTTTTATCTGTATTACATTTAAAAGTATTTCTCTTTTGTATATTTAGAAAAGGTGTACATTTACTGTTTGATAGCTTATTAAGCTACCTTGTGGTGGTGAAATCTCTGTATCTGCTTTTATTTATTTATTTGAGATGGAGTCTTTGCTGTGTCACCCAGGCTGGAGTGCAGTGGCATCATCTTGGCTCACTGCAGTCTCAGCTTCCTGGGTTCAAGCGATTCTTCTGCCTCTGCCTCCCTGAGTAGCTGGGACTACAGGTGCGTGCCACCACGCCCAGCTAATTTTTGTATTTTTAGTAGAGGCGGGGTTTCGCCATGTTGGCCAGGCTGTCCTGGAACTCCTGACCTCAGGTGATCTGCCCACCTTGGCCTCCCAGAGTGGTGGGATTACAGGCATGAGCCACCACGCCCAGCCTTTTTTTTTTTTTCCATATTTTATTTTATTGTATTTATTTTATTTTATTTTATTTTCATTTGGGACAGAGTCTTACTCTGTCACACAGGCTGGAGTGCAGTGGCGCGATCTCGGCTCACTGCAACCTCTGCCTCCCGGGTTTAAGTGATTCTCCTGCCTCAGCCTCCTGAGTAGCTGGGATCACAGGCATGTGCCACCACGCCCACCTAATTTTTGTATTTTTGGTAGAGACAGGGTTTCACCGTGTTGATCAGGCTGGTCTTGAACTCCTGACCTCGTGATCTGCCCACCTCAGCCTCCCAAAGTGCTGGGATTACAGGTGTGAGCCACCGCTCGCAGCCTGTTTGTTTATTCTCTGTCACCCAGGCTGGAGTGCAATGGTGCGATCTTGGCTCACTGCAACCTCTGCCTCCTGGGTTGAAGCGATTCTCCTGCCTCAGCCTCCTGAGTAGCTGGGATTACAGGCATATGCCACCGTGCCTGGCTAAATTTTTTTGTATTTTTAGTAGAGACGGGATTTCACCATGCTGGCCAGGCTGATCTTAAACTCCTGACCTCAGGTGATCCGCCCGCCTCAGCCTCCCAAAGTGCTGAGATTACAGGCGGGAGCCACCATGCCTGGCCCATATCTGCTTTTAGAATACTATGGTTGCTATCATTGGCTTGCCTTCAAATATTTGCCTCTTTGTTGTTGCACTAACTTGGGCAACTAATGTGTTTCTAACAGGCTTTTGTGACTGATTGTTTGTTCTGCAAAGCAGTTTTCCTAGATGGCTGTCCAGTTGCTTCATGTGTCCTTGTCTTGTAGTTCATTGAGCTGACTTTTTTACTCCCTGTTATTGTATTGCTGATTTTTACTCCCTGGTCATACTGCAGTTTATTTAAGTCTGTTTTGTGCTCTCTTGTGCAGAAGTGTGTGTAAATTTTTCCCAATGACATCAGTTTGTTCTTTTTCCAGAAAGAAAAGTGGTAAAATCAAGTCTTCTTACAAGAGGGAGTGTATAAACCTTGGTTGTGATGTTGACTTTGATTTTGCTGGACCTGCAATCCATGGTTCAGCTGTCTTTGGTTATGAGGGCTGGCTTGCTGGCTACCAGATGACCTTTGACAGTGCCAAATCAAAGCTGACAAGGAATAACTTTGCAGTGGGCTACAGGACTGGGGACTTCCAGCTACACACTAATGTGTAAGTATTTCTTTCATAGGATACTGTGATGTGGGCCCTCAGAGGATGATTTTGATGTCTGTCATCTTATTGATCTGGGTGCACCCTAAAGGATTTCTCATAACATTTAAAAACAAAATCATTCTTGGTCATTTCTAGGGTGCCCCTTGAAAGTTTATAGTAGAAGACTGTTAGTCTGACCTTTGGTGCTGAGAGAGTAAATGTTCATTTTATATGGGGTTTAATGTGCTTTGTATTTTTACAAGAGGCATTATATATTGGCAGACTGCTACCAGTACATTCATTTTACTTAATTATTTTGATGTGTGAGATGCTGACTTGATAGGATTGCCTAAAATGTATGGTGTTTTGTGGTTGGGTTTTTTTTTCTTTTTCTTTTTTCTTTCTTTTTTTGTTTTGGTTCAGACAGAGTCTTGCTCTTTTGCGATCTCGGCTCACTCCAACATCCGCCTCCCGGGTTCAAACAATTCTCCTGCCTCAACCTCCCAAGTAGCTGGGACTACAGGCGTGTGCCACCATGCCTGGCTAATTTTTGTATTTTTGGTAGAGACGGGGTTTCACCATGCTGGCAAGGCTGGTCTGGAACTCCTGACCTCGTGATCTGCCAAAGTGCTGGGATTACAGGCGTGAGCCACTGTGCCCGGCTATTGTTGTTTTTTTGTTTGTTTGTTTTTAATTATTTTTGTAGAGATGGGGTCTTGCTATGTTGCCCAGGCTTGTCTCAAACTCCTGGCCTCAAGCGATCCTCCCGCCTCAGCCTTCCAAAGTGTTGGGATTATAGGCGTGAGCCACTGCATCCAGCCTGGTGTTTTTACCTAGCCCAAACTAGATAGATACATAGAAAGTACTTAAAATGTTTTTCTTTCCATTGTAAAAATTCATTGGTAAATAACAGAAGCACAAAGAAGAAAACCTACGTTTCTTACAATCATGCCAGCTAGGTATATAATCTTTGTTAATGTTGTGGTTCACCTTTTTATATGTGTGTGTATATATACTTATATATAAAATACGTAACCAAAAGGCTGTTTGAGAACCTCTTGCATGTTTAATACAGTGTGATAATTCCACTGAATGGATATTCTGTGGTTCATTTTACCAATCCCTGTATGGGTATGGGTTGGGGAAAAAAACCTGTTAAAACTTGCAAGTTTTCAGTGGAACACTAAAGACCCACTTGAGCTGTGGTTTTTTATTTAAATGTAATGCTACAAATCAGCCTGTGCCTTAGACATTATTACATTGTCTATTCTAGATCTACTAATTTAAAATATCTTATAGCAATGATGGGACAGAATTTGGAGGATCAATTTATCAGAAAGTTTGTGAAGATCTTGACACTTCAGTAAACCTTGCTTGGACATCAGGTACCAACTGCACTCGTTTTGGCATTGCAGCTAAATATCAGTTGGATCCCACTGCTTCCATTTCTGTGAGTACTTTTGTGGACTTAGAATGGGGGTTTTGGTTGTGGGAATGAGTCTTTGGGTATACTGAATTATGTTGAAAATTTGAACTGATTTCACACAGTCCCCAGTTTACAGATAGATTAGTTTTAGATTTTGAAATGCGCTTTTTTGATGGATACAGTGTTAGACGTTTTATTTCCAGGCCAGGCTGGTGGAGTTTGTTTAACCTCAAAAGCTGCCGAGTTAATGTTGATGATAACCTTGAGCCATAGGCCTGTCTAAGTCCAGGTATAGCTGGTGTTTGGTCCCTGAGTGGTTCTTACTGTGTCAGAAATAATAGTGCTTTTTTAAGGCTCTCTGTTGTCGAGGCTGGACTGCAGTGGCACAATCACGACTCCCGGCACCTTGACATCCTGGGTTCAACCTCAGCCTCCTACTATTCCCAACTAATTTTTTGATGTTTTTTTGTAGAGATGGGATCTCCATATGTTGCCCATCCTAGGCTCAAGCTATCATCCTGTCTCAGCCTCCCAAAGGAGGCTGTTGGGATTATAGGCATGAGCCACTGCACCTGGCTAGTATTTTAATCATCACTTTGTCTTTTTTTTTTTTTTTTCTTTTTTGAGATGGAGTCTCTGTCGCCCGGGCTGGGGTGCAGTAGTGCGATCTTGGCTCACTGCAACCTCCGCCTCCTGGGTTCAAGCAGCTCTTCTGCCTCAGCCTCCTGAGTAGCTGAGATTACAGGTGCCCGCCACCACACCTGGCTAATTTTTTTGTATTTTTTAGTAAAGATGGGATTTGTTGGC
This sequence comes from Homo sapiens, assembly GCF_000001405.40. Taxonomy (NCBI): domain Eukaryota; kingdom Metazoa; phylum Chordata; class Mammalia; order Primates; family Hominidae; genus Homo; species Homo sapiens. The sequence goes on from NC_000010.11 coordinate 75,223,186, forward strand.
CAGACTGGTCTCAAACTCCTGACCCCAAGTGATCCACCCGCCTCAGCCTCCCAAAGTGCTGGGATTACAGGCATGAGACACCACAGCTGGCCGCCTTCTCCATTTCTAATTGCACTACAGCAATAAAAACCTCAAGATTCATACAGTACACTATTCTGTTACTTACATTGATGTTCTTGGATGTCTGTGGCATTTTAACAGATTTAATGTAAGTGGAAGAAGCTTCTCTCAGCTACTAGGAGTTCATAGTTAAAATGGGAAGGCAGCTTGGGACCCCTGTGTCATTTAATGACTCCTGGGAATTAGTTTGGAAATGTACCTAGCCTTTCCCACTTCAGTAATGTTAGCTGCCACTCCAATTCAGCAGTACCCAGAAGCATTGCTTAATGCTCCTTGTGATATTAGGAAGTATATATTTGGTTCTCCTTCCCTCTCCTGGCATAGAACTCCTAAAAAATCCTTGGAATCCCGAAAGTATTAAGTATCTTTTTGTATGCTAATGAGTTTTGACTGGTGGCTGGCCACCTTTAGGTAGCTTCGGGCTGGAGGCTAGTCAGTGGAGAGACCAAGGTGTGATTAGAGGGGGTGGGGAGAGGGGCTGTAGGTTTAATTGTTCACCAATGGCTAGTGGTTTAATCAGTCATGCCTGTATAATGAAGCCTCATGAAAACCCACAAGGACAGAGGTCAGTGAGCTAGGTAGCTGAGGTTACTGGAAGGTGGCATGTCTGGAGAGGGCATTGAAGCTGTGTCCCTTCCTATGTTTTGCACTGTACATCTCTTCATCTGTATCCTTTGTAATATCCTTTATTAAAACTGGTAAATGTAAATAAAGTGTTTCTTGAGTTCTGTGACCTGCTCTAGGAGATTAATTGAACCCAAGAAGGGGCTTGTGGGAACCTCTGTTTAGAGGTGCCAGGTCAGAAGCAGAGTTAAAACAACCTGGGGCTTGCAGTTGGCATCTGAAGTGGGAGGAGGGCAGTCTTGTGGGACTAAGCCCTTAACCTGTGGCATCTGATGTCTCCAGGTAGAATTAGAGGACATTTAGCCAGTGTCTGCTGCAGAAATTATTGCTTGCTTGGTGTGTGAGGAAAGCCCTCACACATGTGGTCACAGAAGCATTCTGTGTTGTGAGAGAATAGTAGGAGAAACTGAGTTGGTTTTTTTCTGTATCCTCAGAATTGATGTCAGGATTGGGATTTGCTAGAGTGGCTCTAGCTAGAGTGGCTCATCGAAGCATGGTTTAGGAAGAAAAAGGATAAATGGATGGGAAATGAGGAACTTTTGACTCCTGGGTGGTCAGATGGTCACCCCTGCTATGGAGCCACAACTGTGCTGTGCTCAGGTACTTAAAAATTACCAGTGGAATTCAAAGATAGATCCAACTCCAAGGGAGTTGGTTCACTGGGTGCATAAGGAAACGCAAACAATAAGAAACAAACAAAATATACAATCCCTTGATTATTGTTATTTGTGATAGCTAAAATCAAAGTGAAAGAGTGCTGGATTGTACCTTGATGCTAGACCAAGCTCAGGTTTCATTTGGTTTAAGCCTTGGCCACCAGCCTCAAAGCCACCTTGCAAGGGTAAAAAGTACCCCTAAGACCTGTATTTGCTGTATTTTGCCCAGTTTGGAGAAATTTAAAAAGTCAGAAGTTAGAGATTACATTGAGAAATGTGATCTGAAATTGCCTGGGGCAGTAGTCAGGCTTATTAATCAAGATAAAGGCTGACAAATGGGGAAGGGTAGATTTCTGTTGGAAAGGCAAAGCAAATATCTCTAATTCTTACTGATCTGTAACGAAACTGATTTTTTTTGTACCATGCTCATACTGCCATATGGTAATATTGTTGGCAGATTAAACTCCCTTGTGTAAATAAGTCTTATAATACTGATTGATGATTATATGTATTGTGAAATTGAGTTGAAGCCTCCTCAGGATATAATACCTATGGAAAGTGACTGGCCTGAGGAGGAACTGGATCTCACTATCAGCTGATTTCCATCCTGAATAGTTCTGCACAAGGTACAAATAACAGTAGATCAAGGGAAAAGAAAGCTGGTACAAGATGATAAAGATGTTTCTAATGGCTTCTGTCAACCTAAAGGAAGAAACTAAGGCACAAAATACAATTTTAAAGAATTTATTTGCACCATAATGAGGACAGCTGCCCAGCAGACTCAGATCCAAGTGGATTTGAGCTCCATTTGGCCCTTGTTACAAACAGGTTTTTAAAGGCCAAAAATTCGGGACAGGATGTGGGCTGATACAAAGTTGTTTGGCAGGAATTCTCTTTGGTTTACAGAAATAACATTGATTAGTGATTGGCTATACATTGTTCTTTGTATCACAGATTCCAGGAACATGAAGATAATGGGTGAGGGTCACATTGTGCAGTAACACTTTAGATATTTGCCAGCGAGCCTGGAAACTACAAGGAAGGAAAAAAAGAACAAAGTGTTTTTAAACAATTTCCCCTAGGCATGGGGGTGTGTCCTGTGACTAAAGTCTCATTCTCATGTCTCTCTGGGCCTGATAAACTTTGCATACCTCACATTCCTCATACTGCTGAGCTATTTTTTTTTCTCTTCATAGGACCGAGTAGGTTTTTTTTGTTTTGTTTTGTTTTGTTTTGAGACGGAGTCATCCAGGCTGGAGTGCAGTGGCGTGATCTCGGCTCACTGCAACCTCCACCTCCTGGGTTCAAGCCATTCTTGTGCCTCAGTCTCCTGAGTAGCTGGGATTATAGGTGCCCACTACCACACTCGGCTAATTTTTGTATTTTTAGTAGAGATGAGGTTTCGCCGTGTTGGCCAGGCTGGTCTCAAACTCCTGACCTCTGGTAATCCGCCCGCCTCAGCCTCCCAAAGTGCTGAGATTACAGGTGTGAGCCACTGCGCCCATCCTAGTTGCTTCTTTAAACCTATCCCTATCCCACAGTAGCTTCTCCAGATGATAGGCATATTTGTGTTTGTACTCTTGTAGATATGTCTGTTATATAAATGCAACAAGTGTAAACATCCTTGACAGATATATGGACCTTTTTGCTGTAAGGGATCCCTGTTTGAAACCAGGGGGTGGCCTATGATACTATGGTGTATATATTTTGGTTTTTGTCAAGTTCCTGGCTCACAGCTTCTATAACCCTTGCAATTTCCCAAGTGACTAGAGCCGTAAGAGTGTATTTTGTTGAGATATTTGGCCATTTGTCCTCGGTTCCTGAAACAGCTCCAGAGCATAAAAGTGAAAGACAGTCTTTTGTGGGTTTTTTTTTTTTTTTTTTTTTTTAATGAAATCTCACTGTCATCCAGGCTGGATGGAGTACAGTGGCACCATCTCTGCTCACTGCAACCTCAACCTCCGCCTCTCGGGTTCAAGCAGTTCTCGTGCCTCAGCCTACTTAGTAGCTGGGTTTGGAGGTGCCTGCCACCAAGCCCGACTAATTTTTGTATTTTTAGTAGAAATGAGGTTTCACCGTGTTGGCCAGGTGGGTCTCCAACCCCTGACCTCAGGTGATCCACTTGCCTTGGCTCCCAAAGTGCCGGGGTAACAGGAACGAGCCACTGCGCCCTGGGCTATGTTGTTATTTTTAACAGGCCTCTTTCAACCACATCTGAACTTATGTTAATGAGGTGATTTTTGGATAGTCCCTAGATGGCCACATGGTAGGGGGTGCTGGTTGCTAGGGAACAAACCTTCTGCCTTGGGGAGGGCATAGTAGCTAAAGGTTGAGCCAGTGGCCAGTGATTTAATTAATCGTGCCTTTGTAATGAAGTCTCCTTTGTAATGAAGTCTCTGTAAAAACCCAAAGGACTGAGTCCAGGGGGCCTTCAGGAAGGTAAACAATAATACATTCATGTCATGGGAGGGTGGGGCACCCCAGCTCCACAGGGATGGAAGCTCCTGTGCTTGGGACCCTTCAAGACCTCACCTATAAAGGAAAAGATATATAAGTATCTTTTCATCTGGCTGTTCATTTATATCCTTTAAAATATCCTATATAACTGGTAAATGTGTTAGTCCCTGAGTTCTGTGTGCCACCCTAGGAAATTACTTGAACCCCAGGGGGTTGTGGGAACCCCAGTTTATAACCAGTCTGTAAGAAGCAGAGGCAAAAGAACCTGGAGCTTTCAGTTAGCATTGAAAATGAGGGCGGGGCAGTTTTATGAAACTGAGCCCTGAACCTGTGTGATCCGATGCTCTCTCTCCAGGTAGATAGTATCAGAATTGAATTAGAGAACATCTAGCTGGAGTCTGCTGCAGAATCGTTTGCTTGATGTGTGGGAAATTCTCCCTAGGCCTTATGAGAGTATAGAGGGAGAAACTGAGTTTATTTTTTCTACTCCTTATCACAGTTTCATGGTTTAACTCTTACTGTTAAATAATAGGAATTTTTTTTTTTTTTTTTTTTTGGAGACAGAGTCTCACTTTGTTACCCTGGCTGGAGTGCAGTGGTGCGATCTCTGCTCTGCTCACTGCAACCTCTGCCACCCGGATTCAAGTGATTCTCCTGCCTTAGCACCCCGAGTAGCTGGGATTACAGGCGCCTGCCACCGTGCCTGGCTAATTTTTGTAGTTTTAGTAGAGACGGGGTTTCACCATCTTGGCCAGGCTGGTCTTGAACTCCTGACCTTGTGATCCTCCCAAAGTGCTGGGATTACAGGCATGAGCCACCCAGCCCGGCCAATAATGGGAATTTCTTTCTTTCTTTCTTTTTTTTTTTTTTGAGGCGGAGTCTCGCTCAGTAGCCCAGGCTGGAGTGCAGTGGCAAGATCTCCACTCACTGCAACCTCCGCCTCCCGGGTTCACGCCTTTCTCCTGCCTTAGCCTCCCGAGTAGCTGGGACTATAGGTGCCCACCACCACGCCCGGCTAATTTTTTGTATTTTTAGTAGAGACGGGGTTTCACCGTGTTAGCCAGGATGGTCTCGATTTCCTGACCTTGTGGTCCGCCTGCCTCGGCCTCCCAAAGTGCTGGGATTACAGGCGTGAGCCACTGCGCCTGGCCAATAATAGGAATGTCTATCCAGCTGTCTGAGGCTCTTATTTGTAGGGTACAAGATGGTCATTAGTGAGGTATTTTTCTTTCTTTTTTTTTTTTTGAGCTTTGTTGCCTAGGCTGTAGTTCACTGGTGCAATCACAGCTCACTGTGCCCTCAGCCACCTGGGCTTGAGATCCTTCCACTCACCCCCCACTTCCCTGGTAGTTGGGTAGGTGTGCACCATCATACCAAGCTAGGAAAATTTTGTACAGACAGACAGGGGTCTCACCGTGTTGCCCAGGCTGTTGAATTCCTGGGCTCAAGTGGTCCTCCCGCCTTGGCCTCCCAAAGTGCAGGGATTACTGGTGTCAGCCACTGCGCCAGGCCTGTTTTTTTCTTTAGATGGTCATTGGTAGCTCATGAATATTTGGCTGTAGTGCCAAGTGAATACAGGTGTTTTGGATGTGGTTTGTGTCTGTATAGTTACATCATTTCTTTCTCTGGATTGGGCTCTTTGGATGTTACACATTATAAGAGTATAGACATCGAATCATTTGGAGATCTGTTTTGGTCACATAGTCTGTTTGTTACCTTTATATTGTAGCCCTCAGAATGCTGAAAGCAAAGCAAAGTTGCATGTCTAGGCAACCTAGGCCCTGGAAATGAAGGCAGGTGTTCCTGGCCTCTGGTGTGTCTTCATAATGTTAGGGGTGGTAGAGAATGGAGCTAGAAAGAATCTACTCTTTACTATGTCTTACTCTTCAGGGTTCATTCCAGCCCTTGAAGTCGGTAACTAAGTCCTAAAATGTTGGGATTGTGCAAGGAAGGCAGGGGCCTGGATTGGTACATGATACCTCACTGGGACCTCCTCCCAAACGCAGTGGTTACATACAGCCAGAACTCAGCAGCACCGGCATTTATGAGAGGTGTAAGAATGTGAGGATAAAGGATTGTTTGATCTGATTCTTCAGAGGAATTACTTGTCGTTTGGAGATTTTTTTTTTTTTTTTAAACATTCATGGTTTTGATTCTTTAGGAAGAGTCCTGGAAGTAGTAATGTGTGTAACTAAGTCATGAATTTAAACTTTATACCCTGTGCTTTAAGGCTGCTGTGTGTCACCTCTAGTGAGCCTGACTTGTACCACATTTTGGTCTGGTTTGTTGTGCTAGACTAGAATTAACAAAGATGATTTTTATGAGAGTGCTTAGGCTTTTGTGCTGTATGGACAGTTTGGGGTCTTTGGATACATTCCAGTGGCTATCAAGAGTATTGTGTCCTACTGAGAATTTGATTTTTGAGTTGAATGGATACGAATTAAATAGTACCTGGTTTGTTTGGCTTAATACATAATATTGAATTTTATTGTCTCACGTGAATAAAACTGAACACTTCATGATTACATGATGGGGAAACATGTAGGGGCTTTGTCTCTATTGAAATATTTTTCTTACAGTTGTTTTTGTATTTTATTTTAGGCAAAAGTCAACAACTCTAGCTTAATTGGAGTAGGCTATACTCAGACTCTGAGGCCTGGTAAGTATTCTTGATAAAGTAGGATTGTTTTGATAGTATTAAAAAATTTAGTTTTCATTCTTCAGCTTACTTTTCAGACCTTTCAAGCACACAGAAGAGTTGAAAGAAGAGTACAATAAATACGTGTTTACCTTTTACCACAATTTTTTATTTCTTTTTCTTTGCTTTTTTTTTTTTTGCTGGGCCATTTGGTCATGACACTTCTCTTCAGAATAAGGCCCGTCTCTTCTTTTCTGCATAACTATAATACTATCACACCTAAGAAAGTTAGTGATTCCTTATTATTTAATACCCACTTCCTGTCAGTTTCCTCGCTTGTATCTGAAATGTTTTGTAGTAATTTTTATTTTGTTGATCAAAGTTCACTCATTGCTTTGGTTCTGCCTATAGTCTTGTTGACTTTATATAATATTTTGAAGCGTGCTGTGTCTAGAACAGCGCTTCTCCAACTTCAGAGTGCACATGACTCATCTTGGAATCTGCTTAAAGTACTGGAGACTTCCCCCTTCAGATAGGGATTTTCCTCCCCAAAGTTTATTTTGGTGATTTTGAAACCTAAAGAAAAGTTGGAAGAATGGTACAATGAACATCATATGTCCTTACCTTGCATTGACCAATTATTAACAATTTATTAACAATTATTAACATTTACTACATTTATTTTATGTCTGAAACTTCACATACTTTTAAAAAAATGTATGTTTTGCAGACATACAGACATGGCAGCCCCTAGCATGTGTATCCTAAGAGTAAGACATTTTTCTTTATAAGCACAATACCATTGTCGCATCTAAGAAAACTAACATTAATGTAATACCAAATACATATTCAGATTTACCCCCGTTCCCAAATGTGTCTTTATTGTAGGTTTTCCTTTCTAGGATCGAATTATGATTATGTCTTTAGTCTCTTTTCATCGGGATAGTATACTCAACATTATAGTATATTCTAGAACACTTTGAAGTTGTTATTAAAACATTTCTCTGTGACTTGGTGCCTTAGCTAGAATGGTAACCCAGTTCTTCTGGTGTCTCAGATACTTCCAAGCGCCCTCTGGTGGCCAGCACTAGTAGGTCAGCTGACAGGCTGAGGAAGTGACAGGCAGGCTCTGGGGATGACTGTGAAAGAAGGCCCAGACTGAGTGACGTGCCAGGTACATCACGGTTTTTTGTTTTTGTGTTTTTTTGTCTTAATAGGTGTGAAGCTTACACTCTCTGCTCTGGTAGATGGGAAGAGCATTAATGCTGGAGGCCACAAGGTTGGGCTCGCCCTGGAGTTGGAGGCTTAATCCAGCTGAAAGAAACCTTTGGGAATGGATATCAGAAGATTTGGCCTTAATATATTTCCATTGTGACCAGCAGCAGGCTTTTTTCCCCCAAGAAGATGATCAAAACAAAGGATGATCTCAACAAGAGCTGTATTTTAAGTATTTAGACAGTTCTTTGTTAGCTGGTTTCTAGTTGGTTATCTAGTTACCAATGCTGCAGTCCTGCAGTCACCTATACATTATTTAAATGTATTTAACTGTTAAATGCGCTACCCACCAATAATGAAATAGACCTTTATGAAAACTGTGCAATTGTGTGCATGTTTGTTTTTATGTTCCTTTAGAAAACATTGACTGTTACCATTGAATGAGATGGATCAGTGGATATTAAGATGAGGTTACAAATTTTGTTAAGTTCAGCCATTATTACTTTTGGTATCCCAGAACATGACAAATTATGAATAAAACAAGTATACATAATTAATGGCTCCAAGTATTTGCGGAGTTCCACGTTTGCCAGCTAGGATCAAATCCCCGTGGTAGCTAGCCAATACTTGATTTTTCCAGTGAGTATTTTGCTCTGTACCTAAATCTGTGCCACAGAATCTTCTGTGTCCCTAGATTCCACGAGCTTTTTAAGACTACAATAAGAGGATACATGCTTTTACACTTTTACATGCACAGTTTGTAAGTCTGTGCAGAATTGCCCTGCATCATTGAAAGGAAAAAGAGAAGGTGCTGAAAAGTTACACAAACACACCATACCCCTGTGAGCTACTGCTAGGAACATAAAGTAGGCCCTGGTTTGGTGAGATGGTGTTAAGCATACAGAAGAGGAGTAAGGTGTAGACAGTGAGGGTAACCTGAGGGACTGTGAGAGGTCATTACTCATTTCCTTCTAGGCAGACACACTGAAAGGTGGGTATAGGTAGGAGACCAGAGACAACCCCTTTAGGCTGCGTGGCATTGGCCTTCATCTGGGCATGAATGAGACATTAATAGGTGGTTCTGGCTGGAAAAGTAGGTAAGAGTACGTTTTCTGATGGGAGAAGATAATTGGATATGATTAAAGGTTGGAGAAGATTTGTTCAACAAATCTGTAATAGACCTGAAGAATGGTAGAACCTGAGTGATAAGAAATGGGTAAGAAAATGGAAGGACTTATCACCCAAGAAATGATACATGCTACAAACTTCCAGGTTGAGAAGAAGCTGGTGAGAGACCAGAGCTCAAGCAAGCTCTCCACACAGGAGGGTTGGGGGCATGAAGACCCCTCTGGTCCCACTATTCCTAGGGGACTGGCTTGAATGGCCCATGTGAATCATGGTTCTCTGGAAGGCCCTCTCCAGACAGACATGACTTAAGTGACAGAGGGTTAGAATTTGAGCCAGCTTGAGTCAGGTAAGAGGAGAAACATGAAAAGATGTCCATGCAGGCTAGGCCTGAAAGCAACTCCAGCAGTGTGAAGTAGACCCGCAGGCAACTAACCACTGCTGGTGGTCCTTCAAAGAGAAAAACCCTAGTCATGGGGACTGCTGCCCCTTAGCTAATGGGTGGCCCTTTATTGGGCAGTGGCTACAGTAATTTGGACTGAGGTGTGGCACGAGTGAGTTAACTGTTTTGTCAAGGATTTCCTTAGAGTAAATTGAACCTATTCACCCACATGCATCCTAATATGCTTTTATGAGTTAGAAAAGGGTAGGTTTCCAGCCGTGGTCTTGCGTAGTGTCCAAAATGCAAAGTTTGTCCCAGGAGCTGTGAGCTCGTGTGGCTTTTTTTTTTTTTTTTTTTTGAGACGGAGTCTCACTTCGTTGCTCAGGCTGGAGTGCAGTGGTGCGGTCTCGGCTCACTGCAACCTCCGTCTCCCGGGTTCAAGCAATTCTGCCTCAGCCTCCCGAGTAGCTGGGATTACAAGCGTGTATCACCACACCTGTCTAATTTCTGTATTTTTAGTAGCGACCGGATTTCACCATGTTGACCAGGCTGGTCTCGAACTCCTGACCTCAAATGATCCACCTGCCTCAGCCTCCCAAAGTGCTGGGATTACAGGCGTGAGCCACTGTGCCCAGCCTCATGTGGCTCTTTTAGCTCTGCTTCCATCAGTCTCCAGGGACACTTCCCACCACCGAGGCTTACCAGGTAGTGGCAAAAGCTGCTTGAATTCCAGGCTAATGCCACTTATGCCTGAGGCAGTGTCAGTGGAAAGAATTTGACCATCTGCCAGTGGAGATAAGATCTGTGAGGTTGGGGAGATTTAAATAAGCAGAGCACCTGGGTCGAAGGTGCTCCATGAGGCCTGGTTCCTTCTCCACCTCCCCTCATAGGCAGATGGTTCAGGAAAGCCTGAAGTTCTCTTCATCCTCTAGGGAGTGTAGTAACAACTGCTGTACCTATAGGCTTGTCTGCTTCACGCCTCCCTGGCCAGTGATCCCCCTCACTTAAGAATTTCAAGGAGACGGCAGGATACTCAAGTCAACCCCACGGCAGGATACTCAAGTCAACCCCGAGGTCCTCAGGTCCAGGCCAACTGGCCTGGCTCTTAGAGGTGATGTTCCCCCACCAGGGCCTCCACTGGAGAGGTGAGGCTGGGGAGCTGACTGTGCTGTGAAGACATGAGCAAGCCGCCAGCAGAACTGGCATCACCTACAAAAGCACACAAGTGACACCCGTGGTCCCCTGCAATCCTCTTTCATGTTGTCAGACACCAGACGTGGCTCTCTACCAGTCCCAGCTGCTCAGAACCAGAGCTTCGCCTGCCCTGAGGGAGAGATGTAGGAGGCAGACAAGCCCGAGGTGCTGGGGTCTCTGGCCATTACACGTGGCCAGGCCAGTTAAAACTTTATAACCTGCCTCCTGCCAGCTGGAGGTTCCTGCAGTTGGGCCACAGACCTGGCGCCAGGGAGGGGACGAATCTCAAGGCCCCTTTCACTGAAGGCAGGAGCTGTCTGTGCTGGGCCTTCCCTCCCTTCCCCATCCAGCGCCACACACGGAGGCTCAGGAGGTCGTGTGTCCCAGCCCCACTTTATTTTCGAATTTAAAACTCAGGGTCAATTCCTGGGGTTCCCAGGCAACCCTCCCTCGAGCCCACTCACTAGGGGCCAGCCCTAGATCTTGAAGGCCAAGGTGAGTCCATCGCCCAGGGGCAGGAGGCTGATGTAGACCCTGACGTCCCGCCGGATGCGTTCGTTTAGGTTTCGCACACACTCGGCCGCCACGTCCCCTTTCGGAGGTTGCAGCACCTTCCCGCGCCACAGGACCTGCGGGAGGGCGGGGCCAACCGGGCCGTGGGAGGCGGGGCTTCGGAGGGAGGTGCTCGGGCGGAAGGCGGGGGACTGGGAGGGAGGTGCCCGGGCGGGAGGCGGGGTCTTGGAGGGAGGTGCCCAGACGGAAGGCGGGGTCTCGGAGGGAGGTGTCTGGGCGGGAGGCGGGGCCTCGGAGGGAGGTGCCCGGGCAGGAGGTGACCAGAGCTGGAGACAGAACCAAAGCGGAGGAAAGCCTGGGTACCGGGGCCGGAGCCCCGGAGGGGGTGTAGCCTACGTGACTGGACTGGGTGGGGCTTTGGGGTATAAGAGGAGTCAAGGGAAAAGATGGGGACCCGGCCCGACAGGGTGCTTTCTCCTCCCCCGCAGTGGATCCCTTACTCTGAGGACGGCGAGGATGCCTCCGGGTCGCAGCAGCTGCAGGCAGCGCTCGTAGTAGGCGGAGCAGTTCTCCTTGTCCGCATCCACCACGGCCACGTCGAAGGTGCCGGCCTCGCCCGCCGCCAGCAGCTCGTCTTGCGGGGGGAGGGAGGGCAGGTGCGGCTGAGTCCGCGGCCCCGGCGGCCCTGAGGCCCCTCCCAGGCCGGCCCGGGCTCTGTGACAACCGGCCCTGCCCTTAACCTGCCCGGCAGGCCCAGTCACAGCTCGGCCACACAGCAGCCTCGTTTGCAATGAATGGCTTCAAAGCCCTTCCCGCTTCGGTGCTCACCCAGGGTCTCCAAGGCGGGCTTCAGCCGGAGGTCGATCTTGTGCTCCGCCTCGGCCTGCGGAGGGAGCGGGTCAGCCGTTGCGCCCCCGCCTGGGGCTGCAGAGCTAGGCGCGGGCGCTCACCTGCCTCCACAGGGGCCGTCCCAGCTCCGGGGGCTGCGCGTCCACCTCGCAGGTCACCACGCGCCCGTCCGCGGGCAGCGCCAGGGCCAGGGCCAGGGCGGAGTAGCCCGTGAAGGTGCCTGGGACCAGGACACAGACGGGCTCAGCCCAGAGTGGGGGTCGGCCCGGAAACCTCGGCCCTCCGGGATCCCGGCCGCGTGCCCCTACCCAGGTCCAGCGCCTTCTTGGCCTGGATGAGCCGCGCCAGGTTGGCCAAGAGCTGGGCCTGCTCGCAGGTCATCATAGAATCCCCCTGCGGCTGCTCCAGGGTCAGCTGCGTGAAAGGAGAGGGTGGCACCAGCCATGCAGGTCACCCACCTTCGCCCTGGGGGTCCCAAGCCCCAGGGGCGCGGTTCTGGGCGTGGCCTGGGGGACTGGCCCTTCGGAACGCCCACCGCACCCGGCCCAGGGAAGCCGGAAGCCCAGGGAGGGCCAGGGCCCAGCCCAAGGTCACACAGCCACGTGGGACCCGCAGGGGTCGAGAGGGACGCCCGTTTCCGTCCCGCGCCCTGCTGACCAGCCTCAGGCTTCGCAGCGCCGGGTGCTCCCGCATGGAGCGGCTCAGAAGATACTGCCACAGGCGGCTGTCCTCGGGGGGAAGCAGGCACTGCTCTCGCCGGCCTCGCCATGGGGGGCACCGCCTCCCTGACGGGGAGAGGGTGTTGGATTAACCTGAGCCACGCCGCGCCCTACTCTGCGCCCGCCCACCCGCCCGCCGGGACCAGGTCCTGCTCACCCAGGAAGAGGCCAGTGGCGAAGGCGGCGCCCAGTGCGGCTGAGCCCAGGGCCAGCGCGGCGGGCACGGAGAGCCGGGGCACCGGCTGGGTCATGGCGCGGGCAGGAGGCGGCGGGAGGCAGTGACAGGTCACGTGAGCTGGAGCTCCTGGGACAGGTCTCGGACTCGCGGGCCCGCCGGGCTCCACCTTGTCGGGGCACTACCCGCGGAGCCGCGGTCTCGGGCATCATCTGGCGGCCACACAGCCTTACTGCAAGCCCCGCCCGAGAGAGCCGGGCGCGATCTGGTGGCCGCGCCGGGAACTGCGCCCCTGCGGGGAGCAGGCCAAGCGCCTAGATCTGAATTTTCCCGCCTGTGCCCGCAGTCCAGGTGCCTGCCTCCATTCCCCTCCTGCCAATGCTTTTTTCTCCTCGCCACCATTTATTCTGAGGCCCCTTGGGGGCATATGTGAATTGTGTATGGAGGGCGCCAGTGTAAGTTACAAGATAGTCACAAGTACAAGAGATAGAGATTAAAGGGGGAAGGCCTCCTGGACAAGATGCCCCAAAGCATCAGGCTGAAGGAGTGAGGGAACTGGTTTGAGGGCATGCAGCCTCGAATTGGGGTTCAGGAGCCCTGGGGTGGGCCTGTGGAACTGAGACCATATTCTTAGCTGTTAAAATCCTGCTTTTGGGGGCCAGATGGATACGAGTGTCTAATCTTGGTCCTGCCAGTCTCTCTGAGCCTCAGTTTCCTTCCTGTAAAATGAGGCCTACAATCTTACCATAAAAGGCACCAGATCCCACAGCTTCGCACACAGTAGCACAATACATAAGTGGCAGCTGCTGTTATGTTGGTAGGTTGGAATGAAGACATCTTGGGGAGAAAGCCGGTGAAGCTCCCTTGCAAGGTTGTTCTGTTGAAACACTGTCCAGAGAACACTGATTGAACCCCTACCATGCGCCAAACTCCGGAGGAGGTGAAAGACGCTGACGCTGTCCTTTTTTTTTTTTTTTTTGAGACTGAGTCTCGCTCTGTCACCCAGGCTGGAGTGCAGTGGCACAATCTGGTCTCACTGCAACCTCCACCTCCTGATTCAAGCGATTCTCCTGCCTCAGACTCTGGAGTAGCTGGGACTACAGGCACGCACCCCTACACCCAACTAATTTTTGTATTTTTTGTAGAGACGGGTTTTGCTATTTTGGCCAGGCTGGTGTCAGACTCCTGGCCTCAAGTGATCTGTTTGCCTCGTCCTTCCAAAGTGCTGGGATTACAGGCCTGAGCCATTGTGCCTGGCGTTGGTGTTCTTTTTTTTTTTTTTGGCAAGGTCTCTGGCAAGGCTGAAGTGCAGTGGCAAGATTACTGCTTATTGCAGCATCGAGCTCCCAGGCTCAGCAATCCTCTTGCCTCAGCCTCCCAAGTAGCTGGGACCACAGGCGGTCACCACTGTGCCCAGCTAATTTAAAAAAAAAAATTTTTTTTTTAAAGAGAAGGGGTCTTACTATGTTGTCCAGGCTGGTCTCGAACTCCTGGCTTTAAGTGATCCTCCTGCCTCAGCCTCCCAAAGTGCTGGGATTACAGGTGTGAGCCCCCGTGCCTGGCCTCTGGTTGGTATTCTTAGTGAAGCTGGTTTCAGAGATGCAGGTCACACACAGCTGGCGGGTGGCCTAAGCTTCACGACTTCTGCCTCTGTGAAATGGCGTTATGAATAGTCCCAACCTCCTAGGGGACCAAATGAGAAAATCCAGGCTGAGGACTTACACAGGGGACCAAATGAGAAAATCCTGGCACTTAGTGAGCTGTCATGTTACCTTTAAAAGGAGTCAAAGTCCGAAGGGCAGCCGGTTATCTTCCTGCTGCACTGCAGATGTCCCCTGGGGTGGAGGCTGTAAGAGCCTTTTTTTTTTTTTTTTTTTTTTTTTGAGATGGAGTCTTGCTCTGTCGTCCAGGCTGGAGCCCAGTGGCGCGATCTCAGCTCACTGCAACCTCCGCCTCCCAGGTTCAAGCGATTCTCCTGCCTCAGCCTCCTGAGTAGCTGGGACTACAAGCGCCAGCCACCATGCCTGGCTAATTTTTGTACTTTTAGTAGAGACGGGGTTTCACCATATTGGCCAGGCTGTTCTCGAACTCCTGACCATGTGATCCGCCCGCCTCGGCCTCCCAAAGTGCTGGGATTACAGGCGTGAGCCACCGCACCCGGCCAAGAATCCATTTTAACAACGCTGACTAGGCATTGAGCTCCACTGGGGGGCTTCCCAGGCGGGGGCTCAACCTGAGCGAGGCCCAGAGGCCAGCTTGTTGAGTAGTTAATGAGAGAGTGGCTTGGCTGAGGATGAAGGCCAGAAACTTGCAGTTTCTTGATCTGAGCTGCAGGAACCTTGGGCCTAGCGGAAGCGAGGAAGGAGGAGGCGGAGCTCTGGGGTGAGGCTACGGGCCGGCCTCTAATCAGAGACAGGGTGGGGCTGGTTCTTTGACCAACCAGCCGGCAGCCCCCGAAGCACATGGCTGTGTGGGGGCAGAACCTGCTGTCTCCGTGCATGCGTGCCCTTTCGGCCCTCCTGGGACTTGCCTCCGGGCTAGCAGCACTGCTCGAGGACAAGCTCCTTGCCCTTTACTCTTTGACCCTCTACGTCCCGCTTGGCCTCTAACTTGACCGTGAATCTCATTCTGCGGGTAAGGACTGAGGCTGCTGGTCTCTCCTTCCCAGGCCTGAGCATACAGCAGGCGCTAAATAAATGCTCTTGACTAGAGTTCTGGCGCTGCCTGGCGCTCCTTGCTGCCAGGAGTAAAAATAGTAACAGCAGGGCCCCTTTATTGAGGACCTGCCGGGCACCAGGCACAATGCATCCAGGATCCGGGGGCGGCTGTGATCTTGTTCCCATTTTCCAGAGCAGGAAAGCTCAGAGACCACCGCCCAGACCCTGCAGCCAACAGAGGAAACGCGCGTACCTCTCCCTTGAACCCTGGGACCCAGAGGGAACAGGCCTTCTTGGCTCCTCTGCTGGGACGAGGGCCCAGCTCGAGCTGGCCTGAGGGCCCTGCGCTCAGGTGGTGCCGCTGACCGCTCTCTCCCTTCAGCCCGGGGGTCCAGGTTGCAGCAGGCCCCCAGCTCACACTGAAACTCCCTCCTACAGCCTGGCTTTAGGCCGGAGCGGTGGAGGTTGAGGGGGAGCGGGTGGGGAGGGGAGGCATGTCACCATCTATCCCCGTCAGATTAAAAAACTAATTTGAAAAGATTAATGTATTCCATTCTTGTTACGCTGGCTCTGATACCTCTGGGCCGGCGGCCGCTCTGCTTCCTGATTATTGAATTTTTATGGCCTGGTAATTAATTGCAGATTCCCTGTTTTGTTCTATTTCTTTTTCTCTGACATTTTAATTTCAACAAAAAGCAGTGGTCTCCATGCAGGTTCTCTCTGGAGATCCTAATGGTCTATAAAACAGAATGACTTATAGACGTGGCACCCACTTCAGTTGGCGAGCGATTGTTTGAAACCTTGCTGATGACGCAGAATTTAATTTTTCCACCCCCTCCCCTTTTTGCTACTCATTTCTTGTCTCTTGCATGGCGGCACCAGTATCTCAGCTCACCAGGAAGGGAGCAAAGTGTCGCCTCCGAATCTGTTCTAGGGCTTTTTCCTAGAAGCCTGGGGGCTGAAGACAGAGTGGGTTTTGATTCTTCTCCAGGCAGTGGGCCTGGTAGAGGGTGGGGGGAGCTGAGCCTCCCCAAAGGGCCTTGTGGATGTGGGCAGCAGCCCCCAGGGGAGGGAATGGGCAGGGGAGGTCATTTCCACCTGTCTCAGGTGCGTTTTGGCCAAATGCCATTGCCCCATTAAGCACCAAGGAACCTGAAGCCTCATCAGGGCAGAGAAAATGGGCATCAGCACCTGCACTTAGGCCCCCACCAGGCAGAGAGGGGGCAGGCTGAGTAGACTGATACAGACAGACGCAGATAGCCTGACAGTCTTAGCTGAACTGGGTCACTGGGAACAGCTCTCCACACAAACAGGTCTGGAACAGACCCCTGAGTTTCCATCCTACTGGTCCCACTCCTATTTCTCATAGCCCTGCTAGCATCACACAGGCTGGGCGCTGTCGCCCGAGATCCCCCGGGACTGAGCAGGGCAGGAGGCAGAAGGTAAGGTCGTAGAATCAATCCTAAGGGATTGGAGTTCAGATGTTTTTTGGGGCCAGGCAGGTGAAGTAAGCAGGGCAAGGTGATAGGGGGTGGTGGGTACTGGAGCACTCCAGAGCTCACCCTCCACCAGGGGACATGGTGGCCACTTGGCTTTAGCCTTGGATGCCAAGTGGGAAGATGGGCCCAGTATGGCCAGAGCTTCCGATTCCCCAACAGAGGTTGGCAATATGGCTTTCAGTGTGAAACTTCACAATTTTAAACATCGGGGTGTGTGTGTGTATGTGTTTAAACACTGTTGGCCAAACTGAACACATATTTGAGCTTCATGTCTGCTCTGGCTCATGAGGCACCAGTTTCCTCTGACTCTGAGCATGAATGAGAGAAGTTAGGGCTTGAAGTGGAGTCCCCTAGAGTGAGAAGGGCCTCAGTGGCCAGCAGACCACCGCCGATGTCTGGGTGAGGTCTACTGGGCTCCCCAAGGAGGACAGTACCTTTTACCTAAGACGTCGGGAGGCAGGGCTGTAACTCCAGGGGCTTTAGGACGGTTCAGGCCAAGTGCACTGACACAGGTAGACACAGACAGATGGCGACTTGGGGGCTCCTGGGGCTCCTCACATGAGCTGGGAGCATGACGGGGCCACAACCTGGTCCCACCTCCTCTGTGCTGAGATCCTGGGGAGCTGACCCTGGCAGCGCCCCTAGTGACTCACTTTCCTCATCTGGAGAGGCTGAATGGGAAAGCTACAGCATGGGCTTTAGAACAGATGGACTTGGGTTCAAACATCTGCCCCACCACTCACTTTGCAGCTGAGTAAGCTCAGAGTTTCTGAGAAACTCTAGAAAACTAGGAAATGGGCATGAACCTTCTGTCTTCGTTTTCCATTGCTGTACAGCAAACTGCCACAAAGTTAGTAGTTTAAAACAACACCCACTTGTTATCTCGCAGAGCGTAGGTCAGAAGTCTGACAAGGCCGGGTTGGATTCTCTGCTCAGGGTCTCACCAGGTTCAAGACAAAGTTCTCCCCTGGGGCTGTGGGGCCTCTGCCAAGCTCACCAGTTGTTGGCAAAATTCAGTTCCTTCTCTTGAAACCTTTCCATCTTCAAGGCCAGCAGAGGCACCTGGCATCTTTCTGGTGCTCCCAATTGCTGTCTTCCTCTTTTGCTTTTTTTTTTTTTTTGAGATGGAGTTGCGCTCTGTTGCCCAGGCTGGAGTGCAGTGGTGTGATCTTGGCTCACTGCAAGCTCTGCCTCCCGGGTTCACACCTTATCCTGCCTCAGCCTCCTGAGTAGCTGGGACTACCGGCGCCTGCCACCACGCCCAGCTAATTTTTTTGTATTTTTAGTAGAGACGGGGTTTCACCGTGTTAGCCAGGATGGTCTTGATCTCCTGACCTCGTCATCTGCCTGCCTCGGCCTCCCAAAGTGATGGGATTACAGGCGTGAGCCACCGCGCCCGGCCTTTTTTTTTTTTTTTTGAGACTGTGTCTCTGTCACCCAGGCTGGAGTGCAGTGGCACAATCTCAGCTCACTGCGACCTCTGCCTCCCAGGTTCCAGTGATTCTCCTGCTTCAGCCTCCTGAGTAGCTGGGATTACAGGCATGCGCCGCCATGCCCAGCTAACTTTTTATTATTAGTAGGGATGGGGCTTCACCATATTGGCCAGGCTGGTCTCGAACTCCTGACTTCAGGTGATCCACCCACCTTGGCCTCCAAAAGTGATAGCATTACAGGCGTGAGCCACGGCACCTGGCCCCTCTTTTGCTTTTAAGGGCTCCTGTGATTACATTGGGCCCACTCAGATAATCCAGGATAATCTCCCTATTTTAAGAGAGCTGCCTAGTAAACTTGGTTATATCTTTGAAGTCCCATACCTGTAACCCCAGCACTTTGGGAGGCCAAGGTGGGAGGATCACTTGAGGCCAGGAGTTAGTGTCTAGCCTGGGCAGCATAGTGAGACCCCTTCTCTACAAAACAATTTTAAAAAAAATAGCCAGGTTTAGTGGTGCATACTTGTAGTCCCAACTACTCAAGAGGGTGAGGTGGGAGGATTGCTTGAGCCTGGGAAGTGAAGTGGGAGGATTGTTTGAGCCTGGGAGGTCGAGGCTGCAGTGAGCTGTGGCTACACCACTACACTCAAGCCTGGGTGACAGAGCGAGACCCTGTCTCAAAAAACAAAAAACAGGCCAGGTGCAGTGGCTCATGCCTGTAATCCCAGCACGTTGGGAGGCTAAAGCACATGGATCACTTGTGCTCAGAAGTTCGAGACCAGCCTGGGCAACATGGCGAAACCTGTCTCTACTAAAAATACAAAAATTAGCCAATCGTGGTGGTGCACGCCTGTAATCCCAGTTACTCGGGATGCTGAGGCATCAGAATTGCTTGGACCCAGGAGGCAGAGGTTGCAGTGAGCCGAAATGGTGCCACTGCACTCCTCCCTGGGCGACAGAGTGAGACAATGTCTCAAACAAAACAAAATAACCAAACAACACAAACAAGGGAGTGACATTGGTGGCAGAGATTATGGGGTCAAAATACTGCCTGCCCCAGCCTCTAACTGCTTGGGATGATTGGAAGGGTGAAAATGCACCACCTCCATCCCGTCCCCCATCCTTGAGAAGTGCTGGTATTAGACATTTAAATACATGGTCCTTGCTCCTGCATAATGCACTGGGTGGTGGGACTGTTCCTCTCAGCAACTCTCTAAGGGAGCTAGCATGGTCTCCATCTTCCAGATGTGCACACCAAGATCCCAGCCATCAAGGAACATAGGTGGCAGAGCCAATATGTGAAACTGTCTCTGTCTCAGCTTCACATAAAGGCTTGTCATCTCACCATGGGCCCAAGTCCAGGGCTCCTGAATCCTTTGGAAATTTAGTCC
Source organism: Homo sapiens (assembly GCF_000001405.40). Classification (NCBI taxonomy): domain Eukaryota; kingdom Metazoa; phylum Chordata; class Mammalia; order Primates; family Hominidae; genus Homo; species Homo sapiens. Next base: position 75,242,830 of record NC_000010.11, read on the forward strand.
TTCTGGGAGGCATCCACCATGTACCAGCAATGTACATGTGATGCAGCTTCTCTGGTTCAATTCTGTCCTGGCACGTAGGTGTTAATAGGAGTCCCCAGTGGATGGCTTACATGTGTGTGTTTTCTGGTTGTGCTGTTTTTTTCCTTTCTTACCTGGAGGTGGCCAGGGCTGCATATCACGGCCACTCTTGGGTATCGTTGCTTCTGCCGGACACCTCAGCTGATTCTCAGGCACCTTCCAGTGGTGGAGACTTCATGGGGCTCTTTGAAAATTAACAAAGAAAGTCTTACAGCTCTGTTTTTGTTTGTTTGTTTGTTTGTTTGTTTGTTTTTTTCCCAGATGGAGTCTCCCTCTGTTGCCCAGGGTGGAGTGCAAAGGTACCATCTCTGCTCACTGCAACCTCTGCCTTCTGGGTTCAGGCGAATTCTCTTGCCTCAGCCTTCCGAGTAGCTGGGATTACAGGTGCCTGCTACCACGCCCGGCTAATTTTTGTATTTTTAGTAGAGATGGGGTTTCACCATGTTGGCCAGGCTGGCCTTGAACTCCTGACCTCAAGTGATCCTCCTGCCTTGACCTCCCAAAGTGCTGGAATTACCGGCATGAGCCACCATGCTCGGCCCCCTTGCAGCACTTATCTCTCCACATTGAGACACGGGACTACATTGTGAGTCCCTCCTTCCCCCAAAAGAAGATAAACACACTTTGCAGACTCCCCTGCAGGCACATGACCTAGCTTCCACCGATCAGATGCACAAGACTTGGAAGCAAGTAAACGTGGGCAAGGTGAGCTAGCTGGGCGTGGAGGAGAGTGATCTCCCGGCAAGCAGGTATGACGCGGTGCAGGTGCCTGTTTCCACTGGGGTGGCTGTGGTGGAGCCTCTACCAAGAGGCAGGCTGTGGCGGTAGCTGTGTTGTAGTTAGGACAGTCCTGTGGTGAGATTGGGTGGGGCTCCCCGGCTGTATTGTTCCTGGTAGTGGATCATCCAAGCCTGCTTCTCTGGTCTTCCCAGAGTCTGCTGTTTGTAACAAAGTGAACTTGCTGTTTGTAACAAAGTGAATTCTGTTGTTTGCAACAAAGTAGAATCTGTCCTTTACCACTGAGTGGCTTCTGTGGCTTATAATTAAAAGCCCTGCCCGGTCCACTCCCATTGATAGAACTCACTGGAGTCCTGGACCTCCAGCCCACACTGTTACTGTTCAGCTCGGAGCCATTCCTCCTCCTGCCTTGCCAACATGGGCCTGATATTGTTTAAGCAGCAACATGTGCAACTCTGTGGGGGAACTATGATCAGTCTCAGGCTGCCATAACCATCCTAGTCCTTTTCCCAGGATACTACTTTCTTACCCACATAGTTGCTAGGGGTGACTGTGTGGTTCGTTCCTGGCCACAGATAAAGGGGGGCTTCTCAGGACATTTTTCTTTCTGATAATAAGAAATCCTCTTTTCCTGCTTAGTCTCTTCTTACCTTGAATGGAGTTGTATAAAGATGAAATGCTTGCAGCCATAGCAGCCATTTTGTGGCCATGAGGCAACAAAGTTAAGGATTAACAACAAACAAACAAAAAACACCAGTGAGGATGGCAAGAGGAAATACGGTTTATTGGTTCTCAAAGACATTGTCAAGCCCTTGAACCAACATCAGCAGCATCTACCTCCACACTCTGTTCTAGGAGAAAATGGAGCCCTTTGTGTTTAAGGAATGATTAACTGTATACATATCCTTTTAGTTAAGGCTCAGAGCTGTCCTAACTTATTCCAGTCCCCAGGCAGTGTGGCTCATGCCCACAGGGATGGTTTAGAGTTGGTGCTGGATAACCCTGTTTGCTTTTTCTTCAGGCTAGAGTGGCAGATTCCACAATGAACTTTGGAATCGTGCCCTGCATGAGTGAGGCCTCCATTTCCTCAGGAGTGAGTTTGCCCAGTCCCCTTGCAGACAGATTTATGGCAAGCCAGTCCCTCCCCTCCCTGAGAAACCCAATTGCCAGCCCTGGGCAGCCCACCCTCACCCTATGGCAGGCCCGTGGGGTCTCATGGCCCCTCTGGATCTCCCTGTGGGTGAGATGAGATCCCCACATTCTGCAGGTGAGGCCCTGGCGGAGAAGTGACTTATCCAAAGTCCCACGGGCAGGGTGTAGGGGCTGGCTCCAGTTTTGTAGGATCCAAGCTTGGGGGTCCCACTCCAGTAGGAGTCTCTCTATTTGCCCCAGGGCCAGGGTCACAGGGACTTCTGGGACAGTGGATGACCAGGTGGAGTGGGCGCTTCCGGGCAGCAAGCTGAAGCGGGCTTGAGGAAGCCTGTGTTCTCCTGGGCCTGAGAAACAGGTTTCTGTTGCAACAGTGCTGTAACAGCCCTGGACCTCAGTGGCTTCCAAAATAATCATTTACTTTCTCTCTCCTGGTTCAGGAGTCAGCTGGCATGGTTTTGCTTCAAGTTGTGGGTCCAGATCATTTGGGAAGCAGCAGAGACCTGGGGATGCTCTTGCCTGGTGGGCAGCACAAGCACGAGAGGTGCACCACACAGGTGCGTTGAAAGCCCCTGCCCGTGCCAAGTCTGCTGAAGTTCCATTGGCCAAAGCCACTCACTTGGCCAAGCCTGTAGTATCAGGGTAAGTGAGTGTGTTCTACCCGCTCTGTGGGGTGGCCCTGCAAGGCCACCTGTGTAATCCTATTACAGGTGGATGAGTGAAAGGTCAGGATGAACAATCCAATCTAACAGGTCCCACATGCTCCACAGTGACCCCAAAGCCACAGTAACACTCTAACCCCACCTACACCACTGGGCAGGATCTCCTCAGGGCAGGGGGGCGGGGGTGCTGCCTCACGCAGGAGCTGCCTTCAGGTCTGGCTGGCCCCAGGGCCTCTGCAGATCCATTCTTGCTCAATTCCTAAGAGTTCAGGGTTTCCCATCTTGCCTCCCATCAGCTCTGGGAAGCCAAAGACTCCGTCTGTTTCTCAGAGGAAGAACTTGAAGTTCAGGGAGCCAGGGTGTGGCTGAAGATTGCAGGGCAGACTCCCTGCCTCTGCCCAACCCCCACTGCCATCCTGAGCCCAGCAGGGAGGTGCTGAGTGGTCAGGCTCGCCTCCCTGAGCACCTGCCTCCCAGGAGGGACACACTCCCAGCCACTTGCCCCTTTCCTCCATGCCACCCCCACGCTCAGCCTATGCCCTCCCTGCAGAAATGCAGGGAAATGCAGCCGTGGACTGCAGGGTGCAGCCTGCCCTGCTCGGGGGACCTCTCAGCTCTTGTTTGCATTTGGCAGCCCCTGAGCTGGCCTGGGGACAGATTTTTATTTGCCTTGCTCAGGGTTTTATTTGTTTCAATGGAGCCAACACTAAACAGTCAGATTTCACAAAGAATTCAGATTTAATTTCTATTCCTTTTGAAACAGTGAAAGATTTGCCTACATGGGGCCCACTTAGCTGCGGAGCAGGTCTGCTGGGGCTGCCTGGTGCCCCACCCCCCACCCCCCACCTCAGATGGGTTAAGGACCCCTGCCCCAGCCCCCACCACTCCCTGCTGCCTCACACCCAAACAACTTCACTCATTTTCTATATTGGTCTTTATGCTGCTGGCATATGAGCTGTGACCTCTGATTTAATCCAGTTCCCAGAGGCCCAGAGAGGGGAGACTCCTGTCTGGGGTCTATGGCCAGTCAGGAGACCTTATTTCTCTTTCTCTCTTCCCAAGAACTTCATCTGGATCCCTCCTGTGGACTCCAACCCAGAGGCCCAGTCTCTGCTTCCTGCCCCCAGTGGCTCAGGCTAGGGGCTTTCTCTCCAGGCAAAGCTGTTTGTGTCCTGGCTTAATAAAGCTCCCTGGCATTGCTGCCCCAGGGGTACACTCACCCGAGGAAAAAGTCCAGACTGACAAGAGGCTCTGGGAGACATGGGGGGCAGGGGGGCTCATATCTCTGAGCTATACAGCGAAGCCCTGCAGATGTTTAATATTGGATCGTTGGCTGGGCATGGTGGCTCACACCTGTAATCCAAGTACATTGGGAGGCCGAGGCGGGTGAATCACCTGAGGTCAGGAGTTCAAGACCATCCTGGCCAACATGGTGAAACACCGTCTCTACTAAAAATACAAAAATTAGCTAGGTGTGGTGGTGGTGCACACCTGCAGTCCCAGCTACCCAGGAGGCTGAGGCAGGAGAATCACTTGAACCCAGAAGGCACAGGTTGCAGTGAGTCGAGATCAAGCTACTGCAACCCAGCCTGGGTGACAGAGTGAGACTCTGTAGCAAGAAAAAAATAAAAATAAAAATAAAATAAATGAAATAAAATGGTATCATAACAGCCGACACATATATTACACTTCCTGTGTACCAGCCACTTCTTATGAAGCCTTATTCCCCATGGGACGAGGCTTCATATTAACCCACTTACTCCTCAAGTCAGCCCTGTAAGGGGGGAGGTACCACTTTTATCCCTGTCTTACAGAGGAGAAAGCTGAAGCATAGAGAGGCTAAGCCACTTGCCCCAAGTTGCACAGCTTATAAGTGGTAGAGCAGGGATTTGAAGCCAGGTCCTCTGGTTTCAGGGCCCACAGTTCCTAACCACTGAACTATCCTGGAGGACATGCCATCCTCATCATGTGACTTCTCCTCATTGAGTAAGATAGCTGTTTGAGCTCTGGCCTTACACCTCACTCCAGTTTTCAGGGAAAAGGCAAGGGACAGCACAGGACTCACCCCTTCCTTTAAGGATCCTTGCTGAATGTTTCACAGGGAGCTCCTGCTTGCCTCCCTTTGACTGGCATTTAGTCACACAGCAACACCTCAGCCAAGAAAAGGTCTTTATTCCAGTGATTATGAGCTCAATGAAAAAATCAGCTCTACTCTTACAGGGGAGAATGGAGATGGAAACTTTAGCATCATTGCTGCATTTCACGGATGAAGAAACTAAGGCTCAGAGGGGTGCATGACCTGCTGGAGGTCACGCAGCCAGGAAGAAGTGGAGCCTAGATCTTCTGTCCCTGGGCTTTTAGGAGCCAGTGGGGCCCCAAAGGCACACCCTGCTGATTTCCTGGGGGTGAGAAGGACTGGGCTTTGGTGCACAACCCCCTCCCCTGCCCCAGGAACACCTGGGGCCCAGGCCCTGCCAGCCAAAGCCTCCTGTGCCTTCCAGCCCTGGCAGCCTCTCTGGGCCCAGATCCGTCACACTGGCACCCATCCTGCCCCGGGCCTGGCCTGACTCCATCCAGTCTGCTCACACCAGCATTGACTGTGCTTGGGCAGGTTACTGAAGCAGCCTCAAGAGCACTGAATAATTCAGGCCCACGTAATGGGATAATGAATTTACCGACAGCCTGGTGTGGTCTCTGTACTTACATTTTGAGAAATACTGACTCCGTAGGCCCACTGGCAGGCAAGGGAGGTACACACCCCGAGAAACTGTTGCGTCTGCCTATTCGTGGGGTTCAGGCCTGACAGAGTGGGGACCCAACTTCGGTCTCAGTGGTTCTTCCCCTGCTTGGGGAAGTGGGGAGTCTGGGGCAGGGGGAGGCCTGAGTGGAACTTTGGGGAGAGGTGGAAGCAGAATCCCAGGAGTTCAGAAAGGCAGAGCTTGAAGGGAGCCTGGCTGCCCTTGGTCCTGCACGCCCATTTCATGAACAGGGAAACTGAGGTGGCAGGCGGGACTGCCTATGCCCCTGGACACTGTTCTGTGCTGACAATACCAGGGATGACTCGTGGCTCTGGGGAAGAGACCTGTGTATTTTCCTTCTAGTCTGCAGTTACCTGTCCCCCAGCTGCTGGGGGGAAGGGGGTGTCACTGCTAATGCCCCACAGCTGCCCCTTCACTGGAGATGTGTCCTTAGCCAAACGAGAGCCACCGCCACGTGGAAGGCCACGCTCTGCCTGCCAAAACCTGGGCACACTGTGGCTGACTTCCATGGTGGTACAAGAGCGGGAGTAACTGTGTGACGCTCTCTATGCTCCAGAATCCCCGGGGAATAAGGCTACTGTGGGACTCCAGCTGAGACCACATTCCAGCTTCGCCTTCACCCCCTTCCCTACCCTACTTCTCTCACTCCCCTTCTCCTCCAAACCTCCACAGCAGATCATTTGAATGGAGTTCGGTCTCAGAGTCTGCTTCTGGGAGTCCACCTAAGACCCCATATTTCCTGGCCCAAGCCTCCCTTCTGAGCACCGCCCCAGAGCACCAACAGGGCTCAGAGCCAGGACTCCTTGGCCCTGGCCCTGGCTCCACTACATGACTGTGAGGAAATCACTGGTCTGCCCTGGGCCTCAGTTTCCCCATCTGTGTGATTGGTTGGCAGGAGGATCTTTCAGGGTCCCTTCCAGCTCTGAAGTTCTGTGACGTGACCTGAGGTGCCAGGAAGCCTTCTCCCTCCCCCGCCTAGCCCCACAGGCACATGGAATTCTGCCACTGGGGCATCACTTTTTCCTCGAAGGAGTTTTCACAATGCAAAAGCATCTGAGATGAGAATGAGCATCCAATCAGGTGATCACACCACAGGGCAGAATTTCTCAGTGTGGGGTTCTTGGATCACCTGCAATGAGTTCTTCACCTGAAGGGGTGTTTATTATTATTATTAATTTCCCTCTTCTGTCTCTCTTTTTCTTTTTGAGACACAGCTGTCTCCCAGGCTGGAGTGCAGTGATGCAATCTTGGCTCACTGCAACCTCCACCTCCCAGGTTCAAGCAATCCTCCCACCTCAGCCTCCTGAGTAGCTGGAACTACAGGCCTGCAACACCATGCCCAGCTGATTTTTGTATTTTTAGTAGAGACGGGGTTTCACCATGTTGGCCAGGCTGGTCTCGAACTCCTGACCTCAAGCGATCTGCCCACCTTGGCCTCCCAAAGTGCTAGGATTACAGGCGTGACCCACTGCGCCCAGCCTTCCTCTCCTTTTCTTGGATGTGATACCTTGGGCTGGCTGCAGCAGCTAGCTTTCAACCATGAGGAAAGAGCATGGCATGCAAACAACAAGCTAAGAATAGTGAAGCAGAAACATAAAAAGAAGCTGGGTTTTCGCTGGCATTTCTGAATCATTGCACCAAGCTTGAAGACCCTTACTTCCTATATGAAATAATTAAATATCTATATTGCTCAAGCAAGTCTTGGTTGACTCTTCTGCTATTTGCAGCCCAAAGCATTCCAAATGGAATCAACTGTCCTTATCACACTGAATTGTAATAGCAACCCTCTAGGGAGGGGATTATTATTGGCTCAGAGAAATGAAGTGACATAGTTAATGTCAGCTGGCAAGTGGCAGTGCCTCTTTGGGCAGGAGCTTTTAGGTTGGGATGATTTGATTATTGGTAAGAATTTAATTTCTGTCTCCTTCATTGCATCTGTCCTATCATAGTCTGACCATGGGGCATAACCTCCTCCCTTGCCATTCTGGTCTTTGGCCTTCTCTCTTTCTCTATCCATCCCACTCTGGGTCTCAGACTAAAGACCCAGGAAAAGCCATTGTGGAGTAGAGGGGAGGCAGCAAGTCACCATGGTGCATTCCTCGATGGACTTTCCCTAATGAGTGTGGCCAGATTCTGGTACCAATGACTGTGGAGAAACCCAAACCCAACTCAGAGATAATTCTGGCCTCTAAACAGCCCCTCTTTCGGGGAGGTGTTATAGCAAAAGAAAGAAAGAGCTCAGGGACACAAAAACAGACAGACAGAGGAAAGGAGGGAAAAACAGCAGGAGAAAGAGTAGAGAAGGAGGAGGGTGAGAAGATGGGAGAAGAGAGGATCTCAGGTTAGAGTTTGACAGGCCTGACATTGAATCTCAGTCCAGACACTGACGAGTAGGTGACCTAGTAGGGTAGGGAGATTCGAAGAGGTCCTTCAGAAGGCAGAGAATTTGAGAGCCACAGTGGGGTGAGCAGGGGGAGAGTAACTGCTCCAGACCCTGCAACTGATTCCCCAAACCCTGGGTGGTTGTTGTGTGTGTAGGGAGCCCTCTCTGAGGGCTGCCCCAGATTCATGGGGAAGGCAGGGGCAGGAATGGCCTTAGACTAGGGAAAAAAAGGAGGGCCTGTGTCCTTTTTCTAGCCCAGGTGTCGGATACACTCATGAAGGCACAGAAAGCACCTGAGCTTCGCCTCCACCGCCTTTGGGCAGTGGCCAGAGAGGAGCCTAGGGATGACCTTTGGCCTGGGCAGTGGGCAGAGAGGAGCCTGGGGTTGGCCTTTGGCTTGGGTAGCAGGTAGAGAGGATCCCAGTGATGACTTTTGGCTTGGGCAATAACTGGGGAGGGGCTGGATCATATGCCTTCAGGGCCTGGCATACAGCCAGTGCCCTCAGCTGAAGTACTGAGCCTGGGGCTGGTGGGTGAGGAAAGGAAGGAGCAGTTTTCCAGCATTAGTCAGGAGGCGCAGGGCTGGGGGTAGAAGGGGAGTGGCTCCTCTCTCTGGAACTTGCCCTGCTCACCTGTCTAATGCCTCATGCCTATGACTTCAGGCTGGCAGACATTGCTGTTTCCACAGAGCTTTCCCCAATCCCTCGGGCCAGATGTCTCCTTACGGAGCTGTTGTGGGGGTTTAAAGCATGTCAGGGAATTCGGCCCAGCATGGTGGCTCACATCTGTAATCCCAGCACCTTGGGAGGCCAAGGAGGGGTGGGCGTGGATCACGAGGTCAGGAGTTCGAGACCAACCTGGCTAACATGGTGAAACCCTGTCTCTACTAAAAATACAAAAATTAGCTGGGTGTGGTGGCATGTGCCTGTAATCCCAGATACTCGGGAGGCTGAGGCAGGAGAATTCCTTAAACCAGGGAGGCAGAGATTGCAGTGAACAGAGATCATGCCACTGCATTATAGCCTAGGTGACAGAGCAAGACTTCGTCTCAGGAAAACAAACAAACAACACAAACAAACAAAAAACAGAATTTTTAGACACTTATCTCATGAGGAGATGGAGTCTACGTCCCTTACCTTGAACTAATCTGATCAGACAAGAAAGGCCTCTACGACAGCCTTTTTGAACAGAATGTAGTGGAAGTGATGCCGTGTGACTTCCGGGGCTGGGTTAGAAAAGGTCACATCGCATCTCCCAGATTCTCTTGAGCCCTTGATCTGAGAGCCATCAGGTGTCCTGTAAGAAGTCCATCTCCCCTGTGGAGGCCTCCATGTGTAGAGACCACACAAAGTAAGAGGCAGACAGGGGCCCCAATTCATTCAGCCCCTGCTGTTTGAGTCTTTCTAGCCCAGGTGTCAGACACACTCATGAAGAAGCCCTTGAGATGACACAGTCCCAGCCCCAGCCACTCTGGAGCTGTCTGCCATGTGTGAGGTCCAGAGTGAGAACTGCCTAGTTGTGTCCAGGTAACCTCCAAATTCATGAGCAGAATAAAATGATAGGGTATTAGTTTTCAAGGCCTTCCTAGGTAAAACACAAATTGGGTAAAACAACATAAATTAATTTTATCACAGTTCCAGAGGCCAGATCTGAAGTCAAGGTGTTGGTGGGGTTGGCTCCTTCTGAGGGTTCTGAGGGTAATTTGTAATTCTTTTTTTGGGTTTTGTTTTTGTTTTTGGAGATAGAGTCTCACTCTGTTGCCCAGGCTGGAGTGCAGTGGTGTGATCTTGGCTCACTGCAACCTCTGCCTCCTGGGTTCAAGCGGTTCTCCTATCTCAGCCTCCTGAGTAGCTGAGACTACAGGTGCACACCACCCTGCTTGGCTAATTTTTGTATTTTTAGTAGAGATGGGGTTTCACCATGTTGGCCAGGCTGGTCTTGAACTCTTGACTTCAGGTGGTCTGCCCGCCTTGGCCTCCCAAAGTGCTGAGATTACAAGCATGAGGCACTGCACCTGGCCTCTGAGGGTAATTCTGTTCCAGGCCCTTCTCTCACCTTCTGGTGGTAGGTAATGCTTGGCATCCCTTGGCTTGTAGCTGTATCACTCCAACCTTTGCCTCCATCTTCACTTGTGTTCTCTGTGTGTCTTTGTGTACAAATTTCCCTCCTCTTATAAGTATACAAGTCATATTGGATTCCCTAATCCAATATGCCTCACCCTATCCCAGTATGCCTAATCTTAACTCATTACATCTACAATGATTGTATTTCCACATAAGTTCACATTCTGAAGTACTGGGAGTTAGGACTTCAGCATATCTTTTGGGGGGACACAATTCAATCCAGAACAGACAGTTATCATTTGAAGCCACTGTTTTGGAGTGCTTTGTTATGCAGCAGTAGTTACCCAGAACACTGGAAGTAAGGGATGGCTGGGGCAGCAACTAAAATACCAGTGTAAATGTAGTGAGATGAAAAAAATTTACCAGAACATCCTCTGGGAGGCTACTGTACGTGGCTGGAATAATTTATTTTCTGAGTAGTTTGGGGTTGAGGTGGGGCACCAGATCTTCCCCCTAAAAAGTGTATGTTTCAATAGCAACATGTAGTTGAATAATAACAGACAGCTTCCCTAATGCCTTCTAAAGTAGGAAAAGAACCTGGGTTTTGCTTTGTGGGATAGTCCTTTCTCTTAAATAAATGTTGAATTTTTATAGAAAGAGAACCAATTTGAATATTAGAGTGTTTCTGGCCTCTACATATCTCAGAATGGTGTTGTTTACTAATGCTTACTCCATCAGAACACTGATTAACTGTGAGGTGCAGTTGCCTGGTTAAGTGTTGGGCTTCCCCATAGACTGTAAATGACCCTGTGGGGAGGGACAGGCTCAGTCTTGCTCCCCACTAAATTCTCAGAAGTTCTTGGCACAAAGTAGGTGGTTCATAGTTATTTGCTGAAAGCATGAACATTGGAAAAGGAACAAATTGGATTTAAATCTATATGATGACTAAAGACACACAAATCTATTAGCTGCAAAACATCTAACAATGCTAGAAAAATTACTTTTGAAATCCCTTCAGTTAATGGAAGAGCCTTTAAGAAGGTAAGGGAATTACCAGAGGCCAGAAATGAACTGGAAACATCAGTCCAGGAAGTAAGTGATTGTGAAACTGCTGCACACCCTGAGGACATCTACCTCACTGGGCCGCCTGAAACCTCCACAGCTTCTGAGGCACAAGAAAGAAGCAAGAGGTCTTAAAAATTACCAGGAAGATTTAAAAAAGAACCAAACAGAGCTTCTAGAAATTTAAATATATCAGGTATGAAATTAAAAACTCAATGACACAGTTAAATAATTGAATAGACACAGCTGGAGGTGGAATTTGTAAACTGGAAGATAGATCTGAAAAAATTACACATAATACAGCATAGAAAAATGGAAAGTATGAAACAGGTTAAGAGGCATAAAGGATGGAATAAAAAATATTTAATATACATCTAAGCAGAGTTTTGAAAATTATAAGTAAAAAGGGAGAGAGGCAATATTCAAAGAGACAGTACCTGAGAGTTTTCCATGATTATTAAAAAACATGAATCCTCAGATTCAGGAATTCCAATGATCTCAAACAGGATAAACAGAAAGAAATCCATACATACTTCATAGATACATCATATCTATAGATACATCATAGTCAAAGTGAAGAATACCAAAGACAAGAAGATCTTAAAAGAACCAAAAAAATAAGTTTTTTTTTGTTCACAACTTTTTTTTTTTTTTTTTTTTAGAAAGGGTCTCACTCTATTGTCCAAACTGGAGTGCAGTAGTATGATCTCAGCTCACTGCAACCTCTGTATCCTGGGCTCCATTGATCCTCCAGCCTCAACCCCCCAAGTAGCTGGGACTATAGGCACATACCACTGTGCTTGGCTAATTTTTGTATTTTTTCTAGAGGTGGGGTTTTGCCATGTTGCCCCTGGACTCAAGCGACCTGCCGATCTTGGCCTCCTAAAGTGCTGGGGTTACAGATGTGAGTCACTGTGCCCGGCCACACAACTTCTATAATTAGAAGAAATTAGACTAATGGCTGATTAGTAATAACAGCATCAATATTAGCAATGAAAGACAGAATATTAATTTCAATAGGCTTTTAAAAAGTCACAAAACTAAGGACTATACACCCCAGTGAAGAACTACACACCCCAGTGAAACTATCTTTTTGGAGTAAGTGTGGATCCTAGGTGTATACTCAAGAGAATTAAAAACATATATCCACATAAAAACTTGGACTTAACATGTTCATAGCAGCATATTCATAATAGCCAAAAAATGGGCCTGGTGTGGTGACTCACACCTATAATCTCAGCACTTAGGGAGTGTGTTAGTCTGTTTTTATGCTGCGGATAAAGACATACTTGAGACTGGGTTATTTATTTATTTATTTATTTATTTATTATTTTTTATTTTTTTGAGTCTTGCTCTGTTGCCCAGGCTGGAGCGCAGTGGTGCCATCTCACTTACTGCAACCTCTGGCTCCTGGGTTCAAGCAATTCTCCTGCCTCAGCCTCCCAAGTAGCTGGGATTATAGGCATCCGCCACCATACCTGGTTAATTTTTTTGTATTTTCAGTAGAGACGGAGTTTTGCCATGTTGGCCAGGCTGGTCTCAAACTCCTGACCTCAGGTGATCCACCCGCCTTGGCCTCCCAAAGTACTGGGATTACAGGCATGAGCCACTGTGCCTGGCAAGACTTGCTAATCTATAAAGGAAAGAAGTTTAATCGACTGACAGTTCCACATGGCTGGGAGGCCTCACAATCATAGTGGAGGGCAAAAGGCATATCTTATATGGTGGCAGACAAAGAGGGAAATGAGAGCCAAGTGCAAGGGGTTTCCCTTATAAAACCATCAGAATGGCTGGATGTGGTGGCTCACGCCTGTAATCCCGACACTTTGGAAAGCCGAGGTGGGTGGATCACCTGAGGTCAGGAGTTCGAGACCGGCCTGGCCAATATGGTGAAATCCCATCTCTACTAAAAATACAAAAATTAGCCAGGCGTGGTGGTGTGTGCCTGTAGTCTCAGCTACTTGGAAGGCTGAGACAGGAGAATTGCTTGTACCTGGGAGGCAGAAGTTGTAATGAGCTGAGATCACATCACTGCACTCCAGCCTGGGTGACAGAGCGAGACCCTGTCTCAAAACAAAACAAAACAAAAACCTATCAGATCACATGAGACTTATTCACTATCATGAGAGTGGTATGGGGAAAACCACCCTCATGATTTAATTATCTCCCACCAGGTCCCTCCCACAACATGTGGGAATTAAGGGAGCTACAATTCAAGATGAGATTTGGGTGGGGACACAGCCAAAGCATATCAGGGAGGATGAGGCAGGAGTAGCGCTTGAGCCCAGGAGTTTGAGACCAACCTGGGAGCATAGAGGGACTCCATCTCTACATTTTTTTTTTTTAATTAGCCAGGTGTTGTGGCATGTGCCTGTGGTCCCAGCCACTTGAGAAGCTGAGGTGGAGGGGATCGCTTGAACTAGGGACATCAAGGCTGCAGTGAGCTGTGATCACACCACTGCACTCCGGCCTAGGTGACACAGCAAGACCCTGTCTCAAAAAACAAAACAAAACAAAACAAAAACAACTGAAATGTACATGAACTAATGAATGAATAAATAAAATGTGGTATAGTGGCTGGGTGAGGTGGCTCACACCTATAATCCCAGCACTTTGGGAGGCTGAGGCAGGTGGATTGCTTGAGCTCAGGGGTTTGAGACCAGCCTGGGCAACATGTTGAAACCGTGTCTCTACAAAAAAAACAAAAATTAGCTAGGCGTGGTGGTATGCACCTGTGGTCCCAGCTACTCAGGAGGCTGAGGCGGGAACATTGCTGGAGCCCAGGAAGTCGAGGCTGCAGTGAGCTATGATTGCACCACTGCACTCCAGCTTGGGTGACAGAATGAAAACCTGTAAAAAAAAAAAAAAAAAAAAAAAAAAAAAAGGGGTATAGCCATACAATAAAGTATTACTTGTCATGAAAAGGAATAAAATTCTAATTCATGCTACAACATAGATGAACCTTGAAACCATGCTAATTGAAAGATGCAAAGGCCACATGTTGTATGATTTCATTTATGAAATGTCCAGAATAGGCAAATCCATAGGGACAGAGAGTAAATTAGTAGCTGCCAGGACCCAGGGTATTGGAGGGGAATAGGGATTGACTGCTAATGGGCATGAAGTTTCTTTTTTGAGTGATGAAAAGTTCTGGTGTTTGCAAAACCTTATAAACATACTAAAACCACTGAATTATATGCTTTCAAAGGGTGAATTTTATGGTATGTGAATTATATCTCAATAACAAATGCAAAAAACAAGACTAAGTTTGGAAATAAAGACATTTTCATTTACGCTAAAACTGAGAGAAGTTATATACAACAGACCCCATGCTCCCCCAAAAGAATTTCTGACGAATGAACATGAAGAGAAGAAAAATGATCTCAGGGAGAAAGTCTGAAGTATTAAAAAAAAATGATGAATTGAGAAAACAATAAAAATATGGGTGAAACTAAACACCCTTACTGTCCAAAAGAATGTCTGTTCCATGGGGTTAAACAAGAGATGAAGCTAAAAGGCTGGGCCTGATGTGAATGGAAGTAAAGTCTTCAAAGTGCCCTGCCTTGTCCAGGAGAAGGCTACGATATTGGTTAATATTAGACTATGTTAAGTTCAGTAATCATTCTAAAATTTGAAGAGTTGGCTGGGCATGGTGGCTCAGGCCTGTAATCCCAGCACTTTGGGAGGCCAAGGAGGGCAGATCACCTGAGGTCAGGAGTTCAAAACCAGCCTTGCCAACATAGCAAACCCAGTCTCTACTAAAAAAAATACAAAAATTAGCTGAGTGTGGTGGCACATGCCTGTAATCCCAGCTACTTGGGAGGCTGAGGCAAAATTGCTTGAACCTGGGAGGCAGAGGTTGCAGTGAGCGGAGATCACACCATTGCACTCCAGCCTGGGTGACAGCAACACTCCGTCTCAAAAAAATGAAATAAAATGCCAAGAGTCATCAATAAAAAAATAAGAAATAGAATGCCTGTCTTCCAAACTAGCAAATGGGGGAAAAAATGGGATAAGTGTGAAAGCTGAATCAATTCAAAATAATGCAGCAAAGAAGAAGAAAAGAAATCCGTAGAAAGCAGGACAAAAACCAAAACCTTCCGGGCACGGTGGCTCACGCCTGTAATCCCAGCACTTTGGGAGGCTGAGGCGGGCAGATCACCTGAGGTCAGGATTTTGAGACCAGCCTGGCCAACATGGCAAAACCCCATCTCTACTAAAAATACAAAAATTAGCCAGGCATGTTGGTGCACACCTGTAATCCCAGCTACTTGGGAGGCTGAGGCAGGAGAATTGCTTGAACCTGGGAGATGGATGTTGCAGTGAGATGAGATTGCACCACTGCACTCCAGCCTGGGCAACAAGAGTGAAACTCCATCTCAAAAACAAACAAACAAACAAAACCCCAAACCCCAAACCCAAACCAATGCCCAAAATACCACAAAATAAGATCATAGAAATAAAGTCAGGCTGGGCGCGGTGGCTCATGCCTGAAATCCCGGCACTTTGGGAGACCAAGATGGGTGGATCACCTGTCAGGAGTTTGAGACTAGCCTGACTGACACAGTGAAACCCCATCTCTTCTAAAAATACAAAATTAGCTGGGCGTGGTGGCGCATGCCTGTAATCCCAGCTACTTGAGAGGCTAAGGCAGGAGAATTGCTTGAACCTGGGAGGTGGAGGTAGCAGTAAGCAAAGATTGTGCCATTGCACTCCAGCCTGGGCAGTAAGAGTGAAACTCCATCTAAAAAAAAAAAAAAAAAAAAAAAGAAAGAAATAAGGCCAAATACATTTGTAATCTCTAGAAATACAGACTGAACTCTCCAATTAAAAGGCATAGACTATCAGACTGCGTTAAAAAAGAGACTAGCTAAATGCTGCTTACGTGAGATGCATCTAAAACATGAGGACAGATTAAAAAATTCTAAGTAAAACAGTCAAAAACAAAAAACAACAAAAAAACAAAATCCTCAAAACTACTGACCAAAAGAAAACCAGCATAGACATATCAGTATAGACTAAATAGACTTTAGGGCAAAAAGGTGTTACTAGAGGTACAGAGGGTTGGCCTGATGTGGTGCTCCTGCCTATAATCCAAGCACTTTGGGAGGCTGAGGCAGGAGGATCTCTTGAGGCCAGGAGTTCAAGACTAGCCTCGACAACATGGCAAAACCTTGTCCCTACAAAAAGAAAAAAAAAAAAAAGAAAAAAAAAAAAGAAATCCAGGCAAGGTGGCATGTGCCTGTGGTCCCAGCAACTTGGGAAGCTGAGGTTGGAGGACCACTTGAGCCCAATAGTTGGAGGCTGCAGTGAGCCAAGACTGGACCACTGCACTCCAGCCTGGGTGACAAAGCAAGACCCTGTCTCTAAAAAAATAATAAATTAATTAAAAAAAGAAATATAGAGGGTGAATAACAAAATTTAAATTCATCAGGAGAAAATTATAATTCTAACTTCATGGATACCCAATAATATAGCTTCAAAATATATGAGGTCTTTTATCAGATATATGATTTACAATATTTTCTCCCTTTCGGTGGGTTGCATTTTCACTTTATTGTTGGTGTCCTACGGGCATAAAAGTTTAAAGTTTTAAGTTCAATTTGTCATTTTGTTTCTTTTGCTGCTCATGATTTTGGGGTCATTCTGAGAATCCTTTGCCAAATCCAAGGTTATAAAGATTAAATAATTAGCCAGGCAGGGTGGCACACGCCTGTGGTCCCAGCTACTTGGGAGGCTGGGGTGGGAGGATCATTTGAGCCCGGGAGGTCAAGGGGGTGCAGTGAGTCTGGACTGAGCCACTGCACTCTAGCCTGGGTGACAGAGCAAGACCCTGTCTCAGAAAACAAAACAAAACTAAACAAAAAACTCTATGTTTTCTTCTAAGAGTTTTTTTTTTGTTTTTTTTTTTTTTGAGACGGAGTCTCGCTCTGTCGCCCAGGCTGGAGTGCAGTGGCGCGATCTCGGCTCACTGCAAGCTCCGCCTCCCGGGTTCACGCCATTCTCCTGCCTCAGCCTCCCGAGTAGCTGGGACTACAGGCGCCCGCTACCACGCCCGGCTAATTTTTTGTATTTTTAGTAGAGACGGGGTTTCACCGTGTTAGCCAGGATGGTCTCGATCTCCTGACCTCGTGATCCGCCCGCCTCGGCCTCCCAAAGTGCTGGGATTACAGGCGTGAGCCACCGCGCCCGGCCTCTTCTAAGAGTTTTACAGTTTAGCTCTTACATTTAGGTCTTTGATCCATTTTGAGTTAATTTGTGTAGTCCATTGACTTATATGCCTATTTTTGTGCCAGTACCAAACTATCTTGATTACTCTTGCTTTGTAGCAAGTTTTGAAATCAAAAGTGTGAGTCCTCCTACTTTGTTCTTTTTCAAGATTGTTTTGGTTATTTTGAGTCCCTTGCAGTTCCATATGAACTTTAGAATCAGCTTGTCAATTTCTATAAAGAGGTCAGCTGGGGCTCTGATAGGGACTGCGTTGAATCTGGACTCTATAGTCTTACGTCACTATGTAGGGTGACCACAGCTCCAATCAGCCAGTCCTTCAGAGGACAAAGGGCCTTCTGCCTAAGTTGGTCTGCCATGCCCCCATGTGTATGTCCTCAAGTGGCCCCATTAATGTGAGTGCTATTCGGACTGAACATGTGTATTCAGAGTCTAGATAGCTGAAATAGAAACCCAGGCTTTTGAGACCCTTCTAAGATTGTCACCATGACTGTAGTAATGGATGATCTTAGGTTGGGTCCTCCAGGAAGCAGACCCTGAGATGAAGATTTGAGGGAAAATAGTTTTGTGGGATGTAGGCCCAGGAGACGCTGGTAGGGCAGTGGGGAAGTGAGCTGGGTGGGGGGTGGGAGAAAATCAGGAGAGTGTGCCTAAATGAGCAGGGCATCACTGTGGGCATCTGAGGCTCAGTCCCTCTGGGAGAGGGTATAGAACAAGGCTTCTCAACCTTGGCCCTACTGACATTTTGGGCCAAATGTCTTGGAGACAGAGTCTTGCTCTGTCGCCCAGGCCGGAGTGCAGTGATCTCAGCTCACTGCAACTTTTACCTCCTGGGTTCAAGCAACTCTTGTGCCTCGGCATCCCAAGTAGCTGGGATTACAGGTGTGTGCCACCATGCATGGCTAATTTTTGTATTTTTAGTAGAGATGAGGTTTCATCATGTTGGCCAGGCTGGTCTCAAATTCCTGGCCTCAAGCAATTCGCCTGACTTGCCCTCCCAAAGTGTTAGGATTACAGGCATGAGCGACTGTACCCGTCCTGGGCTGGATGGTTCTGTGTTACAGGGGGCTGTCATGTGCACAGTAGGAAGTTTAGCAGCATCCTGACCTCTACCCTCTGGATGCCAATAGCAACGACTCAACCAAAATGTCTCAGATATTGCCAAATGTCCCCGGGAGTCCAAAATCATCTCAGATTGAGAACCACTGATGTAGGACATGTCTCAGAATTGTCCCATCCATGAGGTGAGGGAGCTGGGGTATTTATACTCCAACTCCCATTCGTCATTGTTTTAGGGCTGCTTTGTGGGCATCAAGTCCCTAGCACCTCTAGCTTGTCCTGAGGGTTGACTGAACATGATCCCAGGCCAGAGGGAGCTCTCAGGCAGTATTGTAGGCACCCATAGTATGAAGCCACCAGTGTGTATGGAAATATTGAGGACTGAGGGGGTGTGGGCACTCATAGTGCAGCTACATGGATCTTGCCATGCGTAGCATTGGAGACCATGATTCCTCCTAAGATTTGCAGCTCAGCCTGGAAGCCCGTGTTCCTGGGGCTTTGCAAAAGGAGCATTGCATGTGCCAGGGCATACAGTGTTGAAACCAACCTAACCCTGGGCAAGCCGTTGGCTCCTTGGCTGATTCTTGGTTCTGTGCTCTGTCACAGGCCTGGCCCAACTGCTGCAGAATGAGGAAAGATGGCCTTGGAGAATTTCAGATTGAAAATCTCTAAATGATCTTGTTTGCTGGGTAGAAGGCATTAGGGGAAGGAAGTGCCCATAGAATTCTCTTCCTCTCCCTCCCTCCATCTCAGCTCCATAAAACAAGTCTCAGCTTTCTGTACCCACCTCTGACCTCTAAGGGTGCTCTCCTTTTTCAGTATGCTGTGTGACTCTGGGCAAGGCATACCTCCTCTCTGGGCCTCAGTCTGTCTTCTGTAAAACATGGGGGTGGGGTGGACCAGATGACCTTGAAATATCCTGCCAGCTCCAGTGGCTGCTGAGAGCCCACGGAGGCAGCGGGGAGCCTCCAGGCAGCCAGAGCCCGGGGGCCAGCGGAAAATGTGACTTCGTTACAGCTCGGCCCCCAGTGGCGCTGCTGGCCTCTGATCTTTGAACATTTCCATAGTGCACCCGACACGTCGGGCCCGGTCATAGCCCGGCGCAGCCCCTCGCTCACTCAGGAACATCTGCTACAGCATTTACCACGTTAATAGATTAGCTTTGAGAATCGGGCAGGTGTTTTCCAACCAAGCCAGAAAACATCAAAATCACATTGCTCTCCAAGCCTTTCCGCACAGGCAATCGAGTTAGAATGACTCATATGGTCTAACAGATAATAAAACACACATAACATTTGCTTTAAGGTACAGGTGGGGGTATTTTGTCCCGCACATAGGAGAAACAAAAACTCACTCTATTTGGGAACAGGGTAATTGAATACAGATGGGAGGAGGTAAATGAAAGAATTTAGCAAATATCTCAGTGGAATAGCTAATGGGAATGAGACAGAATAGGAAATTAAAAATTATTCGAAGCAGATGGACCATTCTTTGAGTTTTTAAAAATTTATTAGGGCCGCGAGAAAATGTGTCTGTTTATTTTCTGCGGCCATGAAATTAATGACTTGGTGAGTTTTGCTTGTGCAATTTTATGACTGCCATGTCATCTGTCATAATTTGGGGACTGTTTGATATGGATTTATGAGTGTCCCCACCCCCCCGCCCCTCCCTGATTTATTGGTGTGGGTCATGCGTGAATTAGGCTGTCCCCTTTTGAGGGAGCAGCTCGGATGGTGGCGTAACCTCGCAGGCCCTGGGCAGGGGCTCCGGGGAATTCCTGGCCAAAAGGTGAGTGGAAAAGCTGTGAGGAAGCAGCAGGCTCACCTGGCTGAACTTCCTCTACTCGGGTGACCTCAGCCTGCCCTGGCCAGGGAGGAGGTGTCAAGACCGGGAAAACCAGCCCAGGCTGCTTGTGCTTGGCTGGGGCTAGGGTGGGGCCGTTGCTGTAGCCTCAACCCAGTGTAAGGGCCACCTGGCTCCTTGTCCCTCCAGTCCTTACAGCCGTGCTCACCTGCCCCCAGACCTGAAGCTCAGGGAAGGAGAAAAATATTCACAGTTATTTGGGGTCTGGTTGTGCCTGGCCAGGTGCTGGGGTTTAAGTACATTTTCTAGATGGTGGTTAACATAGGGCTTTGCAACCCGCAGACATGAATTCAGTTTTGCTTTGATTCTTCTGAGCTGTGTGTCTCTGGGCTGATCACTACCCTCTCTGAACCTTGATTTCCTCATCTTTAAAAAACAAAATAGGGCCAGTGCGGTGGCTCATGCCTGTAATCCCAGCACTTTGGGAGGCTGAAGCAGGTGGATTGCCTGAGCTCAGGAGTTCAAGACCAGCCTGGCCAGCATGGTGAAACCCAGTCTCTACTAAAAAGTACAAAAAATTAGCTGGGTGTGGTAGCACGAATCTGTAATCCTAGCTACTTGGGAGGCTGAGGCAGGAGAATCACTTGAACCTGGGAGGCAGAGGTTGTAGTGAGGCAAGATAGTGCCACTGTGCGCCAGCCTGGGCAACAGAGCCAGACTCCATCTAAAAAAAAAAACAAAAAACCAACCAATCAAACAAAAAACCAAAATAGAAGCATCTAACATTAGGGAGTTTTTGAGGATCAAATGAGATATTGTAACAACCCCTGCCCCCAAACACACATAGCAAAGAGCTAGTAAGTGGTAACTATTATTATTCTTAATAATCATCCCATCAACATCTTACAGTAGATATTATTATTTCCCCCTGACAGGTGGGGAAACTGAGGCTCAGAGAGTTTGAGTGATTTGCCAGAAGTTACACAGTTAAGGGGATGAACCTGGGCTTTCTTCCATAATGCTGGAGCCCATCTTGTTCTGAATTGGGATATGCCAGGCCTCAGTGGCACAGTTCAGGGCTACAGACTCATGACCTTGTCCTGTAGTTCCTCTGGCTGGGGCCTAATCTCATTCCATACCCAGCCTAGAGGTCTACTGCAAACTCTGTCCTGGTGACTAGTCAGGCAGCAGAGACAGAGAGCCTCTTATCAATCCCATTGCTGGGGCCAGCTGGGCACCTTGCCCAGGTGAGGGTGGAGGAGTCTGTCCAGTCTCAGGAACAGGCCCATCCCAATCCCCTTACCTATTCTGACCCAGCTCATTGGACATTGGAGAGCAGGGCTTGCAATGGCAGGGCTGGAGGCCCCACTCAGGCCAGGGAGTTCTCTGACGGCGAAGCCCCGCTTTTAACTAAATGTCATGCCCGGTGGTGTTTGACCTCAGAACAGGCTGTGGGTAGCATTGGGTCTCATCTAAGTTCTTCTTTTCAGCTCCACCTGTTCCCAGAAGCCCAGTCCAAGCCCGCTCTGTGCCTCTCTCAGCATCTCCAAATTAGAAACAAAAAAAACTATTTGCTGGACGAGTGCGGTAGCTTATGCCTGTAATTCCAGCATTTTGAGAGCCGAGGAGGGCAGATCACTTGAGGTCAGGAGTTCAAGACCAGCCTGGCCAACATGGTGAACCCTGTCTTTACAAAAAATACAAAAATTAGCAGGGCTTGGTGGCAGGTGTCTGTAATCCCAGCTACTTAGGAGGCTGAGGCAGGAGAATCGCTTGAACTCGGGAGGCGGAGGTTGCAGTGAGCCGAGATTGCACCACTGCACTCCAGCCTGGGCGACAGAATAAGACTCTGTCTCAAACATACAAACAAACAAAAAAACTCCTATTTGCTGAGCCCCTGTGGTGGTCCAGGCACTGTGCAAGGTGACTTGTTCATGCAGGCAGTCATTTATTCTTTCATTCGTTAAATATCTGCTGAACACCTATTACATGCCTGGCACTGTCCTAGCACTAGGGCTATGGCAGGGAACAACACAGACGAGGTCCCTGCCCTCACTGAACTGACATTCCAGTGGAGAGGATGGGCAGGCAACAGCACATCACTCTGTAACGTGTCAGGTAGCATTAGGAACTTTGAAGAACGTTAAAGCAGAGTAAGGGAGAGGAAAGGATGGGCCTGAAGGAGCAGGGATCTATTGTAGATAGCCTGATCAGGGAGGCCTCTCCGAGAAGGTAACATATGAGCTGTGGCTAGCCATCCAGGGAGTTTCCAGGCACAGGGAATGGCAAGTGCCTGGGCCCTGAGGTGGGAGGATGGCTGGTGAGTTTGAGAACAACAATGCCAGGGTGGCTGGAGCAGAATAAACAAGGAGAATTATTTTATTTTATTTTATTTATTTATTTAGAGATGGAGTTTCACTCTTGTTGCCCAGGCTGGAGGGTAGTGGCGCGATCTCGGCTCACTGCAACCTCTGCCTCCCAGGTTCAAGCAATTCTCCTGCCTCAGCCTCCTGAGTATCTGGGATTACAGGCACGCACCACCACGCCCGGCTAATTTTGTATTTTTAGTAGAGATGGGGTTTCACCATGTTGGTCAGGCTGGTCTCGAACTCATGACCTCAGGTGATCCGCCTGCCTCGGCCTCCCAAAGTGCTGGGATTACAGGCGTGAGCCACTGCAGCTGGCTTATTTATTTATTTTTTTGAGACAGTTTCACTCTCGTCACCCAGGCTGGAGTGCTGTGGTGCGATCTTGGCTCACTGCAACCTCTGCCTCCCAGGTTTAAGCGATTCTCCTGCCTCAGCATCCCAAGTAGCTGGGATTACAGGCATCTGCCACCACGCCCGGCTAATTTTCGAATTAGGAGAATCATTTTAAATTACATTATCTCATTTAATCCTTACCACAGCTTCTCAAGGAGGGTGTTATCAACCCCAATTTTACTGATTGGGACAAGACTCAGGGAGGTCAGGTTACTTGGCCAAAGTCACGCGACAGAGCCAGGTTCCACACTACCACATGACGTCTCTGGATGTTACAGCTGAGGGACACCAGCAGAGCAGGACCAGGGGTTCAGAGGCATTGGGGGGGTGGGGCGGGGGGCAGATGTCTGGAAGGTACAGCTGTGAGCACAAGTAGGGC
This sequence comes from Homo sapiens, assembly GCF_000001405.40. NCBI lineage: Eukaryota > Metazoa > Chordata > Mammalia > Primates > Hominidae > Homo > Homo sapiens. The sequence continues at coordinate 75,265,955 of NC_000010.11, forward strand.
CTGCTCCTGTGGCCAGGAGCCTTATGGCAGCCCCAGCTATAAGGATTCTTTAAGGCCCCAGTGCTGGGCTCTGACAGGGCAAGATGGATGGGAGCTGTGGGCTTAGTACCCGGCTGAGTTTCCTGAACGGTTTTCTCCAGATGGTCTCTAGGAAGATGAGGTTTAAGAAGATTGATTCCCTGAGAAGGGAGGACGGGAAGGAGAGGGGGCTCCTAGCTGGCCTGCCGCGGTGAAAACATCTCTTTTCTTTGAATAAAGAAAACTCCTGCTTTAAAAGGTGTGGCTCCTGGGCCTGTGTGATGTGCAGGCCTTGGGAGAGGGGCCGAGGACAGGAAAAGGGTGCCGGGGGCACGGGACTTTCCTCCTGAGGCAAGTGGCTCCACCCCCCTGGGCAGGGACACCTGCAACCCCTACAGTGTTGTGGGCTTGCTTGGGTCCAGTCTCCTTAGCCAGCTAGGATTTCTCCATCTCCTGCTTCCTCCCTCTTTCACCTTTGAATGACTTCAGGTTCTTGGAGATCCCCTGCACTCATAGCTTCATGCCTTCAGGTCTTTGCTCATGCTGGGCCTGCGCCTGGAAGGCCATCATTCATTATTCTGTGGTAGGGTGACCAGTGAGGGGACATTACTGTATGTATGTAAGGTGGATGGTACATGGAATGTGTATCATTGCAAGAGAACTGGTAGAGAAGGTCTACCTGGGAGAGAAGGTAGAGGGGTCTCCTGGGAGAGAAAGGATCAAGACTCCAACTCCTTTTGTGTAAGTTTGGAAGGTATTAAGAACTGTCGGAGTGTGTGTCTGATAAAGACTGTGGCAATATTCTAAAATTGATGGTGGGCTGGGCGTGGTGGCTCACGCCTCCCAGCACTTTGGGAGGCAGAGACTGGTGGATCACCTGAGGTCAGGAGTTCAAGACCAGCCTGGCCAACATGGCAAAACCCTGTCTCTACTAATAATACAAAAATTAGCTGCGCATGGTGGCGCATGCCTGTAATCCCAGCTACTCAGGAGGCTGAGGCAGGAGAATTGCTGGAACCCAGGAGGTGGAGGTTGCAGTGAGATGAGATTGAACCACTGCACTCCAGCCTTGGCGACAGAGCAAGACTCCGTATCAAAAAAAAATAAAAAAATAAATTGACGGTGGTAAGGATTGCACATATCTGTGACTACTCCAAGAACCATTGAATTGTATACTTTAAATGGGTGAATCATATGATATGTGGATTATATTTCACTGAGCAGTTATTAAAACGACAACAAAAAGACCCGGTGACAGGGAAAGCTATTGAGGTCCTTGAAATAAAATCACCACAGGAAAGGGATAGGAGCAGTGGCCTGACTGGAGCATGGGGAGGTGGTGCTGGGGGTGGTGGGGGAAAGCAGGCATGGAAATCTGCCTTGATTCAGTTGTCTTGAGTTGCGCTCTGAAATTTTGTATGTGGTGAATTATATATATATATATAATTTTTAATTTTTTGAGAGGATCTGGCTCTGTTGCCCAGGCTGGAGTACAGTGGTGTAATCTGGGCTCGCTGCAACCTCCACCTCCCAGGGTCAAATGATCCTCCCACCTCAGCCTCCTGAGTAGCTGGACTACAGGTGTGTGCCATCATGCCAGGCTAGGTTTTGTACTTTTTTGTAGAGATGGGATTTTGCACGTTGCCCAGGCTGGTGTTGAACTCCTGAGCTCAAGTGATCTGCATGCCTCAGCCTCCCAAACTGCTGGGATTATAGGTGTGATCCACTACACCCAGCCAGTGGTGAATTATATTTTTTTGAATTATTTTAGAAAATTTGACTGGGTGTGGTGGCTCATGCCTGTAATCCCAGAACTTTGGGAAGCCAAGGTGGGCAGATCACCTGAGGTCAGGAGTTTGAGACCACCCTGGCCAACATGGTGAAACCCTGTCTCTACTAAAAATACAATAATTAGCTGAGCATGGTAGCGGGTGCCTGTAATCCCAGCTACTAGGGAGGCTGAGGCAGGAGAATTGCTTGAACCTGAGAGGCAGAGATTGCAGTGAGCCAAGATCGTGCCACTTCACTCCAATCTGGGTGACAGAGCGTGACTCTGTCTCAAAAGAAAAAAATTTTTTTTTTAGAAAATTTCAAATAGATACAGATGTCAAAGGATTCTTTAAAAAAAAAAGTCAAAAAGTAGCTTTCAAATTTCAAGACAGAAAGAGAATAGTGTAATAAATCCCTGTGTATTTATTGCCCAGCTTCAACAAGGATCAACTCTTGGCCAATATTTTTTAATCCACATCCCCGCTCATTTCTCCCTTCCCAGATTATATTGAGTAAATCCTGCACATTATGTCATTTTATCTTAAAATATTGTTATGCCTAAAAGAACTAATAGCACTTAAGATAATCAAATATTCAGGCATTGTCCAACTTTCCAAATGTTTCATAAACAGTTCTTTAACAAAAATCTAGTATGTATGAATGAGGATCTAAATAAGGCCTTCACATTGTTAGTTAATATATCTCTTTTTCAAACTATAAGTTTCTCCTCTATTTTTTCTTCTTCTTGAGGTTGATTTGTTAAAGAAATGGATTGTTTGTTAGGAAGAGTTTCTCACAGTTTGAATTTTCTTTTTTTTTTTTTTTTTTTTTTGAGATGGAGTCTCACTCTGTCACCCAGGCTGGAGTGCAGTGGCGCGATCTCAGCTCACTGCAAGCTCCACCTGGATTCACGCCATTCTCCTGCCTCAGCCTCCCGAGTAGCTGGGACTACAGGCGCCTGCCACCACGCCCGGCTAATTTTTTGTATTTTTAGTAGAGACGGGGTTTCACCATGTTAGCCAGGATGGTCTCCATCTCCTGACCTTGTGATCTGCCCGCCTCGGCCTCCCAAAGTGCTGGGATTACAGGCGTGAGCCACCACACCCAGTCAAATTTTTTTGGAAGTATTTGTTAGGATATTGGTTTGGCTGCATTGATAGAGGGTTTATTTCTCTCTTTTCAAGAGAGTAAAAATATAAGATGATAGGCAGTTGGAGCAGGGAAGGCTGCTCCTCAAATTTGTCCAGGAACCCAGCCTCCTTCTTTCTTGCTGTTGTACATTCTCTAGGACAGTGCTGTCCAATAGAACCTTCTGTGATGATGGAAATGTTCTCTATCTGGCTGTCCAGTACAGCAGCCAATAGCCACATGTCCAGTGAGCACTTAAAACGTGGCCAATGTGACTGAGAAATTGAGGTTTACATTTTATTTAAATTTTACTATTGATTTATTTATTCAAACAAAAGGGTTTCACATATTTATTTCTGAACCAGCCTACTAGTGCAGCACATATAAACAAAGAGAAAACACATTTTCTCAATCAAACATGTCTGACTGTCTAGATAGTGGTGACCTTGTCAGCTTGATAGTGTAAGATAGTGACCTTGACCCAGCATTAATATGTGTGCCATCTCATGTGCAATTCCTTGCAGGCCTAGCTTGGTTCTTCTCCAATGTCTCGTCTTGGAGTTGTGCCTGATTTTATTACCAGTTTTCATCTGAATCCACTGGGGAATGGGACGATTTTGCTTTTGTTTCTTGGCCAGGAATCACCTGACCCTGAAAAGTCTTGTGAGAAGACATGGCGAGAAACAGTCAACTTCACACACCATGATGGCGGAGAAAGGAAGAGCTTAAATTTTATTTAACTTTTATTAATTTAAGTAGCCACACGTGGCTAGTATCTCCAGTATCTGGCAGCACAGCACTAGACCCCCTTCATCTGCGAGGCTAGAAGGGCTTCTCCCCTATCCACCTTGGAGATTTCTGGCCGGGGCCCCCAAGCAGCTTCCTTTCAAGAGCGTCATCACTTCCTCTCACACCCCATTGGTCAGGACTTACGTAGATGGCCACCCCCTCCCCCAGCTGCAAGGGAGGCTGTGAAATGAAGTCTCTAGTTGGATAGCAGTAAGTCCTGCTGAGTTCAGCAGTTGCTGTTCCTAAAAGGAAGAAATGGGTAGAATGGATATTGGTGGACATTTAGAGACAAGGAAACTGGACAACTCTAGACTGTTGCCAGGAGTCAGGAGGTGAGGAAAGCTGATACTCAGGCTGTGAGGCCTCAGACATAAAGCTCAAAACTGTCGTTGTGGTGCAGATACTGAGTCCTGCTCACCATGAATCCCCAGCACATAGCATTCTGGGACACAACTGAAGGGTTAACATTGCCTCCCTGAATCTTCAAACAGGACCTCCGAGCTCCACAGCTAACTGTACATTCATCTGCCTATCTAACTTTTTTTTCTTTTTCTTTTGAATTTTTCCCCCAAGGCCCTTCAGGAATGAATTTTTTTTTTTTTTTTTTTTTAGAGACAGGGTCTCTTACTCTGTTGCCCAGGCTTGAGTGCAGTGGTGTGATCATAGCTCACTGCAGCGTCAAACTCCTGAGCTCAAGCCTCCCGAGTAGCTGGGACCACAGGGGCACGCCAACAGGTCTGGTTACTTAAAAATTTTTTTTGTAGAGATGGGGTGTCACTATGTTGCCCAGGCTGGTCTCAAATTCCTGGGCTCAAGTCATCCTCCCACTTTGGCCTCCCAAGGCACTGGGATTACAGCTGTGAGCCACCATGCCTGGCCTGTGCATTCCTTATTTTATCCTCGATAAAACGTCTAGGAGAGAGGAGTGATCACTATTCCCAGATTTAGAGAAATTCACTACTTTCCCCTGGTGTTATCTTCCTGTGGTTGCTGTAACAAATTGCCACAAATTGGGAGGCTTAAAACAACAGAAATTTATTCTCTTACAGTTCTGGAGGCTAGAAGTCTGAAATGAAGGTGTCAGCCCGGTTCTACTCCTTCCAGCGGCTTTAGGGGAGAATCCTTTCCTATGCTCTTCCAGTTTCTGGTAGCCCTGGCATTCCTGGGCTTGTGGCTGCATCACTCCAATCTCTGCCTCTGTCTTCACATCACCTTCTCCTCTGTGTGTCCACGTCTTCTCTTCTTGTCTGTCTCCAATTGTTCTCTGCCTCCTCTCATAAGGACACTTGTCATTGTATTTACGAACCACATAGATAAACCAGGATAAACTCTTCTTAAGTCATTTGATTATTCGCATCTTTCACCATAGAAGGTAATATTCACAGGTTCTGGGATTAGGACACAGACATATCTTTTGTGGGGGTCACCACTGATCCAACTACAGCTCAATTCACATAACTGGTCAGCGGGTCCCTGGGTTGCACAACTCCAGGGACACAGTGTTTAATGCAGTGGCCTTGCTGGTGACAGCAAAGCTGGGACTTGAATCCAGGCCAGCCTGAGTCCAAAGCCCACTGTGTTTCCATCTAGAATTTAAATTCTTTTTTTTTTTTTTTTTTTGTTTGAGATGGAGTCTCGCTCTGTCGCCCAGGCTGGAGTGCAGTGGCGTGATCTTGGCTCACTGCAGGCTCCGCCCCCCGGGTTCACGCCAGTCTCCTGCCTCAGCCTCCCAAGTAGCTGGGACTACAGGCACCCGCCACCTCACCCGGCTAATTTTTTGTATTTTTAGTAGAGACGAGGTTTCACCATGTTAGCCAGGATGGTCTCAATCTCCTGACCTCGTGATCTGCCTGCCTCGGCCTCTCAAAGTGCTGGGATTACAGGCGTGAGCCACCACGCCCGGCCCCCCATCTAGAATTTAAATTCTAAAGGTTTGTGAATCAGAGCAGTTCAACATGGTTGTCTGTTTATCAGTATTGAAGGTTGGATACCCGACGAACCACCCAGTACCAGGCTGATGGCTTTTCCTTTTAATCTCTCTTTCCCCCTTTACTGGCTCCTCCCTTGCCCTGGTGGGGTGCGCTTTGCCTCTGAAAGGATAAGACTTCCTCACATCTGTAAAGTGCTTTACCCTTTATAAAGCAATTTCACATAATATATAATATGAGAACTTTTTTTTTTTTAAGCATTGGTGCCATTTACTGTTCTTGATTTAAAAAGCAGAGGAGTTGAGTTCCTTTGTTATTTTTCAAGGAAAAACAGACCCCAGATTAAGTTGATTTTTGCATATAACCCCTGCTTGATTTCTTTTGGAGGTCACTGGCCTTTGATAGAAAAAAATCTCCACACTCTTGCAGCCTGAGGAAATGGAAAGACAACAAAAGACTTGAGCAGCCCAAAGAAAGAAGAAATCAGACCAACGCTTGGGGCCTCCTCCTCAGGGCAGAGGGCTGCGGGGAAGGAGGCTGCCCAAAGAACTGGCTTTCCTCTATGGTGAGGGTTGTCCTGGGCTCCTTGGAGGGCACCAGGCTGCTTGTGGCAGCTGTTTCCAGAATCCCAGCACATGTACCCTCGAGGTGCTCATGCAGTCTCTGCAAAGCTGCCCACATGTCCGTACTCATAACCCACATGTGTGCACACACGCATACACATCCCATCTCTCTCACGCATATGCACATGGATACATGACAAATGTTAATGCTAACACTTATTAAGCACTTTCTGTGCACCAGCACCATTGATCAAATGCCTTCTTGAATCATTTCAATCCTTACAACAGCTGTGAGACCAGTAATATTATTTTCTCCATTTAGCAAATGTAGAAACTGAGGCAGAGAAAGGCAAAGTAACTTGTTGGAGTTAGATTTCAACCCAGTCCAGCTGGGCCCAGAGTCCACACTGCTTCATCCAGACCCCCACCTACCATAGTACGACACACACTTGTGCACACACGTACACACAGACCCATGCCTGCACATGTGGGCAAACACACCTGCATTCCATCACACACATGGCCAGACCTATGTGTGTGCAAATGCACTGACACAACACTCACCCACCGACCCCACACGTACTGTGCTGCTTCCTCTCCTGCCTGTCTTCTCAGGAACCGGTTTTCTTTTTCTTTTTATTTTTAAGAGATGAGTTCTCTCTATGTTGCCCAAGCTGGTCTTGAACTTCTGAGCTCAATTGATCCTCCTGCCTCAGCCTCCCAAAGTGCTAGGATTACAGGCATAAGCCACCATGTCTGGCCATAGGAACTGGTTTTTTTCTGAAGCCAATGACTGAGGCCAGGCTGGACTGGGCATCAGAGTGAGGATGGGGGTAGGGTGGCCACTGACAGGGTGATGGAAAGCAGGAAAGTCACAAATAAGCAAACAGCCCCGCCTGGACACAGTTTCGGCTGGGCGTTTCCTGAATGTCCAGGGACATGTTTATTTTTTGATGACTGTCCAGAGCTGACCTCAAGTCTCTCCCTTCCCGAGTGGCCATCATGATGGAGCTGTGGCGCTGTGGGTCTGGCTTAGTTGGGAGTGATGTTTACAAATGTCTCTCTTCTCCAGCGGAGGCTGGGAGGCCCTCGAGGGTAGGCCCCATCTACTTCTCAACTTCATACCCCCAACTCAGGGTGTTCCTCGGATGCCAGCTCTCTGACCCCAGGAGGTTGGATTGGGCTGGAGAGTGTTCACTCCAGCCTCCTGGCCTTTGCTCAAGCTGTCCTTTGCCTGGGATACCCAATTCCTGTTCTCAAGGTAAATCCTATTCTCCTTCCTGAATCTCAATCAAATGACACCTCCTCCAGGAAGCTGTCTAGGTTCTTTCAGGGTCTAAGAAATCTCTTTTTTCCCCGGCATTTAATTTTTTTTTTTTTTTTGACAGAGTCTTGCTTTTTCGCCCGGGCTGGAGTGCAATGGTGTGATCTACACTCATTGCAACCCTGCAACCTCTGCCTCCTGGGTTCAAATGATTCTCCTGCCTCAACCTCCCAAGTAGCTGGGATTACAGGCATGCACCACTGCCTGGCTAATTTTTGTATTTTTAGTAGAGTGGGGTTTCACCATGTTGGCCAGGCTGGTCTTGAACTCCTGATCTCAAGTGATTTGCCCACCTCAGCCTCTCAAAGTGCTGGGATTACAGGTGTGAGTCACCACGCGCAGCCAAAAAAAATTTTTTTTTGGTGTAAAATACTTCTTAACTTTCCTCTAACTCATTTGCAGCATAAATGTCTGCCGTGGAGGGCTATTTTTTTTTTTTTTTTTTTGAGATGGAGTTTTGCTCTTGTTGCCCAGGCTGGAGTGCAATGGCACAATCTTGGCTCACCACAACCTCCGCCTCCCAGGTTCAAGCGATTCTTCTGCCTCAGCCTCCCAAGTAGCTGGGATTGCAGGCATGCACCACCACGCCTGGCTAATTTTGTATTTTTAGTAGAGACAGGGTTTCTCCATGTTGGTCAGGCTGGTTGCGAACTCCCAACCTTAGGTGATCCGCCTGCCTCGGCTTCCCGAAGTGTTGGGATTACAGGCATGAGCCACTGTGCCTGGTCAGTGGAGGGCTAATTGTGGTAAAATACGGATAATATAAAATTTACCATCTTAACATTTTAAGTGTCTAGTCTAATACACTTAAATATATCCACACTCTTGTATAACCATTGCCACCATTTATCCACATAACTCTTTTCCTCTTGCAAAACTGATTAAACCCATTAAATGATAACTCACTGTCCTCCTTCCCCCCAGCCCCAGCAACCACCATTCTACTTTCTGTCTCTCTGAATTTGACTACTCTAGGTCCCTCAGAAAAGTGGAATCATGCAGTATTTGTCTTTTTGTGTCTGGCTTATTTCACTTAGCATAATGCCTTCCAGGTTCATCTGTGCTGTGGCATGTGTCAGAACTTCTTTCCTTTTTAAGGCTAAATAATATTCCATTATATATATATATATACACCACATTTTTCTTATCCATTTATCTGTGAGTGGACACCTGGGGTGCTGCCACTTTTTGGCTATGTGAATAATGCTGCTCTGGACATGGGTGTACAAATATCTCTTTGGCACTTTGTTCTTTTCACACATATTTATTCATTCATCTGTTGACGGAAATTTGGGTTGTTCCCAGTTTTTGTCTATTACAAATAAAGCTGCTATAAACATTCATCTACAAATCTTTGTGAGAACATAAGTTTTCATTTCTCTTAGGCAAATATCTACCAGTGGACTGGATCATTATATATATATATATATATATTTTTTTTTTTTTTTTTTTTTTTTTCGAGATGGAGTCTTGCTCTGTCACTCAGGCTGGAGTGCAGTAGTGTGATCTTGGCTTACTGCAGCCTCTGCCTCCCAGGTTCAAGAGATTCTCCTGCCTCAGCCTCCCAAGAAACTGGGATTACAGGTGTGCACCACCATGTCCAGCCTGTTAGATGTACATTTAAAGACACTGTTAAATTGTTTTCCAAAGTGGTTGTATCCTTTTTTTTTCCAGAAAAGGATATTTTAAAAATTCAAGTAACTGCAAATAGGAAACCAGAGGGGGTCCCTGGCCTGGGACCTACTCACACCCTGGCAGAACAGGGGAAGGCAGCTCCTGTACCTGCTATGTTCAGTTCAGTCCCCTTTGTCACTCTGCTGCAGCATCTGAGGGTCCGGGCCCATCTTCCCTGGGACTGAGGTGGTTCATAAGCAGCCTGACACATGCAGCCCCTCTTGCCTGAGAAGACTATCTTGGGGGAGGGGAATGTGAGCAGAATAAGAGGTAATGAGGATGGACATTCGGTTCTGGGAGCAGCAGCCGTGATAGATGTTAAGAATGAAACACTGAACAAAAAACAACTGTCCAGAGGTAGTTTGTGAACGGGAGCCTGGGGGTGGCGCTCTCGAAGGCCGAGCTCTTTGTTATTGGCACCCCATCTGAGGAGGGAGAAACAGGCTGAGTGGTGGAAGCAGGTAGGGTTGGGGCACAGCCCCAGCTCACCTCAGGTGGCTGCCACAGGCAGCCTGGGCCTCACCTGGACAATAGGTGACCCTGCATCTGCATCACTGCAATAGAGACTCGGATCCCAGACTGAGGGCAAGGGGGCTGGGGCCCCTGTGAAGAAGGGTAGGTGGCTCAAACCCCTCCTGCCTTCCTTTCTGTACCCCAAAGCAGGCCGTGCAAAGGAGTGCAGGGACTAGCAAAAGGAGGGAAGGAAGAAAAATAGGTGTGAGCTCCACGTGGTGACAAAGACACAAGTTGGCTGGGAGCATCCTGGGGGCCAAGCGTCCCCCTCCACTGGCCACACCTGTTGCTGCCAGGGCAGTGGAGTAGGGTACGCCAGAATAAGAGGGGCTTGGGCTCCTTTTAAGGCCAGGGAACCCTCCCAGGCCCCTCTCTGGGAAACCAAAGGGAACAGTGGAGAAGCAGAGCGGGGGGTCCCCAAACCAAAAGCCCAGAGAGCAATGTCCGTACCGACATGCGCGTGGGGACGCAGGAGGGGCAGGGTGTGGCTAAGTGGGACGCAAGGTGTGGCGCAAGTGTGTGCATGGGTTGGCGGGGTGGCTGGGAGCTGAGGCCAGAGAACTGCTCCCCAGTCGACCGGCAGGGGCCCTGCAGCGGCTGCTGCGCGGCGCAGGGGGTGGTGGTGAGAGGGCAGGGTGAAGCGGTGGGGAGGTGGGCCTGGGGGAAGGAAGGGGACAGCGTGAGCGAGCAGAGCAGTCCAGGCCCAGGAGGAAGCTGCTCCTCCTCTGAGCACTCCGATGCCCTCCTCTCCCTCCTTCCCGGTTTTTTGGGTCGGCCCCTTGGTTTCCTTCCTGGAGTTGTGGTGGGTTTCCGGGTGTCAGCAGCGCCCCTGATTTTGTTGCCCTTTGGTGGCCCCGGGTCTCCCAGGTGTTGGCCGGGCTCCTACGGAGGCTGCCTGCGGCCTGCCCTGCCCCCACTGCTCAGTGTAGTCCTTTTCCTGGTTGGAGGCCCACGGCCGGCTAGATTTCGACCTGGACCCTCTCATCTGCCCTTCTCCACCGAGCAGGTGGAAGAGTGGTGGCGGGAATGCGCCAGCTCTGACCTCCCTGCGGTGCGCGCTGCGGGGCTGGGAGCAACTGTGCTGGGTTCTGAGGCCCATGCGGGTGCCTTCTTGGAGCCGCGCCAGCACCAGAAATCGCCCGGGCTCGGAGTCCCAATTAGAGGCGATGGTATCGTTTTACATTCCTAGCATCAGTGTACGAGGCCCAGTTCCTCCACATCCTCGCCAACACGTGGTATGGTCAGTCTTTTACATTTTAATTATTTTAATAGGTATGTAGTGGTATCATTGAGATTTTAATTTGCATTTCCCTAATAACCATTTACCGTTTGTAAATATTTTTTCATAAAGTGTCTGTTCCAATCTTTTGCTGATTATTTTCATATTGGGTTGTTTGTTTTCTTATTATTGAATTTTGAGAGTTCTTTATATACTCTGGCTACAAGACCTGTATCAGATATGTGATATGCAAACATTTTCCCAATCTATTACTTACCTTTTTGTTGCATTAACAGTTTTTTTTTTAATTTTATTTTTATTTTCTTTTTTTCTTTTTTTTTGAGATGGAGTCTTACTCTGTCACCCAGGCTGGAGTGCAGTGGCACGATTTCGGCTCACCGCAACCTCTGCCTCCTGGGTTCAAGCCATTCTTCTGCCTCAGCCTACCCAGTAGCTGGTATTACAGGTACACACCACCACGCCCAGCTAATTTTTGTATTTTTAGTAGAGATGGGGTTTCACCATGTTGGCCAGGTGGGTCTCGAACTCCTGACCTCATGGTCTGCCCACCTTGGCCTCCCAAAGTGCTGGGATTACAGGCATGAGCCTCTGCACCCGGCCTATTTTAATTTTTTTTTTGAGACGGTGTCTCACTCTGTTGCCCAGGCTGGAGTGCAATGGCATGATCTCAGCTCACTGCAACCTCCACCTCCTGGGTTCAAGCGATTCTCTGGTCTCAGCCTCCTGAGTAGCTGGGATTACAGGCGCCTGCCACCACCCCCAGCTAATTTTTGTATTTTTAGTAGAGATGGGTTTTCACCATGTTGGCCAGGCTGGTCTGGAACTCCTGACCTCAGGTAATCCGCCTGCCCCGCCCTCCCAAAGTGCTAGGATTACAGGTGTGAGCCACCACTGTGCCCTGCCCTGATTCCATATCTTAAGGGAAGATCATTCAGTCTTTCACCACAAAGTGTGATGCTAACTGTGAGCTTTACAGGGCCCTTCATCAGGTGGAGGAAGTTCTTTTTATTTCCAGTCTGTAGAGAATTCCAGCATGACTGGGTGTTGAATTTTGTCATTTTTTTTTCCGCATCTATTGAGGTAATCAGCTGGCTTTTATCCTTCCTTTTATTAAGATGGTGTATTACATTAATTGATTTTTGAATGTTAAATCAACCTTGAATCCCTGGAATAAAACCCTACCTGGACATAATGTATTATCATTTTTATGTATTGTAATTTGCTAAAATTACAATATGTACAATGATTGTACACAATAATTACATTATCTAAAATTTTGTTAAGAATTTTTGCATCAAGGTTCATGAAGTATTAATATATTGGTCAATACTTCTCTTGTTTTGGTATCAGAATGATGCTGGCTTCATAGAATGAGATTAGAAGTATTATCTCCTCAATTTTCTGGAAGAGTGCGTAGAATTGGTGTCATTTTTTCCTTCAACATTTGGTGGAATTCACCAGAGAAGTCATCTGGGCCTGTAGTTTTCTGTGTGTATGTGTGTGTGTGTCTGTGTGTGCTTTTCTTTGTGGGGAAGTTTATAACTACAAATTCAATTTCCTTAGTAGATAAAGGAATATTCAGGAAACCCTATCTGTACAAAAATACAAAAATACTAGCTGAGCATGGTGGTACACTCCTGTAATCCCAGTTACTCAGGAGGCTGAGGTGGGAGGATTACATGAGCCTCGGAGGCGGAGGTTGCAGTGAGCTGTGATTGTGCCACTGCACTCCAGCCTGGGTGACCCAGGTGACACAGTGAGAACCAGTCTCAAAAAAAAAAAAAAAAAAAGAAGGAAAAGATAAGAAAATGATTTCCCATATTTTGTATGGTGTTTTAGTTGTTTCGGCTGAGAGGGAAAGGGGAATCAGTCTGTTACTCTGCCTTGATATAAATGGAAGGCCCTCGATGCTCTTTTGCTTTCGGCAATAGTGCTGATAAACTGAGAGGCTAGCTGTGCTGGAGGAGACTGAGGTGGCTGGAAGAAGAGTCACTTTATATGACAGGGTGTACATCTCTGTGCCCATAGTTGTCCTCCCCAATTGCACATCTTCCTGCACATGTACCTGCATATCTATCTGGAAATCTATCTGCACATCTGTCTGCATGTCTGAAAGCATTCTGCTGGAGTTTGGGAAGCTGTCTGTGGCTGGGACACAGTCTGTCCTTTTTCCTGCTCAGGGGAAACTCCATGCCACCCACATGATCATCCTGCTACATTTCTTGATGTCCACACTCGAGTCCATCAGGCCTGGGCTGGCTGTGTACAGGGTGCAGATGAGCCAAGTAATTGCCTTTTGTAGTTCTAGTTAGGAAGACAGTATAGGGTCTTCCTAACCAGAAGGGCTTTTCTGTTTTGACTCTGCTGGTGCTGATCTGGGCTTCTGCCTCCCGCTTCCCTTCCACAGTGATCCCATAGGCTCTGGAGACCCACCTGTGGCTTCTGGCTGAAGTGTGGGTCTCTCTTGGACTGGGAAGGGTCTGGTTGCTGCTATAAGCCCAGCCCAGGTCTTGGAGGAGCACAATCTAGTGTTCTACACAATGGGTTTTTCCATGGGTCTCCAGGAGAGCTATTATACACCCAGAAGATCCAGCCTTTACCAGCGCTCTCTCCTTTTTCTCTCTTGCTCCCCTTCCCTATGCCAAGGAGTAGGCAAAGGTTGACATTTCGCACCTCCATTGCCCAGCTCATTCTAAGGCCTTTATTTAAAGGGTGGATAATGGCACATAGAAGATGTGTCTATAACAGGTAGCACATTTCCTATGGTGCTTGGCATATGTCTTAGTCTTTTCGGGCTGCTATAACAAAATACCATAGACTGGGTGGCTTATAAACAACAGAAATTTATTTCTAACAGTTCTGGAGTCTGGGAAATCTAAGATCAAGGTGCTGGCAGATTTGGTGTCTGATGACGGTCTGATTCCTAGTAGATGGCTGTCTTCTCACTATAACTCACATGGCAGAAGGCACAAGGGATCTCTCCGATGTCTCTTTGATAAGTGCACTAAACCTATGCATGAGAGTTCTACCATTAGGACCTATTCACCTCACAAAGTCTCCACTTTCTAACATCATCATCTTGGGGGTTAAAATGAATTTTGTGGGGACTATACATTTAGTCTATTGCAGAAAAGAAAGGTATATTTATTTTTTTACCAGATTAAATTTGATTCAAGGCCTCCTTTGTCAAGATGGATAATCAGTCCAAGAATTCTAGAACTTGTACAAGCCAAAAGTAAAAAAAAAGAAAGAAAAAAGGGGGATTAATTCAATTAAGAATATACATCCCCAATGGCCCATCAATTCAGCTACCTGGGACATCTCTATTCCAGGGGAATTTTCACATGAGTCCATAATGGGACACATACAGAGATGTTCACTGTGGTGTTGAATGTGGTGGTCTGGAGTTGGAGGTAATCTGGCTGCTGTCCTGTGTGAGGGAGGATGAGAATCAATCATGGTTCAGAAGCCTGCAAGGCAATATTCCTCAGTCCATGTGTCTCCTTTCCTGACAGATGGCCCTTGTTTGAACCCTTCATGGGGTAAGCAACTCAGAGTGGCGTGTTTTGCTGCTGGGAAGCTCAGATTGTGCCAGAATTACATCTCCCTGGAGATGATTGTGGTGGGCTTGGTATCTTGGAGGGGTGTGTATGCGTGTGTGTGTGTGTGTGTGTGTGTGTGTGCATTTATGGGAAACACTGTGTTTTCATTCATCCATTTATTCATTCATAAAACATACGGTTATGGGGCAACAGCCCCATGCTAGGTTCTGGAGATACAATGACCTCTGCCTTCATGGTGCTTACAATCTAGTGGGGGAAACAGATACAACTGATGATTCTGGCACTATGAGAAATAAGCATTTGTATGACAGGAGAGAGGGAGGACCCAACTTAAGGTTGATGGGCCATGAAGGACTCCTCTGAAAAAAGGAACATCTAAATCAGGCCTGAGAGCTGAGTAGAAATTAGGCAGGGGAAGAAACAGGGGTAGAATGTTCCAGGTGGAGGTAATGTGTGCATGAGGGTGATGTGGTGGGCGAGAGCGGCTGCTTCAGGGAACTTCTCTGCCTGGCTGGAGCAAGGCAGGTAAGCAGAGCCAGCTGGAGGAGAGGAGGCTGGGGACACACAAAGCCTGCTGTGTGATAAGGTGACCATGTAATTTATCATCCAGACTAGAATGCATTGAAACTGAAAGGTCGCTCTCCTAATAATATTGTTGGGATGACGGTCACTCTACTTGTAGGTCAGGGTAAAGAGTTTGAGTTTTAGTCTCAGGAATATGGGAAGCCACTGGGGCCTCAAGGAAAGAGAGATGTGACCTAGTTTGCACCCGGAGGGGCCTGAGATGGGGCTATAGGACTCAGAAACCTCCTACCAGCCTTCCCATCTGCATGGAGGAGACACCTGAAGAAGATTTGGAGAGTATCAGAAGTCTTGGGGTAAATGAGCGAGGCAGCCAGGAGCCCAGAAATGGCCTTTGTAATCCTGTGGGACAGGTGATGAGCACATTACTGTCGAGTGTGCCGCCTGGTTCCTGCCTGCTTCCTGACAGATGCTCCTCCTAGCAAGTGAATCTGCCCCCAGCTGAATAGGAAGGAGACAGTGATAAGAACTTCCTCATGAGTACCACGACTGGGGGATGCTCTGTCATGCCCCAGCTGCAGATGGAGGTGGGAAGGGAACAACCCCCTTCCCAATGATTTTACAAAGCAGGAGTGTGAGATGTATGGATAAGATGTCCAGGCTCTCATTTTGATACCCAGGCACACTGGTTTCCAGAGTTAACCACTCAGGACATTGTCTGTCCAAAGAAGAGGCCACAGCTTGCTCTGGAGCTTACACATGGGGGAGTGATCATGGGGTCACCCCTGTCCACTCACACATAGATCCATAGACCCGGGTCCAGAGGACAAAGCACAAATTCTCCCCCTCCCCCTTAGGGGTGTTGAGGTAGGCAGACCCCAGAAATAGTGGTAGCTTAGAAGGGAACCAAATTTCCAAAACTCCTCAAAGCTGTCTGTGCACATACCCAGAATATCAGAGTCATTCTCCAGTTGGGACTCAGGTCTCTTCCATCAGACCAAGAGGTGGCTAAGGATAATAGCTGGGTGTGGCAGACACTGTCCATTGCATATCCAACAGCCATCCCCGCTCCTTCCCTGTTAACAATGTGACTTGTGTAATTAGCAACTGGAGATTCTTTGATCTTAGGGAGGCAAAGATCAAGGGCCCTCTGGCAGTCCCAGGAGGTGAATCATGATTGGTCTAAACAAGTCATGACAACTCATTCCCTTGGCCAACGACTGGTGTAGGTGGGGAGAAGGTGAGAGAGATGGGATCTGGCCAATCACAGGCAAGGGGAAGTCTGCTGGGGAGGGTTCCTCTTCCCAAATAAAAAGACAAAGCCTTGGCTGGGGGAATTCCTTTTATCCCTTTTTTTTAAACCCTCTTCCCTCCCTGGACTGAAGATATGATGCTTTGTGTTGCAGAGGTCTCTTTGCAACCAAAATGCAAGAAGTTAGAATGCAAGGATGGTGAAGCAGGAAGATAGAAAGAGTCTCAGTTCTTGAAGTCATCATTGAGCTGCTCCAGCTCTGGATGGCCCTGCCTCTGGGTTTCTTGTTATGTGGGACAAGTAACCTGCACCATGTAAGCTGCTGTAGCTAGGCATTCTGTGATGTGCAGCTGGAGTCTGCCTCTGACTCCCACCCTCATGGGAAGGAAGCTTCCATTTTCGGGGATTCCTGCTTCCATCCTTGAAGGAGGAATTGAATCGCACAAAGACATAAGGGGCTCTCAAGATCTCAAGACCATGAATCCTAGTTTGGGCTCTTCCCTAACAGGATGACCTTGGGTAAATTAGTCGTGTTGGGTCTTGGTGTCCTTGTCTGCACAATGGATGCAGTAACAGTACTTGCCTCATAGGGTTGTGGGAAGGAAGTGAGCTAATCAATGGAAATCACTGGATATAAAGTAGGTGTTCAATAAAAGTCAGCTCCCTTCCCTCTCTGGGAGTCACACAGAACTGCCCCTCCAAACTGTCAGGTTGCCTACATGTTCAATGTGCATGTCACCCTTCTTACCAGGAGAAGATTTGCATTATGGAACCTTGAGTTTTAAATTAAGTGTCAAATATAATTTGATAGTTCTAAGAATTAATTATGTGACTGCCCTTAGAAAAGCCAGGAAGGGAGAAAAGCACAGGGAGGGAAGCTAGGGAAGCTCCCTTACTCACCAGGGAATTGGATGGAAGAGGACAAGGATGGTGCTTTGCACATTAGTGCGTTTCCCACCCGGGACTTTCAGAAGCAGGGCTCCTTGAGGAGTGATGAAAGGGGCAGGTGTGAGGGATAGAGAAGAAAATCTTACCAGGAGGTGTCCCCCTGTCATGGGCGGCTCTGTCCTGCCTGGCCCCGCCCTCCAAGGCGTGCGCACATTTGTCAGCAGCAGACATACGTGTGGCTGGTGTCAATCCTCCTCCTATAAGAGAAGAGAAGCATTTCCTGCAAGAGTGGTGGGGGAAGAGAGAGACATGCAGGCCAGAAGGGAGGCCACATTTGTCTCGATGACAAACCAAGGACAAAAGCTCAGCCTGGAGCATTCCAGGAGGGGCCTGCCTCTTCCTGAGGGTGGAGAGAACTGTCGTCCCCTGTATGTTTCGAGGGGGGAGACAGAGTGCAGGGAGGGAGCAGGTTGACGTGGGCATCGGGAACCCAACCCAAGCCAACCGCCCCCACCCCTACCCCAGCCTCCTGCCACCCTCTCCGAGGAGTCTGGGTTTAATTTTCTGGTCAGTGTGAAAAGGAGGAGGAAGATGATGAGGAGGAGGAGAAGAAAGGAGGGAGTTAAAGTTCTAATGCAGTCGGCTGGGATCTGTCATTCAGCGTACAGCTCACTGACGACTCAGGGCAGCTTCAGCTGTAAGCAGCCTGTGATTTATGGACACCGAGTGAACTCCTGCGGCAGAAACCAGCCTTGAGATCAGAGCAGCAATAGGGCTCTTTTTTGGCAGGAGACAGGGCCTGCATTTTTCTCATTCATGCCAAACTGCTTTGCACGGCAATTAGCTCTGTCCTCATTTAGTCTCCAGTCCCAAAGGGTAATGAAAGTCATATATCATCTTCAGGACTGCTAATTATTGAGCTCGCTTACAGGTAGGCTTTGTAACTGTGAGAAGGGCCTGTCTGACCAATATTTATTACTCTTCCAATAAGTAAGCAAAGAAGGAGGGGGTGGGTAAGGGAGCAGAGAGGGGAGGGAGAAGAAGGGAGGGAAGGAAAGAAGGGGGAAAAACAACTTTCTTGAAAGACCGCCCAACCCCAGCCCTAGGATCTCTGACATACCTTCTGCAAATGTGCTCATCAGAGGGGAAACATCTTTATTCCACGGAGCCATCTTTCATGCCATAACAAACCAGCCTAAGAGAGCAGACAGTAGGGAGGAGAGGCCCAGAAGAGGGAGCAGCAGGCGGGGAGGGGGCGTTGGTGGGGAGGGTTGCTCTGGAGAGTGGGGAAGGGTACTGGGTTGGGGGAAGGGGACTGGAGGGCGATGGGGAAGAGAGGACAGGAAGGGAGCAAAGCAGAAATAGAAGAAAAAAATTCTCTCAACCCCTACCCAGGTCCAGAACCTTCTATCATCATTCCTGGGCCTGATGTGGGGAATGGTAGTGGTGGGTCAGGGCTTGGCCTGGGATTAGCTATGTCTGTCGCTTCCAGGTGTGGAGTGTGTAAGGCTAATACCAGAAAGGGTTTCATCTGGGCCCTTCACCTTCAAGCTGATGGTCTCACCACCAGGTGGATGTAGTGTCTGGATTATAGTCTGCCCAGCGATTTCCATGGGTGTGGTTAACTAAGGGGAGAGTCAGTCTTTATTTACACTCAAATGGACTCTAAAAATACAATTACTATTAGCTGGGGTTACTGATGGTTATTTTAAACAGAGAATGCAATTAAAGCAAGAGCTAAAGAAATACAAGTATTTAAGCACCATTAGATGCCATAATCCTAATATTCAACATGGAACCAATATTTGAGTGCCTACCTAACAGATAAGTCAGGCATACTACACTGACCAAGATGGACAAGGTTCTTGCCCTCATGGAGCTTCTAGTCCAATGACCCATTACTACTTATTGATCATGGTTTGTTTTCCATCTCCACTTAAATGATAATAACAGCCAACAACCCTGACTTATCAACATAACTAACATCTGTGTTTATTATTTGTTATTATTAGTGCTTATTATGTGCCAGGCACTGTGCTGCAAGCTTTGTGTTCACATTTCTCATTGAATTCTCACAACCACTACAGAGTTGGTGCTGGTACCATCTCCGTTTTACAGACAGGTTAAGTTACATGTCCAAAGTCTCACAGGTAGTGAGAAATTGAACCCATACCATCTGGCTCCAGAGTCTATCCTCTAAACCCTGACACCAGATTTTCCTGAATTCATTCTGAATCATTTGAATTTCTAGTTAATGACATTGGTGCCTTGGTCTGCTTGGCAGCAGATGCCCTCCTAGACAGATTTTTCTCTTCTGCTCTCAGCATCCCTCCCACTCAGCCTCCATGGATTGTGAACTCATTGACTTCAAACTAAATTGGAGAGAGACTTAAGTTGACTTGCAAGCCCTTGCAGTTAGCACCTGCTAATCTGGAATCCTTCCTCAACTGTGGGAGAAACGGTGACGTGGGTGAGTCCTCCTGATTCCATTCAGGGACATCATGTTGAAAGCCGGACACTGACATGATAGGAATATTT
The DNA here is from genome assembly GCF_000001405.40 of Homo sapiens. NCBI lineage: Eukaryota > Metazoa > Chordata > Mammalia > Primates > Hominidae > Homo > Homo sapiens. Next base: position 75,285,665 of record NC_000010.11, read on the forward strand.
ACACTATGGAAAATGGCAAATGCTACAAGTCAGGTCTTTGTGTTTGTTTATTTTCCTGAAGAGCTGGTCATTAAGCATTGACCAGCACACTGCTGGAGAGGACCCAAGGGGTCCTTTGGAAGGGGAAAACATTAGGCTGTAGCTGATGGCAACCTCCTGGCAGTCTGTGTCCATGGAGGAGACAGCAGGGAGCACCAGAGAAGGAGACAAGAGAATCATGTTCTAGACCTGGCTTTGCGGCTGAGGGAGCGGGTCTTGAGTTGTTTTTTCTCATTTGTATCGGGTGGGCTCAGCCATAGGAATAGGTATAGAACTATTTTCAGAAATAGCCTGGATGGCCGGGCTCAGTGGCTCACACCTGTAATTCCAGCACTTTGGGAGGCCGAGGCAGGTGGATCACTTGAGGTCAGGAGTTCAAGACCAGCCCGGCCAACATGGTGAAACCCCGTCTCTACTAAAAATGCAAAAATTAGCTGGTCCTGGTGGCACGCGCCTGTAGTCCCAGCTACTCAGGAGGCTGAGACAGAAGAATTGTGTGAACCCAGGAGGCGGAGGTTGCAGTGAGCAGAGATTGTGCGCCACTGCACTCCAGCCTGGGAGACAGAGCAATACTGTCTCAGGAAAAAAAAAAAAAAAGAGCCTGGAGCTAAGAAATAAACTTACTTGAATTTAATTATGTTTTTACTCAAATATAAGGCAGTTCCACTACATGATTAAATACTGGGCTAGGGCTGTGGGTCTGTGTGTGGAGCCCATGTTGCTCTATGAGCCCCACTGGCATGGGTCATGTTCCCGTGGCTTCCTCCTGCTTTCTTCTCCAGCCTTGGAGCAAGATAGAACGGAGCCAGAAAACTGCCTCTTCTCTTCTCTGTGACCTTAGACAAGTTGCTTAGCTTTTCTGTGTCTTCATTTTCTCTTCTGTGAGATGAGGATAATGGATTGTACCTGCTCGTATGGGTGCTGTGAAGCCTGACTGAGATGCACATCAGATGCTGGGAAGAGACTTGGTGCATGAGAAGCCCCCAGTATATGGTCAGTGTTGCTGCCATTTCTTCCTTGTATTGTCTCTTCTTTTGGGGGAAAGGTGTCCCACACCAACCTCCTGGCTTCCAGGGCTTACAGGGGGCCAGGGCTGAGACAGAGGGGCTGCGTCGCCTCTCCAGAAGAAGCTGGCATCCTCAGCTGAAGCCACACATCCTCATAGTTGTGTGTGAACTGTGTCTTTCTAATTTACTTATGACACTCCTAGCAGCTATTGCAAATCTTTTTGTGTTCCTTAAGCTCCCACCACTGGGAGTGAGGTGTGATCCTGGTGTCTCATGTGCCCTGATGTGGAGGTTCCAGCTGAAGGGGCATGACCCTGGAATCTGCAGGTGGGTCAGCTGGGAAGGATGCCAGACAGGTATGTGGGACTCCACAGCCTCTACTTGCTTTGAGCCAGTCTGTCTCTGTCCCCGTGGGGTCAGAAGTGCCCTCTGCATGGTCAGCTTCTGATCCTAGCAGGAGGGGATCCTGGTCCTCTCCTTGTGCTTATGGTGGTGACCATCTGTTGGGTGGCTGCCACCAGTCTGCCACCTCCCATGCTGCAGCTCCCTGGACCCAGCTCAGGGAGATTGTAATGCTCTTCTATCACGTCTCTCCCCACTACAGGCTTCTCCCCTACAATATCTGAACACAAGCACACTATGTTCTCTCCCATCTTCCAGTTGCTGCTGTCCCCTGGTCCTAGGGGACATATCCATCTACCAGCCTGGATGCATGCCTGCTCCCCATCCTTTCCTGACCCCCCTTCTGGCTTTCTTTCCAGCCTGCCCTGGAGCCCACCCTCTACTCTCTCCTGGGCTGTCTTTCCATTTCATTCCTCAGTCTCCCATTCCTGTTACCTACCCTCCCATACCTACTTACCAGGGTCTGGCCTTTGTGATACTTTCTGGACCTGTGACTTAAGGCTTCCTGAGGGTAGGTTGAACAGAGTGAGCCTTGAGCAGGGCAGGAGTGAGTGGACCAGGGCCTCTGACAAGATCAGGGTCCAGGTCTCCCTCCTCATTCTGCTGCTCCATGTTGATTTCATTCCCTCCGCCCAGCTTTTCCTCACATCAGGTCATGGCTGCCAAAGCTATGACCTCATATCCATGCCCCTGGAGGATGAAGGATATCTATCCCTGAGTCTAGTTGCAAATTCCTCAGGAAGGACTCCAGTTGTCCAAGTTGGGGACATGTGCTTAACCCTGGACCATTCACTGTCCAGGATAGGGTACTGGGGTCAGTCTGCCGGGGCCCCTTCCCACTCTTGTGCATGGTTAGATATGGTGTTGTCCAGAGGAAAGGAGATGCACGGCTGAGCGAGGAAAACATCACTGCCCTGCAGGTGGAGATGGATGGCTCTGACATTCCAGCACTAGCCATAGCTGTGAGCCAAGCCACACAGGGCACTGAGTTCAAACACAGATGATCCTGCCCTGTCGGGATTTGTCTCAAGAGAGCCACAGTTACATTGGCAGCAAGATCATAATCTTTTTATTTATTTAATGAACCGGAAGTGTTAATTGCAGAAATTTGGGCAAAGTTCTGATGGGGTGGCCCCAGCCAAGGTTTGACCAAGGTGCACTGCCTAGGTCTAGGCAGATAAGACAAGAGTAGAGGAAGTGTGCCTGGGCCTGGGGCCTCAGAGCTGCGAGATGATGTCGGGACCTGGGCAGCAGGTGAAGTCTGTGCAGTTGGGCTACATGTCCAAGGCCTTTACCACGCTGTCCTCCATCACCACGGAGAACTCTTGAGCCATCAATTCCCAAACAGTAGCAGCAACAAGTCATCTAGTAACAAATCAGACTGCTTCCCAAAGGCTCCAGTGGGGTCAGCTGGGAGCTGAACCTTGCCTTTTGTGTTGGGGCTCCCTGCCACTCACCAGTCACAGATACAGTGGACACTCCGATTTGCCACCACCTGGACCCACTTGGCCTGCAGAGCCCCAGCTTGCTCCACAAATCCCAGCAGGTGGGCTGTGGAACAACTCAGGGTAAGGGGGTGACTCAGAACCTGTGATGATGCAGGACAGTTGCCAATGGGAAACTGGGCTCAGGATAAAGAGGGAAATTCACTGACACTTTGAATTCATGGGTGGGGGTCTCAATGGGAGTCATAGAACAAAAAGTATTTTTCCCTAAACTTTGCTGCATGTGTTAATTTCCCCTCCATCTAGGCATCCATGTTTTTTTCTGTGGTCTGCCTGCACCAGGTACAGTAGGGACCAGGCGCTTGGTTGAGGGGGGCTGATCTGGCTTTGTCAGCAGTGGTCCACTTCCATGGACCTCTCTGAACTGGCCCAGCTCTCTTGTGAGTTACCATGGGGAAGGCTGGAGGTGTAGACAGACTGCCTCAGGGCTATGGAAAGAGGGCGGCCCTGGAGGGTGAATCTTCCCATGAGTACAACTCCTGCACTTGTAATACTTCTTGCTACTTGGGGGGCCAGAGCAGATTTCCAAGGTGAGAAGGAGTGGGAGCAAAGACTGTTTATGTTAGGGGCAAGGCTTGGTTTTGAATCGTAATAAAATCTGGTGGGACAGAGGGCCATGCTGGGGGAGAGGAAGGGCCAGGGCATAATAGAGGGTGATAACTGAGTCATGGACCAGTCCCAGCCCTAGATTTGCCGCCTGCCCACAGGCCTCTGGGCATGTCCTGACCATCTTGCCCCTATTGTTCGGTTACTACTGCTGCATAATAAACCACTCAAAATCATTTTATTATGTCAGTTTCTGTGGTCAGGAATTTGGATAGGGCACACTGAAAATGGTTTGTCTCTGAGACTTCATCAGGGCCAACTCGAAGACTGGGGCTGGAATCTTCTGGAAACGTCTTCATTCACTTTTTCAATTGTTTTTATTGTGGTAAAGTACACATAACATTTACCATGGTAACAATTATTATTACTATTATTATTTTTAGATGGAGTCTTGCTCTGTCACCCAGGCTGGAGTGCAGTGGTGTGATCTCAGCTCACTGCAACCTCCGCCTCCCGAGTTCAAGTAATTCTCCTGTCTCAGCCTCCCAAGTAGCTGGGACTGCAGCTAACTTTTGGATTTTTAGTAGAGACGGGGTTTCACCATGTTGACTGGGCTATGCTCGAACTCCCAGCCTCAGGTGATCTGCCCGCCTTGGCCTCCCGAAGTGCTGGGAATACAGGTGTGAGCCACCGCACCCAGCCTGTAACCATTTTTAAATGTACAGCTCAGTGTTATTAAACACATTCATAGTGCTATGCAGCCATCACCACCATCCTTCTTGAGACCTCTTCACCTTGTAAAACAGAAACTCTGTACCCACTAAACAATAATTCCCCATTCTCTCTTTCCTCTGCCCCTGACAACCACCATTCTACTTTTTGTCTCTATGAATTTGACTACTTTAGGTACCACCTGGAAGTGGAACCGTGCAGAATTTGGTTTTGTGACTGGCTTATTTCATTTAGCATAGTATTTTCAACATGATGTATCATGTTGCAGAATTCCCTTCCTTTCAAAGGCTGAATAGTATGCCATTGTGTGCATATACCCCATTCTGTTTATCCATTCATCTATCGATGGACAAGTGGGTTACTGCCATATTTTAGCTATCAAGAATAATGCTGTTATGAATAAGTCTTCTTTCTCTTTTGGTGAATGATGTTGGCTGTCAGCTGGGACGTTGGCTGGGCTGTGGGTCAGATACCTCTGTTGGCCTCTCCATGTGAACTCTCTGTACAAGCTAGTTGGGCTTCCTCACACCATGGCAGCTGGATTCTAGGAACCAGCATTGCTGGAGAGCTACCACAAGCTGCATGGTCTCTCTATGATCTTGGAAATCACTTAGTGTCACTTCTGCCACATTTTATTGGTGGAAGCAGTCACAAGTAGGCTCAGATGGAACAGGATGGGAATTAGCCTCCTTCTCTTCATGGAGAGAGGCAAGGTTATGTTCTAAGAAGAGCATGTGGAATGAGAGATACTGCTGCAGCCATTTTTGAAAACACAACCAACTACATCTTTGGAAAATCCATCTACCACATCCATAAACTTAGGAAGATGAGAGGAGTTGTCTCAAATGCACTTCACAGAGTGAGAAACTGAGGCTGCCAAAGTCGTTGAACTGAAAAAGAGCCCTGAAAGCCCAACATCCATTCAATTTAGAGATTCCTTCTATAGCATTTGTGGGAGCTAATCATCCAGCCTCTGCTTGAATATCTGTAGTGATGGGGAGAGCATTACCTTACAAAGGGACCATTTCAATTGTTGCATGGTTGAGATTGTCAAAAAGTTCTTAGATTGTGATAAAAACTGCTTCCCTGTAAGGCCCTTTCATTGTCTCTGATTTTGCCTCTGATGAATGAGGACCAGATAAGCTAGAAGGAAATGTCCGCTCTTTAGTGCTAACCATGTGCCAGCCTGTGCCTGGGGGTTTCACAGCCATTTCATGGAGAAAAAGCATGTGTCAGGCCTCTCAGTGTTGAGGGAGATGTCACTTTGCCATCCTGAAGTCTTTCTTCTTTTCCTCAAAGACTGAATTTCCTGACTGCTCATCACCTTTGCCTGTGTTACAGTTTCTCAGAATTCCTAAAACATCATTTGGACATGATGCTCTAGTCTAACCTAGCTCATCTTTTTAATTTTATTTTTTAAAGAAGCCACATCATGGCTGGGTGTGGTGGCTCAAGCCTGTAATTCCAGCAGTTTGGGAGGCTGAGGCAGGAGCATCTCTTGAGGCCAGGAGTTCAAGACTAGCCTGGCCAACATGGTGAAACCCCATCTCTACTAAAAACAGAAAAATTAGCCAGGCATGGTGATTTATGCCTGTAGTCCCAGCTACTTGGGAGGCTGAGGGGGAGGATTGCTTGAGCCCAGGGGTTCGAGGCTGCAGTGAGCTGTGACTGCACCACCACATTCCAGCCTGGGCAACACAGTGAGACTCTGTCTCAAAAAAAATCCCCAAAAAACCTTATCACACAAGGCTAGCTCATCTTAAACTTGTAGTCAGCTGAAACCCTCCAGTCATTTTTCACTGTAACTGCTGCTGCTGTGGTCTCTCCCATTGGTCCAGGAATCTTGTCATCACACCAGGACTAGGATAAGGATGAACATCCAGAGGTCAATTTTTGGCCCTGGAGGACTTCTGAGATTAAAATGTGTCTGAAGATTGGGACCTGTGGTCATGTCCAAGGTAGAGGAGGGGTCAGCTGCAGCTCTGGCTTTCTGCTGGATGGCAGTGGGGACAAGACAAACAGCTTCATTCAGAGGCTGTGAGGACTGCCAGACACTTGCAGTACCCAGTACCTGTTCCTGTCTTGCTTGGGGATGGGCACAAACCACACGGATAGGGAAGTACCATTACTGACAGGCTCAGAAGCTCAAGTGGTTTGGCCCTGGCCTGGAAATAGCTAGATCCATGCAGACTATTCAGACTGACTCCCTGGCATGAGGGGTGAGGTCACAGAGGGGACCATGGGGGAGGAGAGGATCAGAAAAGGCCATCACAGCCCTCCTTGTTCTCTGCCTCAGTGGGTTCTTACTCATGTACATATACATAAAAAGAGGGTAGAATCATGTATTTATTTTAGGTGAATCCTCCTAAATTGACATGTTCCCTGAACACAAGTCTGAGGGCTCTCTTTCATTGCAAGAGACAGAAAACAAACTAAACTTAGAGTAAGCAAGAAAGAGAATGCATTGACTCACTTGTTGGGAAGGCCAAGCATGGAGTGGGCTTCAGGCTTGACTAACTCTATGGACTGGAAAAAGGCATGGGATTTGTCGTCATTTGCTCCTGCGATACATTGGCTTCTTCCAGATAGAAGCTGCCATGCTGCTAGAAGCTCTGGGGTCCTAGCCTTACTATACTCAATTCAAAAGGATTGAAGAGCATATCTCTTTTGGAATCAATATACAAAAATCCCAGAGAAGGACCCTGATTGGTCCGACATGGTTCACATGCCTATTCCCGGGCCAATCATTACTAGCAGGAAGATGGGATAGAATGATTGGCCAGGCCTGGGTCATATGTTTTTCCCAGTGGCCAGTGATTCCACAGGCACCTAAGGGCAAGAAACAGGATACCTAGACCTCAGGGAACAGGCAAGTCCAGCAGTTTAGGAGGAGAAACAGAAGCTAAGCTGTCTTCTTGTGGTCTCCCTGGGATCTCGTGTCTGCTTCTTTTTGCCTACCTCCTCGTTCTTCTGTTTCCTTGTGAACATTGGCTTTGGTATTTTTTTCTTCCTCAGCATGTATGTACATGGCTCAAAATGGCTGCCCCAGCCCCGAGCCCTATGTGACTTTCGAGAGCTCCACACCACCTGTGGCTGAGTTCAGATGTTCAAGGAAGAGAGAATCCGATGGGTTGCAGGGATAGGTGTTAAATACTGGACCCATCAGTTGTGGCAAGGGTTAGGGATTTGTAGTATAAACACGGCTTCCGAGGTCTTCTTCCCCTTTAGCTGGCCTGTAGGGGCAGTTCGTTGGAGAAGGGGGCTGTGTGTGGGGCAGGCATTTCAGAACAAGATATCTTGCTCGTCCCAGGTGACCCAGAGAACAGCAAAGCATGGCACCATCCTGCCCTCAAGTAGCTTCAAGTCTAGCTGAGCAGGTGAGAGGCTCATCTGGGCCAGGGGTCATAGGACATCAGAGGAGGGCAAGGTCATTGTGGGCCAGGACAGGTGGAACAAGTTGCCTGGAGCCAGTGGGAGTGCAGCTGGCCTTTCCAGGTAGGCAGGAAGGAAGGGACATGACCCTGTGCCATGAGGAGGAGACGTTGCCTCAGCAGATGCTCTTTTCTTCACACCTGAGCTGGCCCTGCTGAACAAATATGCAAATGGATTTGAAGAGTCCTGTCCATTAGGGAGCTTTTCCTCAGAGCATAAGCACTGGTCTTCCTGAGGCTTCTGTTTGACTTCTCATAACACCCTCTGTCCTGGGATTACCAGAGTGCCCCCCCCGTCCACTCACCATCTGTGTGTGTGCGTGTGTGTATGTGTGTGTGCGCATGTGTGTGTGTGTAGGTTATGGGGAGTTTTTCATGATGTTTTGGAAAGTCAAGGAGTTTCTTCTCTCCTCAAAAGCCAAGAATGGAAAAAAAAAATCTCCAAGAATAAAAGGAGGGAAAAATAACCCTTTGCATTTGGAGAATGTAAAGAGATCTGTAAGCATCCTAAGGTGGAGACTTCTGTTGTCATGCTGTGGTCCAGGAAAGTCCTGGACTTGCCCAAATTCTCATGGCTGCGACTAGAACCCTGGCTTTTACTGCCAGCCCAGGGCTCTTCTCTGAGCCCTCAGGGACAGTGGGGAGTGGGCCTGGCAGGGGTGGTCTGTATGTGACAGGAGTGGGGGAATGCCCCACCTTCACAAGGACGCAGTAGAGGCTCAATCCTAAAAAACACAGCCCAAACCAAGTCCAGAGAGGATTTGGAGGCTCCGGGGAGGAGCTAAGAGGTTACCAGCGTCTCCTTTGGGAAGTGGGTGAGAGTCCATCCCACATGCCTTATCTGGGCAGATCTCATTTCCTGGTGGAGGAAAAGGAGGAGATCTTTGTGTTTCTCCTCTGTTTTTTCCCTTTCAGACAGACCAGACATCAGATCTCAGTCAGATAAATCCAGCTGAAAGAAAGGGGCTGAGGCCAGGGCTGGCACAAAGAAAAGGATCCCTTGCCAAAGTCACACAGGAAGATACTCCAAAAGACCCTCGCCCAAAGAAGAGGGCGGACGGGGTTCCCCTGGAGCTCCCTTTCCCTAAGGGCCTGGCGTTGGGCTTTCGATCCTAGTTCCACATGAGGTTTCATGTAAATGATTGTATTATTATTATTTTTTTGCATGGGTGAAAAGTCACAAATTATTAACGCTGAATTTCAAAGACTGCAGTCTTCTCACTCTGGGGTGGCATCTCTTCACTGTTCAGGCACGGGCAGCCTCACAGAACGGACGTGGCCCAGACCTCACTTGACCTCTGAGAGGCCCTGAAGGCAGTCGCCCAAGGGCAGGGGCAGGGGACAGGGCGGAGGGGGAGGACACTGAGCGGAGCGGGGAAGGAAGAGAGAGGAGGGGTGGGGAAGGAGAGGAGGGGCGGCGGGGAGCCCGGAGAGAAAGAAGGGAGACCCCGGAGAGGAAGAGGGGGAGGCCCGGGAGGGCGCGCGGAGGGGGTGTCAGCGAGGGGCCGCCTGTCAGGGTTCTATCTGCGCGATGATTGATGCGGGCCCGGGTTTTTCTGTCAGCCTGTCACGGCGCAGGAATGTTTAATGTTCTCATTATTGGTTACGCTGTTGTGTATATTTCTCTGTCAGCACCGCGGACCCAGCTGAACTGGCAGAGCACTTCAAAGGCCTACGGGTCATTCATCATCCCCATGACGCTCCGGCAAATGCTCAGCTTCAGCCCCGCGCCAGGGATTTGTTATGACTTGCGAGCCGCCTGACAGACAGGGCTGCGGCGGCCGGGAGGGGACGCGCGGGAGGCGGGCTCCGGGCCCTTCCTGTCACGCCGGGCCCGCGACTCCGACTCGGGGGGCAGGCGGCACGGCGCGGGGCGGGCCCGCCTGGGCGACCCCCGGGAGGGGTGGCAGGAGGAGGCAGGGGCGCGCCCCCTCATGGGCCCCGGGGCGCCCTCACACCTCTCCCTGCAGTCCCGCCCTCCTCCTCCTGGCGGGCGGCGGCCTCTCCCAAAGTTGTGCCGCAGACCCAGAGGTTGAGGGGGGGAAAAGCGAAACTTGCAACCGTCCAGGGCCAGGGAGGGGCGGGAGCTGGGAGCGAGAGCAGGAGAGTATCGGAGCTTTGTTTCCTTTCCCAGGCCGTGACATGATTAATCGTTTTCTTCTGATCTAATTTTGGAACATGAAAAACAGCACATTTGTCTTGAAGAAAAATGATGTGCCGAACTGCGCAGATGGAAATTTCGAGCAATGAGAAAGATTAAAGTGAAACCCCACTCCTTAGACCTAATCATGAGTTGTAGATTATTCTGTCGGCCCAGCCAGATGGTAGCTCTGATTCCACAGCCCCTTCTTATATTAATGAATACTCGACTGTTATATTTGACTTAGGTAAGTGAAATGTCTATCAGAGCTAATGGACTGCCAGCCAGCATAACACATGTTGTACCGCTAAGGGTCCTTCTGCATTTTTCATGTTTTATACTAATGTAGAACATTTTGTTTCCTACTGTTTTTCATCATTGTCACTGTTTGCTAAATATTTTCACATGGAAGGGGGGAGAGAGAGAGACAAAGTCAGGAGGAAAAAGAACCCCCCTCCAAACTTGTGTCCAAAGCTAATTTCCTCCCGTTGGGCTTGGCTATAACTCTACAAGTAAAACAGTCACCCCGAGCAATACGTACAGGAACTCAATAGTAACGTGATTAAGTTCCTAGTCAACAAGACTACACTCGACTGTATGTTAACAAACCTAATTATAGCCCCGTGGTAATAAATTGGGCCAGGGCCCTGGCTGCACATCTCTGAGGTCATGTCTAGGAGAGCTGTTTGACCCTCTTGTCTCAGGGAAGAGAATTGTCCTGGAGAGGGGTCCCTGTCTCAGCATGGTAGAGGGGCTGTTTTCTCCCTGACCTAGTTGTCCAGCCCCTGGGAGGATGGGTGGATGCCAGGAAGCATTTCAGAGCGGAAGGTCATCGGCATGAGAACTGGGTATTAGGATTTGCTGGAGGAGACCGGAAGGGCAGTGGCTTCTGAGCCATTGGCCCCTTTCACGTTGTGAGTGGCATCAGGATGTCTGAGAGGAGAGCATGGTGTTTTTGCTTCATTGGATCCATGCAGGTCTTGGAGGGTGGTGGCCCACTCTTTCTGGGCCAAGTAGAGGGTGGCTCAGACACCCCCCCTTCCTCCAGGCTTCTCATCTGTAACTGGTGAAGCCCGGAAGAGCTTGTTGTTCAAGAGGAAATCTTGTGTTACTTCTTTATGAAGGACTCCAGCCTGGTGGAGATGAATGAGTCCTGAAGATGGAATCGAAGCTGTTTGGGCACAAGTAAGCTGGAAGGGGTTGAGGGACATTTTCAAGGAGTGATGTCTTGAGAGAAAAATGGAAAGAAATCCACAGGCAGAAAAGAGATATCTAGATATGAAAACATGGGGCAGGGGGAGGGAGAGAGAGAGAAGAGAATGCAGAGAAAGAGAGAGACATACAGGAGAGGACGTGTAGGTACCAACAGAGGAGATGGCCCATGAACTCAGAGGAGAAACTCTTCTTGCCTCAGCCAAAGTGAGCTTCCTAAAAAGCCATTTTGACCCCTGCTAAAAATTCTCTCCTGGCTGTGATTCCTACGGGAGTCAGTTGCAGTGTCTTGGCTGGGAATAGGTGAGCCTCTCCATCTACCCCCAGTTTCTCTCTCCAGCCTTATCTCTCACTTGTCCTCAACTGTGACCTTGCCCTTCTGCCACATGAGCCTTCTTAGGATCCCCAAGAGTGCCAGCCTCTTTCAGAACAGTGTGATTTTATCTGTGTTTATTTCTGTCTATCCTACTCTCCTGTATTCTTTCCCTGGCAAACTCCTACTCATCCTTCAAGACTCAGCTCTCAGATCTCCTCCTCTGTGACATTTTCCTGACATTCCCAGGAGGCATTATTCATCCTCTGACCCCCACCCCCGACTCTAGCTAGGCTGCATTGAAAAATGTCTGTGTTTACAAGTCTCTTGCTCTACACCTTCCTTCCTCTACAGCTATTCCTCTGCTCATTCGTTTACTCATTCAAGAAATGTACATTAAGACCTTACTGTGTGACAGATATTGTTCTAGACACTGGGGATTTAGCAATATACAAAATCCCCTGCCCTTCTGGAGGTGTATTTGTGGATTTCATTCATTTCAGTAGCTGTATTTGTGGATGTATTAATGAGGCTCTTTTATAGTAAGAAACAGAAACTTGCTCAGGCTAGCTCTAGAAATGGGTATTACTGTAAAATGGTGGCAATAAGGAAGGCAGAAAATCTCACAGAGACCCAAGAGCAGCTGCACAGCTGAGCTTCACAGCTTCTGTAACTCGTTAATTGGCTCATTCATGGCCCTTCCTAGGCCCATGTCATTTAAGAAACTTTTTATTGTGATATGAAATACATACATAAAAGTGCATATATCACAAAAGTACAGCTCAATGAATTTTCACAAACTACAACCCATAAAGAGGTGAAGAAACATAACATTCATTACCCCAGTACCTCCTATCCTCCTTTATTTCATTTTTAAGATACATTCTCATCCCAGCTTCTCCCCAACTGTTTACCATGTGATGTTTTGATTTCTGTTTTCACTGGATTCATTTTATAAACAGCTTTATTTAGGTGAAACCTACATACCGTAAAATCATCCATTATAAATGAACAATCCAATGATTTTTTAGTAAGTTTATAAAGAGCAACCATGATCACAATCCAGTTTTAGAACATTTCCATCATCCCAAAGAATCCTCCTGAGTCAATTTTCAGTCAGTACTCAGTTCCAGCCCCAACCCCAGCCCCAGACTACCAGGTTTTACGTTTAGGTCTGGGATCCATTTTTTAAAAATAATTTTACTAAGATATAATTCACATACTGTAAAGCCTACACTTTAGAAGGTAAAATTATGTGTTTCTAATATATTTACAAAGCTGTACAAATATCACCCCTATTTAATTCGAGAACATTTTAATCACCAAAAAGAAACCCCATATCTATTCATAGTCACTCCCCACTTTTCCCTCCCTTTAGTCCTGGAAATCACTACTCTCCTTTCTGTCTCTATGGATTTGCCTATTCTAGACATTCCACATGAATAGAGTCATATAATATGTGGCCTTTAACGCCTGGCTTCTTTCACTCAGTATAATGTTTTCAAGATTCATCCATGTTGTAGTATGTATGAGAACTTCATTCCTTTTTATGGCCAAATAATATTCCATTGTATAGATTCACAATATTTTGTTCATCCATTCCTATACTGATAGACATTTGGATTGTTTCTACTTTTGGCTCTTATGATGAATAATGCTGTTATGAACATTTATGTACAAGTTTTTATGTGGCCATGTTTTCAGTTCTTTTGGGTATATATGTAGGAGTGGGATTGCTGGGTCATGCGCTGACTAGGTTTAACTTAAAATTTTTTAATATAAATTAAAAAATGTTTTATTTTTTATTAAATAAACAGAGATGGGGTTTCACCTTGTTGCCCAGGCTGGTCTTGAACTCCTGGACTCAAGCAATCCACCTGCCTTGGCTTCCCAGAGTGCTGGGATTGCAGGCATGACCTACCATGCTTGGTGTATGTTTAACTTTTTTTTTTTTTTTTAGACAAGGTTTCACTCTTGTTGCCCAGGCTGGAGTGCAATGGTGTGATCTAGGCTCACTGCAACCTCCACCTCCCGGGTTCAAGTGATTCTCCTGTCTCAGGCTCCCAAGTAGGTGGGATTACAGGTATGTGCCACCATGCCCAACTAATTTTGTGTTTTTAGTAGACATGAGGTTTCACCATGTTGGTCAGGCTGGTCTCGAACTCCTGACCTCAGTTGATCCACCCGCCTCGGCCTCCCAAAGTGCTGGGATTACAGTTGTGAGTCACCATGCTCAGCCTTGTTTAACTTTTTGAATGTGATCTATTTGAAGTTAATTTCTGTGTATGGTATGAGGTAAGAGTTTAAGTTTATTTTTTTGCATATGGATATCCAGTTGTCCCCCATAACGTTTTTTAAATCATGAATTTGCATGGGATTTTGTCAGGTGTTTTTTCTGCATTTACTGAGTGAGCTATTGAACTTTCTGAGTATTACTGTCGAATTATCTATTTCTCCTTTCAATTTCATGAGTTTTTGTTTTACGTATTTAGGGGTTCTGTTGTTCAGTGCATATATATTTATAATTGGTATTTCCTAATGTATTTACAATTTTATCATTATAAAACATCCTTTGTCTCTAATTATCGGGGGAAATTCAGCCAGATATCGGGCAAAATTCACCCCCAATATTTCACGTAGGTTCTTTTCTATTTTCCCTAAGCGCTGGCCAGTTTGAGAAATAAAGGGACAGAGTACAAAAGAGAGAAATTTTAAAGCTGGGCATCTGGGGGAGACATCACATGTCGGTAGGTTCGGTGATGCCTGCCGAGCCGTGAAACCAGCAAGTTTTTATTAGTGATTTTCAACAGGGGAGGGAGTGTGTGAATAGGGTGTGGGTCACAGAGATCACATGCTTCACAAGGTAATAGAATATCACAAGGCAAATAGAGGCAGGGCAAGATCACAGGACCACAGGACCAGGTTGAAATTAAAATTGCTAATGAAGTTTTGGGCACCATTGTCATTGATAACATCTTATCAAGAGACAGGGTTTGAGAGCAACTGGTCTGACCAAAATTTATTAGGCAGGAATTTCCTCATCCTGATAAGCCTGGGAGCGCTATGGGAGACTGGGGCTTATTTCATCCCTACAGTCTCAACCATAGAAGACTGGCACACCCAAGGGGGCCATTTTAGAGGCCCACCCTCAGGGGCACATTCTCTTTCTCAGGAATGTTCCTTGCTGAGAAAAAGAATTCAGCGATATTTCTCCCATTTGCTTTTGAAAGAAGAGAAATATGGCTGTGTTCCGCCTGGCTCACCGGCGGTCAGAGTTTAAGGTTATCTCTCTTATTCCCTGAACAATTGCTGTTATCCTGTTCTTTTTTCAAGGTGCCCAGATTTCATATTGTTCAAACACACATGCTCTACAATTTGTGCAGTTAACGCAATCATCACAGGGTCCTGAGGCGACATACATCCTCCTCAGTTTACGAAAATGACGGGATTAAGGGATTAAAGTAAAGACAGGCATAGGAAATCACAAGGGTATTGATTGGGGAAGTGGTAAATATCCATGAAATCTTCACAGTTTACGTTTAGAGATTGCAGTAAAGACAGGCATAAGAAATTATAAAAGTATTAATTTGGGGAACTAATAAATGTCCATGAAATCTTCACAATCCACATTCTTCTGCCATGGCTTCAGCCAGTCCCTCCGTTCGGGGTCCCTGACTTCCCGCAACATCTAATAACATTTCTTTCTTTCTTTCTTTTTTTTTTTTTTTTTTTGAGACAGAGTCTCACTCTGTCACCCAGGCTGGAGTGCGATGGTGCGGTCTCGGTTCACTGCAACCTCTGCCTTCCGGGTTCAAGTGATTCTCCTGCCTCAGCCTCCCGAGTAGCTGGGACTACAGACGTGTGCCACTACTCTCTGCTAATTTTTGTATTTTTAGTAGAGATGGGGTTTCACTATGTTGGCCAGGCTGGTCTGGAACTCCTGACCTCATGATCCACCCCCCTGGGTCTCCCAAAGTGCTGGGATTACAGGTGGGAGCCACCACACCTGGCCTCTCTAATAACATTTCTTACATTAAAATCTATTTTGTCTGATACTAATATAGCCACTCTAGCTCTCTTATGGTTACTGTTTGCTTGGGATATCTCTTCCTATTTTTGTGTCTCTTGTTGACAGCATTTGGTTGGATCTTGCTTTTTCATCCAGTCTGACAATCTCTGCCTTTTGAATGGATATTTTAGTCTATTCCCTTTTAATGTGATTAATGATATGGCTGGGTTAACACCTGCCATTTTTCTTTTCTTTTTTTTGAGACAGTCTTGCTCTGTTGCCCAGGATGGAGTGCAGTGGTGTGATCTTGGCTCACTGCAACCTCTGCCTCCTGGGTTGAAGCAATTCTCATGCCTCAGCCTCCTGAGTAGTTGGGACTACAGGCATGTGCCACCACACCCAGCTAATTTTTTGTATTTTAGTAGAGATGGGGTTTCACCATGTTACCCAGGTTGGTCTCAGACTCCTGAGCTCAGGCAATCCACCCACCTTGGCCTCCCAAAGTGCTGGGGTTACAGGCGTGAGCCACCATGCCCGGCCATTTCTATTTGTTTTGTATTTGCTTATTGTCTTTTTTATTTCTCTTTTACTGCCTGATTTTTTGTTGAATAATCATATTTTTAGTTAAAAAATAACAATTTAAACTATCTTCATTTTATTTTCTCAGTGGTTGCTCTGATGATTACAATTGCATTTAATTTATCATGATCTATTTCAGAAAAATGCTACTTTAATTCTGGTGAAATATAGAAACTTTGCTCCAATACATCTCCTTTTCTTCCCTTCTGCTCTATACTGTTGTCATTTATATTACATCGAAATATGTTATAAACCTAATAATACAATGTTATAATTATTTTTTATTGCAATCTTGCATTTTAAAAAGAAGCTAAGAGAAGAAGTAAGAAAAAATATACACAAAGAGTCTTTTATATTTACTAACATATATATCATTTCTGGCACTCTTTGTTTCTTTTTGTAGAGTTACCATGTGGGGTCATTTCTGTTTAGCCTAAAGGACTTTACTTAGTATTTCTTGTAAGGCAGACATGCTAGCAACATATAATCTCAGTCTTTGTTTATCTGTGAACAACTTTATTTCCCTTCCATGTTGAAGGATTATTTTAGCTGTATATGGAATTTTTAGTTGAACATTTTTCTTTTCATGTAGCACTTTAAATATGTCATTCCATTGTCTCTGGCCTCCGTTGTTTCTGATGAGAAGTTAGCTGTCCATTGTATTGTTGTTCTTCCATACATGTGATTTGTTTTTCTCTTTCTGCTTTCAAGGGTTTTTCTTTGTCTTAGGCTTTCAACAGTTTTACTCTGTGGATCTAGGTGTAGATCTCTTTTTATATATCCTACTTGGGGTTTATTGAGCTTCTTAGATGTGTAAAGTTATATTTGGGAAGATTTTGGCCATTTTATCTTCAAATACTTTTTCTGCCCCATTCTCTCTACTCTTCTTCTAGAATGCTAATTACAGATATGTGGGTACCCTTAATATTTCTTTACATCTCCTCTGCACATGTGCACAGGCTCTGTCAGCCAGGGATGTGTAGGTACCTTTGGTCCTCTTTGGTGTCTAGTATACATACACACAGCCTCTGGCTAACCCAGGATATGTGAGGAATCTCCTGTGGCTTAAATTTTACCTTTTAAAACTTCCTGATAAATCCCCTCTAGTCCATCAGTCCTTTGCTTAGCTGAAACAGAACTGCAACCTCAGATTGATGGAGCCACTGGTCCTTCCTGTTTGCTTGCCATTGAGATCACTTATCTGACAGTACTCTAAACCAAGTGTGTCCTTTCCATTATCAGTGGCAAAGCTGCTGGTTGTCATGGTGCTGGAAGGAGCTGGGGTTAGGGACATGGGGTGTGGGCAGTTATAGACTCATATTGTTCTTACCTAAAGTTTAGTAGTCTTCATTAAAAATATTTCTCAGTTTTTGTATCCCTTTGGTAGAATTCTAGAGTGTTGAAGTGGTTTTTGACAATTTTGTTCAGCTTCGTCCTTGCTTTCTGGGGAGAGGTTTTGTAGACCTCCAAACTCCATTATGTGAGAAGTCAGAAGGCCCTTGGTATATTTTCAGAGCTTCTAGTTCTGTTACTTACTAAACACCTCTGTCCTCCATATTTTCAGTTCAAATTTCCAATAGAAAGAATCTGACTGGTCTAAACAGGCTTGGGCAATGCCCCTCCTCCAAGCCATTTCATAGGTGGCTGCTTGGCTCTGCCTTGAAAGAGGTGGGAAGGCTAGGGGAGAACTTCAGGTGAGAGAAACAACTGCATGAGTCCAGGGCCAGGTGTATGTCACAATTTGTTTATTGTGGTTTCTGCCCCAGTCTAACTGATCCCACATATAGTTGGAAAGTGGTTCTGGGCAACTTTAGTGATGTAAATAAGGATTGGGTGAGGGTCTGCTTCAGGGAGGATTGGGATAGTGGATAGCAAGGCTGTTGGATCCACGTTGTACCATGTAAAGCCAGGATAAGGCAAGCAGAGTGGGCCTGTCCAGGCTGAACTGCTCTTGCCTCACTCTTGCCCTGTCCTGGCCCTGCTCCTGATTCTTTCTTAATTCACACTTGTGTCTGTCTGGAGTGAGTAGACACTCTAGTGTTGAATATAGGTTCTACACTTTTCTGCAAGCAGTCATTCACTTATTTATCCATGCATGCATTTAAGCAGTATTTGATCACCCACTTGTGTCAGATGGTGTGCTAGAGGGTGAGAATGTTACGGTAAGCAAGGCACAACTGGCCCTTACCCTCCCTTACAGCCTACTGAAGGCCAAGGATCCTTTCGCTATGCTGGATGACAGTGGCTAAATCTTTTTTTTTTTTTTTTTTTTGAGACAGGGTCTTGCTCTGTCACCCAGGCTGGAGTGCAGTGGTACAATCTCAGTTCACTGCAGCCTCTGCCTCCTGGGTTCAACCAATTCTCCTGCCTCAGCCTCCTGAGTAGCTGGGATTACAGGTGCATGCCACCACACCTGGCTAATTTTTGTATTTTTAGTAGAGATGGGGTTTCACCATGTTGGCCAGGCTGGTCTCGAACTCCTGGTCTCAAGTGATCTGCCTGCCTTGGCCTCCCGAAGTGCTGGGATTACAGGCGTGAGCCACCACGCCTTTTGGCCAAAGCAACCTGACTAAATCTTTATAGACAGGTTTGGTTGTTCTTTTTGGTCTCTGGTTTGTTTTTTTTGGTCTTTGTTTATCAGGTGAACAGCATAAACAAGACTGCAGAGAATACATTTAAACTATTTAAAATACCTTACTTTGTCTAAAGCCTCTAACATTTTCTTCAAATTAATCTTGCTAGTTACTAATGTGTATCATTATTCATTAAAGCAGGCCCAGTGAGACTCTCATTTAGTAAACTTGGTTATTAGTGAAAATATCATGATCTCCAAATGTACAGTAGAAGCTCTGTTAATTGACCTCCTTTTAAATATTTCTTCATTCTCTCTGTAAAACATATGGAGTCATGCCTTTAGTACAATAAACACTCGTGACTGGTTTACTACTCTCAATATGTCCACCAGTTGGGCTGGATGCTACTACAAATCAGTTGTGTATGTTCCTAAACCTGCTTATGTCAATTGTACTTGTCATTTTAATAATTTGTTTAAAGATCATGTAAATAATAAAATTTAACTATACCCAGAAATAAATATTTTCTATGTTAACTAGATAAATGTTTTAGAAAGCCTCAATAAAGACAAGTAGCAAAAATACTATTTTGAATTTAGAGTGCCATGAAAACTAGAAAAGATTGGAGAAAAAAATCACAAATATCCAGAAGGAATTTCCATATGTAAAGGATTCTGCATAAAGATTATTTCTAAATTCTCACTATGCCTTAAAGAATACAAAACTAGAACTCACAGATGACTCATTAAAGGTTTAGTTTTTCTGTAGGAAAAGCTATGTAGAAATCCAAACAGTGGAACTATGAGGGGAAAAAAGGTCTTAGGCTTAGATGAAAAGATGGCTAGATAAATGCATAATTGTATACTTTAACTGAAAATGTGTAAGATTACACTGCTTTAACTTACTTTAAATATTTAAAAATATTATCATAAATATTATCCGGTTGCTATCACTATCAAAATATTATTATAAATTTTATCATTCTGAGTAGGCATCTTCCTCATTCCTTTCCCTAAAGGTAGCGAATGATGTCAGTTTCTTATTTATTTTTTCATAGACTATTCATGTAAAACCAAAAAGTCTCCTTCCCTGTTCTGTAACAAATTAACAGACTTTTTTGATAAATCAACCAAATTCAAATCCAAGTTGTATGGAATAAGAAGGCCTCTACTGTATAAAGCACCATTTCACTAAAAAATGTCTTTATACATGTTGTCAAATAAGAAGTGTAACATACTGGTAGAGATCACATGATCACATTATGTTTTCTACTTTTATTTTAAAGTATATAATTAATTTCTAGATATTTGAGGATTAACTATTTATCTTTTGTTAATACAAGTTTTTTTGTTTTGGTAAAATATAAATAACATTAAATTTACCATCTTAACCATTTTAAGTAGTATACAGTTAAGTAATGTTAAGTATTCATATTGTTATACAGCCATTACCTCCATCCATCTTCAAAATTCTTTTAACCTTACAAATCTGAAACTATAACCTTTAAACAGTAACTTTCCAGTCTCCCCAGCTGTTGACAACCACCTTTCTCCTCTCTGTCTCTATGAATCTGACTACTCTAGGTACCTCATAGAGGTGGAATCATACAATATTTATCATTTTGTGACTTTTTGTGTCTATTCATGGTTTATTTCTGTTAGCATAACATATTCAAAGTTCATCCATGTTGTAGCATGTGTCAGAATTGTCTTCCTTTTTAAGGCTGAATAATATTCCACTGTATGGGTATACCACATGTTGTTTGTTAATTTATTCATCATAAGTGGTTAAGTGGACAGTTGGATTGCTTCCATGTTTTAGCTGTTGTGAATAATGTTGCTATTAATATGGGTGTACAGATATCTCTTCAAGATCCTCCTTCTATTTCTTTGGTGCATACATGCAGAAGAATTGCTAGGTCATGTGGTAATTCTATTTTTAATTTTTTGAGAAACTGCCTTAATGTTTTCCATAGTGGCCCTACCATTTTAATTTTCACCAACAGTGCACAAGGGTTTCAATTTCTCCACATCCTTGCCAACAATTTTTAATTTTCTGGATTTTAAAAAATAACAGTCACCCTAATGGGTGTGAGGGTAGTATCTCATTGTGCTTTTGATTTGCATTTCCCTAGTGATTAGTGATGTTGAGTGTCATTTCATATACTTATTGACTATTTATATATCTTTTTTTTGGGAAAAATGTCTATTCAAGTCCTCTGTTCATTTTTGAATTGGTTTGTCTGATATTTTTGTTGTTGAATTTAGTAGTTCTCTACATATTCTGGATATAAATCTCTAATATGATATATGACTTGTAAATATTTTCTCCCATTCCATAGGCTATCTTTTTACTTTGTTGATGATGCCATCTGATGCATAGAAGTTTTTAATTTTCATGATGTTGAATTTGTGTATAGGCATACCTCATTTTATTGCGCTTTGTTTTATTGTATTTTGAATGTGTTGTGTTTTTTACAAATTGAAAATTTTTGGCAATCCTGCATCAAGCAAGCCTATCAGAACCATGTTTCCAATGGCATGTGTTCATGTGCTCACTTCGTGTCTCTGTGTCACAATTTGGTAATTCTTACAGTATTTCAAACTTCTTCATTCTTATTGTATCTGTTATGGCGATCTGTGATCAATGATCTTAGGTGTTATTATTGTAATTGTTTTAGGCACCGTGAACCACGCCCTTGTAAGATGGTGAACTTAACTGATGAATGTTGTGTGCATTCTGACTGCCCCACCAACTGGCCATTCCCCTATCTCTTTCCCTTTCCTTGGACTTCCCTATTCCCTGTGACACAATAATATTGAAATTAGGCCAATTTCAATATTAGGCCAATTCAAATTAGGCCAATTTCAATATTAGGCCTGAAATTTCACTGGCTTCAAAATGTCCAAGTGAAAGAAAGAGCCGCACACTTCTCCCTTTAAATCAAAAGCTAGAAATGATTTAGCTTAGTGAGGAAGCCACATCAAAAGCCAAGACAGGCTGAAAGCTAGGCCTCTTGCACCAGATAGTTAGCCACGCTGTAAATACAAAAGAAAAGTTCCTGAAGGAAATTAAAAGTGCTACCCTAGTGAACATATGAATTATAAGAAAGTGAAACAGCCTTATTGCTGATATGAAGAAAGTTTACTAGTCGGGTAGAAGATCAAAGAAGCCATGACATTCCCTGAAGCCAAAGCCTAATCCAGAGCAAGGCTCTAACTCTCTTCATTCTATGAAGGTTGAGAGAGGTAAGGAAGCTGCAGAAGAAAAGTTGGAAGCCAGGAGAGGCTGGCTCATGAGGTTTAAGGAAATAAGCCATCATCTCCAAAACATAATAGTGCAAGGTGAAGCAGCAAGTGCTGATCAAGAAATTGCAGCAAGTTATTCAGAAGATCAAGCTAAGACAATTGGTGAAAGTGGTTACACTAAACAACAGATTTTCAACATAGATGAAACAGCCTTCTAATGGAAGAAGATGTCATTTAGGACTTTCATAGATAGAGAAGTCAACGTCTGGCTTCAAAGCTTCAAAGGAAAGGCAGGCTGACTCTCTCATTAGGGACTAATGCAGCTGGTGACTTTAAATTGAAGCCAATATTCATTTACCTTTCTGAAAATCCTAGGGCCCTTAAGAATTATGGTAGGCCAGGCATGGTGGGACCATGCCTATAATCCCAGCACTTTGGGAGGCCGAGGCGGGAGGATCACTTGAGGTCAGGAGTTCAAGACCAGCCTGGGAAACATAGCAAGACCCCATCTCTACAAAAAAATAAAAAAATGAGCCAGATATGATGGCACATGCCTGTAGTTCCAACTACTTGGGAGGCTGAGGCAGGAGGATCACTTGAGCCTAGGAGTTAAGGGGCTGCAGTGAACTATGATAATGCCACTTCACTCCAGTGTGGGCAACATAGCAAGACCCTTGTCTTTAAACAAAGGAGTTATGCTATGCTGAAGAGAGGCAATGATAAAAATGACTTATGTTAAATCTACTCTGCCTGTGCTCTTTAAATGGAAAAACAAATCCTGGGTGACAATACATCTTTTTTTTTTTTTTTTGCCTTTACTTTCATTATATGGAAAAATTGCAAGACAGCACATCTGTTTACAGCATAGTTTACTGAATATTTTAAGCCCACTATTGAGACCTACTGCTCAGAAAAAAAGATTTCTTTTAAAATATCACTGCCCATTGACAATGCACCTAGTTACTCAAGAACTCTGATGGAGATGTACAAAGAGACTAATATTTCCATACCTGCTAACACAACAACCATTCTTTAGCCAATGAATTAAGGAGCAATTTCAACTTTCAAGTCTTAATAGTCAAGAAATACATTTTGAGATGCTATAGCTGCCAGAGATAGTGATTTTTCTGATGGATCTGGGCAAAGTAAGTGAAAATCTTCTGTCAAGGATTCATCATTCTAGATGCCATTAAGAGCATTTGTGATTCATAGGAGGAGGTAAAAATATCAGCATTAACAGGAGTTTGGAAGAAGTTGATTTCAACCCTCATCTGATCTCATAAATGACTTTGAGGTTGTCAAGACATCAGTGGAGGAAGTAACTGCAGATGTGGTAGAAATAGCAAGAGAACTAGAATTAGAAGTGGAGCCCGAACATATGACTGAATTGCTGCAATCTCATCATAAAACTTGAACAGATAAGATAAGTAGTTGCTTCTTTCTTTCTTTTTCTTTTTTGAGATGGGGGTCTCACTCCGTCACCCAGGCCAGAGTGCAGTGGTGTGATCTTGGCTTACTGCAACCTCTGCTTCCTGGGCTCAAGTGATCCTCCCACCTCAGCCTCTTGAGTAGCTGGGACCACAGGTGCATGCCACCACACCTGGCTAATTTTTTTGCATTTTTGGTAGAGATGCTGTTTCACCATGTTGCCTAGGCTGGTCTCAAACTCCTGAGTTCAAGTGATCCGCCTGCCTCAGCCGCTCAGTGTTGGGATTACAGGCATGAGCCACCATGCCTGGCTGAGTAGTTGCTTCTTATGGATGAGCAAAGGAAGTGGTTTCTTGAGATGGAAACTACTCTCAGTGAAGATGCTGTGAACATTGTTGAAATGACAACAAAGCATTCAGAAAATTTCGTAAACTTAGTTGATAAATCAGCAGCAGGTTTAGAGAGAATTGACTCTAACTCTGTAAGAAGTTTTACTGTGGGTGAATGCTATCAAACAGCATTACATGCTACAGATAAATCTTTTGTGAATGGAAGAGTCAATTGATGCAGCAAACTTCATTATTATCTTATTTTAAGAAATTGCCACAGCCACTGCATCCTTCAACAACCACTACCTTGATCAGTCACCAGCCATCAACATTGAGGCAAGACCCTCCACCAACAAAAAGATGATGATTCATTGAAGGCTCAGAAGATCATTAACATTTTTTAGCAATAAAGTGTTTTTAAGTTAAGGTATGTACATTGTTTTTAAGACATAATGCTATTGCACACTTAATAAACTACAGTATAATTTGAATATAACTTTTATATGTCTGGGAAACAGAAAATTAATGTCTTGCTTTACTGTGATGTTCACTTTATCATGGTGGTCTGGAACTGAACTCGCATTATCTCTGAGAGATGACTATATTTTTTATTTTGTTGCCTATGTCTTTGGTGTCATATCTAATAACTAATTGCCAAATATAATGTCATGAAGCTTTTGTTCTATCTTTTCCTCTAAGAGTTTATAGTTTTAACTTTTGTCTAGGTCTTTAATTCATTTCGAGTTAACTTTTGTATATAGTGTTAGGTAAGGTACTGGTTATCTTTTTGTTACTGATTTTTAGCTTAATTCCATCATGGTGAAAGGACACATTCCATATGATTTTTATACTTTAAAATTTCCTGGGAGTTGTCTTATAGTCCATCTTGAAAAGAAAATGAATTCTGAAATTTATGAATACAGTGCTCTAAAATATGTCCATTAGATCAAGAGCATTTTGTACTTTAGATCTATATTCTAGAACTTCCACTTAGAGGAATACGAAGTAGGCTTACTTTTCTCTAAGTATAGTTAAAAACCATGGTCATTATATATAAACAAATATTAGAAAACTCTGAAGGGTGGATAAAAGAAGAAAGACACTCAATGGACTCAAGGGACGTTTGGGACCTGAGAAATGATCTGGTGAGCTCTCTACGTTTGTCTTATATATCCCAGGCTGGGAGCTAAAGAAGCTGGCAACTCAGAATTGCCAAAGAGCGTAGACTAAAAACAAAACAAAATAAAACCTCAACAAAAGCCTACTCTTTCCAGTCAAAGGATCAGGAAAAGGGTAGCCTAGCAAGATAGGAAACTTTCAGACAATAATCATTCTACTCTAGCTAAACACCACAGAAAACATAGGGCTCCACTCCCAGTAGCAAAGGCTAAGTGAGGAGCTTATATTTAATCCTTGGAAGTCTGTAATAAAGTACTCCAAAACCCTACCAGAATGATATCAGAAAATGCTAAGTAAGGAGCAAGGACTTTCATTTTCATCAGCTGGTAATGCAGTACCTTCCTGCAGTCTAGTGGAGACCATGTGAGAAGCTGGAAGTCCCACCCCTGCCTGTAAATAATGAGGAGCTCTCATCTTCAGGTATCATGGATTCTGAGTGGAGAAACTAGACTACTACCTGCACCTAGCAATAATGACATGGTGTTCCTCTCTCCCCCAACCAGAGCAGTGTCAGAAAAAGTCTGTTAAAACAGAAGGTTTAAAAAAGTCCCATAGTCTCATAACATAATATGAAATGTTCAGGTTTTAATAAAAAAACTAAAAAGTATTCTCAAAAACTAGGAAGATGTCAAACTGAATTTAAAAAGACAATTGTTTTAGCCAGGGTTCTCTAGAGGGACAGAACTAATAGGATAGATGTATATATAAAGGGGAGTTTATTAAGGAGTATTGACTCACACAATCAGAAGGTGAGATCCCACAATAGGCCATCTGCAAGCCAAGGAGCAAGGAAGCCACTCCAAGTCCCAAAGCTGAAGAACTTGGACTCCAATGTTCGAGGGCAGGAAGCATCCAACATGGGAGAAAGATGTAGGCCAGAAGACTAAACCAGTCTACTTTTTCCACATTCTTCTGCCTGCTTTTATTCTGGCCATGCTGGCAGCTGATTAGATTGTGCCCACCCAGTTTGGGGGTGGGTCTGCCTTTCCCACTCCACTGACTCAAATGTTAATCTCCTTTGGCAACACCCTCACAGACACACCTGGGAACAATACTTTTCATCCTTCAATCCAATCAAATTGACACTCAATATTAACCATTGCAACAATCAATAAATATCCACACCAAGAGGCAGAGATGCTAAAATTATCTGACAGATTTGAAAGCAGCCATGATAAACATGCTTCCATAAGCAATTACAAACATTCCTGAAACAGGCTGGGCACAGTGTAATCCCAGCTGTTTGGGAGGCTGAGGCAGGTGGACCACTTGAGGCCAGGAGTTTGAGAACAGCCTGGCCCATATGCCGAAACCCTATCTCTACTAAAAATACCAAAAAAAAAAAAAAAAAAGCCGGAAGTGGTGGTGCACACCTCCCAGCTACTTGGGAGGCTGAGGCCTCCTTTATAAACCTCTTTCCTTTATAAATTACCCAGTCTCAGGTTTGTCTTTATTAGCAGTGTGAGAACAGATTAATACAGTTGTTTTCTCATCAGAAACCATAGAAGTAGAGGCTTCAGCCTCCCAAGTAGCTGGGACTACAGGCGTGCACCACCACACCCAGCTAATTTTTTTTTTTTGTATTTTTAGTAGAAGTGGGGTTTTGCCATATTGGCCAGGCTGTTCTCAAACTTCTGGCCTCAAGTGGTCCGCCTGCCTCAGCCTCCCAAACAGCTGGGATTACACCACGCCCAGCCTGTTTCAGGAATGTTTGTAATTGCTTATGGAAGCATGTTTATCATGGCTGCTTTCAAATCTGTCAGATAATTTTAGCATCTCTGCCTCCCATCTACCCAGAAGGTGGAGGCTGCAGTGAGCTGAGATCACGCCACTGTACTCTAGCCTGGGTGACAGAGTGAGAACCTGTCTCAAACAAAACAAAACAAACATTCCTGAAACAAATGACAAACTAGAAAGCCTCAGTCAAGAAATAGGATATAAAAGGAAAAAACAAATGAAAATATTATAACAAAAATACAATAACTAAAATAAAAAGTCAAGTGGATGGGATTGAAGGAAAGTGGAATGGAATCAAGAGAAAAGAATCAGCAAACTAGAATATGGAAATATGGAGATTACCCAATCTGAACAACACAAATAAAATAGACTAAAAAATCAAAAATGAGCAGAGCTTCAGGGACATGTAGGTATATCACAAAATACCTAACATTCAGGATACCAGAATCCAGTAAGGAAAGGAGAAAGAGAGTGGGCCTAAAAAAGTTTGAAAAGAAATAATGGTGGAAACCTTTCCATCACTATTTGTTGAAAGACATAAACCTACAATTCAAGAAGCTGGGTGAAATCCAAATAGGGTAAACCCAAAGAAATCCATGTTAAGATACATGATAAGTAAACTACTGAAAACTAAAGAAAATGTAAAAAATCTTGAAAGTAGACAGATTAAAAAAAAACAAAAAACATCACCTTAACTATATGAGAAAACAATTAGAATAGTAGCTGGTGATATGGTTTGGCTCTGTGTCCCAACTCAAATCTCACCTTGAATTGTAGTAATACCCATGTGTCAAGGGTATGGCCAGGTGGAGATAATTAAGTGAGTTTCCCCATACTGTTTTTGTGATAGTGAATAAGTCTCGCGAAATCTGATGGTTTTATAAATGGGAGTTCCCCTGCACATATGCTCTTGCCTGACACCATGTAAGATGTGACTTTACTCTTCCTTTGCCCTCTGCCATGATTGTTAGGCCTCCCCAGCCATGTGGAACTGTGAATCCATTAAACCTCTTTCCTTTATAAATTACCCAGCCTCGGGTATGTCTTTATTCGCAGCATGAGAACAGACTAATACACTTGGTTTCTCATTAGAAACCATGGAGGTAGAGCGATGTCAGCAAGATGGCAAAATAGGGGTTTTTTTGCAATTTGTCTCCATCCACAATGAGAATACCTTTGTGGGAGTTCAGAAATCCAATGGACACGTTCCAACACACCACTGAGCAACAAATCCAATAATAGACTCATTCAGAAGGGTAGGAAGAACAGTTGTATTAGATTCATGTCACCCCTCCCACAAGGTAGCACAGCTCAGTCCCAAGAGAGACCCCCATAGGCCTGTGATTTTGTCAGTAGGGAAAAGTGAGAGTGTAGTGAGTGAGCATTTGGTTCCCACAGCCATGTAGGATGCTGCTCACTTCTTTTTTGCACAACCCAGGATACAGAGGTGATCAGCAAAACTAAGTGGGTGGCAGAGGCTAGGAATAGGAAGGAGAGTCTGGGGACTCCACTAAACACTATGGACCTTGTCAAGAAGCTTCCACATGAACCCACTTGGGATGCCTTGCCTGTGGTCCCCACTGGGCTTGTGGGCACTCCAAATGCTCTGCAACTCTTCCCCCAACCTGGATTCCTGGGCATGCCCCTGCAGACAGCAGGTGCAAATATCTCATGTAAACAGCCAGCTCAAATCTGTGGGATTGGGAGAAGGGACATGAACTTGAGCATTTCAGGGCACTGACCTAAGGAAAACAAAAGAGAGAACCTCAGAGTCTTGGCTAGCTTTGCAAAATATAGAGAAAGCATACAATCTTAAGAATTTTGCCACTCCTAAGAGGGAACAAGAGATGTGGAGGAAACACATGAGTGAAGTCATTTCTCTCCCAAAGCCAGCCGGTAGAGTGGAGGCTTTTTCAAATGTGAAGATACCACAACAGTGCAAGACTTCAGGGAACATGAAAAATCAAGGAAACGTAACACTGCCAAAGAACACAATAATATTCCAGTAACCAACCTCAAAGAAATGGAGATCTGCGAATTGCTAGACAAATAATTTAATTGTTTTAAGAAAGCTCAGTGCGTGAACCCGGGAGGCAGAGCTTGCAGTGAGCCGAGATCGTGCCACTGCACTCCAGCCTGGGCAACAGAGCGAGACTCCGTCTCAAAAAAAAAAAAAAAAAAAAAGAAAGCTCAGTGAGATGCAAGAGAACACAGACAACTCAATGAAATCAGAAAAACAATATAAGAACAAAATTAGAAGTTCAATAAAGAAATAGAAATCATAAAATAAACCAAACAGAAATTCTGAGGCTGAAGAATACAGTAAATAAAAAATGCAATAGAGAGCATCTACAGCAGACTTGATCAAGCAGCATAAATAAATCTGTGAACTTGAAGATAGGTCATTTGAAAATATCCAGTCAGAGGAGAAAAAAGAAAATACAATGAGAAAGAATGAAGAAATCCATAGAAATTATGGGACACCATCAAAAGATCTAACATTCACATTATGGGAGTCTCATAAGGTGAACACAGAGAGAAAGATATAGAAAGATTAGGTAATAAAATAAGGCTGAAAACTTCACAAATCTGGGGAGAGATACGTACATCAATGTAGTTATCTATGAGCATCTACCAGCAGATTTCTCAAGAGATACCTGGCAGGCCAGGAGAAAGTGGAATAATATATTAAAAATTGCCAACCAAGAATACTTTACCTGGTAAAACTATACTTCAGAAATGAAGGAGACATAAAGACTTTTTCAAGCAAAAGCTGAGGGAGTTTATTACTACCAGACCTGCCTTACAAAAAATGCTAAAGGGAGTTCTTCAAGCTAAAATGAAAAGATGCATATTAATAACATGAAAACATGAAAGTATAAAACTCACTGGTATAATTAAGTATATAGTTAATTCAGATTACCCTAATATTGTAATGATGGTGTATAAATTACTTATAACTCTAGTATAAAGGTCAAAAGACAAAAATATTAAAAATAACTATAGCTGGGCATGGTAGCTCATGCTTATAATCCCAGCACTTTGAGAAGTCAAGGCAGGAGGATTGCTTGAGGCCAAGAATTCGAGACCAGCCTGGGCAACATAGCAAGACCCTGTCTCTACAAAAAATTTAAAAATTAGCCAGGCATGGTGGTGTGCACCTGTAATCCCAGCTACTCAGGAGGCTGAAGTGGGAGGGTTGCTTGAGCCCAGGAGGTCAAGGCTGTGGTGAGCTGTGATCATGCCACTGAATCCCAGCCTGAGTGATAGAGTGAGACCCTGTCTCAAAACAAAAATGAAAACAAGCTATAGCTTTAATATTTTGTTAATGAATACAGAATATAAAAAGATGTAAATTGTGACATCAGGAACTTAAAATATAGGGGTTGGAAGTAAAGTGTGGAGTTTCTATATGTGATTGAAATGGTGTTGTTATCATGTTAACATAAACTGTAATAGCTATAAGATTTTATGTAAGTCTTATAGCAGCCAAAAAGCAAAAACCTATAGTAGATACACAAACAATGAAGAGAAAGGAATCAAAGCGTAACACTACAGAAAATTATCAAATCACCAAGGAAGACAACAAAAGAGCAAGAAAAGAACAAAGAATCTACAAAATAGCCAGAAAACAATTAATAACATAGCCATAGTCACTTATCTATCAATAATTATTTTAAATGTAAATGAATTAAATTCTCCAATCAAAAGACATAGAGGAACTGAATGAATAAAGAAAGATAACTCAACTCTAGGCAGCCTACAAGAAATTCACTTCACCTTTAAGGACACACACAGATTGAAAGTGAAGGGATGAAAAAGATATTCCATGTAAATAGAAACCAAAAGAGGGTGGGGTAGACATAAATCGACTTTACATCAAAAGCTGTATCAAGAGGCAAAGGTCATTATATAATGATAAATGGGTCAATTTATGATGAAGATATAATGGTTATAAACATATATATGCAGCCAACAGTGGAGTACCTAAATATATAAGCAAATATTAACAGATCTAAAGGGGGAAACAGACAGCAACACAATATTAATAGTGGACTTCAATGCCCCACTTTCAACAATGGATAGAACATCCAGACAGAAAATCAATAAGGAAACATTGGACTTGAACCACACTTTAGACCAGATCAACCTCATAGACATATTCAGAACCTTCTATCCAACAGTAGCAGCATACACATTCTTCTCAAGTGCACATGGAGCATTCTCCAGGATAGATGATATGTTAGGCCACAAACAAGCCTCTTCTTTTCTTTTCCTTTTTTTTTTTTTCTTTTTCTTTTTTGAGACAGTCTCACTCTGTCACCCAGGCTGGAGTGCAGTGGCACGATCATAGTTCACTGCAGCCTCAACCTTCTGGGCTCAAGTAATCTCCCCACCTCAGCCTTTTGAGTGGCTAAGACTACAGGCACATGCCACTGTGCCTGGCCAATATTATTTTAATTTTTTTGTAGAGACAAGGTCTCTCTGTGTTACTCAGACTGGTTTTGAACACATGGGCTCAAACAGTCCTCCTGCCTCAGCCTCTCAAAGTGCTAGGATTACAGGCATGTGCTACCATACCTAGTCTCACAAAACAAATCTTAACAAATTTAAGAAGATAGGAATCATATAAAACATTTTTTATGACCACAGTGATATGAAAGTAGTAATTAATAACAGGAAGAAAACTGAAAAATTCACAAAGATGTGGAAATTAAACAACACATTCTTCAACAACCAATGGGTCAAAGAAGAAATCAAAGGGAAATTTAAAATATCTTGAGACAAATGAAAATGGAAACATAACATGCCAAAACTTATGAGATGAAGCAAAAGCAGTTCTTAGAGGGAAGTTTTAAAACATTATTTTATATTTTTATTTTTTTGAGACAGGGTCTTGCTCTGTCTCCCAGGCAGGAGTACAGCAGCACAGTCATAGCTCACTGCAGCCTCAAACTCCAGGGTTCAAGCCATCCTCCCACCTCAGCCTCCCTAGTAGCTGGGACTACAGGTGCACACCACCACTCCTGGCTAATTTTTGTATTTTTTGCAGAGGCAGAGTTTCGCCATGCTGGCCAGGCTGGTCTCAAACTCATGAGCTCAAATGATCCATCTGCCTTGGCCTCCCAAAGTGCTGGGATTCTAGGTGTGAGCCACCACACCTGGCCCAACATCCCACACATCCCACGTCTTTTTTTTTTTTTTTTTTTTTTTTTTTTTTTGAGACGGAGTCTCGCTGTTTCACCCAGGCTGGAGTGCAGTGGCACTATCTCGGCTCACTGCAAGCTCCATCTCTCGGGTTCACGCCATTCTCCTATCTCAGCCTCCCAAGTAGCTGGGACTACAGGTGCCCGCCACCACACCTGGCTAATTTTTTTTTTTTTTGTACTTTTAGAAGAGACGGGGTTTCACCGTGTTAGCCAGGATGGTCTTGATCTCTTGACCTCGTGATCCGCCTGTCTTAGCCTCCCAAAGTGCTGGGATTACAGGCATGAGCCACTGCTCCCGGCCCCCATTTCTTAATATGGTTACAATAGAAATTAAATTTCAACATAAGTTTTGGAGATGACAGAGGTTCAGATCATAGCAAACAAGTTCTGGAGACCTAACATATATCATGGTTATTAAATAATGTCTTGTGGCCAGGTGTGGTGGCTCATACCTATAATCCCAGCACTTCGGGAGGCCGAGGTGAGCAGATCACTTGAGGTCAGGAGTTTGAGACCAGCCTGGCCAACATGGTGAAACCCCATCTCTACTAAAAATACAAAAATTAGCTGGGCATGATGGCAGGCACCTGTAATCCCAGCTACTTGGGAGGCTGAGGCAGGAGAATCTCTTGAACCCAAGAAGTGGAGGTTGCAGTGAGCTGAGATCACACCACTACACTCCAGCCTGGGCAACAGAGCGAGACTCTGTCTCAACAAATACATACATACATACATACATACATAAATCTTTTATACTTGAAATTTGTTGAGCGAGTAGATTGTAAGTATTCCTACTACACACATAGAAAGGTAACTATGTGAGGTGATAGATATGTTACTTAGTAAGATTGTGGTAATAATTTCACAATGTGTACATATATCAAAACATCATATTGTATGCCTTAAATTATATAATTTTTATTTGTCAGTTATACCCCATAAAGCTAAGAAAGAAAAAAAGAAAGCCACAGTGGCCAAAAAGGAGTAGCATAATATTTCCAAGAGCTGCAAGTAAATAACTGCCAACTCAGAATGCTATTCTCAGCAAAAATATTCTGGAATGAAGGAAAAAGTCAAGACAATTGCTGATGATGGAAAAGTAAGAGGCCAGGCATGGTGGCTCACACCTGTAATCCCAGCACTTTGGGCAGCTGAAGCAGGGATCACTTGAGCCCAAGAATTTGATGCCAGCCTGGGCAACATAGTGAGACCCTGTCTCTAAAAAAAATAGAAAAATTAGCTGGGTATGGTGGTGCATGCCTGTAGTACCAGCTGCTCAGGAGGCTGAGGCAGGAGGATCGATTGAGCCTAGGAGTTGGAGGCTGCAGTGAGCTGTTATTGTGCCACTGCACTCCAGCCTGAGTGACACAGCAAGATCCTGTCTCAAAAAAAAAAAAAAAAAAAGTAAGATAATTTGTCACTAGCAGAACTATTCTAAAAAAATAGCTAAAGGAATTTCTTTAAACAGAAAGGAAATAATAAACTGAAGAAAATTGGAACATTGGGAAGGAAGAAATAACACAGTAAGCAAAAATATGTAAAAATATAATAGGCTTTCCTCCTCTTTTTAAAATCTTCCCTTCCTTCCTTCCTCCCTTTCTTCCTTCCTTCTTTCCTTCTTTCCTCCCTTTCTTCCTTCCTTCTTTCCTTCTTTCCTTCCTTCCCTCTCTCTCTCTCTTTCTTATTTCTTTTTCAAGACAGGATCTTGCTTTGTTGCCCAGGTTGGAGTGCAGCGATGCAATCACGGCTTACTGCAGCCTCGACCTCCTGAGGTCAATCAATCCTCCCACCTCACCTTCCTGAGTAGCTGGGACTACAGGTGTGCACTGCCATGCCTGACTAATTTTTATTTTTGTATTCTTTGTAGAGACAGGGTTTTGCCATGTTTCCCAGGCTGGTCTCAAACTCCTAGACTCAAGCAATCCCTCCCAAAGTGCTGGGATTACGGGCATGAGCCACTGTGCCAGGCCAAATTTTCAAAATAATGTTTGATGATTAAAGTAAAAATTATAACACCATCTTAGTGGTTCTGATGTATATAAAGGAATTATTTAAAACAACTTTGTTGTAAACAGGGGAGAGAAAAGGAACATAAAGGGAGGTAAGTCTCTATACTTCACTTGAACTGGTACAATGACAACATAAGCAGACTGTAGCAAGTTATGTATATATAATGTAATACCTAGAGCAGCCACTAAAAAAGCTATACAAAGAGTTACTCTCAAACACCCTATAGTTAAGTTAAAAAGGAACTTCTTTTCAAAAAGTCAAGTAACTGCAGGAAGGCAAGACAGAAAAGAGATAAAAAATAGAAAGAACAAATGAAAAATAAAGTGGCAGACTTAAGTCCTAAACATATCAATAATTACATTATATATAAATGGTCTAGATATAATTAAAAGACAGAGATTGGCTAAACAGATTTTAAAATATTAGGCAACTATGTGCTGTATACAAAAACTCCTTTCAAATATAATGATATAGTCAGGTTTACCGTAAAAGGCTAGAAAATGATGTATCATGCATACATTAATCACAAGAGAGCATGTGTAACTTAGATGAAATGAATCAATTTGGAGGAAAACAATGACCATAACTCACCCAATATGAAGGAATTAATTTGAAGTCTTATAACTATTGGTATGGTTGAATTTATAATTTTTTAAAATCCCAAATAAGAAATCTCCAGATTCAGATGGTTTCACTGGAGAATTCTACAAAACTTTAAATAACATTAATTCTAAACAATCTCTTCCAGAAAAATAGAGGAGGAGGGAAAATTTTTCAGTTCATTTCATGAGGCTGGTATTATCCTGTTACTAAAACTAGATAAAGAGAGTACAAAGAAAGAAAACTACAGACCAGTATTCCTCATAATTATCAATGCAAATAAACTTTTAAAAATTAGCAAATAGTGGCTGGGCATGGTGGCTCATGCCTGTAATCCCAGCACTTTGGGAGGCTGAGGTAAGCAGATCACCTGAGGTCAGGAGTTTGAGACCAGCCTGGCCAATATGGTGAAACCCCGTCTCTACTAAAAATATAAAAATTAGCTGGCGTGGTGGATTGTGCCTGTAATTCCAGCTACTCAGGAGGCTGAGACAGGAGAATCACTTGAACCCAGGAGGGGAAGGTTGCAGTGAGCCGAGATCGCACCACTGCACTCCAGCACGGGCAACAGAGTGAGACCCTGTCTCAAAAAATAAATAAAATAAAAATAAAAAATTAGCAAATAGATTACAGCAATATATAGGCTGGGCATGGTGGCTTATGCCTGTAATCCTAGCACTTTGGGAGGCCAAGATGGGAGGATCAGTTGAGGCCAGGAGTTTGAGACTAGGCTGGTCAACATAGCAAGACCCCATCTCTAAAAAAAATTAAAGAAAAGATAAGAAAAAGAATACAGCAATATAGAAAAATAATTATATACCACAATCACATATGTTTTTTTCCTCAGGGATGCAAAGTTGTTTTAATATTTGAAAATCAATTAATCAATGTGATCTACCATATTAACAAGATAAAGAAGAAAATCATAATCTTATAATTCTTGGTGACAGGAATTTGATGAAGAAAAAGCTTTTGATAAAATTTCGCATTCATTCATGGTATAGTTTTGCAAGATGTTACCATTTGGGGAAGTTAGGTAAAGGGTACTGACATGGTTTGGATCCCAAATGTCATGTCAAATTGTAACCCCCAGTGCAGGAGGTGGGGCCTGGTGGGAGGCAATTGGATGATGGGGGCAGTTTCTCACGAATGGTTTAGCACCATCCCCCTAGTGCCATTCTTGTGATAGAGTTCATGAGATCTGGTTGTTTCAAAGTGTGTAGCACCTCTCCTGTCTCTTTCTTCCTCCTGCTCTGGCAATGTAAGAGGAACCTGTTTCCCCTTCACCTTCTACTTGGATTGTTAGTTTCCTGAGGCCTCCCCAGAAGCTGAGTAGATGCCAGAATTATGCTTTCTGTACAGCCTGCAGAACCATGAATCAGTTAAACCTTTTCTTCATAAAACACCCAGTCTCAGGTATTTTCTTGTAGCAATGTGAGAATGGACTAATACGGAAAATTGGTACCAGAATGGGGATATTGCTATAAAGATACCTGAAAATGTGGAAACAGCTTTGGAACTGGTTAACAGGCAGAGGCAGGAACAGTTTGGAAGTCTCAGAAGGAGAAAGGAACATTAGGGAAAATTTGGAACTTCCTAGAGACTTGTTGAATGGTTATGAGCAGAATGCTGTTAGTGCTATAGACAATGAAGTCCAGGCTGAGGAGGTCTCATATGGAAATAAGGAACTTATTGGGAAGTGGAACAAAAGTTGCTTTTGTTATGGATTAGCAAAGAACTTGGAGGCATTGTGCCCCTGCCCTAGGGATCTTTGGAACTTTGAACTTGGGAGTGATGATTTAGTGTAGCTGGTGGAAGAAATGTCTAAGCAGTATAGCATATAAGATTTGACCTGCTGCTTCTAACAACCTAAGCTCATATGCATGAGCAAAGAAATGACCTAAAACTGAAGCATATTTAAAAGGGAAACAGAGAGTAAAAGTTTGGAAAATTTGAAGCCTGGTCATCTGGCAGAAAAGAAAAGCCTATTTTCAGAGAGGAATTTAAGGAGGCTACAGAAATTTGTATAACTAATAACAAGTATTTTTCTTGTTGTTCTTCTAGTATCTTAATATACATTCTCTTAGAATTATTTTAGTAGTTGCCATGGAGCACTCAATATACATCTTTGATTTATTAAAGCCCAATACGAAATAGTACTTTTACCACTTCTCATTCTATGCAAGCACCTTGGAATACTTTTGGAATACTTTAGCTTTATTTACCACCACCAATTTTTTTTTTTTTTTTGAGACAGAGTCTTGCTCTGTCACCAGGCTGGAGTGCAGTGGTCAATCTTGGTTCACTGCAAACTCCGCCTCCTGGGTTCAAGTGATTCCCCTGCCTCATCCTCCTGAGTAGCTGGGTCTACAGGTGTGCGCCACCATGCCCTGCTAATTTTTTGTATTTTAGTAGAGACAGGGTTTCACCATGTTGGCCAGGATGGTCTCTATCTCCTGACCTCGTGATCCGCCTGCCTCAGCCTCCCAAAGTGCTGGGATTACAGATGTAAGCCACCACGCCCGGCCCACTGCCAATTTTTTATGCTTTCGTGTATATTAGTTTCATGTTTATCGTTTTCATGTATATTAGTTCTACATATATTTTAAACCACACATGATATAATTTTTCTATGGAAACAATGTTTATTTTTTGGCCAGGCACTGTCACTCATGCTTATAATACCAGCACTTTGGGAGGCTGAGGTAGTAGGCTCACTTGAGGCCAGGAGTTGGAGACCAGCCTGCGCAACATGGTGAGACCCCATCTCTACAAAAAAGAAATTAAAAATAAAAAAATTAGCTGAGCATGGTGGTGCATACCTGTAGTCTCATCTACTCTGGAGGCTGAGGCAGGAGGATTGCTTGAGCCCAGGCATTTGAGGCTGAAGTGAACTGTATCATGCCACTGCACTCTAACCTGGGCAGCAGAGTGAGACCCTGTCTCAAAACCAACTAACCAACCAACCAACATGTAATTTTTTTGTTGTAATTTGTATTTCATTTTGAGTTTTCCCCACATCCTGGTCGATTTTTCAAAATTTACATACAGTAAATTTTATTCTTTGTTGTGTACTCTTCTACAGGTATGTGAAATTCACAGAGTTGTACCTCCACCACCAGTCTTGACTTAGAACAATCCATTACTCCAAAATTCCCTTGTTCCGTGTTTTCCCCTTGCAATCAACCTCTCTCCAATTCTAACCCCTGGATGTACCTGTTTTCCTGTGTAGCCTTCTGGCTCTGACTTCTTTCACATAGCAAAATGCATTTAAGATTAATCATACATGTTGTATGAATCGATAGTTTGTTCCTTTTATTGCTGAGCAGTGTTTAATTGTATGGTTGCACTATATAATGTTTATCCATTTGCCAGCTGAAAGACCTCTGGGTTACTCCCAGTTTTTGGTATTTATAAATAAAGCTCTTAAAAATTATTTATTTTTATAAACATAGGTTTTCATTTCTCTTGGCCAAGTACGTAGGAGTGGAATTGTTAGTTCATATTGTATGTGTATGTTTAATTTTTAAGAAACTGCCAAATTGTTTTCCAAAGTGGCTGTACCATTTTGCATTTCCACCAGCACTATTTGAGGTTTCCACCAGCAATATTTGAGGTTTCCAATTGCTCCACACTTTGGTAGTACTTGATATTGTCAGGTTTTGTTTGTTCATTTGTTTTTTTAGTATCTCATGGTGGTTTTAATTTGCATGTCCCTAATGACTAATTGTGTTGAGCATCTTTTCATGTGCTTATTAGCCCTCCATATATTTTCTTTGGTGAAGTGTGTGTTCAGAACTTTTGCCATTTAAAAAATTGGGTTGCGGCCAGGCACGGTGGCTCATGCCTGTAATCCCAGCACTTTGGGAGGCCAAGGCGGGCAGATCACCAGAGGTCAGGAGTTCGAGACCAGCCTGGCCAACATGGTGAAACCCCATCTCTAATAAAAATACAAAAAATTAGCCGGGCATGGTGGTGTGCACCTGTAATCCCAGCTACTTGGGAGGCTGAGGCAGGAGAATTGCTTAAACCTGCCTCAGCCTGCAAGATTGCACCATTGCACTCTAGCCTGCGCAAAAAAGAGCAAAACTCCGTCTCAAAAAAAAAAAAAAAAAAAAAAGGGTTGCTTGTTTTCTTATTGTTGAATTTTGAGCATTTTTTATACATTTTATATGCGTTTGTCAGAAATATGATTTGCAAATATTTTCTTGCAATCTATGGTTTGCTTTTGTATTCTTTTAACAGTGTCATTTGCAAAGCAAAATTTTTTAATTGTAGTAAAGTTAAAATTGTCATTTTTTCTTTTATGGATAATGCTTTTTTGGATCATGCTTAGGGTCATGATTATTTTCTCCTGTATTTCTTCTAGAAGTACTGTAGTTTTACATCGTACATTTAGGTGTATGATCCTTTTTTTTGTTTGTTTGTTTTTCTGTTTTTTTTTTGAGACAGGGTCTCGCTCTATCACCCAGGCAACCAGGCTGGAATGCAAAAGTGTGGTCATTGCTCATTTCAGCCTCAAGCTCCTGGGCTCAAAGGATCCTCCCACCTCAGCCTCCCAAGGTAGCTGGACTACAGACACATACCACCACACCTGGCTAATTTTTAATTTTTTTAGAGACAGGGTTTGGCTTTGTTGCCCAGGCTGGTCTCAAACTCCTGGCCTCAAGTGATTCTCCTACCTCCACCTCCTAAATTTTTGGGATTGTAGGCGTGAGCCACTGCATCCAGCCTATGATCCATCTAGAATTAATTATATCTGTATATATATTTGTTTTATTGAGATATAATTCACATACCATAATATTCACTCCTTTAAATTACATAATTCAGTGATCTTTAGTATATTCACAAAGTTGTGCAACAATCACCACTATCTAATTCTAGGGCATTTTATTCCCATGCTTATTTGCTGGAATTCCTAGTTTCTCCTCCCCTCAGCCCTAAGCAACTATTAATCTACTTTTTGTCTCTGTAGATTCTTTCACTTAGCATAATATTTTCAAGGTTCATCCATTATGTAGCATGTATCAGTACTTCATGACTTTTTATGGCTGAAAAGTATTTCATTTTATGGATATATCAATTTTACTTATCCATTTATCATTTGATGGACATTTGGGTTGTTTCCACTTTTTGGCTATTATGAATAATCTATGAATATTCATGTACATGTTTTTGAGTACACATATGCTTTTAATTATCTTGGGTATATATCTAGGAGTGTTGAGTTAATTTTTGTATAAGGCGTGAGGTATGGGTTGAGGTTCATTATTCTAGAACCGTTTGTTGAAATGACTATCTTTTCTCCATTGAATTGCCTTTGCACATTTGTCAAAAATCAGCTGACTCTATTTGTCTGGGTCTATTTCTAGACTCTGTTCTGTTTCACTGATCTACATGTCTATCTTTTTGCCAATACCATATATATATATATTTTTTTTTTTTTTGAGACAGGGTCTTGCTTTGTTGCCCATGCCAGAGTGTAGTAGCACAATCAGCTCACTCATTGCAGCCTTGAACTCTCAAGCTCAAGTGATCCTCTTGCCTTAGCCTTTTAAGTAGCTGGGATTACAGGTGCAAGGCACAGCACCCAGCTCCACACTGTCTTGATTACTGTAGCTTTAGAGTAAGTCTTGAAATTGGGTGGTTTGAGTTCTTTAACATTATTTCTACTTTTTGAAATTGTTTTGGCTATTCTAGATCTTGTGCCTTTCTCATATACATTTTAGAATCAATTCGTTGTTAGTGATAATAAAAAGTATATGGAGATTTTGATTGGGGTTGCAATGAATCTACAGATCAATTTGGGGGGAATTGTCATCTTAATATTTGATTCTTTTAATCCATAAACATGGCATATCTTTCCATTTATTTAGTTCTTCTTTGATTTCTTTTGTCAGTATTTTGTAGTTTTCAACATACAGATCCTGCACATATTTTGGGGGTGCTGTTGTAAATGGTATTGCTTTTTTTTTTTTTTGAGATAGGGTCTCACTCTGTCACCTGGGCTGGAGTGCAGTGGTGTGATCATAGCTCACTACAGTCTTCAACTCCTGGATTCAAGTGATCCTCCCGCCTTGGCCTCCCTCAGTGCTGGGATTGAAGGCATGAGCCACTGTGCCTGACTGCAGTATTGCTTTTATTAGGTTGGTGCAAAAGCGATTGTAGTTTTTGCCATTGAAAGTCATGGCAAAAACATCAATTACTTTTGCATCAGCCTAACAAAAATTGGAATTCCAATGTTCATTGCCACTATGTAGAAATACAATTGATTTTTTTGTATATTTGCCCTGCATCTTATGACCTTGCTAAAGTCACTTGTTAATTCTAACAGTTTTTTGGGTAGATTCTTTGGAATTTTCTATATAGGCAACATATCATTTCGGTTTTACAGACATCTTTACCATTCCTTTAGCTCTTCATTCTTTTCTGAATATCTGTGATCTTAATCTGGTTATTTTCCTTCTGCCTGCAGATCTTTCTTTCTTTCTTTCTTTTCTTGATATAAGTGTGCTGGTTATAAATGCTTCAACTTTTGCTTGGCTGGAAATGTCTTTATTTTCCATTTATTTTGGGAAGATATTTTTACAAAATATATAATGATGAGTTGGCAATTATTTTTAACTTAGGACTTTCCAGATATCTTTCATTGTTCTGGCCTTCATTGTTTTTGTTGAGAAGTAAGTTATTGCTACTACTTTGAAGGCAATCTTCCTTTTTTTTTGTTTGACTTTTAAAATGTTTATTGTTTTATTTTTTTTTCTTGACACATAATTAATTGTACATATTTATGGGGTACAGTGTGATTTTTTTTTCAGACAAAGTCTCGCTGTGTGCCATCTCAGCTCACTACAACCTCTGCCCCCTGGGTTCAAGTGATTCTTGTGCCTCAGCCTCCTGAGTAGCTGGGATTACAGGCTCATGCCACCATGCCTGGCTAATTTTTATTTATTTATTTTTATTTTTTTAGTAGAGACACGATTTCACCATGTTGGCCAGGCTGGTCTCCAACTCCTGACCTCAGGTGATCCTCCCACCTCGGCCTCCAAAGTGCTGGGATTACAGGCATGAGCCACCACACTCAGCCCAGTGTGGTATTTTTGATACATGTATACAATGTGTGATGATCAAATCATGGTAATTAGCATTCCATCACTTCAAACATTTATTATTTCTTTGTGTTAGGAACATTCAAAATCTGCTTTTCTAGCTATTTGAAAATAGACAACAAATTGTTGTTAATTATACTTACCCTGTAGTGCTTTAGAATGTTAGAACTTATTCCTCCTGTCTAGCTCTACTTTGATATCTGTTAACCAACCTTTGGCTATTCCCACCCACCCTGCCCCTGGCCCCTACCCTTCCCTACCCTTAGGAATCACTATTCTACTATTCTGCTCTCTACCTCTGTGAAATCAACCCTTTTAGATTTTACAAATGAGTGAAAACATTTAGTATTTGTATTTCTGTGTCTGGCTTATTTCACTTAACATAATGTCCTCCAGGCACATCCGTGTTGCCATGAAAAACAGGCTTTTTCTTTTTATGGCTCAATAGTATTCCATTATGTAGATGTAACATATTTTCTTTATCCATTCATATGTTGGTAGACACTTAAATAGATTATATATCTTGGCCATTGTGAATGGTACTGCAATAAACATGGGAGTGCAGATAATCTCTTTGACATACTGATTTCCTTTTCTTTGGATATACCCAGTAGTGGAATTGCTGGATTATATGGTAGTTCTATTTGTAGTTTTTTGAGGAAGCTACATACTGTTTTCCATAATGGCTGTCCTAATTTACTTTTCCACTAACCGTGTGTAATAGTTCCTTTTCTCTGCATCTTCACCAGCATTTTTAAAAAAATCTTTTTGATAATAGCCATTCTAACTGGGGTGAGATGATATCTTATTGTGATTTTGATTTGCATTTCTCTGGTAATTAGTGATGCTGAACATTTAAAAAATATACCTGTTGACCATTTGTATGCTGTCTTTTGAGAGATGTCTATTCAGCTCATTTGCCCATTTAAAAATCAAATAATAATAATTATTATTATTTTGCTGTTCAGTTGTTTGAGTTCCTTGTGTATTCTAGATATCTTGTCAGATAATAGTTTGAAAATGTTTTCTACAATTCTTCAAGTTGTCTCTTCACTCTGTTAATTGTTTCCTTTGCTGTGCAGGGGCTTTTTAGTTTGATGTAATATCATTTGTCTATTTTTGCGTGTTGCTTATGCTTTTGAGGTCTTCTCCATAAAAACTTTGCCCAGACCAATGTCTGGAAGCATTTCCTTTATGTTTTCTTCTAGTAGTTTCATCATTTTGGGTCTTACATGTAAGTCTTTAATTTATTTTAATTTTTTATATGGTGAGAGATAAGTGTCTAGTTTCATTTATTCTGCATGTGGATATCTAGTTTTCCTAACACCATTTATTGAAGAAACTCTCCTTTCCCCAGTGAGTGTTCTTGGCACCTGTGTTGAAAATCAGTTGGCTGTAAACACATATATTTATTTCTGGGTTC
Organism: Homo sapiens; assembly: GCF_000001405.40. NCBI lineage: Eukaryota > Metazoa > Chordata > Mammalia > Primates > Hominidae > Homo > Homo sapiens. Next base: position 75,328,429 of record NC_000010.11, read on the forward strand.
TTATTCTGTTCCATTGACCTATATGTTTGTTTTCTGCTGTTATGCCAGTACCATGCTGTTTTGGTTGCTATAGCTTGTAGGATATTTTGAATTCTGGTATTATGATGCCTCCAGCTTTGTTCTTTTTGTTCAGGATTGTTTTGGCTATTTGGGGTCTTCTGCGGTTCCATACAAGTTTTAGGATTTTTTTTTCTATTTCTATGGAGAATGTTATTGATATTTTGAGAGGGATTGCATTAAATCTGTAGATTGCTTTTGGCAGTATGGTCATTATCACAATATTAATTCTCCCAATCCATGAACATGAAATGTCTTTTCTTTTTTTTTTTTTTTTTGAGACGAAGTCTCGCTCTTGTCTCCCAGACTGGAGTGCAGTGGTGTGATCTCGGCTCACTGCAACCTCTGCCTCCCGGGTTCAAGTGATTCTCCTGCCTCAGCCTCCTGAGTACCTGGGATTACAGGCACATGTCACCACGCCCAGCTAATTTTTGTATTTTTAGTAGAAACGGGATTTCACCATGTTGGCCAGGCTGGTCTAGAACTCCTGACCTCAGGTGATCCACCTGCCTCAGCCTCCCAAAGTGCTGGGATTATAGGCGTGAGCCACCGTGCTCGGCCTGTCTTTCCATTTTTTAATATCCTCTTAAATTTTTTTCATCAGTGTTTTATAGTAAAAGATCATAGAGATCTTTTACCTCCTTGGTTAAATTTATTCCTAGGTGTTTGATTTTTTTGTGTAGCTATTGTGAATGGGATTGCTTTCTTAATTTCTTTCTTGGCTAGTTTATTATTGCTGTATGGAAACACTACTGATTTTTGTGTGTTGATTTTGTATCCTGCAACTTTGCTGAATTCATTTATCTGTTCTAAGAGTTTTTTTGGTGGCACTTTCAGGGTTTTTTTTTCTTTTTTCTCTTTTTCATTGAGACTATCATAAAACAGCTTCTTTCTTTCTTCCTTCCTTCCTTCCTTCCTTCCTTCCTTCCTTTCCTTCCTTCCTTCCTTCCTTTCTTTCTTTCTTTCTTTCTTTCTCTTTCTTTCTTTCTTTTTGTTACAGACAGAGTTTAGCTCTGTTGCCCAGGCTGGAGTGCAGTGGCGTGCTCATAGCTACCTAATAGCCTTGACCTCCTGCACTCAAGTGATCCTCCTGCGTCAGCTTCCCAAGTAGCTGGGACTACAGGCATGCACTACCACACCCAGCCAATTTAAACCATTTTTTTTGTTTTTTAATAGAGATGGAGTGTTTCTTTGTTGCCCAGGCTGGTCTCAAACTCCTTGCCTCATGCAATCCTCCTGCCTCTGCCTCCCAAAGTGCTGGGATTACAGGCATGAGCCACCATGCCTGGTCAAGCTTTTCTATGTGTAAGATCATATCTGCAAACAGGGACAGTTTGACTTTCTCCATTCCAATTTGGATATCCTTTATATTTTTTACCTTGCTTAATTGCCCTGTTTAGGACTTCCAGTACTATACTGAGTAGAAGTGGTGCAAGTGGGCAACCTTGTCTTGTTCCATATCTTAGAGGATCTTTTCCCTGTTCGGTATGATGTTGGCTGTGGGTTTGTCATTTATGGTCTTTATTGGTTAAGGTATGTTCCTTCTATACCTAACTTATTGAGAGCTTTAATTATGAATGAATGTTGAGTTTTATCAAATGCTTTCTCTGCATCTATTGAGATGATCATATGGTTTTTGTCCTTCATTCTGTTGATGTGATGTACCACATTTATTGACCTGCTGATATCAAATCATCCTTGCATCCAGGGGTTGCATGGTCACTTGATCATGGTGAATGATCTTTTTATTGGGCTGCTGGATTTGGCTTGCTAATGTTTTATTGAGTATTTTGCATCTGTCTTCATCAGGGAGATTGGCTGAGAGCTTTGGTTGTTGTGTCTTTGTCTGGTTTTGGTGTCAGGGTAATCTTGGCCTCATAGAATGAGTTTGGAAGAATTCCTTCCTCTTCCATTTTCTGGAAGAGGTTGAGAAGAATTAGTATCGGTTCTTCTTTACAGGTTTGGTAGAATTCTGCTGTTAAGCCATTGGGTCCTGGGCCTTTCTTTGATGGGAGGCTTTTATTACAGATTGAATCTTGTTACTTGTAATTGGTCTATTCAGGCTTTTTATTTCTTCTTGAGTCAATCTTGGTAGGTTGTATGTGTCCAGGAATTTATCTGCTTCCACTAAGTTTTCTAATTTGTTGGCATATAGTTGTTTGTAATAGTCTCTAATGATCCTTTGTATTTCTGTGGTATCAGTTGTAATACCTTTTTGATTTTTGATTTTATTTATTTGAATCTTTTCCTTTTTTTTCTTGGTTTGTTTAGCTAATGGTTTGTACATTCAATTTATGTTTTTAAAAAACAAATTTTCATTTTGTTAATATATTGTATTTTTTGGCCTTAATTTCATTTATTTCTGCTCTGACCTTTATTATTTCTTTGCTTCTACTAATTTTGGGGTTGGTTTATGCTTGCTTTTCTAGTTCCTTGAGATGCATTGTTAGGTTTTTTATTTGAACTTTTTCTACTTTTTTGATGTTGGGATGTATTGCTATTAAATTCCCTCAGCACTGCTTTTGCTGTATCCTATAGGTTTTGATATGTTGTGTTTTTAAAACTTTCTTCTTAATTTCTTCATTGACCTATGTTGTTTAATTTTCAGGTATTTGTACAGTTTCAAATGTTCCTCTTGTTATTGATTTTTAGTTTTATTTCATTGTGGTCAGAAAAGACACTTGATATGATTTCAATTGTTTTACATTTGTTGAGACTTGCTTTGTGGCCAAACATGTGGTCTATTCTGGAGAATGTTCCATGTGCTGATGAAAAGAATATGCATTCTGCAGCTTTTGGATGAAATGTTCTGTAAATGTCTGTTAGGTCCATTTGGCCTAAAGTGCAGTTAAAATCCAGTGTTTCTTTGTTGGCTTTCTGTCTAGATGATTTGTCCAATGCTAAGTGCGGGATGTTGAAGTCCCCAACTATTTTGTATTGGAGTCTATCTCTCCCTTTAATTTATTTTATTTTATTTTTTTAGAGACAGAATCTCACTTTGTCACCAAGTGGGAATGCAGTACCATGATCATAGCTCACTGCAGCCTTGAATTCCTGGGCTCAAGTGATTCTCCTGCCTCAGTCTCCCAAGTAGCTGGGACTACAGGTGTGTGCCACCATGCATGGCTCAAAAAAATTTGTTTTTAGAGATGGGGTCTCATTTGCTTCTTGGCCTTTTGGCTAAGATCAAATGTAGAGATGAAGTCTTGCTATATTGCCCAGGCTGGTCTTGAACACCTGGCCTTAAGTGATCGTCCTGCCTCAGACTCCCAAGTAGCTGAGATTATAGGCACAAGCCTTGATGCCTTGCTACTGTATCTTCCTTTATATCTAATAATATTTGCTTGATATAGCAGGTGCTCCAGTGTTGGGTGCATGTATATTAACAATTGTTATACCCTATTGTTGAATTGATCCCTTTATCCTTATATAATGATACTTTTGTCTCTTTTTACTGTTTTTGACTTAAAGTTTGTTTTATCTAAGTATAGCTACTTCTGCTTGCTTCTGGTTTCTGTTTTTCTTGGAATATCTTTTTCTAGCCCTTCACCTTCAGTCTATGTTTCTGACTGTTTTTAAAGGTTTTTCTTTGTCTTTGAGCAGTTTTACTCTGATGTGCCAAAAGTGTGGGTGTAGTTTTCTTGTATTTATTCTACTTGGATGTCTTAGCATTTTTTGAATTAGTGGCTCGATGTTTTTTGTTTTTGGAAAATTCATAGTCAATAATCTCTTTAAATATTACTTTTGCTCTATTTTCTCTCACCTCACCTTCTGAGACTTCAATTACACATATGTTATGCCTTTTCACTGTGTTCCAAATCTTTAATTTTGTTTTCTTTTTTTCTCCTTTTGTTTCAGCTTGTATGTTTCCTACTGATATTTTTTAGCTTTCTAATTCTCTCTTCAGCTGTGTCTACTCTGCTGTTAAGCCTATCTATCTATTTCTTAATGTCAGTTATTGTGTTTTTCAGTTTAAATTTTTCTTTTTTTTTTTTTAATTTATTTTTTTATTGATAATTCTTGGGTGTTTCTCACAGAGGGGGATTTGGCAGGGTCATGGGACAATAGTGGAGGGAAGGTCAGCAGATAAACAAGTGAACAAAGGTCTCTGGTTTTCCTAGGCAGAGGACCCTGCGGCCTTCCGCAGTGTTTGTGTCCCTGATTACTTGAGATTAGGGATTGGTGATGACTCTTAACGAGCATGCTGCCTTCAAGCATCTGTTTAATAAAGCACATCTTGCACCGCCCTTAATCCATTTAACCCTGAGTGGACACAGCACATGTTTCAGAGAGCACCGGGTTGGGGGTAAGGTCACAGATCAACAGGATCCCAAGGCAGAGGAATTTTTCTTAGTGCAGAACAAAATGAAAAGTCTCCCATGTCTACTTCTTTCTACACAGACATGGCAACCATCCGAATTCTCAATCTTTTCCCCACCTTTCCCGCCTTTCTATTCCACAAAGCCGCCATTGTCATCCTGGCCCGTTCTCAATGAGCTGTTGGGCACACCTCCCAGACGGGGTGGTGGCCGGGCAGAGGGGCTCCTCACTTCCCAGTAGGGGCGGCCGGGCAGAGGCGCCCCTCACCTCCCAGACGGGGCGGCTGGCCGGGCGGGGGGCTGACCCCCCAACCTCCCTCCTGGACGGGGCGGCTGGCCGGGCAGAGGGGCTCCTCACTTCCCAGTAGGGGTGGCCGGGCAGAGGTGCCCCTCACCTCCCGGACGGGGCGGCTGGCCGGGCAGGGGGGCTGACCCCCCCCACCTCCCTCCCGGACGGGGCGGCTGGCCGGGCGGGGGGCTGACACCCCCACCTCCCTCCCGGACGGGGCGGCTGGCTGGGCAGAGGGGCTCCTCACTTCCCAGTAGGGGCGGCCGGGCAGAGGCGCCCCTCACCTCCCGGACGGGGCGGCTGGCCGGGTGGAGGGCTGACTCCCCCACCTCCCTCCCGGACGGGGCGGCTGGCCAGGCGGGGGGCTGACCCCCCCACCTCCCTCCCGGACGGGGTGGCTGGCCGGGCTGAGGGGCTCCTCACTTCCCAGTAGGGGCGGCCGGGCAGAGGCGCCCCTCACCTCCCGGACGGGGCAGCTGGCCGGGCGGGGGGCTGACCCCCCCACCTTCCTCCCGGACGGCACGGCTGGCCAGGCGGGGGGCTGACCCCCCCACCTCCCTCCGGGACGGCACGGCTGGCCAGGCGGGGGGCTGACCCCCCCACCTCCCTCCCGGACGGGGCGGCTGGCCGGGTGGTCACTTCTCAGACGGGGCAGCTGCCGGGCGGAGGGGCTCCTCACTTCTCAGACGGGGTGGTTGCCAGGCAGAGGGTCTCCTCACTTCTCAGACGGGGCGGCCGGGCAGAGACGCTCCTGACCTCCCAGACGGGGTCTCGGCCGGGCAGAGGCGCTCCTCACATCCCAGATGGGGCGGCGGGGCAGAGGCGCTCCCCACATCTCAGACGATGGGCGGCCCGGCAGAGACGCTCCTCACTTCCTAGATGTGATGGTGGCCGGGAAGAGGCGCTCCTCACTTCCTAGATGGGATGGCGGCCGGGCGGAGACGCTCCTCACTTTCCAGACTGGGCAGCCAGGCAGAGGGGCTCCTCACATCCCAGACGATGGGCGGCCAGGCAGAGACACTCCTCACTTCCCAGACGGGGTGGCGGCCGGGCAGAGGCTGCAATCTCGGCACTTTGGGAGGCCAAGGCAGGCGGCTGCTCCTTGCCCTCGGGCCCCGCGGGGCCCGTCCGCTCCTCCAGCCGCTGCCTCCCGGGCGGCCTAAATTTTTCAATTGATTATTTTTAACAACATATTTAAGTTCTCTGTTGAAATTCTCCACTTGGAATTAATTTTCTTTAATGTATTAATGACATTTTAAAAAACTGTATCTGAGAACTCCCATGTATAAGTCACCTAGAAGTCTATTTTTATTATTTAGTCTTTCTCTGGTTTTTGGTCACTTGGTCTTGTCCCCTGGTAAGTCTTATAATTTCTTATTAAATGCTGGACATTGTGGATAAGAAATTATAGTGCAGATTTGAGGCTCTAGATAACACTTTCTTCCTCCAGAGAGGATTTTCTTTTGTCTCAGGGTCAAATTGCATCTCATCTTGGATCGGGCTGGTTTAAATCTGTGCTTCAGCTTTTGCAATGGCTGATTTATTTATATATTCTAGAAATAAGGTTAGGCCTTATTTTAAAACTATATCCCATTAGGAGTCCCAGTGCAAAGCTGGAGATGCTTGCTAGGTTCCTTTGCTTATGCCAGCCCAGAAGTCTTTTTTGTTTTCTCTAACCCTGAGTCCCAGGAGACTGCTGAAATCTCTGCTCAGCTTCTGGATCCTTCAACTGTTTGTGTGCAAATCTGCAAATTACTTCTGGAGAAAAATGCAGTCAGATGTCTGCTTCACATGAATGACCTCATTTTTCTTCATGATCTTTGTCTTCATTTCCCTGTTAACTTTTCTTCATTTTCAAACCAGATTTCCTAGTTGGTTTTGGCAAGGAGGTCGGTCTGATATGAGGCAATCCACCATATCCAGAAGCAAAATTAAGAGTATGGACTTTGGAATCAAACTTCCAGGATTCAAATCTCAGTTCCATCATTTACTTGCATTGTGATCATGAGCAAGGTATTAACTTTTCTGAGCCTCAGTTTTCATATCTCTAAAATGTGGATAATACAGTATCCACTGCCTTATAGGGTTGTTGTCATAATTTAGAATGTGTGTGTGTGTGTATGTGTGTAAACTTAGAAAAGTGCCCAGAACACTGAGATGCAAAAAATGCTATATTGGCGTTTGCTATCATTATTTTTATTTGACTAAATTTTCCTTCCAATTATTTTCCATTGTATAATTTCAGTGACACATCCTTAATAGGCCTCCACTGGCTACTGGATAAAGTCCAAACTCTACATCTGCTGTTCTCAGCCCTGGTAGAATAGCAGGGTAATCTGTGGTGCTTTTAAAACTCTTGAGAACCCAGCCAAACCAGGCCAATTACATTAGAATTTTTGAGATAGGATCTAGAAATCAGTAGTTCTAAGAGACCCCCAGGTGATTTCAATGTTCAGCCAAGATTGAAAACCTCTGGCTTTCAAGATCACTAACAGTCTAGCCCCAACCTATCTTTCTAACCATAATTCTCCTTTATCCCAACATGAGCATTTCCTTGTAGCAAGCCTATCTATTCAAGGTCCAGACTTCCACCTATATGATCTCCTGGTGGCTCATGCAAGGCTCAGAAGCTGATGGTTTATCTCTTCTCCCTCCCTTCCATGGTGGTGTGGGTGGGGACACAGGCATGAACCTCTGTCTTTGTCCCTCCCTCCTGGCCTTCATTTCCAGTTCACCATAACTTGAATCTGTTTCATAGCAATGTTTCCCATGTGTTCTTTTGTTTTCTGTTCTTCTACTCATCCTTCCAGACCTTTTGCTGAAGACTTTTAACCTTTCTCTGTTCAAGACTAAGACATCTCCCATTCCTCACTAGAAACACACTTTTCATCTATTTCCCTGACATTATCAACTGGCAGCATGGCATGGTAGCTAGTTTCCAATCATAAGACTGGAGAAACCTGGCCTGCCCTCAGGAACTGACTTTGGCCAACATCATTCTCATTTCTACTTCTGTTTCTTTGGGCTACCTTATTGGCCTAGAATATCTCTACTCCTTCCTGTCTGTCTGCTAATTTGCAGTCTATTCCACCTCAAAGTTTCACTTCTTCTATTACACCTACTAAGCATCTCCAATGCAAACTGTTCTTCTGCTTTTCCTGTGCTTCTACTCACCCTGTCTATTCACAATTTTAGGTCCAAATTACATGTTCCAATGGAGGACTTGGAAACACATTAGAAACTCAATATTTAATACTTCCTTGTTAGACCTATACAGAATTGTCAAAAAAAAAAAAAAAGCCTAAGCTGAAAATTCCCAAAACTGATTTTCAAATCATCATCGTTATTATTATTATTATTTGCCTTAGAAGTGAGGCACATTTGCTAAATGTTAGGGAGCTCTGGAAAGGAGCATGGGTTGGTAGGAATAGGGTAGGGAATTGCACTCACTTTCTTCTTCTGCATAACAGATGACCACAATCACAGCAGCTGAAAACAACACCGGTTTATTATGTCTCAGCTCTGTGGGTCAGATGTCCAGGTGGCTTGTCTGATTTCTCTGTTTTGGATCTCACAAGGCCAAAATCAAGATGTTGGCCAGGCTGGGATCTTCTTGGAGGCTCTGGGGAAGAATCCATTTCCAACCTCATTCAGGTTGTTGGCAGATTCAGTTCCTGGTAACTGTGGGACTGAGGTCCCCATCTTCTTGCTGGCTAGGGTGTCACTCTCAGCCTATTGAGGCCACTCTCAGATCCTTCCATGTGGCCCCCTTAATCTCAGCAACAGAGAATTCCCATGCATTGAATTCTCCTGCCTTATTTTTCTGCTACCAGCTGGAGAAAACTCTCTGCTTTTAAAAGGCTTGTCTTACTGGGTTAAGCCCACCCAGCTAATCTCTCTATCTTAAGGTCAACTGACTTGGGTCTTTAATTATATCTGAAAAATTCTGGCAGGGTGTGGTGGCTCACACCTGTAATCCCAGCACTTTGGGAGGCCAAGACAGGTGAATTGCTTGAGCCCAGGAGTTTGAGACCAGCCTGGGTAACATGGTGAAACCCCATCTCTACAAAAAACACAACAATTAGTCGGGCGTGGTGGTGCGTGCCTGTAGTCCCAGCTACTTGGGAGGCTGGCTTAAGGTAGGAGGATGGCTTGAGCCCAGGAGGCCAAGGTTGCAGTGAGCCGAGATCGTGCTACTGCCCTCCAGCATGGGCAACAAAGTGAAAACCTGTCTTAAAAAAAAATTCTCGGTGGGGCACGGTGGCTCACACTTGTAATCCCAGCACTTTGGGAGGTCGAGGTGGGCGGATCACGAGGTCAGGAGTTCAAGACCAGCCTGGCCAACACGGTGAAACCCCATCTCTACTAAAAATACAAAAATTAGGGTGGTGGCAGGCGCCTGTAATCCCAGCTACTCAGGAGGCTGAGGCAGGAGAATCGCTTGAACCCAGGAGGCAGAGGTTGCAGTGAGCCAAGATCGTGCCACTGCCCTCCAGCCTGGGTGAAAGAGCTAGACTCCGTCTCCAAAAGAAAAAAAAATTCTCCACAGCAGTACCTAGATTAGTGTTTGGTTGAATAACCAGGGTATGGGAGTCTTGGGGAACCATCTTTAGAATTTTGCCAACCACAGGACTGATGAAGCAGAAAGCCAGAGAACCAATAAGGAAAGGACCACTTAGGTTCAGTGGACCAGTGGCTTGCAGAGCAAAAGCACCCTTCAGGATCACCTAATCTAGCCCTTTTATTCTTTGGATTGGAACACCAATACCTAGAGAGGGGAAGGGAATTTATAACTAATCTTCTATACATTCACCCTGGGCCAGATGTTGTACTAAATGCTTATGGAGAATATAGAGATAAATAAGACCCAGCATCTGCCCTTAGGATTTTATTACCCATGCATCCAAGGTCCGTGGAAGTTTATCTTAAGAAAATAGCTACTTAATCCTTGGAAATTATAGAATTGTGTGCTAGAAATGGACCTCAGAGATCAAATGTTCCAGTGTTTCTTAAGAATAGAAACAGTGACTTTAGATGACATGTAGACCAACATTTTAAATTGTAATCATAACGTCTTTATGTTAATGTTACCTTCTACTTATGGCAAATGATGCTATATTCCCTGCATTACAATGACATAAAGTTTCCTTCTGCCCTCTTTCCCTCACTCTCTCTTTTTTCCTTTTTTCACCTTGCATTTATGGAACACTTACTGTAGAAGACAACAGACGATGGTACTTAAGGCTTTGGCTTTGGAAAAAGAGATACCTGGATTCTGATCCTGAAGTCTCTCACTTAAACTTTACAAGTCTCACTTTCTCATCAGATAAGTAAGGAGAAATATATTATTTAAATGACATCATGTGTGTAAAGTGCTTAACAGAGGGCCCATAACATTGTAAGGATCTAATTGATGTTAGCAATTATAAAATTAACCCTTTTCTGGTCCAAGGGGAGAGGGGATTTCTGGTAAGGGGAGCTGGGCCTTGTTTCCCTGACCTCTCTGGGGAGTGGCAGCAGTGCTCAGGGCCCTCATCCCTCTCCTCCTCTCTCCTGGGACTTTTGAGAGTCTGGGAAGGTGCCTGAGATCTGGAACTTTCTGGAGAGAGAGCAAATGGATACAGAAAGTAAAGGAAATAATGGAAGGTGTCGCCATAGGGACATGCCTGTGGGAATCATCCATTCTTTGGAGAAGGAACACACACAGATTGGGCACCAGCGGTGTGCCCTGCTTCGAGAATCTTGCAGGGAGTGAGGCAGCTGCAATAGTTCCTATTCTGTCTCTACCCTAAGCCTCCTCCCAAGTCACTCTCGCTCTTTGCCTCCCTCTCTTTATTGAAAGAGTTGTTGAAGGCCGGGCACGGTGGCTCATGCCTGTAATCCTAGCACTTTTGGAGGCCGAGGCGGGTGGATTGCTTGAGCTCAGGAGTTTGAGACCAGCCTGGGAAACATGGTGGTGAAACCTCGTCTCTACTAAAATACAAAAAATTAGCCGGACATTATGGTACACACCTGTAATCCCAGCTACTAGAGAGGCTGAGACAGGAGAATTGCTTGAACCTGGGAGGTGGAGGTTGCAGTGAGCCGAGATCGTGCCATTGCACTCCAGCCTGGGTGACAGAGCGAGACTCCGTCTCAAAAAAAAAGAAAGAGTTGTTGAAATATCTCCTCCCTCTAAAAAATCTTCTTGCTCTGTTTGGAGTAGGAAGATGTTTCTCTCATGTATAAAAAAAAGGACTTCAGGTGGCCGTCAGAAGAGGAAAATGGGGGCTAGAGTCAGGCATTCAGATGGCCAAAGGCACCGGGTCACTTGGCAGTACATGAGAGGGGAGCTTCGGAAAGAAGATGGGAGAGCCTCCAAAACACTTATTAGCTCATAAAATGTCACCTGAGATAACCTCTGAATGTTTAGAAAACTGCTTGTTGTATGCCACCAGTGGTAGACATTCAAGGTGCTGTGACACGCTGGTGGGGGAGATATTTTGTCAAGAGCTAAAGAGAGAGCCCAGTGATAGGTGCCTATTCTGCCAACACACGGGTGGGTGTCGCCAGCGAGGAGCCAAGCCACCTGTGCCTTGGTGATGCCCCAAGGAGGCGGAGTCCCTGGGGGAAAAGTAGATTGGGGGGCAAAGGCGAATGGTATGGTAGAAGATGGTTTTATACATCTTGATGCTATTTAAGTTATGAAGACATAGCCTATAGGTCTTTTGCCAACCAACCATTGATTCGTCATGGGAAATGGGTTGTGAGACTCTCTGGTTCAGAATGTTTTTCTGGGCCACCTCTCTGCTTAGACTAGGGAGTGAAAACAAGTGACATAGATTTAAAATAATAATAATAAACTGGGCGCAGTGGCTCACGCCTGTAATCCCAGCACTTTGGGAGGTAAGGCGAGTGGATTACTTGAGCCCAGGAGTTTGAGACCAGCCTGGGCAACACGGCAAAACCCTATCTCTACAAAAAATACAAAAATTAGCTGGTGTGGTGGTGTGCGCCTGTAGTCGCAGCTACTCAGGACACTGAGGTGGGAGGATCACCTGAATGGGGGCCTGGTGGTGGGGGCCGGGGGGAGGGGGCGGGGGGTCGAGGCTGCAGTGAGCCGTGATCACACCACTGCACTCCAGCCTGGGCAACATAGTGAGACCCTGTCTCAAAATAACAACAATAATAATAATAGTCACACACACAGCAGTGAAACAAGACTTTCAACTCTACTGGTGGGAGTGTAAATTTGTCTGGTCTTTCTTGAGGCATTTGGGCAGTATCAAAGTCTTAAAAATGTTCATATACTTTATCCCAGCAATTCCACTTCTAGGAATGTGTTCTAAGAAAATAGTTGGACAAGTGCACAAAGATCAGCATATAATGATATCCATGATAGTTTTGTTCACAATCGTGAACAACTGAAAACAACCAAAATATCCAGCAATTAGAGATTGGATAATAAATGAAGGTAACTTCATAGAATACCATGCATCTATTGAAAAGGACACTGCTGCTGTCTCTTTTTTTTTTGTTTTTTGAGACAGAGTTTCGCTCTTGTTGCCCAGGCTGGAGTGCAATGGCATGATTTCAGCTCACTGCAACCTCCACTTCCCAGGTTCGAGCGATTCTCCTGCCTCAGCCTCCCAAGTAGCTGGGATTACAGGCATGCGCCACCACGCTGGGCTAATTTGTTTTTGTATTTTTAGTAGAGATGTGGTTTCACCATGTTGGTCACGCTGGTCTCGGACTCCTGACCTCGTGATCCACCCACCTCGGCCTCCCAAAGTGCTGGGATTACAGGCATGAGCCTCCATACTCCACCTCATATTTATTGATAGGGAAAGATGGTTGTAATATTTTACGTGAAAAGAGCAGATCCCAGGACAATATATTCATTCTGACCCTATTTTTATAGATAAAATAGATAAATTCCTCTATTTCAGTCATTATTTCATTAAAGGTGACTTTTTGCTGAGACTGCACTGTGTGGACGCCCAGTTTTACACAGGTTACTGCTCCAGATTAGTTTATAGTGCCATGTTGTGAAGGTTACAGTTAGACTGTGTACATTACTTTGCATAGTGTCTGATACATAGTAGTGCTTAGAGGTAGAAAAACTATTACTTTCAGAAACTCTTTTAAAGTTGTAAAGAGACTGCCCCTCTAGAACAGTTTGATATTTTAATAGAATAGAAACTATAATATAAACATTGGCAAAGTTTGGTATCCTGAATACATGTAGTTGATATGATCTCAACCTTGAAAAAATAGTATGCACCCATAGGAAAAGTCTGTGAAAATATAAATAAAAATGTTAACAGTGTTTGAGTAATGTTGGATCATGAGTGACTTGTCTCTTTTTTTTGCTGTAACACACCAGCCTCATGTGAATAGAACAGACAATCATTTATGTCTTTCTCTTCACTCAAAGTTTTTAAAAGAGACTTTAATTACTGATATAAAGTAAAACAATTACTTGTGGGTTGGCTGAGAATTGCTAGAATTAATAAATAGTTTGGAAATATTTAGTAAATTCTAATTACTTAGCAAAAGTAATTAAAATATTTATAAGCGAACACCCATAAAACACCACCAAGCAAATACATTACTCAATAAATGGTTTAATTAGTATTTCATTACTAGAAATTAATCTCAGTAACGAAACATTACTACAAATTACATGTAGGACAGACAACTTATTTTACTGCTATTAATGATTTCAATTACTAAGTTTGTGCAAGCCTAATTTCTTCCTGCTTCCCCCACTCCCTCCTCCTGCTCCCACCCAGGCAAGTTCCCACACACTGGGTCTGAATTAGGATGTTTGGGGCTGGTCTGGAACTGCATTGTTGGGAATCCCTGGCACACAGATTAACATTTTCCCTTGGCTTATTTCTTGGTTGTCTTGCTGAAATACAGGTCCTGGGTGCCTCTTAATCAGCTAGAATCAAACTCCAGGGGCTGGTGGGCTTCTTACTGCAGATATACTCTCCTCTGGAGTCTTCTAAATCACTTGGCTGCAAGGATCTATTCCTTCCCCTCTCCTGTGCCAAGGCCTTTCTGGTACTGTCTTGTATCCCTGGTCCACCTTCCAGGCTGGGTGGGGTGGGGTGGGCCAGGCTACTATCAAGTCATCAGAGGCATTGTTATGCAGTTTAGAAAAAGGAGTCCCTTCCTCCAGACAGACGCGGTCACACACGAGGGTGGGTTTCAGCTCCCACTTGTTTTTTTGGTCAGGTTCCCCAAGAAACAGACTCGGGATTTGCATGCAGGAGTCTTATTGGGGAACGCTTTCAGGAACTACCACCCCGTATGGGAGCGAGAGAAGCAGGACTGTGCAGAAGGAGAAGTTGAACAACTCCTGGAAAGCTCTGAAGCTGGGATCATCCTTCCAGAATGTCTTGGATTGAGACAAGGGGTGGGGATTGTTATTTCAAATTGTTAACCACACAGAGATGGGTGCCATCGCTTGGCAGGTGATGGCCCAGTGACCACAGCCAAGGAGGATTTAATAGGGGATTTCATTACTAGTAACAAGTAAAGCTGACACTGGGGATAGTTCTCAAAGCAGTGCCTCCCGGTGGTGGGGCGGGGGGAGGGGGCTTGTGGGTGTGGTTTGCTCCTGGCTTTGATAGCTTTGATACACGAGTTGTCCCAATGTTCTGCTGGCACTGGGGGAAGTGTTACTTTTGGTGTTAGACTGAACCCTTGCTGGGACTTCTGCCTAGACCATAAGCTCCAGAAGGGCAGGCTCATGTCTCACGGTATCCCCAGACCTTAGCCCAGTTCACAGCTCCATTAATATTTGCTGATTGAATGTATAAGACTAAAGACAAACGGTCACTTAAATGCGTTAATGTGAACTTGATACACTTGACAAAGGGAAATAGAGAATCTGATCTAATCTGAGGGGTCAGGGGAGGCTTCTCCAAAGAAGTGACGCTTGAGCTGAGACCCAAGGACTGGGTAAGAGTGAACCAGGCAAAATGGGGGGAAGGAGGTACTTCCCAAGCCTCCCCTGGACAGGTGTTCAGCTTTGCCACCTCCTGTGTGTGTCTCCTGGGAGGAAACAGAACTGAGAAGGCATGCTCACTGAATGTATCCTGTTATCTGTTGCTGAAATGTATCCTTTGTCTGTATCACAGCCTTATCTTGTACAAGATTCATGTGTTGGTGAGCTCATTTCCACCAGAACTCAGCCCAGGCTGCTGTGGGATGGAATCACCTGCACCCGGATGTTCTTTCTGGGCTGGTACATACAGGCAAGGCATCACGGCTGGAGGTGGAGGGGGCCTAACCCGGGGTTGCCCAGGAAGGGGTTTGCACATGGATTCGGTGTGTTGTGGAGGAACCGAGGGTGGAAACAGCTGGGCCACCCCACACCTAAGCCCGTATTTCCCATCTGTCCTTATCTACTCTGCGCCCAACCTTATCCCCTCTGGGCCTGTCTCTACTCCCCACTGCCCAAGGACTGTGGCCTGTACATTTCATTTCTCTTCCACACCTGTTCAGGGGGCCTCCCCTTTCTGCAGTGCCCCTCTTGATGTACAAAATCCACCCAAATCCCCTCCATGGAGCCCTGCCCAGTGACTCCAGGTCCTGCTATGCTCAGCCCTCCCTGGATTTCTGCGGCCCTAGCTGCAGATTCTTTAGGGCAGAGACTTGGTTTGTTTGAGAAATCCCATGCCTGGTGCCAGGCCTGCTCCAGAGCACAGAGGTTGGGAAAAAGCTGCAGGAGAAGTTGAGCCCTGAAAGAAAACCCAGCATGCCCACCCCTGTTACATGATGCCCTGGTGGGTGCAAGGCCTTGTGAATTGTGCGGGGGGTGACATCTGCTGGGCCTCCCATGCAGGCAGACTGTACGGGGGCCACAGGCTTGGCTTCAGCTGGTGGTGGCAGGTCTGATTGTGGAGGGGAAAGGAAGATGGAAAGTTCACATTTATCATGTCTGGGACTTTGCCTGCCTTGTCCTTAATCAGTCTATAGCTAATTAGCTGCCTCCTCAGCTTGGCAGAGCACCATTAATCACCGAAGGAGAAAGCCAGCAGCAGTGCCTTGGGGCTCAGGGGAAATCAGGCTCCTTGGGTGGGCCCTTCTTGTCTGTAGCACTGAGAGGGCCACAGGGGCTCCTCTATGAGGGTCCCTCGGGTGGCTGGGAAGGGGCCCTGGGGCCGTGTGGCGTGGCAGTTGAGATGACTGTCAGAGCAAAGGTATGGCATCTCCTCTTCCTACTTGCTTCAACATTCCACTTACGTTCATGGTGAAAATGTGCCTAGCCCCAGACAAGAAATTCCAGACTCCCTTGCAGCTAAGGAAGACCAGATGGCACAGCTCAGACCAATAAGGCATAAGCTGAAACCTTCAGCCTGGCTCTAGGAAGTCTTTTCCTTTCCTCACAGAAGACATTGGATGCCGCTGGTCCTGCCCCTTCTTGCCCTTTCTCCTTGCTGCCTTGAATGAAGACTTGAAGGCTGGAGTTCCTGCAGCCATCAGCCTCTATGAAGGAAAGACCAAGAGAACTGTAGTGACACCAGCCCTGACATTGTTGCTGATAAACCAATGCCAGTAACCATTCTACCTCTAGATTTCATTATGTGAAAAGAATACATCTCTATTTGTTTAGGCCACTGTTGGCTGGGTATTCTGTTACCTGTAGCCAAAGACATTTCTAATATAGAGGAAATTCTGGTTGGTGCCAGCGTCATTGCAGAGATGCCCAAGGTCCATAGAGTACTTCAGACATCCCCAAGCTTCGCCAGCCATGGGGCATGAGAGAGGCTATGGTGGTAACAGTAACCCAGTGTCACCAGCTCTGCCTCTCCAATCATGTAGCCTCTGCACGTCTTTGTCCTTTAAAGTCTTATTATCCAACCCCTTTAAGCCACCCATGTCATGAAGAAAGTTTCAGAAAGTAGCTGGTGTGACATTGATATATCAGTGATGTTAAACTCTATGCAATGGAGTACCTGGTAAGGCAAAACTAGATTTTCTGGCAGATAAACAATGTTTCCTCTCTTAGTTGTATGACTTTGAGGTAAGTAGGAAATGCATTGCTCTGGGAAAGGGATGTGACAAGGAATGCTGTGATGCTGAGCAGGTTTTGGTGTGCAGAGCTGGTCACAGAGGTTGGGATATTTCATAGGGGCCAGGCAGTCTCCTAGCAGGACTGAGATCAAGACCCTGACTGATCCTTCTCTGTTGGGGTATAAGGTTACTAGAGCCCTTCTGATGAACTGAGTCAGTCTCTCTAAGACCCTCTGGCATGAAAGGGTAGAAAGGACCCCACGGTGGCTCACACCTGTAATCCCAGCACTTTGGGAGGCTGAGGCAGGTGGATCATGAGGTCAGGAGTTCGAGACCAGACTGGCCAACATGGTGAAACCCTGTCTCTACTAAAAATACAAAAATTAGCCAGGCGTTGTGGTGGGTGCCTGTAATCCCAGCTACTCAGGAGGCTGAGGCAGGAGAATCACTTGAACCTGGGAGGTGAAGGTTGCAGTGAACCAAGATTGTGCCACTGAACTCCAGCCTGGGTGACAGAGCGAGACTCTGTCTCAAAAAAAAAAAAAAAAAAGAAAAGAAAAGAAAAAGAAAAAAAAAGAAAGGACCCCAGAGGGGAGCTCACCATCAGGAAATGGGGAGTGGGAATAGGTGAGCCAAGCTGATATCAGGCTTAGATGCTTGTTATGGGGGCTGGCGCCAGCTCAGCATGTAGCAGAGTAGAGATGATCCTGGACCCAGGCATTCCGTGCTGTGGGAACAATGGCTGCACATAGGAGTGTGAAATAAAGGAATTGTAGACTGGAGCGCACGGTAGGGCTCCACTATGCTGTGTGCATCCAGGCATCTGGAGCACAAGAGCGTCACTTGCTGGTGGATATGGAGGGGGTCAAACTGTGCGGAATCAGTGTTCATCAGTAACCTCTTGTGGCAGCTGACTGATAAGACTGTTCAGTTCTGTCTGCATCTGGCTTTCAGAAATGAGAGATCCTGATGAAAAGAGTAAGCATCTCTTGTTCTTGGACAGTTTGGAGGAAGTGAGGTGAGGGGATGGAGATCCTGAGAGGTAGAGGTAATATAGCCCAGTGGTTAGGAGAATGGGCTCTGGAGCCAGATGGCTTCGGTTTGTGTTCCTGCTCTGCTACTTACTGGTTTACCTTGTGTACAGGTCTGGCTTCACAAATGTGCAGACCTGTGCAGTCTCACAGGGCCCTGTCCTTAAATAGATCCCTATGCTTGGCTTGAAGTTTGGTGTCTTGAAAATCTTGGTAATTTTTGAACAAGGGCTCCCTCTTTTCTTTTCTCTTCTCTTCTTTTCCTTTTCTTTCTTTCCTTTCTCTCTTTCTCTATCTTTTTTCTTTTCTTTTTTTTTTTCAGGGTCTTGCTCTGTCACCCGGGACAGAGTGCAGTGCTGCAATCTTGGCTCACTGCAGCCTCAACTTCCTGCGTTCAGGCAATCCTCCTGCCTCAGCCACCACCCCCCTCCAAGTAGCTGAGACTATAGGCATGTGCCACCATGCCCAGCTAACTTTTTGTATTTTTTTGTAGAAATGGGGTTTTGACCTGTTGCCCAGGCTGGTCTCAAACTCCTGAGCTCAAGTGATCTGCCCGCCTCGGCCTCCCAAAGTACTGGGATTACAGGTGTGAGCCACCACACCCAGCAACCTCAGCCTCTTTGAGTAGCTGAGCCTACAGGCGTGCACCACCACAGTCGGCTTATTAAAAAGAATTTTTTTTTTTTTTTGTAGACACAGGGTCTCCCTATATTGCCCAGGCTGGTTTCAAACTCCTGGACTCAAGCGATCCTCCTGCCTCAGCCTCCCAAAGTGTTGGGATTGGGATTACAGGCGTTAGCTGCCGCGCCTGGCCAGGCGCCCCCATTTTCATTTTGCATTGAGCCCTGCAAATTACATAGCCAGTCGTGTCTGGGCCAACTATTTACTTCTCTTATGCCTCTGTTTTCCTATTTCTGAAACGGATTTTTAAAATATTATCTGCCTCGGAGAGTTGTTGTGAATATTAAATGAGTTATATACACATAAAATACTTAGAGCAGGGAATGGCATGTAGTAAGCTCCATGTAAGTGTTAGCAATTGCTATCATGCCTGTTAATTGAGGCAAGTGAGGACTCCGGCAATTAATTTGCAAAATACAGAGATGTGACTATGTTCATGTCTCCAGCTAGTGAAGCAGATCAGATCAAGTACATAGGAAAACAATGAAGGAGAGGAAAATGTGACCCCTCGACTTATTTCTCACACAAGAAGACATGCCTCATTAATCCCACATCCATCTGGGCCCGCAGGGCTGACGAGAGGAGAACGCGGAAGCCCGAGAAGTGTGGAGTCAAGGCCAACCTCCTGCCGGAGGGGCTGGCAGCAGAACTCAGGCATGGCTCTGAGGGGTGGCATAGGGCACCTCCTGGAAGCAGCCTGCATCCTCCCCAAGGGGCCAGCCTAGGGGGCAGGCTGTCCTTAACTCAGGCCTCATTGCCCTTCCCTGAGATGGCACTGCAGTCAAAATGGGGGGCCCAGCCCCAGCCTTCTCTCCCTCGGAGCCTGTCTCACATTTCCAGACAGAGATCAGACAATAGGATATTGTGAAGGATGGTTTATGATGATGATTATTCTAAAAAAGCTTTTTGTTGACACCTAACATACATACACAAAAGAGGAGAAATAATAGGTTCCCACCTTAAAAGTCCTCCCAAATAATGAGATCAAGAAATAGGACATCCTGGAAGTCCCCAGCGAGCTCCCCACCCAGTTACTCCCTTCTTCCCAAATTCACCACTACCTTGCCTGTTATTATTTTTGAGATGGAGTCTTCCTCTGTCCCATCTCGAGTGCAGTGGAGTGCTGTGGCATGATCTCGGCTCACTGCAACCTCCACCTCCCGGGTTCAAGTGATTCTCTTGCCTCAGCCTCTGAATAGCTGGGATTACAGGCACCCGCCACCACACCTGGCTAATTTTTGTTTTCTTTTCTTTTTTTTGTTTTTTTTGAGACAGTCTTGCTCTATCATCCAGGCTGGAGTGCAGTGGCACAATCTCGGCTCACTGCAACCTCTACCTCCCAGGTTCAAGTGATTCTCCTGCTTCAGCCTCCCCAATAGCTGGGATTACAGTCATGTGCCACCACGCCTGGCTAATTTTTATATTTTTAGTAGAGATGGGGTTTCACCATATTGGCAGGCTGGTCTTGAACGCCTGACCTCAAGTGATCCGCCTTTCTCAGCCTCCCAAAGTGCTGGGATTACAGACATGGGCCACCGTGCCTGGCCTAATTTTTGAAATTTTTGGAGAGACAAGGTTTCACCGTGTTGACCAGGCTGGTCTTGATCTTCTGACCTCAAGTGATCTGCCCACCTCGGTCTCCCAAAGTGTTAGGATTACAGGCGTGAGCCACCACGCCTGGCCCCTATTACTATTTTTTTTTTTTTTTTTTTTTTGAGACAGAGTCTTGTTCTGTTGCCCAGGCTGGAATGCAGTGGCACAATCTCAGCTCACTGCAAGCTCTGCCTCCCGGGTTCACACCATTCTCCTGCCTCAGCCTCCCCAGCAGCTGGGACTACAGGTGCCTGCCACCACGCCCGGCTAATTTTTTTGTATTTTTAGTAGAGACGGGGTTTCACTGTGTTAGCCAGGATGGTCTCCATCTCCTGACCTCGTGATCCGCCCGCCTCAGCCTCCCAAAGTGCTGGGATTACAGGCGTGAGCCACCGCACCCGGCCGCCCCTATTACTTTTTAAAACCATTAGATTTCACTTTTCCTAATTTTTTAATTTTTAAAATTGCAAATCTATAAAATAAATTGGAAGGCTAGACTAAGATCACCTATATATTCACCTAATATACCAGTCGTTAACGTTTTGCTATATACTCTCTCTCTCTCTCTCCCTTCCTGTTTCTCTTTTTTCTCTCCCACCACTACACATTTTTTGAATCATTTGTGAGTTACTTGTAGACATTATGACACCTTATTTCTAAATATTTCACATCTCCTAAGAACAAGGGCATTTGCAAAGTGCAATTACCACACTCAAGAAATTTAACCTTGCTACAATGTAACATAAGTTTATATTCACATCTCCCCAGTTATCCCAATAATGTTCTTTATGGATATATGTATTTTTAAAATCAATAATCCAATCTTCGGACACACTTTGCATTTAGTTGGATGTCTCTTCAGTCTTTTTTAATGTAGAACAGTTCTACATTTACAAAAAATCTTTTATGACATTGACATTTTTGAAGAGTATAGGCCAGTTTTGGGGAATGTCTTTGAGTTTGGATTTGTCTGTTTCTTCATGATTGAACTCAATTTAGACATTTTCGGCAAGAATGCCACATGAGTTTTAATGTTAATCTTATTTATTACTTATAATTAATGTATTATTAATAATAGTGGCTGCAACTTATTGAGTGTCCGTCATGTGATGTGGGGATTATTGTGTCCATTTTGCAGATGAGGTAACAGAGGCAGGGAGTGGCTAAGTACTTTTCCCAAAGTCACATAGAAAGAGGACAGGCCGGGATTAGGTCTGTCTGACTCCAATGCCCATGCCCATAACCATTGCAGCCGACTACTGTAGTGGCAATCACTACTGCCAGTGACGGCTGGTACCACTGGAAGAAGACCTGAGGCTGTGCCTGGAGGCAGGGCCTCCACTCTGTTCTCTGCAGAGTGCCAAGCTTATCCAGGGCCAAACCCAGAACCAGGGTCCAAATTGTTTATTGAACAAAAAAAATGAATGTTTGTTCTGTGGACAAAAGTTAACATGGAGTCCATGGACCAGTGTCACCAGAGTCACCCAGAAAGCCTGTCGGAAATATACATCTGTGGGCCCTGCTGCCAACCCACTGAATCTGCACCTCAGTTGGTGGGCCCTGAGGATCTAGTGAATTAGGTTTGCCTGATGATCCTGATATAGACAACATTAAGTGAAAAGAGCAAGTTTTAGAACAGTGCATACTGCATAATCACGTATTTCTCTTTCTCCTTTTGAAGCTTATGTGGTTATATATGGATTTACAGTTTCAGGAAGGACACTAGAAAACTGTTACCAATATTCACCTCTGAGGAATGGGGCTGGGAGCCTGGAGGGCTGGAGGAGGACTTTACCTTCTACCTTATGCATTATTAGACATGACATAAGTGATAAATTAATACATTCTTAGTGTAAAAAATTAAACATTGCAGATAAGTAGGGTCTATATAATTTATCACTGAAACTGAACACTTTGGGGAGTGAAAGGCAGTGCTGTTGTTAGTTTCACCAGCAACAGAGAAAGCAGAAGCCATCCTGGGCAAACCTGGACAGGTGGTCACCGTGTGAAACCTGAAGTCCCCTTTGATCCTCCCATCTGGTTACAACCACCCCCAATCAGAGGTAACCACTGTTATCAGCTTGATGTGTATTTTGCAGACCCTTTAAGTACAATATGTATCCATTGAAAGTGCTTTGGCCATTTCTGTTTTCCTTGTTTTTTTGAGACAGGTACTCTGTCGCAGGCTGGAGTGTGGTGGTATGATCATAGCTCACTGTAATCTGGAGCTCCTGGGCTCAAGCAATCCTCCTGCCTCAGCCTGCTAAGTAGCTGGGACTGTAAGCCCACACCACCAGGACTGGCTGTTTTTTTTGTTTTTCTTTTCTCTAGAGACAGGGTTTCACTATGTTGCCCAGGCTAGTCTTGAACTCCTGGCCACAAGTAATCCTCCCGCCTCAGCTTCCCAAAGTGCTAGGATTACAGGCATGAGCCACCGCGTCCAGCCTGGCACTTTTTCTTTTTACATAAATAATATCACACGTAAGGTGTCTTTTTTCACTCAGCAGTATGTCTTGGAGATTTAGCCATGTCCTGCCACATGGGGCTACTTCATTTCTTTGAGCAATGCATGCTGTATAGCATTCTACATATTCCACAGATGAGTCATCTACATCCTCTTGTGGATGGGTATTCAGGTTGTTTCCAATTCTTTGGAATGATTAACAGTGCTAATGATCATGATGATGGGGATCTTATCTCAACAGTGGAACAACCTAGTATCCATCAGAAGTCAGCCTAATGTTAAACTATTATCAGGAGGTGGCAATTTTTTTTTCTTTTTTGAGATGGAGTCTCCCCCTGTCACCAAGGGTGGAGTGCAATGGCGTGATCTTAGCTCCTGCAACCTCTGCCTCCCAGGTTCAAGCGATTCTTGTGCCTCAGCCTCCTGAGTAGCTGGGATTACAGGCATGCACCACCACACCCGGCTAATTTTTGTATTTTTAGTAGAGACGGGGTTTCACCATGTTGGCCAGGCTGGTTTCAAACTCCCGACCTTCAGTGATCTGCCCATCTCGGCCTCCCAAAGTGCTGGGATTACCGGTGTGAGTCACCATGCCCAGCCAGGAGGTGGCATTTTTGAGGCACAACTGAATTTATGCACATGGTCCCTCACTGGGGCTGAGGACTCTCCACTTTTCATACCCAGGGAAGATACAGATGGGGTTCAGAAGTGGGACTCTCCCCAGCTTCACCATCAGAAGATCCTCAGAAGGTCTTTGGCCTCTCCAAATCTTTCCTGCAGTTGAGGTTTAGCAGAGGCTCCCAGGAGAGTCAACTCCTCCATTCTTACTCTTTATTCCTCATCTTCCCTTCCCTCTACTATTCATGAGCCTCTTTTACTTATCCAAGGTGGCATTTGGATACAGTGGAAAGAGCCTGGACTTTAGAACGGGACAGACTGTTTGATTCCTAGTTCCACCACCAACTGGCTGTGTGACTTTCAGTGAATTGCTTTACCTCTCTGGGCCTCCAGTTCTTCCCCATTTTACAAATGGGGAAATATTATCCACCTCCCAGGATTATGAGTTTATAGGTTGAATAACAGAACAGGTCATGTGCATGCCCCTTGCCGCCACAAGGTGAGCACTCCCTAAGTGTTCATTCTAGTCCCCTTCCCTCTCTCGCCATTGCTCTGTGTGGATTAGTGCCACTCCAATATTGAAATGCCTATGGGTGCTCCAGAGAGCAGGGATTGTCCTTCTCCCCATTTGTCACTAACCCATCTTCCCAAGCCCTGGCACAAGTTTGGGGCACATTTGGAGCCCCCAAAAGGAGGCAGAGATGCAAAGGGGCTGCTGTAGGGGCCAGGCTTTGTCTTTATGCAGGGTCCTGGGAGGGCTACCCAGCAAAGGACAGAGAGGCAAGGCCCTGCCCTCGGATAGATCTCTGCCTCATGGGATTTTCAATCTGATAGGAGCAATAGTTCCTAACCCTGGCCTCTAGAGACCTGGTCTTTTTCCCCAGAAGATCTCCTAGCCTGTTGGGAAGGGCCTAGTCAATATCCTCTGAAGCACCTCGCCTGATGAGGGAGACTTGATTTGATATCAATTCTCAGGAAGTTTCCAGGCTGATGGAGGAAACACACTGTCATCTGGAAAGCCATCCCAAGGTTCGGTGAAGACTTCCACTTGACGTGAGCCTCTCTTCAGGCACCACTTCCCTATGTATGAATGCGTGCTGGTCTTGGCTGGACTGAGCTGCCTGAATGCAGGCGTATTATCTTACTTTTGGGATCTCTGGTCCCAGCTTGTTGCTGGCCATCTTGAAGAATGCTTGCAGATTGGGCACATTCTCATGGCCTCCCTATTTAAAGAAGAGTCAAGGTCCTTTAATAACTCAAGGTCCTCTAATAACTCAATAACTCAAGGGCACAGACAAAGCAATTCAGAGCATGAGAGTGAGTGAGTCATCAAGGACAGCTGAGAGTACGGGATGGACCAGGAGGGGCTGCCTGGGCCTAGGGCAGAAGGACCACATGGGAGCCAGGCCTCCGCCTCCCCCAGCCACGCCTGTCTGCACTGCCTTCTGGAAACTGCTACAGTTCTGTAGGGGGTGTTCTAGAGGAGCACCCACACAACCTCTCCCCATGGGAGCTGTGTCCCGAGGGGGGGCACCTCTGTCCTCGTAGGAGGGGAGAAAACACGTCAGACCCTGAGTTGACGGGCAAGTCAAAACTGCTGGTTAAATGGCTTTAAAGTAGAGGCCATTTATAAGTTAATGAAAGAGAAAATAGGCACATTATACGTACAGATTTGTCCTTAATGAGGGGAAAAGGCATTGTTTACTGATGTTCAGTTCTAATTATCCATGCACAGGGCTAGCTTTTTTCCAGCAGTGCCGTGTGCCTCCATTCTCCCATCTTCCACCACGTTCTTTTAACCCCTTCAGTGCCCACCCAGGCTCTCACTCATCCCCCAGAGCATCAGGTTCCAGTGCTGGCTGAGCGGCCAATTCCTGGCTGACCCTGCGGAGACCTTTGACCCTGGCAGACAGCACAGCAGCTGCTTGTGTCCTCTGCTCTCCTCAGCTGAGCAGCCAGATGGAGGGCAGTGCGGCCAGGACCCTCAGGGCAGCCACCCTCGGAAGGAGGCAGAGCTCAGGGCGGGTGCCAGGGAAAACCCAACTGAGGAGGCAGGTGGAGTCTGAAGACTGCAAGCCAGGGACTCCCCAAAAAGCCAGGGCTCGGTAGAACCACCCACCAGTCCCATCCTTTGCAGTTTTTCTGAAACTGTCAAGAAGGGAGGGGCTCCCCTGGAAAAGGCAAACAGCAGGGTACCTCCCAAACGGGCAGCTCACTGAACCATTGCTAAGGTGACACCTGTCCATCCTCACTTCAGCATGAGCAAATGGGAGATCACTCTGGGATAAACAGATAACCCCTTGCTACCCCATAAGCTCTCCTCTCACCCCAAGATCCCAGCCTGCTAGATGCTGCTTGTCCTCAGTGGAGAATAAATAAGCAATAGATGCGAGAGTGGAACACGCATGACCACTGCTGCCAAAGTGAGCTCAGCGTTGGCTCAGCTTGGGAAATCGGCAAGGAGGAAAGGAGCTACTTGCTGAAAGTGGGGTAGGGAAGATGGCTTGGTCAGACCCAAACCCTAATCATCCAGTGGCACATTTGAGCTGTCTTCAGGAGTCTGTGCTAGGAAGGGATTTGGCTTTTCCTTGAACTTTCTGGGTGAACAGCAGTTCTAACTTGCTGATGCTCAGAATGCATTCTCCACTCTCCCTTGGGAAGCCCAGGAAAATGCAGCAGGTGGCTGCAAGTGGTGGTGGCAAAACCACTACCTCCATGGCCACTAGACAAGAGAACATGGGGTTACCCCACAACACAATTTTGGAGGTTTGATCAAAGAGGGAACTTCCTGGTTGATTAAAAAGGCAGTTGGGCAACATTATGCCAATAAACGTGAAAATTTAGACAAAATGGACAAAGTCGTAGAAAAACATAGATTACCAAAACTGACAAAAGAATAGAAAGCCTGAATAATCCTATAACGATGAAAGAACTTGAATCTTGCTGGGCTTGGTAGGTCACGCCTATAATCCTAGCACTTTGGGAGGCTGAGGCAGGAGGATTGCTTGAGGCCAGGAGTCCAAGACCAGCCCGCACAGTATAGTAGGATCCTATCTCTACAAAATAAAAAAAAAAATTGGCTAGGCATTGTGGCACATGCCTATAGTCCCAGTCCCAGGCTGAGGTGGGAGGATCACTTGAGCCCAGGAGGTTGAGGCAGCAGTAAGTTATGATCATGCCAGTGCACTCCAGTCTGGGAGACAGAGCAAGACCCTGTCTCTTAAAACAAAACAAAACAAACAAACAAAAAAAAACTTGAATCTTGAATGAAAGATCGCTGCACAGAGAATGCCAGGTTCCAATAGCTGCCCTTCCTTTGTTGTTATTGGGCATCTGCTGTGCTTCATTTTTGTTTTGTTTTGTTTTGTTTTTTTGAGATGGAGTCTCACTCTATCGCCCAGGCTGGAGTGCAGGGGCACGATCTCGGCTCACTGCAACCTCTGCCTCCCAGGTTCAAGCCTGCCTCAGCCTCCCAAGCAGCTGGGACTACAGGCATGTGCCACCACGCCCAGCTAACTTTTTTTTTTGTATTTTTAGTAGAGACAGGGTTCCGCCATGTTGGTCAGGTTGGTCTCAAACTCCTGACCTCAAATGATTTGCCCGCCTTGGCCCCCCAAAGTGCTGGGATTACAGGCATGAGCCACGGTGCCCAGCCATCTGCTGCTATTCGTGAAGCCAAAGCTTCAATCCACATCCTCCTCCTTATGCCTATTTTCTACACGTTAAAACCTTGAGACAAGGAGAGTTAGGTTTTAATCTTCCTTCCCCTCCTTAAATCAGAGGCGACAACCTACAGCACCTTTTTTTCTTTTTAAAATAAAAACCTCCTATTTATTTGCAGATTGGAATGGGTAATCGAAAGACCTTTCATGATATTATTTATTCAGAGTCCTTGCATCAAGCTTGCCACTTATTTAATCTGCGCAAGTGTCCTGCAAGAGAGACACTAGGATCCCTGTCTGAAGCCTGTTCTCTTCCCACGATACCTCCCTGCTGCCCCAGAACAAGGCTACTCATCTCTCAGGAATAGGAGGGTCATGACTGAGTCCTCCCCACCCTCCACTCCCATCTAGCCATCAACATCTAGGTCAGAGTTCCAGGCCCCTCTCCCCTGATAACAGTGCTTGGGAATTTCTTCAGTTGGTCAATGATCTTCTTACACAGCTGTCCCCAGAACTGAACCTGGCATTGAAAGGTACATTTGGCTATCCTGGTTATGTATTGCTGGGTTAGAAATTACCCCAAATTTAGTGGTGTAAAACAACCATTTATTATGTTTATAGGTTCTATGGGTCTGGAATTCAGATGGGGTACAGCAGGGAAGCTTTGTCTCTGCTCCACAGCATATGGGCCTCAGCTGGAAGATTCGAAGGCTGAAGGTGACTCAACTTTTGTGGGCTGGCATCATCAGAAGGCTTGTTCACTCATGTGTCTGGTGGATGGGGCTGGCTGTCAGCTGAGACCTTAGATGGGACTCTGGGCCAGAATATCTTGTGTGTGGCCTCTCCAGATAGCTTGAGCTTCCTCACAGTATGGCAGCCAGGTTCCCAGGAGAGAGTGACAAGTGAAAGCCACATTACCTCTTAGGATTTAGCTTTGCCAGTAGTGCAGCATCACATCTGCTACGTTTCATTTGCAAGTTCTGCCCAATTTCAAGGAGTGGGGATGTCAAGATTCTAGAAAAGGGGGTGGCACTGGAGATACTATAGTGAACCTTTTTTAAAATTTTATGTATTTATTTTTTTGAGATGGAGTCTCACTCTGTCGCCCAGGCTGGAGTGCAGTGGCGCAATCTCAGCTTACTGCAAGCTCTGCCTTTCAGGTTCACGCCATTCTCCTGCCTCAGCCTCCCAAGTAGCTGGGACTACACGCACCTGCCACCAGCCTGGCTAATTTTTTGTATTTTTAGTAGAGATGTGGTTTCACCATGTTAGCCAGGATGGTCTCGATCTCCTGACCTCGTGATCCGCCTGCCTCAGCCTCCCAAAGTGCTGGGATTACAGGCGTGAGCCACCGCCCCCAGCCTACAGTGAATCTTTTAAGAAAACATCACGTAGCTCATCTGCCTAGCTCAGAGGAAGCTCTCCACGTGAGAGGGTCTGGGAGGTGCTCAGGGTGTAAGAACATCATTCATTCAGTCAGCACAAGTGTCAGAGTCTACCGTGTGCCAGCTGCTATCCCCTCATGCCCCTGGTGGTCCATAGCTGCATTGCCTTTCAGCCCCAGCCCCACCCAGGTTCTCCCATTGAGGCCCTGACAGATTTTATCAAGATGAGAGAACTTTGGGCTTAATTCTCTCCAGCCTCCTGGGAAACATTGCTCTGGGTCACTGTGGCTATAGCCCAGAGAATAACTCCTCCCCCGGGAGGCTGCTGTTGAATGGAAGGTTTTTACTCCCATTTCTCAAGGTGTAGGCGTGTCGAACAGTTTCTATTTATTGAAGAAGAAAACAAGTTGTTTTTTTATTTATATATAGCTCTTGTTTTTGTTCATCCCACAAGAAAAAACAGGGTTCCTCAATTGGAAATAGATTCCTGCCCTTCCGTAAGACTTGGAAATGGGAGAATCTGTGTGTGAATTAGGTCACTGTGGTATAGAGAAAGAAGTTGGGAGAACTCCTCTAACCCCTTTTTTTTTTAAGCACAGGAGCATGGTTTGTATAGCTGGTTCACTGGCTATTATACTGGAAAGCAGAATGAGTGGGTCAAGACAAGTAGAGGTATAGCTAGCATCATAATCACAATAGGGCCGGGCACAGTAGCTTACACCTGTAATTCCAACACTTTGGGGGGCAGAGCTTTGAGGACTGCTTGAGCCTAGGAGTTCAAGATTAGTTTAGGAAACATAGTGAGGCTCCATCTTTACAAAAAAAAAAAAAATTAGCTGGGCATGGTGGTGCATGCCTGTTGTCCCAGCTACTCGGGAGGTTGAAGTGGGAGGATTGCTTGAGCCCAGGAGGTTGGGGCTACAGAGAGCCACGATGGCATCACTGCATTCCAGCCTGGGCAACAGAGCGAGACTCTGTCTCAAAAAGAAAGAAAATAACTAATCACAATAATAACCAATATATATCATATTCTGGACTCCAAGCATTTTATGCAGCATTGTGAAAATGATATTAGTACCTTTCTGATGGCATTGTTAGCAGATTGAATGGCGCAAATGAGGAAAGTAATTTCTCTAAGGCCCAGAGATGTTAAGTAATTTGCCCAAGAGCACACAGCTAAGATGTGGTAGAATTGGGATTTGAATCCAGGCCCATGGGCTCCAGAGACTGTCCTCTAATATTGGGCCATGATATGCAGCTAGCAGGCCTGGTAGCTTAAAGGGAGGGGCAGGAATTGGAATATAACAGGCGAGGCGCACAGGCTCTGGGTGTTGGGTCTCTCTTGGTTAGACACCAAAGACTCATTCTGCAGCCTGAGTCTCCTCATCTGGAAATGGGGATAATACCTACCCCAGTGAGTTATGTAAGGCACTAGCACAGCCCTCCAGACCCAGTGGGTGCTCAGTGCACCATTGGAGAGTCCCTTTCCTTTTTTCCTTCCTCCATATTTTGCCGTGGGCCACTCTATGGAGAGAACTTTCCTGCCCAGGGAAGAGGGAGATGGCCAGGATGACTTTGCTATCTGTGACAACTCTAAGGGAATCCTGGTTCCCTAAGCTTTTGCTGGATGTCAGAATTCCAGTGCCTCTCCACTGTGCTTTTCATTGGCAGAACTTTAAATGATTTTATAAAACTGCAAATGTACAAGGTAATTGAGTCTTCTGTTTTATTACCCTGAGCTGCCTGGACCTTGCCCGGCCTCCTCCTCACTCACCGAGCCACCGGAATAAAGTTGGAAGTGTTTGTGCTGGTAATATATAGGACTTAATTAACCTGGCCTTTTATAGCATTTCCAATGGAGGGTTGGAACGAACTTTGAGGCAGCTTGAGAAAGGGAAAGGGGGGCCTGGGGTGAGAGCGTGTATGTACATACAACACTTGATGTTGGTTTTTTCTTTTGTTCTTTTCTCCAGTACTTTAATCAGCATTTAATGACCCAGTCGAAAATTCATTGTTTGGACCCAAGCACTGGTGGGAAAGGCAGGAGGGGAGGCCTGCCTTCCTTCCTCCCTCCCGAGCCCTACAGCAGGCCATGGAGTGGTGAGCGAGTTCGTACAGTGCCAACCACATTCCCAGAAACTTCCAGCAGAGGTTAATCCTGCTCCTCTCAGGTAGGAGACAATGAATGGATTTTAACAAATGGACTCCCTGTGTTAGCTAATGCCAGTCCCTACTCAACCTAGGATGACTCCAATGGCGCATGTCCCCATTCCCGGGCCCTAAGGCTGCGCTAACATGCTATCCTGCCTGCCCCTTCATTCTCCACCCTGCCACATTCCCACTCCTTTCCCCTCCCAACACGAAGCCATGCCTGAGCTGGACACCCTTCCATACCAACCCAGGAAAAAGTGATTCAGCTCCGGTCCACCCTGGGTGCAGCGGTCCTTCTGCCAAGATGCCTTCATATCATACAGCTATTATTTTCGGGAGGATTCCAAGTGAGGGCAGTCAGGGTAAGTGCCTCTCACCAGCTGCCTGCTCAGACCATTGCTCCACATACCCTAGCTCATAAATCCTGCCCCAACACTGCAGAGTGGTTACATCATCCCCAAACCTCATGCAACAATTCGATTTGGAAATAAAAAGGCAGGTGTTAATTGACTCACTCCCTCTGCCCCTTTGTGGTGCCCCTGACCCTCGATAGCTTTTAACCCTGCAGTTAATAAAAGTTTTGGGCCCAGCCCCAGCACAGTTCCTCATTCATTCTTTCATAACATCAGCAAATTCTTCCTGAGTGACTGTAATGCACAAGTCATTGGCCAGAGCCTTAGGGAAGAGGGTTAGGTGGCTAAAGATGAGCAAGAAGCATTTTAAGCATTTCATGCCTTAGGAAAGCCTACAGAGGAGGCCCACAAATAACGCAGATTTGGGCAAGAGTCCTGTGGGCCTCCAGAGAAGCCAGAGTTTTAGAAGCATCTCCGGCTGTTGAGTTGACTGCTCTTGAGTTTGCCTGTTCAGCACCCATCCCTCCTACAAGAGCAACCAGATTCTCCTTTGGAGAACCCACATCTTCACTAAATCTATGTGGTTCCAAATGTGGTTGAATGTCTGGGGTCCCCAGGAGTCAGCCCATGAGTAGAGCTAACCATTCAGGGCAGGTTAGTCCCCAGCCACAGTGATCATTTCAGCCATGGGCATTAGACTTGGGCTGGGCCAGTGAAAGCTATTGCTGCAGCTCCTGGGAAGGAGGAGCTCTCTTTTTCCCCTGGGACTGGCCAGAAGTAAGCCTGGAGCTGCTAGTAACCCTCTTGTCTTCACCTGGGAGAGGCTTCAGGAACCTGAGAGTGAAGCCAATCACTTCATTTGCTCCCGAGGGACAGCCTCTGACTTCAGGCCCCTATTGTCTCCTGCCCTGCAATGAGAAGCTCTTGGTTTTTAGGTGTGTTTATTACCCAGGCCCAAGAGACTCTCTGTCTCCCTTCAGCTAGTCTGTGCCCAAGCAGAATATCAAGGAACGCAGAGCTGAGAAATGGAAAGGAAAAGATGGTTAAGGATGTTGGATGGCTGCCAAAGGTTTCTTTTTTTTTTTTTTTTTTTTTTTTGAGACAGAATCTCGCTCTGTCACCCAGGCTGGAGTGCAGTGGCTCGATCTCCGCTCACTGCAAGCTCTGCCTCCTGGATTCACGCCACTCTCCTCCCTCAGCCTCCCTAGTAGCTGGGACTACAGGCGCCCGCCACCACGCCTGGCTAATGTTTTTTTGTATTTTTTTTAGTAGAGATGGGGTTTCGCCGTGTTAGCCAGGATGGTCTCGATCTCTTGACCTCGTGATCCACCCATCTCGGCCTCCCAAAGTGCTGGGATTACAGGCGTGAGCCACCGTGACCGGCCTGGGGGCCCTTGTTTTTCAGGTTTGCACTTGTGCGACTCTGAGAGTGGGTGCCTCCTTACATTTTGTACCCCAGGTGCCTCTCTCCTCTCCCTATTCCTGGCCCTGCTTAGGCTGCTGGAAGTCCACCCCTATCTGTCCCTGAACCCAGCCTGAAGAATTCAGAGTTGATTGCTACTGTCTTTCTTCCCCCACAGGTGGGCTTGGCCCATTCTCTAGACTTTGGAAGGTAATGTTCTATAGAGGCCTGTTCTGAAGCTTTACCAGGTCAAACCGGAGAAGAACCCAACAAGTAACTCATCCCAGCCTAACTATTCTTCAAGGGCAATCAACCTACAGCATCCAAGCACAGAGAAATCAAATCCATGGAGAATCTTCAAATTAGGCTCAGAATCCATTTGGGTCAATGAATTTACTGTTATTAAGATCTTAGTTGTGTTCAACCATGATTTGACATACCTTAGAGTGAGAAGATATTCTTCCTGGCCTCAGACTAGTTGAAGGTAGAGAGAGAGACAGGCCCTTGGGTGTGGGGAGACCTCTCCTGGGATAATACACACAAAAAACCAAGAGCTGCTCACTGTGGTGCAGGAGACAGCAGGGCCTGAAGCCAGAGGCTCTGTGTCCTTGAATACAATGTTTTACTCCTCTGACCCCTGTTACTGTGATTTGGAGAGGCAGACAATATAGGATGGGCTTTGCAGGCAGGGAGGTCCAGTTATAATCCCAGCTCTTACTAAGTTGGGTAAGACTCACTCTGAGACTTAGTTTCTTCTGTCATCTCTCAATAGAATCATAAAGGTACTTTCCTCTTAGTGTTGTTTTAAAATTCAGTAAAATAATGCAGGCTTAGCACAGGGTCTGATGTAAATTTTCAATGAATTATCGTTGTCAATATTGTTCTGGAAAACAAGAGGGCATATTAGAAGATCAAAAGTACTGCCAAGCATTGAAGTGCCAATTCTAGATCCAGTCTCAGCCCTCTGAGAATGGATATCATTGTTTTCAAGCCATTCAGAAACCAATGTGAATTGAACACCTAGTATGAGCTCTCTGAGGGAAGAGCCAAGTCATGCATTTTTTATCTTAAGGGGTCTTCAATACCTCTAGCCCAAAACAGTATCTCCATCAGGATTCTTCTCTGATAGTGTTCATTTCTTTTTTCTCAATGGATGCCTTAAAAAAAAAATCCTACAAGGAAACCTGTACTCCTCAAATACACCACTCAGGTGACCATTAAATCATTTACATTGTTAATTTCTTTTCAGATGTGTGTCTTTTTCCCTAGTTACATCATCAGGACCTTGAAGGTAGGGACAGGTCTTAGATTTCTTGATGCCCCCATAAATCTAGGTACAGAGTAGGTCTCTGGACATCAGTATAAGGCCCATGAGCCTGATAGCTGCCCAGGTGGGTGCTGTGTGCCTGGGCGTGGGAAGGACAAAAGAGAGGTCACTAAAGGGGTTCCTGGGAAGGAAGAGCCCCTCTGACTTTAAAAGGGAGCCCATACACTTTTTGGACAACTGGAATAATCAGAAAGCTGTTTTTGGGGAGGCAGCAGCCAGAAAAACCTGGGGCATTGGGTCAACCAAAGCCCTTCCCAAGGCTGCAGTGGCTGCAGCTAGTTAGCCCAGCTTCCCTACCAGCCCCAGGGCTGCAACTGAACAGTGTTGGCTTCTTAATAAAAACAGCACCAATGCAAAGCCCTAACTTCACTGGAGAAATAGCCCTGCGCCCTTCCATCCATTAACATTTTGCACCTTAATGCGGCCATATTTTGGGAAAGCCAATTCATATTGTCTGAGTAGCTTATTGGTATGCAGCTCTGGTTAGGGGTGGGGGATCCTGGGAGGGGGGCACTCTGCAAAGGGGTTTTAATTAAGCCTCAGAATGTTCCGTATATGCCCCAAAAGGGGGGCGGTACTTGGGGGACCTAGAGCAAGGGTGATGGGCTTGTCCAAAAGGTTTGTGTGTATGAAGGCTTGACCATTTCTGGGAAGTCCCACCGTGACTGCCACCCTTGCTCACCCCCAGCCCACACCAGAGCAGGGCCACCCACTCACCCTTTGGGTCTCTAACTTCGAATTTCCCAAGCAGACCCTATCAGGCAGCTCTTCTCAGATAAAATACATCATCATTTGCTCCATTAGAAAATAAATGTATGGCTATATTATGGGATTTGCATTCCATTACCTTGGTTTGCATGCCATAAAACATTTATTACACCCTTGGGCTAAAGTCTTAATAATGACTGGGTATGAGGCACTAATGTGGTGCTGGTCTTGCTCAGGAACCAGAGATTAATGCCTTTTGATGTCACTCAGCTAATAGTTGTGCTCACCAATTTGTCCCATCAGAAGACATTAGAGTCAGGCCCTGTGCGAGGGTGGGGGAACCACTGCTCAGCTTCAGCTGGGAATCGAGGCTCCCCGTTCCTTCCTTCCTACCTGGTCTTGTTCAAAATGGCCGGAATGAAATCTCAGTTCCCCCTCTTCAATCTCTCATTCTACTTCTACCCCCACCCCAGCCTTGGCCAAGTCCCCACCCCTGGGTGTGAAAGCTGCAAGGAAGGGTTTAAGTGTCAGCCCTCCTATTAGACAGCAGCGGAGGTGGCAGGAGTCTGTGTGTGGGCATGGGTGTGTGTGTGCATGCATGCATACACACACACACACACACACACACTTCTCCCTTCCCTCTTAAGGAATTGCTTTGCCAGTCCTGCCAGCTATGGAAGCCCAGCAGCCCAGAAGAGGAGGCTCCAGTCCACCTTTACCCCACAGCTAGGCTTAGTCACAGCCCCCAGCCCGGGAGACAGGCCCAGGATGGAGCTGAGCAGACCTCTGGGGCTGTATTGTGGGTCTTTCTTGTCATCAGCTGACTTGGCTCGAGCAGTCCCTGTGGCCAGGCCTTGGAGAATGTCCTCTTGTGAGTTGTTGTGATTCTCTGTGGGGTCCAGGAGCATCCTTCTCAGAGACCGGAGATGCCCCCCACCTCTTTTGCTCAAAGCCATGGCCAGGAAGTGACCAGTTACTTAACCCTTCTGTCTCTGTTTATCCACGTGGAAATGCTGGCATTTGGCATATGTGTGTGTGCTGTCTGGATCCTGCAATGTTCAGGACAGTCTCGCCCAGCAAATAATTCTCCCGCATTCCATACAACTTTTGAAATGCCCACCCAGGTCGCTGTGTACTCCACAGCCCTAGGGGGCACTATTCATTTCCATGATGAAGTAAATGGCTGTGCAGTGCACAACCTGCACAACCATCAGAGAGGTCCTAAGTTTGACAGTCATCCCAGTGGAAAAACCTGTTTACAGTGACCAGAGCTCTAAACCTAGCTGTTTTACATATAAGCACTGAGTATTGTTGCATGGCTCTAATATACACTGGATTTTCTAGGATTGCAACTTTTGTGACAATTGAGAAGGAAATTGTCCTCTGTTCTGCACAGATCCTTACCAAGAGTTGTGTACCATTTCAGAAACCACCATTCATGCAGCCATACTGTGGCCCTTAAGTCACCAGGATGCTGCTCCATGGCAGGTGGCACTGACTACAGTCCCACTGGGAGGGTTTGTCTTTAGGTGCAAGCATTCCACTTTTTCATTATTCCTGAGCATTTACATATTGAAATACATATTTTATTATAACTGACTTTCCTTTGATTTCTCCTTTATCTTACAGGTGGGTCAATATATTGACTTTTTAAAAAATTCCATGGGTAGGTTGCTTATGTTATCTCTGCTTTCCATTCTGAGATAGTAAATGGGGCATGACAACAAACTTGGTAATAAAAGAAAGCTGTGGGTCTGATGGACTGGGTGCTGAAGCCAGAGAATTCCAGCCTCAACATCTCTAGGAAGCCTCTTCTGACCACTTTTACCCCACACTCCCACCCAAAGCCTGCTTTCCTTCCTCCCTGAAATGAAGTACTTCATTATGCCTACTTTCTATTTTTTTTTCCTTGATCATCTCAGGGACAATCATGTCAACTGTGTCCCAAGAAACATGAAAGCTCTCTAAGGACAGCCTTGAGGTGGTCACTGTTCATGGCCCTGACCAGGCCCTGGAGAAAAGGACACTAGCTTGGTGTGCTAATCTGAAATACACAAGTCTGGCAGCGGTAGGGCCCCTGGGAGCAGAAACCAGAGACAGGCATCCCCAGCAAAGTAATACAAAGTCCAGAAAGCCCCATCACCCAGCTTGAGAGAGCTGGGGCAAAATAGAGGGCCCCAAGACTCTAGAAGAGACGTTTCATAAGTCTCATCAAATTAAAGACTAATTAGAAAAAAAAATTTGTGGGAAATCATTGAAAAACAAGTAAACCATCCAAAGCCTGAGACTGTTTAAAAAT
This sequence comes from Homo sapiens, assembly GCF_000001405.40. NCBI lineage: Eukaryota > Metazoa > Chordata > Mammalia > Primates > Hominidae > Homo > Homo sapiens. Next base: position 75,364,777 of record NC_000010.11, read on the forward strand.
AGCTTATTGGAAATCCAAAGACAGGACATGTTGAGGAATGAAAAAAACATCTTGTGTGGTAAGATGGTGACTTTAAAGCGACTTCTGTGGCAAAGAGGCATCCTTTGTAAATGGGCAGATTGGCCAGGCTCAGAGAGCAGGTTTAGGTAAGTTAATGGATGATAGCACCATAAAAGGTTATTAAGGGGAACTTGGCTCCACTTAGGAGCAGCACTTGTGATATCTGGGGGATGACTGCGCATTCCCGAGGCAGAGTCCTTGTGTCCTAACCTGAGACAGACCATGGGCCCAGAACCTGGAAGGAAGGAGGCACTGCTGGGTCTCGGGTTATTTCTAGGGGTCCCCCATATGGATGCAATAGTCCATCTCAGTTTTTCCTTTTTTTTCTTTGAGACGGAGTCTCGCTCTGTCGTCCAGGCTGGAGTGCAGTGGAGTGATCTCAGCTCACTGCAACCTCTGCCTCCCGAGTTCAAGCAATTCTCTGCCTCAGCCTGCTAAGTAGCTGGGATTACAGGTGTGTGCCACCACACCCGGCTAATTTTTGTATTTTTAGTAGAGACGGGGTTTCACTATGTTGGTCAAACTGGTCTCAAACCCCTGACCTTGTGATCCGCCTGCCTTGGCCTCCCAAAGTGCTGGGATTACAGGCGTGAGCCACCGTGCCCGGCCCCACTTCAGTTTTTCAAAGAAAGAAAAAAGAGAAATGATCGGATTCAAGCTGCATTTTTGGAAAGTCAATTTTTAAATGTGTGTGTATTTCAGGTCAGAAGAATCATGAAAGAAAACCCAGTAGGAGTATAGTGGGTTGACTTCATCCCTGGGTTCCAGACACTGCCTGAGTTCATGTCCTAGCCCCACCACTGCATAGCTGGGTGACCTTAAGCAAGTTATTTAACCTATCTGTGCTTCAGCTTTCTCCCCTCTGGAATGGGGTTGGTAATATTACTTTGCTGGCTTATGAAAATGAAATGAGTTAATATGGTATATGAAAATGCTTAGAATAGTGCACGGCCTATGGTGAGTGCTCAGTAACTGTCTGCTTAGGTTGTTGTTACTTTCAAGAAAAGGGCCAAGTTGTATTAGTTCCCACTCCCTTCCTGCTGATTAACCAATGAAGGGTGGCTCTGGGAACATAAGGGAGGAATCAGGGCAGGCATGCGTGCCTCTCGCTTTCCCAGAGGAGCCCCAGTGAGGAGGTCAAGTGCTCTGGTCCTGGTTCTAAATCCACTGTTTAGAGTAGCAAGTACATTTGAAGTGGAGATTACCCCCTTGGCCGCAAAGATTCAGTTAGTAGGTGACAAGGAGTGACTGTGTCACTACATAGTTATCTACATAGGTAATCTGTGCCCCCCAAAAGATTTTGATCAGAGAACATCGTGCTTAGGAGGAATATTCCCTCTAGGCCATGGCAGCAAATAGGTTTGAGCTCTTTTGTATATACCATTGCTTGATAACAGCTGTGGGCTATATCCTATTGGGGATTCTGAATCCACATCTGGATGCCAGGGAAAGGGTGCCAAGATCAAATAATTAGTGATGTCGGCCAGGGATACAGGAGACAAAAGTGTCAGCATTGGCTGGAGAGTAAAAAACACCGTCTGCTCATAATAGCCTGGCTAGAGGTAGCCTGGGTTCCCACGTCCCGAGCAATGGTGTGGCAGGATGGTGATTGCCTGCTACCAAAAGGTAGGCGACCTGACTTTTCAGCTCTCCTCCATCAGGCGTGGGGAACTTGGGTGCTTCACCCCACTTAACCGCTCTGCCTCTGTGTCCCCACATGTAAGTGCCTCAGAGGGACATCCAAGGGGTACTGGGGAAATTGTAGGATGTTTGAACTGTACAAGGTCCTGGAGGCTGTAGCAGACACAGTGCCCCAAGGCCTTTGCCCTTACCATGTCTGTGCTCCGAGCCTGATTCCAGCCACCAGCATCTGCAGTTCTTTGAGAGCTTTCTTCAGCCTTTGGTCTGCCTTTACAAGGCAGGTTGGAAGCAGTCCTCAACCAGTGACCAACAGGATCATTGTGTAAATATCCTAGCTCCTTCGTCCCGCGGGTGAGATAACTCTGAAATGTAGGTTCTACAACGTCTCCCAGAGTTTCCCAATGGGAGAGAGCTCCAGGTACCCGCACTACTAGCTTGCTTAATATATCTCTTACTGGCTCCTCCCCTTTCCTGATTCACTTCCCACTCCTAGGGTCACCTCCCAAATCCTCATCTCAGAATCTGCTTCTGCCAAACTAAGGCAGAGGTTAGCTGGCTGCACCACTTTGTGTTACTGAAGCAAGATAATTGCAAACACACTTGCCCACCAGAAGGGCCTCGTGTGAAGGTCATGATAAGTATCCATCTAGCAGGGCCTACAAACAGCCCAGAAAGAATCAGAACTTTTGCATCATTAGGAAGAATTTCCCTCCCCCAGCTCAGGAAATTGTCTCTCTACCCCCCACCCAGAAAATCTTGTAGCCTGTGATGAGACCTCCCTCTCTGGCTTCTCTCTCACCAGCTGTCTGTTCCTAACAACCCCACCCACGCACGGGAAACTCTCTAACTTGATATTGCAGGATGCTGTCACTTGAAATTAATTGCAACTAATTAAAAATGATCTGGTTAGGACAATTGCACAATGGCGCTCCGGAGACTGCTTCATTCCCAGAGGTTTGGTGGCGTTTGTGGCTGCTGCAGCCCTGGTCTGCCGGACGGGGCCATACATCATCGTGTCATTTTACATTGTTATTTCTCTGAAAGCAGCAATTTAAAAGAGTCTCAGATGAACCTTGAGCAACTTCGTGCTAAAAAGAAAAATGTTACTGTCCAAGATATGTAAAATATAACATATAGGCTCAAAGAAGCCTCTTGACATGAAAAGAGGCCTTGGAAGTTTGTGCAGCGATTTGCATATAATATATAATGTTGTAGTAAAAGGACACACAAAGCAGAAGGTGGCTGTGGAGCATCGATCCTTATCTCCTTTGTTCAAACTGGGTCACCTACTATTCCTGGTTATTATTTTATCACAGCCATTCCTCACATAAGGTGACAGGACAGTATCTAACCTACAGGGTTCGGGGACTGCCACACCTCCCCCTTATTTAGTGGAAGACCCAAGGGTCCTTCCTGGCTCTGATTCTGAAAGCATTTCAAGTCCTGCTTGGCCCTGCCTTTTTCCAAGCTGATCCCAGGAGCAGTAATCCTGTAAGGAAGAGCCACTTATTGGGCTTGGGGAAGGCCCAGTAAACCTCGAGTTAGGGCATTGAACCTCGATAAGCATCTGGAATGTCCCCACACATCACTAGGAGGGAGTTCAGGCACCTCAAATGAATTTTGACCCCATGTCCTTGAGCTACAAATCATTCCTCTTAGGCTACCCACTGCCCTATCTAGCTCTGTGGTCTCCATGGTGCCCTTCAAACCTCTCTGCATCAACAATACAGGGGAGAAGCAGGCATTTGAGCAGAAAGTGGTATGCCCCAAAAGCATTTTCCACAATTATTCTTCTAATGCTCTGCAGCTCATTCTGCAAGTTTAAAAAATAAGCAGATTTTCAAGGGTACCAATAAGAATAACAAATCTCTGCAAAATAGAAAGAGAAGGGTTCAAAAATAAAAAATCAAGATCTTTAACATTAAAGATCCAGGAATAGAAAGGAATAGACAGATAAGATGAAAGGAGAAAGAATAGTAAACAGATATGCAGATAAATCTTATGTAATTACTAAACTTTGGCTCTGGGCTTCCTGGAGGCCAAAGCAAAGAAGGAAAATAAGACATATGATTACTTACAAATGTTATGCAATTTTTAAAGAAAAAGCAGACCACCTTCTTAGCAGAAACAAGGTTCTTTTGCATGACCTCATGTGGATCATGTACCTGGCATCATCCTCCACAAACCCTCATAGTTAAGGCAGGGGTAAGGCTCACAGAGATCCCTGCATTGGAAATGGATGACCTGGCAAAGCCAACTCTCTGGGAAATCCAGGAGATATGCATCAGATAAGTGGTTTACTAATGGATGGTTTCATTCAGGGGTGAGACTTTAATACTGGAAAAGTGCAAGGACTAACTCCAACCTGACCTCCAAATTATTCTCCATACAAAGTGATTCTTTCAGCTCTGCTTTTATTGGAAACTGAACAGCGGATAGTTTAAGGTTATAGTTTCAGTCAAAGACTGGAATGCAGGTATTCCATATGACTGAGAATTGGATTTAAATACATCAATTACAGCACATCTGTATAGTGGGATACTATGCAAACATCAATAGGAACAAGGGAGACTTTACACGCTGTTAGGAAAGGTTGTTTAAGATACATTATTAAGTGGGGGGAAAAAGCAAGTTGCAAAACAGTGGGTATAGTATGATCTCACTTGTATCAAAAATTAATAATAAAACACGGGTATAGAAAATTTCTAGAAGGATACACAAAAATTGGTAAGTGTTTAACTTTGAGCGAGAATTTCATAGCTTATCCAAGCCCTCCTTACTATAATTATGTATTGTTTTTTGATATGGTTTGGCTCTGTGTCCAGACCCAAATCTCATCTTGAATTGTCATAACCCCCATGGGTTAAGGGTATGACAAGGTGGAGATAATTGAATCATAGGGGTGGTTTCCCCCATGCTGTTCTCGTGATACTAAGTGAGTTCTCATGAGATCTGATGGTTTTATAAGGGGCTTCCCCCTTCACTCGGCTCTCACACTTCTCCTTCCTGCCATTATGTGAAGAAGGACATGTTTTCTTCCCCTTCCACCATGATTGTAAGTTTCTTGAGGCCTCCCCAGCCATGTGGAACTGTAAGTCAATTAAATCTCTTTCCTTTACAAATTACCCAGTCTCAGGCAATTCTTTATAGCAGCGTGAGAACAGACAATTACACTTTTAGATTTAAAAAATAGTTTTTGAAAAGCTAATTGAGAAAACAATGCAGTTTTGTTAAAAAGAATGAAGCATATTAGTGTTACTGAAGAAGTAAGATATGAAGGGAGAATCTGGATAGATATGAAGTAGTTATCTTGGTGGCCGGGCTAACACCTGTAATCCCAGCACTTTGGGAGGCCGAGGTGGGCAGATCACTTGAGGCCAGGAGTTCGAGACCAGCCTGGCCAACATGGCGAAACCTCGTCTCTACTAAAAATATAAAAATTAGCCTTGCGTGGTGGTGTGTGCCTGTAGTTCCAGCTACTCGGGAGGCTGAGACAGGAGAATCGCTTGAACCCGGGAGGTGGAGGTTGAGGTGAGCCAGGATTGCACCACTGCACTCTGGCCTGGACGAGACTACATGTCAAAATAAATAAATAAATAAATAAATAAATAAATAAATAAATAAAATGAAGTGGTTATCTTGGGGAGGTTAGAGTACAACAGACTTCCACCTTCTAAGTTAATTTCTGTAACATTTTAATAAGTAGGTATTTACGTTTATAATAATTTTAAAAACACTAAGCTAATACTGTTAAGTTGACTGTCTTTTATGACAATGAAGAAGCCTAACCAAGACTTGTGCAAATGAATGGCCACCCTACCCCTTCAGGGCAGGGGCCAGGAAAGAATCTGCCAGCAAGACAATAATTTTTCTTAAGAAAATAGTGGGCTA